>NC_000008.11:116964222-118214222 GCF_000001405.40 Homo sapiens
GTACTATCCTTTTGAAGTATGAGCACGCTGATGCTGGTTGTTGGATCCATTAATTAATTTATCTCTATTCAGAATATTCTAATGAACTAAAACCCAAGATTGCTGTTAATTTAAAGCAGAAGCAAAAGCGTGGCTGAACAGATGATGTTTGCCACGTTTTAACAGACTTCCACAATGGTTCCTGAGAGATAACCAAGTGAAAAACAAATTTGAACTATTTTGTGGCTCTAAACTGTGTTTTAAAACTCTAATTAAGGGGGGCAGCCAGCTCCTATTACATATCTGGTGCACGTGGAGCTTTTAGGGGAGCTCATCATCCTAGCAAAGTGTTTATGCAGCACCTGCATCCTGGATGGGAAGCTTTCTGAGAATAACCCATTTCCTAGGTTTGAATCAATCCATGACTTGCCTAATGGATCAAGGTGCCAAAATGAGCTCACACAGCAGGCACAGAAGCCACATAAGATACCCAGAGCTCTGTTTTTGTTTTTCTCTAATTTAACATTTCTAAATGGCCTGAGGTTACTCATCATCTCTTATTAACCTACTAAAGCCCCACATTGGCTAAGGTAGATCCTTCACATACCCTGACTCAGTAAACACTTGGGAAAGAGTTTTAAAAGTAGTAAATCTTTAAGTATCTACTATGTGTTAATGAATTTCAAATTTGTTATTTCAGATCCTTACAACAACCATGTAAAGTAGGTAGTGCTTTTTGTTTGTTTGTTTTTGAGACGGAATTTCACTCTTGTTGCCCAGGCTGGAGTGCGATGGTGTGATCTCAGCTCACTGCAACCTCTGCCTCCCAGGTTCAAGTGATTCTCCTGCCTCTGCCTCCCAAGTAGCTGAGATTACAGGCGTGCACCATCATGCTCAGCTAATTTTTTGTATTTTTAGTAGAGATGGGGTTTCACCATATTGGCCAGGCTGGTGTCAAACTCCTGACCTGAGATGATCCACCCGCCTTGGCCTCCCAAAGTGCTGGGATTACAGGCATGAGCCACCACGCCTGGCTGGTAGTACTTTTATATTCATTTTGGAAGCGAAGAAAGTGGGTCTCCAAAGGCTAAGTAATCAGCAAAGCTAAAATACAAACTGAAGGATAGTTGATTCTAAAGCCTGAGATCTTGCTAATATACCAGTTACCTTCTCAAACAAAATAAGAGGGAAATGTAAAAGTAACAAGAAACATTAAAAATTAAAAAATATGTTCCTCCAAGTCAAGACATAAGATACATTGGACTATTTTAAAAATGTCTTACATTTACCTGCCCACTAGCTAGGTGTCTGCTGAGGTTGTTCTGTTCTTTGAGATCCAGATGAATTTGACTGGAACCCTCAATCTCCTGTGTGGTGTGAATTCCACATCTTTGCAGGATTTTGAGGGGCTTCCCATCGCCTATTCAGTCTGGCTCCAAGCTCCAGCATCTTCTGAATTAGTTTAGTTTATTGAGCATTCTCTTTCCCCTCCTGACCCCTAGAAGTGAAATAACAAAAAATTGACTGGTTTAAATCAATTTTGGCTTAAATAACTATTCTTTCTTTATGTGAACCCTGGGCATTAAAATCCCTGGATAATTCTTGACATTAACCTGTTTTTTTGCTACTCTAAAATCTTCTTGCTAGAGGCTCTTCCCTAACAATATTTTTAATTTTTTTTAATTTTTTTTTTTTTTTTGGAGATGGAGTCTTGCTCTGTTACCCAGGCTGGGGTGCAGTGGCGTGATCTCAGCTCACTGCAACCTCTGCCTCCTGGGTTCCAGCAATTCTCCTGCCTCAGCCTTCCAAGTAGCTGGGATTACAGGCACACACCACCATGCCTGGCTAATTTTTGTATTTTTAGTAGAGACAGGGTTTCACCATGTTAGCCAGGCTGGTCTCGAACTCCTGACCTCAGGCAATTCGCCCGTCTCGGCCTCCCAAAGTGCTGGGATTACATTTAATTCTTAACAAGACAAAGCAAACTAAGAGTGTAGCTGAAGCATGGTATAAAGATGGCGAGTGCAGGAGATGGAAGAGACTTGAGTGATTTGTGCCTTCAACACCTTTATATTATAGTTGAGAACACAGTGGATCAGTGTGGGTTCTGGTTTGCTCAAGTTCAATGGCTAGTTACTTGGCATATGCGACCCGTAGATATCTTGCTACTCCCTTTTCAGTTGTGTCTGCCTTTTTCAGGCCCTTTAACTGAGAATTGGAGTTTCTGGCATTCCTAAGTTCACCCAGCCCTATGAGACAGAAGCAGGGAATGAGGCCATAATCCTATAAACATGTTTTGCCTTAAAAAAAAAATCCTACAAGTCGGTAATACCTCTAGGTAACTTTAAGTAATGTTTTCTTCTTCTCTGACTTTCACAATCACAAGCAGCCTCGCACACTGTCACAGCTTAGGTTCTCCAGGACTGATGAATTATAAGGGGATAAGATTCTAATGAATTTGCCCACAGAAAACCTATTTTAGAAAAGAGTAATAAGAATCTCAGTTCTCCTAGCTGACATCAGATTCTTGAAGAAATATTTTCCCAATAATAGAAGAAAATTACCAGGGAAATAAGAGAGGAGGATGTTGTTACTCAGGTATAAAACAAAAACAGAAAGCCCATCAGTGGCATGATGGCAATGGAATTGAATCTCACAAAACACTTTATTGCTAATTTTCCATTTTCTAAACATGCATCTAAATATAATGGCCAAGGATTTGAATAAAAATCATTCTCTGATTCTTTCACCAAAGGGAGATTCAGAACAATTTGCAGTGATCTATTCTCATTTCTTGAGCATTTCTGACTTTTCAGCTGCTTCTTTTAAATCTTGAAAAGTAGTAAACAGCTATAGCTTGTCATTGTCAAAAGTGAAATGTAAGGGTATGCATTCTATAAAGGACCAAGATAATATCATGACTCAAATAAAAATTCCCCAGGGTAGAGGAATGGACTTTTAGCAATGTAGAATGAATATATTTTCAAGATTTCTCTGTCTTAAACGGTAGCCTAAATTTAAAAACACAAACAAAACCCACAAAAGCTGATTTAGCTTATATTAAAAGTAGATGGAAGAGAAGAGAGGAGATAATAAAAGAGTAAAAAAAAATTGAGGAACAACCAAATATCTTTTCCTTATGATTTTTAGATTGCCTGGAGAATTAATTTAATTTGAGCTAGTGTCTATCTGATGAAAATTGTCCAATAATGTATTTTTTTCCACGTTGCCCTGAAGATTGTCTGCTCAGGACATTGGTAGTTGACAAGAGTGTGATGCTGCCTGATTTCTATACTGATTATGCTACATTTTACCTCCATAGCTCTGAACCCTCAAGTCGAACTGTATTTTCCAATCTGCAACATGTAATACTGTGTCTTTCAGAATTCATAGGGGGTAATAAATGGGTACCTGAATGAACCAAGTCCTTAAATAAAAATCAAGTATTGATAAAATATACAGTAGGTTTCTTACGGTGGCGTGTAAGTTTGGAGAGCATAATCAGCCACAGTTAGAAGTGGCAATTCTTTCTAAACAATATGATATGATTTTTTAGATTAATACATGAAACAAAATACTGTGACACATCCAGCAATTTAGGGGTACATCTAGCTCAAGTTGGTTGAAGGTTGGAGATTCTGTTTCAAGCTGTAATGTCACAAACTCTCTGTAGGCAATATGAATCGTCCCGGTTTTCTCTCCTTCTGGAAGAAGATGCAATGCAGTATCATAAAAAAGACCTGTGGCTTGGGGCTGCACAAACAGATGAGGGTTGGGCTGGCTTTGCAATACTAATTCTGTGATCTTGGCCCAGTTACTTAAAATCTGAGATTACCTGCAGATAATGATATTTTCCTGATAAACGTGAAGATTCTTGACGTACTCAGATTTACACAAGTTACCTTTGTGGATTAGGAAGAACAAAGTATTGTACTTGGCAAAATTTGATAATTTGTTTCAACTCACTTGGCCTCAGGAGATGGTAACCACACTAATCAGCTGTCCTGCAGCAACAAATAATCCCCAGATTTTATTAGATTTATTAGATTACAACAAAAAGATTTATTCTCAATAGCTTATTATATAGCTATAGTATAGCTTATAGCTATACTATAATAATATATAGTATAGCTATATTATATAGCTTAGTATATATAAATAAGCTATAGTATATTATATAGTATACTATATTAATAAGCTATAGTATAGCTTATTGTACTCAATAGCTGTGAGTCAGATGGAGCAGCATCTATGTGGGGACTGTTTTATTCATGGCAGAGACAGAGAGATTGAGAATTTGAGGAAACTGATGCCTCTTCAAACTTCTGCAGGAACTTGGAAGATTGACATTCCATTGGCTAAAGTAAATCACATGACCAAGCCTGCCATTAGAGGGAAAGGAAGTATAGAAGTGCCACCAAAGGCACTGCAGGTCTCATGACAATGAATATATATATATATATATTCCATTCTCTTATAGGAAAGAGGAGTGAATAGTTGGGAACTACCTTCTGCCACAATGACTATTTCTTTTTTTTAATTTATTTATTTTTTGAGATGGAGTCTCGTTCTGTCACCAGGCTGGAGTGCAATGGCACGATCTCAGCTCACTGCAATCTCAGCCTCCTGGGTTGAAACGATTCTCTTGCCTCAGCCTCCTAAGTAGCTGGGACTACAGGCATGCACCACCATGCCTAGCTAATTTTTGTGTTTTTAGTGGAGAGGGGGTTTCGCCATGTTGGCCAGGATGGTCTCCATCTCTTGACCTTGTGATGTGCCCGCCTCAGTCTCCCAAAGTACTGGGATTAAAGCATGAGCCAATGTGCCCAGCCCACAATGACTATTTCTATTATCAGAGAAGGTGCATGAGATGCATGGACTTTTGAGCCTGGGTTTGTATCCCACCTCCAGTGTTACTTGCTGTAAGAACTCGGGGCTTGACATGGTGGCTCAGGCCTGTAATTGAAGCAATTTGGGAGGCCGAGGTGGGCGGATCATTTGAGGTCAGGAGTTCGAGACCAGCCCGGCCAACATGGTGAAACCCCATCTCTACTAAAAATACAAAAATTAGCTGGGCGTAATGGTACACGCCTATAATCCCAGCTATTCGGGAGGCTGAGGCAGGAGAATCACTTGAACCCGGGAGGTGGAGGTTGCAGTGAGTCCAGATTGTGCCACTGCACAAACTTGGGCAAGTTACCTGATGTTTCTGTGCCTGGTTTACCCATCTGGAAAACTGGGATAATAGAATCTACTTCATCTCATAGGGTTAAAAAATGAAGTAACTTCGTATGTATTTATCTATATGTACAGGCATGCATCACTTAATGACAGGAACACATTCTGAGAAATGCGCTGTCAGGTTTTTGTCATTGCGCAGACCTCATAGGGTGTACTTACACAAACCTAGATGGCATAGCCTACCACACACCTAGGTTGTATGGTATAGACTATCGCTCCTAGGCTGCAAATCTGTACTGCCTGTTACTGTACTGAATCCTATAGGTAATTGTAATACAGTGATATTTGTGTATCTAAACATATTAAAACAAAAATATGGTAAAAATATGGCATAAAAGATAAAAAATGATATACCTGTATATCAGTTACCATGAATGGAGCTTGCAGGACTGAAAGTTGTTCTGGGTGAGTCAGTGAGTGAGTGGTGAGTGAATGTGAAGGCCTAGGTCATTACTGTATACTCCCATAGACTTTTTAAACACTGTATGCTTAGGCTACACTAAATATAGAAAAAAATTTCTTTCTTTGATACTAAATTAACCTTAGCTTACTTTAACATTTTTACTTTATAAATTTTTAAATTTTTTATACTTTTAGTCTTTTGTAATAATGCTTCACTTAAAACACACATTACTCCAATGTACAAAAATATTTTCTTTATATTCTTATTCTATAATTTTTTTTCTATCTTTAAATTTAAAAAATTTTTAGAACTTTTAAATGATTTCTGTTAAAAAACCAAGACACAAACACATACATTAGCTCAGGGTCACGATCATCAATATCATTGTCTTCCACTCCCACATCTTGTCCCACTGGAAGGACTTTAGGGGCAATAACACACATGGAACTGTCATTGCCTATGAAAACAATACTGTCTTCTGGAATACGCCCTGAAGGACCTGCCTGGGGCTGTTTTACAGTTCACATTTTTTTAATAAGTAGAAGGAGTACACTTAAGTGACAATAAAAGTATGGTATAGTAAGTACATAAACCAATAACATAGTCCTTTATTATCATTATCAAGAATTATGGACTGTACATAATTGTATGTGCTATACTTTTATACGACTGGCAGCACAGTAGGTTTGCCTACACCAGCATCACCAGAAACACATGAGCAATGTGTTGGACTATAACTTTATAATGGCTATGATGTCAGTAAGCTATAGGGATTTTTTCAGCTTCATTTTAATTGTATGGGACCACCATCATATATGCTGTCTGTTGACCAAAACGTCATTATGTGGCTCATATCTGTATTCATACCTACACACACAAATATATAAAATCACTTAGAACAAAGGCTGACATACATAGCCTCAGATGTTAGCTATTTTTTTTATTACTGATTATATTATGAAAATAAGGCCGGGGGTGGTGGCTCACACCAATAATCCTAGCACTTTGGGAGGCCGAGACAGGTGGATCACCTGAGGTCAGGGGTTTGAGACCAGCCTGGCCAACATGGCGAAACCCCGTCTCTACTAAAAACACAAAAGTTAGCCAGTTGTAGTGGTGCATGCCTGTAATCCCAGCTACTTGGGAGGCTAAGGCAGTAGAATAGCATGGACCCAGCAGGCGGAGGTTGCAGTGATCTGGGATCACGCCACTGTATTCTAGCCTGGGCGAAGAGTGAGACTCTGTCTCACAATAACAACAACAACAACAACACACACACAAAAAAGAAAAGAAAAGAAAATAGTTAATGCATGTTGAGCTGAATACCTAGGTGATGGGTTGATAGGTGCAGCAAACCACCATGGCACGTGTTTACCTATGTAGCAAACCTACATATCCTGCACATGCATCCCAGAACTTAAAATAAAATAGTAATGTTATAGAGGCATTCCCTGTAGGAAAAAAAAAAACAAAAACACATCAACTAAATTAAAGTAGCTGTGGTGGGGAAATGGTGTACGTATTTCCTCTTAAGTGACTTCTACACAATTCGATTGCTCCATGACATTGATTCTTTACTACTTTCTTCCTCTGTCTTATAGTCACCCATCTTTAGAGATGAACTGGCAGAAAATGTAAGCAGTAAGAATTCATGCCTAATATTATGGTATAAACCACTAACTTTGTTTCCTATCTTTGAGACTTTTTGATGATATTCCTATTTTCAACAGCTTTTAGAGGAAACATTTTTTTTTTTTCCAGAATCTTTTCCTCTGTGTTTTCAAAGAATCAAATTCAGAAAGATGTTGGGTTCTGGGAATGAACAATTAATTTTTCATTCTGCCCTAGGCTTGTCTCTGTAGACAATGAATATTGGACCCTTCCACTATTTTAATACTCTATTTTGAGGAATAATCAAATAGGCAATTTCCTAAATAGCACTGCAACTGTAATAATGCAAATGCCTCACCGTCATAATGATAGAGGTTCTATAATGCAAATTGAGTATGGCTTATTTCCTTTCTCTATATCACAGATTCTGCTGGAAAATTTAGTGTTAATTTCCTTTGAATAGCATCTCTGAAATTTAGTAGGTGAGGAGAAATATCTATAAACTGAGATATATATACTAATAAATGTTTAAACTAGAACAATGATAATTTTTCCTATCATAAAGAAACCTAGTGAAAAACTAGCTCAAGTCTTGTAACTGCTTATTTCAAATACTATAAAAGCCCTACCAAGTGGAAAAGAACCAGTTATGTAATACCTTTGTTCAAAAATTTTTATTTTCTTCTTCTTCCCAAGAAACATGTCTAATTATAAATTTACACCTCACCCTCTAACCATTAGAAATATCATGCAACATTCTTCATGCTCCTGATGGCACAAAGATCAGTCATCTGGGGAGCAATTTATACTTTTGCTGAAAAGGCTGTCTGGGCACCAGGTTTGAATCAGAGATCTGGTAACAATTCTGTAGGCATCTCCATCAAAACAAAGGCAGCAGAGCTGTGAACTCTTATTAAATCGATGCAGAGAAGTGAGTCAACGGGCAAGTGACTAACCGTGGAGGAATAAGCGACTGCTGTTTTTGACTTGGGTTAAGATGGTTAGGACCATGGGAAGAGACGTAGAAAAGAAACCAACTCCATGCTTGTTTCCGATGTAGGTTTTTCACCTTCAGCAGACCTAAGCTCACAAGGAGGAGAAGCTTTAACTTTCAATGGATGTTTGAGTTTTAATTATTATACTGGACTAAACATACGAATTAGTGAACTGAGACTATTTTGGGGGACCATAGTGACCAGTAGACTTTTTACAATTTGAGAGTAATCAGAAAATCATAAGGCTGACTCTAGATTTTACTCAAGTGGTCAGAGAACTGCTTTCTAGAGCCAATATGCAGGAACTGACGTGATAAATTATATCTTCTTTTCTACTTAGGCTTGCGGAGGGACCACGAATTGTTCACAATTTCAAGTCCATTTGTTTTCCTTATTAGTAAAAAAGCCCTCTAATTTTTAACTAGGGATGTGAATTTCCACTAGTGACTACATTCTAGGATTCTGCTACTGTCTGAATGTTTTAGTCTCTCCAAAATTCATTTGTTGAAACCATCCCCGATCTGAGGATATTAGGAGGTGGGGCCTTTGGAAGGTGATTAGGTCTCATGATGGTAGAATCCTCATGAATGGGATTCGTTCTCTTATAAAAGAGGTCCCAGAGAGCTGCCTTGTCTCTTTCTAACATGTGAGGACACAACAAGAAGATGCCTTCTATGAGCCAGGAAATAAGCCCTCACCAGCCATCAGATGTGGTACCTTGATCTTGGACTTCCCAGCTCCAGAACAGTAGGAAATAAATGTATGGTTTTTATAAGCCACCGAGTTTGTGGTATTTTGTTGTAGCTGCTCAAACAGACTAAGACACCTTCCTTGTAGTTAATTGTGGCCACATGACTAGATTTGGACCAGTGAGATGTGGGTGGAAGCACTTTATGCAACTTCTAGGTCACTTTCTTAAAAATAAGCTCCTATACACCAATAACAGACAAACAGAGAGCCAAATCATGAGTGAACTCCCATTCACAATTACTTCAAAGAGAATAAAATACCTAGGAATCCAACTTACAAGGGATGTGAAGGACCTCTTCAGGGAGAACTACAAACCGCTGCTCAACGAAATAAAAGAGGACACAAACAAATGGAAGAACATTCCATGCTCATGGGTAGGAAGAATCAATATTGTGAAAATAGCCATACTGCCCAAGGTGATTTATAGATTCAGTGCCATCCCCATCAAGCTACCAATGACTTCCTTCACAGAATCGGAAGAAACTACTTTAAAGTTCATATGGAACCAAAAAAGAGCCCACATTGCCAAGACAATCCTAAGCCAAAAGAACAAAGCTGGATGCATCAAGCTACCTGACTTCAAACTATATTACAAGGCTACAGTAACCAAAACAGCATGGTAGTGGTACCAAAACAGAGATATAGACCAATGGAACAGAAAAGAGCTCTCAGAAATAATACCACACATCTACAACCATCTGATCTTTGACAAACCTGACAAAAACAAGAAATGGGGCAAGGATTCCCTATTTAATAAATGGTGCTGGGAAAACTGGCTAGCCATATGTAGAAAGCTGAAACTGGATCCCTTCCTTACACCTTATACATAAATTAATTCAAGATGGATGAAAGACTTAAATGTTAGACCTAAAACCATAAAAACCCTAGAAGAAAACCTAGGCAATACCATTCAGGACATAGGCCTAAGCAAAGACTTCATGACTAAAACACCAAAAACAATGGCAACAAAAGCCAAAATAGACAAATGGGATCTAATTAAACTAAAGAGCTTCTGTACAGCAAAAGAAACCACCATCAGAGTGAACAGGCAACCTACAGAATGGGAGAAAATTTTCACAATCTACCCATCTGACAAAGGGCTAATATCCGGAATCTACAAAGAACTTAAACAAATTTACAAGAAAATAAACAACCCCATCAAAAAGTGGGGGAAGGACATGAACAGACACTTCTCAAAAGAAGACATTTATGCAGCCAACAGACACATGAAAAAATGCTCGTCATCACTGGCCATCAGAGAAATGCAAATCAAAACCACAGTGAGATGCCATCTCACACCAGTTAGAATGATGATCATTAAAAAGTCAGGAAACAACAGATGCTGGAGAGGATGTGGAGAAATAGGAACATTTTTACACTGTTGGTGGGAGTGTAAACTAGTTCAACCATTGTGGAAGACAGTGTGGTGATTCCTCAAGGATCTAGAACTAGAAATACCATTTGACCCAGCCATCCCATTACTGGGTATATACCCAAAGGATTATAAATCATGCTGCTGTAAAGACACATGCACACGTATGTTTATTGTGGCACTATTCACAATAACAGAGACGTAGAACCAACCCAAATGTCCATCAATGATAGACTGGATTAAGAAAATGTGGCAGATATACTCCATGGTATACTATGCAGTCATAAAAAGGATGAGTTCATGTCCTTTGTAGGGACATGGATGAAGCTGGAAACCATTATTCTGCACAAACTGTCACAAGGACAGAAAACCAAACACTGCATGTTCTCACTCATAGGTGGGAATTGAACAATGAGAACACTTGGACACAGTGGGGAACATCACACACTGGGGCCTGTTGTGGGGTGGGGGGAGGGGGGAGGGATAGCATTAGGAGATATACCTAATGTATACCTAATGACGAGTTACTGGGTGCAGCACACCAACATGGCACATGTGTACATATGTAACAAACCTGCACATTGTGCACATGTACCCTAGAACTTAAAGTATAATAAAAAAAGATAAGCTCTTTTCCTTATGGATAGGGAATAGTAATAATGGAGCAATCTGGGCCACAAATTGAAGCTAGCAGAGCTACACTGCCAGCTTTAGACTGCTTAGCTCTGGGATAGTATAAAAGAAAAATAAACTGTGTTTATTTAGGACTTTGCATATTCTATATCTTTGTTATAAAGCTTAATACATACCCTAGTTAATATAGAAATTAGTGCCTAAATTTATGTTGCTGTTGTCACAGAAAATCTTTAAAATATGTGGTCTGTCTTAGTTGTCAAGTAGAAGGTAACCAAGGAACATATTAAGGCTAGAAGGCTGGAAGGGTCATGAGCATTTTTTAAGGCCTTGGCAATATGTTTGGTAAAGTGTCACCTGCAATGACGTAGAGGACAGACCACTTTAGAGAAGTGGTCAGAAAAAGGTAGACTATCATGTGTGTTAACTGTTTCCTTCTGCATTTAGCAAGATTTCAGAAGGAAGAAATGAGCTTGCGCAAGAATTGGCCAGTTTTAAGCAGAGATGGAAAGAATTGAAGCTGTGCTAAAGGAGGCTTTTTCTGCCTTTGATTTTTAATCTAAATTGAAGGTCCAGAGATTTGAGGCCAGCAAGGTTGGAAAAGCCAGCTCTATCTTTACCTGGAATAGCAGGAGATAGACTTATTCATAACTTTTTTCAGAGGTGTCCTATTAAGACTCTCAGCTCGTGGGAGGTAGCCCTCAGACAACGATCATTTGAAAATTATGGCCTTCTGATTCAAGCCTTAACAAGACAGCTCCTGTTCAAATATGGGAGAGGAGAATGGGTTGAACTAGAAGCCAATAAGGAAGGGGAGAGCCAGCAGGCTTAGGAAGCTTGTCCAGAAGAGATCTTGGGAATAATGATTACTTTCATATAGAATCAGTGAAGCTGGTAAATGTTTTTTTACCAGACCATCTTGGCCAATATGGTGAAATCCCATCTCTACTTAAAATACAAAAATTAGCCAGGTGTGGTGACGCACGCCTGTAGTCCCAGCTACTCACTTACCAGTGAAGCTGGTAAGTTCTCTCTCTTTTTTTTTTTTTTTTACTTCCAAGGTATAAATGCTCCCACCCATGACCTATTTCATGATACCTACAGGGTGTGTCACTGATTGTGTGGAGTTGGAAAAAGATGTGCACAATAGGCTCCTACAAGCCGATGTAAGCCAGACCCAAAACACCACTGCATGGAACTGATTGGAAGAAAATAGGCTGTCTACTAAATTTTGCAAGTAGTTGTATTCCCCAAGAAACTAAAACCCTAGCTGACAAAAGCCTGTGAATGTTCTGATCCCTAAGGAATCCATCAAACTCTCAAGCACGCAAGAGCAGGAAATCAGGAAATCTGTTGCCTAGAAGGGCATACTCTCCAACGTCTTCAGCTGGGGCTACAGAGACTAACTGATAAAGAGGGCTCTTCCAGAGGGCAAAGCCAGGAGCGCAGAGGGCAATTGACAGGGAATCATTCCCAGACATCACAATGTAGGTTACCTGTTCCTCTGCTGGGGTAGGGGGGTCTTACAATGACTACTTAGCAGGATGTCATCATTGCTGTGGACCAGGGGATGCTGAGTTTCCCCTTTTATTTTTCTTTCTTTCTTTCTTTCTTTCTTTTTTTTTTTTTTTTACAGAGTCTCTCTCTGTTGCCAGGCTGGAGTGCAGTGGCACGAACTCAGCTCACTGCAACCTCCACCTCCTGGGTTCAAGCGATTCTCCTGCCTCAGCCTCCCGAGTAGCTGGGATACTGCAAGCATGTGTCACCACACCTGGCTAATTTTTGTATTTTTAGTAGAGACAGGGTTTCACCATGTTGGCCAGGATTGTCTTGATCTCTTGACCTTGTGATCTGCCTGTCTCAGCCTCCCAAAGTGCTGGGATCATAGGCAGGAGCCACCGTGCCTGGCCTTTTCTTTCTTTTTCTTTTTCTTGCTTTTTTTTTTTTTTTTTTTTTTTGAGATTCAGTCAGTCGCTCTGTTGCCCAGGCTGGAGTGCAGTGGCACGATTTCCGTTCACTGCAAGCTCCGCCTCCTGGGTTCACGCCATTCTCCTGCCTCAGCCACCCGAGTAGCTGGGACTACAGGCGCCCGCCACCACACCTGGCTAATTTTTTTTTTTGTATTTTTAGTAGAGACGGGGTTTCACTGTGTTAGCCAGGATGGTATTGATCTCCTGACCTCGTGATTCGCCTGCCTCCACCTCCCAAAGTATTGGGATTACAGGCGTGAGCCACCGTGCCTGGCCTTTTCTTTCTTTTCCTAAATGGGAGTTTATTGTAGACACACTGTTACTACTTTACCACTTTTTTTTTTTTTTTTTTTGAGATAGAGTCTGGCTCTGTCGCCCAGGCTGGAGTGCAGTGGTGCGATCTCTGCTCACTGCAACCTCCGCCTCCCGGGTTCAAGCAATTCTCCTAACTCAGCTTCCTGAGTAGCTGAGACTACAGGCGTGTGTCACCACACCTGGCTAATTTTTGTATGTTAAGTAGAGATGGGATTTCACCATGTTGGCCAAGATGGTCTCAATCTCTTGATCTCATGATCCACCTGCCTCGGCCTCCCAAAGTGTTGGGATTACAGGTGTGAGCCACCACTCCCAGCCTGCTCTACCACTTTCTATTGGATGTGGGGGAAGGGAAAGCCTGTTTTGCCTGGCAATGAATAAGCTCAGCTTAGTTTTCTCAGCTCTGATGGTTATATTTTTACATGAATTTCTTAAAGATAAGCTGTTTCCCATGAACGTTCCTTTTCTTCCCTTCTGCTTGCTGGGAAATGGCTAGTACCCGAAGAGCATGTTAAAGATGGCAGAGCTATCTTGCCAACTTTGGTCAGTTCCCCTCTAGGTTGTCCTGAAAAAGAAAAGCACCCTTCCCATTTAACCTTCCTGTAACCTTCCTGTATTTTGGTCACTTTTTCAAACCAGTATAGCCTAGTCTCTAACTAGTACTCAACATAAAAGTCCTGGTCTATCAACATACTGGTTACATACATAAAGTCTTAGCCTGGTACCTTGCATATTGTATTTTTTTTAGTCAGTGTTTGATATTATTATTAATAATGAATATGCTTGTTGACTGACTGAATGAGGAATAGGTATGTAAAATCTATGTTACTGTTAAAAGACTTTGGGAAGGATGGGGTAAGAATTTTGGATACCATTTGCATCATTGAATAGAAATGAAGAAACACATAAAACCACTGGCTATGATGCTCTAACAGTTATTTTGAGCATACATGATGCTTGATGCTTTATATAGTCTTTTCTTGGCACGCTTCTAATCTAAATGAGGTGATTAGTAATATTGCAAACTGAGGATAAAAATGCACGTTAAGTCTGACAGGTGGTGATTATTGCTTGCTCTTTTTTTCCCTTTGTCTCTTTTCTCTCTTATTACAGTATGTGCAAGAGCTTAAATAAAATATCTCACAAAAATGTTATGAAAGAAAGCCACATGCTGTGTATTTACTACAAATATGTCTTAAGTGTTCAGACATAATCTGATGCTGCCCCTTGGAGATATTCTGCATAGATAATTATTTTCTGGAAATTTTCTGAGACCAGTCCAGTGGCCTTAAAAATGCATCAGTCTCCAGCAGCCTTAAGAATGCTTCATATATATATGCATATGCTCACCTATATGTGCATTTCTGTTTTAGAAACACCTGTGAGTCACTGTCATCCTACCTGTGAAGGGCTGTATCTTTTTTTTTTCTTTCTTTTTTTCTTTTTTTTTTAAATCATAAGGAGGCCGGGCACAGTAGCTCATGCCTGTAATCCCAGCACTTTGGAAGGCCGAGGAGGGTGGATCACTTGAGGTCAGGTGTTTGAGACCAGCCTGGGCAACATGATGAAACCCCGTCTCTACTAAAAATACAAAAATTAGCTGGGTGTGGTGACACACGCTTGTAGTATCCCAGCTACTCGGGAGGCTGAGGCATGAGAATGGCTCGAACCTGGGAAGCGGAGGTTAAAGTAAGCAGTGATTTTGCCATTGCACTCCAGCCTGGGCAATAGCGTGAGACCCTGTCTCAAAAAAAAAAAAAAAAAAAAAAAAAAGAAAACAAATCATAAAGATAATTGTGTCTCTTTTAAGCACTCATTCTAGGTGTGACTGGGTTACAATTTACTCCAACGTTATCCTCCTCGAAGAAAACATAAATGCATAAAGCAGAGAAGGGATAGAGACTAAATGTCTTGGGGAATCCAGAAATGGAGCAGGACATCTTTCTTTCCCTGTCGTTGGCTTCCATTCTGCCAAGGTTAGATAGGACCGGAGATTAGTGGTCCTCTGATGAGACTTTAACGAATCTTTGGGTACTGGTGGTCTCAGACCCATTTCTGAACGGCATTTGTCCAAGTCTTGAAAATTTCTGGACCAAGTTTCCTTACAGTGTCCTCAGGGGACTGTCTGAAGAAAAATGGCAGAACCTATGCCAAAGGCCATGGAGGCACAGAGCAGAAGTGTGAGGCCAACGCAAGTGGATTCTTCATGTACTCACTTGTCCCGGGAGAGGTGAGCTTCCCCTAAGAGGGCCCCTGAAATAAGGCATTTGCAAGATGTCGCTACCCATGAAAGCAGTCTGTTATCTTCTGCCCTGGACCTTTTTACCCAGGAGCTTGATTGCTGGGACCATGCCAACAAATAGCATTCTCTTGCAGCAGAAATAAAATGAGAAGGAAAATTAAAAACTTTTATGAGGTAAGGATAGGATCATTTCCAAAGAAACAGAAGCTTAGAGGAAGGAAGAAAAGAAAGTGAAGACAGCATAACATCAGGTTTGACTTTTCTGAAAATCACAATGACCAATACCCTAAATGATGTTATTAAAACAAAGGGAACGACTATGGATGTGATTCCTTGATCCCTGCTCCTTCTGAGGCTTGAGAAACTTTATATAACCTTAGTAGAGATTTTATAATCTGGGCTGCTGAAATTTCAAATAAGTACATATTGCCTTAATTTTATCTTAACCCCTGCCATGTGATTGATGCATCACTTTTTTTGGTAGTTTTGGGCTGTTTAGTTATTGTGATTTATTTGTAAAAATAATACATATTTGTCTTAGAATGGATTCTACAGAGGCTGGGCCTGAAATGGGGAGTCTTGTCCAGGTGATCTGTAGGGAGAGTCTTCTTGGGAGGAGGGGACTGAGGTAGCAGGAAAGGGCAGGGGGAGAATTTAAGCAGTATGTAGTCTCAGCTGGAGACCAGCTTTAATCTCATCCCACAGGAAGTTCTGGAGCAGAAATCACACCACACAGTTGGTCCTCCCTTGAAGTGAGGAGGCTGGCTCTGATTTCCTTGTGTCAGTCAGTCATTGGCTGAGGTCTGGGGATATAAAGTGTCATCTTGGCAAAAAGACTTTCATTTGGCCAAGAGCAATTCTCCAGAAAAAAGGACAACTGTGAGTTATTTATCAGCCAACACACACAGCAACTGGAAGATGAGTCTACAACTGGAAAGGGGAATAGAAAACTCTATGCTGCAGCAGAACAAGGTAAAGAATGAAGGAACACTCTCAAAACACACCCCCATCGAAAGGCAACTACCATCACCTTTAGGTGATTATCCTTCCAGACATGTCTGTTACCTCTCAACCAATGCACATATGAATATTTCTGCTAATGTGATTTTCACATATTAATTATTATAAAGACACTATCATTTCTGATGGTGCCATAGGATTTCACTATGATTTGGTTAACAAATTTATTTAATGAATGGGTGTTCTAATTACTATTGCTGCATAACAAGTCACCCTAAACTTAGTGGCATAAAACAACAACCATTTTATAAATGCTCACCAACACCGAGGGTCACAAATTCAGGCAGGGCCCATGGGATGGCTCTTCTGCTTAGTGATGTCTTGGCCATCGGCTGGTACTGGAGGTGTTAAATGGTTGGACTGAAGGATGTACTGCCACAATAATTTCACTTCCATGTGTAGCAATTTGCGGTGATGTGTTGGCTGGAAGGCTGTGCTAAGCTGGGACTCTCACTCTAGTATGGTGACTTTGTGGTAGCTGCACTTTTTGCTTGACAGCTTGGTGCTCTAGAGAACCAGGTGGAAGCTACATGACTTTTCTTGACCAAGGCTCAGAACTCACAAAGCATCCCTTCCACAGTCCTCTCTTGGTTCACACACTCATGTGAAGTCACAAGTAGGCCCTGATACAAGAGGAGGAGAAGTCAGTCCTACTTATTTTTTTTAAAGTTATATTTTAGATTCAAGAGTACGTGTGTAGGTTTGTTATACAGGTAAATTGCATGTCACAGGAGTTTAGCATACAGATTATTTCACCACCCAGGTAATAAGCATAGCACCTGTTAGGTAGTTTTTCGATCCTCCCATTCCTCCCTCTCACTACCCTCAAGCAGGTCCTAGTATCTGTTGTTCCCTACTTTGTATGCATATGTACTAAATGTTCAGCTCCCACTTGTGGGTGAGAACATGTGGTATTTGACTTTCTGTTTCTATATTAGCTCACTTAGGATAATGGCCTCCCACTCCATCCATGTTGCTGCAAAAGACATGATCTTGTTCTTTTTTATGGCTGTGTAGTATTCCATGGTGTGTATGTACTACATATTTTAAATCCAGTCTATGATTGATGGGCATTTAGGTTGATTCTGTGTCTTTGCTATTGTGAATAGTGCTGTGATGAACATATGTGTGCATGTGTCTTTATGATAGAATCATTTACATTCCTTTGTGTATATACTCAGTAATAGGATTGCTGGGTTGAATGGTAATTCTGCTTTGAGTTCTTTGAGAAATTGTTACACTGCTTTCCACAATGGCTAAACTAATTTATATTCCCACCAGCAGTGTATAAACATTCCCTTTTCTCTGCAACCTTGCCAGAATCTGTTATTTTTTCATTTTTAGTAATAGCCATTCTGACTGATGTCATAGATGGTATCTCATTGTGGTTTTGATTTGTATTTCTCTAATGGTTAGTGATGTTGGCCATTCTTTCATATGCTTAATGTCAAAGAATTTGAGGTGACTGAAAAAAATCTTCACTGTAAACATTTAGGTTGTTTCCAGTTTTTTTTTTTCATATCTTGTTGCTAACAATGCCACTATGAATATTCATACACAGTAAGTTTTCACTTAACATTATTGTCCATAGATTCTTGGAGACTGCAACTTTAAGCAAAACAATATGTAGGGAAACCAGTTTTACCATAGGCTGATTGATGGAAACAACAGTGATATTCCTACAGCATATTTGTAGTCACAAAACATCACCAGACTTCTAAAGAGAGATAAAATACTTCTAATATTTTACATTACAATAAATGTGAGCTACACACACAAGAAAGATTAATAAAAGCAAATAAGATAGTTATTTACTTAATTAGTCCAGTTCAGCATGGTGGGTGGCTGGAACCTGTCCACTGATCAATCAATCCCATTTATTCCAGTCAGAATCAATTTTTTTCCCTATCAGTCCAGAACAAAATGACATTGAACCAGATTACATTGTTCCAGAATCTGCTGCACAAATAATCTCTCACACGTGAAACATTATCACCTCAGGGGAAATTCCTTTAGTGGAACTCCTAGGTAAAGGGGCACATATATTTTTTTAAAAAAATTAATTCATGCTCCCTGGAGAACCTGCATCAATTTATACTTCCATCAAAAGTGTAAGAGAGTACCTTTGTGTGCTTGTGTATTTGTGTGTGTGCATGTGCTGAATTTGTCACTATCAGGGCCACACATTAGTAAAATGAATGAGAACTTTTTCACTTTTTAAATATAATCTCTATACTCTGTCGTATATCATTATTTTTATATTTGCTTTGATAAATTGAAAGAATCTACCTTTCAAACCATTTTGACCAAGTGCATTTTTTGGGAAGTCATTGTTACATTGTTCTGAAATTATTGGTAAGTTAGTGTTTATAACTTCTATTTTAGTAGTGTGTACTTTTTTATAAAACCATGTATTGAGATTGTCAAATTAATCTTGAGTAATAAAAATTAAGATGCATTCTCTCATTTAAAAAATTTATGTCTACAGATATAGTCCCTTTCTGAGATATAATTTTGCATATTTCACCTTTTATTTTTAATTGTAATTCCTGGTGAGTCTTTTAGGGCAAAATGATCAGAGGCTGTGAGCTCTGGAATTTCTACTTTTTGAAATTTTTGAGGTTATTTTGTAGCTAATATGATACACTTTAGGAAATAATCCAAGGTACATGAAAAGAATATTTAGTCTCCATTTGTAGAGTGCAAGGGTCAATATACTTCTCAAAAAGTGTTACTGGTGTGTTAAATTTTCCCACTACAGTTGTATTTTGTGGCATATGTCTCATGTACTTTTTTCATAGACTTTCATGCTTTGTCATTTGGCTTTGTAACTTTTATCAACACGAAATGTCCCTGTTTAATAATATGATTGGAATTTCACTTTTTCTATGTTATTTGCTTTCTTTTTTATGTGTTTCTTAATATATTTTTGGTCTTCCTTTTTTCCCCTCTACTATTTTAAATGCTTTTTCATTTGATTCCATGTATCATTCACCTAGTTTGTTTTAATGGTAACATCTTGCTTAACTACAGTACAATATCAAAACCAGGAAATTGACATTGGTACAACTCACAGATCTTACTCCAATTTTACATGCGCTCATTTGTGTTTGTGTGTGTGCAGTCCTGTGCAATTTTTATCGTGTGTAGATTAATGTAACCACAATCACAATCAAGATGCAGGGCTATTTCTTCAACACAGGCTCCTGTACTGATCCTTTACAGCCATACCCACCCTCTTTCCTCACCCTTAACCTCTAGCCACCGCTAATCTGTTATACATTTTTATAATTTTTATTTCAATAATGTTATTATGGATAGAGTCATATAACATGCAACCCTTTGAAACTGTGTTTTTTCATTCAGATTGTTGTGTGCATCACAAATTCATTCCTTTTTATTGCTGTGTAGTATTCCATGGTATGGATGTGTCATAGTTTGTTTAACTTTTCACCTATGAAATGACATTAGGATTGTTTCTAGTTTTTGTCTATTATTAATAAAGCTTCTATGAATACTTATGTAAAGGTTTTTATGTGAACTTAAGTTTTCATTTCTCTGGGATAAATATCCAGGAGTACAACTGTTAAGTCATATAGTAGTTGCATGTTTAGTTTTTTAAGAAACAGCCAAACTGTTTTCAGGATGGCAGTGTCATTTCCATTCCTACCAGCAATATATGAGTGACTCAGTTTCTACATGTCCTCACCAGCTTTTGGTATAGTTATTATTTTTTTATTTTAGCTATTCTGATAGTTGTGTAATGATGTCTCATTGGGGTTTTAATTTGCATGTGATGTTAAACGTCTTCTCATGTGCTTATTTACCATCTGTATATCCTCTTCAGTAAAATGTCTGTTCATATATTTTGCTCACTTTCTAATTGGGTTGTTTGCGTTTTATTTTTTTCTCTTTGCATTTCAATGGCTACAAATGTCTGCTTTTTAACTGCCGAGTTTTGAGAGCTCCTTGAGTTTTTAGAGTATATATTCTAGATACAAGGCCTTTGTCTGATATGTAATTTGCAAATATTTTCTCCATGTCTGTAGCTCATCTTTTTATTCTCTTCCCTGGATCTTTCACAGAGGAAATTTTTAATATTGATTTAATCCAATTTATAATTTTTTTTCTTTTTGAATTGTGCTTTTGGTGTCAAGACTATGAACCCTTTTCTGGCGTTAGAAAGTACCTTTTAATGAGTTCTCCCCTTTGGTATTAAAATGTAAAAATAAAATTACAAGGTTCAATTTGTTGGTCTTTATATTTATGGTTTCTGTGTTTGTGTGTTGCTTGAGAAGGTTGTTGCAAACCCCAAAATATAAAATTAAACCATGTATTATTTTAGATACAAGACTTTTTTACTAACTAGTTTTATATTATAAAAATAACATGCAGAAATGTAGAAAGGTCAAATTAGAAAAAAAAATTTGCCTTTACTTCTTCCACTTTCATTTCCTGGGGTAGCTACTATAATTAATTTCTTGTATCTCTTTCTAGAATTTCTCTAAGTATATGCAAGCATGTGCATGCTCACACACATACACACACACACACACACACACACACACACACACACACACAAGTATGTATATCTTTTTTAAAACCCAAAGGGGACATTAGATGTATCTCTCTGCAGCAGTATCTAAAGATCATTTTCATTATTTTTTTAACAGCTGCAAGGATAATATATATAACCTTCCTGCTAATAATAGAAAATTAGGTTTTTATAGGAATTTTCTTTGCTATGATGAGTAATGCTGCAATAAATGTTCTTGTACATAATGTTGTACAAGTATGAAGAATAAATTCTCAGACATGAAATTCTTAAATTACAGGTATGATTTTACAATTATTAAATTACAGATACAATTTTACAATTTTGATAATATCAACAAATTCTTCTTTAAAAATGGAGCATCATAATACACTTCTACCAACAATGCATGAAAGTACCAATTTTCCCATGTCCTCACTTACTCTGGAAATTACCTTACTCTGGAAATTACCTAATTTTTTATTTTCTGCCTATCTGAGAAGCAAGAAATGCGTTCTGTTTTTTCTGCATTCTAAATAGATTTAAGACATGGGGTGTGCATGCATATGTGTGTCGTAAGAAAGTTATCAAGGAACACAGTTTTATTTTTTATCCTGTAAAATTAAAATTGTTTGGAATATGTGCTAAGGTTTTACAAAATAAAAAAGATGCTTCTGAAACCAACTGGGATGAGTCTTTACACTCTGGAAAACCAGCAACTTTCCACTTTCTCATGCTAATAAGGGAAGGAATGGGATTCTTTTGAGGGGTCATCAGTAGGAAATATCCCACCCGTCACATAATTCTAGAAGTCTAACAGGAACACCTAGTGGTTATTGAATGAGGGAAGATTCTTTGTAAACAGAAAAATACCCAGTACGTAGTTTCTTCTTAGTTTTCTTCATAGTTTAGTCATCAGTTCACCCACACATATATGTGTTCATCTAATTACTATTTATTCATCATCCTATTGGCATTGGCCTGAGCACTGGGGACATAAGCATTGTGTTCATTGACCGGTCTGGTAGGAGAGTGGGAGAGAACTGAGCAAACACCTCCTCACCCTAGTGCACTAAGAGCCTCTGTAGTCTCCTGGTTGGGGAATCAGGCGGAGACAGGAGGTCACACTAAATCCCATACTGATGAGCAGGCAATAGGGTAGAAAGGGCAGTTCTACCTATTGGACATTTTGGAAGCTGGATCGAAAACTTAATTAAAATTCAAATTAAAAGCCGGATCAAATACTTAATTTCCATTAATGATCTGCAGTGGGAATCAATCATCAAGTCAGAAGATAGACCGAAAAACAAACAAAATTAACAGCTCATCTTGTATGGTGTTCAGGGAGAATTAATCAGTTACACCCCAGTCAGGAAAGCTGGATGTGACAGCCTTCTCAGTCATCAGCAACCACAGTGCAGGATTGGGGAAGGGAGAGCAGGCACTCCGAGGTTTTGTAACTAGGCAGATGGCTTGAAGTGGATTTTCACTGCAACTCATAATGATGATCCTCATAAATGAGCATATTTTATAGTTTAAAAGCTGGTTATGATAGAGAAAAAAATGTAGACCCAAGAAAAATCAAACGTTTCTACTTTGTATATCTTTATTCTTCTTGCTTCACCACCTTTCATGTTCTAAGAAGAAATGTAAATGTAATGATACATCACATAGTCCTTTATAGGTCTATATCATTATTGTTTAGTCTTCTCATATTGAGACACATCTCTAAGTAAAGACACAATATGATAGCGCACTGACAATGGCACATTGGTATGGAAGAAAAATCAGTTTTCAGACTGAAAAACAGGATAAATATTGCCCAAGTCAGGGAATCCAGTGTCTATTCATGTCATGGTATAGAACTTCTATAGGATATCTTTCTGAAAGGCTTTTTATAATTAGGGGAAGGTTCTGTTAAGGATGGATGATTAAAATAAACATTATCTAGAGATAACATGGACACAGGAAGGGGAACATCACACACCGGAGCCTGTTGTGGGGTGGGGTGGGGTGGGGGGAGGGGATAGCATTAGGAGATATACCTAATGTTAAATGACGAGTTAATGGATGCAGCACACCAACATGGCACATGTATACATATGTAACAGACCTGCACGTTGTGCACATGTACCCTAAAAGTATAATAAAATAAAAAATGCACACGTAAAAATAAAATAAAATAAATATTGTCTAGGCTAGGCTAGACTAAGGGAAATTTAATTCTACATCTGTTAAGTCTCTATATTCTTCTTTCAAGTCTTGAATACCAACATGAAGTTCCGTCAGCTGTTTAATTAGCTTCTGATCCAGGCATCTCACTACTATTTACCAAAAAAGAAAAAAAAAAATCCATAGCCTGTGAGCTAGGTGAAGTGTGTCCTTAATACTTTTATTATTATTACTTTTTTATTTTTTATTTTTCTGAGACTGAGTATCACTGTGTTGCCCAGGTTGGAGTGCAGTGGCACGATCTCTGCTCACTGCAACCTCTGCTTCCTGAACTCAAGCAATTCTCCTGCCTCAGCCTCCTAAGTAGCTGGGATTACAGATGCGTGCCACCACGGCTGGCTAATTTCTTTTGTATTTTTAGTAGAGATGGGGTTTTACCATGTTGGCCAGGCTGGTCTCGAACTCCTGACCTCAAGTGATCCGCCTGCCTTGGCCTCCCAAAGTGCTGGGATTACAGGCATGAGCCATTAAGCCCAGCTGCCCTTAATGCTTTTATTTATTATTTTTGTTTTTTGGTGGATGCTCTCTTCCCCTCTCTCCTAAACTGAGATATCCCCATTTGGCACTTTGCCTAGTTGGAGTCAAGCTCCAAGATTTAGACTTATAAGAGTGATGTATGTGCTCATTCTTCTTCTGATAAACTCACCCATGCAGAGGGGATGATGGGTGATCTGGATGGGCAACACTTCAAAAGGGCATTTTGGGGGCAATATCTTAATCCAGAGGAGCTCATGGCAAATAATTAGAAGATATTTTAGGGTAAGCTCCACTTTTCATGCTGTTATATTGCGTACTGCATAGTCAACTGATACCGTTAAGTACCGTGAAGCTCAGGCCTTCTTCTTTCCGTCTGCTGGCTAGCAATCCAGTCCCCCTTGCATGGACAACTCCTTTTCCTCTCATGGTACCAGGTATATCATGATGTCTCTTGCTTTATGGGCTTCCCCAAGCCCTTCTCTCTTTGGGAGCGGTGCTTTGGCCCCGTTCACATAATTACCTTCTGTTCATTCTTTAAAACTTGGCTCAAGAGTTACTCCTCTTAGAAGCCTCCTGGAATTTTTGCCTTTATATTAATCCTTTTTAGATGATTTTCCTCTGAGCTTCCTTAATATCTTATGCGTGTTTCTCTTAGAACAATTGTCAAAGACCATGCTGGTAATATTGTTTATTCAGCAAGAATAAACTCCATATTCTTGTTATTTTACTATAATCGCCAGCCTCTGGCATATACTTAAAATTTGATAAGTATTTTTAGACCAGCTGGATAAACTAAGGCTTACATTGGCAACTATACTTGCCTTCTCTACTACTTCTCTGAATTATCTCAGTGAGAAGGAATCCCTATCTTCTTAATGCCTGTAATACTCTTCCCATTCATATAGATTTTCATTGTATTCCTGACTTGTGGAAAAGTCTCCTCTTGTAGGGTATAAATTCCTCAAGGGCACTAATACTATGCTATGAACCTCTGTGGTCCCTAACACAAGTGATTGGATAAGATAGATATTCAAAAACCACTTTGAATACATAAGAAGAGATAAATAGGCAGGATCACATTTATTGATTTCTTAGAACTATATCATATTTATGCTGAATTAAGCATGAAGGAGGAGGTGAATAAAGATGCTGGCAACTTTGAATGTGCTGTACAGCTTTAATTCCCCAATAAAGACTGTTGAGTCAAAGCTAAAATGCTTGCTGAAGAAGAAGGGCAAATTTGTGGTGGTGTTTTTCAATACTGGAAAGCAAACTAAGAAGTGATGTTAGGTGTCTATTTATGCATCTACTGCCATTGCCAATGATTTAAGCTAAGTGTAATGACAAGATAAATTTCATAGTAATGGGAGGCATTTTTAAATTTTGTAAAGTATATGAAAACATGTCTGAAGCTGTTGACCATAAGTTCACCAAATTGTTCATTCTTTCTCTCACCTACCTCATCCTATATTGTTTATTATTTACCTAAATTGTTTATTCAGTTAAGTAAATTAAACAATTTAGTTTACTCAATTTATTCAAAATAATTATTATTGTTTATTATTTACCTAAATTGTTCGTTCTTTCTCCCATTTACCTCATCTCAAGACTATTGTCATCTAATCCTGAAAGAAAAGAAGTATAATAGAAAAATGATGGTGAATGTGGAT
This sequence comes from Homo sapiens, assembly GCF_000001405.40. Taxonomy (NCBI): domain Eukaryota; kingdom Metazoa; phylum Chordata; class Mammalia; order Primates; family Hominidae; genus Homo; species Homo sapiens. The sequence goes on from NC_000008.11 coordinate 116,989,667, forward strand.
ATATCAGAAGGATGCAGTAGGACACGAAGTTGTATACAATTGAGGATAACAATAAGTGTATGCAGAAGAGGACATTTCAGTCTCTACTCTGAGGATGGATCAGAAGTAAAACCCCACCTGGAAATGTATCATGGGAAACAACTTCTTCCTGGGCCCAATGGTCAGTCTTCTGATCACATTTGCCAGGAATGGCAAACAGTTTTCAACTTGTGTGCCAATGATTCTAGTGTATTGATAATAAGAGAATTCCAAAGCTACATCAGGTAAAATTAGGAGAGATTCCTTGATTGATTAGTGGTGTCTGCCATGAGACAGAAGATGGGAATAGCTTGCCTGTGCATTTACCATCTCAGGTCTGTGTCATATTCCCAGTCATTCAATTGAATAGCAAGAACTGCAAGCCAGTTTCCAATTCCTGAGGCTGAAATAATGATATTTAAATTTTTATTATGTTGGATGCTGAAATAACATGCTATATACTGGTTTAATGTTGTTATTGTTTTTGAGAAAAGAAATTTGGATTTTTTTCCCATTTTCCTGCTTGTTCCTAAAACCTAGGTTTCAGAAACATTGATTGCCCCTCCGGGAGGTGACACCCAGTCTTACCTTTTCTCTTTGAATATGGCTTCTGAAGAATAGTGTTTAGAAAGGAAAAAAAAAATAGCTCTACAGTGGAGGAATCTGGCAAACCAAGTGATCAAGGTTATCCTCCCCAGTGATGATAGTTGCGTTGATATTATGTACTTTCCGATATCATGTAGCCTCTTCACCTTGTTGTATTTCTCCCTAAAACTTAAAACTCTTACATTTAATCATAAGAAAGCACAAGCAAAAATCAAATCTAGGAGAATTCTACAAAATATCTGACCAGTACTCCTCAAAACTGTCTAACTTATGCAAAATAAGGAAAGAGTGAGAAATATCAGAGCCAAGAGGAGTCTGAGGCAACGTGATGACTATATGCAATGTGGTGTCTCGGAATGGAAAGAGAACATTTGTGGAAAACAGGTGAAATCAAATAAAGTCTGAAATTGAGTTAATAGCAATGCACCAGTATTAGTTTCTTGGTTTTGACAAATGCACCATGATAATGTAAGATGTTAACACAGGGGAAACTGGGTGAGAGGCACACAGAAACCTCGTACTATCTTTGCAACTTTCTGTAAATTTATAATTATTCTAAAATTTAAAGTTTATCTAAAAAACAACCAAATAAGTGAATGAAACTTGTTAAAAGAGAGTTATGTATTTTTGCATCTGTGTGTGTCTGAGACAGAAAGACTGAGAGAGAGAGAAAGAATTAGTATTTTGTTCAAATAATATAGACCTGAAGAATCTGGGCTTTGGAATAAGAACATTTATCTGGGGAGGGTCTTGTGGGATGAGTCTTATTGGTGACTTGCTTAGTTATTATTTGCCATTCTATTTTTGAATCTCCTTTACCTTACTATAGAAGAATTTTTCCTCCTTCTTTTCCCTTTACGAATGAGATTCTAGAAGAATAGTCATCGTTTTAAAAATTTTCCTTGCACTTTTACTCTCAAATACTCATTCTACTATCTTTAGTCAAGAATCTTTTCTTTTTTGATGTCTAACTGTATTTTCATATGATATTCCAAACTATTTTACCTTCTATTTTCTTTCTTTTTTTTTTGTTTGAGACAGTTTTACTCTTCTCACCCAGGCTGGAGTGCAATGGCATGATCTTGGTTCACTGCAACCTATGCCTCCCGGTTCAAGCAATTCTCCTGCCTCAGCCTCCTGAGTAGCTAGGATTACAGGCACCCGCCACCACACCTGGGTCATTTTTGTATTTTTAGTAGAGACGGGGTTTCACCATGTTGGCCAGGCTGATCTTAAACTCCTGACCTCAGGTGATCGCCCATCTTGGTCTCCCAAAGTGCTAGGATTATAGGCGTGAGCCACCATGCTCAGCCTATGTTCTTTCCATTTTCTTACAAAACTTAGATATCTTTTTTATAATTTGTGGCATCAGTTGTAAATCTTAATCTTTAAACCAAATAAAAGATTTGCCATGACAATAGATAAGTAAATTCAGATCTTTTTTCTTTTTCCCCTTGCTGATATTTGTCAGTACACATTCATAATATTGGAATTTAAATTACTTTTTTTGACTAAAAAAATACTTTCCCTTTGACTTGTAGCCTAAGGAATCATGCAAGGGTCCACTGCTAATGCGGAAAAAGAACACAACAGCCACATCTGATGATGCTTATCAAGGTCCATTTAATTTTGCAGTGTCTTGTGGCCCTGAAGATGCAGTGCAGGGTCTACATCCAACATCTTGCTCTTCAACAGTTGTGAAATTAGCTTCAAATTTATGGTTCTGGCGAATACTTCTGGCTTTTTACGTGTTACTTATTAACTAAGAATATTTCACTAGGGAGATTTATTTGACTGAAATGCATTAAAATTACTTGCGTCAATGAACTATATTATAGGTGAAATGGTATAAATTATGTAGGAGGGGGTTCAAAAATAACAAGGTGACAAAGCCGAGAAAAATCAAGAGTCATGTCATCTCTTGATTAGGTGTTATCTTATTTTAACTTTTAGGCCAGAATGTGAAAGTTAAAGTGAAAATGCAAATGAGGAGTTTTGCAATGAGCGAGTAACTTGTATCAGACTAAAGCTTCCGCCAAGAATAATTATAAACGTTGGATTAAAACTGAAAACAAAGCAAAAAGCAGCTGTTTGAAGGTGACCAGAAGCATAGGGCCAAGATTCAATAGGCAAAGAATGTACACGATGAGCCCTAAATTGTCATGGGTTTTGTCTTCTTAGAGCATTTGCCTAGACACAATATGAGACTTAGAAGTTAAGAAAAAAAAAAGTGCTGTGTTGAAGCTTTATGGAAGTGTCATGGGTGGGAGGGACAAAAATTAGAGAGCAGGACTAGCAAAGCAGTCCCAAGTAGGTCCAGCAGTTTGTATGCAGTCTCTCTATGAGGAGCTTATCAGTTACCAAGGGCTACCTGTATTGAGAAAAAAGTTCAGAAACCAAACAGAGAGAGGAGGCTATGAGGCTAACATCTAAGTAGAGGAGACTTCTCTTATCTTGCATTGGACTTAAACTATGGTAATGAACATATCTAAGAGTTGAACAAAGCATATAAAATAATTATTTGCAGCCATGGGGTAGCAATGAAAAAGCTGTAATCCTTGAGAGAAATAGAGCATAAGAAGTGATCCAGCATTCCTGATGCTTTTTCTCTGACAGAGTTTTCCAATTTGCAGCACAAGAATACAGAGCCTACGCAGAGAATCGTGGCCATGTCGAGTAAAGAAGATATAGAGATTAAAGTTTCAGAGTGCCATGGTGGCTGAGACTTAGTAGCATGGTCTTAAAGAAAACATAGCCAAATTATTAGTGGGGGAAAATCTGTCAAAATCTGAATAGATAATCTCCTTGAGTTCCTGGCCTAATCCCAAACTACCTAGTCACAGGGTGCAACTCTGAGAGGCTTAGTAGAGAATAGTTGCTTGAGAGCTGAGCAAAGATTATAGAAGCTCTGCAGTGCTAGAGAGGCAGAGTTTGGAGTTGGGATCCAGGCAAGATGGAGCAACCTCAGGAAACCCTAAAAAATTTTACCCAGGACAATAGGAAGTCCACATTTTAGGAGTCAGCACAATACTCTACAAGTGTGGGTAAAACTAAACCCTAAGAACTGAACTAGCAAAGCCTTGACAGAATCAAGATGATTTGTTTGTAATTTAACTGTCTACTAGAGGAAGAAAACTGAGTTCACAGTGTAATTCAAAGCATCTACAATGTCTAAAAATTACTGACATGCAAAGATGCAGGAAAAGTGATCTATCATCAAGAGAAAAGACAGACCCAGACCCAGAGACAATCTAGATGTTGGAGTTAGCATCTAAACCTAATCACCAAAATTATTATGTTAAAAATAGAGGAAAAGTTGAAAAACATGTGACAATATGGAGAATAGAAACAGGTAACCAGAATCTACAAAAAAGAATAAAATGAACATGCTAGAACTGTAAAACACAGTATCTAAAATTGAGAACTCATTGAAAAAGCTTAAAAACTTACTGGATATGATAGAAGACAAGATTAGTAGCATGAAGGGCATATCAGCAGAAAATATCCGATCTGAAAGACAAAGTAAGGAGAATAACAGTAATAAATAATAATACAAAATTCATAAAGAATGCAAGCAAGAGGCTATTATAAAAAGTTATACCAATACATTTAAAATATTAGGTTTAATAGAAAATCTTTTGAAAATGCAACTTGATATAACTGATAGAAGAAATTTAAAAATCTTAGCATTTCTATACTTACTAGAGAAATGGGATCTGTAATTAAAAATCTTGCTACAAACAAACAAAAAACTAAATAAAAAAAAAAGAAAGAAAAAAAGCACACTCTAGGCTCAGATAGCTTCACTGGTGAATTTTTCCAAAATTTTAAAGAAGAAATAAAACCACTTCACAGAAATGATTCAAGGGAATATGAATGGAGAGAATTTGGAGCAACTGGACCTCTGTGATTTGTGGGAATGTGAACTGGTGCAACCACTTAGGAAAATAGTTTGGCACTGCTACTGAATCTGAATATATGCAGGCCCTGTGACTACATTTTGCTACTTCCAGATCTAGACTCAACAGAAGAGATTACATCCGTGCACAGAAAAGAATGCACAAGTGTTCATAGTATCATTACTCATGATAGGAACAACCAGATGTTCAGGCAGTGTCAAATGGAAAAACAAATTGTGGCAGGTCACTTGATAGAATACCATACAGCAATGAAAAAAATTACAACTACACATTTCAACATGAATGAATCTCACAGAAACAGTGTTAGCTGAAAGAAGACAACATACAGTTCTGTAGGATTCTATTTGCTCATGTTAAGAAACAGGCAAAAACTAATCTATGCCGATTCAAACAGGAAGTGGCTACTTGGAAGGGTGATTTCGAGAGAGGGACTTCCAGTCCTGGTAATATACTATACGTTGATTCAGGAAGTGGTTACACAGGTAGATCACTTTGTAAAAAACTCATTGAGTTATAAATGTGGGATTTATGAATCCTTCTGTATGTATATTATACCTCTCCTGTCTTTCCCAAAAGCGAAGTTAGTCCTCAAAATTTTAACATGTATAATTCATGTACTTTGAGGCATGGAGAAATGACTTGTGTGTATGTTTTAGCTGGTAGAGGAAGGGCTCTTTTTAAATTAATTATGCATCTGATTATGGAAGAAGACTGCAAAAATGTAATCAGGATAATAATGTTAAGCACATTCTTTTTACTTTCTCTCAATTTCCCTTTTTTCACTTGTGACTGTGTGTTCACATCTGTAATTAGCAAGTTCATGGAAGGTCATGCTAATGCCTCTTCGATTGTTAATGTAATGCGGTGTAAATGTAACATAAAACAGATACAAAGCTGCCCTAGAAGAGATCTCGGCTCTAAACTGATTCTGCCCTACCTCAGCCTCTAAACTGATTCTGCTGTACCCTGAGATGGCTGTGATGCCATTTTCCTTGCTTTGAAGCAAGGTTTAATGCATCTTTGCTTGAAAAGTGCTGAAAGATGCTTGGGTATGGAGAGCTCTTGAAATTCCAAGAAATCATTTGAAAGACCCATGGGTTTTAGACGTAAATAACTTTAAATAAGCCACCAAATAAAGCCATCCAAATAGGCCACCTAGGGTCAAGTTTCTTAGTTATTTCATGGCCACACCTCACAGATGAAAAAACTTCATTTCCCACTAGATGTGATTCTCCACTGGCAGTACCCAGCAGAATCATGTTTATAAAAGCATGAAAACCCCTTCCTACTTACGGAATTTGTATCTGGAGGTGCAGGTTGTGGGATGTGTCCCTTTAGAAAGCCCTGTTGGTGACTTGTATGAGCTACTGCAGCTAAGACACTATGTGAACAGAGCCCAAAGGGGAGGCACTGAATGTATTGGGGGCACAGTAGGGAGGGGAGTCATTTGAACAACACTGTGCAGGGTTTTGTATCCTCAGAATAGAAGAGTCTCTAATAAGTGAAGTATGTGGAGTCCTAATAAGGAAAAAGGAGCCAGGCTGGTGGGAGCAGGGGAAAAGCAAAAACCAAAAGCAGATAAGCTGTAAGTCTGGCTTTCTTCATGGTTCGGGACAGATAGCCGTCCTGCACAGATAACGCACAATCTTCTTGCACCTGAAATCACCAGACCATCACTTGATAGAAAAAAATGCAAGTTAATGCACTGCAACCTTGGCATTTTCTGTACTGCATGTAGCCCTCTCCAGCACAAGCACCATCCTGTAAAATCCCCGGTAAGCCTTTGTCTCTTTGCAGTCAGCTCTTCTTTTGCTGATCTGCCCATTGCATCCTTGCAACATATTTTCATATTTTCTCTAATAAATCTGCCTTTCTTTACTTCCAACTGTCTTGGTAAATTCCTTTACCATCCACACCACCAGCCCCAGTTAGTCGCTACCCATGACAAAGTGGATTGTTCAAGTATTTTTATTTTTAGTCTCACAAAATGTTAGCTCTAAAAGAGATCTTAGACATTGTCTTGTCCAAAGCTCTCTTCTTATAGGAGGAAACTGAGGCTCAGAGACTAAGCTGGGGTGAGAACTCAGTGCTTTGGGCTTTCAGTCAGGAGCACTTTGAAAATACCCATTGTCTGTCTTTATTTTATTTTAATTAATTATTTTAAATAAACAGATTAAAATTTGTAAATTTATGGTGTACAACATGTTTTGAAGTATGTATACATTGTAGAATGGCTAATCAAGCTAATTAACATGTGTTACCTCACATACTTATTTTTTTGTGGTGAGGGTACTTAAAATCTACTCTTAGCTATACTTGTTCTCCCTAAACCCCAACTCTCTTTCTGTCTCTTTGTCTCTACTTGTCTTTCTCTTTCTCTCTCTCCCTGAGCAGGAAGGGTGATCTTGGCCAGACAGAGACCTTATTCTTATCCCGTGTAGGGCTTATAGGTCATCACACATTTACCCTTGTATAGGCAAACCCCGTGTATGCTGTTCTACAAGTGTAAGCTTGTGAGACATGTTGGTGGCTGTACATTTATTTGGTAGCTATGAAACTTTGAAAGTTTGATGTTTTGCATGTATATATGGCTCCTACTCAGTGGTATTCAGGCATTTGGAAAGGCATGCAGAATATTGTCATCAGAAGAAAAGTGCAAAAGCAAATGAAAACTTGGCCCAACTCCAAACCCCATTGTTTGCATTGTTTCCTAAGTAGAAAATGATTTAAACATAGAGACTTGGAGTGCTTCAAGAAGGAGGCATTCTTTTTTTTTTTTTTGAGACGGAGTTTTGCTCTTGTCACATAACTTCACTCTTCAGAGTCCAGTTTAGCAAAGACAATATGTGTAGTGTTTCTGTCTCTAAGGAGCAGAATGATAGTTGGGCACAGTTTCTAAAAACCTGTTTGCATGTTTGAACTGCAAGAGGCAGAAGACGAAGGGGGTGAAGCACACGATCCCATGCTTACCATCCACCTCTGAAGCATGATCATCTAGGGGCTAATGGGTTACAAAATGAGGAACTGCACAGTTTGCCTGTTCTTCTGATGATAGTCTTTATGAGATGGGAGCCCAGAGCACACTTTAAAATGTAATCTATAATTCATTGCAGGTGAACCATAAAATGCAAAAACATTAATTTTTACAATGTCTCATTATTTATGACATTTTCCTGTCCTCTATTAAAAATATTTTTTGTTAGATGTATAGAATATTCACAGCTGCTAGATTATTTACAAGGAAGATGATAAACAGTTTTAATGATTTAGCTATTAGAAAATTAAATCAGTTTTTTTTTTAAAGTAGCTTGCTTTTGGGATGTTTTTGCATTGAATGTAGATCAAAACAGGGAAATGAAATTTACTTACCAAAACCTAATTGTCAAGTAAAATTTGATCTAAAAATAGGACTTGGAAATTTTATTTTAGTCAGGGTACATAGCAAAACACCCCAGACAGTGTTTTGAAAATGAAGAATATTTATTAGAGGAATTTCTTTGGAATGAGGAACAGGTAGAAATATGAGTAAATGAGACCCAAGGCTTGCGAAGTTATTGGAGTTGCTCCAGTCGTTCATTCATTCAATCAGTGAGCATAGATGGGCCTCCTGGGAGCCATATATAGTGCCAGATACTGGGAGTATAAAGATGATAAAACAGGGTCTGTTCTCTCAAGTGGTTCCCAGTCTAAAGATGAGACAGGCACATGGAAACAAAGCTACCACTTGGTCATTGCTGCAAAGGAGCTGTGTATAAAGCAGAATGGGCTCTTCTTCTGTGTCTGTGGAGTCTAAAAAGACTTGCCAGAATTCAGAATGTTTGATCTAAGCAGAGATTGTAAGGTGACAGAGGCTGATTTTATTTGACTTATTCAGCAGGCATAAAAAAGTTGAAGAGGAAATTCTTCAAGGTGATGTAGTAGACTGATGTCTTGATGAACCCAAACACATAACAATATGAGATAAAATATGAAAAAAGAAAGCTTAGCAGACACAGGTTCAAATCAAGGCAAACATCTTCAAAAACTGGAAATGGAACAGAAACATGAACAGGTGGTAGAGCTAGAGTGAAGATGCACTGTGCTCTCAAGTGGCAATGATGGCCAGAAATTTGGCTTCTTCAAGAAGCAGAGGGTCCACTACAGGAGACAGAAGTCCCTCCCATACTATTTAAAATGAAAAGCTGGGAAAAATGCTGCAAATTACTGCCTGAGTCAAAGTACCAAGAAACAGCCTTGTGAGCTGATAAAATCATCCTACTGTCTTGGTAACTGTGTCTATAATTCTCTTCAATTTCATCTAAGGGCCTATGCCCTGCAGTGGGTTGAAGAGCGTCCCCCAAAATTCATGGCTGCTCAGAATCTCAGAATGTGATCTTATATGGGAATAAGGTCTTTGTAGATTTGCATATGTAATTAGTTAAAGATCTTGAGATGAAATCAACTTGGATTAGAGTGGCCCCAAACCCAATAACTGTGGTGTCCTTATAAAAAGAGAAGACACAGAGACACATAGGGGAAAAGGCCATGTGAAGAGAGGGACATAGCTTACAATTAGCTGCAAGCCAAACCATGCCAGGGAATGCTGGAGCCAGCAGAAGTTAGCAGAGAGACAGGAAGATTCTTACCTAATACCTTCGGAGGGAGTATGGCCTTGCTGACACCTTGATTTCAGACTTGTGGCCTCCAGAACTATGAGACAATGCATTTCTGTTGTCTTAAGCCACGAGGCTTGTGGTAATTTGTTACAGCAGCCCTAAGAAACTAACATATGGGCCACGCGTGGTGGCACACGCCACCCAGCACTTTAGGAGGCTGAGGCGGGCAGATCACCTGAAGTCAGGAGTTTGAGACCAGCCTGGCCAACATGGTGAAACCCTGTCTCTACTAAAAATACAAAAATTAGCCCAGCATGATGGCGCATGTTTGTAATCCCAGCTACTCAGGAGGCTGAAACAAGAGAATTGCTTGAATCCAGGAGGCAGAGGTCGCAGTGAGCCGAGATCATGCCATTGCGCTCCAGCCTGGGTGACAGAGGGAGACTCCGTCTCAAAAAGAGAAAAAAAGAAAAAGAAACTGACATATGCCTCACACCTCCTTTAGAAGACCTGGTCTGGACTTGGGGCTGGGTGTGGAAGGCATGTAAAGGCAACGATAGAGGAAAGCAGGCAAGCAGGCAGAGGTTGGTAGCAAGAGAAGTGAGCATGAGAGTGACAGCAAGAGAGGGAGAGACAAGGCGAGGGACAGTGCAAGAGTATGTGGGTGTGAGGAGACATAAAGTCCCTGTCCAAGCCCAAACCAAAAGGCTTTTGTTCAAAATGACACTGCAACCATGAATTCATAAACACATGAAGAAAACTAGCATTAAGAAAAACCAATGGAATCAGCTATTGGAACATAAATGTATTCCAGATGCAATTAATTCTATTGCAGTGCCTGACACAGACTTTACTTATTTATTTCATTGATAAATGAGGTTTCCTGTTTCTGATACCATTAGTATCCCACTTCACACCATAAATTCTTTGATATTTTATATTGACATAGGCTTTAAAATAATTATAGTAGGATATGCAGAGGTAAGTTAAAGTTTCACATTTATAAGGAAAAGAAATTATGAAACAAAAAAGCAGACATAAAAAATTAATAAACAGATATGAAAATAATTATATAGAATGTTATTAGCTGCTAAGAGAACAACAATAGACATATTTTCCTAAAAGTTTTCTGTTCATGAGAAAGTAGGTCCCAGGAAGCCCTGTGACCTAACATGGCCCTGGGCATTTTAGTCTTTGGGAGATCCTTAGTGGAAAATCTGGTCCTTTGAGGACGTGCTTCCACTTACAGTAGAAGGAGAAAAAGGCCCACAATTTTCTTCTCCATTTCAAGCTGATTGAGCTGGTTGCTCTATTTTAAACGCTATGAGTCAGATCAAGCAATGTTAGCCATGTCTTATGTGTTGTGGATAACAGTTCTTATTTCTTGAAATCAGAACAGGCCTGAGAGTCAAGACTGGGGCCAGTGAGGTGGGTGTGGGCAGTGATGGGGGAGTGGGCGCAAATTCCTATGACCGAGTTGTCTGGACCTGGGCGAGGGCAAACATTTAAATCTTGTGTGAAGATTTTTAGTCAGTCCACCCTCACTGTGGGCCCTGACGCTTCCAGTCCAAGTAAGGCTTGTAGAAATTGTGACCAGGTTTGTCGTAAGGATCAAATGAGCTAATCCAGACACTATTTTGCAAGCTCTGAAGAGCTGTAAAAGTGTATAAATTGTAAACTTAAAATGAAGGCCAAGTATTTTATCTAATGTGCTTAGTTTTGTGCCTGGATCTAGACATTTGTTGACTTGAAAAGTGAAAATAATTGTAAAGTAGCATATTAATCCAAATTATTTGGCTGTATCTGCTGATGCTCAAATGTTAAGACAGAAAAAAAAGAAAAAGCAATACAAGAAAGCAAAATAGTCTAGCAGTTATTATTAATATCTAATAGTGGGTGCTGTGCCAAGAATTGTTCTAAGTGGTTTAATAGTAGAATGGGCTTTGGAGTTAGATGGCCTGGGTTCAAATCTTGACGTTACTACACGGTGGCTGTGTGAACTTGGGTAAGTTACATAACCTTTCTAGACTTAATTTATCTCATTTAAAATGGAAATGATAATGGGCACATTGTGAGGATTATATATAATAATACATAGAGTTTAGTAATATACCTAGTATGTTAATGAGCTCTTAATAAACATTAGATAATGTAGAAGTATTTGTTGGTTGCCTTCCCAGAATCCATTTTCCCCTTCATCTTTTTTCAGCATAATATTGAATTTCTCCACTATGTGGTTTGTATGAGAGTAACCTTACCTTCCGTGTATCAGGGTGGGCTCTGACTGGCCTAACCCAATCAGCTGGTTCTCCTAAATTTTTGGCCATAGGTATTATGTTAGGGATAGGCTGATGACCCAATTTGAACCAATAACGTAGGAGAAAATATTTGCTAGGGGCTTTTTTTTTTTTTTTTTTTTTTGGAATTTTCTCTTTGCTCATTGGGTGAATAAGAAAGCACATAAACTTGGTGCTGCTGATAGCCATTTTGAGAATACAAGGGGCATCTTTTATGAAGTTGATATCACGCAAGGCAGACTGTGGAAATGGAAAGAAACTAGGTCATTGGTGAAATCATTGAGCAGCTGGATCAAGTAGCACCTGCAGCCTGACTATCTCTCTTCTCAGTTATATGAGTGAATGCATCTCTTTTATTGTTTATGCTGTTGGAGTAGGGTTTTTCTATGACTTGTGACTGAAAGCATCCTGATACAAGTATTATTATTGCAACATGCCAAATGGCTGACTCATTCTAAAATGATGGTAATTATTGGCATTGAGAAAAATATTCAGGTGACTAGAATAGTTTTTTTCACGTGAACATTTAAGCTTTGAAACTGGGCTAAGATTGTATTTCTGAAATAATAAAGTTGAGCTTTAGTTACATTGGTTAGGAGATGGAGAATAAAGAAAATCAAACTGTAAAAGTCAGATTTCCTCCAGATATGCTGGTTTATCTGGATATGGTTTCCTTGCCATAGAAACCATAATATCATATTAGCTACTATTCAGCAGTCACCTATTGTATTTAAGGAGCTCTGCTAGGTGCTATGCTTATATTTTCTTTAGTTATTTCTTAGAATTTTTAAATAAAGCAATGGTTTATTTATAAACCATTCTCTAAACAGAAGCTTAGGGAATGGTTTTAGGTCCTAGTGCCTAAAATAGTGCCCATTATGCTGAGCTCTCAATAACTAATTGTTGTGTGTTAATTAACTGCCCAAGTAAATTCAAAACTAGGGCTCAGACCTTTGTCTGCTTTCTTCCAAAGTCCTTGCTTCTGTCACTGTACCACATTGGTTCAGTGCATCAAAAATTCCATCCCATTATTACTAGAAGTTTGTTTATGGTGTAATTTACTGGATTGGTATCTAAGGCAAGTAGCTGTCAATTGAGAAAGTTTAGCTTTTTCAGAGTCAATTCCTAATTTCATCACATTTACCATTTTTTGACTTAGATCATTGCCAAGAGCAAGAGAGATAAGATATATAAACTCCAGGTTGCTAAGCCCAAGTAGTTTCTAGCCCTCAATGGAATTCTTTCTGTTACAAATTACATGCCTTAAGTTGACATCCGAAAGACTTGCCCCAAGTACTTTAAATAGAACTGACAACCTGTATTCCAGATCTAACATTGGTTATTCCAAATAAGGCTTTGGAATTCTCACCCCACCATAAAATACCTTTAAAAATACATTTTTTTTCAATTTGCCCTGAAAGTTAAAAATTTCTAGAGTAAAAATGTGATTTATAATGAGGATTCAGTGTTTCTATTGAAAGATGGTTTTTTTGTTTGTTTTGTTTTTGTTTTTGTTTTTTTGAAACGGAGTCTTGCTCTGTCACCAGGCTGGAGTGCAGTGGCGCAATCTTGGCTCACTTGAACCTCTGCCTCCCGGTTTCAAGCAATTCTCCTGCCTCAGCCTCCCAAGTAGCTGAAACTACAGGCACTGGCCACCATGCCCAGCTAATTTTTGGATTTTTACTAGAGACGGGGTTTCACCGTGTTGGCCAGGATGGTCTCGATCTCTTGACCTCATGATCTGCCTGCCTCGGCCTCCCAAAGTGCTGAGATTATAGGCGTGAGCCACTGTGCCTGGCCAAAAGATGTTATTTTTTTTTAGCATCCATTCGTTGTGAATTTCAATATTTTGAAATATTTTATCATGCCCAGATTAACCAACTTGGATCTCATACAGTAGATAATAGTCAGAAGTATTCTGTGTCTATGAAAATGGCCTTATTTTCATTAAGAAATAAAGAGAAATGACAGATATCTAATCTTGTTGAATGTCATAGCCTTCAGTACTTTCTGCTGCAGCACTTCTGCTGCTGAGTATAAAATTCAAGGTCCACATTGCCTACAGTAAATGTAAAACTCAGGCCCGCTAAGACCACAGTGGTTAATATGGTCTTTAAAATTTCCCATCAGAGCCTATATGGTTAATCAAGAAACAAAATGGTATTGTCAACACGTATGTAATAAGAACTACCATTTATTGAGTACCTACTAAGTGGTAGGTAAAGTGAGAAAGGTAGCATAATGAATTGGCAGGGGCATGTTGGTTGAAGTTCTATACTAGCTTACTGAGTGTGTTAGCCTAGTGAAATTATTTAACTAGTCAGTTTCCTCAGCTTTAAAATGCACATAAAGCTTTGTGTATGGTAAGATATTGATACCTATCATGATTGTTATTATCCTTGAATTTGAAAAGCAGAGCGGCAGAGCTGGTACTCTGATGTAAAGGTTATCAAGAAGGTCTTTAAATTCTGCTGCCGTTCTTTTGTATAATAGAGAAAATAGGCACTATGGAACTTGGCCATGGACATGAAGGGCTTCCTGGAAGGGATGATATTTGATCTTTGCCTTAAATGATGAGTAGGGTTTTGGTAGGTGAAAATAATTAGCATTTTATTCTCCAGGCTGTTTAGAATCTTAGTAGCATAAGCAGTGAAAGCAAATAGGTTTCCCTACTAATTTATTTACGATAATTCATTGGCAGAGTGAAGCAATTAATTAATGCTGTTTGTCATATGGGCCAGAGGAAAACATTTTGACATCTCTGTCTTGCTTATTATCCTCTACAAGTCTTTTCTCTCCTCCTTAATTTTTGGTCCTGAAAAGAATGTTTCCATTAAAGCCAGAATATTGAATGTAAAAAAACCCACTTTATCAATATGGCTTTACATAGACGTGTTTGAAGGAACAACTATAAACCTTTAGTCAGAAACATGGTGGATGATATTGAAAATTAAAACCAACTTTCAGAATCTGAGCACTAACAAAATCTGGCAGCACCTCATTGTCCAGTCCCTGTTTATGTGCCTCTATTTGATACAGCTGAATCGAGTTCAAGGGGATATTAATACCCACAGTCACCTTTTAATCTGCACATGTTCTCATTTTCATTCTTCCAGACATCTCATCCTGAAATTCCTATCACAGCTAATGGACATGTTATTTAAAGTGTCACAAAGTTATTGTAGAATAAAGTTAGCCACACAAGGGGACTGGGAGACACATTTTGAATAGATCTTTCTCAGTCCTTTTCAAAATAGTTCTGCCATAAGGTCTAAACCTTGAATAAAGTCCTGGGAAATATACACTAAGCTGAGCATATAGATGCTTGTTAGAAAGTGTTTCCTTTTTGGATCTTTGAGTTCTTTGGCATGAGTCATCATCAACTGTAAAAGAGCTTTTGATGGCGTCAAGAGCGTGTCCCTGTCTATATGGACAGACTCTGACTCCTTCTCGGAGGATAATTGATACCAGAAAAGGTGCTCTGAAAGCAAGTCTACTTCATGGTATTTCATGGTAAATAGTTAATCATTCAATCAATGAAAGATTAGATTGGAACGTTATCTTTAAACAGAAACCAAAAATTATGTACATAAGGATGCTTTCTCTTACATTTGATACAGTGAGGGTATGAATGTCTGCACTGATTAGAACCAAGAATGTACCAAGTGTTGATTGTTTTTATTTTTCTTTTTGCTATAATTTTCTGGGTAAACTATATAATAGTAGCAAATGCCATCTTTCGATGCACGTTTGACTCTAGCAACTTGTTTATAAATAAGAGCATTTTTTGCAAAAATTTTCAAAGGTTGATATATTTTTCCAGGAGCCTCTCTCAATTCTCTTATATTGGAATAATTTTCTCCCCTCCCCACCTTTAAAAAAAACAGCTTTATTAATATATAACTCACATATCACCCAATTGACTTATTTAAAATGGGCAATTCAGTGGTTTTACTATTTACACAGAGTTGTGTAACCGTTACCACAGTTAATTTTAGAACATATTTATAATTATACCCTTGAAAGAAATCACATGCCCATTAGCTGTCACTCCCCAATTCCCACCAAACCCGTTCCCTCTCCCTCTGACTCCCAGTTCTAGGCAACCACCAATCTTTGCTGTGTCTGTGTAGATTTTTTATTCTGGTCTGTGTAGATTTTCTTATTCATTTTCTTATTCTGGACACTTCATATGAATGGAATCACATAAATCATATGTCTTTTATTACTTTTATGATTACCTTCTTTCACTTAGCATAAGATTTTCAAGGTTCATCCATGTTGTAGTACGTATCAGTGTTTCATCAATTTTTATTGCGGACCAATATTCCATTGTATGAATATACCACATATTGTTTATGCATTCATCAGTCGTTGGACTTTTAGGTTGATTCCACCTCTTGGCTATTGTGAATAGTGCTGCTATTAATATGCATGTACAAGTACTTGTTTGAATATATCTGTTTTAAATTCTTTTGGGTGTATACCTATGTGGAATTGCTGGGTCATATGATAACTCTATGTTTAACCTTTTGAGGAACTGCCCGAGTGTTTTCCAAAGCAGCTATCCCATTTTACATTACCACATTCTTTCAAAATAGCTATTTATCATCATCATATTGTTTTTACTTCTTCAACTGCTCAGTTGTCTGACTTTGACAGATCCTCATTTATGGATAGTTTTGGAAATAACCTGAACAGTTTTCCAACCTAATTTCGTCAACTTCATGAAACTGAGCCTCCAACAGATTTTGCCATTTCACTTGGCAATAGATTTACCCTCAAGTGACAGATACTGCATCCAGTTTGCGTATTTCTTAAAACAACCTCAGAAAGTAAGTATTATTAGTTGTAACTTAAAAGTGAGCAAATGTAGGCCCAGATAAATTAAATAATCAGCTAGTAGGTGGTTGGACCAGCAGTCAAACTATTGTGAAAAATGGAATTGGATTTTACAGGAAAAGTAATAAGATTAAGGGTAGTGTTATCCAGAGGCACTAATAACCTCTGAGCCTCCACTTAAGCTACCTTATATATTCCTCTCAGGAACTCTAAGCGAATAGGATAGAAATTAGGATGTTGGTGATGCAAGTAACATAAAACCTGAGCAAATGTGGCTTAAACCATTGTGGTTTATTTTTCTTACATAATACAAAGTCTTGGGGGAGGCAGTTACAGAGTTGATTCAGTGGTTTAATGTTGTCAGGCTTTTGAGTCTATTTCAGTGTGATCCTATTGGGTTTTTGTTCACAGTTGCAAGATGGAGTGTAAGCATTATGCCCTCACCCTGCTCTTCCCAAAACAGGAAGGGAGGAAAGATGTTTCTTTCTTCTTGTGTGTTTCTTTTATTTTACCAGGGAAAAAAATGTTTTCCCCAGAAGACCCTTGTAGACTTTCTGTTATGTTTTACTGGCCACAGAGGAGTTCCATTCCTATTCCTATTTCCAAGAAGCTGGGAAAGCGAGTGTCTGACAATTTCAGCCTCTCTATTGTATGTAGGGATCTGTTGGCTTGGAAAAAGTGGGGGCAGAACGGCTGGTGCGTCATCAGTCTACCATGTCTGTTGCAGTTTGGAATGAATATCTCTAGTGTAAGGATCCCTGAAGCTCAGAGATGCTAAGTAACATCACACGGCTAGTTAGTGCTAAGACTGAGAGTTGAGTCAGGTAATTTTTTTTTTTTTTTTTTTTTTTTTTTTGAGACGGAATCTGGCTGTGTCTCCCAGGTTGGAGTGCAGTGGTGCCATCTTGGCTCACTGCAACCTCCGCCTCCCAGGTTCAAGTGATTCTCCTGCTTCAGCCTCCCTAGTAGCTGGGATTACAGGCACCTGCCACCCCGCTTGGCTAATTCTTGTTTTTTTTTTTTTTTTTTTTTTTTTTTTTCTGTAGAGACAGCATTTCCCCATGTTGGCCAGGCTGGTCTTGAACTCCTGACCTCAAGTGATCCGCCCGCCTCGGCCTCCCAAAGTGCTGGGTTTACAAGCGTGAGCCACCGCGCCCCGGGGGAGTCAGGTAATTTGAATTCTAAAACCTATGCTGTAGCACATGGTCTCAGAGGTGATGTGTCTATTTGAAAAATGTACCTATAGGTAGACAACTGTCTTACTTATCATACAAGTAAGAGAGATAGAGATGGTTAAAAAACATTTATTTTCTAGAGTATAAATTAAAGTTATTCTTGTTTATGTGTTGCAAAACAGGTTTTGGAGGCATTTGGTTTTTGATGAATTCTGTATATTTTTGGCTTCATAAAAATTAAAATCTCTTTTCCTCTCATATTGTTTTTCTGAAGTAGATTATTTTGGGAAAATGTAAACTGAGATTTTAGAATTGGAAAACTGCCCTTTAGTTACTAACATTCTGGATTTTTGCTTGGAGGCAGGTGAAGAAAGTGATTTTAGTATTCCTTCAGCCAAACAAATGTGTTTTCCTTCTGAACAGCCATGTGCTTACCTGGCAGAGGAGCACAATCTCATGTTAAGTCCATTTCAATTCTTTTCTTCAAATACATAGTCATGATGTGTGAGTTAAAGAGATAACACTAAAGGTTTTGCATACCTTATCTCATTTGACCCTCACAACAACTCTGCTGGATACCTATCGATTTCCATTTTATCCCTGTGGAAACTAAGGCATAGAGAGATTAAATAACTTGTGTAAGGGCACACATTAGTAAACAGTAGAACTGAAACTTGGACCAAAGGCTTTCTGATTCCAAAAAATATTCTTTTTTAAAAAAAGTCACATAATATCTTTTAATATATTAAAAATTGATGTACACAAAAACACTTAAAAACACAAATATACAAATTAAACAAATTAGAATCATTGCCCAGGGAAGGAGAGACAAAAGAAAATGTAAAATGATATATGGTAATGGCTGTGCAAGCATCAATTCTACATTCAACCTTAAGGTAATGGGTATTAGGGGAAATGAGCAACCGATAAGAGGCTGGTAGTGGCAAAACCCATATTCTTAATCACATGCTGTATTCCCACTACATAGTAAACTATTTGAGCTTCATTGCCAACATTCCAAGATGAGAAAAGGCTACTACTAGAATTGTGGTTAATGAATAAATAACTTAGTATAAATTTTTTTGAGCTTGGATGAACTTTGCTCTTAATAATACCAATAAGAACCCTATTGTATTTGGAGGACTAAAGTTGACTCCAGAAGTATTTCTGTATGACTTAGAAGTATATTTTTAACTTCAAACTTGTAAGTGCTTTTCCTCTTATAGGGAGAGGTATTGTCAATAACTTTAACAGGAGAGAATCCCAAAGAAAAGCTATTTTATTTGAGAATGAATATGTAGCCTCATGTAGAGACCTACTCAGGTTTAAGTGCCTTACATTAGATACCTTCAAGTCACTCTCTTTGTACCTGCCCCCAAAGTCCTATTCAGAGCAACCTCATTCTGTCTGAGGGTGGGCTGTAGAAACTGTTGGTAAGATTGATATGTCAAATGGTCAAGTATCTGCAATCCAGAGTGGACTATCTCTGCCATCTGAGGTTGCAATGAGTTTATAGATGTTCCTGACCTTGTTTACAGAGGTGGTGGCCATTCTACAATAAAGTACATGAGAACTATATCTATCTGTTGGGAAGGATCCTTTTACCTCAAGGCCCCCTTCTGCTTCAGGTCATGCTTTGTGTAGCCCAGTGTTGCCTTCAGCCCCAGAGCCTAGCCTGATGATACTCATGAGGTCAAGCATTTGTTTTGTATCTTAGTTTCTATTTCTTCTTAACCCTTATCAGCCCAGTGTTTTTAGGGTAGATGACTGTTATGTTAGGTAGGCCCACATCCGGAGTGTCTAGTTATGTGATGTTGGGCAATCTACCTATTTTTCTAAAACTCAGTTTCCTCCCCAGTAAAGATGGAATAATACAGGATTACTTGGGAATCAAATGAGATGATGTTTGTAAAGTATCCTGAACAAATAACTCTTCTACCAATGCTGGTTTCCCACCCTGTCCTTCTACTCAAGGACTTAGTAATCAAAATCCCCTGCTTAGAAAGTTGCTGATAAACTCAGTCATACTCAAACTAAACTGCTGGACTTCGATGGCTTAAAGAGTTTCTATTTCCTTGGAGACCTTTGACTGACGTTAAAAAAAGAATCTCTAATGGTGGAATTGCAAATACTCTTAAGTCAGTGAAGGGAGATATTTGAAAGAGCATGGGCCTTTTCTGGAACTCCAGAAATCATAACTTGGAGGCCAGAATTTCATATTGAAAAAACTGAGAGGGAAGAAAAAAAGACTATTTTCTGAAAATTCTAAAAGGACCAAATGAACTTGAATTGCCCTTCAAGAACTAGGTGAACAAATTGCTCTTTGTTTTTTGTCATTCTTATGTGATTTCTGTTGCAATTCAGTTTAAGATGGGGCATTGGCAATTTTGTGATCTTGTGACAAATCATGGGGACTCAATGAATATTAACAAATCCCCAGTGACCTGAGATTGCAGGACTCCATAGTTACTCTCAAAGGAAATAGTTTGTATCAAAACACTTTCTGATGTGAAGGCAGGCTGGGTTTTGTAAAACTTTGTAAAGGAGAAGCTGATAAATTCAGGCTGTTTATCAAACAGTTTATTTTGCTGGGGAGACAGAAAAGAGTAAACCAATATGATGAAGGCCTTCTTCTCAGCTTTGTAACAGAGAATATACAGTATTTACCTGGGAAGATTGTTGACTGGGTCCACAATTCACATAAAATTATGCAGGTTTTCTGAATATGTCATGGGAACATTTTTTGTCCTCTCTTTGGAAATTGCTCATTTTTAAAACTTCATGATTCATTTTGTAATATTTTTTCGGAGTGAAGCAGGCAAAGCCAACGCACTTGACTTGAAGAGGTTGCTTATGAGAAAGGTTTGAACAGCACAGGCTTTGAACCTGTCTGAGGTTGATTCCCTGGAAATGGACTCTGAGATGGAGTTTTGTGTATATGAGTTTTATCAGAGGGTAAGCCTAGGGACAGCACATGTAAAAAAATTGGAGGAATTAGAATTAGGCAGGGGAAGAAGTTTAATGGGGATAGAGTTGGAACAGAGGCCTCAGAAGACCCCATGAGAGCTTTGTTGTACTCTTCCAAACTGAGGCAAAGCGGTTAGGCTCTGGAACCACTTCTTATCAATGGGGCCTGACTTTGGGTGAGGGAGCTCCCTTTGTGGAGGGAAATTCCAGGAAAGGTCAGTTGTGAGTCCTCAGCAGACAAAGCTTCAGCCAGCTCCCACAGTGTCCAGAACAGGAGTCATACCCTCGGGTTAGAATCTGGCAGCTCCACGGCCTAGTAGTTGTGAGAATTTAAGCAGTTCATTTAAACCTCTGAGATTACCTCACAGGATGTTGAAAGTTCAATGAGTTTTACTGCTTAGTAAAGTGCCTAGAATTTAGGCAACGGTCGAAAAGCATTGTTATTATTACATGGTGCTTTAT
Source organism: Homo sapiens (assembly GCF_000001405.40). Taxonomy (NCBI): domain Eukaryota; kingdom Metazoa; phylum Chordata; class Mammalia; order Primates; family Hominidae; genus Homo; species Homo sapiens. Next base: position 117,010,549 of record NC_000008.11, read on the forward strand.
GAAAATTATTAGTTCATGTTTTTCTCCTGAGTTCTACATTCACAGATGTAATTGGTGACTGACGTCACTGTATTAGTTTGTTCTCGCACTGCTATAATGAAATGCCTGAGACTGGGTAATTTACAAAGAAAAGAGGGTTCATTGGCTCACATTTCTGTGGGTTGTAAAGGAAGCATAATGGCTTCTGCTTCTGGGGAGGCCCCGGGAAGCTTCCAATCATGGTGGAAAGTGGAAGGCAAACAGGCACATCTTATATGGCACAGCAAGAGCAAAAGAGAGATGGGGGAAGTGCTGTACACTTTTAAACAACCAGCTCTTGTGAGAACTCTGTCACAAGAACAACACCAGGCGGATGGTGCTAAACCATTAGAAACTGCCCCCGTGATCCAATCACCTTCCACCAGGCCCCACCTCCAGCACCGGAGATTACAGTTTGACATGAGATTTGTGCAGAGCCACAGATCCAAACCTTATCAGTCGTATATCTGGGTGTGCCACAGTTTCTTCAAATTCTATTCTACTACGCTAAACTCTTATCTACTTCATCCTCAGGCTACAGCCCGAGAGAACGAGGGTAACTCATAGGGAGAAATAGCCATAAGAACAGGAGCAAGAAAGAGAAGGGCAGTGGGGGAAGGGGATGCAGATTTTTGATGACATGGAGGAGCCCCTGAAACCAGATCCTCCCCTGGACTTTGCAGTATGTGAACCAACTCTCTTTTTGACCAGGTGGTTTTAACTGGGTTTATGTCACTTGTAATCAGGAGTCTTGACCAACGTTTCATTTTTCAGGTTGTGTCCTCTTTGCCTGAATGAAACTTATCATTTTAGTCTGCCCTCTTATTGCGAAGTTCCTTGAAATGCCAAATAGCTCGTTTGTGAAACTCGTAAGGTAAACTTGCAATGGAGTAGATAGTTTCCAAATTAAACACTTCTACCCTGTTCTATACCAACTCCTGCACCTGAGACAGAGAGAAGCCTAGAGAGAGCTGACAGCAGAAGTCACTTTTTGCCAGCCTCAAGGCTCTAGACTTGTTAATTTAGAGTTCGTGGTGGACCCTCTGTAATTTTGCACTATCCTTGGGCACTGCCAAAAATATAGCATTCAATTTTATTGTGCAAAAAGAAGCCAGGGGTGATGTTGGACCTCTTTGGGAAAAAGAAAATACTCAATCCTCCAAAACTTCTTAAAGTTTAATGGCATTTTGTTACATATTAATAATCATCTAATGGCAAATAACTTTTAACTACTCAATAAAACATAAGCAGGACTACTACGTGAGAAATATTTTGGAAGCTTCCAGTTTATGAAAATGTTAAGACAGTTATTTCAAAAGACCATGAGTAATGTGAATTTTATTAATTCAGAAGATTTTCTCATTCCATGCACTTGTTTCACAGTGGGTAAGTTTTACTCTTTGTAACATAATTCATACTGATTTCGAGCTCCTTGAGGATAGAAATTTTGTGTACTTAGCTTACTTTGAAAAGAACCCAGAATAATTCCAGATTGCTTTCTCCTCTGAACTTTTGTATTAGTTGCTCATTCAAAAGTTGAGCAACTAATTAGTTGCTCACATAAAACTCATTTTGTATTTAGCATATGCTGTTTGGAGTTTTAACTTTTTTTAAAATTTGAAGAGTATATACAAAATTAAAGATAGGTAAACAATACAGAGTTCCTTTCCTGAAAGTTCTTTTACTTCTTATTTTTAATGTGTACATTTTCTTTTGTTCAATGTTTTCTGTCAGTGTTATGCCATTTTAATGATAGCTAATTACAGTATTTTAGCAGTTAATCTTCCTAATTTAATTTTCTAATTCCAGACTTCCCAGTGAAGTCAACCAGTTGTGGATTGAAAATATTAAAAAAAAAATGTGTCCCTACTGAACACATACAGACTTTTGTCATGTCATTATTACCCATACAATACAGTATGACAACTATTTACATAGCGTTTACATTGTATTAGGTATTGTGTATAATCTAGAGATGATTTAAAGAGCACAGTAGGATGTGTGTAGGTTATATGCAAATACTATGCCATTTTATATCAGGAGTGTCCTCTGGAGTTCCTGGAGCCAATCCCCAAGGATACAGAAGGACGACTGTATATAAGTGTGTGTGTGTGTGCATGTGTGTGTGTGTGTTGTGCATGTACATAGACATATGTATACACACACACACACACACACACACACACACACACACGGTGGATCCTCAAATAGATTGTAGGCCTTTGAAGGCAGTCAGCATATATTTCTTATAATCTTATAATACTCTAGAGCCAATCATAATGCTTTTGCACTTCAGAGAAACTCAGTAAACAGTGTTTTAATTATAGTGGTCATGACAACAGTGTATCATCTGACAGCTCTAAGAAAAAGATCTAATAATTCACTATTGGCATGACTGCCTCATTCTAATGGGGCTACTTTTGATGAAAGAGCAAGCAGACCCTGGCATTTCCTCTGGCTTTCTCTGCAACTATTAATATTTCTTATACTTTCTTGGAGATTCATTACTACCTGTGTCAGGAGAGGTATAGCTTTGAGAATTCAATTGTGTGAAGAATGTTAGCAAAATGGATTTGTATTCCTTCAGCTCAAGGGTAGAAATGTCAAGAAATTTGGAAGATAAGAGGGAGTAGAGGCATGGACAATGAGGCACAAGGAAAAGCATAAGAATGTTTCTTTGCCATTTTAGCATTCATCTTTTTGTGAATTTTGCTTTCTGTATACAGCTCACCTTCCTCTGTTATCTGTCTCTACTGCATGATTCCTTCTCATTCCCACATTTGAAAGAGTTGTAGAAGGTAACAAGTATTTAATAACAAAAGACTGGGAATACAAGGACTGAGCAGCAGAGATGTTCAGTGGGAAATGTTATCAAATCATCTAGGCACCCCTTTTGAGCAGCACCTAGCATTGCTCTAGGGTAGATAAAAGAAGAAAATGTGGAAGTAAAAAAGAAAATAAAATATTAATATTCATTCATTTTTTTCTCAGTAAATTCTCTTGTCCACAATGTGTCAGGTATATTAGCACCTTACAGCTTAAAAATGACAACCATATATATACCTGGACTTGGTGGTGTCAAGCTTTGGGATGAAGATGGAAATCCTTCTTATGGGAGTCTAAAGGGGCCAAAGAATTATCTAGGAGGGACAGAGGTGAAGGAATGAAGAGTGTTTTCTTTCAAGTCCATTTTAATCCCTCTTTTTAACTTTGCTTTCCTATTTAACTTCATTTTTTTCTTAAAGATTTTAGTTTTACATAGAGATGTTTAAAAACAAAGCCTCTCTGTAGGTCATGTGAGAATATATTAATCATTATCAGTCATTTTTTTCAATGATAGCACATTTAAGGATAAATTGTTAGCCATTAAATTCATGAAATCCTTCACCCTTAATACAGAATCTTTAACTTAGAATATTTTTGAAAAAAGTGTGAAACAGACTATCAATATGTTTTCATTTAGCTCTTGGTGAACTTGGCATTGCTGTTTTATTTGGTTGGTGCAATAGTATTTGCAGTTTTTGCCACTGCGTTTAATGGCAAAACCGCAATTACTTTTGCACCAACCTAATATAGGGGCACATGAATGCTGAAGATGAGGGGATCAGTAATGATTCTGAAAAGGTGGTCAGATCCCGACTCACAAATAAATATTCCCATTAGTAACTCACTGGGGTTTCTTTTCAAGTGTTATCATATTAGCCTTTGGCTGCTGAACAGTCCTTCTTAGTTTCCAGAATGTGGCTGAGAGTAACAAGGGTGTAACAAATGAAGTCTTTACAAAGAATGAGCCTATCATCTTTGAGGAAATTCTCAATGGGTTGGCCAAGGAAAGAGAATGGCTGATGAGTCTGTGGTGGTGAGTCCCTATACCTTGATTCTATTCCTTCAATTGCCATGAGTTAGCTGTTTAAACATGATGCTAGTCATGCAAATATGCTGAGCATATTTAGATCTGAAAAATATAGGATGGTCTTTTTAGGTCCCTTTTGGACTTAAGGTAAATCAAGTGTGTGAGAGGATAGGTTGCAAAACAAGTACGTAGTGTTACTGAAATGGATCCAGTTTTAACTTACTGATGTCTTATCTCAGTTCCTTTCTCAGGGAACTGATCATCAGGCCTTCTGGCAAATATCAGAGAGCTGAGGCTTTCTATTGATAGGTCACTGCCCCTGGGAAATGAGATGCACCTACTGCCTGTTGTCCAACTCCCTTTTCTTACCCTTCCTCAGTTCCCTGCTATATAAACCCCTAACTTTAGTCTGTGGGAGAGGGATGGATTTGAGGTTTGTCTTCTGTCTCTCTGGCTGATGTCACATGAATAAAACCTTCTTCTCTGCTAATATCTGTTGTCTCAGTAATTGGCTTTGCGTGCAGCAAGCAAAGGGACCTAGACCGAACCCCTGGCATTTGGTAACATCACAACTATATATCTATATATATTACAAATATATATATATATAGATATACCGAGAGCTGAAACCAGAATTTGGGATGAAGGTGGAAATTCTTTTTAGAGGCTGTTGAAAGGACAAGATGTTGGTGAGGGGAGCTTATAGGAAACTGCGTGGCACAAACAAGAGGATTAAGGATCTTTCTATCAACCATAAAACTTCTTAAAAGTTCCCCGCTATCTGACTTTCTTTATATGTTCTACACCACATAGAGATTTAGGACAAAAAACCATGTATCATTATTCCAAGGAAAATACGATGCCAGTCACCTTACAATGAAACTTAGCAAACAGCCCATTCTTATAGTTTCCCTCTGCTCAGACACACAAACACATACACCTGTGCTTTGTTTACTCTTATTTTCTGCTGTTCATTTTTCTCCATGGTCCATTCCAAGATAAAGGTCCTTTGAAGGTGGAAAAAAATATCTGGTTCATCTTTGTCTTCTTAAAGCTGCATTTCCTAAAGTGGGTCCAATGGGAAACATTACAGTAATAAATTAGATGCTATTATGCACCCCCCCCCCCCAAAAAAAAGAGGGCGAGGGAGGGCTTTGTGTCAAACCTGTTTGTGAAACAAGAAGGGGACATAGAATACAGGGTTTTCTGCACAGAACGCTTTCCCACCCACCTTTTTTTTCTGGAGGGGAGCATTTTTCCTCATGACATCTGTCTTAGGATCAGTGTTTGTTGGGACTCACTTTGTGACACAGGCCTAAAGTAGGAAACTTTGTAGTAAGCAGAAAATAATAAATATAGCAGATGACTCTAAGCCATATGTTTTTCTCTTCAAATGATCCTAATTGGTGTTATGCTTTATTTCACTGGTGTTTTACAACCTGGTACATTGGGGAGAGCCACAGGGTCATTTATTGAACATTCAGAACAATGGGCAGAAGTACTTGTTGAGTAGGTTAACTTCTGCCACAAATGACAGGTGTGTCTAATGGTTTGGGAGAAGGGGAAGGAGAAGCAGCAATGGAATGCGCTTGAATAAGAAGGAACAAGAGCAAACGTTGGTAAGAGAGAAGGGGGATAATACCGGGCATAAGGTTACTTTCAGCCAGGTGAATCAGTCCTGGAGAGGTCACCTAGGCTGTCTGTTTAGACCAGGCAGAAGAAACTAGAAATCCAGAAATCCAAAAACTGGGATATTGAAGGGAAAAAGGGATAGGTTCCCAGGAAAGTAGTTTGTGGAAGCTAGGTGTTGTTTTAACCTTGCGCACAGAAAATGCTCAGTAAATAGCCTTTGAAAAATGGACACCAATGGATAATAGAAGTCGATATTGAATCAAAGAGTTTTTGAGTTAGGTGGTTTCAAACATTCTTTCTGCTGAGGATCAGATATAATGTCAGACTATAGTTGGGCTGGGCACTGCAGAAAGAGGAAAATCAAGTTAACGAAACTGAGCAGGAAAAGACAGGGGCAAAGAACAAGGCAGCTATCAACTCCAGGCTGAGGTGCCAAATAAATACATCTCTCTCAAGTCTCTCATTTCTCCTGTTGAAATGCACGCTAACAGCTGCTAGTTTAGTATCCACTTTGGGTTCCCTGTTTAGTCACTGAAAACAAATACTGTCATCATTTCAGCAGAGAATATCTGTAGATAGCACATATTTTATATATATTTACATAGCAAGTTTACAGCTAACAAAAGATTGCTCTGATGAATATACAAGGAGAGAGATTAAAATGTACAAATATGCTTAGAGCTTAAGAGAAAACATTTACCTCATTTTCTTCCTGTCATGAGGGTAGACGCTTAAGACAGCATGAAAAATAGTGATTCTTTCTCCATTTATTCTGAAGCTTTCTCCATTGTTATGATGATACTGCCATTCACATTTTAAACAGATTTTTAAAAGATCTATATTTCTAATTCACGTTATGTTATATTCATCTAGCATGCTCACAACAAGATAAAGCTAATAAAATCAGGGAAGATCGTCGAGGTTTAAGGTATAGTAAGGTGGTTAAGAGAGTTAGAGTGCCTGGGTTTGTATCCTGGCTCTGATGCTTGATACTGTGTGACCTTGGGTAAGTCACTTTACTTTCTGTGCCCCAGTTATTTAATTTGTAAAAGGGGGGAAATAGTGTCTCATTTATAGGGTTATTTAGAGATTAAATTAGTTAATATATGTGAGGCACTAGAACTGTACCAGGCACAAAGTAAATGCAACAGAGTACTAATGTTGGCTATTGCTGCTGTTATTAATATTATTATTAAAGATCATAGTTACAGGGCCCAGTGGCTGAGGGTGGATTTGTGGTTTTCTCTTGTGTTCTAATATCAACCTGCTCTCAAGCACTTTGCTTCAGTTTCTGAAGTTGCCAAATAATATTAGAATACAAGGTTTCTTCATCCCTGTACTTAAATTTTATCTCAGTTGCAACAGCATTTCATTTCTGTATTTTCTATGTTTGTAGTGCTTTCTCTCAGTCAAAATATTTGCTAAACACTTACTCTCTGTCTGGCATAGTTTTTGGCCCAATAGAAGCAAGGCACCAGCCAACACCAAAGTCAAATTGACGTGGAGCCACAGTGAAGAGGATGTGAAAGGGCCCTGCACTTGTGGAATTGACACTAGTTCAGGCAGGTGGAGAATAAGTAAGGAAAGAAGCGAATACAACAATTTCAGAATACCTGTGAAGAAAATGAGGCATTATATGAGAGTGACTAAATGAGGCAGAGAAATTTAACTTTTATTGGCTGCCCAGGCCATGGAAGACCTTGCTGAGAAGATTCTGGGTTGGAGGAGAAGATTCAGAAGAGATGAATTTCTTTTTATTAATGAGTTCATTTAGGATGATGGCTTTCTGCCCAACAGGGAAGTTATCTAGACTCGTCCTGTCCCATAGAAATAAAATGTGAGCCACTTATATAATTTTGAGGTTTCTTGTAACCATATTTGAAAAGTTAGTAGAGCTGGGCATGGTGGCATCTGCCTGTAGTCCCAAATACTTACTGGGGAGGCTAAAGTGGGAGGATCTTTCCAGTCCAGGCATTCTGGGCTATAGTGCACTATGCTGATTGGGGTCCACACTAAGTTTGGCATCAATATGGTGACCTCCCTGGGAACAGAAAACCACCAGGTTGCCTAAAGAGGGATGAACTGGCCCAGGTCAGAAACAGAGTAGGTCAAAACTCCTATACTGAACAGCAGTGGAGTTGCACCTGTGTATAGCCACTGCATTCCAGCCTCAGCAACGTAGTGAGACCTTGTCTCTTATAAATAAATACATACATACATACATACATACATAAAATTGTAAAAGGTAAGAAGAATTAGTTTTAATAATATATTTTAACATAATATATCAAAAATATTATTTCAACATGTAATATGAAAAATCATTGAGCTATTTTATATTCTTCTTTTTTTTACTAAGTCTTCAAAATCCATAATGTCTTTGATGCTTATTCAGCACATCTCAATTGGACTTACCACATTTCAAATGCTCAGCAGCCACAGGGGGTTGGCGCCACCATGTTTGGATAGCACCACTGCCTTGATAGCACTGCTGTGTTGGATAGCACCACTGTGTTGGATAGCTACACTGTGTTGCATAGCACTGTTGCGTTTGATAGTGTTGGCCTAGACCACAGGTTGAAAACTGCGGCCTGTGGGCCAAATCTGACTAGCCCCCCCCCCCCTTTTTTTTTTTGATGGAGTCTTGTTCTGTTGCCCAGGCTGGAGTGCAGTGGTGCAATGTTGGCTCACTGCAACCTCCGCCTCCTGGGTTCAAGCGATTCTCCTGCCTTAGCCTCCCTGGGACTACAGGGGCCTGCCACCACGCCTAGCTAATTTTTTGTATTTTTAGTAGAGATGCGGTTTTTCACCATGTTGGCCAGGCTGGTCTTGAACTCCTGACCTCAGGTGATCTACCCACCTCGGCCTCCCAAAGTGTTGGGATTACAGGCGTGAGCCACTGCGCCCAGCCCACCTCTTGTTTCATATGAACTACCAGCTAAGCATTTTTTAAAAAATTTTTAACATGGTTAAATTTTAAATGGTCATATAAGTACCAAAAGTAGTCTTGGTTTCATCTTAAAATTTAAAATATTTAGTCTCTGGCCCTTTAAGAAAAAGTTTTCAGACTCTCTATTGAGATTATCACAACAATCCCCACAGAGACTGTGAGGTCCCAGAAACAGGACCCATCTTACTCCATGTTATATCCTGAGTATTCAGCACAAGGCCTGGCAATAGCTGAAGCTCAACGCATTTTTAAAAACTGAATCAATGTATATAACAATGTAAACTAGTGCTCACAGTTATGGAATTACTTTTAGAGCAACAGATGTTTACTCCTCGTGATCATTCTGTCACAATTTCATACAAAAATAAAGGCAGTTTCTAATTTTGAGCACTTTCCTTATCATTTCCCCTGCCTCAAATTTCACACATTGATTCTACATTGCCTAATTAAGAGCCATTCCTCAATGCTCCCTCTATTGTTTCATTTGTCCTATTACAAGAGGGCAACAGAGTTCAGTTTCATAACTCCCAGTTCTTTAAACACACATTTGTCTTAAACAATGATTTCATCATTTGTTGTTTAATGTTCCTTTCTCCTTCCTTCTTGAGGGCAAGAAATGGATCTATTTTGGTCGCAGTAGTAATCCCAGCACCTAGCTCAGGGACTGGAACACGGAGGCTGTGCTGTATTGAAAAGAATGTTTGAAAACATGCTAAAGTCTATGAAATGGGCTCTTGGGATGGTGTGTTGGAAGAATGTTCTAGACAGAGGAAACAATGCAAGCAAAGGCATTGAGGAGCAGTGATACAGGAAAATTAAGATTTGTTTTGAGAACTGCAAATAGTTGGTATGGCTGGAATGTTGAGGGCATGGCAGGGGAGAGTGTAGCAAGTGAGGCCCTGGATTGCAATAGGTCCAGCACACATCTTCAAAGAACATGTAGGACAACAACACTTTCAGATTTTATTCTGAAGGCTAAGAGCTTAAGTACTTAAGAGTAGCCAGGCAGGTAAGAAAAGGCACAGCTGAGCACAGGATGATAGAACGCAATTGCCTGTCCGCCTCAGTGCAGGGCTCAGTCATAGGAGGAGAGGACTCTGTTGAAAGGGGAGGATTTGCAGCCAGTTGTTGCAACTTAGCTTCCAACAGATGAGAAAATAAATTCTTCTTCAACACATGGAGCTTGTGTAAAATTAGCCCTACATTTGGCTACAAAGAAAATTTATTTAAATAATTTTTAAATAAATGGAAATTTTATAGGCCCATTCTACAATGAAAAGCCAATAAAATGATAAATAATAGAAAGACAAATATAAACTAAATTAACTATCGTTTTATTCATGAAATTGGCAAACATTGAAATTATGGTAATGTTAAATATTGTCAAGGGTAGGAGGAAGAAATTATATCTCACTGTGTTGGTGAAAATGTGAATTATTACAAACTGTCTGGAAAGTAATCTGGTACTAATTATTAAAGTTAAACATATACATAGTTCTTGACCTAGCAGTCTTATTCAGGAGAATCTAGTTCTTACAAATAAAAATCCAAATAATTAAGTATATATGCAGAAGAATATTTAGTGCACCATTGCTGTGAAAAAAAGAACAGGAAAATGGTGAATGGGGAATTGTTGAATAAATTCTGGTACATCTATATAAAATTGGATATACAGCTATTTTATAAAGAATGAACAGTATCTTTATCTTTATTTTTTGACTTGGAGAGATATTGGTATTGTATTGTAAGAAAAGCAAGACACTGATAAGAAGATGTAAAATTATCTCATTCTTGAATATCAAACAACGTTATGACCCTTCTCTCTTTATAAATATCTGTAGATGTTTTTATATGACTATAAAAACCTAAAGAAAAGAGTGGAATAATAAGCGATAGACTTAATAGACCCTTAAATCTGGACTGCAGTGGTATTCGTCGGAATGGAAAAGAAGATGGAGAAAAGGGAGAGAAGTAAAATTTTAGAAAGACTTTAAAAAGAGGGTCAATGAGAAAAAGTAGAATGTATGATGGTGTCATTCCTGGGTGGTGAGATTTTAGTTGCCTGTTTTTTATGGTCCAAGGGCTAATAATGATTGTCATATTTTTAAACAGTTACCTTTTAAATGGTTATATAGGTACCTAGTGTAATAGCCTTGATTTTTTTCCTCTTGGTCCTCAAAGCCTACAGTTGTTACCATGTAGAGCTTTTCAAAAAGGTTTGCTGCCTTCTGATCTCTTTAAACTTTTGAGGATTCCTACTTGTACTTTGAAAACAATATGAGGTAAATAGATAACACAACTTTTCTCTATTATTTAGTGACTTTGTTTGAGGTCACCTCAATTTCTTTTTAATATTTTTGTTCTTTTCTTCTAAATGCACCTTGTTTTCTTAAAATGTCCTTCTAGAGGATCTGCTGTAGTATCCTCCAACCAGCCACAGTGTCCTCTACAAAAACAAAAACTGCAAGATTTTATTGAAGGAGATTAAAGAATACCTAAATATGTAGAGGAAAACCATGCTGATGGATTAGAGGATCCTATAATGTAAAGATGTCTTTTCTCAGCACATTCATCCACATTTTCAAGGCAGCGTCAGCAAAAACCCAAGCAGGTTTTAAAAATTGCTATTTTTTTGTGTGAAAATTTACAAGCTGATTCTAAAATCTGCATGGATTTGCAAAAGGTCAAGAAAATCCAAGGGAATCTCAAGGAAGAACAAAGCTGCAGGGTTTACACAACCATATATCAAGACATGTATTATACAACAATAATCATTAAAACAGTGTGGTATTGGTTCAAAGACACACAAGTTAATCAACAGAACAGAATAGGAGAGCCCAGAAGTAAACCCACACAGATGTAGACACTCAATTTATGACGGAAGGGCTGCTGCAGAGTAATGGGGAAACATGACCTTTTTAAAGAATGATATCAGGTCAATTGGATAGTCATATGGGAGAAAAAAATGAATCTTGATACTAGATAAATTGTTGTGCAAATGTAAAAGTTTAAAAAGGTAAGTTCCTTCTCTACTAAAAATACAAAAAAATTAGCCGGGCATAGTGGCCGGCACCTGTAGTCCCAGCTACTCGGGAGGCTGGGGCAGGAGAATCGCTTGAACCCAGGAGGCGGAGCTTGCAGTGAGCCGAGATAGCGCCACTGCTGTCCGGCCTGGGCAAAAGAGCAAGACTCCGTCTCAAAAAAAAAAAAAGAAAACAAGTTAAGTTCCTATAAGAAAATAGATATATGATCTTGAGATGGATAAAATTTTTTTAAACAGGTCAAAAAACACTAACCATCAGGGGAAGATTGATGATTGAACTGTATTTACATTAGGATCTTCCTTTTTTTATGTTAGGTACATGAAGATGAATTAGGGATAATACATGCTGGATTCAAATGGCAGAACAGGCAAAAAAGAGGTCTGGTATGAATGACCTTTAGTGTCCCTCTTATAAACCAGAGATCACTACTGGATTCAATGATAAATTAGAAGGAGACAATCTCATACTGGTACCAAAACAGAGATATAGACCAATGGAACAGAGCAGAGCCCTCAGAAATAATGCTGCATATCTACAACCATCTGATCTTTGACAAACCTGACAAAAACAAGAAATGGGGAAATGATTCCCTTTTTAATAAATGGTGCTGGGAAAACTGGCTAGCCATATGTAGAAAGCAGAAACTGGATCCCTTCCTTACACTTTATACAAAAATTAATTCAAGATGGATCAAAGACTTAAATGTTAGACCTAAAACCATAAAAACCCTAGAAGAAAACCTAGGCAATACCATTCAGGACATAGGCATGGGCAAGGACTTCATGTCTAAAACACCAAAAGCAATGGCAACAAAAGCCAAAATTGACAAATGGGATCTAATTAAACTAAAGAGCTTCTGCACAGCAAAAGAGACTACCATCAGATGAATAGGCAACCTATAGAATGGGAGAAAATTTTTGCAACCTTCTCATCTGACAAAGGGCTAATATCCAGAATCTACAATGAACTCCAACAAATTTACAAGAAAAAAAACAACCCCATCAACAAGTGGGTGAAGGATATGAACAGATACTTCTCAAAAGAAGACATTTATGCAGCCAAAAGACACATGAAAAAATGTTCATCATTGGCCATCAGAGAAATGCAAATAAAAACCACAATGAGATACCATCTCACACCAGTTAGAATGGCTATCATTAAAAAGTCAGGAAACAACAGGTGCTGGAGAGGATGTGGAGAAAGAGGAACACTTTTACACTGTTGGTGGGACTGTAAACTAGTTCAACCATTGTGGAAGTCAGTGTGGCGATTCCTCAGGGATCTAGAACTAGAAATACCATTTGACCCAGCCATCCCATTACTGGGTATATACCCAAAGGATTATAAATCATGCTGCTGTAAAGACACATGCACACATTTGTTTATTGTGGCACTATTCACAATAGCAAAGACTTGGAACCAACCCAAATGTCCAACAGTGATAGACTGGATTAAGAAAATGTGGCACATATACACCATGGAATACTATGCAGCCATGAAAAATGATGAGTTCATGTATTTTGTAGGGACATGGATGAAGCTGGAAACCATCATTCTCAGCAAACTATCACAAGGACAAAAAACCAAACACCGCATGTTCTCACTCATAGGTGGGAATTGAACAATGAGAACTCATGGACACAGGAAGGGGAACATCACACACCAGGGCCTGTTGTGGGGTGGGGGAGGGGGGAGGGATAGCATTTGGAGATATACCTAAAGTTAAATGACGAGTTACTGGGTGCAGCACACCAACATGGCACATGTATACATGTGTAACTAACCTGCACATTGTGCACATGTACCCTAAAACTTAAAAAAAAAAGAACATTATCACCCTAACTAACTTGAAAAAGTCTTAAGGTGCTTCCATGGGACTCTTAAGTTTTTTCTTTTGATAGAAACTACCAGTTTCATTCAATTGATGGCATATTTTAAAATATTTGCTTTTTATTTTCTGGCTATTTGGCATAAGGTAAAAGCACAACCATGATTAAACTTGGAATTACCTAATAATGCAACCTTACTCATGGTTGGATGTCTAGTATCAATGTTTTGAAAATAATCAGTTGATTTGCTGTTGGATAGATATTGTTTATCTGATAAAACTACCTAGCTATTTTGAAGGAATGACTTTTATGTAATGTTATTTCCTCCCACAGTCTGCAAAAAACAAATTGTGTTTTCTAAATGGTAAACGATTTTAGGAAATACTGTCTTTAGGTATTTTTGTCATTCTGCTGAATGAAGAAATTAATTTTCCTTTTGGAGTTTCGGCTAATTCTTTGAGCTATTACAAATCAAGAGCCTTCTGGCTTTGAATATGCTTTGAAAAGAGGTCCTATTGCAAATTCTATTTCTTCCACAAAGCCTTCCATGGTCTCTTTCCACTCCTTTTGGGCGTAATCTCTTCCTCCTCCAATTCATTGCATTTAACCTGCATCTTCCTTATGGCAACTGCATTTGCCACCATGTGCTATAATCTTTATTGTACTTGTATTACCCCTCTGCTAGACTGTAACTGCCATGAGGGCAGGTCCATGGGCATATGGTTCAATTTTATGAACCCTAGCATACACAAAAGCATATACCAATAGTTTTGAACACTTCACTCAGAGGCCAGTGAACACATGAGACTCCTTTTGTCTGTAATGGTTTGTTTTGGTGATAAACAAAGGTGCAGAGCAACATTCCATAAATATTTATGTTCTTTTTCTCCCCTATCAGTGTCTGCCCATCATTATTTGTTTTTTTTAATTTTTTTCCAAGTTTTATTTTAAGCTCCAGGGTACTTGTGCAAGATTTTCAGGTTTGTTACATAAGTAAATGTGTCATGGTGGTTTGCTGAACAAATCAACCCATCACCTGGGTATTAAGCCCAGTATCCATTAGCTATTCTTCCTGATACTCTCTCTTTCCCCATCCCTTACATGCCCCAGTGTGTAGCATTATTAAACTCAGTCATAGGAGGATAAGATTTGTATTTTTCTACTGAAGCCCAAAGAAATGAAGTATTCATTCTGTCACTTAGTTTAAGCAGGAAAACAACTTGTCAGAAATCTAAAAAGATTATCTTGGCACATTTGAAATTCGGAGAGTTTAAAAAATAAATTTGGGACTGATTAGCTACAGAACTGTAGCCTTTACTAATGTGTGCTCCATGAAACACTAGCTCCATAAGTTGTCGATAGGTTTGGTTGAAAATGGGAAAGGGGTCTTAAGACTAGAAATTTGAGAAATGCTGGATTAAATAAAATCAGTTTTTTTAAATGCAAGACTTCTCAGAACTTTTATGCATTTTGAGCCTTCTGAAAAAGAGTAGTCAGCATTTCTAGATTTATTTTTTAAATTACAAAAGTAGATTTCTCAGTGAAATTCTTGAATGATTAATGTTCTGTGGGATACATACTGGAAAGATTATGTCCCTTGCACAATTAAGCATGTAATAAAATATATTTTGAGTGAATGAATGATTGAACTCCTAGTGAGTTAGGGACAATGACAGCGCTATTCTCCCTCCAGACAGCCAAAGGAAATGAGCAACAGATGCCAAAATCCTTATTTCCAGTTCCATTCATATTCTCTTTTTCCATGCTTTTCTTTGATCCAGGGCTGATTGATCCTATATCTCTAGGGCAGAAAATCTGATTGCCTTTTCACAGGAACCACAGCTCTTGAAATCTTACCTAAGCTTCCTAGTAGAGCTTTAATAGCAATCAGTACCTGCCTGAATTTCTGGTGGCCTTGCAGCTAATCATATTTCAGGGAAAGATGCTACTATGCTGAATACCTGATGATGGATGCTCTTCTTAGGAGAAGAAAATGGCATTTAATGGTCTCAGGATTAAGATTACAGAGATAGCACCAGGCTATCTGCAGCCTCAAGGCTTTTAAAGCATCCCCTGGGCATGAGCCAATGCGAATATTTCCTTTCCTTCGCAGGGTGATGGTGCATTTGTTCGTAGCATGGAGCTGCACTTTAGGAGTTATGAAGGCAAGGCAGAAGGGAGATGCAGGGGGGAGAAAAGGAGAGAGAACTGCCTGTCCCTTCACAGCAAAGAACAAAGTGTTCCTTTAGTGAATCTTGTTGATTGCAATCCCCTGGCTGACTTTGGTGTGCTTCAGTTATAATTAACTTCCATATATTTTAAGGGATTAGTGACATGTCAACATTTTTGAAACGTAGTTCTAATCATTGCATGTAATAACAATATTTGTCTTCAATAAGGGGATATTTTAGGGTGACAGATAAAGATAAGTCAAGAGCGCTCACACAGTTTCATGAAACTTCCATTTGTTTTTTCTTTTAAGAAAGCATAGGGCAGAATATATGTATTCTTTTGCTCAGCAGAAACGGCAAAGAGAAATGTTTAATGGAAAGCAAGTATGCCTGGAAGAAATTCTTGTGTAAGAGTTTTTAGATCAATACTCAAACTAATCTCACGCTCCCAGGAACTGACCTCCCTCTCTCTGTACATGATACCCTCTCCCATAGGGCAGAAGCAGGTTTATTAGCCTCCTTTTATTTTGCAGTGATTCACTGCGGTAGACAGAGAAAAGCTCTTAGATGAAGTATCCAAAGTTTGGTGCTCACCCTTCCTAAATGTACACTGTTAGACAAGCCACTTTATCTCTCTGATTCCTGCTTCCCTTATCTGCAGAACAGGGGAGGAATGGTTAAAACACGTACATGTATTGTGCACTCTTGCTATCTGCCAGGCCCTATGCTATGCAATCTGGATACTTTATCTTGTTTAATCCTCACAAAATAAATGCAGTGAGAGAGATACTCCTATTTTAAAACAAGAAACCTGGGATCTATAGAGATTAGGTGAGTGACTAATCTGAGGTCACATAGCTGGTGGGGTAGCAGAGCTTTGATGTGTGTCTAGGTGTGACTGATTCCATGGTCCGGGCGCCACTAGATTACCCTAACACTTTGGTTGTGAGGAGTAAAAGAGATGTCTGAAAGCCTGTTGTAATTTGTAAATGCCCATATAAATGTGAGGCATTATCACTGAGTAGCACTCATAGTGGTTACTGAGACCTAGGTCTTGCAGGAGGTATACTGAGAATGAAAACATGGTGTATTTTTCTGGCTGGGCCATCATCCAAACTGAAAGGGCATGTGTTTGGCGACAGGGATAGAAAGTTGAATACAGGGAGAAAAAGGAGGGGCTCATCTTGGCCTCAAGGCTGCATCTACCTCTCAACACCATTTCCTGTCACCCAAGCAAGTGCTCATGAGGCTACATTAGCCTGTTTTGTCAGGTTCTTCCAAGTGAAACTCTTTCTTGCCCCAGATCCTTGCATTTGATATTCTCTCTGCCTAGAAAATTCTTCCTACAGCTGTTTTCTTCCCATTCTTCAGGTCTCAATTCAAATGTCAATATGTCAGGAAAACCCAGGCCTCCCAATTATTTTGCTTTTTTTTGTTGTTTATTTACTTGTTAATTGTTTGGCTTTTCTGAATGAAGACTCTAGTTCACTGTGCTGTATTGTTGACTCCCACAGTGCTAAGCTCTTACTAGGTGCCCAGTAAATTGGTGTTAAATGAAGAAATGAATGTCTGCTTTAGAGGAGACCAGAGAAACCTAGGCAGGACCCTGAGTTGGATGCTAACCTATACTCTAGTCTCACTGTGATTCTTAAGGGTCATTTCTAGTTTAAGAACAAGATAATAAAATTCTCATTTCTTCATTTCTGAATAGGTTTTTCTTTTTGTTTTTATATTCACCTGCCACCCTGCTGTCACCTTTGGAGAAGGTGTAAGTTTTGGGAAAAAGGAGGGTCTTTGGAGTTACACAGGACTTGGGTTAAATCCTAATTCTGTCATTTACAGTGTGACCTTGGGTGTGTCATTCAAGCTCTCTAAGCCTAAGCTGCTTCACGTATAAAATATTTCATAGGATTATCCTGAGCTTAATTAAGATATTTACAAAGAATTTAAAACTGTTTGGCAGACTATATTTCCTCCTCTTTCCCAAGGACTCTAACTTTCTTGGAAATACATTTTGGTTTTGAAGGCTGCCGTGCGTTGGTCGACTACCATTTGATTTGTTGATGCTGGAGGGAAAGAAGTGGAGAAAGAGAGGAAGAAGGCTGTTTTAAATGACATTGTGATTTCCTTGGAGGCAAAGATTTTTGTCTAATCTCATATCACAATCACTTATACTTGCTAGGCTGTTAATAGGCACAAAAAATAAAACTCAGATGGAAATGTTAATAGTGGTATTTTTAAAATGCAGCATAAAAGCTCAGATCTTTTACATAGTGAACCACTCAGACCACTTTCCTGAAATATGAATACAACAAACATTTCTTGAAATGGTTAAAAACAAAAAGGGTAAGAAGTACAAACATGGCACTGTTGCCCCTGATTTCTGGGGACAGTCTCTAGACCTCAGAGGGTTGCTGGATAGTGTCTGAAAATTTTGGAATTAGAAACATGAGCTAGCCTTAATGTCTTCTGACATGTATAAATCTCTGCATCTTCTCACCACAGTTTTTTTTTTTTTTATTGTAAGGAGTACTAAATTAGGAAGACTAGGTCAAAGAGGAATGGTCTTTTTGTTGAAGTAGAAATATAATTCTTGTAAAATCTAAAGTTTCTGAGCCTCTGAATCTTTTCCCCTTAGCTGATATAAGCAGGTAGAAGGATTACATATAATATACATATGACAAATATATATATATGTAGTCATATATATCAAAAGAAATATATATGTGTCTGTAAATAATAAAGCAAATATAATTAACAGATAAAGGTTATCAAACAATTGACACCTTTGTCTAAGGTAACAGTAAAGGACAGTGTTAAGGACAAATTGAGGTGGCCTCAATTTACTAGAAAGAAATCAGTATGAGTTTTCATTTGCCCTAGTGACATATTACTTCTTAATGAGCAAATAATGTCAACAATATTTTATTTTATCCATATAACCAACTGGAAAAGAAATAAGTATTAATGAAAAAAATGCATTCATTTAAGGAGATACCACTAACAAGGCTAAGTAAAGGTAAAACTTCTGTTTCCAAAATTTTCTAAACAGAAATAGTATCTTTTGCCCCTGTGCCGAACTATCCATTTTTCTAAGATGGGCTACTTTGACCCTGCCAGGATTACTCAATAATTCCTCCATTCATTCACAGGTAGTATCAGTCGATGAGTTCATGATCTTAATTATTGTCAACTTTTGTATTGGCTAAAAGGTGGACTAACTACCCACTTTTAATACTCAGGTCCTTGCAATTGTCATAAGAAATTCAGCATTGCATTCTGGTAACCTACTCACCTTCTAGTTGTGGGGGTTTAGTGCTTCTAGTGCATAGATTATTTGTTTTATTTTAAGAGAATTTCAATGAGATTGGAAATTTAGTTTCAGAGCCAGACCTTCAAGGTTAAAACATCAAAACAAATCTCCAAAGAAGAAAGACAACCACAGAAACTATTTGAATAATTTTGACTTGCTTTGAAAACTAAAATTAAGGCTTTTAAATTCATCAGCCCATCATCATAACCCTCGCATTGCTGAGGTGCTTTGGAAGTGGATCAGTAGTTCTGCCTTTCCCTGGCTCACTGTCATGGCTAATAAAGCTATGTCTGTCTCTCACACAAACAGCTAATGTAATGGAAAGATAATTACAAACAAGTAGATTACAGGAATTGAACAGAAAACTGATGTTGAGACAGTTTTTCTCCTGTACAGAGTTTTTGTGTTTGTTTGGAGTCATCTAACACTGCAAACAAATTCAAAATCATCAAGTCCAATGTCGGAATATTTGACATTGAAGATAAATTCACTCTTTGAGTAGTCACTTGGAAACCAATTATTAGACAAGACAATGAAGATGATTTTCCAAACACAATGGCAATATTTAAAGTACAGAAGTTCCTAATGGTGCAATGTTTGTTTGTTTTTTTAAAACTAAGAACCTGTGCCTAATTTTTAAGTTTGATGAAAATGTAGCATTTAATAAGGGCAGATCTTAGACATTTTCAGAGCATAGGAAATTCCCTGCAGATTACAGTTCTAAGAATAGCCTAGAAACAGCAGTAGAGCAAATAAAGAAGTGACCCTCAGTCGTTCATGGGTATATCAGGGGACATGTAGCTATATATCAATAAATTGCTGATGGCTTTATAAGTTGTCAGATGTTAGGCAAATCAGAACCATACATTGCTATTATGGTGGGCATTTCTTGCTTTTGTTAAAAAAAAAAAAAAGGCACCCAAAACAACTTTTACTAGGAAAAGATGCTCTGCATGTAAAAATATATGCAGTGTTTTCTGCTCTCTTAACTAATTTTTAGTTGTTCACCAGGCATGTTACCTACTTCTCAGTTATGGTTCCCATGATCCAGTTAACGTTGCCTCCCATCTTTCTCTTTGTGTAAATTTAACAATATTTCCAATGTTCTTACCAGTTCTTTTTTTGAGTGAATCTAAGGCATGCTCAATGTCTGAACTTGATCTCTTTGGTCTGTCTTCTTCTTTGTCATGCTGGAAGGAATAAACTTCTGCCTGGGTGCAGTGTTAAATATGACAGATTTTGAAGAAAAATATTGAAGCCATGTCAGAATTATCTCCATTTTTCTAAATTTAAATTTACTTGAGTGTAGATTTAGTCAAGGTAAGTCTAGGTTTTGCTGAGTTATTTAGATAGTCTGGAATGTAAATCTTTGAAAAGTTACAAGGACTTGAATAGCAAACACTAATGTAATATACTCGAATGATGTTAACCAATAAAAGACTACCATTATTAAAAGCTTGAGTTCTCTCTCCTAGTCACACTTGACCTTTATTCAGGGGTATGTTCAAGAAGTATGGGAAAATATCACAGACATGTGTGCTTTCTCAGCTGAGAACACGTCTTGGAAATTCTCAAGAGAAACAATCTATTTAAGATTCCACAAAGAACTAGATATCATAGATGTTTTTCTTTCTAAGCTTACTAACAACAACAACAAAAATCCTGATCTTCTCGGAATTTTTGTGATAAAGATTTTGAGGCCATAACTGACCCCATTGACCCAAATATTTCAGAAGAGAAAGCTGAACTAGATAGTTTTTCCCAAGTATCAGATCAGTTTGACTTCATAAAGCCTCTTATCAAGAATATTAGGCCACATTTATAAATGCTTACTGTGTATTCGATACTATATTTTGTATGCACATTTTGGTCATTTAATCTTCCCAAAATCCTACAAGATAGATGTTGCCATTAGGCCATTTTGCTGGTAAGAAAACTGTTGTTTAGAGAGAAACAGTAATCACTCAGGGCTGTTCAATTCCAAAGCTTATATGCTATACTATAGGGCTTTCTAGAATTTTGAGAAATGCATTTAGAAATTCAGAGAAATGCCGTTCTAAAGTCTTGAATTCTTCTTCTTCTTCTTTCTTCTTTCTTCTTCTTCTTTTCTTTTTTTTTTTAATGGAGTTTCACTCTTGTTGCCCAGGCTGGAGTGCAATTGGCGCCATCTCGGCTCATTGCAACCTCTGCCTCCTGGGTTCAAGCGATTCTCCCGCCTCAGCCTCCCGAGTAGCTGGGATTACAGGCATGCACCACCACACCCAGCTCATTTATTTTGTATTTTTAGTAGAGATAAGGTTTCACCATGTTGGTTAGGCTGGTCTCAAACCCCTGACTTCAGGTGAGCCGCCCACCTCGGCCTCCCAAAATACTGAGATTACAGGCGTGAGCCACCGCACCCAGCCGAAATCTTCTTAATAATGCCCCCAGAAGTAAGTCACACATTCCTGCACGTGCTTGATGCCAATGCTAAGCTTCTGTAGGCTGCTGATACCCGAAGGACTCTCATTGTTGGGGAGTGGGCTGCTCTTCAAGGAGATGGTCAAATGCTGGCAGAAATCCCTTCATCCCCTTCATTTCTGGCTGGTAAGATATTTCCTTTCCACTTTCACTCCTCATACTTACCTTCACATACTCTATTATTTCTAAACTTGATTATTTAAGGATTCCCCAAATTTATCTTGCGGTTGTATGCTCCCAAGCCTTTGATTATAGCACCTTACGCCTCAGCCCATCTCTGAGGAACACATTCCTACGCATGCTTTGTGATCTAGCTGAAAATCTCTTTTCCTGCCATGCTTTTTTTTTTTCAGCTTCTCAGGCACAGTAAACTTCTCTATCTACTACTGAACCTTCATAATGCTTTACATACCCCCTTCTCAGTACTTGTCAAAGTTTAGTATGATTATTTGCTTATCATCTGTTTTCTTAGCTAGATCATGAGTTCTCTGAAAACAGGAATCATGTTCTGTAATCAGTTCACCATGCTAGGCACACAGCAGGCAGTTAATAAGTTTTTGCCAAATGAATAAAAAGGTGTAAAAAAGATGTAAAAAAATACTTTATAGAGACTGTGAAATTGTGGTTGTTTCATTTTTCAGCTTCTAAAAGCCAGTTGGCTTATTTGACCTTATGCTATTCCTCACATTCACTAAACACTCAACATGTTTTGGGCATGTGCCTGTCATAAAGCAGCTTCATCAAAGTTTTTAAAATTCTAAAACTCTTTAGAAAGACTTGTTAACCTTTGGCTGAGTGCAGTGGCTGATGCCTGTAATCCTGGCACTTTGGGAGGCCCAGGTGGGCAGATAACCTGAGGTCAGGAGTTCAAGACCAGCCTGGCCAACATGGCTAAACCCCGTCTCTAGTAAAAGTACAAAAATTAGCCGGGTGTGGTGGTGGGTGCCTGTAATCTCAGCTACTCAGGAGGCTGAGGCAAGAGAATAGCTTGAACCCTGGAGGCGGAGGTTGCAATGAGCTGAGGTTGCGCCATTGCACTCCAGCCTGGGTGACAACAGCGAGACTCTGTCTTTAAAAAAAAAAAAAAGAAAAAAGACTTGTCAACCATCTAGGTATTTCTGGCAGTCTTGCTTGTGTGGAATGTTCCTGCTGTAGCTAATGTCAGAGGAACCTCTGCAATCCTGGGCAGCATTGGCAGCCACGTGAAGGAAGGGAGTGGAGTTCTGTGCAGATGTATTAAAATTAAAAGTAATTTGGTCCAGACTCTGTGGAAAACAGTTTGGTGGTACTTGGCATGACCATGGGACACAGAGTTCCACTCTTAGGTATACATCCAAAAGTATCAAAAGCAGGTATTCAAATAAATACATACACAAGCATGTTCATAACAGCACTATTCAAAGTAGCCAAAAGGTGGAAAGAACCCAAATGTCAATCAGTGGATGAATGGATAAACAAATTATGATGTATCTATGCAATGGAATATTTATTAGCCATAACAAGGAATTGAGTGCTGGCATATGCCACAACATGGATGAACCTCAGTATGCTGTGTGGAATTATACTGTATGATTCCATTTATAAGACACATCCACAATAGGTAACTTCATAAAAACAGAAAGCAGATTGGTGGTTGCCAGACAGTAAGGATAACAGGAAATGAGGAGCACTGATTAATGTGTTTGTGGTTTCCTTTAGGGGTGATGAAATGTTTTGGAAGTAGATAGAGGGAGTGATTACGCAGCATCATGAATGGACTAAATGTCCCTGAATTGTTCACTTTGAAATGGTTAGTTTTATGTTTTGTGAATTTCACCTCAATTAAAAGAAATAAAGTAGAGTGAAGGTTGAAGGAATAAAAAGTGGAAGAGGAGGTCAGAGTGATACTATGGGAGAAGGATTCTATCAGCTGGTCCTGGCTTTGAAGATGTAGGGAGGTCAGAACCAAGCAATGAGGGCAGCCTTGAGAAGTGGGAAAAGGCAAGCAACAAAACCTTCCTTGAAGTCTTCAGAAAACAACATGGTCCTGCAATCACCTTGATTCTGGCCTAGTGAGAGCATGTATTACTGAACTGCAAGGTAATACATTTGTATTTTTTCCTAAGCTAAAAAAGGCAACAAAATACCAAGCATTGGCCTCATTGCTGAAAAGAACTTCAGAGGTCAGCCCAATTCTGATGAAATAGGGCTGTGGAAGATTATATTACTTTCCAAGGTCACATAGCTAGTTGTCCTATATACTCAGAAACAGTGTTTCCTCCTAGAAATAAAAAGATAGGAGGAGAATAAACAATGAGTGAGGTTATTGTCCTGATTTTATGAGAGTGGGAGCAGATTCAGTGAGATTAAATAACATGACTAATATGTAACATCTAGTACTGTGGGTTTTATTTTTTAAACTTTTTCTTTTAAATCAAAGTAATGCATGTACATGAACAATAATAAAACAATCACATCATAAGCATTATAAGGGCTTATGATGGAAATCATCAGTTTCCAATACTCCCACATCCAGTCCTGCTTCATTGCACTTACCATTTCCTCTTTTAACTGTCCGTTGTAATTTAAATTTTACTACATAATGCTATTATGTGTTAATACTTAACAAATACTTATATAGTACTTAGTAAGTCGTTTCCAAAGACAGTTAATTGAATCTTCATAACAACCCTGTAAGACAGGTACTAGTATTCACCCTACTTTATGGTTGGGGAAACTGAAGCATGGAGTGGTGAGACTTACCCAACATAGCACAACTAGAAGGTGCTAGAGCTGGGGTTTGAACCCAGGTGTTCTAACTTCAGATTCCAAGCTCTTGACTACTACACCATGCTGTTTACAAACATGAGCTTTGTTTTACCAGAGAGTAACTGAGTGTATTAGTCCATTGTCACATTGCTATAAAGAACTGCTTGAGACTGGGTAATTTATAAAGAAAAGAGGTTTAATTGACTCAACAGTTCTGCATGGCTGAGGAGTCCTCAGGAAACTCACAATCATGGCAGAAGGGGAAGCAGGCACACCTTACATGGTGGCAGGTGAGAGACAGAGAAAGAAACAGACAGAAAGAGAGAGAGAGTAGGAGGAACTGTCAAACACTTATAAAACCATCAGATCTCATGAGAACTCACTCACTAACATGAGAACAGCATGGGGGAAACCACCCCCATGATCCAGTCACCTCCCACCATGTCTCTCTCTCGACACTGTGGGGATTACAGTTCAAGATGAGATTTGGGTGTGGACACAGAGCCAAATGATATCATTCCACCCCTGGCCCCTCCCAAATCTCATGTCTCTTTCACATTTCAAAACACAATCATGCCTTCCCAATAGTCCCCCAAAGTCTTAACTCATTTCAGCATTAACCCAAAAGTTCAAGTCCAAAGTCTCATCTGAAACAAGGCAAGTTTCTTCTACCTAGGAGCCTGCAAAATCAAAAGCAAGTTAGTTACTTCCAAGATACAGTAAGGGTACAGGTATTGTATAAATGCTCCCATTCCAAATAGAAGAAATTGGTCAAAACAAAGGGGCTGTAGGCCCCATGCAAGTCTGAAACCCAGCAGGGCCATCATTAAATCTTAAAGCTCCAAAATGATCTCCTTTGATTCCATGTATCACATCCAGGGCATGCTGATGCAAGGCGTGGGCTCCCACAGCCTTGGGCAGCTCCTTCACGGTCTGACATTGAGTGCCTGAAGCTTTTCCAGGTGCAGGGTGCAAGCTGTCAGTGGATCTACCATTCTGGGATGTGGAGGACAGTGGCCCTCTTCTCACAGTTCCACGAAGCAGTGCCCCAGTGAGGACTCTGTGTGGGGGCTCACACCACACATTTCCCTTTCACACTGCCCTAGCAGAGGTTCTCCATGAGGGTTCCAACCCTGCAGCAGACTTCTGCCTGGACATCCAGGTGTTTCCATACATCCTCTGAAATCTAGGCAGAGGTTTCCAAACCTCAGTTCTTGAATTCTGTGTACTGGAAGGCCCAGCACCACGTGGAAGCTGCCAAGGCTTGGAGCTTGCACCTCTAAAGCTGTACCTCAGCCCCCTTTAGCCACAGCTGGAGCTGGAGCAGCTTGGACTCAGGGTGCTATGTCCTAAGGCTGCACAGAGCAGTGTGTCCCTGGTTCTGGCCCATGAAGTCATTTTTCCCTCCTACTCTTCCAGGCTTGTGATGGGATCAGCTGCTGTGAAGTTCTCTGAAATGCTCTAGGGGCATTTTCCCCATTGTCTTGGCTATTAACATTTGGCTCCTCTTTACTTACGCAACTTTCTCCAGCCAGTTTGAATTCCCCCCCCCAGAAAATGGGGTTTTCTTTTCTACCACATGATCTGGCTGCAAAATTTCCAAACTTTTATGTTCTGCATCCCTTTTAAACATAAATTTCTCATCTCCATCTGAGAACACCTCAGCCTGAAGTTAATTGCCCATATCACTGTCAGCATTTTGGTCAAAACCATTCAACAAATCTCTAGGAAGTTCCAAACTTTCCCATATCTTCCTGTCTTCTTCTGAGCTCTCCAAACTGTTCCAGCCTCTGCCTGTTACCCAGTTCTAAAGCTACTTGCACATTTTCAAGTATTTTTATAGCAGAGCCCCAAACTCCTGGTACCAATTTCCTGTATTAGTCTGTTCTCATATTGCTATAAAGAACTACCCAATACTGGGTAATTTATAAAGAAAAGAGGTTTCATTGACTCACGGTTCGACATGGCTGGGGAGGTCTTACATGGCTGGGAAACTTCCAATCATGGCGGAAGGGGAAGCAGGCACGTCTTACATGGCGACAGGCAAGAGAGGAAGTGTGTGGAGGAGGAACTGTCAAACACTTATAAAACCATCAGATCTCATGAGAACTCACCCACTAACACGAGAATAGCATGGGGGAAACCACCCCCATGATTCAATCACCTCCCACCGGGTCCCTCTCTTGACATGTGGGTATTACAGTGTGAGATGAGATTTGGGTGGGGACACAGAGCCAAACCATATCACTGAGACTCGATGTGGCCCAGTAGCATGCCCAAGTTTATGGCAAGGCTGGAATTTGAGCCTAGTTGGGCTCCAAGGCCTTGATACTTTCTGATAAATCTTTCTGCCTTAGAAGGCAGCTGTCCATTGGAACCATGTCTGTCTTAGCCCTGCCTGGGATTAGAGAGAGAGAAAGAGAGATGTGAGTAATAGAGCTTTCTAGCACATCAATTTTTAAATTTTTTTTCATGTTAGGAAGACAGGCTTTGTAGGTATAACCTTTGTAACATTTTCTTGGCATCATGAAAAATTAAAATTCTTTCTATTCTCACCTTTAAAAAAATAGATTCTTTTTTGGCAGGCAGGAATCTGTTTAGCTGCCATTTTACTAATGTGCTGTGGTTTTCCTAGAAGGCTGCTGCACAAAATGTTTTAGGCATTCTCTGTAGCTCAGATTAGAAGACCTAAATCCTAGATCTACATTCTCCTTATTCACCATAATAACTGCCTCTTTCTGAAAATATTGACTTGAGCAGATTTCCCATACTGTCAGCTTTTCTTGCTCTAGATTAGAGGTTTTCGAAGACTAACTGTGGAATCCTAGCACCTTTTGGTGATCCTGCAAAATTGTCCATAGGGTTGGAGGAGAATGGAGAGGAAGGGTAGGTAGGCAATGGGATGAATACGTGAGCAGGGGAGTCACCATACCACTGCCCCCCTCACCCACCGCTTAAGCCAGAGAAGACAACTTTGACTCTATGGATATTTCTACAATTTTTTTTGAGATAAAATGTACCATTGAGAAGCTCCCCCTCCCACAGAGTTGGTATAGAATAATATACTCACTATATAGTGGATACAGCTGGAGGAATAGGGGTTAAAAAGAAAATAAAATAAAAACACCACTTAGAATAATGAGAAAACAAGGCATATGCATCTATGGTGTCTAAATGGGATTCCCTGGACAGGGAAAGATTCTGGAAACTGACCACCCATCAAGCTAGTAATTGGAAAACTTCACTTCCGCAGATGCATTCTGTGGTAAGGGAGGCAAGATTGGGCTGGTAAGCATTTAAAAGAGAGAGAAAGTTAGAAAAGAAAATGATCAAGTGGATTAAATAGAATAAAACCAAAGTCTTCCTTTTGGGGAAGTAGCTCCTTAATAATTGAATTCACTGCAGATTCAGACATTGCAGGTGAAGTTAGAGAACACGCAGAGGAAATCCAAATTAAGTTCTGGCTAGGGTAATGAAAAAAATGGAAGAACTAGACTGCCATCCTGAGGCCGAATGTGGTATCTAAATACCCTCAAGCTTTTCTATTTCTCTAAACAGTAATTTTATAAAATTGTTCTTCAAAACTAATATGGATACTCGGTAAAAGCAATGCAAATGATACAAGAAAGTTTACATGATAAGTTAAGCCTCTCTTTTAGCCCCCAAATTTCCCTTCCCCAGAGACAATTATTATTTCTAGCTTATTGTACATCTTTTTTTATTTTTATTTTTTCCAAAACACCAGAGATCGATATGTACATCTTTAAAAATAAGTTCTATGCACTTAACAATAATTTATGTGTGTATGCATTCCTTTGAAACCACTGATGATATCTGCTGCTGTATATCTTGATTTATTTTCAATTTAACAATGGATCTTGGAGATGGTTTCTTTTTTATTTCTTGATTGTATAGTCTTTATTAGATGAACACACCAGAACTCATTTGGCCATTCCTGTACTAATGTACATTTACTAGGTTTTCAGTATTTTGCTTCTACAAACAATACTGCAATAAATATTTTCATCCGTAGATCATTGTGCATGTGGACATAGCTGTAGAAAAAAATCACTAGAGGTGGAAGTGTTAAAAGGTATATGAATTTAAATTTGCAATGGGTAGAGTAAAATCGTACTCTAGAAATGTGAAGACATTCTATCAACCATGCTTGAGAGTGTTCGATGCTCCACACTTTGGCCAATCTGAAGCATTTTCTGTATTCTTCACAATTCCCCTGGGTAACCAATAAGATGATTTTAAACTAAAAGATAGCTTGTTGTTAGGTCATCACAACCATCCCACAAGTGTTTGCCTTGGTGTTTTCAAAGGATCTCTGAAGATGCTTTATGAATCATTTCTTGTTGTTAGATGCCTAAGTGCAGTTGTCAAGGCTGTAGAACTGCCAAGGAGGAAGGGAAGGCAGTGCCAGCTGAAACAGCAGAGAGATTCAGGAGAGTGATGCAGAAATACTCGTGGAGACTCTCATTTCTGACCTGGATCTCAAATAATAAATGATGATTTATTCCTTTATCATTCAGACAGTCTTGTGCACCTACTGCAACCAGACCCCTGCTGGATCCTGAAGCTCGAAAAGGGAATAAGATGTATTTTCCACCTTCAGTTTAGTTGCTCATTTTTTACTTCTCTTACAGGAGAGAAGACGTGTTTTCTTGACAACAGCACAGTACCTAGGTATATCTATATTTACTCTGTGTGTGTGAGAGGGAGATCAATATGTATAAATTTGGTAGTATGCTTTATTTTTTTCTTTAATTTTCATTAAAATTTTGTTTTACTTGTTTTCTTTTCTAATAATATATCTAATGGCTTACATCTTTCTTAATAGATAAAAATATCCTTATGAGCAAATATTTCTACTCAGCTCTGGTGCTTCTTTTTCTGCTACACATTCTATGCAGCTCAAATCCCATTCTACTCATGAATCCTTTTTGATACCTGTAGTCACGTTAGGCTCTGCCCCATACTTTATACAGACAGTCTTGTAATGTAATTGTCTTTCACTAGTGCCTCCAACTGAGCTTTAGTCTCTTCAAGGACAGAAGAGGACATTGTTGAGGCCTTCACAATATTGTCTATCCAAGTGGACCCTTGAGGGCAATGGTTTGTACTCCTAGTGGGAGGCATCAGTGAATAATAGCTGAATAATATCTTGCTTTTATTATGTTTTTAGCTTTTCTGTATGTTTGTGACTAGCATGCATATAGTAGGTGTGTAGAAAGTAGATACATTTATTTAACTGTTATTTGAGATGCAGGACAGAGTTTCCAGTGCCATTTTTTATAGCTTTTGATTTTTTTCTGACCTCTAGACCTTTCTAGGCCTTTTGATAAATTATCTTCTCCTCCCCCCGAGCTTTCCCCTCAAGGAGAGGATACTTCCTTTAGGTCATGATGCTAATATGTCTGTGCTAACATCTGAAATTCAAGTTCACTGTTTTTCTTCCCCCATCTCACGTAGCCTGTGTATGTACATATGCCTGTGGACATTACACTTACAGACACATACAAATTTCTTTCTGATCACTGTGACTTTCTGAGCCCTTGTCTTCAGAGGTCATTTTCCTGAGAGCTTGTGACTAGTTCGGAATACAGAGGAGCTCTTAGATATCTTCTCATACAAGAGAAGGAAGCAATTTGCGACCTAACAATAGGGTTAATGTCAGCTGGTCATAGTTTAGTGAGTTTAATTACTGGAATTTCTATATAATATTACCCCAAATGACATCTGGGTTGGAATGAACATGAGATTCCTTTTGGGTGAGCAAAATAAAACAGGCCATGCAAAACTATGCTCTGTCTAATCCTTGTGCCTGATGCACACGGGCTTCAGTGACATTTCTGGAACTGATTTGTACTTAGCCAAGATGCACTTTTTAATAAACTGCAAGAGGAAAATGGCATTAGCTACTTTAACAAGGAAGCAAAATATATAGTTGGAAAGTGAGAATGAAAAATGCTTAAGTAAAAAGATGAAAGAATTTTTCCTTGTTCACCCACCTCATTCCCCGGATTAATTAATACCTATTTTGCCTCCAAGTAAATACAGGATCAAAATGGTAATGAAATGAATTCATTTTTGCAAGCATTGTGAATTGGACTAATTTCAAATTTGTTTTAATGAAGGCAAGCGTAAGCACTGACAATTGCAGGAAGCTCAATCTAGTATTGAAGATGAGCTAACTAATGCCTTTCATTTCAAAGTGTAATCCATGAACCAGCTTCATAGCATCATCTAGAAGCTTCTTAGCAATGCCGAGTTTTAACCCCTATACATAGATCTCCTGAATTCGAATCTACATTTAGCAAGACCCCCAAGAGACATATATGCACGTGAAAATGGGGAATCACTGGCCCATGATGTTGCATTTCTGTTAGGGGCTTTCTCCCATAGAGTAACCAAAGAACCAGTCACCCAAGGGAGATAAACTGAGGACCAGATTTGAGAGGTTTCCAGCCACACAGGGAGGAATGCACAGATGCATGCTGGATTCCGCGGTGCCAAACCAAACAGTTTGCCATTTGCTCTGACTGTTTTATTGCCCTGAAACTATGCACTCAGCTTCTTCTGAGGCTTCCAACACACAATGAATCCACAGAAAAAATAAATAATGTAAAGGTTTTCTAAGGCACTTGGCAGCAGAAGGAATTTTTAGTGGGGCTCAGATTGAGGGAGGGGTGGAGAAGAGGAAGAAATGGAATTTGGACATATAGCAGAAAGGAATTCCTAAACACTTTCCGAGTTTCATCACCTTGGCAGGTTGAAAAAGGAATTTGTATGTGACAGATTCTAGAATTTGCCCTGAAAAATTTCTGATGGCGGGCTGGGCACGGTGGCTCACGCCTGTAATCCCAGCACTATGGGAGGCCAAGGCGGGTGGATAGCCTGAGGTCAGGAGTTCGAGACCAGGCTGCTTAACAGAGTGAAACCCCCGTCTCTACTAAAAATACAAAAAATTAGCTGGGCGTGGTGGTGGGCACCTGTAATTTCAGCTACTCGGGAGGCTGAGGCAGGACAATTGCTTGATCCAGGAGGCGTAGGAGGCAGTGAGCTGAGATCAGGCCATTGCACTCCACCCTGGGCAACAAGAGGTAAACTCTGTCTCAAAAAAAAAATAAAAAAATAAAAAAAATTCTGATGGTTGAGGGAATGAGAGTCTAAACATTTTGAGCAAAGGACTTGACACATTGATTGCTTTAGGTCCTAGGTCTTGTGTGTTTTAGTGAGAAGTGAGTTGCTTCTGCCGTCTTCAATAAGATACATTTCAGTTACAGCCTCTTCATCCCGCCATTCGGTGTTTTCATTTGGGCAGTAGACAGCTAAAATATTGGCCAATGAAGGAAAACAGATTTCCCAATGAATAGTTCTACGCCATGAATAAATGAGATTAGAGGGATGCCTAAACTAATTCCAGGTTATTACAGTCTTCATCTCTATCCTAATTATCTTTAGTTTCACTCCTGGTTTATGGACAGAAATTTAAAGCCAGTACATTTTATCTTCTGTATCATTTAGTCCCCTTTTGACTGAAGCATTGCAATATTCTCTTTAATTTTCATGAGAATGAATTTCACCTTTTATGACATTCAAAGACATTATGATGTCTTTATGAAAAATGATGTCACCCTGATATCAGCAATAAAATAACAATGTCCTAATGCCAATAAATGTGTTAACCATATCAGTCATCTTTCAGCTTTTCTGGCTTTGCTTCGGAAACTGCAGAAAACCTCAAGGTTTTTAATTTGTGAGCTCTGCAGAAGCAGTCATGGCACTTTACATTTTCGTCTGGTTGAATGCTCAGGAAATGGACCATAATTAAGTGACTATCTTGGTAACAGGCAGGGTTATTTGGATAATGCCTAAATCAGACTGGATTTTGCAGACTTTCATGTATCTGTGTATGTGAGGCGGGGCGGGGTTTGGGAAATGTATCCTCAGGTACTATCTGGTCTGGACCCAAGGAAGCCGGTGCTGTTTTATTCCTTACATTTAAAGTCCTGCTTTGGGAGTCATCCTCTGGGAAACAGCCTGCTGAGACTTGGAATAGGCTAAATAATACTAGATTTGGGGGCTATGAATTTAGTGCTTTTTTTTTTTTTTAGAAGGAGTTTCGCTCTTTTCACCCAGGGTCAGGCTGGAGTGCAGTGGCATGATCTTGGATCACTGCAACCTCCGCCTCCCGGGTTCAAGCGATTCTCCTGCCTCAGCCTCCCGAGTAGCTGGGATTACAGGCATGTGCCACCACAACCGGCTAATTTTTGTATTTTTAGTAGAGACGGGTTTTCACCATGTTGGGCAGGCCGGTCTCGAACTCCTGACCTCAGGTGATCCGCTGGCCTTGGCTTCCCAAAGTGCTGGGATTACAGGCGTGAGCCACCGCGCCCAGGCTAATGTAGTACTATTCATCTGTCAATTTACAGGGTTACTTATGTGAATCAACCTTTATGGAGGGTTTATGCTTAGGATCATATCAGAAACCCTGCAGGATATCAAAGATATATAACATAAAGCTTTCTTTGAGCAGCTTATATTTTTTTGGTTGGGGAGAATAAGTTTCCAGACAGTATATAATTAGAGAAAAAGCAAAAATGTAGAGTTTTCACTCCCAGTTAGCATGGAGCCTGTTTTTTGGGATTCTAGCATGCTAGAGCTTATCAAGTTGTGATTTGAATTACAGAAACCAAGGACATTGGATCCAGACCCTCCAAACTGTGGACTTTCAGAGACAGGAAATCAGCATGGGCTTCGTTGGTCAGGAGAAGCTTCCGGCAGAAAGAGAACTTGAGTGGGTTTGTGAGGATGAGTGGGAAGTGCGTGAATAGAGAGACACCAGGGAAGTCATCGTATGTCAGGCAGTCAGAATAATCACAAAAGTGAGAGAAGCCTGGCATGTATTTGGAAAAATGAGAGATACTCCTGGTTGGGGAGATACCACACAGGTGATAAAGGTGATTGATAAAGATAGGGTCAGATTTCAGAATAACTTGACTATAAAACAGGGGTATTTTAACTTGATCCCATAAGGTCTGACACCAGACACTTTTCCCCCATAGAAAAATATAATACGGATAATATTGTGACATGTGCCTGTGAGCTACTCAGAGATTTGTGCAATTCTCAACATTTTCCATTTATAATTCTCTCCACCTGCCTTGCCCCACCACCACCCTGGGTTGAAAATGGCGTACTGAAATCCACGTAAATGAGATACCTCAAAAAACAGTAGGTAGAATTCATAGTTACATTATATGAAAAGGTAAGTTCAAAAATTTCAGTATGTTTTTTAGTTCTGCAATTATTTTATTCAATAAGTGTTGAGGAGGCAACTTTAAGCTACAGGCTATAAGGTAAACTAAGTCAGATGGAGACACTGCCTTTGAGGAGCTTACATTCTTTGGGGAGAGATGATCCATCAACTAGTAGTTATTATATAGTGTTGGAAGAACTGTAATGATGGAAGCGTAGGATGTGATGTGAGCTTTGTGAGGGGACTCTCATTAGAACTGGCCTTGACAAGTCTATCCAAAGGAGGTGACATTTAGATTGAGGACTGAGGAGGTAGTGGTCTTACCCAAGTGAAGAGCCTGGGGTAAAGTGTTCAGGCAGAGGGGTATCCGCGTACACAAAGGCCAAGAATTCACCATTGTTTCTGGGGCTGCTGTGCAACAGAAAGTCAGTATGGAAGGAAGACTAGTAAATCGGTAACATTGTTTATTCATTGGACAAATGACTGAGTACACATTGGAGGCTGTTTGTCCTTATTAGGTGATGTTATTCTCTGCAAAAGGGTGATGGAGAATCCAGTAACGAGGCCTGGAAACCAAAGGGCAAATTTATCACCTTTTTAGACGCGCCCACCAGTCCCCAGAGGACGCGTCCCAGCAGATGATTCTTGTTCAATCAGCCAACAACTGGGTTTGGAGGAGAAAGCCAAAGCATCCCCAGGGGGTCGACTGCTTCCCTAAGGCGTGTCAGCGGGTTGACAGAGCACAAGCATTGCTTCTAGAGCAAATATTGAGCGTGGTTTTCAGAGAAAAGGTTTATCTTTGGGGTATAATTATTTGGCCCACTTAATAGACGTCTTGAAAAATAGGGCTCTCTTCTTTTTAGCAGAGCTTGAACAAAAGGAAACTTAAAATCAATTAGAGGGAAAGAGAAAACCTATTTCTGTCCTTTTGGAGACAAAAGCTGTAACACAATTGGTTAAAATTCGGGGAATCAGATCCTCCTGGGCGGTGGGGGAAATACTGCTGCAGGACCGCGGAGCCCTGGCTTCAAACGCAGGCTCCTGCTGCCATCTTGTGGCGAGAAGGCGCCTTCTGCCTCAGAACTAGCTGCAAATTCCGAGCTGTTGTGCTTCTCGTGGCTCCATCCACAAGATGCATTAAACAAACGCGAGCCAGGGATTCCAGTAGGGAATTTAACACTGGCCTGCCAGGAATTAATTTCTCTACTGACAGCATTGCCTTCTGCATCCTCCTTCTTTTGGAAAAGGCAAAATTTCATCCTTTCAGCGGTGTAACTGGGAGCCAGCCCAGCTTTGATGGAACCACGATTTGACCTTTTAAAGCATGTTGGAGGGTAATAATATGGACCATTAGCCTTATTCTTCTCCTAAAGGAAGGTTCTGGTTTTTCTAGTGGAGGAACCTTTTACAATCTGGATGGAGGAAATGCTGAGATGCTCTATAACATCAGGGAAGAATATTGCCATCTTTCTCCTCACCAGGCTTCCATTTCATCGTTCCCCCACCGTACTTGAAAGGTTTTTTATGATCCAACAAATTACCTTTTTTTAAAAAAAGCAGTTAATTTATTGTTTATTTGGTATTCATCAAAGAGACCCCTAAGTGTCAATTTTGGTTTCTGGAAACTGAGAAATGACAAACACAGCTAGCCTGGGTTAATATCATTCCAGCCCAAAGCAAAGAAGTTGGATGTTTTGGCAGCTTGTGCAGTTTTATTGTGGATAAACAGGCAGTGTCTGTTAGGTTTGGAAATACTGAACAGAGGCCACGGGCTCCCACTCCCATATTTGAAGAAGCAACTTGGAGTCCGTGACCTAGGTGGGCTGACTCCAGGTGACTGCAGGGTAAAAGCCTGACATATACTCTGCTCGCAGCAGCAGTCCTTTCAAAGCGTGGCCAGTGCAGAGCTGTGAGGCTAGTAAACATCCATGTGACAAGCCATCTGTTTGTTTAACATTTGGACACTAACGTGAATCTGAACTTACCGACCTCTTCAGACCAGCCGATGGCCCCGCGGATCTCTGGCATGGTCTCTTTCTGCCTCTGGTTCTTTACCCTTTTTCAAGGAGAGCCTGGGCAGACTGTTTTTTTTTTTCCCCCTTCTTTTTTCTTTCTTTTTTTTTTTAAAACTGACAGAAGAAAATATCCCATAGAATTAAAGCTGGCTTATGCTGGGCTGTCAACATCCTTGTGACAGATGATGGTATATGAGAAAGCCTTAGGAATGAGCAGGGGGAAAAGAAACACACTTTCTCGAGTCATGAAGGGCAGGATCAGAGGGAGAGGTTGTGAAGGTTCCTCCCCAAATCCCGCTTGAGGCATGTTGAGAGAAATACAAGAAGATGTAAGTTTAAACCTAAGCCTGGCAGTTTACTGTTGGCTTTGGGGCTGATGCTGGAGCTAGCAGGGCTGATGCTGCTCAGAATTAGAGGGGTGGACCCCCCCACCGCCACAGACAATTTGATAAGTCTTCCACTAATTCTCTAAACATCTTTCTCACCATTAGGATCACTTCTGCATGCGTCTTGTCCCCTTCCCTAATGCCCAGATAATTCCAAACATGTTATTTGGGAAGGATACAAGTTAAGCCCTCAGTACAAATATGGCAGATAGAATATACCTGACACAGAGTAGGTGGTCAGGAGTTATTTAACTTAGTAAATAAATTAAAGAATAGGTGCCTGAATAAGTGATGAGACAAATAATTAACTAAATAAGTAAATAAGGCAAGGGAACTAAAATTTATTGAATGCCTGATCAGACCTCTTTTGTTCAACCCAAGTTATCTCAATAAAAATGAGGCTATTCTAAGAATCCCCTTAGAGACATAGAATCAGAACAGAAGGCTCAGGAACTAAGACGAAGCTGTGTCCTTCTCTCAAGATCTTTCTCTTTCTCTGCATGTCTGCTTTGTCTGCCTCTTTCTATAGCTGTCTTTCTCAATTTCCACTCTACGGATTTCCTGCCTGCTCATAAATTATGCCTTCCCATGACTTTAGCTTGCCATTGCACTAAAGCAGCCATTAGCTTCCTTTTACTTTTTTCTTTGTTATTAACTATCTCAGCCTCTCCTTTTTCTAAATTTGTAATAAATTCCAAAGAGAAGAATTTGATTGGCTCAGCTTGCTCATTTGTTTGTTTGAATGTTGACCCAGGCCAAGCCATCATGATAGCTGATTGGTCCATGGATTGCCTGCTTTTGGCTCAGGTGACCACCTTGGTTTAGTCACTGTGGATGAGTGGGAGACGGGATCTCGGATCACAGGAATGGAAATTAGACAGGCTAAATAGCATTAGCAGGGACTACTGAGGGAGTTTTCCTTTGGAGGGAGTGTGGGTGGATGGGTAATGTAGTCATGTCTGGCAACCTTGGTAAAAGTATTCTCTCACGTATTCTCTTATATAATCCTCACCATGATATTGTGAGGGTCGCAGCCTTGTCTTTGTTTTGTACATGAGGAAACCAAGGCTCAGCTACTTGAAGAAATATGCTTGAGACTACAAGGCCGTTGAGTGACAGGTCCTGGATTTGATTTAAAGCTCAAGCTCTATCCCTAATTCTTCCTCCAAACTAGAGGGAATGGAATATAAATAATATTTGCAAAAATGCTTTTGAGTCTGACCTGGTCCAGGAGGTTCAGAGGCTGATAACTCCTCTGAGGATTATTATTGAGTACAGTTTCAAGGTGACTGACATCAACTCCCAAGTCCAACAGGTAAGGTGACCTTGGAAAGGACTACATATAGTCCTTTCTAACCTTTACAGCTGAGAAGTAAAAAAGGTCAGGATAGGAGAGTGGATCTTCTGGTCACAGATCTTTAGGGGTCATTTCGTCAGAGGCGTTTGAACCAGGGCAACTCCATCTTAAGTAGAAGCTCGTTAAAATGAGGCTGAAACCTACTGGGCTGCATTCCCAGACAGGCATTCTAAGTCACAGGATGAGACAGGAGGTCAGCACAAGATACAGGTCAAAAGACCTTGCTGATAAAACAGCTTGCAGTAAAGAAGCCAGCCAAAACCCACCAAAACCAAGATGGTGACAAGAGTGACCTCTGGTCATTCCTCACTGCTACACTCCCACGAGTACCTTGACAGTTTACAAATGCCATGGCAACATCAGGAAGTTACTCTATATGGTCTAAGAGGAAGCATGAATTATCTACCTCTTGTTTAGCATATAATCAAGAAATAACCATAAAAATGGGCAACCAGCAGCTCTTGGGGCTGCTCTGTCTATGGAGTAGCCATTCTTTTATTCCTTTACTTTCCTATATTTGGTTTCACTTTACTCTACAGACTTGCCCTGAATTCTTTCTTGCACAAGATCCAAGAACCCTCTCTTGGGGTCTGGATTGGGACCCCTTTCTGGTAACAATTTGACTTTAGTAGCATTCTGTGCCAAGGATGGTCATATGGCATGTGTTCAGTGGGACTGATCAGGCTGGAAAGAATTGAATGTGTTCATCAGATTTAAGCTCAGGAGATCAGTGACCCAATGACTGTTGGAACAGGATTGACGAGCTGGCAGGTAGTGTATAGTGGGGGAGGAAAGAGGCCTAGAATAACATCTAGATATGTTCTATTCTTATACTCCCCTCGTATATCCCTCACATTTTATCTCAAGTGCTTTAATTGCCATAATTGTTCAAAAATGCATCTTTATGTACCTATCACGGTAAGCAATTTATGCTTCCCATCCTTTGGTTGAATTGCTTCATTTATCACTAGATCCTGCTGATTACAATCATTTTCAATGTCCATAAAACAGCCTCACTTTATTTTTCCTAATTTTCTTTCTGTGTCTGGTTTAGTAGGATGGCTCAATATATTGTAGATATTTAAACAAAAATGCTGACTATTGTGTTCTATAGCCTGCAGAAGTGCCTGGCATGAGTGCTCAACAAGTATTTGTTGAATGAATGAATACAATAAGTCTTTGGCCTAAAAACATAACATTCATTGCCAAAAATAAGACTTTGTGTTATTTTAAGATCATTACCCTTGCAACATTCCCGATTGGATTAAAAAAATCTCAATTCCATTTCTTTTTACAGGGTAAGCATGAGCACAGCAGGAAGAGAAATGTATCTTGATTTACAAAGTGCTGTCTTCACTGATGAGAGTTCAATTTCTACCAATGTTGGCATTACTGACATTTTAGAAAGGGAGCTTTCTGAAGCATATATCTTGATTTGAAAGACTGAAGATTTCTAGTATCATACAGGGTAACTTCATAGCATTTTAGAATGGATTAAATAAGATCAAAATGAGGGCTTTGTAAACTAGAAGTTACTAAGCAAGTAGGGAGATTTTGGGGGTATGCAGGACTTTGTGTCCCTCAAGTTAAAATGTAGAGAGCTATATTTTTATTCTGTCTACCCTGCATTGGCCTTTAATGGTGTTCTAGTTATCCTTGTGGTCACTACATAATGTTGCCCACATGCCAACCACTGGCAACTTATATAATTCTCCCAATAACCCTATGAATTAGATGTATACGTAGTTACAGAAACACATGAAGAGATTATTTAACTTTACCAAGGTTGCAAATAGCACGTTCTATTGCCTCTCCAATGCTAGGCAACCATTTAGATGATGACATTATCTGAATACGCTCTGTAGTCAAGCCTTTAAAAGTCTCCTTTCTCAATCCAAGGAGGTCCCAGCTGCAATCATTGCAATTTAGAGGCTGCAAAGTTCCCCTCATCACTTTCAGAGCCCTCAGGAATACATCAGTCATTTGGAAGCTTTGAAAATGTTTTTACGAACTGCCATCCTCTTTATCTACTGCCTGATATGTGTTCCCAGGTGGGCACTGTGCCCTTCTCCTTCTGAAAACACCAAATAAATCCTTTGAATCACTTCCTGAAATGATAGGTCTCTTTATCAGAATAAGCAA
Organism: Homo sapiens; assembly: GCF_000001405.40. Classification (NCBI taxonomy): domain Eukaryota; kingdom Metazoa; phylum Chordata; class Mammalia; order Primates; family Hominidae; genus Homo; species Homo sapiens. The sequence goes on from NC_000008.11 coordinate 117,049,735, forward strand.
GAGCCCCCTGGCCCTATTAGAAAATGGCTTTTCCAAAAGTGAGAGCTGATATATAGCTGCTCACGAGAATGGCCCACAGTGATTAAGAAGAGCGACTCCATTGTCACTCACAGAGGTGGCACCGAGTGGCAGTCCCCACAAGCTGCCTCTCTCACTCTGAAAAACAATCTTCCTGATATATAGGGATGCCTCATCTGGGATCTATTTTAAAGTGTTTAAAGTGACCCGGGTATGTGTCTTTCTTTTTGGCACTGTATTTTTTTCATTCAGTATTTCTGTACTGAAAAAGAGTGACAATGTCAGGACCTTGCACAAATTGTACTGACTCGACCCTTGGAAGGCAACAGCATGCTCTCTTCCACATCATTACTTTTTATTACACTCTCTGCCACATCTCTGCAAAGCAGGGAGACAGGAGGCATGATGCGTGCCTTGTTCCATGACCTAACGAGTCTGTGGCCCGGCTCTGCTTGATCACGTCTAGTGTGTTCATCATCCCCTCAAACACTTGAGCAGGTTCAGAGATGGATTTGCTCTCTATAGAGCAGTAGCCTTGGTGGTGGCTCGCAGTCCTCTAAGAGCTGGATTGCAATTAATCATGCAAATGAGGGGGAGCAAGAGCTTGGATTAATGGAAACTGATTTCGGGGTTCTTCTTCACTACTGATTTCTTTCTTTTTTTTTTTTTTTGAGACACAGTTTCACTCTGTTGCCCAGGCTGGAATGCAGTAGCATGATCTCAGCTCACTGCAACCTCTGCCTCCTGAGTTCAAGTGATTCTCCTGCCTCAGCCTCCAGAGTAGCTGGGATTACAGGCGAGCACCACCGCGCTTGGCTAATTTTTGTATTTTTAGTAGAGACGGGTTTCACCATGTTGACCAGGCTGGTCTCGAACTCCTGAACCTCAGGTGATCCGCCCTCTTTGGCCTCTCAAAGTGCTGAGATTACAGGCGTGAGCCACCACGCCTGGCTGACTGATTTTTTACTAGAGGAATTAACAAGGAGCAAAACAGTGATTTGAGCTTTTATCTGCTTTCCTACTCACTCCTTAAAAAAGGAATGAAGTCACAAGTCCAAGAGGGAAGTAGAAGGAACAGTGGAGAAGAGCAAAGGAGTTCAGGGGTCACTGAGAGATACAGGTTCTGGTCAACCCCTGCAGGCAGGTTGTGGCATGCCCTTGAATGAGCCACCTGATTGATTCCTCAGTCTCTCTTCTGCGAAATGGAGCTAAAGTTACTGATAAATAGGTTTCTAATAACCACTTGTGGTGGATGAAAGGTTCTGAGAAGAGATGTAATATTCTGGTCAAATAAGAGTCTCAAAGTGGTCAGAGTATAATCTAAAAAGATAATTTGATTTAAAAGTAGAGACAGAAAGAGAAAAAGTGGCCTAGGATTTCTGGAATGAAAATGGAGCCAAGAGAAAGGAACAGATTAGGAAGTTACTTGATTACTATAGTTTTATTATTTTGTTAAAATTGTACTGACTCGTTGGCCAATCATCCTCTAGGGAGTGTGTTTGAGATTTATGGGGCCATTTTGGTTATCACAATGATGAGGAAGCTCTTAGTGGATTAGAACAGAGATGCTAGAAACCCTTTGATGTGTGAGACAGGATGTGTGTCCCCTCTAAAACTCATGTTGAAATATGATTCCCAGTGTTGGAGGCGGGGCCTCATGGGAGATGCTTGGGTCAAGGGGGCAGATCCCTTATGAACGGCTTAGTGTCCACCCCATGGTAATGAATGGATTCTTGCTGTGGTACTTCATGTGAGAGCTGGTTGTTTAAAAGAGCCTGGGGCTGGGCGTGGTGGTTCACACCTGTAATCCCAGCACTTTGGGAGGCTGAGGCGGGCGGATCACAAGGTCAGGAGATCGAGACCATCCTGGCTAACACGGTGAAACCCCATCTCTACTAAAAATACAAAAAATTAGCCAGGCGTGGTGGCAGGCGCCTGTAGTCCCAGCTACTCGGGAGACTGAGGCAGGAGAATGGTGTGAACCCGGGGGGCGGAGCTTGCAGTGAGCCTAGATCGTGCCACTGCACTCCAGCCTGGGCGACAGAATGAGACTCTGTTTCAAAATAAAAAAAAATAAAAAAAATAAAAAAACCGAGCCTGGCACCTCCTCACTCTGTTTTGCTCCCTCTCTCACCATGTGATATGCTGGCTCCCTTTCACCTTCGGCCATGATTGTAAGCCTCCTAAGGCCTCACCAAAAGCACATACCAGCGCTATGCTTTGTGTACAGCCTGCAGAGGCAAATAAGCCTCTTTTATTTTATTTTTTATTTTTGGAGACGGAGTTCCACTCTTGTCACCCAGGCTGGAGTGCAATGGTGACATCTCGGCTCTCTGCAACCTCTGCCTCCCGGGTTCAAGCGATTCTCCTGCCTCAGCCTCCCAAGTGGCTGGGATTAAAGGCGTGCACCACCACACCCAACTAATTTTTCTATTATTAGTAGAGACAGGGTTTCATCATGTTGGTCAGGCTGGTCTTGGACTCCTGACCTCAGGTTATCCACCTGCCTTGGCCTCCCAAAGTGCTGGGATTACAGGCATGAGCCACTGCGCCCAGCCAAGCCTTTATTCTTTATAAATTACCCAGCCTCAGGTATTCCTTTGTTCCTCAGCAATGCAAATGGACTAACACAATCTGCATCTAGGCATTTATTAGATGAAAAAACATATTTACCATTAATTAGGCCTGGGAATGAACTATGTTTTGTATCAGCACAATACATTTTTTAGGTACAGTTTTAACACAGTATTCTGAATTTTCTAAGAATGCAGCCACTGCATACACTGAGAGAACATGACCTTTTTTATCTTACTCAGAACATAATCAGGATTTGTTCATTTCAGAAAATTATTTCACCAGTAGCAACACCATTCCTGGTGTGTTAGTTGCTAATATTATAGAGTTGTGGTTCAGCTGGATCGTAACCTTGGGATTCTACATAGAGGCATGAGCTTATGCTTATTTCATTTAATCTCCTGGTGTTATCACCTCCAGCTCTTTCTGAATTGCAAATGATTTTACTATAAATTACTTTTCTTTTTATTTCTCCTTCATATTATAGTTAAGCCATTTTTATTGTTTCTTAAAAACATGAGGTTTTATTATCTCTGAATTTCATTTCAGGGTAATGTAAGTATGTGAAGTCTCCTTTTTTTTCTTTTTTTTTTTTATTGAGACGAAATCTCGTTCTGTCGCCCAGGCTGGAGTGCAGTGGTGCAATCTCAGCTCACTGCAACCTCCGCCTCCCAGGTTCAAACGATTCTTCTGCCTCAGGCCTCAGCCTCCCAAGTAACTGGAACTGCAGGCACCCACCACCATGCCCGGCTAAGTTTTTGTATTTTTAGTAGAGATGAGGTTTCATTGTGTTAGCCAGGATGGTCTCGATCTCCTGGCCTCGTGATCTGCCGGCCTCGTGATCTGCCCGCTTCGGCCTCCCAAAGTGCTGGGATTAGAGGCGTGAGCCACCGTGTCTGGCTGAAGCCTCCTGTCTTAGTGTTCAGTTGTGCTTAGTAGTGGTCTTCCTCATTTACTAAGATTTTTTTCCCTTCAGGATCCTTATTTTCCTATCGTCTGGTTTCCACCCATTCTCAGATCCGTTCAGAGAATCATGTCTGCATGTACATGTATTTAAAGCCCACTTAAAGACTTGGGTTCAAGTTTTCTCTGTGTCTCTTGCAAACAGATGGTGCAGACGGAAAACAGAGGCCGTGTTGCTCAGATCCATATCCTGGGATGCATCTGTATGGATGGAAGAACCATTTCCTGGATGTCTGAGCCCGAGCCCGAGCCCCAGCCCAGCTATTATAGGAATGTCTATTATAATAGTCTTTATTAGCCCCACTGAAGAAATGGGGACAGTGAGGCTCTGACAAGCAAATCATGGTAGAACTGAGATTGAACCCTTTTCTGTCTGAAGCCAAAGTTTGCTACATTCTCTCTACCACAACCCACACCCTCTCATATGAAAGCAATGCATGCATAGTGCTGCATACAGCAGGGACTTAATGATAAGAGCAACTGAAATAGTCAGTGATACCTGCAGGCAGGGATTTTTAGGTTTTTGAAATGAACTTGAAAACTACCAGCATATTTGATCCTTCCTATAACTTAGAGAAGACTGAACAAGTATCAATACTCACACTAGAGAGAGGAAGGAGGTATTTCAGAGTTATGGAAGTGAGCACTCAGTGGTAGATTCACAACTGGAACCCAAGCCTCTGAATTGACTCTAATCTATGCTCTTTCCATTATGTTGCAATAATGATTCATTACAGATATGTGAGAATATTTAATGAGAAATAATAGCTAACAGGCACTGAACATACACTAAATGTACTGCAAAAATCTTTTTTTTTTTTTTTTTTGAGACAGGGCCTTGCTCTGTCTCCTAGGCTGGAGTGCACTGGTGCAAATATGGCTCACTGCAGCCTGGATCTCCTGGACTCAAGTGATCTTCCCACCTCAGCCTTCTGAGTAGCTGGGACGACAGGCGTGTGGTACCGCACCTGGCTATTTTTAAATTTTTTTTTGTAGAAACAGGGTCTTGCCGTGTGGCCTGGGGTAATTTTGGACTGCTGGGTTCGAGCAATCCCCTTGTCTCAGCTTCTCAAAGTGCTGGGATTACAGGCATGAGCCACTGTGCCCAGCCTAAATTCTTTGCATTTACCATCTGATTTAACCCTGTGAGGTTGGAACATCATTTTGTAGGTGAAGTAACAGATGAGAGCAAATGGTATGTGATTCTTAATGGTATCCAGTTTGTCACCATCAATGTGCAAACATACAGAAGAATACTGAAATCCCTGCCTTTTTGCACTAATTAGCACTGAACAAGTTTCTAGCTGTGACTGGTAAGAAGCCCACCCCCCACCCACCTCCCTTACATGGTGAGATTAGAATCATGATGGGGAAGGGTTGAAATTGTCAGAGGTATGTAGAATATCATTTTGATATGAGGTATTCCAGAAAAATGATAAAGGGTTGCAGAGGATAAGGAAAATAAAGTTTTCCCAGAGCTAACCAGAGTCAGAAAAATCTGTTTTCAATAATTTGACAAAAACCATGAGCTACCAAAGTCTCAGGTGGCTTCCACAGAACATTTTATTCAGAGCCCTAAAAGTCATATGACATGTTTAAACTTAACTCTCTGATTCTCTGAAAATATGTATTTTTTTTGATAAAGGAGAGCAAATGGTTTCTAGTGTAAAAAGGGCAGACCTTGGTCTCCAGCTAAAAGATCTTGCAACTCAGTAGCTGTGAGGCTTCACTCGCTATTTAACCTCACTGGACCTTAACTTGACCATCTGTGAAATGGGTGGATAAAATTGAACTACCAAACCATTTTGATGATAATGAGCTTCAATCAGAGCTTGAAAGTGCGGGGTTACCAGTCCCTCTCCAGGGAGCAGAGCTCAGAAAGTTCACAAAGGGGCTCAGCACTGATAATTTTCAGATAGAGCTGGTGGGTGATCATTTCCTTCTACTTGGTCTGTTTTCTAATTGGAAAAAGATGACAAAGAATAGAAAAGCTGTGGCATGAGCCCAAAGGTTCTGCAATGTGGATAGAAATCTCCTTGGTTATATGCTGGTGGAGTGCTCGGTTTCAACTCCCAGTGTCCTTACTCTTAAATTACAGCTACTGAAGCAAATCTTAACTTGGCTCCCCCAGGGACAGCAGCAGTTGCTGGGCTGCATAGCATGACTTCACGTATCAACAACAGCAATCCTAGGACCAGCGGGGGCCCTTCTCCAGCTCCTTGGATAATGTCATTTTGATTTAGATTACAAATGTCACTTAAAGTCTACATTTCTTGTTGATATTTCTTCAATGAGTATTTCTTTTTCTATATTCTGTGTATTCTTACCCTAATGTGATCATCATTATATTTCCAGTTCAGTAGAACTTGTGGTCATTTGAACATTCCACGTGAAGTAATGAAATAATGGAAACCATTTAGATGACCACTAATATAATGAGTGTTTGTATAGAGAATTTACACGTGTATGTCCTTCAGTAATAGCTACAGTTCCAAGTGTAAGGCCTGGATAATAAAATGAGTCAGTGAAGTAGCTCCATCATTCTTAGCTGGAGTCAAGAAAAAGAGCAAAATTAAGACAGAAACAAATGAAGAGGGATCTGCAGACTTGGCTAATCCAGATGCTTTTCTTGGTGGTCTGACTACTTCTAACTTTTGCAATAATTCCATGCCCATAAATGGTGATAATCTGGAAAGCAAGCAACAAATGTTTTAAGAAATGAATTCTGTGTGTGTGAAACATCCACTGTCTGTGCAGTCCATTTGTGCTTATAACAGAGAAACATCTCTAGGTAGCTTGTTTCTGTTGGCTTAACTCCTCCAGTAAAGATGGTTGATGATTTCCCCATGCTACCAAAGTATGTCTGCTTATTATAGTGTAACATCTGACCAAGGGCAGTATAATTAATAATGTCCAGAGCGGCCCTTCAAGTTCACAGCATTTCTAGACTCACAATTCTCCCCATCTCCTCCTGTGATTGCCACCTACTGTTGTCCAACATGATGTAATCAGTGGGGACTCTCTTGCTGCTTCCCTTTCCCTGCTCACTTTCCATCACCACAGCAGTAGCTTTAAGGAGGAAAGGCTTCTGGCCAAAGTCAGGGCTCGCGCTGTGGGGACCTTTACCACTCCTCGTCCCTATTGTAAGGCATGGGTCTGTGTTTACCCTCCCTAAGCAGCCACCATCCTGATCCCAAAAGGCTGGGTAGGTCCCAGGATAAGTACAAGCATGGATTTCTCTTTTTCTTTCTTTTTTTCTTTTTCTAAAACTGAGCTCAGTAGGCTAAGAACTGCAGTCCCAGGATGAGGTCTAGTTGAGAAGGGGGACCAGAGAAGTCTAACTAAAGCCTGGTCAAGGAGGGTGTCCTTGTCCATGCAAATTCACACATATTTTTTGCATTTAGTTTTTGGGGACAGAGAAGCAACAGACCACTTATAAGCCCTTTGGGGAAAATAAAATTTTATGCTTTCATGGTCTTTTTCAGATACTCTTCTCCCTGTTGGATGCAGTGTTCACTGCTTGGAGAAATAGGTGGCCACTCTTAGATGTTTCCAAATATAGGGAGGCATTGCTGTAGAGTGATGGGACTAGAATTCTAGTCACAGGAAGTGGACTAGAGTTTCACTAGTAATACTGATACCATTCTGTGTGATTTCAGACACAAGTCATATTAACCTTTGAGCCACAGAATCTCACTTGTATAATGAGGATAGCACTTGCCTTAGTCCACTAGGGCTGCTATAACAAAATACCATAAACCATGTAGCTTATCAGCAACAGAAATTTAACTGTCACAGTTCTGGAGGCTAAGAACTCTTAAGATCAAGGAGCCAGCAAATTTGATGTCGAGTGAGGGTCTGTTTCTGATTCCGAGATGGCATCTTCTGTGTCCTCACAAAGTGGAAAGGACAAACAAGCTCCCTGAGACCATTTAAAAATACTTATTACTTATTTTAAAATGTATAATTGACAAATAAAGATTATACATGTTTAAGGCGTACAGTGTGATGATTTGGTATACATACATATTGTATAACGCTTACCACAATTGAATTAATGTATCCATTACCTATAAGATGAATAAATTCTTGGGTCCTATCATTACCTACTACAATTGAAATAACACATTAATTACCTATAAGATGAATAAATTCTTGAGACCTGTGTTGTACATTAGGTCCCAAGAATTTATTCATCTTATAATTAAAAGGCATACCCTTTGATCAACATTTCCTCCAACCCCTACCCTCTGGAAACCACCATATTACTCTCTGGTTTTATGAGTTCAACTTTTTTTAGATTCCATGTATAAGTGAAATAACATACAGTATTTATCTTTCTGTATCTGGCTTATTTCACAGAGTAATGTCCTCCAGGTTTATCCATGTTGCCAAAAATGGTAAGATTTTCTTCATTTTAATGGCTGAATGATATTCTATTTTATATATAGGCATATATACAACACACTACACTATATTTTTAAAAAGTCCATTCATCTGTTGATAGACAGTTGGTTTGATTTCATATCTTGGCTATTGTGAATAATGCTGTAGTAAACACGGGAGTGCCGATATCTCTTTGAGATACTGATTTCATTTCCTTTGGATATATACCCAGAAGTGGAATTGCTAGATCATATGATAGTGCTATTTTTAATTTTTTGAGGAAATTCCATACTGTTTTTCATAGTGGCTATGCCAATCTATGCTCCACCAACAGTCTGCAAGGGTTTTCTTTTCTCCACACCTTCCATAACACTTGTTATCTCATGTCTTTTTGATACCAGCCACCCTAACAGGTGCAAGAAGATATCTCATTGTGGTTTTGATTTATATTTCTCATGATTAGTGATGTTGAGGACCTTTTTGTATGTCTGTTGGCCATTTGTATGTCTTCTTTGAAAAAATATCTATTCATGTCCTTTGTCCATTTTTAATTGGGTTATTTGTTCTTTTCCTGTTGAGTTACATGAATTCCTTATATATTTTGCATTTTAATCCCTTATCATATATATGCAAATATTTTCTCCCATTCTGTGGATTGCCTTTTATTTTGTGGATTGTTTTCTTTGCTATGCAAAAACTTTCTGGTTTAATGTAGTCCCACTTGTCTGTTTTTGCTTTTATTGCCTGTGCTTTTGGTGTCATATCAAAAAAATCATTGCCAAGGCCAGTGTTAGCTTATCTTATTCATGAGGGCTCCACCCTCATGACCTAATCACCTTCCCAAAAACTTCACCTTCTAATACCATAACCTTGGATGCTCACATTTCAGCATATTAATTTGTGGGGGCATGGGACACAAACATTCAGACCATGATAACACCATAACAGGAGTTAGCAAACTATGGTCAGTGAGCCAAATCCAGACTGCCACCCGGTTTTGCATGGCCTATGAACTAAGAATGCTTTTTAAAATGGCTTAAATGGCTGGAAAAATAGAAGAAGTTTCTGTGGCACACAAAAGTTATATGAAATTAAATTTTGGTGTCCACACACAACTTTTTTATTGGAATCCACACACACACCCACTCACCCATTCCTTTGCATATTGTCTGTAGCTGATTTCATGCTACAAAGCTAGAGTTGAGAGGTTAAAACAAAGACTGAAAGGAACACAAGCCTAAAATACTTATTACTTAACCCTTTCTTAAAAAATGTTCTGATCCCTCCACCATACCTTTTTTACCTAATTTAAAAAAATTGCAAGGATAAAAGTTCACAAAATGTGTGACAGAAATTTCATACTGCAGAACATTATAAAGTTGGGGAATTATTGTTATTGTTATTTTTATATTGAAGTCACGTTTATGGGAGCCTTAATATCCAACAGCAGGGCTAACTTATTCCTAAATAGTTTGAATTTACAGACATTTCATTGACCAGATGGATGCACTGTTAGTTGAAAAATGAAAGAGAAAAGGACTGCTGTTATTAATATGACTTCAGGGAAAGTTGTTTCTTTCTCTTCATCAAAAATATAGCCAAGTCGTAGCCTGGGGAATGCATCGGTAACAGCATGTATATAGGCAGGAAACTACAAATAACAAGCCACATTGATTTAGAAAAGCTTAAGAAAACATCTGCTCTTTGGCTGATATTTGTCCAAATGTAAAATCCTAGCTTAAAATGCAGTGAAAGCCAAGTTGCTGAACAAATATTCATGTAACATCTACTAGTATAGAGTAATGAGCTGTGGAAAGAACTATGCAACTGTCAGGTCTTATCTTAGGCAACCCTCCTTTCCTTGGGCCACATCTTGACCTTCCTACACCCCTACTCATGAATAATATGCAGACCTGCACTTCAGGCAAAAGCCCAGTTCTGGACCTGACCTTTCTTGGTTTCTACTCCATCATGTTGGTTTAGTTGGACGATAGATCGTAGTGGTGGATAAATCTCAAAAGTTAGGTTGAATTCATTTGTAAAGTTACTTGAGTGGCAGGATAAAATGTTGGCACTTAATTCCAAAAACAGTGAGCTGTTTTAAAGTTTTATAGCTGGGGGTGGACACGAAGATTGGGGCGTGTTTTGGGATGATTAGTTTGGTAGCTGTGAGTAGGATGGATTAGAGTGGGTGAAGACAGAGATCAATGGGGTCGTTTTCCCAGTAGGCTAAGGGAAAAGTAATGAGGTTCTGAGCTAGTGTGGAGGCAGAGGGGGTGAGAAGGAGGGAACAGATACGAGAGTTAGAACAGAAGCAACTGACTGGATGTGGGAGTTGAAGAACAAGGATAGTTTTGAGCTCAAGATGCCATTAATGGAAGCAGGGAAGTTAAGGGGAGGAGCTGGTTTGGGATGGAGATAATGAGTTTGGAGTGAAAGTGTCAGCAGGACATGCAGGCTGAGCAGTGAAAATAGAGAATGGAGATGCTTTTTTATTTTTATTATTTATTTTTATTTATAGAGCTCAGGAGATAGTGGTAGAATATGGAAGAGGAGAAGCAGTTGTACTCTGACACAGAATAGGGGTCTGCACAGAGTTCAGATGCCAAAAGCAAGCAAGCAAGCAAGCGGGTGGGAGCATCTATATAGCCAGAGAAAGATTTCAGAGTTTCATCTTAAGAACTCTGATGAACAAGGGGAAGAACAAGTGAGTGGTATTGGTGCTGGTCAGAATGAGAAATAAAGGAGGAGAGGACGGCATGAGAGTGGCAGTAAAAACCCCACTGCCAGACAAGATAGCTCAGCAAAGGGAGGTGCATAGCCAAATATAGATGCAGGAAACAAAGCCAATTTGTAGTAAATATTGCAATAAAAATTTTATTACCTGCTAGCTTATCAGTGTTCCAGAGAGAAGTAAATAATGTTCTCCCAATGTGCTCTATAAAGATTCTTCCTTCCATTTCCCTACTCCAGAGACAATTTGGCTTTTCTTAAATCTGATTAGACTTAAATCCCCTGTTGATTCATTTATGTCTTTGTTTTATCACATATGTTTTCTAGCTGCCAAAAACTGGGGAAGGAAATTTTCTAAAGGAAAATATTCTCTTTCTTCTTGAAACCACCAGGTGGTTTATAGCAGGTTTCATTTTCCCCAGGTAACTTTGCCTCTCATCACTTTGTTTATTTATTTATTTTTAGTTCAAAATGTATTTTGGAGATAAAAATATTTCAATGAATTTTGTGGACATATTTCTCTATGCTTGTCTTCTGTTTTTTTTTCTTTCTCTACGTTTGAGCAATAATTGGGGTTTCTGAGTCTGTAAAGAATTAGAAGACTTCTTTAGTATTGCTACTTACCATAGTTTTATTCAGCAAGCCTGCTCATTTGCTTGGACAGAAAACGAGTATTGTTTTGTTCTCAATAGATGGAAGAGTATAAATTGATGAGCTTTCTGGCTAATACAGCAGATCATGTTTTCCATAATTGAAGTCCTTTTTCAGTGATTCTCACTATGACTCTAGTTTGGGTTTTCAGTGATAAAATTCCAAACAGCAAAACCTAAGATCATCTACCTATCCATCACCCATTTGCATGCATTTGGTGTATTAGGATGCACACACACATACACAGTGCATGTGCACATACGTGCATGCATACACCACTGGAAAAATATGTGCAAACCCAGCCAGATAGGCTTTCTCATAGCATTCCTATAACTGATACATAGTGCCTTAGAGAAAATTCACATGCCAAGGTTTTTGCTTATCTTTACCTTGAAAATGAGTCCTATAAATATGAACATGTGAAATAAAGATCATCTCAGAAGAAGCAATCAAGAAGTTCATAAAATGTATCCTAGGCTGTTTCCATTTAAACATGGAAATATTTTTTCCATCTTTAAATAATACCAAAATATTAAAAATGCTGTTTGGACAATGACCTTCTTCTAGTTTGTAATGTCCAGCACAATCCTTTATTACTTATAAGCCAAATCTGGGCTGCTCAAGCTGTGGGCTGCACTGGGGCATGAAAAGGCTTGGCAGACCTGAGTGTGTTTTCAGCTATCAGCTTTGTCTGTGATCCGGAAAGCAGTATCAGCAAATGGCATTTTACTTATGGAGTCCCTGAGAGTCATCTTAGCAGGGCTGAGCAGGAAATCATGTGAGATAGCCAAGTAAGAGGGACAAGAAGAGAACCAAATGAGGGACAAAGTCTGCAAGTGGACCAGAAAGAACAGCTGAATATCACAGAGAGGAATAGGGCAGGTTACTGTGGCAGGGTGTTATGTTATTGAGAACAGGACCAACTTCTTTTCTGGCCTTGCCCCCATCTCCCTTCATGCTTTTCCCCACATGTTTGAAACCATTGAGATGTGCCCTAGAAATTGCAGTTATAAAGCAGGGGATAGACTTGGAAGAAGTGGACTTTCCACACAGGATCCAGGGAGGTAGATGTTGAGACTAAGCCACTGGGTCTGGTTTAATAAACTTAGGGACAGAGGCAGTCTTAGTCCAATGCAGAGTGTGGAGTTAGCAGACGGTGTCAAGAATGGCATGTGTGTTAGTTAGGTTGTTCTTGTATTACTATAGAGAAATGTCTGAGACTCGGTAATTTATGAAGAAAAGAAGTTTAATTTGCTCATGGTTCTGCAGGCTGTCCATGCGTGGCAAAAGCATCTGCTCAGCTTCTGGGGAGGCCTCAAGGAACTTTTACTTATGGTGGAAGGTGAAGCAGCAGCAGGCACATCACATGGCAAAAGTGGAGCAAGACAGAGAGCGGGGAAGGTGTTTTTTAAACGATCAGATCTCACATGAACTCACTCATCACCAAGGCAAGGGCGCTAAGCCATTCATGAGAGATACACCCCTGATCCAAACACCTCTCACCAGGCCCCACCTCAAATATTGGGGATTACAATTCAACATGAGATTTGTAGGAGACACATATCCAAACCACATTACGTGGGAAGGAGGAGTCTGCATTCAGAGTGGCACATAAGTGTGGCCATAGGGCTGGGGTCAGAAGTAGGAAACTATAGAGGGAGGTGAAGCAGCATGCCTGTGACCTTCAGAGTCTGGTTAGACCCCAGGAGTGGCTGGATGATTCTGTCTTCCTCTCTCTTACTGCAGGGCCGAGTCTCTTTGATGGCTGTGATCTCATTTCGGGCTTTACCCATAGTTTTCGTCCACAGTGGTCTTGTGAGAGGGAGTTTAAAGCCCCTTTGGCAGAAATCATTTTTTCCTGATTGGAATCCTCACTTAAAACAGATCGCCTCCATTTATACGGTGCAGGACCTTTTGTATGTAACACCATGAGAGGGCTTCAGGCAACAGCTGCTGATGACATAATGCTTAATGACTTCGAGTCCAACAATGCGAGTTCATGGGAAGTATTTAGAGACCACACAAGCCAGAATGTAATCAGCGGCTAGGGCTTCCCATCAACAGACAAATCCATAAATATTTATTCTTGGCAGAATTGCTTTGGATGGCTGCTCACCTTCTTTCCAAAACACTTCCTTTTCTCAGCTCATTTAATTATATTAGCAAGAAAGTCTCTCTTGTTTTTTTCTTTAGCAGTTGCTAAATCTCTCTTTTATCGGGGAAATTATGGTCCAGGCAGAGCAGGATTTTGCGTGGGTCAGCCAGAGGGCTCCCCTCTGGTGTCCACTTATTTAGGGATGTGAAAACACCACAGGAATAAATCAGAAATGTCCTAAGTGCCTCTCTTATTCAGGACTCCACATGTGACTTCTAATAAAGCAAGCAAAATATAAATCAGGCCATTTTTTTTCCCCAAAGCAGACAACAATTTCAAATGCAAAGCAAAAGGCATCTTTGATAGCACTGACCATTCTTTGATGCAACATACACATGCAAATTGGAAAATATATTGGAAATATTATAACCTAGGTTTTTAGTCCACTTCCTCCTATGTCCTGTTCCCTGGCAACCGTCAATATAGAATCAGAAAAAGTGGGACAGAAAATTCTACCTTGAGAAGGAGAAGCACACAATATAGAGAAAGTTCTGGTTTAAAAGGAAGAAGTAGAAAAATCTTAACTCTTTTGCTTCTCAGTTGACTGTCAAAAGGAGAACAGAATGAGAGTAAGGGAAAATAGGAGTTGAGACACATTTGACATGTGATTTTTCTCTTCTAGGTAGAAAGTCTAATACCAGAGAGGTATTAGATGAAGTGAGGGAAGCCCTAAAGGAAGCGGCTGTTTTGTCTTACTTTTCTATTAAGAGATCCGAGAAAGGACCACCTTTCATGATGGCTCCTTTCACTCTCACACCAACCTGTGGTGGCTACCTTAGAAAAAAATCCTTTTTTTTTTTTAGAGGGAATTTCGCTCTTGTTGCCCAGGTTGGAGTGCAATGATGTGATCTCCACTCACTGCAACCTCCCAGGTTCAAGTGATTCTCCAGCCTCAGCCTCCTGAGTAGCTGGGATTACAGGTGCCTGCCATCATGCCTGGCTAATTTTTGTATTTTTAGTAGAGATGAGGATTCACCATGTTGGCCAGGCTGGTCTCAAACTCCTGACTTCAGGTGATCTGCCCACCTGCCTCGGCCTCCCAAAGTGCTGGGATTACAGTCATGAGCCACTGGGTCTGACCTAAAATCCTTGATGTAGAGTGTTTATTCAAGAAGACTCAATCTCTATAAGGGTGAAAGCTATCAAGACATTCTCACATGTTCTTCAGGGACATGTGGGAAGTAGCTGATGGTGCTTGTTGGTTAATTTACCAGGAGGATGTCTCAGGGATGTGAAGTGATCATATAGCTGATGATAATTGAGCACACAATTCTGCCTAGGGATCAACAAGATATTACAGCGAGATCTCAGAGTAGACACAACACCAGCAATTGCTGAAGAGGGGCAAGTTCAATAGGAGTGATCACAGGTTACTGATCAAAGTAAGAGAACCTGTCACAGATTTTATCATTTGATGGCAGGGGGATGACTCACCATCGGACAGCCGAAGAGCATTATCTCAGTGATCAGGGGACCCAGAGGAGAACACAAGGACCTATGTGTGGGAAAATAAATGAGACTTTCTCTGCGCCAGGAGGCTATGTAAGCCCTCCTTCCCCAGCCCCTCCTCACCCAGCCCCATCTGGGAGAGGAGGAAGAGGAGGGGAGAGAAATATGTGAGGGCGGGAAATTTATCTGAACAGGAGTGGATCATTGCAATGGCACTGTTCGATTTATTGAGTTGGACTAAGTTTAATAGATAAAATCGATTGAAGCGTTCCCTCTACTATCCAATAAAGTAAAGACTTGTGAGGAAGATCAGATTCATTCTGGGAAATAAACTCAATGTCTTTACACATTAAAATGTGTGTTTAACTTTGACCTCACTGTGTTAATCATGTTTTATGTTTTACTTTTATATTTTATTTTATTATATGCATTTTAAATACTTTAGTGTGTCTCCCAGAAAGTTATCTGGGTCAGAAAGATTGCAACAGAAAACTGGAGACCATAAACTATGGAAAAGTGAGAAAGACGACCTGAACATTAAATCTGGAAACAAAATTTAAAGCCTTATAAATATATGAGTATATAACTTTTCTCTATGCTTAGTGAGATTGGGTGTCTAACATTTGTGAGTTGTTTTGCTGATAGAAAAATTGGTGAAATGAGTTTAAAAATTACATAATAAATTCCTTATTTAGAACCTAAAGAAGGAAGGATATTATTTATATTAATAGAAAACTTTTTCCCCTTATTTATCAAAGAAATGAATGAATATGAAATTGTAGCCTGCTGGTGTCCCTACATACCTTAGTAAATCCCTGGCCTAAGAGTCAGCATTTTCCCTAGGCAGCAGCAGTAGGAGCATATAGCCAGTGCAGTCAAATTGCTCTGGCCTGGTCACCTGTTGTATCATCTGCTCTTCCCTAACCCTAATTCTTTGGAACTATCTCCGCTCATGGTGACTTTACACGGTCTCTGTGGGAGCAGCCATTTTGTTTTTTGTGTCCCACTCTCTTGGTCACAGGATAACTTGAACTGGACAAATGATGCAAGCTGGGGCAATTGGTTGCTTCTCCAGGAATTCTCAATCCAGGAGGAAAAAGAGAGAGCTCAGTCTTGTCTGTATAGTTAATACAGGCCTTGAAAAGTAAGTGAGTAGATGCGTCTAAGTCTACATGCAGGATCAGATGTAGAGTTTTCAGAAGATGTCCTGTGGAAGTTGGTGCCTTCCATTATGTGACTAGGGCTGGTGGAGCCTGGGCTGGCTGCCCCTTAGCAAAACTGAGAAAACTGGGAAATTTGCCACAGATGGATCCCATGGCCCCATTCTGTATTATTCCTTCCCTCAGCACTTCAATTGGCCTCTCATGTGTTGGTGGAACACACAGGAAGGTTTTTTCTTGGCGATAAGGAGACCATCATCTTTCTATCACTTGCTGACCCATGGGATGTCAAACTGTCAACTTCCAATGGGGAAAAACAACAATGTGAAAGAAGAGACCCCAGTCAAACAAAGACTGGGCAGTGAATGCAAGTAGGCAAGCGCCTTCTTTCCACTGTCCTGTTGCTTTATTGGTCCTGGGCAGCAAGCAAGCTGGCTCAAGCTCTGTTGTTTTGTGTTCAGTCCAAGGAGGCTCTCACTCTACCTATTGCTTGTACATCTGCTGTCCTTTCTTCCTAGTAACTTGTTCAGAGATTTTAAATTAGAGAGAAAGAAGTGGTGGAAACAGCTTCTTTCTTGGAGTCAGGGCCCTGGTGATCCAGGTGCTGCTTGCCTGCTGTTATAGACACCTGTTGTTTATACCACCCAACCTCTTCTAGTAACAGAAAAGTGATTTTTTTTTCTCCTGAGGAATCATCCTGACCTCACACTCACTTCAACTGTTTCAGGTGGAGTTTACTCCTACTGGCTTTGGTGAGACTGTGACACAGATTGGGTGAATCAGAACATTATGATCTCCTGGATGTTGTGATTGGTTGAAGACTGGTGACATGACTCAATCAGTGTTAGGGAGATCCAATCATCTCATAGTGCTAGGACTCCTGGAAAAGATGTGTACTTTTTTTTTTCCTTCTCTGGGACTTTTGGCAATAAAGGATAGGTTGGCCTAGATTTCCAGGCATCATCTCCTGAAGCCTGAAAGTGAAGTTAATAATTTGGAAAGACAAAACTGAGAAATAAAGAGAAACCCAGCCTTGATGACATGTTCTGAGCTTCTACATCCTGTTATGCCTGGAAGCCTCCTGTATTAGTCTGTTCTCACACTGCTATTAAAGACATGCCTGAGACTGGGTAGTTTATAAAGGAAAGAGGTTTAATTGACTTACAGTTCAGCATGGCTGGGGAGGTCTCAAGAAACTTACAATCATGGTGGAAGGGGAAGCAAATACGTCCTTCTTCACATGGCAGCAGCAAGAAATCTGAGTAAAGGGGGAAAAACCCCTTATAAAACCATCGAATCTCTTGAGAACGCTCACTATCACAAGAACAGCATTAGGGTAACCAGCCCCATGATTCAATTACCTCCCACCAGGTCCCTCTCACCACACGTAGGGATTATGAGAACAGCAATTCAAGGTGAGATTTGGGTGGGGACACAGAGCCAAACCATAACATTGACTCTACTGGATTTTAGTCATATAAATCAATAGGTGTTTTTCATGCTTGAGCCACTTGGAGGGCTGTTCTTTTTCGTTTTTTTTTTTAATCTCTGAAAGATTTCTTACTGCCATATCACCATTATTCTGTGATTTTGTTTCAATCTCTGTGGCCAGGAGAATGTGATTCTCTAATCGACCAAGTCAGGTTTTGTGACTTCTATGGGCCCTTCTAATTCAACTCTTCAAAGTTTGTAAACAGATTGACTTTCAAGTTTAACGAGAATCCATCTTGAAAACACAAGGTTAGTCCATACAATCTAAAGTGGCTACAGAATCTGGAGGACTCACATTTATTTAACATCTTGCAAATGCAGATGTCTGTGAATGAGATCATATTCTGATGAAGCTGTTCAGTTTTTTGTTGATACTTAGGAAATACGGAGTAATCATTTTTAACTTTTAGGGACTATAAATTCAGTGTACTAATATTAATAACTATCTCCTGTTCCTCCTTTCTTCTATAACCTACAATAAGAAAAAAAGGCACAATGTTCTAGTCATACTAAATGTCCTTTTCAAAAATAACATTTTACTGGGAAATGGGGGGCTCCTAAATTGACGGCAATTTAAGCTGCAAAATTTCACCAGATAATGGAGTATTCTAAATTGACTATGGTGGTGCAGGGCAGCAAACTGTGTAAAAACTTACCTACAGTTTCCAAGAAGATCAGAAATATCTTGGACCTTGAAAGACTTTGAACAGATTCATTTTTTATATAAGAAGTAAAAAATGTTGAAAGTCATGCCTAATGAAAATCAATCTTTTTGTTCTATTATGCATTGATGAAAGAAGTTTCATGATCATTAGAGTGATTGAAGTCTGAATTCTTTTTAATGAATATTACATTCCTACCCATTAAGAGGAGGCACTGCAGCAAGCCAGACTCGAACCCAGTTTTCACTCCCTGTAGTGTTTCCATCAGGGGTTCTGGGAGCCAACTCCTCTGAGCCTGCCTGCTGTAGAAGAAGGGTGCTTCACTAGTAAAATGTAATGTCAGGCAAAATAAAAGCAAGAAACAGCTTTAGGTTCAGATAGACATGCTAAAAGTGAACAAATGGGGCAAATTTTCTAAAACAAGGATGATTATGACTTTAATTAATTGGCAGAAGAGTCACACTGGCACGGTGTGCTCTGCCATCTCATCTGCTCCACATGCATCATTTTTGCACGTAATTATCATCACCATCCTCTCAACTGCTTCTCTCCACATGTGTTGCCCATCTCAGTGAGCATCACCACTTTATTTTTATTTTTTTGTTTTGTTTTGTTTTTGAGACAGTGTCTCACTCTGTCACCCAGGCTGGAGTGCAGTGGTGTGATCTCGGCTCACTGAAACATCTGCCTCCTGAGTTCAAGCGATTCTCCTGCCTCAGCTGCCCAGGTAGTTGGGATTACAGGTGCCCTCCATCATGCTCGGCTAATTTCTGTATTTTTAGTAGAGACGGGGTTTCACTATGCTGGCCAGGCTGGTCTCGAACTCCTGACCTCAAGTGATCCGCTCAACTTGGCCTCTGAAAGTGCTGGGATTACAGGCGCGAGCCACTACATGTGGCAACCACTTTTTTACCAACTGCTGAAGCCAACAGCCTGGTCCTTGCTATTGGTTCCACCTCTCTCTCACCTTTAACTGTCAACTCTCACTCTATCTCCAAGATTCACCCAAAATTCCTCCAAAATGTATCTTGAATTTCGCCTTTATTTGCCATTTTGCTACTTCCCTGGCTCAGGGAATTAGCCATAGATGACTTTTATAGTTTTGTATACTCTTTGAGTAATTTTTTACTTTTACAATTTTATTAGAGAGCAATGCAAACTCATTATTAAAAAAACAAGAAAGTAAACACAAAATGATAAAGAATAGCTATAATCCCATCTACATTTCAGTTGCTTATTAAAAAGGAATTAGAAATGAGAGGATAAAAAAGAAAACAAAACTGCTTAAAGTTACATCAGGTTTTGGAAAAGTATATCGTGGTGTTCCAAAATTTAAAATATTGGGGATATTTGTTTTCAACCAAAGAGTTATTTCAGTAATTATCAAGGATCACCTTACAGAGCACTTAGCATATTTCAAGTACTTAGTATTTTGTTCAGCTGAAACTCAAATGATGAGTTTTATATTATAATTGAAAGTGACTGTATTATGGGAAAGAATATATCTATGGATCCTCAGGGGTCAGTGGCCCCCAATTTAGAGAGTTAGTGACTACTTCCAACATTTGTGGGGTTCCAGAGAAGAGTACAATGGAGGTCTGGATAATACATGTCTAAGTATTTTGAAGTTTTGAATCAAGTTAACAAACTTAAATACATTTTATTATCTTCATCTCTTGGCAAATCTACCTCTATCATGAAGGCTGGGTTTGAATTTAGCGTTCTTGAATTTTCAGACTTCTGTTCTAGAATATGATGGTGTTGGTAAAACCCACAAGTCCTTGCATTGTCTCCCCACAGTAGCAGTGTCCTGTGCATTGCGGCACCTTGTTTACCCAGGGGTGGGCGGGCACACTGGCAGTGCAGTCTGCCTATGGGAAGATGGCCCAAACAAGGCCACACACACGCTGGAAGTAGGTTTGATCATTAGTTTTGGTGTGGTTTGCACATATAATTTGACTTTATTAATTACCTTTTCCTCTCATAAACACACACAGCTTGATTTTTATCAATTTATATGTGACTCTTTCACATTCAAACTCAAATGACTTCATTTTCCTGGAAGGAATTTTGATGATCTATAGTTTCCTACATTTCTATTGTAGGATGAAACTGAAATCAATCAGTGATTCAGAGACATGTCCAGTGCCTCTTATGGAGTCCATATCTGTTAATGATTGCTGAGAAACAAAACAGCACCAAAATCTAATGAATCAAATAATGACAGATTTTTTTTTCTCTCATGATTCTGTGGGTTGGCTGTGAGATTCCACTGCTGGTTTTGCCTGAGCTTGCACATGGGGCTGCATTCAGCGGGAGGGTGGACTGGGCTGGAAGGTCTGATATGGCTCATTTCCATGCTTGGCCGTTGGTGCTGACCACCCACAAAGACACTGGTTCTCCTAAAGTACCTCAGACGCTCCAGCAGGCTAGACAAGCTTCCTTACTTGGCTGGTCAGGGCAGCATTTCAATAGCACAAAAGCAGAAGCTGCAACATCTCCAGAAACCCAGACTCTGAAATTCCCATGACATCACTTCTGTCACATTCTATTTATTGGTTAAAGCAAGACATATCCATCACCTTGCTTACCTATCATTTGTTTGGTTAGACATTTGAAATTTATCCTCTTAGCTATTTTGAAATATATTATGTAATATGTTATTATTGACTTTAGTCATCCTGTTGTGCAATATATCTCAAAACCTATTCCCCTGTCTATCTAAAACTTTGTACTCTTTGATCAGCAACTTTCCATTCCCTCTCTCACACTTCCCCAGCCTCATGTAACCATCATTCTACTTTCTACTTCTATGAGTTCAACTTTGTTAGATTCCACATATAAGTGAGATCATGCAGTATTTGTCTTTTTGTGGCTGTCTTATTTACTTAGCATGATGCCTTCCTTTTTTAAGGCTGAATACTATTCCATTGTGTATATATATCACTTTTTCTTTATCATTTCAGGTGTTGATGGACACTTAGGTTGTTTTCATGTCTTGGCTACTGTGAATAATGCTGCAATGAACATGGGAGTGCAGATACTCCTTCCACATATTGATGTCAGTTCCTTTGGCTATATATTCTAAAATGGAGTTACTGGGTCATAGGATAGTTCTATTTTTAATTATTTGAGGAGCCTCCATACTGTTGTCCATAATGGCTATACTAATTTATAGTCCCACCAACAACATACAAGAGTTCCCTTTTCTCCATATCCTCTTCAACACTTATTGTCCATTTTTTTGTTGTTGTTGAGAGCCATTCTAACAGGTCTGAGGTGGTATCTTATTGTACTTTTAATTTGCAGTCTCCTAATGATGAGTGATGCTGAGCTTTTTTTTCATGTGCCTATTGGCCATTTTTATATCTTCTTTTGAAGTATTTCTGTTGAGATCCTTTGCCCATGTTTTAATTTGGTTGTTTTCTTGCTATTAAGTTAATTGACTTTTTAATATTATATTTTGGATATTGACCCCTTATCAGAAGTATGGGTTGCAAATATATTCTCTCATTTTGTGGATTATCTCTTCACTGTGTTAATTGTTTTCTTTGCAGTGCAGAAGATTTTTAGTTTGATGCCATTTTGTTTGTCTATTTTTTCTTTTGTTGCCTGTGCTTTTGGGTCATGTCTAAAAATCATTGCCTCAACCCATGCCATGGAGCTTTTCTACCATGTTTTCTTCTTGTAGTTTTACAGTTTCACATCTTATATTTATGCCTGTAATTGGTTTTGAGTTGATTTTTGTATGTGGTGTAAGATAAGGATCTAATTTTATTTATTCCTCAAATACTCATTGATATCATGTTAAATGAAAGTTTAATATCCAAAATTAACTGTATACTAGATTTACCATTTTAATAAACATGCTAGTTTTTCTCTGTTTGTTCATCTCCCATTAGCCTATCTCCCACCCTTCTCTGCCTTGTTTTATTCTGTTCATCTCCCATTAGCCTATCTCCCACCCTTCTCTGCCTTGTTTTGTTCTGCGTTCTAAGAGCCTAACTCTTACAGACTGTATTTTGCAAGCTTCCTCATCAGGAGCTTCCTTCCAATTGGTTTTGGTTTATCGGAGGCATTAACATACGATTGGAGGGCTGGGCTGGAGAAGAAAATGGTCTGGTGATTGATTTCTTACTGCTTTGGCACCAAATCTATGGGTTACCATGATTACAGTTCCTGCTAAGTAGCTGTATGTTCTTCCTTTGACTTTGGCTAAGGGTTGGTGACAGCTTTCCACTTTTGTTATTCATTCTGTGCCTCACTATCCACTGCTTAATCCCTCGCCCATCCCACTTTTCTGAAAGCAGCCTCTTTATTTGACCATCTAGAGTGAATTCAAGTATATATCCATAAAAGATATATGTTAGTTGTCTCTTTATTTGACCCTTTATTAGGAATATGCAGATATAGTGAATACATTTTTAAAAGCCTATCCCTAATGACACCAAAAATTAGAATATGCCTGTGTTTATTTCTTTTTGCATTTTCTAAGAGGTAATGTTTCATCCTTAATACCTAGTATACATCTAATCAAGGATAACATTCATCATACAACCACAATAAGATTTTCCAGTTCTTTATATTTCTTTCTTACTTTAAGTCCTTTTTCTGACTTTCCTTCACAATATCCTACTTTTTTCTCCACAGTATTTTATTTTATTGTCATCACCTACCTTTGATTTTATTTTCCTCATTCATTCCCAGATGTTTTATAGACCCATCTATGTGAGCTGTTTTGTCAGTCTCTACATTAAAGGGACATAAAAAATGAAGCCCAACTGAGAACATCTTCATAAGCCAATAGCAATTTCACCCCCTACCAAAGAAAAAAACTGCTCAAACCCCCAAATCCTACTACTTTTTTTTTTTTTTTTTCAAATACAGGGGATTTTTTGTCCAGTTTTTAGGATTAGCAATTCAAATCTTTATTTCATGTATCCAAACTCTAGAGTCCTTGCACATGTAAAATTTCCATTAAATTTAATGTGGTCTTTGGTATAAAATATACTGTGTCTGACATTTATGTGTGATGTGAGAGTAGTGTTGTGTCTGGAACTTTATTTCAGTTGCTGAGGTTGCTTTATATCTTTTGATTTTTGGATCATTTTGCTGCATTTCCATAGCCACCATTGTGATTCTAGTTGAAAAATGTTCATTTTCCACTTTGTAAAGTAGATGCAATTCTACATGCTTGAGTGCACACTACTTCTAAGACTAGAGCTTTTTGTTAGTAACATTGCTTATGTTTCCTTCTCTAGTTACTATAATATTTCTTTCACTTTTTTTTTTTTTTTTGAGACTGAGTCTCACTCTGTCACCCAGGCTGGAGTGCAGTGGTGTGATCTCGGCTCACTGCAACTTCCTCCTGGGTTCAAGGAATTCTCATGCCTCAGCCTCCTGAGTAGTTGGGATTACAGGCATGTGCCATCATGCCCAGCTAACTTGATTAGATTTATTTTTAGTGGAGATGGGGTTTCACCATGTTGGCCAGGCTAGTCTTGAACTCCTGATCTGAAGTGATCTGCCCCACTTGGCCTCCCAAAGTGCTGGGATTACAGGCATGAGCCATTGTGCCTGGCCGATACTTCTTTCTACTCTACAAATAGTTCTTGCTTTTTGACTTAAAATAGGCCACTATTCTTTAAAAAATTTCCTCTGCAATCTGGTCTGTCTCATTCAGTACCATTTTCACCTCAACTATTCAAAACTCTTTCCCTTTGGAAAATAAATATCCTCTTACTTATAAGTTTAAACCAGTTTCTCAAAAGAGATATTATTTTAGCCTAGAGAATACTGTGGTCTGAGTCACATGGATCATAAAACCCAATGGCACAGTGGATGACATGGCTCTTCTGTGATCTAGTGCCTGCCTAAGTTCCCCGTCAGCCCTCCACAAATAATTCATAGGGTTGATACGTGGGACCTGACAGTCTACTCATTCTGTTCTTTCTGCTTGTTTATGAATTAAGGTAGATGGCATTGGGAAAGTTAATCTTTCTTGCCACAGGAGAGTAAGTAGAAGGCAGCATCGTACTTGGTTAATTGGGGCGGGTGGGTGGGGGTGGTTCTTCTTTCCCAGTGACAGAAGGTGGAAGACTTCAAAATGTACCAGAAGGAGACAGATGCCAACTGTGAGAAGAAGGTAATAACTACCTAAAGGTCTTTAAGAATGAAACGCATGCACGTTTGTGTGTGTTTGTTATGATTTTAGTGCACTGGAGAATCTGATATTTGTTTCTAAGTGATTAGATTTACTCAATTTGAAGGGCGCAGTATTATAAGCCTCATGGCCCTTCCTGTGGACTTTGCATACAATGGTTTCATTTTGAGTCAACATGGAACAAAAGAAATCTAAGAATCCAAACTCTAGCATAGACTCATGAATTTGGGCAAGTTTTATGTTGTCTAGTTCCTAGTGTTTTCTTCTATAAAATGGGAATAACTACATATGACTTGCTTACCTTAGAGGGGATAGTATTATAAGGCAAGTGTGCTTTGAAAATTGCTACATGCTATACAGATGTATAGAATCGTTATTTCAGGGGGCATTGATGTTATAGCCATCACTGTCACTAACACATTGATAATATTTAAATCTTTATCACCAACCCCAGTCTCCCCCTTGACCTCAGATCCATATTTTCAGTGATCTGCTCGATATCTCCTTAAATGTAATTAAAGGCACATCAGTTCAGTATGTCTTAAGTGATACTCGTCATCTTTTGAACCTGCTCTTTCTACTGTACCATGGTTAATGACACCACTGTATTTCTTGTCACTTAAAACAGAAATCTAGTAATACCCTTTACTCTTTTCCATCCTTCATATCTCATTAAAATAGTAAGATCCGTTTATCTGCCTCTATAAAATTGCTTGATTCTGTTTTTTTCTCTCCATTATCACCTATGTTCTAGGTTAGGACCCTTGTCATTGTGGGAGAAACAAACGGTACATGATTTACAATGAACGTCTTGGAATTATGCATTAGTTTTTTTTTCTTAAATAGGTCTATAGGGAGAAAACCAACAGCAACAGTCAATACTGTCTAACCAGCAAGTTAATTCATGCCTTTATGTAGTGGAAAAGTTACAGAAAGAAGTTAGTATCCAATTTTAGTGAATAAACTTGATTTCTATAACTAATATAATCTAGCAAACACAACTTCCTATAACAAAAAAATAGTGAGCAAAGACATACGATCACAAACATAGTAAACAAGCTTGCAGTAACCTTGAAATTAAGAATTATATTTCATAGGAGAAAACTATGTCTTTCTGGTTAGGAAGCAAAATATTACTGGAAATCCTTCTCCCTCTTTTAGCTAACTGGGCAGAATCTCAAGTTTAAAACAATAATATATGAAGTACTATAGGTTTAACTTTTCAATATACTTGACTGATTCTTTCTTTATCATTCTTTTATGAAAATGAGCTTGTAAATATTTCTTAGCTTCTTCCATATTTTTATAACAGAGCATGGATTTCTAGCCCAGTGCTTTGCAGTCTCAAGGACTCTTATACCAACAACTTCCTTTCCTCTTGAGAGTTCTCATAAAATGTCATTGTGATATGTGCTTTGTGGCTTCAAATGCAATTTTAATCAAGTTCATATGAAAGTTTGGGTGAGTTTACAATTTTTTCTTTCTACATTGTCTTTTGGACTGTTTAAATCGTCTTTTTATTGGTTTTCTCATCTTTAGCTTCACCTTTCTCTAATCCGTTCTTCATATTGACAGCTATGACCTTTGTAGAATGCAAATGTAATCAAGTCACTTTCATGTTCCAAACCCTTCAGTGGAGTTTGAAACCTATAACATGCAGGCAAAAAACCTTGATAGGGTGTAGAAGTTCCTCTATGATCTGGCCTCTCTTGTGCCACATTTGTCTAGTCTCTTCCCTGTACCCTCTGTCTCAGATATCTCATCTTCCAGCCTTTCGGACTACTTGTAGTTATTCAGATACACAATATGGGTTTGTGTCTCCGTGTACCTTTACCTAGAATTTCCTCTCTCATTACTTTCTCTTGCCCTTCCCACCCTGGTGAAATCCTGCTTCCTTCTTCCTCTCTCTTCTTTTCTCTCTTTCTTTGGTATTTAAACCAATTTTAATTCTGAAATAATTTCAGACTTTAAAAAGTTACTAAATAGTACAATTTTCTGTACCCCCTTCAGCTAGAGTTCCTTAGCTTTCTAGCTGCTGTTCAGTTTTATTATATCATGCCAGATATGCCAATAAAATGTATTCCAAGCATTTCCTATGAAAACATCCAGGTAACACCATCTTCCAAATATTTTTGGTTAAATAAATGTCTAAAGAGGAGAAGTCTATTTTTCTGTATTTACTGAAATTGAAGAGCTAGAGTTTTTCCCTTTGGGAAGGCAAGACAACCAAAGGTAATCAGATATGAAATTCATTCCTTCTGCCTTTTCTTGGCTTTAGAAATTTAAACTGCAGCGAATTTTGAGAAATAGTTACTCATCAAGATGAATGAAGAAAATTACAGAGCTCTCTGCCACAGTCATCCTACCCCCTTGTCTTGTACTCTGATTATCTAAAGAAAGAGGGAGAAAAAAAAAGTGGAGTGGGAACTTCCAGGAAGAACCAGGCTATTATTAATTAAACACAGGAAGTATTCCTTTCTCCAAGACACACCTATTCCAGTTTTTAGGTTGGGATTCAGTTACTCTTTCTTCTTTCAACTAAACTACATGTCACACTCTTTTTTAATCATTACCTTATTTATCTATCTCCACTGGACTCTGATTTCTTCGAGGAGAGGGGTCAAATAGTCATTTTTTTTTTTTGGCGGCACCTATTAAAGTGCCTGGCAAAGAGGAGGAATTAATGATGTTTGTTGACTGATTGACTGATGAACTAAACTAATAAAGTGTAGCAGCAATTAACAAAGGTGATCTTGATGTTTGCAAAATGTCTTCCGAAGGGATATTTCAGCATTAAAAGAAGACAAGATCTCTTGTGATGACTCTTGGTAGGGTATGTTCTATTTCTCTAAATTTTCTTGGCTGACATAGGTAATTATAAAACTTTTGAAGACCTACTGGAATGTTTTTCAGTTCTGCAAAGTTATTAGCAAATGTAGCTCTTGATAGACCACCTGTTTACACTCATGCAAACTGGGATATCCTCCCAGGTTACTCCTGTCTGAGCTCTCCTATGTGACCTAGGTGAGTATGGGCCACTGGCAGTCTATTCACCCAATAAAGGTGATGCCTCAGAATCCCCGGAGGAGCTTGTTAAAAATACCAATGTCAGGGCTCTAGCTCATAGTGACAAAGGGAAAGCCTTAGATGGAAATTTCAATATTTTTGCACTTCAAGCTTCTGATTCTTTTCATCATTCTAAAAAGAAGAAAAAAATATCTTATGGTTGCTTGTATAGGCATCTCTGTGCTTATTTTCTCTAATCAATAAAACAAGGTACTTTTTCAATTGAACTTTTTTGATGTCTGTGCTATTGGCATTGGATTTTGGTTTTAATCTAAGGCCTATGATCTTTGGACGCAAACCTATAAGAATAAGAGAAAAACCAATATGAAGAATATGACTACTTTATTTCATCATCTGTAAGATGTATATCTCTCCTATCTTAAAATCTCTGAAACTGGGATGTACCTTTTAATTGATGGCATTTTATATTATCTCTCAGGGAGGCAGCAGTTGTGAAGTGGTTGGCATGACCTGTACATGCATTCAAGATGTCAGCATCAAAATTTGTTGAATGCATGTCAACAGCTTGGAAAAAAATCCTGGAGACAGAAGTGGATCACTCTTTTTAACCACTAGAAACCAATTGTTCAGATTATTGGCAATCTTTCTAGAGCGAGTCAAAGAAGACTAGCTGTACATGATTGCAAAACTATGTTAAGAAGACCTAAAGTAAACTTGGTTTTTGATATGGATTTTAGAAAATACTTTATTATCAACTTCATCATTAGCACTTTTCGTGGCACGGATTGATATTGTGTAGGAGAAGTTGGATATTAAGGACTCAGTGAAAAAGTGATGAAGATTTAAGTCTGAATTTTAGAGAAATGTCAGGAATACCTTAACCAGTTTATTTCTCTTACATTTTCCTTTTCATGTATGCACAAAAGTAATTTATGATAAAAATCTATGATTAATTAAGCCAAAACCATTCTTCCAATAAATATAATATAAAAATTCTAAGTGATAAGGCAGTCTTAGGTTATAGTTTAATTAGCAGGATATTTTTCTTTCTTTCTTAGAGGTCCCACAGTAATGGAATTTCTTCCCATTGATGGATAGTTAGATTCCATGAAATGAAGTAATGAAAATTCTAGTCCTACTGCTTGCTTCCTAAGTGCCAGACACTCTTCCAAGCAGGCCACATGTATCAACTCATTTAGTTTTCACAAAACCCTATGAGATAGGTGCTATTGCTGTTCTCATTTTACATAAAAGGAATGAAGTCACAGAGATGTGATTCTAACTTTTGGCTACTTTCTAGATTTTTTTTTTCTTTTTTTCCCCCATGTTGCTGAGTCCATGCATGTAGCTACTTTCTAGATTTTAAAACCATGACATTCCTCTCTTACACTCAGTTCCTCATCTGCAAAGTGGGCATCATAAAGTTCATCTCATAGGACTGTGGTGAAGATTAAATTAGCTGATATATTTATATTATGTCACTTAGCACATCAAAAGGTTTAAGTAAGACAATTCCAAAAGTTATGAATTCTGTCTTTTTTCTTTTATTCCACTGTGTTGTCCAGGCTGGAATGCAGTGGTATGAACACAGCTTAGTGCAGCCACCACTACCTTGGGCGCAGGTGGTCCTCCCACCTCAATCTCCCGAGTGGCTGGGATTATAGGTGCATGCCGCCACACCTAGCTAATTTTCTTATTTTTTGTAGAGGTGGGGTTTCACCATGTTGCCCAGGCTGGTCTTGAATTCCTGGGCTCAAGTGACCCACCTGCCTTAGCCTCCCAAAGTGTTGGGATTAAAGGTGTGAGCCAATGTGCCTGGCCTGAATTCTCTTTTTTCTTTTCTCTTTTTTGTCTTTTTTTTTTGAGACAGAGTCTTGCTCTGTCGTCCAGGCTGGAGTGCAGTGGCATGATCTCGGCTTACTGCAACTTTCGCCTCCCCGGTTCAAGTGATTCTCCTGCTTCAGCCTCCCCAGTACCTGGGATTGCAGGTGCGGGCCACCATGCCTGGCTAATTTTTGTATTTTTAGTAGAGACAGTTTCGCCTTGTTGGCCAGGCTGGTCTTGAGCTCCCGACCTCAGGTGATCTGCCTGTCTCGGCCCCCTAAAGTGCTGGGATTACAGGAGTGAGCCACCACACCCAGCCTGAATTCTCTTCCTTTTACTAATGAAAATATTCACATAGTAGTCATTGTTGGTTGCCTACGTGGCTTTTCTCTTCCACCATAAAAGGATCTTTATTTTGTTCACATATCTAGCACCTCCACCAAGTAGCCCCTGTGTCTCAGGGTAAACTAACCCTTCAGAACTCTAGCAGTGACGTTTGATTATTTTAAGCTTCATTGTACTATTCTCCTTGCTAATGATGGGTTCAGGAACCCAGGGCTAAGCCAATCAGATCATGATATTTCCCCTAAGAACAAGGAAATAGCATGGGCATTTGACCCAATGGGGTATAAAGATAAGTTGATGGGTACTTCTGGAAAAAGATGAAGATATAGGAAAATATATATGTTTCCAGACTATGAAGCCCAGCACTGCCACAGCTATTTAGCTACCTGCCTGAGGATGGAGTGGGTCCATAGTAAGGAACAGATCTAAAACAGCTATAGAGAAACAGACAACTGGGGCTACGAGAGTAAGTCAACTGCAAAACGCACCATAATTTTGAATTCCCCGTTGTTAAACTGAGTCAATTCTTTTTTGTTTAGACTAACTTGAATTGAAATTTCTGTTATGTGTAGCTAAAAGCATCCAGAATCCTAACAGAACAAATATCTCTAATTACTTTGGTCGTGTTTGTTCCAGGCCCTCTACTCTGCACTTGGTGTACATTGGATGCATCCTTACATCACTATCTTCATTTTAAAGTAAGGAAATGGAGTACAGACAAGGAGCGAACTCAGAATTTTCTTTTCTTTTTGCTTCTCAATCAGTGATCTTAACCACCCTATCTTTCTTAACCTGATATCTGGTACAATTTTTTAAAAATCTTTTTTTTAAGATTCATTTTTACTCTTGTTTTACAAATAATCCATGGTCATTATAGAAAAAGTAGAGCATACAGAAGCAAAACTGAATATAAGAACAATTCATATTTCCACTTTCTTGAAATAACTACTGTTAACATTTGGCGCATACCTTTTATTTTTTTAATTATTTTTTCTTTTTCAATTTTTATTTTAGATTCGGGGATACACACGTATCCCCTGTGTAACAAACACAGGTTTGTTACAAAGGTATACTGTGTGATGCTGTGGTTTGAGGAACGATTGACTCTCTTACCCACGTAGTGAGCATAGTGAGAAGCCCTTGCCCCTCCCTCTCTCCCTCCTCTAGGAGGCCCCAGTGCCTATTGTTCCCATCTTTATGTCCATGTGTACCCAGCGTTTAGCTCCCAATTGTAGATGAGAACATGTGGGATTTGTTTTTCTGTTTCTGGATTAATTTGCTTAAGATAATGGCCTCCAGCTGCATCCATGTTGCTGCAAAGAACATGATTTCATTCTTTTTTATGGCTGCATAGTATTCTATGGTATATATGTATCAGATTTTCTTCATCCAGTCCACCATTGTTGGGCACCTGGGTTGATTCCATGTTTTTGCTGTTGTGAATAGTGCTGCAATGAACACACGGGTACATGCATCCTTTTGCTAGGACAATTTCTTTTCCTTTGGGTTTATACTTAGTAGTGGGATTGCTGGGTCAAATGGTAGTTCAATACTTAGTTCTTTGAGAAATCTCCAAACTGCTCCCCACAGTGGTTGGACTAATTTACTGTTAAAATTTTGTGATGGTCTGTTTTGTGACAAAAATATCTATCTTAGTAGAAACTGTTTTCACCTAAATATTTAATCTTGTTTCATTTTATTTACTTTAATATCTTCCTCCAAAGTCATTTTTTGTAAACTGCAGAGTCATCTGCATCTTATTATTGGTGAAATTGATATCATGGGTGACAAACTGTACTCAGGCAGGTAATGAGTGAAAAGATCAGGGTGTGGGAGAAAAACCCTAAAGTGCAGGCATGGTGATAGATGTTGAGGGCACAGTGAATGTATTAGTCTACCAAGGCTGCCATAACAAAACACCACAGACTGGGGCGCTTAAATAACAGAAATATTACAGCTCTGGAGGTTGCAAGACCAAGATCAAAGCGTGGGCAGATTTGGTTTTTCCTGTAGCCACTCTCCTTGGCTTGCAGATGGCCGTCTTCTCACTGTGTTCTCACATGACTTTTCTCTGTGTGCAAGCATCCTTGGCATCTCTTCCTCTTTTTGTGAGGACATTAGTCAGATTGGATTAGGGCTCTACCCTAATGGCCTCATGTAA
This sequence comes from Homo sapiens, assembly GCF_000001405.40. Lineage (NCBI taxonomy): Eukaryota > Metazoa > Chordata > Mammalia > Primates > Hominidae > Homo > Homo sapiens. The sequence continues at coordinate 117,081,497 of NC_000008.11, forward strand.
CCTTAATTGCCTCTTTAAAATCTCTATTTCCAAATACAGTCATGTTGAGGCTAGGACTTCAACATATGAATTTTGGAGGACTGCAATTCAGTCCCTAATAAAGGGATATAGTGGGGCTCTGGTGACCTGGAGAATGAGCATTCTCTTGTCCTTTTGAAGGAGACCCTCCCCTATTTGGCCCCCATTAATTACTGCCACAAGGAAGGAGGACTTGGCATTGTCAGGTCTGCCTTTTCAATTCACACTTGGAATACAAGTTTTTAAGTAAAGTCTTCCAATTTCAAAAATTGTCACCTAATAACAAAAATATGTGTTTGTGGCCAGCTATCTGTTTGTGAAGTCTGGATCAAATAGGCAATAATTGCCGATTCACAACAATGGGTTGTTCTGTCACCATTTTCTGCTCTTCTCCTGCTCTCTCTCTTCCTCTAGGTACCATTTCACTGCAAATAGAGAATGTTGGAGCTGGACTCAAGTAGTAGCCCAGCCTCAGTCAGACATGGGTCAGAAGTCATTTAGTTGTCATTAGTTATCTCCTGAGTCCCTGAGATAGAATAAGTCAAGTTTTGAGAGGTCAGCTATTCTTCAATAGACTTATTAACTGTAATTGGTTCCACTAAGATAGAAACATATAGTTATATTTAAAGAATCAATAGTCTCAGTCAATTATTAAAGTAGGTGAATAGCTACTGAGTGTCCAAGGACTAATACCATGTATGCAGTGATCCATACCCTGCTTTAATTATAATTGGTCTAGGTCTTTAAAGCACAAGGCACTGTCTAGATGAAGTATGTAATGACTCCCTAATGATGAAAAGTAATGTGTATATACAGAGACAGCAAGAAAGAACCAAATGATTAAAAGAGAAAAAAAAATAGCTGATCACAGAAAATGCACTTTCAAAGAATTTTAAGGTTGAGAAGGTATTTATTTCTTTTTATCTCAGTGTAGTGGTCTTGGCTGAGTTCCAGTGCTTCAGGGTTTTCAGGTACCAAAAATTCAACCAGGTGGGTGGTTAGAGAGAACAGTCTAGAAGATCCAACAAAAGGCAGTTGGCAGATGTCCAGGTAAGGATATTGATCATGATGATGTGAAGATAAGAGTAGACAATTTGAAAAGAAGTGAATGTCATGTGATAGGACCTACTAGAATAATGTAGAGTTCAGGACTCTGAATCAACAGAGAGGACTGACAGAGAAAGCCTTAGTTTGGGAGAAACGATAATGTAAGAAGTGTTCAGTCAGGACTAGAGAACGAGCCTGTTTTGTTTTTGATTTTTGTTTTGTTTGAACTGGAGCACCAGAAGAGAAAAAAAAGCACTAGGAAGTTTGACTTGATGCCTAGACAAGACAAGGACAAGAGCTCAGGAGAAGGGTCTGATCTTGCAGCTGGAAGGAAAGGAGGCTAAGCAGTTTTCAGGAAAAGCAGGCAGAAACCAGACAAGTGATTACAAAGTCATTGGATGCCAAGTGCAAAACAGAACCTGTATTATGACCGTGACTAAAAGACATCACACCACTGGATGTAGAAACGAGTAGCTCCGGAGGGACATCTCTTCTCCATTGTGGCAGAAATAATGATCCTTCCCAAATATTCCATTTACTTTCCCCACACTTCCCAGGTTCCTTCCAATTAGAATCATGTGACTCCTTTTGGTCATTGAAATGACAGCAAAAAATGGCATATGTCACTCCCAGGTGGAGGCAATGAAAAGTGCACGCACTTTCCCCCTTGTGGTGGATGCTATGATATGCTGCCCAGATCTGCTCTTCAGGACTGAGACTCTGATTCCTCCCATTGCTGACAGCTCTCAGCTGAGTTGCTCTCCTGGAATTATCCTCAGTAGAGGAGAGCCACTTTACTCAAGGTCATAACCTCTCTCTGGGGTCAAGCTAATCAAATGACTGGTTGATAAGGGATAATAAAGGCCCAGGTCCCTTGCCTTAAGGTGAGAGAACTGTGAAGAACCATTTGAGCTCCAGGACTCCCTTTTGGGTTGGTCAAGACCTTTGTTGTTACTACATACATAGTAAGTAGTTCAACAATTGTCTGCTCAACCATTCTTGCACTATCCCTGGCAGATATCAATTAGAGTTCCCTCCCCAATAACCTTTTTGCACAGAAATCTTTATCTTGATCTGTTTTCCAGGTAGCCTGACCCAAGACACTTTCCTTCTGCTGATGTTTAGATCATGTAGCTATGAGATGGCAAAGAATGTTACAATCTGGATCTGTGAGTGGAACAGAGCCCTTGTGGACCTGCAGTAGACATGCTGCATGAATAAGCAATAAGCCTTTATTGTACCAAGCCACTGAGATTTGGAGATAATTTGCCACTAATGCCTAACCTAACCTATCCTGACTAATAATTACACTCACTGTGTCACCCATGTCCTTGATCCTCCTGATGGGCTCCTCCTGACCAATTGATTTCATCTGACCAATTGATTTCAGGCTACTTTCAAGATAGCCCTACTGAGCTTTGCCGCCCCAAGATAAGAGCACAGAGATTAAGTAACAGAGCCCTTATATATTCAGTACTGCCCTAAAACTTGAAATATTTTTGACTATAATTTTCTCTGAGAGTAACATAATGGATCTATTTAATAGATGAGACCTCTTGAGGCCAATGAAGTACAACAAGGCTCCTTATTTTTCTGTTCCACACTGTGTTATTCTCCCAAAGCTAATGAGGTGGGGGGACAAGCGGAGAAGAGGAGAAGAATAAAGAAATTGGCCTCTTATTGTCTTATACTTGTGGAGTCTGCCAGTCAGAATTTCTTCCTGAAGTCATCCATGAAGAGACGACTGGTACCACATTAGGAAACCATGTTCCCCAAGTTTTGTAGTAGGACTAAACAGATGTTCCTGAGAAGTACATGTGGGACATTATGACTTTATGTATCAAATTTGACCCTTGTATCAAATAAAAGAAGAAATCAGGAAAAACTTTCAGTTTTATTAGAGTGTTCCAGAAAGATGCAACCATTTCTCTTTTACCCCAGTAATTACCTCCTAATCTTCCTTGTACAGTCCATTGGTCAAGCCAAGCTGTATTCTCTGAGAAATTCCATTTCTTCTGCTTAGGAAGCACCACTTTTACAGGTAGAAGTCTTGGCTCTTTGGATCTCCTAATGTTTAATAAACCCCCGGACTTTTGTGTTTTTATAGGTGTGAACTGTCACTCTAAGTGGGTGGGGAAGCTCAAACCCCTAAGTAGATCCTATAATTCCAGTACAGTCTCTCCGCTAAAGACTTACAACTAGTTTCTACATGAGCTACTTAAAATCAAGGACATCGTGCCTCAAGGAGTAATGAAGAAGTTACAGTCCTCATGTGAATGGAATTTTGACTCTATTCCTTGCAAAATAATAACATTGCAATTATTGAGTTAAGGAGTGTTTGACTCCTCTTCTTCCTGATGACATTATAAAGGTTTGTATTTGTGTCTCTGAGGTATGGGAAACAAGCAATAACAAACCCAAAGAGATTGATTTTTTTTTAAATGTTCAAATCCTTCCTTTGATGAGGTTCAAGGAATTGATTCTGTTTCTGGAACAGATAGGCACATAACAGAGAAAGATAAATGGCTTTGGCTACAAAATCTTCATTTTTCCCTTGGCTCTTTGGCAAGTTAAGAAAAAACTATAACTTCTATTTGTTGAGCAGTTGCTATATGCCAGGAAGTTTACATACTACCCTCTATTATTAAATACTCATGACAACTCTGTTTTTAAGGTGGGAAAAACTAAAGATTAGTTCTCTTAAGATCATACCATTATTAACAGTACTCAGCAGAGTGAGGGTTTAAACTCAGTCTCTTTGACCTCCTGACCTTCTACTCAGTTCTTTTCACCATTATACCCATTGGTCTCTCTATAATGAATAAAAATTGTAGAAATTACTCATCCTCTAGCGATTTCATTGTTGATGTCTACACTAAATGGAATTCCAAGTTGTTTCCAAACATGAGAATATATTATTAGAATTATTCAACTCTGAAGCAACTCACTCTAAAACAATCTTAGAATGTCATGGGACAGATGAATTGTACAGTAATGGATACAGGGAAAAATATGAGACCCCTGCCTAGACAAGTATTATCAACAGCATAATAACTTTCCCTTACTATGCCTTCATTATGTGGCTGGCACTGTGTTAAATGGTTCTTATGAATTATCTAATTTACTTCTCAAGACAATCCTAGCAGGTAATAACTATTATTATCTTATAATGGGGGAAATTAGATCTGGAGAATTTAATTATCTTTCCCAAAGTAATACAAGCTAATAAATGGTAGACCCAAGAGTTGAACTAGGGTAGTCTGATTCCAAATATGTGCCCTTAGCCACAAGGAGCTTATGTGAGATAACTATAAAATAAAGTCCAAGACAAGAGTAAGATATTTGTTGGGCAAGTATGAAGAACAAAATAATTCCAAGAGAGTTGAAGGATTTTGGATAAGGGATGATGGATAAACTGACAAGTTTGGAACTGCTTATTTTTCCTTGCATATTAACTGAGTCAGGTCATGGCTCTTTTGAAAATGTTTTTCCTACTAGGTGTCAAAAAATAGAGGATTAACTATAAGCAGACACTCAATTTCCCAAATCAAGATTTTGTTGGAAGTGTAGGTATGTTACAGTTGGTTATTGACTGACGACTACAGAACCAATCAAGCTCTTTCATGTCTTCCAGGGAACTAACAACTGTGAGTGCCCAGTAAGCGTCAAGAGGCTTAACCCTGTTGACAGAAGATGAACACTCCCGTTAGGGCTCCACTTCAAAATGAAGTACACTAGTTCTTAGGCAGAGGGCTAGAAGAAGGAAATTGGAGGACTATGTCACTTGTAACATTTTTGCCACCCCACTAATAATGGGCTTCTGCTTTAAAAGTCTAAGCATGCTTAATTTGACTTCCCACAGTGTGGAAAACTATGTGCATCTATGTCTGCAATGACAATATATTTTTCAAAAAGATCTCAAAATTTAACTGGCTTCCAGCAACAAGCACCTTACTTCTGGCTCAAACATCTGTGAATTGGCTGAGGTCAAACTGGTTTAGACTTGGCTAAGTTAGGCTTAGCTCCAAGCTGTAGAGTTGGATTTAGTGAGCTCCATGGGTCTCTCATTTGCCTTGATCCAGCAGCTGCCAAGGTGTATTCTTCTCATCTATAAAGACAGAAACACAAGACAGGAAGTTAAACTATGCAAACACAGTTCAAATTTCTATTTATGCCACATCTACTAACATTGTGTTGATCAAGGCAAGTCACATGACTAGGCTTAAAGTCAAGTGGCTGGAAAGTACACTCTACTCATCCTGATGGCATGGGCAAATTGTGAGGAATTAGAATCACTAATAAAATCTAACATTCATAGATGGATCAGGAGAAAATAAAGTATCAAAATGAGTGCAAAGAGCTGTAAGTGAAAACCATCTTAGACACAAATTAATTGTCCCCACCAATATTTTATCTTTCTTTGCTGCTGGCTGTATGTATATAGGCATTTCACATGGCTATCTCCTTCTTCAGGGTCAGCATTTAGAGGTAAACTCTATGGAAAACATATTCTAACACAGAAAATCTGGGGTTATAATGGGATTTCTCGGAAATGGAATCTAGGGATATGGTAGCTTTGAAGGAAAAAACAGTACGTGATTGGCATTCAGCTTTGTCTGGGATCTAAGAAGCTGTGCTGTGGTCAAATAGAAAGTCAACAGTGGTAATTTACATTAGTAGGAAAAGAGAAACCATTTCATAGAGAGCCAGAACTTGATGCCCAAGGATGAGGTTAAATTATGAAGCAGATGATAGTTAGGTATTTAATTAGCTAGTGTGGCAACCGATGACCACAAAAATGTATTAGGAAAGCACATTTAATCTGTCTTGGGATATGTTTTCCTCTCTCAGCCTTCATCTGAGGTGGCTCATCATTTTTAATTCCTTGGGCCATCTTTCCTTTTTCTGTTCTGTTCAAGCAATTCTAGCTAAGCCTGTATGATATCATACTACCTTTCAAGCTGGCTTCGTCTTTTTTTTTCTAATCTTCTATATTTTCCCTGTGTTATTCACAGATCTTATTTGTCTTGCTGTATTTGGTACTCTCTATGAGTTTCTGGAACTCCAATCTTAGATTTTTTTTGATTCAGGGACTTCTGACATTTCTACCTCATTATATGCCACTCTTAGCAACTGATGATACTTTTCTCTGGCTCAGTGTCAGCTGTACCCTCTCATAATAGGGTAGGTGGCTTATTGTCCCATACTTCTAGGCAGATCTATTGCTTCTTTTTAATGTTTCCTGGTTCCAGGTCTAAAAAGTTTTTTATATTCATTTTAGACTTATATAAACAGTATTAAGTCTGATTTCTGTCTTCTACTTCTTCCTGTGTAGCTATCTTACCCTGAAGGGGAGATGGGGAGACAGGGAGGAAAGAAAGAAAGTAGGCGGTGGGGGAGAGAGAGATGAACAGAGAGGAAGAAAGGTAAATGTGTCAAGTGGGAAAGAAAGGGAGGAAAAAAGGATGATTGAATGGAGAGAGGGAAGGAGAAAGGGAGGAGGGACAAGGGAAGGAGAGAGAGAGAATGGAGGGAGAGAGAAAGAGAAACAAACAGAGAGAATGCATAAGGCAGAGATCCAGAAAGCCAAGAAAGAACTTGGACAGGTGAGAAAAATTGCATGGGTAGCTGATACCTAAAGGCTTTGCCATGAAGACCCCCTGACCCTATGATTGTTTTATGTGCAACATTCCCCTCTACTATACAAATGTAAGGGAAAGTGCTAAAGAAACGTAGAAAACTGATCCTATAAATTAGAAGAAACTGAAAGTTTGTAAACATTCAGTACAATGCAGATGCCCAGGTTTCCCCCCTTATTCCTGGAGTCCAGTATTACTGTTAGTAGACCTCTTTCAAATTAGAAAGCTACAGCCTTCCAACCATGCACATTAATAACCCAAATACCTGCCGAGAGCTGCTACTTCGTAAGTATTCCATCACTGCCTCTCAAGTTCCGACAGTGAAAAACGTGCACATCTCCCTCATCTCCCATTTCTGTAAACTAGATTTGCCAGTTGCAGCTGCCGAGGGGTGAGAAGCCTATAAACTTGGGGTATTTAAGACAAATTTGTTTTCCTGTCTGCTAGCTCCTGAAAAGACAATTAAAAAATTATGCTTAAGTAAACCCCGTAAAGCTTTCAACACCTTTAGGTAATACACATGTTTTTCCAAGTACCCCGTGTGCACGTAGACCCTATGATTTCACAGATGGTGATGGGATACTGTTGAGTCCAGATGTTGGAGGCAGAGCTTGTATTTGGCTGACTGTATTAGATGACGTTGGTTGGTAGGTGGATCCTGATATTGCACCCAGTGCTGGAGGTAGCACATGAATGTATCCATGTGTGCCATTCCAGGTAATGAGCTAAAAGTCCTGTCACCAAGGTGATATGTAATCTTCTTTCTCCCAAATCCACTTGAACATGCATACATTCTTATCCTACTTGTCCTCACTGCATATTTCACCGTGTTGGTGTCTTCCTCCTTGAAGTACTCCCTTCCTTGGTTTCTGTGACATTACACTCTTTGGGTAAACTTCCATTTTATTTCCTTTCAGGTTTTCATTTGCTCCACTGTATTTGTGTTGGTATTCCATTTTCTAGCCTCTTTGGTTTTCACTGTACAATCTACCTAGGTGGGCTTTTCTAATTACACAACTTTAAATATATATGAAATTCTCTAAATATTTTTTCTAGCCCCAAATTCCATAGCTCTTGACTTATATAACTGACAAACTACCCAATAGTTCAGCATGGGTTTTCCTTAGCAACCTCAAACCCACCATATTCCCAGCTGAATTTTGCATCTCCCATCTCCCCAAACAAGATTCTTTTTTATGGGGGCAATGGTGGATTCTTATTTCAGAAATGGTGCCAACATTGACTACTTGCCCAAATCTGAAATCTGACTCCTGCTTCATTCACATCCCAATACCCAGTCATCAGAAACTCTTATGTTTGTACTTTTTAATATCCCTTGGGCATTTTCACTTCTCTCCATCCCCACTACTGCCTCCATTGGCAGTCATTATCTCTGATGACAATCTGGATTATGGCAAGGCTCAGCTAGCATCCCTGTATTCATATACTAGCTGTCTGCAATGTATACTTAACACTGCAGCCAGAATGAGCTTCCTACTACACAAATCAATCACACCTCTTTCCTCCTTCTTTCTACTCTTTTATGGGCTCCCATTGCCCTTTCTGTAAAGTCCAGTACCCCAGCATGACTTACGAAGCTCCACCATAACTGACTCTTGCTCACTTCCTCATGCACATTGCTTACCTCTCCCTTTTGCACACCCTACAGTCTGGCCACACTTATCTCTTTGGGTTTTCCTGGACATGCCTTGCTGCCTTCTGCACTTGGGATTTTACACGTGTTCTTTCTTCCTGAAACAATCTTGATAATTCCTAATAATTTTTTTTTTTAGACACATTCTCACTCTGTTGGCCAGGCTGGAGTGCAGTGGCATGATCTCGGCTCACTGCAACCTCTGCCTCCCAGGTTCAAGCGATTCTTCTGCCTCAGCCTCCCAAGCTACAGGCATCTGCCACCATGCCTGGCTAATTTTTGTATTTTTGGTAGAGATGGGGTTTCACCATATTGGCCAGGCTGGTCTCAAACTCCTGACCTTGTGATCTGCCTGGGTCAGCCTCCCAAAGTGCTGGGATTACAGGCATGAGCCACTGCACCTGGCCAACTCCTAATAAATTTTTAAGACTAGCTTTATCTACTAACTCCTCTAAGAAGCCTTTGCTTCATTTACTCATTCATTTGTGCATTTACTAAATATTTATTAAGGAGCCTTTCTGTGTAAGGAGCCTGTCTTTGTTGTTTGGGCTACTGTAAAAAACTATCATAGACTGGGTAACATAAACAAAAGAAGTGTATTTCTCACAGTTCTGGAGACTGAAAGTCCTGGATCAAAGCACTGGCAGATTTGTTGTCTAGTGAGATCTTGCTTCCTTGTTCCTAGGTGGCCATCTCCTTGCTGGGTAGAAAGGGTGAGAGAGCTACTTAGGGTTTCTTAATAAGGGCACTAATCCCATTAATGAGGGTTCTGCCCTTATGATCTAAGCACATACCAAAGGCTTCACCTCCTAATCCCATCACATTGGGGATTAAGATTTGAGCATATGAATTTAGGGAAAGCACATTCATTCCATAGCAGAGCCACTAAATGCCTGGGCACTGGGTTTGTTGCCAGCCCTTAAGATGTCCCATGGCAGCCATACTTAGCTCTCTGTATTTGTCACATTGCATTTAATTTGCTTTTTATGTGAATGTCTCTCCCACTAGACTTAGAGTACCCTCTGGGCAAAACCAATGTCTTATTGGTTTTATTGTTTTGTGTTTTTGCAACACCCAGTTCAGTACCTGACATATAAAGTAGGTGTTCATAAAATATGTCTGGAATAAATGGATGAATAAACCACTTTTTGAATTTTTTCTTCACTCTTAGAACACAGAAACAGCAAGATTAGGTTAATCATTAATCTGAAAACATCTTTTTTTTTTTGCACTTAGATTGGCAGAGCCACTTCATCTCAGCACCTGCTCCTGAGGCAAAATCACAGAAATCTTTCTAGAATCTCTTGCTAGCTCTTCATGGTGTAACACCCCTAACTTCAATGAGTGCAAGGGACAGAAAGCCAAGGCTCTCTTAATCTGCCCCAGTTTCCCTTTCTTGCTGTAATGTATCTTGAACGGGGCATGAACAAAACCAGTTTCAGGGTGAGGAAGTGTGTAATTTTGTACACACTGAAGATGGGGACATAGTTTCCTGTACAGAATCTCTCTAGTTTCCTGTACAGAATCCATTTTTTTTCTCTTTCAGAAGTCCTTTATTCCATTTTACTAAATATCTGTGTGTTTCCCAGGAAGAAAAGCTTGATCTCCAGGCAGCTTTCAGTTTCTGCCCTGCCTCCGTAGATGGTCTTGGGATTGTCATGGCAAGCGTATGGTAAAACTAAATAATATTTGTTGAATTGAATTATCTTGGTGGTAAGGGAAATAAACCCTGTGGACCCCACAGAGCCACAATGGTCAGGATCTTTGTTTGTTTTTAATCTGCTTTAAACCCTTGGGACTAGAAATAGATGAATAAAAACTGGCCTCAGAAATCCCGTTATGTATTTCCCTCATTGTCTTTCTTCACTTTATTTCTAGCCACAATATATATGTGGCTTACCTTATAAGCCACAATCTCATAAGGTAAGAAAATGAAGGTATTTCTGTGGGCTATGTGAAAACAGTTCAGTTGACCTAGACTTTGATGTCAGTTTCAGGGCTGATCCAATTGCTAATGCATTGTGCACATATATAGCATAGAGAAAATGCACACAGGGTCCTCACTATGATTCTTAGGGACAGGCAATGGTGTTCAAATAAACATAAAAGACCAAGGAATCCCATCATGTCTTTTCTTACATACTTCCCTGTATTATGCTGAAAATGATGACATAGAAGGAATGGGAAAGAAAGGACAACGCATCCTTCTTTTTCTTTACTCATCATTAATCGTCAGTAAGTAGAAGGGAGAAAGTATTGGTAGAACTGTAACAAGGAGTGACATAAAAACTGTTGAGTTAGTTTTGTGCAGCATTTCAACTGTTCTGGTAAAAACAAAATACAAATACGTGACTTACGAAATACAAATTATATTTTCAGTGACTCCTCATATGAGCAAAATGTTCTTATATTTGCATTTCAAATTGTCATTGCATGATATAAAGATAAATAGCAAAATTAATGCTAATAATTTAAATTTTTATTTTTTCTTTACCTACAACAAATTAAACAGCAAATTAAAAAACACTATGATGAGTTAAGAGAGAAGACATGGAAGGAAAAAAAAAAACCCTTTGGATCTTAGTGCCTTTAACAGCCCTCTTTTTCCTGTCTTTTGAAGGAGAGATTCCAAATTTTCATTTTGCACCTGGCCTGGCAAAATTTTTAGCTAGCCATGATTACTAGACTAATGATGTGAACATTCATTCAACAAAGATTTCCTGAGTGCCCACTAGTACCTAGACTTAAAGAGATAGATTAGAGAGATGCCTAAAGAGATAGGTAGAGAAAACTAGCTGAGACTACAAAGTAGAATGTAAGAAACAGAGCTGGGGAGGCACAGGCAGGTGCCCTTATAGTGAGACCCTGGTACAAGCTGGGGAGGTTCCTCGTCTTGTTTGTTCCAGGGAGACACTGAGATAAGGCTCCCAAGGATGCTGCCTGAGCAAAACTCCATTTTGTGCAGGTGAAAGCTGTGCTGTGCCTCCTTGCTTCGGACTGGAGTGAGAGTCAACTTATTTGAGCAATCAGAGTCTTTCACAGGCTGCATGACTTATTCTGGGGTCTTCTCTGCTCATAGTATAGCTTGTATTCCTTTGGGAGGAATGTCATATATCCCCTGTGTCAGCTAAAGGATCTAAGATGTGGGCTACTAGCCTGTCTCACTACTTCCTAGTCTATCCTTACCAGGGGCTGGTAGAATTTAGCCCTTAATACTAAGGTCTTAAAAAAGAACAGGATCTTACTTACTTGAGTTTAGTGGACAACCTCCTCTCCTCCTTAATCTTCCACCCTTGGCCATGAGGTAAGATACTCTCATGGCCCAGGTATCCTTCTCTTAGAATGAAAGTAGCTGATGATAACCATGTCTGTGACTCCTCTTAGACCATGGCTTGACAGCTTCTGGACCCACAATTTCAGCAACGTTTAAAAAAAGAAAGTCCAAGGAGTTGAGATGGGGTTTGAAATGTCAACCAAGTAAGGTGAATGTGTACTCATTCTTATTAAGTCTTATCTTACTTAAGCCAAATAAGACTTAATAAGAATGGGTACACATTCACCTTACTGGGTTGGTTCTTCTAAGTATTTCTCTCCCATTGCCCCTCAGTGGTCCTGAGCCCCCTGCCACTACTCCACACCAAAGCTGCTTCATCAGATGCAGGAACTTATATTGGTTTATATCTTGTGAGGCCTGGTCATTGCTAGTGAGGGCCTATTTTTATTATTCACTCAACTGTTTTTCTACTAGTTAGTGTTACAAATGAATAAAACTAACTAGTAATGCTAATTAGTAACACTAACTCATTAGTAACACTACTAACCAGAGTTACTGTCATGGGATTTTTGGGGTGTTGCTTTGCCAGCCAGAAACCTCTGTGGCCAGTGGTGCCTTTGCCTGAGTTTTGCTTGGGCCCTCTGGACTCATTCTGCCAACTTGGCCTGGCAGGCTGTGCTTGGCTCGTGCTACTGACCTGAATCCCATGCCTGCCAAGGGAAAACCAGGTGCAAAGTGGCAAGGGGTATGTGAGTGAGCATGGGAGGGTCCAGCCACTGTGCACAGGCAGGCACACCAACTGGGGCAGGGTGGGCAGCTCCACGGACCAGCACTGGCGCTGGCTCCCTGCGAGGCTTTGGCTGGACCAGGCATCCTGCAAGCAGCTTCCATGGCTGGCACTGGGAATGTGGTAGTGCCTGGAAGGTTGGATATGCCAAGAACTGCAGAGCCCCAAAGAGGGTGTCACAGCCCTGACTAAGGGAGCCCCTAGGTTCGGGCTCCCCGAAGGGCCACAGCTCTTCTCATCTTCTCTCTCTTCTCCTTCTTGGTAATGCCAAAGTAGTGAGCAAGGGGCATGTTTCAGCCCTGTTTGTGTTACAGCTCTTTTAGCCCCACCATTTGGCAGGTCCCGAGTTCTTGTCCTGTGTCCAGGAAGAATGAAGTACACAGACAAGTGGAGGGTGAGCAAGGTGAAGAGGAGTTTTATTGAGCAGCAGCTCAGAGGAGAACAGCTCAGAGGAGACCCGCAGTGGGTAGCTCTTCTCTGCAAGCAGGGTGTCCTGATGAGTGTCTAGCCCTCAGTAGAGGGGAGACCCTGGAATGGGCCGCTCCTCTCTGCAGGCAGTGTGTCCTGATGAGTGTCCAGCTCTCAGCAGAGAGGGGACTCTGTTGTGGGTAGTTCCTCTTTGCAGCTGTTTGAGTCTGGCTGAGTTGGAGCTTTTATGGGCCTCAGAGGGGAATAAGTGTGTGCCAGTTGGTCCATGAGTGGCCATGGGTGGGCCTGGAAAAAGCACCGCAAGTTCCCACTCCTGTTTGTGGGACCAGCAGCCTGGCCCCCAGGCTTCAGGCTCTCCCTGGCTTGAAGGTGGGGCTTTACCTGGGACCCGTCCCTTTCCACCCAGGAGCCTGTCTGCCTCCTGCTGTCATTCATGGCGTCCAGGCTGTTCATGCCATGGGGCACCTGCAGGTGAGTACTGAGCTGCCCTTAGCCCCACCTCAGCCTCCTTCCCATGCTTGTTGGCACCCAAAGTCCAGAGGGGGCCTAGGTGGCAGGGGGCTGGCATAGCAGTGCTGCCCTGAGTGTGTGCACGCCTGGCCAGGCTGTGACAGCACCTGGGTGTGGCCCCAACCTTGCTCCAAGATTGGAGCAGATGCCAGGAGCAGGCCAGGCAGCGGGAGCAGATATCTCTGAGCCTTGGGGGCAGGTGGGGCCTTCCCAGGCCCCTAAGAGTGCAGAGATGCCCAGATCTGCAGCCATGGCTTAGGTGGCTGCAGCTGCGCCAGGGAGGGCAGGGCTCCTGCCTACTCCCAGCCCCCGTTGGCTCTGTGTAGCACAGAGCCCTGGCTGTACCTCTCCGACTGTAGCCAGTGTCATAGCAGCAGCTGCTCTAGATGGGCCGCTGCTGTCATCAATACTAGTCGGTTTTATTCACTCAATGGTTTGTTCTACTAGTTAGTGTTACTAGCATTACTAGTTAGTAATAATAGTAACATATTACTAGCATTACTAGTTAGTAATAATAGTAACATATTACTAGTTAGTAACTAGTGTTAGTAGTTAGTGTTACTTTTAGTAACACTAGGAACTAAAACTTGAGGACAGGGTTTTTTTTTGCATAAAAATATATTTATATTGCCAAAATGTTCTTTTTTTCTTAAAATGGGACTTTCTTGACAAAAGTTGTCATTCATTCTGCTTTGCTCATCTCCCAAACGGAGTTAATCACAAAGTGAATTAAACAAAAAGCAACAACAACCTTGTACAAATAATATCTTTTGGAATAGGGAGATGGTCAAAGCCTCCCGATAAAGCTTCCCCAGAATCCATTGCCTTGTTCATTCCTTTAGTCAGGTATGCAATATTTATTGAGGGCTTCCACTTGCTAGGCAGTGAGGTGGGAACTGGATGTGAATGATGCAAAACAGATAGTTTCAGCCTTTGTGGAGCTCAGCCTAGAGTTTAGTTAGAGGCACATAAGTTTTTTAACTGATCATAAACTTATATAATTACAAACTGTATTTAGTATTATGGAGTAAATGTATAAAAACCTGTGATATCACAGAATAGGAAGTCACACCCAGTTTGGGTAAGAGTTCAGGGAAATTTTTCCTGAGAGTATGATGGGCTGAAGCACTGAGCTGCTGTTGAGAGAGCAACAGCCTCAACTCTTTATTTGCACATTGTTGGGCTCACCTTTTCATCATCTTTCTCTCACACCAGCTCTTGTGGCCGTAGTTCTGGCCAGGAATTCTAGAAAGGAGAAAGACTGTCTTGATGTTATAGTCTCTCTGAGGCACTGATGGGGTTTGAACTTTGCTCTTTCCACGAGCATTATTAAGAAGGAGAACTCGTTTTCTCTGCAGAAGGGCTGGGTTTGATGAGTACCTTGAGTGACCTCTGCTACTCCTCATCCATGTATGTGGTAAACATTGCTAACCAATAGAGGCACTTGTTCCTGCTGAGCTTAGATGAACAATTCTTACAAAATGTCTAGATATTTGCTTCCAAATGATTGGAGTTGCAGTGAAGCATGAAGTCTACTTGCTGTTCCACATCTCACATGCCTGCCTTGCTTGATGAATGGAACCCAATTGGTTCTATGTGGGCTTGAAGAAAGTAGATGCATTTAATGACTTGAATCTGCCTCTGACTTAAGATTCATCCAACATTTGGGTCAAGGAAATCTCCTATTCTACATTTGCAAATCAGACTCAGATACTGTTCTGGCCTCCTGGGAGCACACACAGAAGTTATAAAATTACTAGTGTAAATGCTTAGGATAATATTTGACACCTCATATTTGGTAAATAGATAATAAACACCAGTTTAAACCCTCATCATTATTAATAATATTATTATAAGTGAAAAGTCATCACTCTTAGGAAGAGTGGGAACTACCTGCAAAGATGGAGCAAAGTGAGGAAATGACATATTGTCATATGACCATTGTCAGATTTTTCTTAGCAACATTTTCACTCCAAATTCTACTTGTCTTTGAAGCCTGCACCTCTCCCCACCTCCCACTCACACACAAAATCATGGAGTACTGGTCCATCTGGCACTCGTTGTCTTATTACTGCCACTGGAGCTGGAGATGCCAAGAATAATGACCATAGCCCCTATCTTTAAGAAGCTTATATTCTAGTGGGGAGGCAGAAAATAAATGAATAGAGTCATCCCATTTTTGCCTTCATGGAGTGTGCAGACTGGAAGAGGGAGAGAGATATTAAATCAATAAACATATAATTTAAAACTTATATAAGTTCTGGGCTGCGTGTAGTGGCTCACGCCTGTAGATCCAGCACTTTGGGAGGCCGAGGTGGGCAGATCACGAGGTCAGGAGATCGAGACCATCCTGGCTAACATGGTGAAAACCTGTCTCTACTAAAAATACAAAAAATTAGCCGGGCATGGTGGCAGGCGCCTGTAGTCCCAGCTACTCGGGAGGCTGAGGAAGGAGAATGGCGTTTACCGGGGGTGGAGCTTGCAGTGAGCCGAGATCGCGCCACTGCACTCTAGCCTGGGTGACAAAGCAAGACTCCATCTCAAAAAAAAAAAAAAAAAAAAAAATATATATAAATATATATAATTATATATTATATATAATATGTATTTATTTTAAATAAATATATTTTAAATATATATTATATATAATATATAATTTTAAATAATATATATTATATATAATATATAATTTTAAATAATATATATTATATATAATATATAATTTTAAATAATATATATTATATATAATATATAATTTTAAATAATATATATTATATATAATATATAATTTTAAATAATATATATAATATATAATTTTAAATAATATATATTATATATAATATATATAATTTTAAATAATATATATTATATATAATATATAATTTTAAATAATATATATTATATATAATATATAATTTTAAATAAATATATATATTATATATAATATATAATTTTAAATAAATATATATATTATATATAATATATAATTTTAAATAAATATATATATTATATATAATATATAATTTTAAATAAATATATATTATATATAATATATAATTTTAAATAAATATATATATTATATATAATATATAATTTTAAATAAATATATTAAATAAATAATAAATTTAATAAATTTAAATAAATATATAATATATATTTATTTTAAATAAATATATTAAATAAATATAATTATATATAATTATAATTTAAAAATATAAATATAATTATATATATTATATATAATATACGTTCTGTGAAGCTAAGTAACAGGGTAGAAAAGAGGGAAAAAGAGGAAGAGCTAATTTAAAATTCGAACATTTAGTCAATCAAGACCTCCCTGAGAAAGCAGAATTTAAGGTGACGGTCATCTCATTTTTCTATGAATACATGCTTGGTAGGATGAGGGTTTCTCTGGTTATTTCAATAGTGTATCATACATATAAGGCCAAAGACATGCATTCTGATCAATCAGTATAAATCAGCAAACTCACCTGCCTTTGTCCTGCTCTTAGTGGAAAAATGGGAATGTTAAGAATACTCAAAATCTTTGGTAGAGTATCACTCGTCTGTCCTACTTTAACCTTTGTCTTCATATGAAACCAGATTATCAGGAAAGCGTGTAGCTCCCTCCTATCCACGGATGCGTGTCTGGGATAAACTGCTACTTGAACTAGCCATTTCTGGAGAGAGAATATTGGAAACAGGCACTAAGTGAGAAAGACACATCCTGGAAAGCTGGCCACAAGAATGGCATAGGAGTAGTGGGCAGAAAAGCAGACTTGATTTTGTGATGGGATCAGGTAACAGAAAATAAACAGACTGTTTGGGATGGGGCACAAAGAAATGCCAAATAAAGCATGCAGGGGAGATTGTCCCTCTGTTCTTTGGTAATACTGTTCTTAGAGAAAAGGCTATTCCATTTTGTTAGCTCAGCAGCAAAAAAGATAGAGATGAATTGGAGGAAGTTCAGCAGAGCAGTGAATGGGGTGGATAGTTAGCTTCTGGGGAAAAAGGTGATAACATATAATGCTTTTGAGGGACTGTCATAGTTTTCTGTTACAATGCTAGAAACCAGAGACACCAAGTGGGGAGTGAAATTACTTGGGTACACAGAGGTTTAGTGGAAAATGATTGCATATGGTTAAGAATATAAGAAAATAGGTTAAACTCAGGGATGAATTCTAGCAGAGAGGGAATCAATTTATCAGCAAATTAAGTCAGCATGCTAGAAGTAGGAGCAGCTTAATATAAAGTATAAGATATGTATCTTTCCTCATAAACTTTCAGCTGTGGAATGCCTACAGCCAAACCATTCTGTCTCTCACACACTTTTTTGTGAACAGTCTTGGTTCTGTCCTGAGGGCATTTGCACCTGCTGTTCCTTATGTCTAGATTTGTCATTGCCTACCTTTTCTCCCTCCCACCCAAGATCTCTGAATGGCTGGCTTCTCATTGTTATTCAGGTCTCACGTCTCAGCTACAATGTCACCTTCCCTTGTTTTAAAATGAGGCTGTGAGTAGTTAGCAACTTGACAAATATCACACCATGTCTCACTCCAGAACCCAAGCCCTCCAGTCTCAATGCTGCTTTACTTAATAAGAAATAGACATTTTAGTTAGAGAAAATATAGTTTAGCTTATATGATGGGAGATCTAGAGGTAGCAGTTTCTCATCTGAAGTCTAGGAAGGGTCAACCAAAAAGAAAGAAAATATCTGGTGACCACAAGCCATCACTTGTGGTATCTTAAAGAAAGCTTTATGGCAAAAATAGACAGGGGCCTGTAGGAGAGCCACTAGCTTACAGAATATTCAATGGATGGGCTTTTACCTAGATAATTATGAATAAGATTCCTGCTCACTAAACATCATCAGTCTCTTTTTGGACAATAAACATACACTAACCGATGGAAGGGTTTATTGATAAAATAAACTCTGAGTACTGTACCATTAAATGAGATGACATGTATTGTTTGTTTTGGAGCCATATATTGAAGTAAGTGCTTTACATACTGTATTTCATTTAATCTTGACTACAACCCTGTGAGGTAGGTACTATTGTTATATATCCATTTTACAAATTAGGGAAGTGAGGTTTAGAGGTTGAATGACTTTCTGAAGGTCACAGTGCTATAAAGTAATGGGAACAAGAGGTGAGCCAGATAGTCTAAAGGTACCACATCTATAAAAATGCACTGTACCCTCCACCCCTTCCTGTACCCTCAAACCCATATTGACAACCATTTTGTATAAATAGAAAATAATAACAATTATCTACTATTTGCCTATTCTATCTCAGGTGCCATACAGATTTTTATATATTTCATTAAATTCTTTACATATATATCATTTAGTATTTACAAAAATTTTAGTGGATGGGTATTATTGTCACCAGTTAATAGATAAGGAAATAAAGGATGTAAGTTGTTAAGTAGCTTGAGCAATATCACAGTGGAAAAGATATATTTGAACCATGCTCTTTTAATTATCTGGTACTTTCTCCATAAAAGTATTTTGAGCACCTTGGGGGAGGTATTCAAATCTTAATCTGTGAGAACATAACCACTTTTTTCCACAGCTCCTCTTTGAGGCTCTAAGCCCCCAACACAAGCCTGCCCTCCTACTCTGTGTCCCATGCTTTCCCCCGCTGTACAACAGGGCATGCATGGGTGCTCTTAGAGCAGGCAATGGAGTACTGGTTTGTGCTGGAAACAAGAAGCCAGTATGGCTACTGGAGGCACTTGCAGGTCTTCTACAGTGAGCAGATCAGGGTCTCCTGGAATAGCATTTCTTCTGCTCTTATAATTGTTAAGTTCATTTCTTCTGCTTCAGACTTCAGTTCAATCTCTAAGATCTGAAATAGCTAGTTGCCTGTTTAGAGTAGATACTATCAATATTTGTTCAGGGAATGCTTGAAGAAACCTGTACTCATTTAGTCTTTTTTTCCTTGTTTCTCCAACTGGAATAATTCTGTTAATTTCATAAAATTGTTACCCAGAGCTGCCATTTTCTGGTCTCCTAATTCATGAATGTAACTCTTCTCTGAATCCTTCTTAATGTCTCCATTATGCTCTGTAGTGTCCTTTACTAGAACTAAACATACCACTATTTAGGAGTATAAACAAGTTCAAACCTGATTCTCCATGTATAGCAAGATGTAGGAGAATGGCAAGTCAAAGAGTAAATCGATTGATGACGAGTGAATGATAGAAGCTACCAGATAAGTTTTAATCTTAGACTCTGTATTATGCTCTGTTTTCAATTAAAAAAATATTATTATATCCCTTCCCCTACCCATGAACCCATATGGCCCCCAGGACAGAAGGATAAGATAAAGTGTTTACTGACTTTGTTGGAGACCTCCCAGTAAAGACAAGTGCGTCTTTCCAGGGCCTTATATCTGAATTTTTATCTTGCACACCAAAAATATGCTCAATTAAAAGGGATTCAATGGATAAATAATTTTGGAGTCGTTGGACACACCATCTCCCTCTTAGAGTGTCTCAGTGTACATAAGCATATTTAAGTCCAGTAGTAAAGCCCTGTAGTCAGGAGACCTATTTAACTCAGTTGGCTCAGATGTATTTACATACTGCCTGTGATCAGCCACTGAAGACACTGGAAAAATTCAATTTTAGAGTAATAGAGTTTGAAAAGAACATTTCCTTTTATTTAGATATATGATGTGATGGTTAATAGTGCTTATCAACTTGGTTGGATTGAAGGGTGCAAAGTATTGTACCTGGGTGTGTCTGTGAGTGTGTTGCCAAAGGAGATTAACATTTGAGTCAGTGGACTGGGAAAGGCAGACCCACCCTCAATCTAGGTGGGCACAATCTAATCAGCTGCCAGTGTGGCCAGAATAAAAGCAGGCAGAAGAATGTGGAAAGACTAGACTGGTTTAGTCTTCTGGCCTACATCTTTCTCCCCTGCTGGATGCTTCCTACCCTTGAATATCGGACTTCAAGTTCTTCAGCTTTGGGATTTAGACTGACTTCCTTGCTTTTCAGCTTGCAGATGGCCTATTGCGGGACCTCACCTTGTGATCGTGTGAGTCAATATGCCTTAATAAACTCCCCTTTATATATCCATCTATCCATTAGTTCTGTCCCTCTAGAGAACCCTGACTAATACATATGGTATCTGAGAACACAGACTTCCTATATGAAGTTCTACACAGGTGTTATGTCACTGTTGAGCTGGGGGATTTCATGCTAGATTCCAACTTGTTCGGTTTTTTTAAAAAATCATATTGATGTTTTTGAAAACACTCTTCTAATCTTTATAGAAAATCTGTCTCCAATAAATTCATGTAAACCCCTTCAATTTACTTGAATTTTAGCTTGTGCTTCCTTTTTATACAAAGTTTTCCATAAGTTTAGTATTAGTGGTATGAAGTGGTTCTCTGCTTCAATTCATTTGTCTTAAATATACCTATTTCATGCTCTAAGAGATGTCTTTTAAATTAAATGAATGAGTTGCCTAAATAATTTATTATTCCATAAATTTATATTACATAATTCTTTTATTAGTTACCATTCATCTCTCTGACTTTAAAAAGATCGAATGTTGCTAGTCAGGTTTTATTTAGCATTTTATCTCTCATCACCCTGGTTACCTTGAGTGCTGTATTAGTTTACAGGCTGCCATAATAAATCACTACAAACTGAGTAGTCCAAAGAAACAGAAATCTATTCTATCCCAGTTCTGGACTCTAGAAGTCTGAAGTCAAGCCATCAACAGAGACATGCTCACTCCAAAGGCTCTAGGGAAGACTTCTTCTTTGCTTCTTCTAGTTTCTGGCAATCTTTGGCATTCCTTTGGCTTTGGCAGCATAATCCCAATTTCTTCTTCATCTTTGCATGGCCTTCTTCTATGGGTGCCTGTGTGTTTCTGTATCCAAATGTCTCTCTTCTCATAAGCACACCAATCATTAGACTTAGAGCTCATCCCAATACAATACATGATGCATCTCAACTTGATTACAGATTCAAAGGCCTTATTTCCAAATAGGAAACAGTTCCAGATTCCAAGTGGACAAGAATTTTGGGGAGACACCACTCAACTCAGCGTAGTCCACTCTCTGGGTCCCAAAAGTTCATGTCTTTCCTATGTGCAAAATACATTCCCTCCATCCTAACATCCCCAAAAGTCTTGAGTCATTCCAGCATCAACTCAAAGTCCAAAATCTTACTACATATAATTAACTTGAAAAGTT
Organism: Homo sapiens; assembly: GCF_000001405.40. Taxonomy (NCBI): domain Eukaryota; kingdom Metazoa; phylum Chordata; class Mammalia; order Primates; family Hominidae; genus Homo; species Homo sapiens. The sequence goes on from NC_000008.11 coordinate 117,103,071, forward strand.
CAAAATCTCCTCTTCTAAATCATTTAAATCAGGTATGGGTGAGAATCTGGGTAGGGTCCATCCCGAAGTAAAATTCCTCTCTATTAGTGCACCTGCCAAACTAGAGAACACATTATCTATGTCTAGAATACAATGATGGGACAGCCACAGGGTAGAAAATTTTCATTCTAAAAGTGAGAAACTGGGAGGAAAAAAGGGGTGATGAGTCCCAAGCAAGTTTGCAACCCAGCAAGACAAGCAGAATTTCAAGGAGTGAGAATAATTCTCTGTGGCTTGATGCTCAGAGAGCCTGAGGCATCTGCCCTCTCTTCTTGGCCCACATGAGTGGTAGTGCTGTCCTTTCAGCCTGTCACTCTACCCTCAGTGCCCTCAGAGTCATGTTTCCTTTTGCTTTAAGGGTAACATACTTTGTTTGTTTGTTTGAGACAGGGTCTCACTCTGTTGCCCAGACTGGAGTGCAATGATGTGATCTTGGCTCACTGCAACCTTCACCTCCTGGGTTCAGGCAATTCTCTTGCCTCACCTTCCCAAGTAGCTGGGACTACAGGCATGAACCACCATGCCTGGCTAATTTTTTGTATTTTTCGTAGGGACAGGTTTTGCCATGTTGGCCAGACTGGTCTCGAACTCCTGGCTTCAAGCAATCCATCAGCCTCCCTAAGTGCAAGAATTATAAGTGTGAGCCACTGCGCCCAGCCATGGGTAACATACTTTTTCAGCTGAGTTGCTCTATCAGCCTGTTTCCTGCCTGTAGAATCCCAAAAGTCCAACAGCTTTCTTTCACTTCATTCCATCTCTGTCCTGTTTAGTCCAAGCTACGGCTTTTAGTTGTATAACATTCTCAAAACCCTGAATAGTCTTCTGTGAACATCATGTATAACATTCTCAAAACCCTTAATAGTCTTCTGTGGACATCATGGGGATCATGCCATTAGACAAAAAGTTTCTCCACACATTCCTCCTGGATACCCCGTCGCTATTCCTGGCCTTTGCTGACATGGCTGATTGAATGCATAAGTCATATGCCTAATCTCTTCAGCAAAAGAATGTCCAACTAGACCCCAACTTGGGGTTCTCTTCTAGAACTTGCTTTCTCATATTTTTGCAATGTGACTAGGCTGAGAATTTTCTAAATCATCTGGTTCTGGTTTATTTTTTGCTTAGTAGTTTCTTTCTCCATTTCTTTCCTTTCACATTTTATTATAGGCTGCAAGGAGAAACCAGGCCACACTCTGTTTGGGAACCTCAGTTAAATATCCAAGTTTATTGCTCGCAGGTTCTGCTCTCTACCCAACAACAGACTACAATTCAGCCAAGTTTATTCTACTTTCTAACAAGGATCACCTTTCCTCCAGTTTTCAGTAGCATGTCCCTCATTTCCATCTGAGACTTCACCAAAGCATCTTCAATGTTCATATTTCTAGCAACATTCTGTTCATGACAATAGGTATTCTCTAAAACAATAGAAATTTCCCTACAGTCCTCCTTCTTTACTTCTTTCTGAGAGCTCATCAGAATTGCCTTCAATGTCCACATTTCTGTTACCAAAAGGGGGTCCTGATCCAGACCCCAAGAGAGGATTCTTGGATCTCATGCAAGAAAGAATTTGAGGCAAATCCATAGGGTAAAGTGAAAGCAAGTTTATTCAGAAAGTAAAGGAATAAAAAATGGCTACTCCATTGGCAGAGCAGCCCAGAGAACTGTTGGTTGGCTATTTTTATGGTTATATCTTGATTATATGCTAAACAATGTGTGGACTCCTCATGAGTTTTCTGGGAAAGGGGTGGGCAATTCCTGGAACTGGGGGTTCCTTCCCCTTTTCGGCCATATAGGGTAACTTCCTGATGTTGTCATGGCATCTGTAAATTGTCATGGCACTGGTGAGGGTGTCTTTTAGCAAGCTAATATATTATAATTAGCGTATAATGAGCAGTGAGGACCACCAGAGGTCACTTTTGTCACCATCTTGGTTTTGGTGGGTTTTGGCCAGCTTCTTTATTGGAAGTTGTTTCATCAGCAAGGTCTTTGTGACCTGTATCTTGTGCCAACCTCCTGTCTCATTCTGTGACTTAGAATGTCTAACCTCCTGGGAATGCAGCGCAGTAGGTCTCAGCCTCATTTTACCCAGCCCCTGTTAAAGATGGAGTTGCTCTGGTTCAAACGCCTCTGACATTTCTATTAGAATCTCTTCAAAGCAATCTAAGATTTTTCTATCATGCACCTAAAAACTCTTCCAGCCTCTATCCATTATTCAGTTCCAAAGCTACTTCCATATTTTTATTTATTTATTTATTTATTTACACAATAGCACCCTACTTCTTGGTACTAAAATCTCTATCAGCGAGGGCTCTCAAGAGAAACGAAACCAATAGAACATACACACACATATACATATATGTACACATATGTGTGTTCTTTATATGAGTGTGTATATTAACGAATACGCATACATGATTTATTTTAAGAAATTGGTTCGTAAGATTGGGGCCTGGTATATCTGAAATTTGTAGGGCAAGCCAGCAGCCTGGAAGCTTAGTCAGGATTTCTATGTTGCAGTTTTGAGGTCAAATTTCTTCTTCCCTGGCAAACCTCAGTTTTTGCTCTCAGGACTTCCAATTGATTCAGTGAGGCCCACCCACATTATTGAGGATAATCTCTTACTTAATGTGAGCTTATTTTAGATGTTAAACACGTCTACAAAGTGCCTTCACAGCTGCACCTAGATTAGTGTTTGACTAAATAACTGGGTATTATGGCCTACCCAAGTTGACACATAAAACTGCACGTTACAAGTGCTTTTCCCTATTTCTTCTGCATTTCCAGATTATTTCTCTTAAATTGCAGAGAGCAGAGCTATACATAGCTATCCAGGTCTAACTTCACGAAGAATAGAATGGTTTCTTTTCATTTTCAATGTACATCATACTTTGTCAGACTTTTTTTTCAGTTGCAGCTCTTCGTTGGACTGGTGATAGTATTGGCTTTATTAATCTCTCATTCTCTCACTTATTCATTCCACAAACATTTGTAGAAGGCCACCAAGCTCTAGGGAGAGGAAAATGGTTTTATAAATTAGTGCTTTCTGGGATAAAGGAAATTTATAATCTGTACTACTTAATAGTAGCCACTAGCCACATGTGGTTTTCGAACACTAGGAGTATACTTAGTATTACTGTGGAAGTAGATTTTTATTTTCATTTAATTGTAATTAATTTAGGTTTACATTTAAATGTCTAAATGACACTACTGTATTGGGAAATATAATTTCCCTTATGCAATTGTGGTACAAAATTCATTGTGGTTTTTATCATTAAAAGTAATGGCAGAAACCACAATTATGTTTGTACCAACCTAATACATTATTGAGTTTCTTTTACTAAGATACAGGGATAAATTAGATTTTGATTATTGTTTCAGAGATTGTTAGAGTAAGAAGGAACTTCGAGCAAAAGAGGATTTTAGAGTTGTTTTTCTTTTGTGGATGAGGACTCAGAGGTCATATGAACTGCTGAGAATTAGAGCTTGTTAGCAGTAGTGCAGGACCCAGAACTTGGATTGGCTGCCTGTCAATTCAGTGTTTATTTCCCTACCCTGTTCTATGTCCCCATCTAATTAGACCATTTGATTTTCCACCTGGAATCCCCAGCCCACTTTGACTCTAATTAACAAATGCCTCTAAAAATAGAACTCAACTTTGCACACGGTTTCAGAATGATTGCATCTTCCCTGCTCCATGGCAGAATGATCTGGCATTTTCTTTCAGGAGCTAGTTGGCTTATGACACACCTACCACCTCTGCAGTGATGCCAAAGGGATGTTCTCTCTACCTGACCTGCATATGCTTTATTGGAGAAGGAAAACCATTCTATCTGCATAGCACTGAGTCATCAGTATTTTCTTTGGAGAAAAATGTCACTTGGCCCACATGATGCAATTTTTGCCATAGCACTTTCCTTGATAAATCTTTAGCTGACAAAAACAGAGTGAGAAGAGCATCCTAAGAGTTTCTCACAGGACTATTGATCTATTTTCTTATACTAGTGAACTTCCTTTGTTCATTTGCACTGTGTAAAATAAATGCATTTATATTGACAGTGTGCCTTTGTCAGGATACCATCCTTATTAAAATAAGCTTGAAAATATTTTGCACTATACCAATAACAGGATGTCATATTGACTCTGCATTTAATATAATATCAAAGTATTAAATATAGCCCATGAAGCACTCAAAGTTTGCTTCTGCTCTTTTTAGATAAAGTAAAATTTAAAAATAATGGCAATCAGTTGCTGCATAAAATGGACCTGTGCCTTGCAATGGGCATTGGATTTGAGGAGCAGATGGAAAGTATCTCTGAGATGAGAACGATTAAGTAATATAATTTTAAACATGCTTTGCCAACAACAGATTTTCTGTCACACTGGTCAATTATTAAAGATGAAATTCTTATACCAGCTAGAAATGAGGATTGTTATTTAAGGGAAGGAGACGATACTATCTCTTGGTGCAGAGCTTTATTATTTGGGGCCAGACATCCAATCTGCTACCTGTGATTGACAAGATGATCCAAGTTCTATCATTCCTATGAGAGGTGAGTCATCCATCCATTGCTATAAGAGAACCAAATTTAGATTGGATATTTGAGCGATAAACACAACTCCCCCAAATCTCTCAGGTAAAAACCAGTAATAACTAACCCTGAAAAATCTATGGGATAAAGGTCAGCAATTATAAAATCAACCACAATATAAAGACAGTAATCTGAGGTTGGGTAACTATTTTATTTTTATGGCAAAGTATTGTAAATTATAATAAATGTAGCAAAACTGAATCAATCCAAATGGCCTCTCTTTCATTCTAATCACCTTTATCATTCTGTTATAAACCAGCTTGCTCTGAAATATATAACTAGTGAAGTATAAGGTCCCCAATTTTTTAGGGAAAGAATTCTAGGAAAGTTTATTGTTTAATATTTATCAATATCATTTGATACTTGTATAATATCTTATTTCGATGAGTAAATTATATTTTTCCTTTAATCAGCCTTGGGACACTACTGGGAGTAATTAAAACATGTAAGATAATTATCAGCAAGATAAATACAATATCAGACTCTTCCTAACAATATTTTATGTTTAATACTTTCATTCAGTTAAATGGGAGTTTTGCCTGCACAAGGACTGCTGGTTGGGAAGTCTATAGAAGCAGCCAATATTTAAGTGGATAGATTAAAAATCAAATGCCCCTACATGACAAGAATAAGCAGAATGGTGTTTAGAGTGATAGGTACCAATGGCCATAACATTTCTCATATGCTAAATTCAGACTTTTCTAATTTTATTTGTATAGAACCTCTTTCCAGAAATGGCTCCAAAGAGTGACTTGCCAGTGCTGTTTTAGCAGGTGCTCAGAGGAGATGCCTCCAATGCCCAGCCTGAGCTAATGAATGGAAAACAATCTTTTCCCTCTCACTGTCTCAGATTCTTATAACGATCCTAAAAAAAGATGAGAAAACCATCATTACACCTTGTTCACAGATGTTGAAACCAAGGTATATAGCCTGCTTCACTCACACGGCTTCTTAGTGACAGATAGAGGACTTCACATGTTGCTGGGAACCCTTGGAGTTGGATGAAGAAGCCTGGAGCTCTAGTCTTAATGACTTCACTCTACAAAGAAAATAAACCAATATTCATGACACAGAGCAGCATTTCAGAATTGAGCAACAGGATCTAAAATGTTCTTATCTATTCCACTAACAAATTGTTATCGAGGTCCTAACTGTGTATGATCTTGTCCTAGAAGCTGTTGGCTATTTGAGGATTTAACAAATTCACATTTCAGCTTTCAGCGTCACCCTTTTATTGGAATACTTTCTTTCCTTTGTGCTAGTTTTGCTCTCTGGCAGGCTTTTCTCATGACGTGGCATCCCAGGGCTCTAACTTTCCTTCTCCTAGCCTGGAAAACTCACAGAAAAAGAAGGCGTCTTGACTGATGGTTCCAGTAAAAGTCACGAGGTTGAGTTTTACTGGATTGATCTGCATCATATACCCGTAACTGGACCAATCACAGTGGCCAGAGGGATTGGACACACTGATTGGCCAGGCCTGTGTCATGCACCTAGCCTTGAAGGCAGCATGTGTTGGGACAGCCCCGTGTAAAAGTTATTATAATGGGGTAGGCATTATTCTTTGAAGGAAAGTAGGATGTTGTCACCAGAAAAGGAGGAAATAGTGATGGGCAGGCAACAGCTGTCCTCCAGAGAAAAGTTAAAATGATTTCCATTTTATAAATGAAAAAGTTGAGGCTCAGTATGGTTAAGTGGCTTGAATATGAAAGGGAAAAAGATAAACAGTAGGAACAAAGTTCTTAACTTCTAGCCCTTGAGAAAATCTTCCCGGACATCCATCACATCTCTGAGGTCAGAAAGAAGTGTTCCAGTCACCTTTTAAATCCATTCACTGCCAATAGGAAAAAAACAAGAGAAGGAACTAATCAGATTTTATAAATTCCTAAGAGCCCCGTGTATATTTTGGCTGGAAAGTTGTTTGTTCACTTGTATTTAATGAATGGCCCCTTATCTGACAATGCTGAAACACCCATTTAAACTGCAACATCGGTATTTACGTCTGTTGAAGACATGTTGTTATTAAGTTGAAAAATTGCTATCTCAACAGACTCGTAGGCTTTTCAACTTTGTCTCCTAAGGTAAAAACTCTTTAACAAAGAGCCTTAGTGCTGTTAAGGACAAATGCTGAGAATTCAAAGAAGACACACTTTTGAGGGGATGATCTAAGAGGAATTACCACCCTGGATACCAATCAGGAAATGGCTGGCTTCACAGAAGAGCCGGCTCAGCATTTATAGTGATTAAGGTGCTTAGAATTACGCTTTCTTTATTGACTTTTCCAAGCCCTCTCTGTTTTGAAAAACTAAACTGAAGTGCAAAGCATTTTGTTAACTTAATGAAGAATTTCTGACTTGTTTGTATCTTCATTACGCCTTGTAAGATAGATACACCTGGAAAGAGTATTAGAATAAAAGCATGTTGATTCAAAAAAACCCTCCATAAGAAAATGACAGAAGCTGTGGCTGCTATTGATGTTTGGCGTGGGCCCCAGAGAGAGGTATTGAGGCTTGCTCAAATTCTTTCCACTCCTCTGAATTTTATAGAGACTCAGCAACATTACTTAAAAAAAAAAAGCCATCAAATAGGTTAAATGGTAGTCTAACATCGTGCTTTCTGTCACTTTGTCATTCTGATTGACAGAGGTGAGGACTTCTTTCCAGCCCTGTGGGTGTAAGTGCCAAGAAGATAAAAAGAGCCAAGGAAATGACGTAAGGTCACCATGTGTCATGATGTCCTGAGTAGGGAATGGTGGCCCAGAGAAGTGGAAGGGCAAGATGTCCTCTCAGGGGCGGCCATCAAACTCGTAGAGCAGGACTGTGAAATGCTGAGAGCAAAGGATCTGCAGGAGCTGGCTGGATGCCAGGGCATGCAGGGGCACATGACGAAGCCTTTCCTTTCAGGGGGATAAAGTGTCCTGAGCCCCAGACTCTCTGAGAGGATCAAGGAATGGGCTGAGAAGGGTCCGTCCTCTGCAGAGCTAGAAGTGAGTGACAGTGAGAACTGGTGTGATGTACGTGTATGTGTGTATCCAAATTCATGTTCATATCTGTCATTTTGCTTGATTTATAAGGAATAATCCTAATTATAATGCTACATGTATATTGACTCATTAAATCCTCACAATAGCCCCGAGAGATGAGACAGGCAAATGAGGAAGCCATCCTCTTTCTTGCTTTACAGAGGAGGACACCAAGGTTAGAGGCCGTCGGGTGATTAGCCTTAAAACAGGAAAGCATTAATTGTAGGCAAGTCCATGAAAAGGTAGCCAGGTAACATGGCATAGTGATTAATGGCTTAGAATCTGAAATCAAACAGACTTTTATATCTTGGTTCTTCCATAACTGTCACATTCTCTTAGGAAAGCTACCTAACTTTGAGCCTCAGGTGTCTCAGCTACAAATGAAATTGTGATAAAACACATCTTTGTAGGTGTTTGTAATAATAAAATTAGAAAAAATAGTTAACACAGGACAAATCCTGGCACAAGCTAAATATTTAATAAACATTGGTAGCTATTTTTATTGTTGTTTTCTGACATGTTCCCAAGACAGGATCCAGATATAAGAAAAGATAGGTAGCTTGTTGTCAAAAGTGGTGTTCAGGTTAGGAACTGGGTTTTGGAAGCAGGGAAAAACCTAGTTATCAGAATTCAAACAAAAGGTAAGATCAGACTTTAGCAGTAGACCACTCTTATTTGCCTACTCACCATCTCTTCTTTCTTCTTTTAGTAATAGCACCCTACCTTTCCTTTGGGTCACTATGTTTTCCAAATTATTGGTTGCTGTGCTTCAGTGGGGCTCCATTTTCCAGACCATGACAGAGTACCCAACCAGGCCTGGCTGCTTAGAACACCATGTTCCCTGACTGTGATAGTTTAGCTTTGGACATGTGGACTAAACTAATTAGAGTGCATTATGGGACTTTTTTTTTCTTTCAAACTAGTGGTAAAGAGGCACTGTCTTTCCACTGGCGCTGCAAAGCTACTACAATATAGGTCTGAGGGGCTGGAGGCCATCTTGCTGCCCCAAAGGGAGCATCTTTTTGATGCCATGAAGTCGACCTGGAGGAAGCCACAGCTGAGAGATAGTGGGAAACTAACTCCCCAATTACATGGTTTGAGGTAACTGTGCATAAAACCAGCTCTGCTCCTGGTTGAGGCATTTTTTCTTCCTCTTTATAAATGGACAGTTTTTGATTCTCAAAATGTCCTCCTTGTTTAATATCTGGAAATGTCTAGAAAACAAGGCCAATCTATGCCTCAGGTGGGAGCCAAGGTACCCCAAGTCATCTAAGAAGAAGGCTGCAGGGACTCAGAGACAAGCAGCAGCATCTGGGCTATGCGTCCCTCTGTAAAAAAGAGGATGACATTTCTTCCGTCTCTATTTCAGGTATCATTTTCTCTCCTCTAACCCCATTTCTTGAAAAATTTAACTACTAGGAGTTTGTGAAGATATCACCTCATGGGTTCATTGATAAATGACAGGTGATTTTATGCTTTCCTGAGATAGGTTCAACATGCCAGAGTGTCTTGTGCTCCAGACCTTGAAAGATGAGATTCCTGGAAAATGTTTTAATGTGGGTTGTATTGTTCTGTCTCACCAACCATTCAGAGAATTTTAATTAAGCTCTGTTGTATTCATCCCTTACTCTTAATAAAGCCCTTTATTTCATAACTCAGTTCAGAATAGTTAAATATTTTGTTTGAAGTACAGCCCCTGCCAATTCACCACACAGGAGGGGTGAACAGTTAAAGGAGTTGGTGTAAATGAAAAACCCCTTGAGACTCATTGAGTGTCAAGGTCTGAGCTGGGAGGGAGAAAGCCCCGGCTCTAATTTCAGCTCTGCCGGAGAGAGACTGGGACAACTCAGCCTTCTTTTCCCAGAGCAAAAATGAAGATGCTGAATTTTGTTTACTTCACTGAGCATTGGCAGGAAGTTTTAGGAAGACAATGTCTTCAAAGCATAAAAAGTACTTGGAAAAAAGTCATCATATTACTTGTAGGGCCATGAAGATTCTCTGATGGATGCAATTGCATAAGAAAATGTGTTATTACAGACTCAATATCTAGTCCAGGGCGAATGCTGGGGTGTATCCCAAGGACTTTCCTGCTCTGCAAATTCTTTGTTTTTCCTTCAAGTGTGATCACATGCAGTTTTGCGGAGTCAGCACTTTCTTTGTTTCATTGACTGTTGATTACTTCATTAACTCAGTACTTATCTCCTGAGTGTTTTACTATTTGTTCAGCACTACAGATAGAAAAAGTGGGTCAAGCATGACTGTTCCTTTATTCAGTCAACATCTATTTATCAAGCACCTACTATGTGCCAAGCAGTGAGGATATAAAGATGGTAGCCATAGTCACTGCCTTCTATAATCTTGCTACTCAAATTGTGGTGAGGGGACCAGGAGCATCAGTATCTCCTAGGAGTTTGTTAGAGAAATACAGACAAACGGAATCAGCTTTTAACCAGGATACTAACAAGATCCCTAGGCAATTTGTATGCACATGAAAGTTTGAGAGGCAAAGCTCTAAGCAGACTTATGTCATGGTGAGTTTAGTGGGAAAATAATGAACTAGTGGTTTAGAAGACTGACTGATACTGGTTGCCAGCTTTCTGCTCTGATGCTTGTAATGGAATGGAAGCAAGTCATTTTTCCATGTTATGACTCAATGTATTATCTTCAAAATAGAGATAATATTATTTGCCCTTCCTCCCTCATGTATTATTATGAAGATGAGATAAGAAAATTGTTGCAAAAGTGTAAGTGTTATCCAAAAGTAAGGTATTGCTATTGTAACATTTAAGATTTGGAGAAGCTTCTGTATACTAAGCCTGGCTGCATTGCCCAGGAACTGGAATTTTATTCTGATTTAACAATTGCCTGCATTGTGATTCTATGTTAGGGCATTCTTATCTCTACCATTCAGAGATGTGAGTAACAGGATTGCCAAGGCGCCAGCATGCAGAGAGGTTCTAGTGCTTCTTAGCTCTAGTTATACAGAAGTTGTTGTGCTAGACATTTTATGTATTCAACCAATTTAATAAAACTTAATGAGGGCTTGTCTACTTGGAAAAACTTTGGGGTATGGCATGCTTGGTTCCCGCCCTCAAGTGGTGTTTAAGATGGTGAGGTAACATACAAAATAATTGTAATTCATGATACAATAATGTAGATGCACTGAGTGTGGTTCAGACAATAGGTGAAGACATGGGTAGATTTATAAAACACAGAAGATTTGTGAAACGAGGACAACAGATTAACTAAAGATTATGTTTTTATCATCTGCTTCTTTAGCAAACTCACAGGGCAGCTGGGTCATGAGACCTCCCAGATGTTGGAGAACAGTATCACTAGATTACTGGAAAATGATGACCTGGCTCCAGGTACAAACAAATGCCTTGTCTTAGCCATCAAGTTGGAGAATTCAGACACACAGCACTTAGAACAGAAGCTCTTTTTCTTTCCAAACATTTATATTGTTTCTCCAGGAAAGGGCTGTCCTACTGCTTGTCTACATTTAGGAATAATTATTAGATGAAATGAGATTAGGATTTGAATGGAAAAAACTGCCCATATTCAATTGACAAGGACCATCACTGAACCCATACCTTCCTGTCTATATATCCCCTTCCACCTTGCCCCTCTGAACTACTATTCGGATTCCATGACACAGAATTTGAACATTAAGGGAGTATACTTGGTGAACTAGCAACAATTTGGTGATGAAAGAGAGCAGAAAATCAATCTGGAGAAATTAAGTTTTCTTACAGAACACTTAAGCCCTGGGGTAATCACCAGAGTGAATTCCCCACTCAAAGGCTAAGCTGACCCCCGTCAGCTTTAAATCCCTAGCCCTCCTATTAAAACTGTTTCATATGATAAAGTGAATTAATTGGCTGTTAAGTAAGCCAAAGGGTCTCGAGTTCCTACCTCTGCTGATTCAGCAGATTCTCATCTAAGTGAGATTTAAGAGACTGGAGTCTACTGAGAGAAAAAGTGGGGGTGTTCAAAAAGCCACTCTTGTAGGTTATGCTTCCCCAGCTATAAAATATTCCATAGCAGTGTGAAAATGACCAATTTCAGCCTCCAGAATCACAGAAGCTGGGAGCAGCCTCAGAAATGGGAATGTAGAGATCTGAATTATACTTTAGGCTCTGTAAGTTAATTGCCTTCTTTGTCTTTCTCTCTTCTGTCCTCTCTCTCTCTCTCTTTCTGTCTTAGAGACAGGGTCTTGCTCTGTCACCCAAGCTCTAGTGTGGTGGCTACAGTGATCATAGCTCACTGTAGGCTCAAACTCCTGGGCTCAGGTGATTCTCCTGTCTCAGCCTCCTGAATAGCTGGGACTACAGGCTTGTGCCCCCATGCCTGGCTAATTTTTGAATTTTATTTTTTGTTTATAATTTTAGTTTTTATTTTTTGTAGAGACAGGGTCTCATTCTGTTGACCAGGCTGGTCTTGAACTCCTGGTCTCAAGCTATCTTCCTGCCTTGGCCTTCCAAACTGTTGGGATTATAGGTGTGAGCCACAGGTCTCATCTAACCTTCTTTGTCTTCTTAAATAGAAAACCAGCAGGAGGAACTGCTCTAGTTGGTATGTGATGTAAAGTGAAAATAGCGAAAGGTTGTCTTTGCCCAGCATCATCCCTGTCTGCCATTTTGATCCTCTTTTCTCCCATCAATCTTCTAATTTTCTTTGTTCCTTTTTGGGGTACTTCTTCTCTTGTCCTACTGCCATTTTGAACTCCCTTGGTCCCCCTGCAATTTCTTCACCAATTTTGCATTTTGCTAGCAGCAGTAGGTATTCTCTTTACAATCATTCTTTCATTGTTATAATTTTATTTCTCTCCACAAATAAGCATGAGCACCTTCAGAAGACAAACACATGTTTTTTCCTCAGTGAAATTCCTTTTGGGTGAGAAAGTCATATGTCAATCAAGCAAATTAGTGAAATAGGTTAATTTCAGTTACCAATAAATGCAAAACAGTTAAACAGTTGGAGGTCTGAAGATGAGGGTGAAGGATTAGGAGCCACTTTCTTCAGAGTGGGTAGGGAAGGGCTCATTGAGGCTGTGGCATATGAACTGAGATCTAATCAATGAGGAGGGGCTAGCTGTTCTGAGATCTGGGGAGGCTCATTCCATAGAGAGGAAATGCAGATGCAAAGCCATTGGAAGTGCTTGAGGGTGGGCTAACAGGAGGGGGAGTTTTGGGACTTGTCTGGAAGTTGCATTTGCAGAGCAAGCACATTGTTTTGCTTATATTGTGTGTTGGTTGTGCGTTTATATTATGAGTGGCTTAAGGAGGGTTAGTAGAGATTTTTGTGGAGGGGAGAAGAGCTCCCCTACCAAACTTCTGTACGCCCTTTCTTGAAGACTTTGGCAAAGACTCAGATAAAAACAAGAAATGACAATAGGACCAGTGTGGTTGGAGTTTGCTGTGTTTGGGCAAGGTAGGATGACCCAAGGCCTAAGAAGTCTACAAGGCCTTATAGGTAGGCAGTGATGGCAAGGCGTTTGAATTTTGTTCTGAGTGTAATGGGATGGCACTGGAGGGCTTTGATTAGAAGTGACAGAATAGTGGTTTTCATGTTTTGATCTAAAAAATACCCAATTCACAGGCAGCTCCAGAATATGATTAAACTGAACTAAAATACTAAAACAATACTGATGTCACGGACAATTGAAATTCTGTATAATTATCATTTATGATTACTGAAGCTAGGAATGGCATATTGTGTGACTCCTGTTCATAAGGCAACGGCTCAGATGAAATGCAAGATAGAAAAAGGCAATTCTAAGTATCTTAGCTGTAAGTGTACTCTTTCTATTCTGCTCCAAAAAACATATCAGAATGCATGAGTAGCATAATTTTGGGTACTAATTTCAGGTGTGTCTGGATTTTATATAAAGAATTAGAATTAGAACTCTTCATTACACATTACTCCCAGCATGCCTCCCAAACTGGTAGGTAACCTGTCTGTCCTTGAAGTTACTCTTTTTCTTCTTGCCACCATCAAAGTCTTTTCTCAGGTACCCATCACAGTGAAATCAGAAAAGTTCTGATGGTTTAGTTTACACTCAAGTGTCCATAGGAGACAGTGACTTCATATGTTTATTTGCTAAGAATGTGCATTTGAATAGGAGCAATGGTTTCATGTGAGTGAATGCAAGTATGAGTCAAGGTTATAGAAGGCCAGTATTTGGGCAAGAGCCCTTCTTAGAAGTCCTGAAACTACCCCACCTATACAGTCCTAATGGTTTATAATACTGTTTCTTCCTACATCTTGTGGCTTCTACGCCCTCAGAAATGAATGCTGTAGCCCTCCAGAAATGCCTGAGACTAAAAAGGTAATGAAAAATAATTTGTAGCTATCAGCATTTTTGTCTTTCCGAGGAAAGACCCATCTTTAGAATAATTTATCTTTATATGAAGCAAAAGGGCTCTTCTGAATAATGCAAAACCACTAACAGTTAAAACAATAGCTGATACTGTAGTATTTTCTGTGTGCCAGGCTCTTTTCTAAGCACTTATTTATATTAACTTATTTAATCCTGCAACAACCCTATGTAACAGGTATTATTGTCATCCCAATTTTATGAACAAAAAAAAAGACAGTTATGGTAAATTCATATACTCTAAATATGTGGATAATTTAGGAGTTCTGAATATGTAACATCACCTCAGTAAGAGCTTCAGCCACAGAGTCAGGTCCCAGAGGATCCGATTTATTAATTACTAAACTCATTTCTGCAGAATGCACCAAAGGCTTCCACTGTTGGGAAGGAAGATGCTTTATGAAAAAATTTTAGTCTTGTTAAGAGAGTGCAATAAAGCTATGGAGAGGTTTTCAACTTTTAATTATTTAACAGTGAAATAGAATTTCAGATGAATCCCCCAGATGTAATTTATATTGTAATGTTTTACACTGCTTTATGTACAGATGTCAGGAAAGATGGCTCTAAATGAATTTTATAGGACTTAAGGGAGAACTTGCAGTTCTAGCTCTAGGGATGAAGGCCTGTCTTCATCTCAGCAGGGAGCTACCAGCATCTCACGAACCAATATGATGACATCTTCTTTAAAATCTGAAGAGGTCAGAGGTAAAAAGTCCATTCAGACTAAATATTTGACATCTAAGGTAAAATTGTAAGTTAATGCTAACTTTCCTGCTCTGCAAATTCTTTGCAGAGGCCTAGTTTGAAAAGGACAATCCAAGTTTTGATTACCTCTATCAGAAATAGTGTTCTGGAAAAGGCTCCAGATAGGCTGTACTTGTAGGCTAAGAGAAACTTGAATGTGATGCTGAGATACTGTCTTTTCCTTATGAACATGAGCAAGAATTTATTTGTTAGAAGTCACCAAAATTGTGTGATTACTCTTGTTCTAACTTCTTAAAGACTTAGCTGTTGCAAATTTAACTCAGAAACATTTTGGGTTACTTTTTCAGTTCAGATGGTATACCTTCTCTCTGTCTCAAAAAAAAAAAAAAAAACCAAAAAACAAAAAACAAAAAAACCTTGCAAAATAACAGTTGCTCTCAGATAAAATAAAAGCAACTGCCCATCTGTCATCATTGGTCTTTTAAAATCACAAGTTGTCTTTCTAATTTCTCTTCAACTTTTGACATACAACTCAAAACACCTTTTCACAGAGAGGTTATATGGTTATTTCAAATACTGTCTAAAAACTCTATAAAGAGATTTGATTAAATTGGAAGCACAGATGACTGATACTCTTAAAATAATTGCTGCCTTAGTGATTCAACATGTGAGCTCTGCCATTTATTACACTTTTAAGTGAACTAATCTAAATTAAAATCTTCTAAGATCAATAGCTCATTTTTTTTTTAACCACGGAGCATTCTTAATGCATTGCCAAGCCAGATAAGTCATATTTTCAGACCTTGAGAGTCTACAGCAGCCTAATGTATATTTGGTAGCATATTTTACAGCAGGCTCCTTTTTTCTTTTTGCACAAATATATTAAAAAATAGCCATTCCAAGTGTGTCTCTAAACACATCTAGTTCCTTTTCTAAGCATACCTCCTCACTTGAAAGATA
Source organism: Homo sapiens (assembly GCF_000001405.40). Classification (NCBI taxonomy): domain Eukaryota; kingdom Metazoa; phylum Chordata; class Mammalia; order Primates; family Hominidae; genus Homo; species Homo sapiens. The sequence goes on from NC_000008.11 coordinate 117,118,762, forward strand.
TCATTATTATCTTTTGATGTGTAAAACTACTTATCAATCTGGTCTTTTATTAACTGAACAACAATTTGAGTCATTCATCTGCATTGCTGTCAGGTGATGGTAAAATTCTGGCAAATTTATAGAAAGAAAATAGTGTAAACAATTCAGTTAACATCGAAACTCACTCAAAGATGCGGTGTTGGAAATAAGGCAAATTCCTATGGGCCTCTGAGACAGGCCTAATGTCTGTGGGGATTCGGATTGGGTAGAAGTCAACTAAGTTAGCCTCCTTTTGTTTGGCTCCCATGGTAAGGAATATAGAGGCCTAATTTGAAAAGGACAGTCCAAGTTTTGATTACCTGTATCAGAAATAGTGTTCTGGAAAAGGTTCCAGATAGGCTCTACTAGTAGGCTAAGAGAAACTTGAATGTGATGCTGAGATACTGTGAGGCTAGCAGTAAACAATCATCTCAGAGATCCATTATGTTCCCAAAGCAACTCCCAGCTTTGGCTGTCGTCTTCAACACCTTTAGTTCATCTGTTTTATGTTAGGGAATTACTGGAGATCCACCTTGGGCTAGAATCTTTGGGGAGTCGGTCCATATTGCTTTTTTCCCCCATCTTCATAATTTAGATTGAGTTTCTAAAGGAAAGGGGAAAGGAGACTGCTGGCCAATGCCAGGGTTTTGGCTGCTGAAGTAACCTCCCTATTTGCCACACCCATGTTAGTCCAAGAGGAAGTCAAGGGGAATGAGAGAAGACTACATTCTTTTAGGAATTATTCTACGTGATCACCCCTTCAGTCACTCTTCTTTTGTGCCACAACCTCCCCTGCCCCACCTTACTCCCATATCACATCATCTGTGTGTATGCATAATCATTAAGTTTAAGTTTTATTCTCCATGGCTAATATATAACGCCTTATCCTTAAAACCCTTGCAGGAGACAGAGAGTTTTGGGAGATGGTAGAAGCTATAGTAGTACAGCAGTGCTATATTAAGATAAAATGTAATGTGTTTTTAGAAATAAATTCAGTAAAGCTGCAGGATATAAAATCAACATATAAAAATCAGTTGTGTTTCTATACATCTATACACAGACCATGAACTATCAGAAAAGAAAATTAAGAAAACAATCCCATTTACAATAGCATCAAGAATAAACTACTTAGGAATAAACCAGAGGTAAAAGACTTATGTGCTGAAAACAACATAACATAGATGAAAGAAAAGACATAAGTAAATAAAAAGACATCTTGTGCTCATAAATTGGAAGACTTAATATTGTTCAAATGTGCACACTACCCAAAGTGACTAACAAATTCAATGCAATTTCTGTCAAAATTACAATGGCATTTTTTGCAGAAATAGAAAAAAAATCCTATAATTTGTATGGAAACACAAATGACACAAAATAACTAAAGTAATCTTGAGAAAAAACAAAAATGAAGGTATCACACTTTCTGATTTTAAAACATATTTCGTATCTGTAGTAATTGAAACAGTATAGTACTTACATAAAGACAGATATACAGACCGATGGAACAGAATAGAGATCCCAGAAATAAAACCACACATATATAGTGAACTGATCTTTGACAAGGTTGCCAAAAATACATGATGGGGAAGGGATAGTGTCTTCAACAAATGATGTTGGGAAAACTCAATTACAACATGCAAAAGAATGAAATTGCACCCTTATTTTAAACCATACACAAAAGTCAACTCAAAATGGGTTAAAGATGTAAACATAAGATCTGAAACAGAAGAAACCATAGGGGGAAAACTTTACAGTATTGGTCTTGGCAATGATTTGTTTGATATGACACCAAAAGCATAGGCAACATAAGCTAAAATGGACTAGTGGGACTACATCAAATTAAAAATCTTCTGCACAACAAGGGACACAATCAACAGAATAAAAAAGGCTACCTACATAATAAAGGAAAATGTTTGCAAACCATATATCTGATATGGGGTTAATATCTAAAATATATAGGGAACTTCTAAAAAAAACTCTAAAATCAACAAAAACCCAAAACCTCTGAACCCAAATAACCTGGTTTAAAAAAGGGGCAAAGGGCTTGAACAGACATTTCTCCAAAAAAATATATTCAAAGGGCCAATAAGTATATGAAAAGATGCTCAATATCACTAATCATCAGAAAAATGCACCTGAAAAGCCACAATGAAATATCACCTCACACCTGTTAGGATGGCCATCAAAAACAAACACACACACAAACAAAAAATAAGGGTCTCTGAGGTTGTGGAGAAATTGGAACCCTTACTCACAGTCACTGGGAATGTATAATGTTGCAGCCACTATGGAAAATAATAATATGAAGTTTCCTCAATAAATAAGAAATAGAACAATGGGATCCAGCAATCATACTTCTAAGTATTTATCCTAAATAATATAAATCAGTATCTCAAAGAATATTTGCATTCCTGTGTTTATTGAAGCATTTTTCACAATACCCAAGATGTGGAAGTAGCCTAAACATTCATTAATGGATGAATGGATAATGAAAACATGGTATATACATACAATGGAATATTATTCAATCTTAAAAAGGAAGGGGATCCTGCTGTCTTAGTCCATTCAGACTAATATAACAAAACACCATAAACCAGGCTGCTGATACACAACAGAAATCTATTTCTCACAGTTCTAGAGGGTGGGAATCCAAGATGATGATAATGGCAGATTCAGTGTCTGGGGAGGGCCCACTTTCTAGTTCCCAGATGGTGCCTTCTTGTTGTGTCCTCACATGATTCTCTCTTGTGCCTCTTTTATAAGGACACCAATCTCATTCATGAGGACTCTGCCCTTATGAACTGAATCACCTCCCAAAGATGCCACCTCCTAATACTATCGCATTGGTGATTAGATTTAAACATGAATTGGAGGGGTACACAAACATTCAGACTGTAGCACCTTCCTACACTGCAACATGGATGAACCTTGAAGGCATTCTAAGTGAAATAAGCCAGTCACAAAAGGACAAATACTGCATGATTCCATTCATACAAGGTGTCTAAAACAGTCAAACTGAGAAGCAAAAAGTAGAATGATAGTTGCCGGGGATTGTGGAGGAGGGGAAATAGTGAGTTGCTGTTGAGTGGGTATGAAGTTTCAGTTAAGCAACATGGAAAAGTTCTAAAGACCTAAACATTGTGCTGATAGTTAACAATACTATACACTCAGAAAAATTTCTTAAGAGAGTAGGTCTTATGTTTTTCACAATAAAAAACATATAAAATGTAGTTTGTCACTATCCTCTATGATATGCGGAATTTAACTGAAATGGAAATCAGGGTATTAGAGTGGCCCTTTTTATGTCATATTGCTTTATTGGGTGTTTATACTTAAGCTAATTACTAATTAGTAACTGAGGCTTAGAAGCAGTGATAAGACTGGCCTTTGTAAGGCCTATAGACTTATTCTAATTGCTTTATAGTAGGATTGTATGTGGGAAATTGAGATTAAGAGAATTGCTTACAGCTGCAACATTTAGGCCCTGACATCCTTTAATAATAGGTGACATGTCTTGAGAGCTTATGAAGTGTTAGGCACTATTCTAAGCACCATTCATTATCTCACTTGATAATTACAACAATACAGTAAGTTGGATGCTGTTATAATTGTCCACCTTTTACACATAAGGAAACTGATTAAATCACTTTCCCAAAGTTATCTAGCTCATGAATGGCAGAACTGGGATTCAAACCCAGGCCTTTCACCTACAAGGCTTGTAACTCTTAACCATCCAACTTTTCCCTCTCCTTGTCTGTTCTCTTCATTGCTTCCAAGAGCTGGGCTTACCATCTACAAGCACTCTTCATCTGAGTACTGACATCTACTGTGGCCCCAGATGAATGCACAGTTGAGGTAGGCAATTTTAAACATTGTCTTATTCACTTTTAGTGGAACCCAGTTATAGGCCACATGCCACACTCAGGCTCTGGGTGTTTTAGTGAAGACCTCCCTTATTGAAGTCTAAGTCTCTTTTCTGGCAAGGATCACAGAGCTTTGTCGTGTCTTTGGTGTCCTGGTTGAAGACCAGACTGCCTTTCTTCCACAGAGAACCACAGTCTCCTTTCCCCTCTGTGGACTCTGCTCCTCTGTTTTAGAAATGCTTAAGTCAATTGCTTCCCAAATCATGATGGAGCTTGTGATGGTTTTTGCAATGTACTGGGCGTTCCTTTATATTATTAGAATATACACTGCACTGGAGAGGAACCAGTTGGACTTATTCACTGTTGCACCTTTATCACTAAGCCCATTGCTTGACATGGACTAGGAACATAATTAATATTTGTTGAATGAATTAATGGGAAGTTTCTCCGTCTTCTGTCTCACCTTAGAGGGCAGACCTCAGGTCAGGCTTCATCTCCTCTACTTTCATCATTTGCTCCTTGCCACTGGGAAACTAACCATCCTCTTCTGGGTCTAAGTTTTAATAATGGCGACAGACAGGATGTGTCTACATTTAAACCTTCTCATTTATTCAGATGACACAGAGACTAAAGGTCTACTCCCTGACCAAATACCTTAATGTTTTAAAAATGTAATCTAGCTGATTTTATGCAGTGCATAAACAGACATCAGAATGAGACTAATGGATGACATTTACATAAACAGGCTATCAATATTAAAATAGCATGAAGGAATCTTTAAATGTAGCATTAATTAGAAACCTGAACTAATTTCATTATTAGGCATTGATACCCTGGGAAAATGATCATACTTCTTGAAATGTGGAAATAAAAGTTTGTGAGATACTTTTTGTGTGAAGAGTAATACAAAAGTTTCATAATGTAAAGCAATATTTGATTTTTAAAATTATACTTTATAGCAATTACATATTTTACTTTGTCATTTTTAACAGCTTTTATGAGGTATAATTCACCTACAATAAAGTTCACGTAAGTGTATAATTCAATGATTTTTAGTAAATTGACAGAGTTGTACAATATCACATTTTAATTTTATAACACAATATGTCATTCTTAATGTACTTCACATTAAGATCTGCTGTACAACATAATTAAAGTTGCTTATTTTAATTTCTCAATTCATTTATAAATGGCTGAAAGGACATTGAAGATTTTGGAAACTATTGATGAGGAAATTGAACAAAGAGCTTGCATTGGGTATTGGCTAGTGCAGTTGGTATGTTAACTTGCTGTGGGGAATCCTCTCATCTCTCACCCTTGGTGTGCACATTCTTATTATATCTTTGAGAAGCAAGTGCCTGATTAATTTCAACATGATAGGCTCTTGACAGGAGATGTCCCAGGAGAGGCAAAGCTGGGGAAGAGTGTGGATGGGAGTTAGGACCAACTGCTTCCCAGGAGCACATTTTCCAAAAGTAGTGCCTTTTCATGTATTGAGACTCATACAGATTATTGTGAAAGGATAGAACCTGTTTTATGAGCTCATTCCTGTGATTGTAAAAACTGGTCTAGGGAGATGAATCTTTAGTTATAGGGAGAGGGGAGTAAAGGATTGTGCCATGCTTTTACAGTAAGAATATTATATTAGTCAGAAAAGGCTAGTTGATGCTGCACAAACAAATGAGCAACAGATCTCAGATGCTCACAGCTACAAAGATTTGCTTCCCCTCATGTTACAAGCCCAATGCAGGTCAGTAGAGAGGCTCTGCTGATTCATTGTTACTATTCCTGCACCCGGGCTCATGCAGGCTCAGTTTCCACACAGGCTTTCATGGTTGCCACAGCAGGCAAAATCAGAGCTGTGGGATCTCACATTGGCATTTAAATACCTCCACCAAAAAGTAATTCATATGACTTTCGCTCTCAACCCATTGGGAAGAATTAGCAACATGACCACATCCAATTTCCAATCTCAAAAGGGCAGAGAAGTCCTCCCTTGTATCCAGAAAAAAAAAAAAAAAAGATTAGAAAATCAGTGAATAACGGTAAAGGAACAGAAAATCAAATACTGTGTGTTCTCACTTATAAGTGGGAGCTAAACATTGAGCACATTATGTACATAAAGATGAGAACCATAGACACTGTGGACTACTAGATGGGGGAGGGTGTGGGCTCCTATTGGGTACCATGCTTACTACCTGGATGACGGGATCCATACCCAAAACCTCAACATCCCACAATATCCACATGTAACATACCTGTACATGTACCCCTTGTATCTAAAATAAAAGTTGAAATAAAAAATCAGTAAAGATTATTACATACATAGCATCTAATGAAATGAAGGAAAACATCAACAATAAAAAAAATATTGAGATACCAAAATTCTAACATCAGAATTTCTTTTTAGTGAAAGAACTCTTTTCATTTGGGAAAATAATTTGATATGCATCTTGGGGTGAGGGTTAAGAACTAACAAACTGAGCAACCGATCTCCAGGTAGTTTAATCAGAATATATACAGGATTTTTATCAGAATAAGAAGTTTTGGTGTTGCCATGATTGCATTTGAGATTCTTGAATCTAGTCTCCAAATTTGCATATGTAGTTTTGTCTTATGGGTTTTGGTAATTTTCATTTACTCCATTCTTTTACAGTTTTTATCATTCTTTCTCCATTTTACATGAGCCCAGATTTGTGTGACTCTAATGTGGTCAGCAGAGGAACCAGTAGTTTATGCCACTAATTTCCATTCCTACTTCTTGAGCCTCAGACAGCACTAACATGTTAGGACTGTCTTTTTAGCTCAAGAGAAAAATTGACCAAATATTTTTGTGAATGGAGATGTGTATGGGAAACTTGTGCTATTAGCAGGAGTGGCACTATGAGGGACCTCCATCAGCAGCATCTCTTGAGGTTGGAAAATCAGTGTGGCTAGGATGCTTGGAAATGAAAAGCTTCCTGCTCCAGATTTTGCCAGGTGGTTGTGCCCTTTACTAATTTCAGCTGCAGTTACAAGAATGATAAAATGGAAAAATAAAGATCTGTGCAATGACTGAGAAAAGGCAATTAGTTTTGCACCAATGAGAAATAATGTAGAACTCCTCATGTCTCATAATAAATTGGTTCTCTCCATATATATTTAAGAATGCATATATACAGTACAAATGTACTTAAATTTAAATAGCACTAGAATAAAACATATTCTGCAAGTTTTAGTAAAAGAAGAGGCAATATAATTTCTGTATTTTAGGAAGAAAAAATTAAAATAGTATCTGTAATAAGAGGATCTGGGTGTATAATAATTGATCTAGTGAATGTCAGAGTTTTTTGTTTTCTCCCAGAATGCATCAGCTTCAACGATCTTCTCCTCTCTCTAGCTGTGTTTTCCCCCCTCGATGAAGCACAGAAGAAACTAAAACCTGCCAGTTAGCAATGCAATTTCAAGCTTAATATTCTTGCCAACTCCAAATATTATTTTTTTATGGCAAAAAACGTCCAATCAAGTGTAGCTTTTTCTCCATGTTAGTTGACTTGACAACTAGATCTCAAAGTACTTTGTGATTTTCTTTTTTATTTGATGAGGCAGAATTGCCTACATGATAACAGGCTGGTTTTATGTATGAAGTATTAATATGATAGTCTTTATTTATTAAGCAATTACTCTGAGCTTTATATATGAAATTTAAATTACTTCATTTAATTTTTATAAATATCTTAGAGAAATTAGGATTAGAGAAAAATCATTTATCCCCATTTTATATGTAAGAAAACAGGTTCAGAAAGATTTTGATTACCCGGTTGGTGAATGGTACCCAAGTCTTCTGACTTCAAAGGCTTTACTCTGAATCACTCACTATGTAATGGCTTTCTCATCAGTACATTCCATCCATCATCCACCAACCCATCCATCCATCCATCCATCCATCCATCCATCCATCCATCCATTTATTGATTTATAAAAAATATATTCTTCACCCATGATATGCCAGATACCGTTTATGAAGAACTGGGGAGACAACAGTGTGGAAAGAGCTGAAGCCCCTAGCCACTAACAGCTTATATTCTCATAGGAGTAGATGAGATGAGAAACAAACAAAATTAAAGATGGAAGAGAGATAACAATAAGGGTGCTGAAAGGAATGAAGAGCACAGTGTGGAAAGGAAAAACTCGAAATAGCTGAGCTCACTGTGCTTCTCACAGGGGGATCTAAGAGGGGCTGTCTGAGGAGGTGATATCTGGCAGGATGAGAATGCAGCATCTGTGTGCACAGTCAGCGGGAGAGCACATGTTCCAGGCAAAGGCGACAGTACTGGGGCATCTAATAGCGCCATTTCCAGGTAACTGAAGCTTACTCTTGAGTGCCAATTTTAAAAGCAAAGTAGCCAGTTCAGTGGAAACTGTCTACAATTCATTACACACCATACTGCTTTCTAGAAGAGAGGCCACTGGACCTGTCCTTGGGTTTTTGTTTATGAGATTATCCACAGGTATATAAATGTATTCATTTTAGCTAAGCATCGCGTACCTAATTGGTACGCGTTCCAAATTATTTTTGAAACCTAGGAAAAAGAAGTCTCATGTGGAAGTTCTTAGGGAAAAATGATGGGCAGCTCATACTTATAATTAGTCTTTTCACATTACTTAATGTTTTAACTTACTTTTTCTTTGGTAATCTTCCCATTTCCTCTTATCTACTGAATAATAAGCTGCTGAGTGTTTGTAAACACTATGCTGAAGAGCAATAACTAAAACTCTTCATGAAAGAGATCTGCAGTGTAGAGCAACAAATATAATATTGCCCTTAGGTTGTTGGAAGAGACATTATTTCTTGTGCTCTGTCATTGTCTCTCACAATTAGACTAAGCAGGAAAAGATTCACCTTCTTGTGACATTTTCCTGAAAGACAGGAAAATATTTGAATTTATATGACAAAGTAAATGTTTCATTTTAAGTTGTCTAACTGTTCAGCACAATGTTATAAGTTTGTATCTGTAATTCCAGGCTCTGGAGAGTATTAAAGCCATGAGAAATTATCAGATGATGTGTGGTGTGTGATGTTGTTTTTGATTGACAGAGTCAGATCTAATAATCCCAGGGGCTAAGATAGGTGTTTCTAATTTTTAGTGTTGATGCTGAAGGTAACTGGCCTGGAGGTATTTACTTTTTTCCTTCCTCCGTCTTTATTCTGGTTTTATGAATGAATTTATATACTTTAAGGATAAAATGTTGGCAATGCTGTGTGACATGTTGCTAGCTTGCAATGAGTTGTATATCACCCAGTACCAATGTATTTCTTTTCAAAGGCAATTCTCTCTTATATTATAAATTCTCAGAGAGCAGAAGTTACATCTGTCTAAATTGCTTGAGTTTAGCATCAGCTTAGAGCTTAGCCATTAGAAGTAGGAGTTTTGTTAAGGCATAGATAGAAGAGAACGTGGCGATTGTTGGGTTGAGCAATTACCTGAGTTATCTCCTAGGGCTCCTTGCTTTCTTCTTTCAGTTTTCTCCCAATGAAAAACCACTTCTGTGAACTATAGTCTGTTTAATTTGCTAGTAAACAAGAAGTGAGTGAGAAGTGGGCATGCACTTGCTGACTTACGGGGAATTATGGCACAGCGGCCACAAACATCACATCTTCCCAGTCCAGGAGGCAGAGGACTAGGAGTTTCCTAGCAGCTGCCACAGGAAAGGAAATAGTCTCATTATTGATGCTTCATTACTGATGCTACCTTATAGTCACCAGACTGCTGTCTGTCAAATTTGGTATAAAAAGGCGTGTGTGTGTGTGCTTGTGTGTGCTTGTGTGTGCGCACGCACGCGTCTGTGTGTGTGCTCATAAACACACAAAGAATTTGATAAAGACATTCAGAATATTCTTTTAAAAAATAATATGCTCCCTGTGTTATTATTGCCTAGGGTAAGAAGAAGACTTGCTGCCCACTGTCTACACTCTTGAAATTTAAAACACCTTGCTGAGCACATGTGTTACTTTTTAAATTAAAAAAATGTTAAAAGTTTTATTTAGCTGGCAGTTAATTGGTAGTACAATTTATTTATTTTAGCAAGAAATAACTTCTCAATCCTTAGCATAAATAGTGTACACAACAAAATACTTGGGAAGTGTTTCCTTTAGTATGAAGGAAAAAGGGGATTATTTTTACTGACAAGAGCTTTCTGAGGTTTCACAGTGGTATCATTCACTTTTTTTCTGGTTAGGAAATTGGGGCGGAAAGAAGCAAACATATTCAGTGACACACTGAAAATCAGTGAGAGGGAAAGAATTCGAACTCACAGCCTACAAATATACCAACTGAATGCATTCAGCATGAAAACATGTTAGTTTCAGCAGTAACGTTAGTTAAAATGGGTGCTTGGGCTGGATTCAGGTGTCAGGTGTGCTAGTCTTGAGAAGAACTATCCTCAGAGCAGAATTTAATACACTGTTGGGTGGCAATTAGATAATCACATCTACCCAGCAAGGAGTTTCAGTTAGTAGCTAATGACTATGTTGAATAAAAGTAGAATGCTCCAGGACTTTTCATCTGGCCAGTTAGCACTGCAATGGATGTGTTTGAGCAGACAATGAATCCGTTGTGCTCAAACTTTAGGACTAGTCAGTGTACCTCACTTTAGTTGGGAGCCTTGTGTTTATTAAAAAATTAGGAGAAATGACTGTATGGTATAAAGTGGATTAAAAATAAATATTCTTCATTTGTTGTCAGCAATATCCATATAATGATGATTCTAAGAAGTGATGGAAAATTAGTATCCACTGGGACATCATTTTAATCATAGAATTGATTTCTACTTTTGTTTCCTTCCATAGGAAAAGTTCAAGGGATGTCTGAGTTTATTATTCACCAGGTTTCTTGGGAAACTAACTTGTGACTAGGAAATGCAAATTATTCCAAATTCCATTCTAACAACTCTTATTAAAAATTTCATATTGCTTTGTCATATTGATTTTTCTTATATATATGTAATACCTAAAATAGGAAAACATTGTAATTGTGTCCTGATATTATTTTTTAACAGTTTAATATGAAAGTTTAAAATGAAATTTTTATTTTGTGAATGATAACGTATTATATTTCTGGTGGAGACTCAGAGAATAATCTTTGCTTTAGATTCTGAATGGTAAAGGGGAATATTATCCTAGGTATATAAGGCTTTTAAAAATCTGTTGCTAAATACAATGTTTTCAATAATGTTTTGTGTTTGCTTGTTATAATTAAATAAACATTTTTGTTCTCTTTTGGAGTTAGCTGACTGCGAAGGAAATGGAAGCTCCTGTCATCTGCTCACTGATCAATATCTGGGTGACTTGGTCGAGAGTTTAGGGTTGCAAAAGGTGATAAGGTGCCTCACTTGTCTTCATTGGATACAGATTAAAATAACTCATCTCCTGATGGTAGTGGTGAGATTTGCGACAATTGGATTAGCAGCATTTTAAACTGTAGACTTACTGGAAGCAAATTCACTAATACCAAAAGAAGAGATGAATTAGTTGTAACGCCTTGTGGTTGTGCTTCCAAGCAGGAAAGACAGCTGCTGTCCCTTGATGCATTTTGGATTCAACGTGAAAAGCAACGGTTCAGTCTTTCATGGGAAAGCTCTGAGGAAGCTTTGTCTTGTCTCCTGGACTATCTCCTGAGAGAAAGTATTGTCAGCCAGGAGTCAAATAAAGCCAGGCCTGGAGATTCAGAGGAGACGATGAGCTTTGCCTTTGCTCTGTTGGTATTCATCTGGGAATGCTCTGTGAAAATCCATTTCCCAAAGATGAATTATGATCCCCTAAAACCTTTCACTGAAGGAAAATAAACAGTGCTCATGAAAATTAAATGGTGGCATTCCAGATAATGACAAGAGGGCTCTATTATTATTATTATTATTAAATTTGAGCATTTAATGTTTTAGTCTTCAGTGATGCTCTGTGCATTTATAGACCAAGGGGTTGGAATATTAGAAAGTATATTTTTGTCTACTTTTCTATTCTAATCTTTAAAATAATGGATAGGTTCTTTGTAATCCTCTCTTGCCTTTTTATATAAATAAAAAGACATATAGTTGTGAGATTATGAAGCCAAAAGGCCATTGTTTTGGAGTTTGTAAGAAATAACAACCATATCTCACCTAGAGGGCGTTTTTGAGGGTTAATTAGTTCAAATTTGCAAGTGCTTGGAAAAAGAAGTGTGGTATATGGAGAAGAATTGAAGAAATATACACTTCATAAACACTTCAAGCAGCTAGCCCCAATATTTCTCCCCCCAAAAATAATGCTAGTTCATTTTTCTGTCATTTATTTGCATCTATGAGACTTAATAAAATATTTCTTTTATTCTTTTAGTATCAATATTTTATCAAGTCTTTCTATTCTTAACAAATACAAATTGCATTTTCACCAGAACATTCCTATAGCTCAATCGCTTGAAAAATAGAAATAGTAAAAAAAATTACATGGTCCTAATTTATCAAGAAGGAAATAAACATCATATTGCTTTCGGTCCATTTTCAAGCAGTGTATAAAATATTGGAAATGGTTTGTGTTTTATACATATTTACTTTAGATTAAAATAAAATTTTCATAATGCTCTCTAAAATACAATCCAATTAAATTTCTAATGTCTTTGTTTTCACATTTCTAGATGAAACCTCTGAAATACTCACACTGTAGTAATAACCATAAAGCTACCTTGCTAAGAAAATACTACTCAACTTAGAAATAATAAGATCTTTATAGTTATGTGAGAATGCATGAGTCCAGAATCTTTAGTGGGTGATTACACTGGTTGAGTTTGAATTGCCTCCCCTGTTGTGGAAGACAGCTCCATAGTGAAGATCATTCTGAATGGCACTCTACTGGTGAGGGGGTAGAATGAGGCAGACATCAATCTAATTTGAGAAAGTAGAGTCCAGAGGGTTTGAGAGATCTACCCAAAGTCATAGAGCCGATAGCTGAAGTCCCCAGATCTTCCTTTTTCAATAACCTTTATTTCCTTGATGGATGCTTCATTCACAGGTAATTCTTAGCCTTCTGCTAAAGCTGGAGCCAATTTCTCAGCAATAGCCAAAACATTTTACTTAGACATGGCCCAGTGTATAGAAACTCACAGTTACATAAAACTGGTTATATATCAGAGACTATGCTAAGAACTTTTATACATATTATCTGTTTTCCTCTTCACAAGAACTCTGTAAGATGGATTCGATTAATACTCCCATTTTACAGGTGAGAAACGGAAAAACACAGTGGTCAGGCAACTTGTTCAAGGTCACATATCTAAGAAAGTGGTCAAACTGGAAACTAAAATTGTCTACCTAACTAACTTGAAAACCCATATATTAAACCACTTCACCACACTACCTCTCCACACCAACAGGAAAAAGCAAAACATGATGAAAGTCCACATTTGTTATTTAAAAACAGGCACATTTCTATGTCTGATTTAAAAAGATGGTTGCATGCACACATTGGCAACATGAAGTATTTCTGAAATACGAGTTTAAATATGGGGAACACAAATTGTAAGTACTTGGTACTTTAGTATCTAGGGATAATGATGGTAGCTTTTTATAAATCCATATGTCCTTTCTACAAGTGAAATATCCAACAATGTTTAAGATACTTGTGAAATTATTTTTGCACAAGTATTAGCTACTGTTTGTAACACCCTATTAAGAAATTGTTGCTGACAACAGCTAGGACTGAAGAGCCAAACCAGTTCTTCAGTGATGTTGGTGATGTTCTTGTGGCTGACAGAATACTTATTTCCACAGGTAGCTGTTATAGATTGTGTGTTTCCCATTCAGTTACTCCAAGCTTGTGAAGGAGAGTGGGCGGAGAAGACAACCTGTAATTCGGGATGGTTTGGAAGCTGGTTGCCTAGGAAACTGAAATGAGCAGCGTAATGCCCACTAAAACCAATGTCTACAGGGGATGGGATTTTCCTTTTTGATCCAAGTTGCTTTCCAAATATATATTCTATGCTGCTTGTGGAGCCCAGTTAGGCCGTTGGCCCTTGGTGGGCAGTTCATGCCAAAGTAGACCAAAGGTTTGTCAGGGAGGATGAGAGATTTTTCATAAATGTTGTGATGACAAAATATTTGAGAGAGGGAATGACGGTGCAGTTAAAATGAACTTGTAAGAGAATAAGGTGATCAGCAGATGCATATTTTACATGATATAATATGCAATTCTTGATCATAACATCTGCATCTAAATTTATGGCAGCAAAACTTTTTAAGCATAATTTTATTTGCTGTAATCTACTGTTCTCTGTTCTTATGCTACTCACACTGGAAGCTTTGCTTTATGGTAATCATCTTCAAGAGTAACTTTTGGGATTCATAAATCTTTGATGAAAATCATAATTAATTTCCTAGTACTTTATAAATATGTACATTTTTATTAGTAAATGTAACATACATATCCACACATATATTTTAGGTATCTATATATGTGTGCATGTATATTTAAGTTGAACCATATAAAATTGCTGATATTAGACCACATAGGACTTATATAGTTTATCTTATAGACAAATAGAAGAGATCATAGGATACATTTTTGACAGGGGGTAGCAGTATTTTTTGTTGTTTTGCTTGGGTCTCTCATTGTCTCTTTTCCCATCTTCACTTTTCCCTGTCCTACATCAACCCCATCCTACTCTCACTTTATTCTTGCCCCATAGGCAATCCACATTAACTACCTGGCATGTATCCTTCACACTCATTATAAATTATATGTCAATTATGTATGTATGTATGTCAATTATAAATAGATCTGTACATCCGTATTTGTACTAGAGGCAAAGTTCGCATGGAGGAATCTCAAACTTCCAGATTGTTTATTTCCTGTTGATATCTATAGCCAAATATTCTCCTTCCTGATTTGAAAATATTGCTTATCTCTTTTTTTTGTACTCACCCTTAATGAATTTCAGGCTGATTTAAAGTAGTTTCCTCATTTTCTGACATTCATTCACTTGAATTCTATTTCTCTTGTCTGTGCTAGAAACTATTCACAAATGATTCAAGCTGTGACATATGGCAGTGTGTCACACAGGTGGATTAGTAATTCTTTTCTGGTTTTCTACTTTCGCCTCCACAGAATAACTGATTACTTTGTAAGGTTAAGAGTAAGAATATACGAGAAAAAATACATTGGTTTTTATTCTGCTAACAGTAGACCCAGGATTTCAATGCCTTCACTTGCAAGGAAAAGGCTCCCCCAGAGCCTCTTAGAGGCTCCAAACTGTGTGAGCAAAGTTAAGGATCAGTAAGAGTGGGGTCATATGAGAAGACCTTAGAATTTATGTTATAGATGAGAGTGTTTGAAATCTTAAGATAATAAGAGGTACAGCTACACCACAGATGTGATAGGAGACCTAATAGTCTCATTCTGAACCAAAGGTGACTTCTCCTGTCACTGCCTATGACAATTGGCATTGAACCCCATCCTCCTTTTAGAGCACAATATTCATTTTATTAGGCCATTGTGAGAGATCTCAGCTCAGCATAATGGGCAACTTCCCGTGACTCTGGGCCACTGGGTTATTCTGGGACTTAACTACTCTGAGTTTTCTCACTAGAAAGTTAGTGTTCACACAAGGAAAAGGCAACAAGAACCTGGTGGTCTGGGGTTTACTCCTGTTCTCCAGTCTGCACAACCCCCTCTTTCTCTACCGTTGTGTACATCTTTATAGGTCTTGAAACCTTTTGCCCACACACAAATGCCTACTGTTTGTCCAGGCTCTTGCCATAAGGCTATAGTTCTTTCTCTTATTTGGGAAGGAAAGTGCTTTGTATGAAGTAAAATGCTGATTCCTAGGAGTTGAGGAGTGTGAGGTCTCCCAGGAGCAACTCAGAGGCTTCCTTCCTCGGAGCTGGAACTGGCATGCCTGATAGGGTTTCCTTGGGTGAATCCTTGATCCTTAGTAGAGGGTACCTTGGCCAGGAAGAACAAAGCTCACTCTGGTTCTTGTATTTTGGAGGGCTGTTATTTACGTAGAAGCAGAGTCTGTCCTTCTCTTGCCAATCAAAAGGATTTCAAAGCTGCTGTACCAAGAACTGTTTTCAGATTACTGGTTTCAGAAACTATTGACCCTTGTCCTCCCTTTCAATAGTGAAATCCCAAAATGGTCCTAGGAGAGACAAGTAAATTCTGACAGCTGCTTAGAGGTCATCTTAGAACTAAATTCCAAAGAAATAATTTTAGGCTGATAAAGAGTCCAGAAAAAGGAGGAGGGAGAGAAAAAGAAAGAATTAGTTTAGTGTAGCGAATGGTAGCTATTTGCAGCTCACCCACGTGTGCTCCGAAGGTCAAAACCCTACATCAGCAATTTGTAGCAAGCTCTTGAGCTCCTCTACCTCTTAGAAAGCACAATTGAATCAGATATCATATGAAAGACATACACACTTCATGTAATGCTACCTGCAAGTCTCCCTAGAAAAGCAGTTTTTGTAGGTGAAAACAATGAAGCCAGGTAATATTGCAAGGAGGCTGTAATTTTAGCAGACCTACCAACAACACTGATGTAGGAAGCTCATTATTTTAATTTCTGGAGCCTTTTAATTTTTTCTTTAGAAAGTGTATAAATAATTGCAGTGCTGCTTTGCTTCCAAAACTGGGCAGTGAGTTCAACAACAACGACAACAACAGCCGCAGCTCATCCTGGCCGTCATGGAGTTTCTTGAAAGAACGTATCTTGTGAATGATAAAGCTGCCAAGATGTATGCTTTCACACTAGAAAGGTAATAGATGTCTGTGTCTGCTTCACAATTTTCTCTGTTGAATATCATCCAATTCCTATACCTTGTTGCTTCTGAATTGTAGGCCTTTACTCTGCAACTTGGGGGCACTCTGGAACATTTTATAAGTTGTTGACTGACATGTATTTTATATTCTGAAAAATGCAATACTTTATATAGTTGATTTGATTCCTTAAATATCCTAAGTGCATAAAGAACACATTTTACTGATGTGTTTTTCATCTGTCATGTTTATTCCAGAAAATAGACCTATATAATCTGTTTACTTTTCCTTTTCTCAATTATTCTCAATTTTAAGATAGATAGTAAATTTTATTATATTATATTTAGAAAAAGTTAAGACTTCAGCTACATGGCAAAATTGTGGTTGTATTGATCTTAAAATGAGCTGTTGTTTTCATGCTTATAAAGTATCATTATTAATATACATACCTATAACAAATATAGCTGATTTTAATGTTCTACAAAGTATTCCATTTCTTTTTAATGTCTCCCACAGTGTCACATGCAATACATTCATTCATTTTTCACTTGGTTAACAATTATTGATTGAACACACCTGTAGTAAGTGCAGAACTTATAATGAGAAAGAAAAAAATGTCTAGTTTCAGATCTTTGTCCTCTTGAAACTTAGTCTAATGTGAAATACATATTAGAACTAGGCAATTACAAAACAGTGTATTTGTGTCATATTGAGGGTGTTCAATAAGAATAACTGGACTTTGGAATCAGAGGAAGCTTTCTCAGAAGTAATAGGCTAAGAGCTAAAAATAAAAAGGAATTAAAGTAGGGTTAGGGATAACCTACATAGAAAATAGTTTTAAGGAAAGTTTCCCAGACTTCGATAATTGCACAGTAAATATACTTTCACATACATAAGAATGTGAGCTTGGTTTGTTTGAGGAGTTGAATCTGAATGGGGTTCAAAAAAGGAACACATTCAGTGAATATAAATGAGCTAATGAAAATCTGAAAAGAATTGATGTTAGAAGAAGAATTTAAGAGAATACTTGCCCATTAATAATACGTGTAATGTTCTTGTTTGTTTCACAAAGCCAAACTAATATTCTAAGGAGTAGTGATACTATGTTTGGGAGCATCAAATATTTTAGTAACAGCAAAGAGATTTTATAAAAAGGATATTTATAACTTGGCTTAAAACAAAGAATCTAGCAATCTCACATTAGAAGAATTATTTTTCTTAGAAAATAATATTAGATATGATGTATTGAGGTTATTAACATAAAAAACAAAGCCTTGTGGTAAGTCAGGCAGAAGTTTTGGACAAAAAATTGTTAACCCTATGGATACTATCAATAGAGCATCTCCACATTACTGAAATAACAATATTTCCCTTCTTATTAACATAGACTATTAGCATTTTGTTGCACAAATAAGCCAACCACTTATAGTTACAAAGTCTCATTCACCCCATAAATAGGTATGGTTTTCAGGACACAGTGTTTATAAGAATTGTCAAACTCATTTGTATTTTCTTGTCAAGGGAAATAAATTAAATCTGGAAGAGATTATTTATCTCGATCCCTCATTTTACCATGTAGGAAACTGAATGCCAGATAGAACAAATGCCTTTCTTGAGGTCAGAATAAATGTGTTTCTTGAGGGCAGATGGCTAATTACAACAGAACTGGGCTGTGGACCCAGGCCCCCTTCTTGTTAATTTAGTGTTCCCCTTCTCCGTCTACATCTCCTGTACCCATACATGCACCATGTGGGCTCCTGAATCCTTAATCTATCTCCTCCTTAGGTCACATGTCCCTGAATTCCCTCACTTACTCACTTCTTCCCCCACCTCTACCAATCTATCTCATTTATTTTGTTCTGTCTCTATTAGTTGTGGATAACTTTATCCCCTGATATTCCTCCTCTTTTCTCCTTCTACCTCTTTTTCTTTCTACTTTCTATTATCAGCTTTCTATTTAAATGGTTACTGGCTGTTAAGAAACTTACTCTGAAGAAAACTTTATTATCTAATTCCACAAATGGAGTGTTCCATTTATCTATGGCTGTGCAACAAACTACCCCAAGATGTAGTGGCTTAAACAACAACTATTTTATTACGATTCTCTGGGTCAGGATTTGGGCAGCATTCCATGTGAATTAGTTGGAATAGAAGGCTGCATTCTGCTGGTATCTGGGCTAGGCTAGAAGGTTTAAGATGGCTTCACTCACATGACTGAGATCTTTGTGTTGGCTTTTGCCTGGGGCGGGGGTCTTAATTCTTCTTCCCATGGCTTCTCTCCCTGTATGATGTCTCACTTTATCTGGTTAGCCTGGAATTCCTTATGTGACAGTCCAGAGTAGCAAGAGAGCAATAGTGGAAGCTGACCATTCTCAGATAGCTTAAGCCCAGAACTGGCACAGTATCATTTTTATCACAATTTATGGGTTAAAGCAAGTCCCAAGTCTCAGATTCCATGGGTGAGGCAATAGATTCTATCTCTTGATTGCATGTGCATATTGGATGACAGGAATTGCTGGAGGTAATCTTTACAGGCATTTTACCACAGGAAGTAGTAATATTGGACCCAGTAGGTGCCATGAACCATATTTTTTTACCCTCTCCATTCTCTCCAAATCTGTTTCATTGGTGGGATTCTCTGGGCTTTGGGTTCATTGTAGCAAAAAAAAAAAAAAAAAAAAGAAAAAGAAAAAAAAAAGTCGTGTAAAGTTGAACTACAACACGAAAAACAATCAATGTTTTTCTTGGTGCTAGGTGGAAGGGATCAAGTTTCTCTTTTCCCCAAGCCATATGTTGAAGAAGTGCAGAGGAAGTAAGGGCAGGAATAGATGGTAGAGGTAAACTGCTAGAACCTTTACAACAACTATTTAACTGCTAAAAATTATAAAAAAGAAATGAAAATCTCTGGAAGTTGTCTTAAGGGCATGCAGAAAATTAATAATTATTTATTCAAGAAAATCTAAATCTCAGTAAGAAGTGAGCGTCTATGGCATTTGAGCCAAGATCTGCTCCATTAACCTCTGTTCTTCCCAAGCTCAGTATGATGAGAGCTCAACTCTGAGTGGATGTAGCCAAAAGACTGGGCTCCCTCTCCTCCCAGCTTCCAGTTAAAGATCATAGTTCACCCCTAGAGCAAAAGGCTGTTGGAATCTCTTATTGTCCCAGCTTCAGGTTGCAGAAATTCTATTCATTGTAGACAGGACCAAGAGGACTATGGTTTCCTTCCTCTACCCAGCCTCCTCTCATAGGGTATAATCTCTAGCCCAGGAGCAGCAAGGTCCTGAATATCCCTGCCCTGGATCACTCATAGTGTATAGGATGTATTCCAGGAGGCATAAGCAAAAAAGACTAGGGACTACGATCCGTATTCAGTGCTCCACTTGTGGAGCAAGAGTATTGCTCCAGGAGAAGTAGGTCACTGTCTCTTCTGCCAGCTCTGGTGCAGTGGTGTAAAGGTACTACTCATAGGAGAGGCAGGCCATAAGAATAGAGGGCTATGTATCTTTCCCTTAGAAGACTGATGATACATAAGCTGGAATTTTATTTGTAAGACAGCATAGGGTATTTCAAGCATAGGGACACTGTTGAAAACAATGAAGATTCTTCTGGTGGACAATTAAGAGTAGGCTTGTTGCTTCATGATAGCAACAAGATAGTGGCAGACCAGCTAGAAGTTAAGCAAAGACAGGCAGAAAAAGAGGTAAAAAATGCCCTCTTGGATTTGGCACTAGCCACAAAATTTGGCCTCAAATATTACCCCTATAAAGAAGCCTGTTATAGATTGAATGTTTATGTCCCCCACAATTATATGTTGAAGCACAAATGCCAGTGTGGCTGTATTTGGAGATAGGGCCTCTAAGGAAGTAATTAAGGTTAATTGGGGTTATAAGAGTGGGGTCCTGATCTGACAGAATTAATGTTCTTATAAGAAGAGACTCCAGATAGCTCACTCTCTCTCTCTTTTTGGGTGCACACACTAAGGAAAGACCACGCGAGGAAGTAACGAAAAGGCAAGCATCTATTAGCCAGAAAGAGAACCCTCACCAGTGAATTTGCTAGCAGCTTGATTATGGACTTCCATCCTCTGGAGCTGTGAGAAAATACATTTTTGTTGTTTAAGCCACACAGTCTGTGGTATGTTGTTATAGTAGCTGAAGCAGACAAATTTAATTGGATCAGATTGTTGGTCAATTCATACCTCAGGGTATTATTGAAAACCATAGAGCAACAATTCAGCAAACAATTAAGAAGGCCAAAATCTGGGTGTGATACCAACACAGGCAGAACAATCACTTAACAGTGAGATAGTGGAAAGAAACAGTCAAAGTGAACACTACTAAAATGATTATTATCCCTTGGAAATGGGAGAGGATAAGAAAGACTGCATCTACCCAATGATGCACCTTCTGAGGAATGGCAACAGAGGCTGCGCATGCAGGGAAAGTCAGACAACATCTGGTAAAAAAAAAAAAAAAAAAAGTAGAAACAGTCCAGGTGTTGTATTTAGAATTTGAATATTTCAAAACAGCTATTATAACTAGGTTAAAAGAATTAAAGAAAATCAAAGAACAAAGAATTAAAGATAGATATGATTTAAAATGTCTCATAAAATTGAGAATATCAATGAAGAGTTAGAAATTATTTTTTAAAAAAGAACCAGATGAAAATTCTGAAGTTGAAAAGTACAATAAATGAAATTAAAAATTCACTAGAGGGGTTCAACAGTAGAGCTGTACTCATAGAAGCTGGCAGAAGAAAGAATCACTGAACTTGAAGATAGATTGGAAGATATTATGCAACATGAAAAACAGAGAAAATAGAATGAAGTAAAAAAATCAACAGAGCCTCAGAGAAATGTGGTACATTGTTAAATGCATTAACATATTCATAATAAGAGGGCCAGAAGGAGAGAGAAAAAGGAGCAGAAAAACAGTCAAAGAAATAGTGGCCCCAAACTTCTGAAGTTTGTTGAATATTAATCTACACATTCATGATGGTCAACAAACTCTAAGAAGAATCAAGCAAATAGATTTACATGCTTGCACATTACAGTAAAACTATTAAAAGCAAAACACAAATAAAAAACCTTGAAAGCAGCAAGAGAAAAAAGAAAAGATTCATTATGTATGAGAGCATCCTGATCAGATTAACAGCCAACTTCTACCAGAAGCAAAGGAGGATGGCAGTGAGATGACATTTAAAGCTGTAAAAGAAAAAGAAATTCCTATCAACCAATAATCTTACATCTACCTAAACTATATTCCTAAAATAAAGATGAAATAAAGACAAACAAAATCTAAGATAATTTGTTGCTGGATTCACTTTACAAAAATCAGTAAAGAAAGCAATAGTAAAGGAAGAAATATTAAAGAAAACAAATGACACCAGATATTAAGTTGAATCATTCCTAAAAAATAATAGCACCAATAAAGGTAATAATGTGGGTAATTATAAAAGACAAATGATTTGTTCTCCTTTTTCCTCTTAACAGATTTAATAGTAAACTGCATGAAATAAAATGTATATAATCTTAGATGAAATGGATAAATTCATAGAAAGACACCGACTACCATATGAACTTAAGAAGAAATAGAAAATCTGATAAGTAAAGATATTGAATTATTAATAAATTTCATAAAACCTTACACAAAGAAAGCCCAAGTCCAGATGTCCTCACTGGTGATTTCTACCAAAATTTAAAATAGAATTAATATTAACTCATCACAAATTCTTCCCCAAAATAGAAGAGGTGTAAATACACTTCCCAACTCATTTTATGAGGTCAATATTCTGCTGATAGCAAAAAAGGAGGAAATATCACAGGAAAATAAAACTACAGAACAATATCCCTTATGAATACAGATGCAGTAATCCTTGAAAAGACTAATGAACTGAATCCAGCAACATATAAAATTACGAACAATGATAAAATGGGATTTATCCCAGTAATGCAAGCTTAATTTAACATCTGAAATACAAAGTGATACAACATATTAATAGGATACAGAACAAAGCTCACATGATTATCTCACTAGATGCAGAAAACGAATGGACAAAATTCAACACCCTTTAATTATATAAACACCTGTGAAACTAGAAATAGAACGAAACTTCTTCAAAAGCATCCATGAAAAACTTGCAGCTCATATCATAATTTTTTTCAATAGGTTTTTTGGGAACAGGTGGTGTTTGGTTACATGGATAAGCTCTTTAGTGGTGATTTCTGAGATTTTGAAGCACCCATCACCTGAGCAGTGTACACTGTACCAATGTGCAGTCTTTTATCATAATTATGGTGAAAGCCTGAAAACTTTCCCCTAAAATCAGGTACAAGATAAGGATGTCCACTTCAATGAGTTCTACTCAACGTGGTACTGTGTGTTCTAGCCAGAGCAATTGGGAAGACAACAAAATAAAAGACATTCAGACTGGAAATAATTTAATAATCTGTGCATTCATCTTGTTCCAGTTACACTTTGAAGTGGTTTATATGAATTAGCTAAAAATCTCTCAAGCAGCCTATGAGAGTGATGCTATCATTATTCCTATTTTCAGATGGGGAAATTGAGGCACAGAGAGGTTAAGTAATTTTCTTACAGTCATATGACTAGTGAGTGGTAAGGGTGGGAGTTCAACTGAGGTGGTGGGTTGCCAGAGCCCAAGCTCTCAGCCTCTATACTGCACTGCCTGCCACTCAGCCCCATCTTGGGAATTGGCATGCCCTTCTCCAGGTTACTCTAACCAGAAACCAACAAGTCATCTTTGAGTTGCACCTCTCTATTATTCCCCCTTAACTACTGTTATTTATTAGCAAGTCCTATTGACTCCACCTCCCAAAAGTCCCTCAAATATGACTACTTCTTTCTATTTTTATTGTCACCACGTGGGTCAAAGCCACCAATGTGTTGGCTGTAGTCACCTCCTAAGGGTTTCTATGTTTTGATCTTTTACACTCTAGTCTTCCAGGCAGCACCCAAAGTGATCATTTTAGAAATGTGAACCATGTAATGTTACTTCCCAGCTCAAAACTTTCCAAATTTTTCCTTTTAGACCTTGAATTAAATTAAACTCTTTATAATGGCCTGAAGTGTTCTGCAAAATCTGATCCCTTTTTTGACCTCTTTATATTTCACTCTTTCTTTACGCCACAGGGGACACCTATGTAGTTTTCTTTCTGTTCAAGACAAGCACTTGAACAAGAAAATCCTTCTTGTCTTTGGGCATTTGCTCCAGCAATGCCCTCTACTTGGGATAGCCTTCACTCACATAGGTTTTCTCCTGGTAATTCTATAACTTGCTGCTGAGATATCACCTCCACAGCGGTGCCTTTCCTTCCCACACAATTTAAGGTAGTTCATCTTCCCTTGCCTTCTCACCATTCATCATACTATATAGCCTCTGTTACTATTGATTCATTTACTCTTTGTCTCCCTCTACTAAAATACAAGATCTTTAAAGAAGGAACTTTGTTTTTCTCATACAACATGGTATCATTAACACTTCTGATGGTGCAGGCCCTTTTTAGGTATGCAGTAAATATTTAATGATGAATGAATGAAATGTTAGACATTCATGGTGAGGCTGAAGCTTTTATCTCCCCTTCTAACAGGAATAGTGATTTGAGGTTCTTGGGAAAATTGATATGAAAGTACAAAAGCAAAGTGATTTTTATGTGCTCAACATTTGAAATAAGAGGATAAAAAAATACAAATTTTACCAACATTATTTTGGAGATAGAAGCAAAGTTCTACCACTCAACAAAAAAACATTAAAAAATAAAAGCTTCTCCAAGATTGCAAAAATAAAGTCCCATTTTCTAAATCCCATTTTTGGAGATGAAATCAAAGTTTTAGAGTACTGGCATCAAATTTTCTAATATTTCTGTACTTTTTCATCTCTTTTTCTCCGTCTTTTTTCTCTTTGATGCTACAGTAAATTTCTTTGGCCTATTATTCCTAATTTTTAAAGCTTTGGCCATATTTGAATGCATGGGAATCTTCCAGGATTTATTCATTAACAGCAGATTCACAATTCAGTGTTTGTTGCATCATAGCATTTGCTTTTTATAACTTTCTTCTTAAAATAATACTTAAAATTCACATCATTGTTCTGATCAAGAGCCTGTTCTGCATCTAGAGATACTTAGATGACTTGACTTTAATGAGATGATAAGGAATATATCTTAACTTTGGTTTTTAACTTCTTTGAGGTCACAGGCTCTTTTGGGAGCCAAGTGAAGACTGTGTACTCTTGCCTCTCCCATAAAACACACACACACACACACACACACACACACACTCACACATGAACACATCGTATACAATTCCAATGGACCTTATGAAGCCCACTTTTGGATTTCTGGCTTAGTTCTTCAAGGAGCAGTCTCAGCTCAGAGTATATCCATATTTGTTAACCTTAGAACCCAAGACAGGGAAGCAGTACACAAAAGTAAAAATTGCCCACATTTTCACACTTTCCTCCTTGTGGCATTGCTCAGGGGCTTTTCTCCAGGTTTGATTCTTGCTTTGGACTGGCTTCTGAGCTGCTCCAGGATAAATTATCTCTCCTGGTCACTGACTACTTGGCTTTCCCTGGTCATAAGATTCATGAGAAACATAAAATAAAGCAATGCTTCATATGACCACAGCATACCAGGCAGTTCCAGAACAATTGGTGAGCCTGCTTTGCTCATGCTGTCTTCTCAGCCCAAGGAAACAGTAAATCTCAACAATGTGTTCAAGTTAGTACTCAGGTTCCTCTGAGATGATGGCCACTGGGGACCCAAACTACCAAATTCTGTGGTTATTATTAGGATATTATACATAACAAAAGCAAAAGTCTACTCATTTAAGATATAAATACTTTATTTGTTACTTTCCAAATTGTTCTTATTCCAACTAAGAAGATTGTTTGGAACTACTCAAAATCCTGAGTGCTATTCACATAACTGATAAAAAACCAATGTTGTAAATTGGCTTTAATGTATATTCCAAAGCCAGTTTGGCAATATATGTCAAAATCCTTAGAAATGTAGGTACCTTTTGACCAAGTAATTTCCCCTTTAAGATTCCACTTTAAGGAGATAATATATTGAGCAAAGATTAATTATAAGGATGTGAATCATAGTAGTGCCTATATGAGCAAATAATTGGAAAAAAATGAGTTGTCCAATAATTTAAAAATATTAGTTAATTATGCTATGATATAGCTATATTAAATATATACTGCCTTCCATATTTTAAACATAATGATATAGAAAATTTTATAAATGGAGAAAATATTAACAATATTGATAGCTGAGAATCAGGTTCAGAATCTGTATCTTTGGTAGGATCCTCTTGTGATGCAATCATCTTATTCACATCCATTCTAGCGCTTCCCCACTGAGGAGCAGCCCTGTGGTTTAGGTAGAATTTTCCCTATTCTCAGCTCTATGAGTCAGCATGGCTGGGTTTTGCCAGTCTTCTGAGTATAATAATGCCTAAGTCAATCAGCTCATCCATATTCCCCTGGCTATAGTGGTTGTTTCTCATTTAGCTAAATCCACATGCACATCAAGACTGTTGTGTAGCAGTTTGAGAGGGGATAATCTCTCTATGTATCTGTTAAAAAAGAAATACATAGTTTGATTACTTTTGGCAACCATCCCACTACCATGGGGAAGATCAGCTTGAGGTTGAAGAATAGCTGAGAGCCACAGAGAAATGAATCTGGAGACCTCGTCAAAAAGTATCTGAAACCTGGCCCCTCTAGATGTTTTCAGTTGCAGAACCAATAATTCTTATTTATTAATTATTCTAGCAAGAGTCTTGTTTTCTGTGCTTATAACCTAAAGCATCCTAATTAATATGGAATCTAATTATGTAAAAAATATATTCATATATTACAAAGCTACACAATAAAATATCAATAATAATTGTCTCTTGGAGAGGATTACCAGTTATTTTTCCCTCTACTTTGTGATTTTTTTTTGTAATCCAGATTTTCTATAATGAATATATATTATTTTATTCAGAAAAATCAAATATAATAATAGAGTCAGAATAATAATTGTCATCTAAGCCAAAACCATCAGACTTTTAATTGTGAATGGTGATAGGCTAAATGAAATGAAGTGAAAGCTAATATATTGTTAGTTTTGTTTGTTTGTTTGTTATTACCTTTCAGAGTCAGGAATGCAAAGTTCTTAATTCCAAGACTCTTATTTATTTCTGTACATGAGTTTATTTTTAAAAATTTAAAAATCTGATTAGTTCAAGATCCATGGATTTTGACATCTGCCTTCCTGACTCAATATTAGGACACCTAAAATTGGTTTTAGGCATGACAGAAGAAACACTGAGCTTGGGATTCCCACTCCAAAATTTCCTGGATATTTGACCTCAGGCAATTACTTAAACTTCCTGAACCTTAGTTACTTCAGCCAAGAAATATGGGGTTGCAGTTAAGTGAAATAAGCCAAGCACAGAAAGACAAATATCACATGTTCTCGCTTATATATGGGAGCTAAAAAAGTGGCTCTCGTGAAGATAAGAGAGTAGATTGGTGGTTACAAGAGACTGAGAAAGGTAGAGAGGAGGAAGGTATGAAGCAAGGTTGATTAATGGGTACAAATGTATGATTTGAGAGAAGAAAAAGATCTGGTGTTTGATAGATCTGTGAGATGACTATAGTTTGCAATTATCTATCATATGCTTCAAAATAGCCAGAAAAGAATAATTGAAATGTTCCTAGAATAAAGAAGAGAGAAATATTTAAGGTGATGGACATCTCAAGTTTACTGATTTGATCTTTAAAAATTATATGAATGTATTAAATTATCACATGTACCCTAAATTAGTTATATTTATTATGCATCAATAAAAATTGTTTTAAAAAAAGAAAAAAGGGGTTAGACCAAATGTTATCTACCTTTCCATCTGTGAAATTCTATGAATGAATCTAAATCATGCTTTGTATTTGAGCAGAACTGATATTCACTGCCTGCTTTGGGAAGCATAAGTAGGTTTCAACTCTTATCATAACATTAATAATTGGTAGCCACTGTCTGCAGAGCGGTGGTAAGAATGTCTCTGAGAGTACTTACGGACTCAGCAGGAAACAGTGCTATGATCTGTCAATGATGTTGATGTGTATTTGAATCCTCAGTCTGGCTCTTATACACATATCGTAATGTACCCTAATTTATTTTATTATTATTTTTTTGTAGCACAGTGTCCACAGTCTTTTTAGAGTGAAATAACTGGGAAGAAATCCCTTCAAAATGTATCTGCTTCTTTTCTCCTATTCCTTTGATATCTCTTAATAATTGGTGGCATTGACTGAATAAGAGTTTGACTGAATAAAAGTAAAACTTTTAGTAGTTGAAGTTTAGAAGGAAATTTCTAGCTTGTTTCTAACACTTGATATTTTCTTGTAGAAGGAGCTGCAAATGAACACTTCATAGCAAGTAAGCAAATGTCCTAATAGCGGTTCCAAGTATGGGCAGGGTGGGTCAGTGAGTGGCTTGTTTGCAACTATGTTCACTTCTTGCTTCTGTCAAACTCATCCATAGTGTGGAACTCCAACAGAAACCGGTGAATAAAGATCAGTGTCCCAGAGAGAGACCAGAGGAGCTGGAGTCAGGAGGCATGTACCACTGCCACAGTGGCTCCAAGCCCACAGAAAAGGGGGCGAATGAGTACGCCTATGCCAAGTGGAAACTCTGTTCTGCTTCAGCAATATGCTTCATTTTCATGATTGCAGAGGTCGTGGGTGAGTCTTTCTGCAGACTTTTTTCATTAAACAACCAAACAAAACTCTGCATCATTATGGGAGGGTTACCTAAGTTCTTATAAAGTAAGATTTAATATTTTCTGTAAGTATAAGGTAACAATATGCTCATTGTAGATAAGCTGAAAAATAGAAGGAAACAAAATAAAATTCATCACTATTCCATATTTGAGCTATAGCCTTCAATAATTTTAGGGAGTGTTTTGTACAATGCATTTTGTATTCATAGCTCACAGGTTTTATTTTTTAAACATAACTGAGAGCATACTGAATGCTTTTGACCATACTGTCAAATACTCCTCAAAAACATTTTTATGCCTGAACAATATTCTCTAATATGCTCCACTGTAATTTACATAACCATTTCTCTATTGTTAGAAATTTAGGGAGTTTTTTCCTGCTTATGGACAATGCTGCAATGCAAAATCTTGAAGAAAACTCTGCCTGTCTTTCTGGTTAATCCCTTCAAAGAGATTCCTAAAAGTGAAAATAATTGGTTGAAGGACATGAATATTTGTATTACTTGATTCATATTGCCAGAGTGCTGTTGAGAAAGCTAAACAATTCGTCTCTACCAGCTCTACTTGAGAATGATTCTGACTCCAAATCTTAATGACACCTAATTTTAATCTCTAAAATACTTTGCTACTGTATAGATGAATGTTTTATTTTAATATTTATTTCTTTAATTGTTACTATTAGACTATTTTTGCATGCTTATTAGTGATCTGTATTTCCCTCTGTTAATGCATTTTCTCCTTGTCTCTTAATGTCTGTTACTCATTCGTTTTTTAGAAAATTTTTAGTTCTCTATATTGATCTCTGGGAGCTCTTTATATATTAGGATGTTAGACCTTTGTTATATTAGTTATAAGTGCTTTTCCAGTTTGTTGTTTAACCTTTTGATGTTTATTTTGACTTAGAGATGTTTTAAATTTTATATAGGTAACTGTTTTAAACTTTTCATTTTGAGCTCATTTCTTTTACTACTCTCACTATTTTAGTGCTTAACAATCCTTCTCCATCTACTGAGAAGATAGCTTTTTTGTTGTTTAATTTTTGCATTTGGTTTTAAAATTAATGTTCACATTAGATATATTGTATGCTCTAAGGACTGAATTTTTTTCTAAATAACAGTTTTCAGCATCATTTAGGAAATAATTATTTTCCCCATTGATTTTTTATATTTCTTTAATCACTTATCAAAACTTTATAAATAGCAGGGTCTGTTTCTAAGGTGTTTCACTGATCTGTGTTTCTGGTCTCTGTCAAGGACATAATTAATGTAGATTTATATGTTATAATATCTGTTATTTCCTACTCATGATTTTTAATTTAACAAAGAAAAGCAAAGGCTATTCATCTCTGTTTATTATCCTAATTAAACATGAGAATTGTTCTGTTCAGTTTTCCCTCATCCAATTATGATTTTATTAATATTCAAGTTAATTTGAGAACACAGTATCTTTAAGTATTCAGCTTTCCCTCCAGGAATATGTTATGTTTCTCCGTTTATCCAAATATTCTACATGTCTCATCAAGGTTTTATGGTGTTCATCTTAATACATGGACAGCCTATTTCTTGCAAGACTTATTTGTGATTATTATATGTGTTTGGCTTATTCTTTCCAAGGGTGAATGCAGTCCACCGTTTTTCATGTTTTGTTTTCTAAATAGTTACTTTTTGTATTCTAAAGTTTTGATTTTTGTATATTCACTTTGTACTCAATTATATATTTGAATTATTGTCAATTCTAAATATATTTCAGTGCATTTCCCTTTTTCCTGTCTCATGGATCTTCCTCATCCCAGGACATCACCCTGTCTTGTGCAGAAAACATATTTCCCCTCATTTCAATATTTATATCTCTTTTGTGTGTTTCGTGTTTTTATCACGTTAAACAATACCTTATGCTAAATCAAATCTATGTTTGATTATTTAGCTGTTAAGCAAAATGCTTCTTGAAGGGTTAAGTGTTTTGTATTATGTTAATGAAATGTTTCTTTGTTTCAGTTTTGTAATGATTAACAAAGAATCAAGGATGAGTGTTGACTTTTAAGCAAATACCTTTACTTTTGACTTTGTTTTTTAAAGCTTTTTGATTCTTGTTTGAGGTGTGTTATGTTAAGAGAAACATGATATGATCTTTGCATTTTTGGCATTATGATAGTAGCTATTATTTATTTAATGCTTACTATGTGTTAGAAGCTGTGACGAGTGCTTTCCATGTATTACCTTAATTAATCCCGGTGAATTCCCTAAGAGGTGGCTCTTATTGTTAATCTCACTTTATAGAAGGAACTAGAAGCACAAAGGCTAAAACACTTTGAATATTAAACACTGAAATAAACGTGAGCTATACACACATCTAAGAAAGATGATAAACACAAGTGAGATAATTACGCAATTTTGGGTGAATCAGTGCGTGAGGGTGGTCATAATGGTGGTGGTTACATCAAGGAATAAATGTTTGCAAAGTGAAAATTGTCAGGAGTGCCTCCTGCTATCACACAGTTCAAACTCAAGAAAAAATGAGCTGGGCTTGCTGAGCACTTTCATACTGTGTCTTTTTATGGGGGGCATCTGTATGATGATCATCTACCTTACACATATTTATTTTACAATCGTTTGTTTCCATTCATTCCTTTTTCAGCCCGCTTATTTCAGTTTCATAGCTGGAGTCTGTCCCAGCAGCTCAGGGTTCAAGGTGGGAAAACAGCCCTCCCATCACAGGGCACAGTCACTCACCCACACTCACTCCCGCCAGGACCATGTAGACACGCCAGTGAACCTCATGTGCACAGAATGTGGGAGGAAACCCTAGTACTCAGAGAAAACCCATGCAGACATGGGGAGAACATGCAAACTCCACACAGACAGCAACCCTGGTCAGGAATCCATTTTATTTTCTTATCGACATTATAAACAAAGGAAGTTGAATGAAATGATGTTATTTGAGGACGTGTTGTTGTACTTGTTAAGTAACAACTCAATGGGGTTTTGACACAACATATGGTATAGTATAATAGTATTCACAAAATAATTAAAGAAGAATTTAAAAATATGTTAATTAATAGCACACAACTGTAGCCCAGCAATGGGACACATGGCTAACGTTGTCAGATAAACATTCTTTCATTGCTGTCAGTAAGTCTGTGTTCTCCATGGAAACCCGCATGGGGAATTAACACCATCTCAGTTGGAGGTGGTTTGTGAGACCCAGGCCCCATCGTTCCTCTGCTCTATTGCTGTCACCTTCACTCCACAGGCCTTAAGTCAAGTCTTCCAGGTCTGAGTCTTTTCTGTGTGTCTCTTATCTTGTTATAAGTGTACTGCTCTGCACATCTTGTCAAGTATTCCAGAAATATGACTGCTGCTGCCCTAGTTCATGCCTTTATCATAATTTCCCTTCGCTAACACTATCGAGACTTTAAAAGAAAATTTTTTTTTTGAGACGGGGTCTCGTTCTGTCACCCAGGCTGGAGTGCAGTGGCCCGATCTTGGCTCACTGCAAGCTCCGCCTCCCGGGTTCACGCCATTCTCCTGCCTCAGCCTCCCGAGTAGCTGGGACTACAGTCGCCTGCCACCACGCTCGGCTAATTTTTCATATTTTTAGTGGAGACGGGGTTTCACCGTGTTAGCCAGGATGGTCTTGATCTCCTGACCTCGTGATCCGCCCGCCTCTGCCTCCCGAAGTGCTGAGATTACAGGCGTGAGCCACCAAGCCCGGCCAGAAGTCTCTCTTAAATACAGATCTCAACATGCCACAGCCTTGCCTCAAAAATAATAAGTAGATCTCCTTAGCCATAGAATCACATTCAAACCCTTTGGCTTGACATATAATACCCCACACAGGCGTTTCCAACCTGCCTTCCCAGGCTCATTTCCCATTTTTCCTCCAACATTCCATACCTTCTGCTTTTCCCGAAAAGTTCTATGTTCTTTCACTCTATTTTAGTCCGTGCTTTTATCTCTTCCTGAAAACCCCTTCTCTTTTTGCTAATTCTTACCCCTCTCTTTGTGAAAAGTTCCTCACTCTTCCCAGTGAGGGCAGCTCTCTGATCCCTTAGCCCATTAACTTGTCTCTGGTACAGTGAGTGTTAAACAAGGAGATCACTGAAGAGAGGCTGTTATTTGTTTATCTTTGTATACCCAATCCCTGGTACCATGCACAGTAAGGGCTCAATAAATATTGGCTGGATAATTGAATTAATTGTCAGTAATACTCCATGCTTTCAGAAGCAAATGCAAGATCAGTCACAAACTACCTCTTGCAAGCAGTTTGCTCTATGCATCAGTGACTGCCCGCAGTTTTCTGGATGGCTCTTATAAGTAGCTCTGAAGGTTGCAAAATGGTTCTCAGTTTCCAAGCCTCCATAGTAACATGCTTATTCCAAAGCAAGCCCTTTTTCTTTCTCAGGTGCCTCCTGCCTCAGCTGAGACTGTTGAAGAGAGTTTATAAAACTGACTTCATTTCCTTGATTTAGACTATATTTCAGCCCAGCACATAGAATCGTCATCACTCATTGCTGTGATTGCAGCGTACTGCTTATCTGCATGGAGTTATTCTCTGGGCAAGAAATAATGCCTTATTAACACAGTTTTATCATCAGGACCAAGTTTGGCAGATAGAGCAACATTAGAGGATAATTGGAAGGACAGCTGATTTGTTAGCAAAATGTTGCTTTTTGGGTAATGAATCATTCTGATTTTTGCAGTGACTGTTCAGTAACAAGCTTGAAGATTACTTTGCTTCAGCCCATTAAACCTTGACAAACCAGTTATTAACTACGGCTAGAGCCAATGGCCTGTGGGGATTATTGCAATTATGAGCCATCTATGTAATTTTTAAAAATTAGGCGAGACAAGGTGAGTCTGATGATGGCGGGGCTGATGGCTGACAGTCTCTGCTATTTTGTAGTACACAAGGCAATAAACAGCTGTAGGGAGAACTAATCAGTCAGCAAAAGCCCTTTGCTGGGAAGATGTAGTAAGAGCAATAAAGGTTATTGCTCTCAAACAACAAACCATGTCTGGGAAGGAAAGGGCAAGGTTTTTCTTTAACTTCTATTTTGGAGGCTGGAGGTCTTTTCTCAAAGGAGGATTAGAGGGAAGTAGAGGGAGCACATCAAATAAAGGGAAAAGCCAGGCAGGACTCTCATGGCTTACATTGCATCCCTATGCTTTATTGGATTGTAGCACTGAGGACGCCCATTGGAAGGTACCTGCCCTTTCTCCTTTCTGCTCCCTGTTATTTCTTACAGGGATTTCAAGCTCAGGTGGATAATATATATTAATAGAGAAAAAGGAAAGGGTAAAGATGCTGATTAAATTATAAGTCAAATAAAAACACATCTGTGGGCCAGATCGCAACATCTAGTTTATAAACAAAAGTCCATGTCCTCAGTCTGGATTATGAGACTCTTTGAATCTGACCCGCACTGCTTCAGCCTGATTCTCTTGTATTCTCCTCTTTTGAATCCTTATACCCAGTCTAATTAAGGTGTTCTCCAGATGTGCCTGCCCCACACTTTCTAGTCTCTATGTCTTTTCTACCCCAGGAATGGCTTCTCCTTTGAAATTGATTTCTACATGTTCAAATCATATCCCCTCTCTGAGTCGCAGAAGGGGTGAATTAAATCAACTTTAAGATCTCTTTTTCCTCTAAAGTTTTGTGAGTCTGTGGCATTTTCACCCATGATGGTTAGCATGTCTGTGAATCTAGCTGCATTCTGGGACCTTAACACAGTGTACTATTTTGCATTCTCTAGGTGGGCACATTGCTGGGAGTCTTGCTGTTGTCACAGATGCTGCCCACCTCTTAATTGACCTGACCAGTTTCCTGCTCAGTCTCTTCTCCCTGTGGTTGTCATCGAAGCCTCCCTCTAAGCGGCTGACATTTGGATGGCACCGAGCAGGTACGGTTCATAGAGTGAGCAATAACAGCAGGCTGGTGCTGCAAAGTCAAACCAAGGGTAAAAGTGGAAGACACGAAGCAAAGCCTTGTTGGAAAGTCCTTAGAGACACATTTCTGATGCACAGGATAAAACAAATGTGTATGTGGGAATGTGTGTTTTCAATATTAATTCAGATAACAGACAGATTAATGGTGCTATCTCTAGTCCTCTGGGACAACAGGAACACGTGTATCACTTCAGCAACTGCCCCAGCCTCAGGGACTCTGTGTATGGTGACAGACATAACGCAATTCATTAAATTACTCTGCATCCCTGGAAGAGAGGATAGGAGTAAAGCTTCTGCCATATTGCAAAATGAGGCACAGAGCACCCAAGAGAGTTATAGAGATTGAAGAACTTCTTATAGAGGATTCAGGAATAGAATATAGGCTTTCCTGCTCACACACAGCATTTAGCCATTCAGCCATTGGTCCAATTGAATATCTTGCTCGCTCAATCAACAATAATGCAAAAAAGGAGGAGGAGAAGGAAGAGGAGAAGATGAAAGTTTACTTTTTCTCCTTTCTTGCGCTGGTTCCTTCACTGAATAACTGCTTACTCTTGTATAGGCAGTAGCCAAGGTCATGATAAGGGGTGTGTGTGTGTGTGTGTGTGTGTGTGTGTGTATTCATTCTTTATTGCTCAGTTGACTGTTGTAACAGGAGGAAAGCAAACACGTGCTGAAACATGTGCCTGAGCCTTGCCTGCCATTTATTAAATGTGGTTCACGTGTGCTTCCTTAAATAATTTCACAATAGACAAATGAATCCACTCTGATTAAGAAAGGGAGAGAAGAAGTCTAGTGCAAATTCCAGCCTTCTCAACTCATAATTATAGGGATTTCAAATAACATGTATGCACTAAAACAGACATAAATAACTTAACCAAGTAGCATAAACAACTTGGAGGTCTCTAAATTTGGTATATAACACATTTGACTGTATGCTTTTTTAAATTTTAATTTTAATTTTAATAAGTTCTGGGGTACATGTGCAGGATGTGTAGGTTTGTTACATAGGTCAACGTGTGCCGTCATGGTTTGCTGCACCTATCAACCCATCATCTAGGTATTGATAAGGGTTTTTACTTTGACTCATTTTTACAGTCCCTCCCTAACCCACCCCCACAACCCCCACACTCTGCAACTTCAATTCTTCTCCTCTGTGTTATTCCTTCTATCAGCTGGAGGAGGTTCCGGCTGAATATTTTGTGCAAATCATGTGAACAAATAGCCACAATTCCACATTTTCACACTGGTTGAGAACATCCATGTAGAGGAAATTGGAGAGCTGAGCAAGGGTGGCCAGCCTTCACTGAAAGGGCTGCTAGACACATATCACAGCTTATAGACTGATAACTGTGGACTGCGGCTTTTCAAGTTTAGAATGGCAGGAAGTCCTAATTTCATACTAAACAAACACTTGATCATCGCAGGTGTTTTGACTTGCTTCCCTTTAACATTCAGGAGATGAGGCAATAAACAGCAGTAAAGAGAGTTTGTGACAACGTGATCTGAGAATGTTTTTGCTGGTGCTTGAACAGCGCTACACTTGGAAAACATGGACCTGTAGCTAAGCACCCATTATTTGTCTGTGTAAAGTTTTACATGTACTTGACCCTTTCTGATACCATTTGTCAAAGCAGTTTTGTAAACCTAGGATGATTTGAAAATGTAGGGTGAACTCAGAATTTAGATCTCTGCTTGTACTTTGGCATCGTGGCCATGGAAGACCCTGAGCTATTAATAGAACTCTCTGCTGCGAGGGCAATATTCTGTAATATACAGTAAAATGTAGCTATTGAGCACTTTAAATGCAGCTAGTGCTACTGAAGAACCAGATTTTAAAATTTACTTAATTTCATTTTAAGCAGCCATGCATGATTGGTGGCTACCATATTAAACAGCACCTCTATAGATACAGAGGTGAGTCCAACACATTCATACGCAACACACCCATAATCTGGCCAGCCCAATGAGCCCAGCTAAGCTAACTTATTTCTTTTTTAAGCAATCATTGTAACATTTACCAATGATCCTCATGTGCCTCCTGTTCTAACTAGTTACTTTTGGATTTCTGACTCTTTGTTTTGTCTTAAGATCTGACTCCTGACTCTTGCTCTTGGTATTGAGCTTTACCTCGCCAGCTCTTTTCCCACTGTGCTTCCTAATCATGGGTTTTGAGTTAGACACACTCCACTTTCATACCCTGTTTTGGATTTTCATGGATAGGAAGCACACTACCTGACATCCACAGACTCAACCTCCATTTCCGGCTAACCAGAAATTCTTGGGCTTGGTCCTCATAAACTTCTGCAAAGGGGAGTCGTAAGTAGCCTGAGTAGACTAATAAAATAACAATTTCTTGAGTGTTTGCTATATGTTATATTAGGTTCCTAGGGCTGCCTTAATAATGTACTACAAATTGGGTACAGTATTTTGGGGGGTACATTATTAATTTTCATAACAAATTATGAAGGTTGTCTATGAATGAGGTCGGGGAAATAATTGCCATACACTGGGTAATAATATATTACATTACTTGGTTTTAAATACATTTCTGTTTAAACAACAGACATTTATTGTCTCACAGTTATGAGAAACAGAAGTCTGCAATCGGGCGTCAGTGGGGTTGGTTCCTTCTGAGGTCTGTGAGGGGAAGTCAGTTCCAGGCCTCTCTCTTAGCTTCTGGTGGTTTTCTGGGAAACTTTGTCATTCCTTAGCTCATAGAGCTCTGCTTTCATGTTTACATGGCATTTTCCCAATTTGCATGTCTATGTCCAGGTTTCCACTTTAAACAAGGACACCAGCCATATTGGGCCCATCCTACTCCAATGTGACCTC
Organism: Homo sapiens; assembly: GCF_000001405.40. Taxonomy (NCBI): domain Eukaryota; kingdom Metazoa; phylum Chordata; class Mammalia; order Primates; family Hominidae; genus Homo; species Homo sapiens. The sequence goes on from NC_000008.11 coordinate 117,155,972, forward strand.
ATCTTAACTAACTTAATCTGCAGTGACCCTATTTCCAAATAAAGTCACAGTCTGAGGAACTGAAGATTAGTACTTTTTTTTTTTTTGAGACAGAGTCTCACTCTGTTGCCCGGGATGGAGTGCAGTGGCACAATCTTGGCCCATTGCAACCTCCACCTCCCCGGTTCAAGCAATTCCCCTGCCTCAACGTCCTGAGTAGCTGGGATTACAGGTGCACATCACCATGTCTGGCTAATTTTTTTTGTATTTTTAGTAGAGATGGGGTTTCACCGTGTTGGCCAGACTGGTCTTGAACTATTGACCTCAGGCAATCCGCTTGCTTCAGCCTCACAAAGTGCTGGGATTACAGGCATGAGCCGCCGCACCCAGCCAAAGATTAGTACTTTAACATATAAATTTGGGGGGAACATAATTCAACCCATAATCTATGGCAACTTGTTTTACATATATTCTATTATTATAATACATATAGATAAGAAAATTCAGGCTCAAATAGGTTAAGTGACTTGTCTAAAGTCACATAGCCAGTCACTGGCAGGCCATATACGTCTGACACTTGAGCTCATGCCTTAAACATCTGCATCAGCATTTCCCATAGTGTGAGAAATGTTCCACAGTTGGTTAGTCAGATAATTTTAAGTGTCATATGGACAATAATTACACATCCTGATGCACATTACAAAATAAACTAGCACATCAAATATGTAATTTCATGGATAACATTGTTTAGGAAGAAGCTAAGTGTAAAAAGTGAATTTATTTGAAAAAATATCGAGTGGTTAATAAGACAGGTAGCATGTGGATTTGGAAAACGTTATGAAGGTTGTCTGTAAATGACTAAAGTCTGGGAAATAATTGCCACACAATGGGTAATAATATATTACATTACTCTGCTTTAAAAGGAACTAATCTCTGGGATTAGCTTAAAGTGGGGAAGGACTAAATGATGGATTGTACCTGACCACTGACTCACAGAATGTTTCTAGACCTTTCTGGGTTTTTAGAATCTATGGGTTTGAATTAAAGGTCAGAGTGAGGTGTTAACTCCTAAGTGAGCAAATGCACTTTTCTCAGTGGGCAGATTGAACACCATTTTATCTTTACATATTGATGTAAACACTTCTATTCTGATGCTTCTTTTTCGTACTGTTGCTCTTAAAATGCAGTCAGAGTGTTAGTCAGCCTCTGAGCTCACCTCTGTGTTTATAATATGTTGCGTTGGCAAATAAAACTCATTTTCTTCAAGTGCTCTCTGAAGCTTTCCCTTTTCACTATTTTATTCCATTGAAGGTGCTGGCACTGGCAGGTCGTAAATTTTTTATGGCAAAATTAAGAGTTTCTAAACACATTTTACTCTCTGTGTCTCATTATTTTACCTCCTAATAAGTTTCAATCATTTTAGCACCTGTTTAAATTAAGATCCCCAAGGAAAACAGGGGGTAGGGGCAGGCAGCAATTAATATGTTCTAAAAATTTGCTGAAAAATTACTTAGTAAGATGGAACATAGTGACTCAGATGCTGGTGTTTTATGAATGCAACATTAAAATACTTTCTCTTAGTTTTAAAATCCATCCACACTTTTACTTTGTGAATCACTGGATGAACTAATGTGAAGCCTTTTTGGGGGAAGTGGCAAAGTGTCTTATGACTCTTGGGGGTGTAGGTGTAGGTGATGGAGTTATCTGTGTGTGGGTTTCTGTGTGTGTTTGAATTCCTAGAGATCCTTGGTGCCCTGCTCTCCATCCTGTGCATCTGGGTGGTGACTGGCGTGCTAGTGTACCTGGCATGTGAGCGCCTGCTGTATCCTGATTACCAGATCCAGGCGACTGTGATGATCATCGTTTCCAGCTGCGCAGTGGCGGCCAACATTGTGTAAGTCATCCCCTGGTCCCCACACACTGCTCATGAGGCTCTCCTGTAACTATCTGGACAAAGTCGACCTTTTAAAAAACTCAGTACATGTGAAGATGGTAGAGACTGGACAGAGTGTTTGAATGGCTCTAAGATTGAAAATAAGGTTGACTGCTTTCGTTTAAGCTAAAGTGTTTTTTAATATTGGCTTCTGCTAGCTATCATGTTTTGAAAGCTTCTGGTGTGCTAGAGGCAGGGTTAGGATGTTTGAATATATATTACCAACTTTAATGTTCACAACACCCCTATGTTATAGATTAGGAAACTAAAGCCCAGTGAGGTTAAATACACTGCCAGTTAAGTAGTACAGAGCCAGGATTTTAATCCAGATTCGCAGACCCAGAATTGAGCTGCTTTACATTCTGCTCTCAGGCATGCTGATGGTTCCACATGGGGCATGACTTACTACTGTTCCATTTCTATGGGGTGAGCAGATGGTGGCTTCCCAGTGAGCTGGGTGGAAAGGGACTCTAAAATGTATTTACTTCAGTCCCCATTTTACTTTTGCATTTTCTTTTGCAACATTTCCATAAAATGGTCATTAGTTTCATATATTTTAATAGAACTCATAAAAGGAAATTTATTTCCCTCAAAAACAGCCTCTTTTATCTTTGCAGCATTGTGACTGCATGAAAATTCTTCCTTATGCTATGTTAGTTAAATTCTCCCTTAAGTTTCAACCTGCTTGTCCATTCTTTTATCTAGGCAGTCTTAAATCATTCTTACAGGAGATGAGCATATGTCCCTTGACAAATGAGTCTACCTTTCCCAAAATGAACTACTGGATTGCCCAGGCAATGGGGTTTTGAGGCCAGGACTTTGATTTTTTTGAGTCAAATTTCTCCTTCCCATTTGAGGGTCTAATTCTGGGCAACTCTACTTAAAACTCCATCCATCCATCTATCTATCTAGTGATCTAGCTAGCTATCGTGTTGGTGGACAGAATAATGACCCATTCTCCTAAAAAGCTTTAAACATCCTAACCCCTGGAACTTCTGAATATGTTAAATCATATGGCAAAAGGAACTGTGCAAATATGATGAAGGATATTAAGATGGGAAATTATCCTTGATTATCCAGGTGGGTCCACATAATGACAAGCGTCCTTATAAGAGGGAGACAGGAGATCAGAGAGGAGAGAAGATGCTGTATTTCTGATGTTGAAAATGGAGAAATCGGCCTGGAGCCAAGTGGCCTCTGGAAGCTAGAAAAGACAAGAACATGAATTTCCTTCTAGAACCTCCACAAAGGATGCAGTCCTAGAGACCCACTTTAGATTTCTGACCTCCAGAACTATAATAAGTTTGTGTTGTTTTAAGCTGCTAAAGCATCATGGTTATTTGTTACAGAAGCAATAGGAAACTCAGCCTATTTATCATCTGCCTATCTATCTTGCAATACAACTTGACACATGCTATGAGGTAGATTTTTACATGAAGGTAGAGAAGACAGTGATCGAAAAATGAAGTTTTAAACAGTGGATTTTAAGAGGGGGCACAATGACATCTCTGGAATTCAAGAATAGCTGAGCATGTACACTTTGAAAAAGGTCCTCAGGTCATTCTAACAGCCTTGCCCCTTGACATCTCACTTACTCAGCTCTCAGTTTGTGAACCATTGCTCAAAATCTCTGAGCTAAATAATTAGAAGAATGGTGTTTGATCTGCTGTCACTGACTAGATCCCCATCTTTAGCCAGTTAACTTGAAAATGTGTTTCACATTGGCACTGGGAGAAAAAGTGTGAGTAGATCAATGTAAATCTGTCACCTCTAGGAGACAAATATGCCAGAGCACACATATTGCTGACTACGGGTCAATAAAGTCCGCTTTGCATAAGGAGAACAATATGGTCTTGAGGCAGAAGGAAGAATGCAAGTATTAACTTCCTGAGAGTCATATGTCACTTAGGCTGTCTTGATGCTACACAAAGATGAAGGCTACAAACCTACCCAACTATCACATCAATCTGGGGCCTCAATGATCAGGTTTGATTTTCTAAACAGATATCATCCAAATTTTCTTTTTCTCGTAACTGCTTTTGAACATTGACCTTAACATTGCAGGTGCTTTTTACACTCAGAAAGTCAAGGCAGTTGGAAAGCTCTGCCTTCTTTGTGCAAGTAGATAGTTATTTATGGATAAGAATGCTGAGTGACTATAATATTTTCTCCAAGAACTGGGATTACAGGTTTCAAATGCTGCTAGATGCTGTATTGTTTGAATATAGAGATATCGGAATTGCGATTCAGGAATAAATCTATTCCCTGGGGACTCAAAATCAGGACAGAAAGTTCCAATAGAAGTTGTGAAGAGATTCTAGGATGAAGGTTATAAATACAGCCTTAAGGCTATTGCCTGCTAAGTTTTCACTGCCTGAAACATTTCCTCCCATCAGCATATTTAACTCTAGCTTAAGCTTTTGAATTCAACTCAGCTGCTACGTCTTTCTAACTAAATCAGATTCCTCTGTTGTATTACCCATAGTACCAGTGGACTTATTGTAATTAGAATTTTCCACTTGTGTGTGTGTGTGTGTGTGTGTGTGTGTGTGCGCGCACATGTGCGCGCGGTGGGGGAGTGGGGTGTTTAATCTTTACCTTCTCCAGCACATTTAAAGCTACACTGGGGAGTGACCACAACTGTTTTCACTCACCTTTATGGCCCAAGCTTTTACAAATGTCTGCATATGAGTGACTACACAAGTTTTTTTCCTCTCTCTTTTTGTCAATAAGATGAGTAAAAGAATGAATGACAACGTGATGAACACACATGGCAGATCAGATGAGGTTCTATGATCTGTCAGCCATATCAGGCTGTCTAAGGAACCTTAAATGTTAACTCCTAGGTGAGAGTGAATTTCTACCCAAACAATGAACACCTGAAAACTGCACATTCAGTAGTGATCAGATCTAGATGGCTAGCGGTCATTCCACTTTGTGGTGATGACCTGAGATTTAACAGACACTTTACCTGAAAATAGAATGGGATACATGGTGTTGAACAATATGTTGCTGCTTTTAAATCTTTGTTCCAAAATGTTTAGAAAAAGTTCAGAAAGGCAAAACACTGTTAGCTGTCAGTGAAAATGTTCTAATTTTACGTTTAGTCTAATACCTCTTAAAGTTATAGATAAACAGAATTATGTACATAGTTTGTAGTGTTTGCTACTGATCACTTTGACTCAGACAAGAGATGCTCAGCTTTGCAATATATTGTGTGTATATGTATGTACACATACAAGATCATTTTTCATACATTAATATATTTCTACTTCTGGATTAATAGCTTTATATACATGAGCACAATATTCTCATCATTGGACAGTAAGAAATCATTCAAATTTAAAATTCTTTTGAAAATGCACAAAATTAGGTAAAATAAAACCTCAATAAAATTCACTACTTATCTTATTTTTCCCTTATTTATCCCTTCCTGTGTTTTTTGCATTTGAAACCAGTACTTTTAATTAAGCTCCCAATGAAGCTTGACTTTAAGCCAGCTTGGTGCCTGACAGTCAGTCAACCTTCAATAAAGGAGATTTCCTCCCTTCATTATCAAATGCTTGATTTTCATCTAAGAAGTGATGCTTTCCAGTTTCAACATGAAACAGATAAACATTAGGTGGATGAATGAGTAAACTGGATGGGTCTTTGTGGTTTGTTTTTGTATAAAAGTATTAAAATTCTATGACATATGTATTTAAACATTAGTCAAAGATAGTTCTTTTTAAAGCATAAATATTTCAACTATCCATCATTTTGGATAATGCATGTTATTGCCAGCTTCTCCATTATGCTGCCTACGTTTTTAAGACTGACCTCATGTGTGCTAAGAACATTGTTCTCTCTTTCAGACTAACTGTGGTTTTGCACCAGAGATGCCTTGGCCACAATCACAAGGAAGTACAAGCCAATGCCAGCGTCAGAGCTGCTTTTGTGCATGCCCTTGGAGATCTATTTCAGAGTATCAGTGTGCTAATTAGTGCACTTATTATCTACTTTAAGGTGAGTTTGAGTTTACCCACCATCCTAGTACTTATGTAGATTAGGTAGTACAGAAGCTGACCCTCCAACATTAACTTAAAGAGAATGGGCATCCTCTGTTTACCTATACAAACTACTTTGCAAAGCTAAAGCAAGCAAACACTCAACCATGGTGTTAAGATGAACAGCAACAAAACTGTGAATACCTTCAGGTTCTTGGATTATAAGCAATAGGGAACATCTCTGGCTCACTTTAGCAAAAAGTATATTTATTGGCTGAAATTTATTGGATGTGCTCCTAGACAGACATCAAAGTAGAAATAAGGGCAAATTTTGATATCTAGGTTTTAGAAACGATCCAACTTCTGTCCCAGACACCACACTGAAATAAATGTGTCTCAACAAATTTTTTTTTCTGTTTTTGTCACTTCTGAAGAATGATATTTCTGTGAACGGGAGTCCAGTTGACCTAGGTTGTGTCTTGTATCTGCTGCTTGGCCGAAGGGAGGTTAGAGCACCTGATTTATTGTTCCACCAGTATTGCCCACAATGGGGGAGAGGTAACTTCTCCCCCAGAAGCCAAGGTGCTAATGAAAAGTGGGAATGACTTCCCGGTAAGCCTCTGACCCTAAACAAATAAATATCCACTGCAGATCTCTACCTGGTAATACTGATAACAGAGATGGGTTAGCAGGCAGAGAATGGAGAAGAACATTTAGCTCTGTCTGTTTGCATCACAATTGTCTGATTTGCAGAGACTCACAGCTTTTCCTAAAAAAGTGAAAACATGGAAAGAAAAATTACAAAGACATATCTAAATTCAGTTGAGCAAAATGATCACTGAAAGCTTTAGGTCTAAGGCAAAACTAGTTTGAGGGTCCACTTACAAAAGTTGAGTTGATGCTGAATTTCTTAAAGATAGTGGGGCACAGACTTTTCTGTGGCATAGAACTTTCTCAAGGGTAGAAAAGCAGACATTTCACCCTGAGGCGACTGAGCAAGGATGATACTTTGGTTCACACCTTTAAGACTGCATCAAAGATGCCAGCCTTGAGTATGTGCAATACTTGAGAGGCAAAGAAATAAACTCACTCCAGTCAGCCAAGAGCATAGTCCAGCTGTATGCTGGCCACATGCAATTTCTGAACAAGTTATGTCCTTTCTTCTGCTCATTATAATTAAGGCCAAAAAGTCTTTGGATCTTGTGGGCATATTTGTGCATACTTTCATCACATACTCTGTACTTTTATTAATCTGCAAGAAGTTAAATCAGGGCTCTTGAGAGCAAACTTAAGAATATTCTTCCTTTTAGTTCTTAAATTATGGGGAGAGCATGACTTGTAGTCTCACTTCTTTATTTGCTGGTAGTTTAAAGCTGAAAGGAAGGATTGAGTCTTCAAAAACAAAGTCTTCCCTCTCAGTTGGATGACACATGTCAAAAGGGTAAATGAGTGACAGAGAAGGAAAGACACAGGGAGGTTTACTTATTTTATTAATCAGACTTTCTGAAAGAGAGGTATGAATTCAGTTAACCAAAATCCCTGTTTTTTTTTCTAGCCAGAGTATAAAATAGCCGACCCAATCTGCACATTCATCTTTTCCATCCTGGTCTTGGCCAGCACCATCACTATCTTAAAGGACTTCTCCATCTTACTCATGGAAGGTAGGAGTGATTTTATTATTACTCCCAGAGTCAGTGTTTTCTCTTCCCTAGAATCACAAAAGGGAATGGCTACAAGGCATGCTCACTGTTAATTTGAATTATGGGAAAAATTTAAAGTGAAAAGGAATTTTTGTGAAAACAATCATTTGATTTTTTTTCCTATGGGAACAAGTAAAAAGAACTGGCTTCTATTCTTGCTCTAGCAACTGTTATGTAATAGCTCACAGTGTAAAAACAGTAAGTATAAACACCATGCGGAGATACTACAAAAATATAAATATACCTGGAAAAGACCTAAGAAAAAAAACTACATAAGTTTACCCCCCAGGCTGCATTAGAGCTAAACATTTTTATCAAATTGTATCTCAGAGTAGAATAAAACAAGGGTGACCTTTTATTTGTTTGTCCGGCAAGTGTTTATTGAGCCCCAACTCTGTGCTAGGTAGTGTGCTCAGAACTAGAATTACAGATATGAGCAGAGCAGAACACAGCTCTCTTCTGAAGTTCTGGGCTGTAGTGTGCTATGAGGTTCAGGTGTCTGCACTAAGGTCAACATCAGTACGGCCTCCTGGGAACAGGGTGCCACTAGGTTGCCTAAGGAAGGGTGAACTGGCACAGATGAGAAACAGAGCAGATCAAAGCTCTCATGCTGATCAGTAGTAGGATTGTGCCTGTGAATAGCCACTGCCCTACAGCCTGGGCAACATAGTGAGACCCTGTCTCTTAAAATAAAGTATAGTAAAATAAAATATGGGCTGGGCACAGTGGCTAATGCCTATAATTCCAGGAATTACAGGTTGGGAGGCTGAGGTGGGAGGATTGCTTGAGTCCGGGAGTTTAAGACCAACCTGGGCAACATGGCAAAACCTCGTCTCAACAAAAAAATGCAAAATATTACCTGGGCATTGTGGTGCATGCCTGTAGTCCCAGCTAGTCAGGAGACTGAGATGGGAGGATCGCTTGAGGCTGGGAGGCAGAGGCTGCAGTGAGCCGAGATGGCACAACTGTACTGCAGCCTGGGTGACAGAGTAAGACCCTACCTCAACAAAATAAAATAAATAAAAAAAGCTTTGTCCTCATGGGGATAATACTTTAATAAGAGGAGAAAGAGATTATTCAAAAAATTACACAGAAATGCAGTAGTGGGAACTGCTACAAAGAAGAGGTGTGGGCCTCTTATTAGAGATCTTAACACGGCTGGGAGCAGGGGCCAGTGGTCCCAGAGGCTTTGCTAAGGCCTGCTCTTAGCCCCGAGTAGGATCTTATGTTATTAACCTCATCATCTACAGCCCCATTATCCTTGACTACTCTCCTGGGCCTGTGAAATTTCTCTCTGGGCTCTTTGAGTCTTCCAACTGTCCAGGAATAGATCACATAAATAACCCTCACTGCAAAGAAATCCGTCCTTATGCCTAAAGCTTACTGCCTGCCTCCTCTCCCCCATTCTGCAGTTTGGTGATTTTCTTTTCATTTGGCATAAAATGGTTGAAGAACTACTGGTTTCTGCCCTTTCTAGGCTACATCTTTACTGGCAGAGTTAGCGCAAAGAGACACATCATATAGTTGAAAAAGCAAGATCTTTGTATCAGACCCACCTCTGTTCAAATGCTAGTCATGCAAGTTTCTAGCTGTGAGACCTCAGACAATCTCCTCTGAACTTCAGTTTCTCAACTCAAAAATGGGAATATCACATCCACAATATAGTGTTGTTGAGAGGATTAGATGAAATAAATGGCATTATGTCTAGAACACAGTAGGAGCTCAGTAAATATAAACTCTCAGCTAGCATTTTGGGTTGACTGGAATATAGGAAATATGAAGCTACATTGTGGAGATAAACACTGTACTGTATATTTATCTGCACAGCAAGATATTCTCAATTTTTGGTTATAAACTGTGGCCATAGAACCAGTCAATCATAGATGCTGATGGCCTCAGAAAGGCCAGATAAGAGAGTCTTGATCAGAATAAATCCATCTTCATTACTAGAAGAACCATTCAGTAGTACTTGAAATGGGAGAACTACTGACTCCCATTGACATTATCTTGGAATATTAAAGTATGTCAGAGAGTGACATCAGCAAGATGGCTGACTAGAGATGCTGGGGCTAGTCCCCCCGGTAAGAAAGGGCCAAGGCAATAAATAACCAGAGGAGATTTGACTGGAGCATCAAAGGGAAAGTGTGGGAGTGCAACCTAGGTGTCCAACAATAGATGAATGGATCAAGAAAATGCAGTGTATATACACAATGGAATACTATTCAGCTATGAAAAAGAATGAAATCCTGTTATTTGCAGAAACATGGATGGAACTGGAGGACATTATGCTAAGTAAAATCAGCCAGGAAATGAAAGTTAAACACCACATGTTTTGGCTCATATGTGGGAGCTAAAAACAAATTGTTCTCATAGAAGTGAAAAGTAGAACAGATAGCAGAGGGAGGGAAGGGGAAGAGTAGGATAGGGAGAGAGTTGTTAAAGGATGCAAAATTACAATGAGATAGCAGGAATAAGCTCTAGTGTTCTATAGCACTACAGAATGACAAGAATATAGTTAACAATAATATATAGTTCCAAATAGCTAGAAGGAAGATATTGAACATTCCCAATACAACGAAATAATAAATGTATGAGATGATGAATTTGTCAGTTACCCTCATCTGATCACTATGAATTATCTGTATGGCAACAGCACTGCATGTCCCATACATATGTACAATTATCATGTCAATTTAAAACTGTTTAAAATTTAAAAATAAGGTTTATTGGAGACCTGAGGTACTTGATTATATTTACAAGGTGATTTATCATTGCTACATTGGCCATTTGTCGTTAACAAATGATATTATTTTCTATCTTACATTCCAGGAAAACAGGTATTATGAAGGACTTGCCTAAAACCCTTATTAGACTAACCCAGCAGTTCTCAAACTTTAGTGGCATCAGAATCACGTGGAGGGTTTATTGAAACACAGATATCTGAGCCCACTCCCACAATTCTTGAGTCAGTATATCTTATTGGGGAGTAGGAGGAGCAAGAATTTGAATTTCTAACAAGATGCTGGTGCTGCTGGTCCCAGGACAACACTTCAGGAACCACTGGACTAATCTTTTAGTACCACTGAAGGGATTCCCACATGCTGGCCCTGGGAATGGCACCTGTAAAATTCAGTGAGAGCTAGAAGTTTGCATCATATCAAACATCCAGATGATTGAAATATCCAGACATTAGCTGATTTTTTTTTTTTTTTTTTTTGTCCAGCACATTTTGACATAAGGTAGATCTGGTCTCAGAGTGCAGTTGCCTTCAGTGACAGCTCACACTTCGTTAGTGTTCACTGCTAAGTATACATTTAAAGGTTTGTTCTTGGTGGTCACTATAATTGTTGAAAGATAATAGTGTTGACAACAGTGAAATGGATAACGGAGTCAAATGTCACAGAGTAATAGTGAATTTTCTGTCTCTAAACATGAGAATATTTGGTTTGTCAAGCCACAGAAGCATCCATTTTCTTTCCTGAGTGCCGAATGCTGAGCTGCAGCTGTTGTTGCTATTATGGAAGTTATTGACTTAAAGAAAGATAAAAGACAAGTTGGTGTACAATTTGAAATGACTTATATTCCGCTTTTCTTTGTGTGTCTCGCTATAGCTCTTCCCTGGTGATTATCTTTCTTATTTTACTTCAGGAAAAGTGCAGAGACTGGACTACGTCAGCTAGTTATAGAAACTGGCAGATAACTCCTTTCTGGAAGACACTTAATTTTTAAATTAGGTTTTCAAACTATGTTAGTATAGTACTTAGTAAAATTTAAAAATAATACAGAAAAGTATGAAATAATTTTAAAAAGTCTCCTTATAATTCCGTCTTTGACTTCTCAGTCCTATTCTTCAGGGATAATACCTGTTAATAAGTTGACATTTATCTTTCCAAAGATATTTGTGCATTTGCATATATATATATACATACATACATGTATATGTATATGTGTATGTGATGTAAGTGTGTACCTTTTTTTATAAAAATGGGATTACATATTGATTCACATTTTTTCTCTGCACCTGGCATTTTTCATTTGGAGATCTTTTATATTAGCACATACATAGATATACCCCATTCTTCTTCACAGCTGTAATTACTCCACAGCATGGAAGTACTTGCTTGTGATTGACATTATAAACAATGATGTAATTACTATAAACAATGATGTAATTACCACCCTTGTACATATATATTTTTAGCACTTGTATATCTGTGGAATAATTCCTAGAAGTGATATTGCTGTTTCAAAACTTACATGCTTTATTAGTATGTTTTTTCACTGCTCATAAAGACATACCTGAGACTGGGTAATTATAAAGAACAAGAGGTTTAATGGACTCACCGTTTCACATGGCTGAGGAGGCCTCACAATCATGGCAGAAGGCAAAGGAGGAGCAAAGTCACTCCTTACATAGCAGCAGGCAAGAGAGCTTTTTCAGGAGAACTCCCATTTGTAAAACCATCAGATCTGTGAGACTTATTCACTACCAGGAGAACGGTATGGGGGAACTGCCCCCATGATTCAATTATCTTCACCTGGCCCCCACCCTTGACACGTGGGGATCATTACAATTAAAAGTGAGATTTGGGTGAGATTTGGGTGGGGACACAGCCAAACTATATCACATGCATTTCAAAATTTGATAGATATTACCATTTCTACCAAAGATACAGTATCAATTTCTTTCCCCTCAACAGCATATGAAAGTGCCCCTTTCCTCACATCATCACAACCACTGAGTATTATCAAACTAACTGTTCATTCTTTTCTACTCTAATAGGTGAAATATTATATCTTATTGATTTCAAATGCAATTATTTAATTATGAATGATCAGTGGTTTTTCAAATACATTTATAAGTCTGGGAAGTTATTTATTAAACACTAATTTAGATATTTTCCTGGATGCATTAATATTTTTTCAGACTCCCCCCCAAGTAAAAGAAAGTTCTAGGATGTGATGGAGCATTGAGTCCAGTGGGGCCATGCCTCTTGCCTGGCAACACTATTTGTTATAATAAAATAAGTCATGGTGGACCTATGTTCTCTATAATAGTAATGAGATGAAGGAGACAAGTGAAAAAAGGGTAGTGGGATCATGACTTAATTTCAAAGGGCCTAGATGAATGATAGCAAGTCTTCAAATGGTCAACAGAACTTCCCCAAAGAGATGACACACATTAGGCATAACAGACAGTGTTTTGATTGCAATTCCTAGACTCTAGTATTTGCGTAACACTTTATACTCAGAGCACAGACATTGGGATCTGATATCCCTGGTTCTGCCACTTCTCTGTGTGGCCTTAGCAATGTTCCTTAATCTAACTGACCTCAATTTCCTCTTCTCTAGTTAAATAAGAATTGTAACCTTAATAACTAGCTTCTAAAGTTTTTAGGACTATTAAATGAGATAATTGCTATATATAAAGTACTTTGCACAAACTTTACACATAGTGGGCCCTCAATAAAAGTTTGTTATTATTATTATGACAATTTTACCCATGACTTTATTCACATTGTATGGCTAATTTGAGACAAGAACTCCTTTCATCTGCTTCTAGGAGCCTAGGTCTTTTGCCACTCATAGAGTAAAATAGCATGATAACCAGCTCTTTGTTACTTCCCCAAACAATATGAGGTAGGATCAAAAACTCAGCTCATGCTGTAGGGAATTTTGAGTTAACTCCAAGGAGGAAATCCCCCATGAGCAAGGTTCTTAGCCCATTTTTTGCCGAGTGTTCCATTATTGGAATGCTAAGCATGTGAGAGTTATTTATATCCTGCTCAAGGTCATTGCCAAGGTCTGATTGCAAAAATTCAAAAAATTGCAACCCCAGGCATAAATGGGTTAAATTTTTCAAAAGGAGGGTTAAGGGTTCCCCATTTCTTTAAGTAGATGTTTCTCAGTTCTAGCTGTTCATTATAATCCTCTGGGAAGCTTTTAAACAATGCTTATGCTCAGGCCTCCCATACCCAGTGTTATTAGGCTGTTCTCACATTGCTATAAAGAAATACCTGAGACTGGATAATTTATAAAGAAAATAAGGTTAATTGGCTCATGGTTCTGCAGGCTGTACAGGAAGCATGGTGGCATTTGCTTCTGGGGAGGCCTCAAGAAGCTTCCAATAGCGGCAAAAGGCAAAGGGGGAGAAGGCACGTCACATGATGGGAATGGAGCAAGGGCAAGGGAGGTGCTACACACTTTTAAATGACCAAATCTTGCAAGAACTCACTCATCATCGCAAAGACAGCACCAAGCCATGAGGGATCTGGCACCATGACCCAAACACCTCCCACCAGGCCCCATTTCCAGCATTAGGGATTACAATTCAACATGAGACACTGGCAAGGATAAATATGCAAACTATATCACCCAGAGATTCTGATTTAATTGTCTGGGGTTGGGGCTGGCTTTGGTATTTTTAAAAACATGTAGTCAGACTAGAGAACCACTGCAAAGCAGAGCTGCTCAGTGGCTCATGAATGTTGGTGCAGTGGTTCTCAATCTTGGCTGCCTGATAGAATCACCAAATGAGCATTGATGTTGGGCCTTATCCACAGAGATTCTGATTTAATTGGTCTTGGGTGTAACTTAGTCATCAGGATTTCTAAAATCTCCTCTGGTAATACTAATGTGCATCCAAGGTTGAAAACCACTCTGAAAGACTCTAGATTTTGGAGCTTCATCCATAGAAATTTCCTTTTAGGTCTGGAATGGAGTCGTGGTACATTTATTTTTAATAAACACCCCAGGTGTTTGTGTTGTTTGTACATAACTGAAGTAGAGGCTAAAAAAGGGCTGTACTTAGACATCTCTTCTACAGCATCCTCCAATGTAGCTAAAATAATAGAAAACTTACAAACCGAATAAGATGGTATTATACAATGTTAGGATCCTCTATTAGCACAGTTCACTAAATGACCTGTTGAGTAACTAATCTTTGTACAACATTGCTGTTCATAATGATTAGATATTTTCTGAATTGCTCCTCAAAGATCTCTGTGATCTATGTGTTGTTCTTAACACCCTTATTTTACTACAAATGTGCTGAGGGTCAGAGAAGTTCTGGGATTTGGGTAAATTCACAATAGTTGTCGTCAGGATGCTAACCCATGATTATTTGATACCAAATTTCATGTTATTTCATTTTACTTTCCAGAGTGTATATAAAGATAGTTGGAAAAGGCACAGTTAGTTTAATAGTATACCATAAAAACTAAGGATAATTACCATTGTTGGTTATTGCATAGTAAATTCTGCAAGTATTCTGAGTGGGAAATTTTGATTGATGGTAAACCTTGAAGTAGTCAGGTAAATCTTATTTGTAAACATTTGAAGTAAGAAACCAGCAAAGGGATGAACACATTGAAATTTTGGTGAGGACTTTGCAGCTTGTTTAGGTAATTCAATGAGCTGTATCTAGTTGAATAACTACAGCCTCCATCTCTTCCCTTTTGTCAGGTGTGCCAAAGAGCCTGAATTACAGTGGTGTGAAAGAGCTTATTTTAGCAGTCGACGGGGTGCTGTCTGTGCACAGCCTGCACATCTGGTCTCTAACAATGAATCAAGTAATTCTCTCAGCTCATGTTGCTACAGGTCAGTGAGTTTTGTAAACACCCTGGAAAAAATTCAGTCCTTGTCCTGTAAAGTCAGTAATTTCCCTTCTTTTTGTAGAGCTGCCCTTATTGTCTGTTGCTTGTCAAAACATTATAAAGTGTTTTCTATTACCAAGGGCCTTTGAAACCAGCCCACTTATTGATGTTGTCATAGCAACAATGATACCCACGACATTCTTGGGGCTGACTGCAGAGGGCTGAGGACAGACAGAACAAAGGACTAAAATGCACCCGCCACTTCAAGGCCTTGGACTCTGAATATTCAACTTCATCTGTTTGGCTTGGTGCCCTATCAGTCAAATAATAGGAATGAATTAAAAACTTAATCTTAATTGAGTATCTCCTATGTATAAGATGTTTTTCCTGGCACTGAAAATAGGAAGATGAAAGAGACACCAGCCCCACTCTTAAATTTCTAACAAGCTAATGGATGTGCTAATAGGAATTATGGTGGGGTCCCACACTGTATGATTAGAAATTCTGTAGCCATGTGAGAAAATTCTTATAATACTAGGTTTATACTAAAATTACTTTTTCAAGAAGTTAATTTTGTCTCTGATATGTCCTAGAGCTGGGAGGATAGGCAGTGGGAGGGCATTTACTGCCTCAAGAGAAAGCTCAGGCCAAGGATAACACATTAGGCTGCTAAAAAATGACTCAAGGAGTTACTTAGGGGCAGGGGACAGGAACACTAGTGACAGTCATTTGAAAACTGTGCTTTCTCAGACATCGTCATCTTCTCGAAGGGGCTTAGGTCTGACTTGAGGGAATTTACAGCATTCACTATGCCAATATTTCACTGCAAATGGAAGAATCTAGTAAACACTCAGGTTGCTATGGAGGAGACTTTACAGCCTGCTGATAGCATTTGGGACAGGAAAAAAATGGCAGTGAGGGTTGCTGCTCTAAGAAAGGTCTGTGGGGAGCTCTAAACGCTTCCTGGTTCCTGTCACTATCCTTGATATAAATTCTGATTACATACAAAGCCTGCAACCCAGAGATCCCTGGGAGCTGGTGAGCAGGGCTGTATAAGAAATAATAGTTCTGTCTTGGCTTTTTCCAGGGCTTGTCTCCCCTTCCATAGTAAGCTCCTAGGAATGCCAGACTCCAGAGATAACAGTGGACAGAAAGAGTTCCCATAGCGACAGGGCACTTTGCTGCACTAGAGTTTCCCCTGCCTTGTCTGTGTGAATGTAGCTGATTATCAGAGCAAACGTGGCTTCCTCTGAGTGCCCTGCCTCTGCCCCACCCCAGCAGGTCAAAGACAAAGTACTTGAAGTTGGAGTCAGAGCAGTCGCCCATGCGTGTGCAATCAGTGCTAATCTCCCTGTGCTTCTTTATCAACAGCAGCCAGCCGGGACAGCCAAGTGGTTCGGAGAGAAATTGCTAAAGCCCTTAGCAAAAGCTTTACGATGCACTCACTCACCATTCAGATGGAATCTCCAGTTGACCAGGACCCCGACTGCCTTTTCTGTGAAGACCCCTGTGACTAGCTCAGTCACACCGTCAGTTTCCCAAATTTGACAGGCCACCTTCAAACATGCTGCTATGCAGTTTCTGCATCATAGAAAATAAGGAACCAAAGGAAGAAATTCATGTCATGGTGCAATGCACATTTTATCTATTTATTTAGTTCCATTCACCATGAAGGAAGAGGCACTGAGATCCATCAATCAATTGGATTATATACTGATCAGTAGCTGTGTTCAATTGCAGGAATGTGTATATAGATTATTCCTGAGTGGAGCCGAAGTAACAGCTGTTTGTAACTATCGGCAATACCAAATTCATCTCCCTTCCAATAATGCATCTTGAGAACACATAGGTAAATTTGAACTCAGGAAAGTCTTACTAGAAATCAGTGGAAGGGACAAATAGTCACAAAATTTTACCAAAACATTAGAAACAAAAAATAAGGAGAGCCAAGTCAGGAATAAAAGTGACTCTGTATGCTAACGCCACATTAGAACTTGGTTCTCTCACCAAGCTGTAATGTGATTTTTTTTTCTACTCTGAATTGGAAATATGTATGAATATACAGAGAAGTGCTTACAACTAATTTTTATTTACTTGTCACATTTTGGCAATAAATCCCTCTTATTTCTAAATTCTAACTTGTTTATTTCAAAACTTTATATAATCACTGTTCAAAAGGAAATATTTTCACCTACCAGAGTGCTTAAACACTGGCACCAGCCAAAGAATGTGGTTGTAGAGACCCAGAAGTCTTCAAGAACAGCCGACAAAAACATTCGAGTTGACCCCACCAAGTTGTTGCCACAGATAATTTAGATATTTACCTGCAAGAAGGAATAAAGCAGATGCAACCAATTCATTCAGTCCACGAGCATGATGTGAGCACTGCTTTGTGCTAGACATTGGGCTTAGCATTGAAACTATAAAGAGGAATCAGACGCAGCAAGTGCTTCTGTGTTCTGGTAGCAACTCAACACTATCTGTGGAGAGTAAACTGAAGATGTGCAGGCCAACATTCTGGAAATCCTATGTCAATGGGTTTGGTTTGGAACCTGGACTTCTGCATTTTTAAAAGTTACCCAGAGATGCTTCTAAAGATGAGCCATAGTCTAGAAGATTGTCAACCACAGGAGTTCATTGAGTGGGACAGCTAGACACATACATTGGCAGCTACAATAGTATCATGAATTGCAATGATGTAGTGGGGTATAAAAGGAAAGCGATGGATATTGCCGGATGGGCATGGCCAGTGATGTTTCACGTCATTGAGGTGACAGCTCTGCTGGACTTTGAATTACATATGGAGGCTCTCCAGGAAGACGAAGAAGAGAAGGACATTCTAGGCAAAAAGAAGACTAGGCACAAGGCACACTTATGTTTGTCTGTTAGCTTTTAGTTGAAAAAGCAAAATACATGATGCAAAGAAACCTCTCCACGCTGTGATTTTTAAAACTACATACTTTTTGCAACTTTATGGTTATGAGTATTGTAGAGAACAGGAGATAGGTCTTAGATGATTTTTATGTTGTTGTCAGACTCTAGCAAGGTACTAGAAACCTAGCAGGCATTAATAATTGTTGAGGCAATGACTCTGAGGCTATATCTGGGCCTTGTCATTATTTATCATTTATATTTGTATTTTTTTCTGAAATTTGAGGGCCAAGAAAACATTGACTTTGACTGAGGAGGTCACATCTGTGCCATCTCTGCAAATCAATCAGCACCACTGAAATAACTACTTAGCATTCTGCTGAGCTTTCCCTGCTCAGTAGAGACAAATATACTCATCCCCCACCTCAGTGAGCTTGTTTAGGCAACCAGGATTAGAGCTGCTCAGGTTCCCAACGTCTCCTGCCACATCGGGTTCTCAAAATGGAAAGAATGGTTTATGCCAAATCACTTTTCCTGTCTGAAGGACCACTGAATGGTTTTGTTTTTCCATATTTTGCATAGGACGCCCTAAAGACTAGGTGACTTGGCAAACACACAAGTGTTAGTATAATTCTTTGCTTCTGCTTCTTTTTGAAAATCATGTTTAGATTTGATTTTAAGTCAGAAATTCACTGAATGTCAGGTAATCATTATGGAGGGAGATTTGTGTGTCAACCAAAGTAATTGTCCCATGGCCCCAGGGTATTTCTGTTGTTTCCCTGAAATTCTGCTTTTTTAGTCAGCTAGATTGAAAACTCTGAACAGTAGATGTTTATATGGCAAAATGCAAGACAATCTACAAGGGAGATTTTAAGGATTTTGAGATGAAAAAACAGATGCTACTCAGGGGCTTTATGAACCATCCATCAATTCTGAAGTTCTGACTCTCCCATTACCCTTTCCCTGGTGTGGTCAGAACTCCAGGTCACTGGAAGTTAGTGGAATCATGTAGTTGAATTCTTTACTTCAAGACATTGTATTCTCTCCAGCTATCAAAACATTAATGATCTTTTATGTCTTTTTTTTGTTATTGTTATACTTTAAGTTCTGGGGTACATGTGCGGAACATGTAGGTTTGTTACATAGGTATACATGTGCCATGGTGGTTTGCTGCACTCATCAACCTGTCATCTACATTCTTTTATGTCTGTCTTTCAAAGCAACACTCTGTTCTTCTGAGTAGTGAAATCAGGTCAACTTTACCACCAGCCTCCATTTTTAATATGCTTCACCATCATCCAGCACCTACTTAAGATTTATCTAGGGCTCTGTGGTGATGTTAGGACCCATAAAAGAAATTTATGCCTTCCATATGTTTGGTTACAGATGGGAAATGGGAATGTTGAAGGACATGAAAGAAAGGATGTTTACACATTAAGCATCAGTTCTGAAGCTAGATTGTCTGAGTTTGAATCTTAGCTCTTCCCTTTATTAGCTCTGTGACCTCGAGCTAGTTACTTAAATGCTCTGATCCTCTATTTCCTGATCAGTGAAACCTCCCTATTCAAATGTGTGAGAGTTTAATAAATTAGGACACTTAAAAATGTTGGAGCAGTGCATAGCATGTAGTGTTCAGTACATGTTAAATGTTGTTTTTTATTATGTACAAACATGAGTGGGCACAGAATTTTAAATCATCTCAACTTTTGAGAAATTTTGAGTTATCAACACCGTTCCCACAAGACAGTGGCAAAATTATTGGTGAGAATTAAACAGCTGTTTCTCAGAGGAAGCAATGGAGGCTTGCTGGGATAAAGGCATTTACTGAGAGGCTGTTACCTAGTGAGAGTGATGAATTAATTAAAATAGTCGAATCCCTTTCTGACTGTCTCTGAAAGCTTCCGCTTTTATCTTTGAAGAGCAGAATTGTCACTCCAAGGACATTTATTAATAAAAAGAACAACTGTCCAGTGCAATGAAGGCAAAGTCATAGGTCTCCCAAGTCTTACCCCATTCCTGTGAAATATCAAGTTCTTGGCTTTTCTCTGTCATGTAGCCTCAACTTTCTCTGACCGGGTGCATTTCTTTCTCTGGTTTCTAAATTGCCAGTGGCAAATTTGGATCACTTACTTAATATCTGTTAAATTTTGTGACCCAACAAAGTCTTTTAGCACTGTGGTGTCAAAAAGAAAAACACCTCCCAGGCATATACATTTTATAGATTCCTGGAGAATGTTGCTCTCCAGCTCCATCCCCACCCAATGAAATATGATCCAGAGAGTCTTGCAAAGAGACAAGCCTCATTTTCCACAATTAGCTCTAAAGTGCCTCCAGGAAATGATTTTCTCAGCTCATCTCTCTGTATTCCCTGTTTTGGATCACAGGGCAATCTGTTTAAATGACTAATTACAGAAATCATTAAAGGCACCAAGCAAATGTCATCTCTGAATACACACATCCCAAGCTTTACAAATCCTGCCTGGCTTGACAGTGATGAGGCCACTTAACAGTCCAGCGCAGGCGGATGTTAAAAAAAATAAAAAGGTGACCATCTGCGGTTTAGTTTTTTAACTTTCTGATTTCACACTTAACGTCTGTCATTCTGTTACTGGGCACCTGTTTAAATTCTATTTTAAAATGTTAATGTGTGTTGTTTAAAATAAAATCAAGAAAGAGAGAGTTTGGGTTAAGTCATCATCTTTTTATCACCAAAATCATGGCAGGACATGTTTTTCATGACACCAGTGAGGACTGTAATGAGAATACACTCTTTCACTCTCAGTCATTTATTGGAAGAGATATAACTCATTTGGGGAACATACTTGTCTAAGAGAGATGGAAGATAATGTGTTAGAATCAGGGGTGCTTTTGAAATCATTCTGGTCATGGGCATAAAACCCCAGTGGAGGAAGAAGATGGTGGTCAGAGGTGGTAGGAGCCCTTGACGGTTGTAAAAAAGGAACTTGTGCTTCTTCAACCATAAAGCCAGGAAGTGATGAGAGATGTCAAGCTGAATTGCACCCCTTTCAGAAGTGTCAATCAAGTCCTGGAGACAATGTATCATTATAATTGCCCTATATTTCCTTTCTTCAAAGGGGTACCCATTTGTTAAAAACACGATTATCCTATTTACAGCCATTAAAACCCTATGGTTGTTATACACAGTCCAATAGTACTATCAAACATTATTTCCCTGAATCTGTAGAGTTTAGGAGTGTTTTGGGGTGCTGCAGAAGAAGAAAGGGCACCAGCTGTACTGAAGATATTGTAAACCATGGTGAGTTAACCTGTATAATGGAATTAGGATCAGATGCAAATTTAGGGTCTCCTTTGAAGTTAAACTGCATTCTTCAAATGGGAATCAGTAGAGATTTAATGAACTAATGCCCTGGTTCGTTTCTAACTCCTCCTCCATTTTTATAGCGATGAATAGGGGATTTTATTGGGCATATATGTGGGATTGATGAACAAGAATTTCTGTCATGGCCTTATTCTCCACTCCAAAATTGCCTCTGACATGGCAAAAGTCCATGGTCGGGAAAATAAGAATACCCTGTGCTGGCATTTCTTTACAGTAATACTTTCTATGAATAATTAATGGCCCAGAAAGATGAAGGCTTTTTTTTCTGGTTTCCACCTACTCATAAAGTTCAGCACCTTATTTCAACTTGGATGGGGAAAGGACAGTAGATTTCCCTGGCTCAATAAGCTCTGAATTCATAAACAAGAAGCAGGTTCCCTTTCCATTCAATCTCCAATCCTTTATAAAGATAAAGCTGTGGAGATGGTCTTTCAGGATCTTAGATTAGGTAATTTTTCATGTTCTAATAATAAAGTTATGAGGGAAGCACTGTGATCAAACATAGCTGATGAGAATACACAATTATTTTTATTCTTTTTCTTATCCTCCTCCTTTTCCTTTCTCCTCCTCCTCCTACTCTTCCCCCTTCATCTTCGTAGCTCTTAAACACTGTAGACTTTACCACTTATCCTTCAACGACAGAATTCTTTTTGCCTGAGAATAAACATTTGCACAATACTAGAGATATTACAATATATAGATTTTGGGGAAAAAAACCCTCAAATCCTATACCCTGAGACTTTTGTTAATTCAATTAATGTATTCATCAATCAACTGCAAGTCAAAACAACATCAGGGAGTACAATATTGCTTTAGATACATTTGTATTTGTCCAGAATATTTTATTAATATTTGGGATTAAAACACTACTGAATTGCTAAACCCTAAGGGTCCTGAAAAATTCAATACTGATACGGTAGGCATCAACTTTAGGAAGTCAACATACCTGCATTGCTTCTCCCTTGAAAAATATATTTCATTAAGGTACTGTTCATGTGTTGTCAAATCATGGAATAATTTACATTTCCTGATGAAATTTTCCTGTTTATTCCAGAACTTGGTAGGTATTTCACTTTACTTTCCTTCTCTCATTACTGAGATGTCAGTTTCTGCATTGTACAATGGTAAATATTGGGCAATGATGTGAATGTTGGTGTTAGGCTTGGACTGCTAGTGCTGGAATAGATCTCGGAAGTAGAGCCAAGAAAGATTAGAGGGGAGGATGCCTATAAGATGGGGCAGGATTAGGAGTTTGGTATTAGGCAAGTTGAGTTATTAAACAAGCATGTAAAGATGTCAAATAGGCACTTGTTTATATAAGTGTGGGCTAGAGTTACAAAAACAGTATTTTCATCCCAGGAGAGAAGTCTGGGCTGCAGTTACAAAAGTCATTATCTTGTCAGGGCCACACAATTACACAGGTGTTAATAGTAATGAAGGCCCTCCCATCTTGTCATTGCACCATCTGGAACATTATTTAGCCTCTGAGGTAGTGGGGGAAGAGAGAGAAGAAGGGAAACCACATCTTAAATTTGTTACAGTCCCTTTTAAAATGGACGCTTTTCACTTCTGCTTGGAGTCCATTGGCCAAAATTAATCATATAGCCCTAACCTAACTGAAGGGAAGCTGGGAAATATAGAGAAACACATGGGTTCCTGATGGGTATTAACTGCCATCAACTCAGAGAGAGAGGAGAGAATTGCTGGAGTGGTGTACATGAGGAAGCAAGAAATGATGGAATCTAGTGCACAGGTCGTGTGCCTGGTTCTAGACGGGAGTATTTATATACAACACAGAGCTTTTACAGTAACAGAATTCTGCTGGTAGATGGCTAGGTACGATGGAGGCAATCTGGCATTTTCTTCTGATTGCTTCATTTTTCTAAGTGAAGTAGGAAGCAACGTTATCAACTGAGTGTGACAATGAAAGAGGAGGTATTAGTGACGTAAAACAAGAGGAGCAAGAGTGAAATCGTCATCTAGGAGAGTGGAGAGTGAAAAGGCCATGATGAAAGTAAGATTGCCTGGTTGTGCCAGTTATTAAGCTGTTGTCTCTCAGCCCCCAACTCTCTCCAATATTCTTGGCATCATGATGCTGGGGGCAGGGACTGTGTTAACTACATTTCTCCTTTGCTGGCTGCCCCTTGTTAGGAGGCCCTAGAGGGAGATGAGAAGCCTAGAGGGAGGAAAAGGGGACTTTCTTCTTGTTTTGTTTCCTGCTTGATCCTCTCTCAAACAGTGTCAACCCAGTAATACTTCTTCACCCTGGCAGCAGCACTTCATTCTCTTTTCCTGCAGTATTTCCAGTTTGCAGTTTACCCCAAACTCAAAGAACCAGCCTCATCACATCCCCTCAGAGAAAAGTACCAAGTTACTGTACTCTTTCCTTAGAGGTCTAGATCCCAGCTCCACTGTAGCTTCCCCCAGGCTAAGATATCAGCATTAATTAATCAGTGTCTCGTCCTCAGAGGACAGTGTTTTAGCTTGGGGTTTACTCCTCCAAGCTTCTGGGTTCTATTAATTCCCTAAGCCCTAGGAGGGTTAACTGCTTTATGCAATTCTACTTCTGTTATTTTTTATTCTCTTTTTGCTTTCCACTTCTTCAATATCTGGCTAAATTTTACATATAAAATAATATAAAATAATTGTTGTGATCTCATTGGACCATGTTTGATACAGTGGCTGGCTGAGCACCAGCAACCTAGTCAACCTATCTGTCTCAGTTTTTTACCCAGTGAAGGAATGAAAACTACCCATTTTAGAGTAGTTGTGAGGATTAAATGAGAAGCTGCATGTAAAACACTTAATGCAATTCACTGCTCATAGTAAGTTCTCAATAAATTCTAGTTATCATTTTTTGAGAATCCACTCAGATGGCCCTTAGTCCAGAAAGCTTTTCCTAATATTCTACCCGATGCCAATCATTCCATCTTCAGTGCTGCCTTTCAAGCAATCACCTTTTTGTGTTCTTGCTTTTGTCACTTTGTGTCTTGTCTGTTGTGTTTTTCTATGTTCCCCTCCTTAAAGTATTTCTATTTATCTCTGAATAATAACACCTAGCACCGGTCCCAGCACAGAGTAGTATTATTACATTATCTGCAGGAACACACCTTCATCTAGCAGACCTCAATAGATATCAGTAAGATAATGAAGCATTTTAATTCTTTCAGATGTTTCATTTTAAACACCAGACATCTGTGTCTAACCTCTAGCCTTATATTCACTCAGCCTCTGCTTCTAATCCAGTACATCTTCTTTCTAGCTGCATGGTTTTGGCCACATTGTGAAGCAGGATTCAGTTTCCTTACAATAAAATGGGGAAAACGACACCTATATCACAAGGTTGTTGTAATCATTAGATAACTAATGTGCTTCTCTCAGCACAATGGCTGGTATATAATGTGAACTGAGAGCATTAAAATTTCTTTTTCTCTGAACTAAATCCCTGCTTTTAAAACCTCACTGATGGTGTCATAGAAGGCATGTGTTCTTTACTTAAAAAGAAAGATTGATGGACTATTTGAAGAACCAAGTGATCAAAATATGCCATAAAAATTGTTCTGGGGTATATCAAAGGACCTTTAAAATTAGATTCATTTTATTGGATATACAACTATTTTAAGGAATTGGTAGAAATAAGTAGGAGGTGAAAAGATAGAAGGTAAAAAGGAGTTTTTGGTTTTTTTTAAAAAAGCAGGTAGGTGGAACAGTTATAATGCAAATGTGTAGGGTCTGGCAATATTTAGAAGGTGTTAATAATAAATCACCTTCAGAGATCATACTTAAAAAGTGGGTGAAGGATATATACAGACACTTCTCAAAAGAAGACATTTATGCAGCCAACAGACACATGAAAAAATGCTCATCATCACTGGCCATCAGAGAAATGCAAATCAAAACCACAATGAGATACCATCTCACACCAGTTAGAATGGTGATCATTAAAAAATCAGGAAACAACAGGTGTTGGAGAGGATGTGGAGAAATAGGAACACTTTTACACTGTTGGTGGGACTGTAAACTAGTTCAACCATTGTGGAAGTCGATGTGGTGATTCCTCAGGGATCTACAACTAGAAATACCATTTGACCCAGCCATCCCATTACTGGGTATATAACCAAAGGATTATAAATCATGCTGCTATAAAGACACATGCACACGTATGTTTACTGCGGCACTATTCACAATAGCAAAGACTTGGAACCAACCCAAGTGTCCAACAATGATAGACTGGATTAAGAAAATGTGGCACATATACACCATGGAATACTATGCAGCCATAAAAAATGATGAGTTCATGTCCTTTGTAGGGACATGGATGAAGCTGGAAACCACCATTCTCAGCAAACTATCGCAAGGACAAAAAACCAAACACCGCATATTCTCACTCATAGGTGGGAATTGCACAATGAGAACACATGGACACAGGAAGGGGAACATCACACACCGGGGACTGTTGTGGGGTGGGGGGACGGGGGAGGGATAGCATTAGGAGATATACCTAAAGCTAAATGATGAGTTAATGGGTACAGTACACCAACATGGCACATGTATACATATGTAACAAACCTGCACGTTGTGCACATGTATCCTAAAACTTGTATAATAATAATAATAATCAGTCAAACAAACAAACAAACAAACAAAAAGAAGTGCTTAGTGTGGTACTTGGTATGGTAGGGCATTATACCAGATAGTGAGCTAAGCATAAATTTCTTCCCTATCACTCACAGAAATAGAATAGATAGGGGGAATGGGGACATGAGAAGGAGAGTGAGGTGGGGTGAAGGGTCAGGAGTTGGGGGTAAAGAAATAAAATTGATTCACAAGTTACTTGGATGAAAGATATTAAAATAATGTGATGAAAGTGAAATAATATATGGTTGTTTCTTTCTGTAGCTGGAAAAGTCAAGTAGAAATTGTGGTATTTGAAATATTGATGCCAATGGAAGCAGAATTTAACTCTCCCCAAAACTACCTTTGCTTTTTCTTTCATTTTTTTATTTAATTAGCATTTAATGGGTGACTATTTTGTGCCAGGCCTTGTGGTGAACATGGGGATCCTGGTGATAATGACACATTATAGTGGGAGATATGGACAAAAAACAAAGACCAAAATAAGACATTTTCAGATAGTGATAGGTAGTAAGACAGAAATAAAACCAATGGATATGGTAATAATTAGGAGAGGGCTACAGCGAGGCAGCTATATCTACATGACCTTTATGAAGAGGTGACATTTGGGCTGAGCCAGCCATGCAAAGTGGAGGAGGAAAAGGAAAGATAGCTTGGACAGAGGCCCCAGGTAGGAAGAACCTGGCAGCCTTGAGAAAAAGAAAGGAAGCAGATGTACTGAGTGTAGTGAACAAGGCTGGGGGAAGAGGGGTGATCTGGGCTGGACTGGGCAAAAGCCCTGTAGGCCATGAGAAGGAGCTAGAATTTTATGGTAAGTACAAAGCTCTCAACTGAATGGAAGAAGAACCACAGAAAGCTTGCATGCTGCAATTCTTTAGTTAGGTTTGTATTATTTTGGCAAAATACATTTTCTACCAAATTTGTCAAAGATGTACCAAGTACCCCAAAATCCCTTGTAAAGAAGTGTTTCACATATTTATTTATTTGTTATTTAATATATATTATCCACATACACACACTGCAAAGCACTAAACAGGGAAATATAACCCACAGTCAGTACAGGAGAATCATCAGGTGGAGAGGTGGGAGGCTGGAGAATTAGTCCATCCCATCTCCATGCTCTTGAGACACATCTCTTCCTGGGAGTCTTTCTGCTATCTGCTATCACCAACATGTAAATAAGATTATAATAAATTAGAACCATATATATATATATATATATATATATATTTTTTTTTTAGACATGGCTTCCTTCTCTGGGTCTGCATGAGCTGTCCCTTTTCTTCATGCGGCCACCAAGAGATAGCCATGGCACCCAGACAGTCTCCACTATTGATCTCCAGGCCCATATCCTATCTACACCTGTCTTGGAACAAACTTGGCCTTCTTCCACAGAAGGCATTTCAAATATTGATGTATTTGGTACTTGGTATTGACCAAGTACTTAGGTGAAACGCTTATTTACAAAACTTGTTTTTTAAAAAATTAAATTCTGAAAATATATATAACACACAGGTTTAGGAACTAGATTTCTCAGTATGGAGCCACCTGGCCTGATTTTATTCTGTAGTCTCACCTATTACCAGTTTTCCCAAATATCCTATAATGTAACAGTCTGAGCTGCTCATCTTTTCACAAGTAGGCTGTATTTGTTCATGACTCTGTGCCTGTGCTCATTTTCCCTTACTTAAATACCCTCCCTTCTCTTCCTTTCTCTTCTCTGCCTTGAAACTGTTACTTATCCTTTAAAGCCCTGCCAAAGATCAACCCTTTCTGAAGCTTCACTGACTTCCACTCTCGGAAAAGTTTATTCTTCTCTCTTCTTTGCTTATTGAACACTTTGTAGGGACTTATCACATTACACAAAAATATTTACAATTTTTGACTTCTCCAAGTAGACTTTAAATTCTACAAAAACAGTGATCTTTATCTTATTTAATGTTTTCTCTTCCTCCACAACCCATTATGTTGCCTACTATCTAAGTAATCACTGGACAATTAATTGAATAAATAATTATGCAATATGTCAACTTTTAAAATTAGGAGTGGATTCAGTGATCCCGGATTAGCCCTTAAGGAAGTGAAGCATCAGGAGCAGCTGAGAATATGTAATAGGGAGTGTAGCAGGATAGGTGTCAACATGGCCAATTCTGTCACTGTAAATTGCTCACAACTGACTCTAGGAGCTCTGCTTCCCCATGGATATAACAGGAATAAGAATCCTGATCCTTCTTACTTCCTTCAATTGTTACGGAGATCAAATGAGATACCATAGGCAAAAGCCCTTTGTGAACTATCATATAATCAACAGTTAGTATCATTATTAACTAAAATGATTTCTGTGGCAATATATTGTAGATATTTTACAATATATTTACCTCTTTTCATGGGACTACAGATATTCCTCCTTTCCTCCTCTCCTCTCCAACTTCCAACATGTCTAGAACACACACATTCATATCTACATTGACTATTTGCTTGTCTGGTTGTGCAGAATTGCTTATTGAGGCCTTCCTGTAATACTACCCGATCATGAAGTTTGGAAATAAATACCAGTGGAGCTAAAGTTGCAAATAAAAACCCATGGAAGCTGAGGAATGGTTCTTTTGGTTGTACTGTCTGTAGCAGACAATGGACCAAGCACCTTCCATGTGCCTGTCACTGTATCTGGGGAAGTAAAGATAATTCCATGAAAAATGAGGCAGAGGGTCTGATCTGAAATTTCCCTCAGCATTGTAGGTGAAATGGGTCAAATTTATAAGATAGGGTTTTAAAAAGAAGGTCTTGCTTAATTCTCTGTGGGAAAGTGGATACCCTTAGACTTTCCTGAATACCATTTGTCTGGGCTGAAGCAAGTAATGAAGTAAAGAAAGCAATTACAGGGTGCATTTTGTGACTTAGAACTGAACCCTGTCACTAATCAACCTGTTGGAGGAGACAGCTTCTGTACTAATGTTATGTCCAGAATTCAGAACACCCTTGGCCTTGAAGCAATTTTTGGAAGGTTAGGAGGTCAAGGACTGGGCAATTCTAGAAGCAATGCTTGGCCCTTTTTCTAAAAAGAAAGGGAATTTGGCATTTTTTCCGGTAGAATTATTACTGGACTGGCAAGGCCTTAAGTCCCCAACTGTGTTCAGGGCTCTTAAAGTGAGGGTTTGGCAGTGGTGTTTATTCAAATTAGGGTTTTACTTTAAGGGGAAGGTCTCTGTTTTCCAGGGGATCAACCTAGCCGACAGAAGTGAGATGAGGCAGAAGAAAAGAGCAGCTTGATTGATGTGGGTGCCTATACATCACATGCCTCTTTAGGAGAAATTAGCATCTTAGATGGGAGGGCTTGGAGAATGTTAATGTTAAGTTGATTAGAAGCCAAATAACTTAGTTTAGTCAGAGGCCCCACAGATTTCCTGGGAGCCCTGGTTGCACTGGTCCAGATGGTCTTTTTTGGCTGTGCTGTTCTCAGCCACACATCCAGCCAGCTCCAGGTTTCCTTCTCCACTCAGAGTGGGAGAGGCTGCCCCTACCTCCTGTGTTACCACAAATGCTGCATTCTCTCAGTGCTCAGTGAATACTAAATAATCAAAATGGCAATAAATCCTGAGCTTGGCACATCCCTTTAGAAGTCTTGGACAGGAGACGGGTAATGCTTAACTGGCTGTTGGAGGGAAAAATAGGGTCAACCTTTTCTCATTATAAATGATAATTATAATTGCAATATAAACATAATATCAATAATAATGATAGCAGTGCTTGGCAAGATGTCAGGCACTGGGCTGAGAAATTAAATTCATAACTTATTTAACCCTCAGTAAAACAATGATGTATGTATGATAACCTTCATGTTACAGATGGAAAATAGTTCAGAGAGTTTAAGTGACTTGCCCAAATCTAATACACAGTAGAACTAAGATTCAAATTCTGATTTGTGTCGTTCCAAATCATGTGCTCTAGAACTTTATTCTATACTCCTCCTCTAGTCTATTTTCTATTGTGGCTACATGAATATATGAATAACTTTGGATGGCAAGACTGGGCCTTCAACTTCCTCATTTGGCACCAAAGGGCAAAATTTCTAAGAAGTAGTAGAAGGTGAGGTGAAGACTTGTGGCTGGAGTGAACAGACTAATAATAAAGGGAAAATCACACTATGCTTTTTGCATTCTGTCTCTTAAACCCACTACCCCAAGGCATAGTGCATTTTGCCTCATCAGAGAAAGACAATTATACTACTAATAATGGTGATTATAATGGCCACAAAACTTCAGAGAAAATGTTCCCAGTTGTTGAATAATAATAAAAATATTACCAAGATTTGTTAGCTATAGAATTGTAAATGCAGCCCCCATATATGATGACCTGGAAGCATCAAATGGCTTAAGAAACTTACTGGCATTAAATGTGCCCCAATTTATTCTACTTAAATGAGAATCTAGGATTTGTGCATGCCCTTAGCTATTGTTGAAATAGAAACTGAAATGGCTTTATTTGAGAATGTCAACATCTTTCACATTCTCTTTTTGGTTATCAGGAAAAACAAGTAGACTAGGAAAATTAAAACATTTATGCTCTATTTTCAGTCACTCTAGGAGATGGATGTAATATTGATTCCAGTATATGCATAAGGCTTTCACCATTAGCTAGTATTGAGCAGAAGATGCATGTGAAAAAATGAAGCATAGAGAGAGGACCAGTAGGACACAAAAAGCAGATCTAAGACTTGTACTTGTAGCCAAAATGGAGTAACAGAGACTTACCTTCATGTCGAACAAATAAAACGTGGACAAAATCAATGAAGGGATGGCCCTCAAGACATTGAATGTCAGTCAATGAAGGACAGTTATTTCCAGGAGTCAGGTAACAAAATAGTGAGCCCAATAATTTCCCTAGTTTATTGTGTTGAAAAAGTGTCCAGACTGTGTCACAGGGCAGGGAACTGCAGACAGTCTGGCAGTCTTCCTGAGTGGGAGAGATAGAGCTAAGAGTCTGAGGATGCCCGAGTGGGTAGAGTTCACAGGACATAGTACTAGAGGTGAGAGAGATATACAGAGAGAGAGAGAGAGAGAGAGAGAGAGAGAGAGAGCCAGAGATCTTCAGGAAGACTTCCTCAAGTCCTCAGCTGAGGAGTGATCAGTGTCTGTCAGTGGGAACACTAATTAAGTCTGGAAAGGACCGACTGAAAGAATAAAAGGGAATCATTCATAACTCAAACAAGGCTGAAATAGTGCCTGTTCCCAACACTCAGATTGGAAAACTTCATAAGTTAGGAGGCTTTAGTTAGAGTAGTAAAAATGGGTCTTTATTCAATAGCAAAGAAAATCAACCCTAGACTAAATAGTGCTCAGCTAAACAAAGCTAAAAAATAAGGCCCAAAAGGATGAAATTCTTTTAAAGTAGCCTAATTAGTAAAGGAGATTAAAACAGCTATTATGAGTGTATTCCATAAACTTGAGGAGCTAGATTGGGCATGAAAAGCAGAAACAAGAAAGATTTATAAAAAGACGAAAATCAAACTTGTAGAGATGAAAACCATGTCTAAAATGAAAAATACATTGGATGAGATTATCAGCTGAACAGACATTGCAAATAAAAAGTGGTGTATTTGAAGATATAGCAATAGAAACTATCTAAAATGAAACAGAGAGAAAAAACACTGGAAAAAAAAGAAATTGAGCACTATTACACTGTAGGGCAACCTTAAGTGGTCAAATGTGTGTGTAACTGGAGCCCTTAAAGGAGATAATTGGGGTGATGAGGCACACGGAATGTTTGTGAACATACCAGCCAAAAAATTTTTCAAACAATGAACCCCCAGGTCCAAGAAGCTCAACAAATGCCAATCACAAAATATGAAGAAAACTATAAGAAAACTTATCACTATCAAATTGTTTAACCCAATGATAAAGAAAAAAAAATCTTAAAAGTATCAAGAGAAAATATGCATTGCCCAAAGAGGAACAAAAACAAGAGTAATATTATATTTCTCATTTGAAACAATGCAAGCTAGAAAACATTAGGAAAACATTTTTAATGTAATGAAAAAAAGTTTTGTCAGCCTATACTTCTTTACCCAGTGATAATATCTTTTTAAAAAGACAAAATAAAACATTTCAAATATAATAAAGCTGAAATAATCCATCACAAGTAGACCAGCACTACGAGACATATATTTTTAAAAGCTCTTCATTCAGGAGAAAAATAATATGAGACAAAAATGTTGAGCTCTACAAGGTAATGAAGCACACTGAAAATGGTAGTTACAAAATTAAAAAGCAGACATTTCTTCTTATTAATTCCTTTTGAAAGACGGTTGACTTTTGAAACAAAATTATATATGGAGTTTATACAATATGTAGAAGTAAACAAAGGGCAACAATAGCCGAAATATCAGAATAGAAGAATAGCAGTAAATTGCTGCAGTATGTTTATATTACATGTGATGGGGAAGACTATCACTTGAAGATAGACTGTGATAAGTTAAAGATGTATAGCATAAGTCCTAGCAACCCATAAAATAATACAACATAGAGCTGTAGCTAATACATCAACAAGTGATGAAATTAAATCATTAAAAAATATTCATTTAACCCAAATGAAGGCAAAAAAATGGACAAGAGGACACAAAGAACATATAGAACAATAAACAAGATGATGGATTTAAATGTAATCAAATCCAAATCACATGAAATATAAATGGCCTAAAGACTCAATTTAGAAGGTAAAAATTATCACACTGGATATAAAAGACCCAACTAAATGCTACCTACAAGAAATTCACTTTTTATATAAGTACAGAAATACACAATTATTTAGACTTGTTGTGTAGATATAAATTAACCCAAATATTTAAGAAAAAGAATTTTAAAAGTTAGAAAGAGGTAAAACTATCACTATTTCCAGATGATAATGATTATGTATATACCTTGGAAACCAAAGATAATCAACTAAAAACTATTAAAAACAATACAAATTTTCAGAAATACATACTGCTATGAAATTATTAAATTAGTATTTTAATATGTTAAAGCAAGAATAAATTATTAGATATGATAAAAATCATATTAACATAAATAATAGCAAGAAAAGAGATAAAATACCTAGAAAAAAATAAGAAATATGCAAGACATATATGAAGAAAAAGATAAAATATCATAGGGCATCAAAAACAATTGAAAAATTCGATAGATACTATGACTTGAATAGGAATAGTCTATATCATGAAGAATGTCAAGGTTACCTAAGTTAATTTATAAATATAATGCTAACCTGATAAAAGTATCACCATTTCAAAAACCAGATAGACTGTTTCTAGGGTCATATGGCAATATAAGCAAATAAATATATCCAGGAATAGGAAAAAAAATTAAGTTCTTTTGAGGAATCAGTCTATTAGATTATTAAAACAAAGAATGCATTTTAAGGAGTCAATGAGAAAAGCAGCATGGTGCTGAGACAATAATAGGAAGACAATCCAGTGGAATAGAAAAGAAAAATTTGAAAATATTAATGTGAGAATTTATTATATAGATACTAATTCATATTAGTGTGCAACTATGTTATGTAAAATGGTGACATTTCAAATTAATAAAAACAATAAGTTTTGATAGACCAAAAAATCAGAAAAAGATTATTGTAAATCTTTCTTACATCTTACTCCAGGATATATTTCAAATGGATCAATTACTTACATGTAATAAATAAAAGCATAAATGTTCTAGGAAAAAAAGACAACGGAAATTCTAATTGCCTTGGCATAAAACAGACACTTCTATTTATTTCTAATAATCAGAAACTGTATATAAAAATCTCTAAATTTTACTCAATAATATTTTTTAAAATCCTGCATAGCAAAAAGTAAAAAAAAAAAAAAAGAAAAAAGCCAAGTTGCATTTTCCCTAATTTAAAAAAGTGCTTTTATAACTAAATTATAACCATATTGTAAAACATCAGTATCCTCATTAAAAGATAAGCAAGGCCTAGGAATAAACACTGAAAATAGTAGACCCTAAAATGGCTCCCAAAACATGAAAACAATGCTCATGGTCACTAATGCAGAACTATTAAAAAGACAAGTATCCAAAACTTTGATACCACTCAGTTCCCAAGCCTGTGATCAAATGATCAATTTCATGCATGACTTGCAGAAATGTAAATGGATTCCAGCTCTACAGAGATTTTAAACAATATATATCAAAACAGTTCTTTGATAACAATTCTACCTCTGAAATTACATACATATGGGCTGACTCATTGCAGCATTATTTGTAAACAGTAAGCAATTAAAAAACTCCAATGTCTATCAATATGGAGCAATAAGTAAACTATTCACACACTGGAATAATATACAGCTCTAAAAAAAGGAAGAGGGGCAAACCAAATCCAGCAACATATGAGAAGGATTATAAACCATGATCAAGTGGAATTTATCCCAGGAATGTAATGTTAGTTTAACATCCAAAAGTCAATCTGTATAATGCACCATATTAATACAATTAAGGACACAACTCACATGATCATCTCAATAAACTTTTTTTTATCATGAAAGGGTGTTTGATTTTGTGAAATATTTTATCTGTAAATATTTGACAAAATCAAACACCCTTTCTTGATTAAAAATATGTTCAACAAACTAGAAATAGAAGGTAGATTCTTCAACCTTATAAATGATATCTAATGAAAACCCCACAGCTAACATCATAGTTAATGGTGAGGGACTGAATGCTTTCTTCTTAAGATTAGGAAAAAGGCAAGAATGTTTGCTTTCACCATTTCTAATCAACATTTTACTGTGCATTTTAGCCAGGGAAATCAGGCAAATAAAAAAAATTTAAGATGTCTAGATCAGAAAAGGAGAATTACAATTATCTCTCTTTATAAATGGCATGATCTCTCACATATAGAAATCCTAAGAAATCAACTGAAAATTTATTGGAACTAATTAATGAGTTCAATAAATTTACTATATATAAGATCAATATACAAAAGTTAACAGTGATTTTATGACTATCAATGAACAATTCAAAAATGAAATTAAGAAACAATTCCATTTGTTATAGCATCAAAAAGAATAAAATATTTAGAAATAAAGGAAACAAGGGTAAGACTTATACAATGAAAACTAAAAACACTGTTGATAGCAATTAAAAATCTAAGTAAATGGAGACAACCCATAAACATGGACCAGAAGACTTAGTTTTGTTAAGAAAGGCTTATTCTGAGAATTGATTTACAGACTCAATGACATCCCTAACAACATCCACCCTAGCTGTTTTTTTTAAATTTCCAGCCAATGACAAGCCACTGCCAAATTCATATGAAAGTGCAAGAAGCCCAGAATGACCAAAACAATCTTAACAGAGAAAAATAAAGTAAGGAGACTCTCACTTCCTAATTTTAAAACTTACTACAAGACGGGGTGGAGCCAAGATGGCTGAATAGGAACAGCTCCAGTCTACAGCTCCCAGCATGAGCGACGCAGAAGACTGGTGATTTCTGCATTTCCAACTGACGTACCGGGTTCATCTCACTGGGGAGTGACGGACAGTGGGTACAGGACAGTGGGTGCAGCGCACCGTGCATGAGCCGAAGCAGGGCGAGACATCGCCTCACCCAGGAAGCACAAAGGGTCAGGGAATTCCCTTTCCTAGTCAAAGAAAGGGGTGACAGCCGGCACCTGGAAAATCAGGTCACTCCCACCCTAATACTGCACTTTTCCAACAGGCTTCACAAACGGCATAACAGGAGATCATATCCCACGCATGGCTTGGAGGGTCCCATGCCCACTGAGCCTTACTCATTGCGAGCACAGCAGTCTGAGATCAAACTGCAAGGCGGCAGCGAGGCTGGGGGAGGGGTGCCCGCCATTGGTCAGGCTTGAGTAGATAAACAAAGCGGCCTGGAAGCTCGAACTGGGTGGAGCCCACCACAGCTCAAGGAGGCCTGCCTGCCTCTGTAGGCTCCACCTCTGGGGGCAGGGCACAGACAAACAAAAGGCAGTAGAAACCTCTGCAGACTTAAATGTCTGACAGCTTTGAAGAGAGTAGTGGTTCTCCCAGCACACCACTTGAGATCTGAGAACAGGCAGACTGCCTCTTCAAGTGGGTCCCTGACCCCTGAGTAGCCTAACTGGGAGGCACCCCCCAGTAGGGGTGGACTGACACCTCACACGGCTGGGTACTCCTCTGAGACAAAACTTCCAGAGGAACGATCAGGCAGCAGCATTTGTGGTTCACCAATATCCGCTGTTCTGCAGCCACTGCTGCTGATACCCAGGCAAACAGAGTCTGGAGAGGACCTTCAGTAAACTCCAACAGACCTGCAACTGAGGGTCCTGACTGTTAGAAGGAAAACTAACAAACAGAAAGGACATCCACACCAAAAACCCATCTGTACATCACCATCATCAAAGACCAAAGGCAGATAAAACCACAAAGATGGGGAAAAAACAGAGCAGAAAAACTGGAAACTCTAAAAAGCAGAGTGCCTCTCCTCCTCCAAAAGAATGCAGCTCCTCACCAGCAATGGAACAAAGCTGGATGGAGAATGACTTTGATGAGTTGAGACAAGAAGGCTTCAGAAGATCAAACTACTCTGAGCTAAAGGAGGAAGTTCGACCCAATGGCAAAGAAATTAAAAACTTTGAAAAAAAATTAGCCGAATGGATAACTAGAATAACCAATGCAGAGAAGTCCTTAAAGGACCTGATGGAGCTGAAAACCATGGCACGAGAACTATGTGACGAATGCACAAGCCTCAGTAACTGATGCCATCAACTGGAAGAAAGGGTATCAGCGATGGAAGACGAAACAAATGAAATGAAGCATGAAGAGAAGTTTAGAGAAAAAAGAATAAAAAGAAATGAACAAAGCCTCCAAGAAATATGGGACTATGTGAAAAGACCAAATCTACGACTGATTGGTGTACCTGAAAGTGACGGGGAGAATGGAACCAAGTTGGAAAACACTCTGCAGGATATTATCCAGGAGAACTTCCCCAATCTAGCAAGGCAGGCCAACATTCAAATTCAGGAAATACAGAGAACGCCACAAAGATACTCCTCGAGAAGAGCAACTCCAAGACACATAATTGTCAGATTCACCAAAGTTGAAATGAAGGAAAAAATGTTAAGGGCAGCCAGAGAGAAAGGTCAGGTTACCCACAAAGGGAAGCCCATCAGACTAACGGCTGATCTCTCAGCAGAAACTCTACAAGACAGAAGAGAGTGGGGGCCAATATTCAACATTCTTAAAGAAAAGAATTTTCAACCCAGAATTTCATATCCAGCCAAACTAAGCTTCACAAATGAAGGAGAAATAAAATACAGACAAGCAAATGCTGAGAGATTTTTATCACCACGAGGCCTGCCCTAAAAGAGCTCCTGAAGGAAGCACTAAACATGGAAAGGAAAAACCGGTACCAGCCACTGCAAAATCATGCCAAATTGTAAAGACCACCGAGGCTAGGAAGAAACTGCATCAACTAATGAGCAAAATAACCAGCTAACATCATAATGACAGGATCAAATTCACACATAACAATACTAACCTTAAATGTAAATGGGCTAAATGCTCAAATTAAAAGGCACAGACTGGCAAATTGGATAAAGAGTCAAGACCCATCAGTGTGCTCTATTCAGGAAACCCATCTTATGTGCAGAGACACACATAGGCTCAAAATAAAGGGATGGAGGAAGATCTACCAAGCAAATGGAAAACAAAAAAAGGCAGGGGTTGCAATCCTAGTCTCTGATAAAAAAGACTTTAAACCAACAAAGATCCAAAGAGATAAAGAAGACCATTACATAATGGTAAAGGGATCAATTCAACAAGAAGAACTAACTATCCTAAATATATATGCACCCAATACAGGAGCACCCAGATTCATAAAGCAAGTCCTGAGTGACCTACAAAGAGACTTAGACTCCCACACATTAATAATGGGAGACTTTAACACCCCACTGTCAACATTAGACAGATCAACGAGACAGAAAGTCAACAAGGATACCCAGGAATTGAACTCAGCTCTGCACCAAGCAAACCTAATAGACATCTACAGAACTCTCCACCCCAAATCAACAGAGTATACATTCTTTTTAGCATCACACCACACCTATTCCAAAATTGACCACATAGTTGGAAGTAAAGCACTCCTTAACAAATGTGAAAGATCAGACATTATAACAAACTGTCTCTCAGAACACAGTGCAATCAAACTAGAACTCAGGATTAAGAAACTCACTCAAAACCGCTCAACTACATGGAAACTGAACAACCTGCTCCTGAATGACTACTGGGTAAATAATGAAATGAAGGCAGAAATAAAGATGTTCTTTGAAACCAACGAGAACAAAGACACAACATACCAGAATCTCTGGGACACATTCAAAGCAGTGTGTAGAGGGAAATTTATAGCACTAAATGCCCACAAGAGAAAGCAGGAAAGATCCAAAATTGACACCCTAACATCACAATTAAAAGAATGAGAAAAGCAAGAGCAAACACATTCAAAAGCTAGCAGAAGGCAAGAAGTAACTAAAATCAGAGCAGAACTGAAGGAAATAGAGACACAAAAAACCCTTCAAAAAATTAATGAATCCAGGAGCTGGTTTTTTGAAAGGATCAACAAAATTGATAGACCGCTAGCAAGACTAATAAAGAAGAAAAGAGAGAAGAATCAAATAGATGCAATAAAAAATGATAAAGGGGATATCACCACTGATCTCACAGAAATACAAACTACCATCAGAGAATACTACAAACACCTCTATGCAAATAAACTAGAAAATCTAGAAGAAATGGATAAATTCCTCGACACATACACCCTCCCAAGACTAAACCAGGAAGAAGTTGAATCTCTGAATAGACCAATAACAGGCTCTGAAATTGTGGCAATAATCAATAGCTTACCAACGAAAAAGAGTCCAGGACCAGATGGATTCACAGCCGAATTCTACCAGAGATACAAGGAGGAACTGGTACCATTCCTTCTGAAACTATTCCAATCAATAGAAAAAGAGGGAATCCTCCCTAACTCATTTTATGAGGCCAGCATCATCCTGATATCAAAGCCAAGCAGAGACACAACCAAAAAAGAGAAGTTTAGACCAATATCCTTGATGAACATTGATGCAAAAATCCTCAATAAAATACTGGCAAAACGAATCCAGCAGCACATCAAAAAGCTTATCCACCATGACCAAGTGGGCTTCATCCCTGGGATGCAAGGCTGGTTCAATATACACAAATCAATAAATGTAATCCAGCATATAAACAGAACCAAAAGCAAAAACCACATGATTATCTCAATAGATGCAGAAAACGACTTTGACAAAATTCAACAACCCTTCATGCTAAAACTCTCAATAAATTAGGTATTGATGGGACGTATCTCAAAATAAGAGCTATCTATGACAAACCCACAGCCAATATCATACTGAATGGGCAAAAACTGGAAGCATTCCCTTTGAAAACTGGCACAAGACAGGGATGCCCTCTCTCACCACTCCTATTCAACATAGTGTTGGAAGTTCTGGCCAGGGCAATCAGGCAGGAGAAGGAAATAAAGGGTATTCAATTAGGAAAAGAGGAAGTCAAATTGTCCCTGTTTGCAGACGACATGATTGTATATCTAGAAAACCCCATTGTCTCAGCCCAAAATCTCCTTAAGCTGATAAGCAACTTCAGCAAAGTCTCAGGATACAAAATCAATGTACAAAAATCACAAGCATTCTTATACACGAATAACAGACAAACAGAGAGCCAAATCATGAGTGAACTCCCATTCACAATTCCTTCAAAGAGAATAAAATACCTAGGAATCCAACTTACAAGGGATGTGAAGGACCTCTGCAAGGAGAACTACAAACCACTGCTCAATGAAATAAAAGAGGATACAAAGAAATGGAAGAACATTCCATGCTCATGGGTAGGAAGAATCAATATCATGAAAATGGCCATACTGCCCAAGATAATTTATAGATTCAATGCCATCCCCATCAAGCTACCAATGACTTTCTTCACAGAATTGGAAAAAAGCTACTTTGAACTTCATATGGAACCAAAAAAGAGCCCGCATCACCAAGTCAATCCTAAGCCAAAAGAACAAGCCTGGAGGCATCACACTCCCTGACTTCAAACTATACTACAAGGCTACAGTAACCAAAACAGCATGGTACTGGTACCAAAACAGAGATATAGATCAATG
Organism: Homo sapiens; assembly: GCF_000001405.40. Classification (NCBI taxonomy): domain Eukaryota; kingdom Metazoa; phylum Chordata; class Mammalia; order Primates; family Hominidae; genus Homo; species Homo sapiens. Next base: position 117,196,228 of record NC_000008.11, read on the forward strand.
GAACAGAACAGAGCCCTCAGAAATAATGCCACCTATGTACAACTATCTGATCTTTGACAAAACGGAGAAAAACAAGCAATGGGGAAAGGATTCCCTATTTAATAAATGGTGCTGGGAAAACTGGCTAGCCATATGTAGAAAGCTGAAACTGGATCCCTTCCTTACACCTTATACAAAAATTAATTCAAGATGGATTAAAGGCTTAAATGTTAGCCCTAAAACCATAAAAACCCTAGAAGAAAACCTAGGCATTACCATTCAGGACATAGGCATAGGCAAGGACTTCATGTCTAAAACACCAAAAGCAATGGCAACAAAAGCCAAAATTGATAAATGGGATCTATTTAAACTAAAGAGCTTCTGCACAGCAAAAGAAACTACCATCAGAGTGAACAGGCAACCTACAAAATGGGAGAAAATTTTCGCAACCTACTCATCTGACAAAGGGCTAATATCCAGAATCTACAATGAACTCAAACAAATTTACAAGAAAAAAACAAAAAAACCCATCAAAAAGTGGGCAAAGGACATGAACAGACACTTCTCAAAAGAAGACATTTATGCAGCCAAAACACACATGAAAAAATGCTCACCATCACTGGCTATCAGAGAAATGCAAATCAAAACCACAATGAGATACCATCTCATGCCAGTTAGAATGGCAATCATTAAAAAGTCAGGAAACAGCAGGTGCTGGAGAGGATGTGGAGAAATAGGGACACTTTTACACTGTTGGTGGGACTGTAAACTAGTTCAACCATTGTGGAAGTCGGTGTGGCGATTCCTCAGGGATCTAGAACTAGAAATACCATTTGACCCAGCCATCCCATTACTGGGTATATACCCAAAGGATTATAAATCATGCTGCTATAAAGACACATGCACACGCATGTTTATTGAGGCACTATTCACAATAGCAAAGACTTGGAACCAACCCAAATGTCCAACAATGATAGACTGGATTAAGAAAATGTGGCACATATACACCATGGAATACTATGCAGCCATAAAAAATGATGAGTTCATGTCCTTTGTAGGGACATGGATGAAATTGGAAATCATCATTCTCAGTAAACTATCGCAAGAACAAAAAACCAAACACCTCATATTCTCACTCATAGGTGAGAACTGAACAATGAGAACACATGGACACAGGAAGGGGAACATCACACTCTGGGGACTGTTGTGGGATGGGGGAAGGGGGGAGGGATAGCTTTAGGAGATATATCTAATGCTAAATGACAAGTTAATGGGTGCAGTACACCAGCATGGCACATGTATACATATGTAACTAATCTGCACATTGTGCACATGTACCCTAAAACTTAAAGTATAATAATAATGAAATAAAATAAAAAAAAGCAAGTCTGAACCACTATGCCTGGCCTGAATTATACAATTTAAATGAGTGAATTATGTTATGTGAATATTATCTCAAGCTATTAAAAGAGAAATTGTTGTTCTAGTCACATGCTCAATAATCACATATGACAAATAGTTTAAAGAAAAGTGATCCTTTTAGGATCCTAAATATTTATGTTATATGAAAAACTGCTATAGAATAGTGTGCATAGTATGCTCTTTTGTGTAAAAATGAGGAAAAAAAAATCAGTCTCTTGACGGGTACAGAAGAAACTAATAACAGAACTTACCTATTTTGGAGAGGTTTGGTGGAAACAAGTGACTTAGAGTAGGAGGAATAATTGAAACTCTGTTTCCGTATACACAAGTATATGTGCATATGCATGTACACATATATCTCCATATATATGTACATGTGCATATATGTATATATGTATGTATATGCATATAATTTTTAGTGGGATGAGTGAAAAATTGTATTTGTATTGCAAATATATTACTTATTTAAAAAACAGACTTTGAATAAAACTTTCAACAGCTTAAAATGCTTAGTTAAAATACACTTACTGTAGAGTTCTACATCTATATTCTCTGAATTTTCCATATAAAAAAATACACAAAACACAGCTATACCATTAGCTTTTTGTATTATATTTCCCTTGTTTCTCACACTCAGGAGCTAGATGGGGGAGAGTTTTCCATAGTCGGTGGTTCTGAAGAAGCAAAAGCTCAGTATGTTTCTAGCCTTTATTAAACATTGCTACAGTTGCTAAGATTCAGAACTACCCAAGGGCCCAAGATCTGGGTTTGACCTTGTGCTTCTCACCTTCAAATTATTGCACTATGACATCAGGAGTAGAATACAGGATGGATGGGTAAATGAGAGAAGAGCACTTTCACTAAGTAAGGAAGATCTTATTAATCCAAGGCTTGCCATATGGCAGGAAGTGTGGGAAAGGTACATGACAGCTTAATGGAAGTTGCTGAAATATGGACTACCTTCCATTTTTTTCAGAGGCTTTTAAGTGCAAAATGTCTAATAGGTGCAGAAAGTACTTCTGGTTGTGATGTTCACATTTGTCAAAAGGCCTCCACCAGCTGTACAAAGCCAAGGCAGATAGATGCCCAATGATTTCTTCTTGAAATCCTATTCTACTCTCATTCATGGACATCCAACTGAAGAAATATGTACGGAACACCTTTAACAATCTGCTGCCCTCTGAAGCACAAAGCTGCTCATTAGGGGCAATGTCAGGTAACAGTTCAGCTCGGTTCTTGAGGCAGGCTGCCTGGTGTGAATCCCAGTTCAGCTTTTTTGCTGTTTGTCCAACATCAGTTACTGAGATTTTCTAAGGCTGAACATCCCCATCTGATAGAGGAGATCAGTTTATCTACCTAGTAGGATTGTAGAGTTAACGGATTGTAAAGTTAACAAATACAGAATAATTCCTGGCTTGTCATTACTATGTCACACCCAAGCTTAAAACCCTTCATGTGACCTCTCAGTGTCCTTAGATTAGTCTGAAATGCCAAATGTGGTTGATGATGGCTTCCCTTATAATCCATCTTTCCAGTCTCTCTAACACCGCTCTTGCTTCCCTCTGTTCATACTCCAGCCACATTCCCATGTATCAGAAGTCCCAACTTTCTTCTTCAGGAACTTCACATATTCTATTTCTCTCCTTCGAAGATTCTTACTTTCTTCCTTACAGAACAAAAGCAAAACTCCCATTGAAGTCTGAATTTAAATTACACACAATTAGGCCTGGTTTAGATCCCCTACATTGAATTTCCGTAGCATCCTGGACTTCTTTGTAGCACTAATCACATTGACAATTAAACATATATTTCTGTATTTTTAAAATGTTCTCCCCACCCTAGATTGACTGTAAGTATATGTATGGTGCTGGCATTTAATAGATGCTGGAGAAATATTGGCTGAATAAATAAATGAATGGATGAATTCAAATCTACTGTGCAACTTGTGTTACACAGTAATAGACATAGTTCCAAGTTTATCAATAGGGGCCTGATGTACAAGTCTTGGATAATGTTGAACGACAATACTTCTGGCATGTTTTGTTGTAGATCCCAGCAGCTGCTGATGTGCCTATCTCCTGAAGTATGTAGCTCTCAAAGACAGAAGCTGATGGTTGAACTACAATAAATCTAACATAAAATCTGCAGAAATTAAAAATAATTTTAAAAGATTGGTTATTCTGTGTTCTACAAACCCACCTAGCCTGGTGAACATCATTCTCTGTTGCACATAGTGTGTAAGAATTCACCTAGAAGTTGACACTTTAGGGGTGTTACTACTTACAATTATCTGAGTGCTGATAATGCTCAAGATTATGCACGTGGCACCTGACCTCTCTGTGCTACATTCCAGATAAGCATCTCTGTCTACACCTGGATGTAGACAGGTGTAGACCTGGATGTCACTTTGTTTTGGTCTTTCTCCAGTGGTTGTCAGTGCTTCCTGCTCAGAATCAGCCTATCTCATTACCACATATGCCAGTGGGTCTTTCTGCTACAGAGGTGTCTTAGCTGCACTATGCTTCAAGTAGGGTGTGTGGTTGTCCTGTATCAGTGTTTCAACCTGCCTGTCTACTATTATTTCCCTCTGAGCCATAGCTTCAGCATCTATAGGTGAAGGCACCAATAATCTTGATCCAGTGGTTTCCACAATAGCTTCTGTGCAACACGTAAGTTAGCATGATCAGTGTCTCTAGAAACAACATGGAGAGGTAGGTACGAGCATGAACTGTGAAGTGAGATGAACCTGGGTTCATTTCTGCCATTGACATGTACTAGCTGTGTGGTTTTGATAAATCTGAGCCAGTTTCATCAGCTTTTAAATGACCATCTTGCAGAATGTAAAAATAATTTAGTGAAAAATGTATGTAAAGTGATTAACATGGTGACTATTACTACTATGACTATTACCAGTACTACTGCTACTATTAATATTTCAGGTTATGCATGAGCTGAATGAATTTCACTAATCCATAAGATCTATGGCAGGTATCCAGAGACCACTGTCCTACAATTAAAAGTGCCTTAAAATATCCAAATAGACAGTTCTGTACTCTTTTGGGAAGCCCTCAGGCAATTCTTCAGAATCTTCATGCTGATAGATCTGTTTAGGTTCAAATGATGTTGAAGAAAAGAAGGGCAGATAAAAAGTGAGGACAGATAAAAGACTTGTAAATTGAAACTTATACTTGAGAATCACGTGGAAGCCCTTGTTATCTATTTTGCAAATTAGTTTGCTTTTTAAATTTCCAAAAAGCTCTGCTTTCTTAGCTAGCAAGTCAGCAGGAAGCAAGGTTTTGGTGAGTTTCTTATGCATACTGCATATTCATAATAATTCATTTCATAAAGTATATAAACACATGTGTAATATATCCTTAGGTACAAATACATAGGCTCCTGCTTGGAGTCTGATTTTCAAAATTACCATTTGTCAGCACTAGATAGCTTTGCCCCAGGGCTACTAAAGATGGTGGAGAACAGAGAAAGAGGCATGGTGGCTTCTGTACAGATGGCTATTGTCCCTTCTCCCCAGTGCCCTTGTAGCTTTCACATGGGGGATATTTTCCCTGGTATGGTGTAAGTAGAAGCAGCATATCAGGCCCATTGGCAGGTGAATTGACTATAGGGTGTTTTCAGTAACATTTCAAGGTAGAGGAACATGTTCATATTCTTCATCTTGGGTGTTTTTGAAGTTTTAACCCACTCGGTTGGGCATGGGTGAGATGATAAAATGATTGTTCCAAGTCTTGAATTCCAGATATTAGACTCAGGGTAGGGTCATATTTACTTCATCTACCCATAAAGCTTCCCTTCTTTGGACTTGGGGCCCACTGCCATGACGATTTTTACTTAATTTTACAGATAACTTGTATCTCAGTGAATTTTAATCTGAAACTTATATGAAACAACATCTGCCACCATCTTTGGTAATTTACAGAGATGAATTTATGATGCTTGTAAATATACTTGTGCATGAATATATATACACATACATGCATATACATATCTATATCTATGTAAATGTAATATATACATACATAAAATAGGTGTACAAACATACATATCTCTGTGTGTGTGTGTATATATGTGTGTGTATTTATGCTGTCCAATGAAAGAAATTTCAGTTTTTGTAAAATTATTTTATAAATCTTACAACTTACAAACAATATTTGTATAGCTATTCTTGACCAGCTCAGAAATGGAAGAGAATCTTCTGCAGATACCCTCCTGTGCCACTGCACCTAAACATTAAAATTATGTTATGTATATTATGTTGTATTGTATGTATCACAGACTGATGATAATCCTGAAGCAAGTTGCTAGGGGCCTCACATTACAGCTATGGAGGTTCAGATTTCCACCTTATCCCATTTCTGAGGCATCCCATTTGGGGGTTGTCTGCGCTGGGGAGCAGAGGAGAGATGCCAATTTTTCACTTCTCACCTATAGGGAAGTGATATCTCCTGAGGCTGCAAGCTGTGTTCATTTCTTCCTTTAGGCTTACTGGCCAATTCCAGGACTCTGAGCTATTTGTGACTATTGGGATTATACTTTCTCAACCTCAGCAGCCTTCTGTGGATTGATACTTAGAAGTTTCCAGCACACTGAATATGAGTTCTGCTGTCGTTGCTCTTTTGACATCAGGCAAAGACCACATGTTTCAGTCCAGATGGTGTCAGTTTAATCACTGGCACCTAATGTAGCGTGATATACTAGTATTGACCCAATGTACATTACGGGTAATTTTCTGAGATTTTGCTTTGGAGAAGAGAATAGAGAAGATTTTGGAGAAAAAAAATATTTGTAGTGGTATGAAAAGCTGACCTAAGATTTTTATTTTCTAAACTAGCATCAAATATGTAAATATTGCCATTTTAATAGTAGTAATAATCATTTATTGAAAACCTAAAATGTGCCATTGAATGTAACTGGCTGCTTTGAATGTGCTCATAATCTTTAAATTCTATACTCTTTGCCATGCATGGTCTGCATGGCAATAGTAACAGCTAGGAATAGTGGTTTTGTGTTAGGTAAAAGAAAATTCAACAAAATGAGACAGTAAAGGAAGAAATCAACTTTTCTTGTGTAACAGTTTTTTCTAAAGCAGAAAGTCTGAGCAGATAATCAAGAGACTCATCCAAGAGCCCAGGCCCCTTCTATCTTTCTCCTATGCTCTCTTTAACGTGGAGTTTTTGTCTTTATGGCCACAAGATGGTTGCTGCGTCTCCAGATACTGCAGCATCACTGTTCCAGGCAAGAAGAAAGAAGTCTAAAGGGCAAATCTAAGAGTTTGATATTGTTTTCAATTCAGAGAGAAAGGCTCTCCACTGGGAATTATGCCTCATCTCATTGGCTAGAGCTGTGTCACATGGCCAGCCTCATGCAAGGTAATCAAAGATATTAGGAGCAAACAGGGCAGAATGGGAGTCAGTCAGTGTCTGCCTCAATAACTGCATCTTACACCACTCTGTGCATCATTCCCTGTGCTTCAGTCACACTGGTTTCCTTCAATGTGGCAAGCTCTTGTCTCCTCAGAGGATCTTTGCACTTACAGCTTTTTCTGCTTGGAATATGCTAAGCAGAGCCATGGCTATACTATGTCAGGTGGTACCCCTACTATTCCTAACCAGTTATTCTCTATGTCATGACTCTAGCCCCTGTCCATAATGATACCATTTATTTGTTTACTTGTGTAATATCTGATTATGTGAACTCTCCATACAGCTGTTTTCTATTTTTTCTGTTGCTCATCCCTGTGTTCCTAGCACCAAACATGTCAGCTGCATAGAAAGTGCTAAATAGAAGTTAATTAATTGAATATTCTATTTTGTCTAATATTTTCAGAAGTCCAGTGGATAGGTAGCCACTTCCTTGCAGTCACAGAAGTATTGAATGTATCAGAGCCAGAATTAGAACCTATGTTTGCTGGCTCTTTCCAAAAACACTGTTTCTCACAGAAGGAGGCTCATCTGGCAGTTCTCAGAAGTCTATTTCAGAGCCCAAGGTCATGCTCTCCACCAAGCTAATTGATTTGTTTGTCACTTCCATAATAGCCTGGGGTTACTGACATTAGCACTTCTCTAGAAAGCCAGTTTTTCATTTGATTCTCCCAAGAAGGCCAGAAGCGAGAGTATTTGTGGTTTCCCTTGAATGGCTTCATCCTCAATGATGGAAAATTAACTTCATTTTGCTGACCAGTAAATGGAAAACTGAAGTCCTTGTCCTTAAGATATTGATTAACAAACCTTTTTTTCTCAGAGGTAAAAAAGTTACTATTTTCAGAGAAAGGATGGCTTTTCGATTCAGTTTAGTTATTTCCAAGCATTAGTTCTAAATTGTAGTCAAAATCCATTTTGCATATAAATCCTGTTTAATGAGACACTCTCCTGATACACCTTCTATGAAACTATTGACCAAAGGCTCTGGTACTGGAAAATGACTCTGACATTAGAAATGGATCAGCTCTGGTGATCTAGTGTACAGCATGGTGGCTATAGCTAATAATACCACACTGTATACTTGAAATTTGCTAAGAAGTTTGATCATTAAGTATTCGTACCACACACATATACACTAAATAGTTAACTATGTGAGGTGATATGTTAATTAGCTTGATTGCAATAGTCATTTCACAAAGTCTATATACAAACATCAAAACATTACATTGTACCCCTCATATATGTACAATTTTTTACTTGTCAAGTATAACTCAATGAAGCTGAAAAAAAAGCCAGGCAACCATGGCTCATACCTGTAATCCCAGCCCTTTGCGGGTCTGAGGTGGAAGTGTCACTTGAGCCTGGGAGGTTGAGGCTGCAGTGAGCTGAGATAGTGTCACTGCACTTCAGCCTGGGTGACAGAGTGAGACCTTGTCAAAGGAAAAAAAAAAAGCAAAGAAATGGATGAGGTCTCATTAGTTGTCTTATCCTCTTGGCAATTCAAAATTTCTCCCTCTTGCACACTTGGTAATCTCTCCAGTCCATTTTGAGAGCTCTGAATGTGTTTCTATTCCCACTCTGGAAGCTTTGCTGCACATCTGGAAGGCTTATTTTTGTTATTATTGTTGTTTATTTTTCTGTCAGCCATGCTTCTCTGTCTGCTTCTGCCTGAATCACCACCAGAACACAGACTTTTAAAAGCCTTCAAATTCTTTTTGAAAATTTTCACGGGTTTGTGTTTAATTTATCTTGGAATAAGAAATAAAGACCCAGCTTGATTTTTCTTCCAATTTGTTCCCAAACATTTTCTTCAATTTTACATCTTTTTCCCATTGGCTTGAAATGCCACATTTACCATGTATTAAATTTCTATCTGTATTTGGTTCTAGTTCTTCATTTTCTTTAGCTCCATTGAAATTGATACTCCTTTGTAGTATAAAATGTTTTATATACCAAAGTTTTGCTTATCTGGTAGAGGTAATTCTCCTCAATGCTGTTTTATAGAATTTCCCCACACATTCTGCATTCATTCAGCAACTATTTATTGAAAATTTTACCATGTGCCATACACTATTCTAGGCCCTGGAGATATGGTAGAAAACAAAACAGAAAAAGTCCTTGTGTTTGTGGAGCCTACAGTTTTGGTAGAGGATACAGACAATCTATAGGAAATTAGGACTTGGAGAAAATTAGAGAAAGGTAAAGGAAAGCAGGGTGCCAGGAGCCCTGGAGGGTGGTTTTAAGTGAGGCATCACTGAAGTGACATTTGAATGGAGATTTCAAGGAGGTAGGAATTAGCTATTTGGGGGATGAACATTCTATGCGGAACAAAGAGCAGGCACAAAGTTGCTGATATGAGTACGCACCTTGTTTCTTAGAAAAATAACAAAGAGGCCAATGGGTCAAAGTGAACAAAGTGGGCAGGGAGAGTATTAGGATACAGGTTCAGAGGGTGATGTAGGCCAGATGGTGTCAGACACTGAAGGCCATTGTAGAGATGTTGGCTTTTACCCTGCCCAACGTTGGAAATTATGAGAAGGTTTTGTCTAGTAGAGTGACATGATATGCCTTAGGTTTTAAAATAAATGAGGCCGGGCATGGTGGCTCATGCCTGTAATCCCAGCACTTTGGGAGGCTGAGGCAGGTGGACCACTTGAGGCCAGGGGTTCAAGACCAGCCTGGCCAACATGGTGAAACCCTATCTTTAATAAAAATACAAAAATTAGCTGGGCATGGTAGTGAACATCTGTAATCCTAACTACTCGGGAGGCTGAGGCAGGAGAATCACTTGAACCCAGGAGGTGGAAGTTGCAGTGAGCACCACTGCACACCAGCCTGAGCGACGGAGCAAGACTCCATCCCCCCAACCCCCAAAAATAATAATAAATAAAAATAAAACATAAAAGAAATGACCTGACTGCTTTTTTAAGAGTATACTGTGGGGTAGCGGCAGATACAAGAGAGCAGTTGAGAGACCACAGCTGTATCCAGGTAGAGAGATGATGGTAGCTTGGAGCAGAGTGATGGTAGTGGAGGTTATAAGAGGTGGACAGAATCTGAATATATTTTCAAGGCAAAATTGGAAGTATTTTATGACTGATAGGATGTGGGGTATTGGAAAAAGAAAGACATCTTTAAAAACTCTAAGGATATTTTTGGTCTAAACCAAAGGACGATTGGAATTGCTGCTAAATGAGATAAGGAAGGCTGCAGGTAGAATGGCTTAGGGAAAGTCAGGGCTCTGCCTGGATATGTTCTTCTATGATATCTTTTGTCATCTGATTGAAGATATTAAGTAGGGAGTTGAAGACATGCATCTGGAGACTGAGGAGATGTCTGAGGAGATGTCTGAAGTGGATCTGTACATTTATGGGATTTTGGTATATTGATGACATTTAAAACATGAGATAGGCTTTTATGATTTTTTGAAAAAATATGCCTAAATCAAAATTTAAATCAAAATTCAATTAACTTTATAGATTAAATAGATAAACTACTCAGCCTCCCGAGTAGTTGGGATTACAAACATAATTAGGGAGAACTGATGTCATTGAGTTTTCTCACTCAAAATAAAAAATCTTCCATTTTCCAATTATTCAAGACTTCTTTTTAGTCCTCAATCTGATTTTTATGTCTTCTTCATATAGATAGTACACATTTCTTATTAAGTTTATTCCTAGATATTTTTATAACTTCTTGTTATGAAATATGAACATCATATTCTCTGAATTGGGGTCAGCACTTTTTTTGGTAAAGGCCAGATAGTAAATGTTTCAGTCTTTTCAGGACCCTGTCACATATGTGTGTGGTGGTGTGTGTGTTTTGCAATCCCTCTACCATTTAGGGGCTGGGCACAGTGGCTCACACCTGTAATCCCAGCACTTTGGGAACCTTGGAGAGATCAATTTTAGTAGGATAATTAAGGTGGAGTCTAAATTTCAAGAGGTTAGACCTGAGTGATATATTAGGAATTAGAATTAAACAATTAGATAATAAGGAGAAAAGGAGCCAGCAGAAAGGAAGAGACTGCAATTATCAAAGGACAAATTTGGGACAGACATTTGTAAGGAATAAAATGGGGAACATATAAAAATTTTTAAAATGGGGGTTGTCCAGGAGCAGAGGCAAGCCAGAAATGCCTACATCTTGGCATGGTTTGCTTTGTGTATGATGCAAACTGTTAAAGTGTTTTGGGCACGGGTGCTTTCATTTGTTTCTTCATATGGCAAAGTGTAGAAATAAAAAATCCATGAGGAATGATGCCAGTGCAGTTGGTGATCCCCTATGCATTTGCCTGTTAAATAAATGGGAAGTAAAAAGAGCCTTGAAGATATACAATCAGAGACATTGCTGTTACAACAGAAAGTTGTGAAAAAATAAATAAACCTACTCAAAACATTTTTAGGCTGCTGAATGGAGTCTCAAATGCCTCTGCCAGCAAAAGATGCTGTTAGGTAGGTCTTCTCCACTTCCATCCTTCTCTGTGACATGAACTGCCCTTCTTTACTTTATTCAACTACTGGTAGAGAAAGAAGACCAGAACTAGCTAGACCACAGTCAGTACTTTGCAACTGTCTTTGGCTGAAATCCTATAATGAACAAAGGAAGATAGACGGCTCTGTGCAAAAAGGCCTCTTGGGCAGCTGTGATAGGAAGTGAATCCGAAAAACATGATCAAGAGCTTTTGTTTTCAATGGAACTCAAAACCCTCATAATAGATAAACTAGAAACCACTGTAATTATAATTGGAAGTAGCAGTACTCAATCCAGAGCCAAGACTTGTGCCCATAATGTGAACTAGAGAATTAGCTTGGAGCTGGGTATGTGTACACATGTGTATATTCTGGGCTTTCTATTGCCTTAAGCAAGTGCAACATGGGATACTGACGTGAGCACTGCAAAGAATGAACCATTTTAATTAATGTATTACCCTTCAGAGTCTGATCTTGCTTCAATATGGCATATGAGTTTTAAGTAACAACCAGTCATTTTCATATACACTGATCCATTTGATGCCGCCAACAATCTGTGAAAAGTGCTGTCCTTATTACCATGGAAAAAACACTGGTCAAAGAATGAGCTAAGCTCAAGTATAATTAATACAAGCTCACATTCACCAAGGACACACTGTGCACCCATCACTTTATATGTATTTTCTTTAATACCTGAAAATACACTGTGAGGTAGAGATAGTAGTTCTCAACTAGAGGCTATTTACCCCCAAGGTGATATTTGGTAATATCAGGAGACATTTTGGGTTGTCATAACTGGGGGTGAAAAGGTGAAAAAGGTTATGCTATTGGCATCTAATGAATAGAAGCCAGGAATGTTGCTTAATCTCCTACAATGCACATCACAGCTCCACACAAATAATTATCTCCAGCCCAAATGGTAATAGTACCAAGATGGAGAAACCCTGCTCTACATCTCATTGTATAGGTGATGAGATGATGAAACTACAGCTCAAAGAGGTAAGATGACATTCCAAGCACACAACCAGTAATAATAGAGCCTACATTTGACATAGGTTAAGTAGCTCGAAAGTTTCTGCTGGTCCCACTACAGGGCACTGATCCTGAATTTTCTATAACCTTAAGTAAAACATTCAACTTCTTGGTATCTCCATGTTCTGATTTGTCCAAATGAAGATGTCACTGTCTGTCTTGCTCTCCTGAATATAGTTTTTTAATAATTAAATAAGGTCTCACATCTGAAAGTGTTTCACAAAGATTTTATTTTTAGAGGGAATGTTAGCATGGTGATGGAGAGCACAGACTCTGCTGTCAGGACGACCAGAGTTCAAAACCTAGCTCTGCTACTTGTTTTCCCTATGACCTTGGCCAGCCTTGTTGAGGTACCTCTCTTTACCTCACTTTTCTTATCTGTAAAATGGGAGATGAAAATAGTGCCTCTTGGTAAGATGGTTGAGTTAGATAGCATATGAAATGGGTTTAGACAATTGCCTGATACATGCTAAGTAAGGGTTAGCTCTTATAAGTCTTATTATAAATATACCTGCACATATCTAATTATGAAGGATCTAGATTGAGAATCCAGCCAGATTCACAAACCCACATCCCAAGCACCTCTGTCAACAGCCCCTATAGTTTGTAGGAGCAAACCCAAACCACACTAAATCAGGTAGAGCAATTCAGACGATTAAAGAGCCTCTAACTCAGAGGCAAACAACAAACTACGCATTCTTTCCCTCACTGCCACCAGAAGACTAAAAATGAAATTGATTGGACAAAGGTAGAGTTGAATTACATGATATGGGGTTGAAAAGACTATGCTGTGGACAAGCTTCAGGGTGTACTCATTAAGAGTTACAGAATATTTTATCTTGAAGGAAAAACTCTCCATAGTATTAATTATTGCAAAAGAGCCCCACAGGATTAAATCGTAAATGTACCTGTGTGTACTGACCTTCGGGGAGTTGTTGTAAATTTTCATTGGCAGCATCCTCCTCTAAGAATCTATTTGAAAAATTCCCAAGTTGATCCTTGTAAAAGGTATAAGATCAACTTAATACAGAAATTTAATTTCAGGCTGCCGATTGATACAGTGACAGTGCGTGACTACATTAGTTTTAGGTCCTAGGTTCCAACAGAGTGCCGGCCTTTCAATGAACCAAATATAAAGTCACTCCACTTTAGAAATAATTTTCACATTGATTCTGAACAGTCACAGTGACTGGGTTCTTCACTGTGAACATTCCAGTGGAGAATAAGACAATCATTAAGAAAATTGGACTCACAGGTAAACATTCCCATCTGCAGTAAAACTAAAGTAAAGAAAAACTATTGATTCATTCAATTAATTCATTCAAAGTAGTTATTGAATGCCTGTGTTTTGTGTCAGGACTGTTTTAGAGGTTGGAGATAGTAAGACTGATATGAGCCTTGTCCTCCAATGAGGGGAGACAAGCAATGCACAACTGAACAAATCCACAAATGGGATGATTTCAGATAGTGGTGAGTACAATGAAAGAAATAAACAAAGAAATAATGCGAAGAGTTGGGAGCTTCAAGAAAGAGACAGGAAAAAAGAACACCCAATAATGCTTTAAACTCATTGAACAAATATTTCACAGCTGAAAAGTTCAGGCCTGATCATGAGGGATCTTGCACCTTTCCAGCTTATTAGTCTTTAATTCATTCTTAAGGCACCAACCTGTCCTCATGGTTCAAGATGACTAAAGAGTTCTAGCCATCACATCTCTGTTCCAAGCAGCAAGATGGGCAATAATGAAGACAAGGAAATATCTCATCCCTTTGGAAGACTGCCTAGTATTCCTACAGGACACTTATGCTCCCACTTCATTACTCTGAGCTAAGTCACTTGGTCTTACATACCTGCAAGAGGATGTGAAATGTAGTCTTTAAGTCGGGTAGTGATGTGTCCAATGAAAAATTGCAGTTTTGTTAATGTGAAAGGAAAGAGAAGATAAAATATTGGGCAGAAAGCCAACAGTGTCTGCCATGAGGGATACTTTAGAATGCATAGTCACAAATGGTTTTCTGCCAACATAGTATTTGACCTACAGCCTGAAGAGGTAAGAAGGAACAGATACTTGAACAACTCTAGGAAAATCATGAGCAAAGTGGTGAGAACAAAGGCCCTGGAGTGGACATAAGTGTGGCTTTTTAAAGAAGGAAGAGAAGATGTGTGAGAGGTATGACTTGAGTGTTGGGAGCCAGGCAGAAAATGGCCTGGGTAAGAACAGAGGTTAGCATGGGTGGGTCACACTGGGCTTTCAATGGCAAATTGGTGAAGGTTTTGAGCAGAGAAGAGATGAGATCAGATTTACAAGTTTGTAAGATTACTCTAGATGCTCTGTGGAAAATGAAGAACAGGGAAGATGAGTCGAAGTTTGGGAAAAATATATAGGCTTCTGATAAAATTCAACATCCCTTCTTGTTAAAAACTCACAATAAACTAGGTATTCAATGAACATATCTCAAAATAATGAGAGTCATATATGACAAACCCACAGCCATTATTATACTGAATGGGCAAAAACTGGAAACGTTCCCCTTGAAAACCGCTACAAGACAAGGATGCCCTCTCTCATCACTCTTATTCAACATAGTATTAGAAGTTCTGGAAGAGAAATCAGGCAAGAGAAAGAAATTAAGGGCATTCAAATAGGAAGAGAGGAAGTCAAACTATCAATGTTTGCAGATGACATGATTCTGTATCTAGAAAACCCCATCATCTAAGCCCAAAAGCTTCTTTTTTTTTTTTTTTTTTTGAGACGGAGTCTCGCTCTGTCGCCCAGGTCGGACTGCGGACTGCAGTGGCGCAATCTCGGCTCACTGCAAGCTCCGCTTCCCGGGTTCATGCCATTCTCCTGCCTCAGCCTCCCGAGTAGCTGGGACTACAGGCGCCCGCCACCGCGCCCGGCTAATTTTTTGTATTTTTAGTAGAGACGGGGTTTCACCTTGTTAGCCAGGATGGTCTCGATCTCCTGACCTCATGATCCACCCGCCTCGGCCTCCCAACCAAAAGCTTCTTAAGCTGATAAGCAACTTCAGGAAAGTCTCAGGATACAAAATCAATGTGCGGAAATTGCTAACATTTCTATACACCAACAACAGCCAAGCTGAGAGCCAAATCACAAAAGAACTTCCATTCAAAATTGCCACAAAAGAATAAAATGCCTAGGAATACAGCTAATAAGGGAACTGAAAAATCTCTACAAAAAGAACTACAAACCACTGTCCAAAGAAATCAGAGATGACACAAAGAAATGGAATAATATTCCATGCTCATGGATAGGAAGAATCAATATCATTAAAATGGCCATTTTGCCCAAAGCAATTTATAGATTCAATGCTATTCCCATTAAAATACCATGGACATTCTTCACAGAACTAGAAAAAAATGATTTTAAAGTTCATGTGGAACCAAAAATGAGCCTGAATAGCCAAAGCAATCCTAAGCAAAAAGAACAAAGCTGGAGGCATCACACTATCTGACTTCAGAATATACTGCAGGGCTACAGTAACCAAAACAGCCTGGTACTGGTACAAGAACAGACACATAGACCAATGGAACAGAATAGAGAACCCAGAACTAAGACCACACACCTACAGCTATCTGATCTTTAACAAACCTGACAAAAACAAGCAATGGGGAAAGGAATTTTAATTCAATAAATGGTGCTGGGAGAATTGGCTAACCATATGCAGAAAATTGAAACTATACCCTTTCCTTACACCATATACAAAAATTAACTCAGGATGGATTAAAGATTTTAATGTAAAACTCAAAACTGTAAAAACCCTGGAAGACAACCTAGACAATACCATTCAGGACATAGGCATGGGCAAAGATTTCATGATGAAGACGTCACAGGCAATTGCAACAAAAGCAAAAATTGACAAATGGGATCTAATTACACCAAAGAGCTTCTGCACAGTAAAATAAACTATCAATAGAGTAAACAGACAATCTACAGAATGGGAGAAAATTTTTGCAAACTATGCATCTGACAAAGATCTAATATCCACCATCTATAAGAAACTTAAATAAAATTTACAAGAAAAAAACAAACAACTCCATTAAAAAGTGGACAAAGGACATGAACAGACAGTTATCAAAAGAAGACATACATGCAGCCAACAAGCATATGAAAGAAAGCTTAATATCACTAATTATTAGAGAAATGCAAATCAAACCCACAATGAGATACCATCTCACACCAATCAGAATGGCCATTATTAAAAAGCCAAAAAAAGATAGATGCTGGTGAGGTTGTGGAGAATAAGGAACACTTAGACATTGTTGGTGGGAGTGTAAATTAGTTCAGCCATTGTGGAAGACAGTGTGGCGATTCCTAAAGACCTAAAGTCAGAAATACCATTTAACCCAGCAATCCCATTACTAGGTATATACCCAAAGGAATATAAATCATTCTCTTATAAAGGGTCACATGCATGCATATGTTCACTGCAGCACTATTCGCAATAGCAAAGACATGGAATCAACCCAAATACCCATCAATGATAGACTGGATAAAGAAAATGTGCTACATATACACCATGGAATACTACACAGCCACTGAAAAAAATGAGATCATGTCCTTTGCAAGGACATGGGTGGAGCTGGAGACCATTATCCTTAGCAAATTAATGCAGGAACAGAAAATCAAATACCACATGTTCTCACTTATGCATGGGAGCTAAATGATGAGAACACACAGACACATAGAGGAGAACAACACACACTGGGCTCTATCAGAGAGTGGACGGTGGGGAGGAGGGAGAGGATCAGGAAAAACAACCAATTGATACTAAGCTTAATATGTGGGTGATGAAATAATAGGTGCAACAAACCCCCATGACACGTTCTCCCATGTAACAAATCTACACATCCTGCACATGTACCCCTGAACTATCTATCTATCTATCTATCTATCTATCTATCTATCTATCTATCTATCTATGTATCTATCTTCCATCTATCTACCCACCTACCCAAAACTCTTAAGTGGAAGGCATGAAAGGAAGGAAAGAAGGCCGCCTTTGTTGTCAAATCTGGATGTCTTCATTTGCCCCCTCCATCTGCTCTCCACCTTTCTCTCCCCTGCCTTTGCATCAACAGCCATCCTTGCTCTCTGACTTGTCTGCTAATCTGGGTAGTGGTAGGAATGGAGGCAGGACACAAGAAGATCAGGCCACACGAAGTGAGTG
The DNA here is from genome assembly GCF_000001405.40 of Homo sapiens. NCBI lineage: Eukaryota > Metazoa > Chordata > Mammalia > Primates > Hominidae > Homo > Homo sapiens. Next base: position 117,213,764 of record NC_000008.11, read on the forward strand.
AGTTTGGGGTATTTTTCTGCCTATCTCCCTGCTAAGTTGTCAAGGGTCCACTGGATCTCTCCACTGCACTCAGCTCCTGCTAGGTGAGCTCTTCCACACCTGCCCTCCTTAGGACTGGTAAACACTTCTCACCAGCTCAAGGCTAGGAATGGTAATGGGTCCTCACTGTTGCTAGCCCTGGGCTGCTACACGATCCCTTATAGCTCCCTAAACTTTATCCTCAGCTTTGTAAAGAGTTCAACAATTAAACATTCTCCAGTGACTCAATTTAAATGTACTATCTAATTATTAGCTGGGCAAAGCCAGCAGAGCTACTTTCAAAGTGCCGCGTACTGCGCGCTATCTAACTTTCAAAATAAAATGGTAGGGGTGGAATTATAATCACTGCTTTAAACATGAAGATATTCATTTCTGAAATATTAATTAACATAGAAAGTGGCAGGGGAGCCAGATGTCTTGACATTTCTTTAACCTCCCTTTGTTTCTAACTACAAAAACCTGACTTTAGTATGTTTTTCTTCTTTCCTTTTATTTCAGTGCTCAAGGTCTATTCATTATTTTTTCTTTCAGGCTCTTTTTTTCCCCTGTGTTATACACACTACATATGTGCACTTGAGGGACTTCCCTGTCAACTTTCTTATGGATAGCCTGTGAAAATGAAGGCACAGAGAAGGCCATTTCTCACCCACCACCGGTACCTAATAGCAGTAAAGAAAATAAAGCTCAATTCTTGCAAATGACAACCACAGATAATAGATACTACCAAACCAGGAATTTGAGGGTGGATTATAAATCAAAACAACAAAATATGCAATCAAATAAACAAGCAATAGGAGAAATAAAGGCTCTTTTCATCTATATATTTATCCACTCTCAGCAAAAGTCACTGACTCTGGAGAATTTGGGCTCCCAGAAATGCCAGTTCTCATTGCTGAGCAAGGTTGGATGCTGACATGTTATTTCACACACCAGGCATCAAGCTGCCACTGTGGTCTCCATGGCAAAATCTACCAAGCACCTGAGAAGCCTGTGATAGAGGAGTGCGCATTTTCAACATGGGTAAGAAAAATAATAAGGCCCAGCAATGGAAACATCCACCAGAGCAGAAGTTGACAGTTGTCTTTGACAGCGAAAGGGTCGACTGCTCCTTCACTGTAATTCCATGAGAAGCTGAGTGACACTTTTATACCATGATATGATATCGCTATTTAAGATTTATAATGCTTCTTTTATTCTGTAGGAGACAGAGAGTGGGAAAACCACAGAAAGTATTGTGAGTTTTGCTCATTTTGTGCTAATTGCCTCAGCTATAAAATAGTTCATGGAGTCTGGACAATATAACAAGCTTGCTTATAACTTATCTTGCTTCTAAATTAGTAGTTTGCTGGTTCTGAAAATATGGTGTCAATTAATGATATACAGTAGATCTTTTTCCTACAATATGCAGGTGCATAAGATATTACATTGTTTTGTTTTCTTAAACCAGATTAAATTTGGTTCTGAGTGCCCCCAGAACTACGATGGAATAGCCAATATCTGCCTTTATTAAGGAGTCTTCTTTTCACCTTGGTTGTCCAGAGTCCCAAATAGCTTACGTAATCCAGTGAACTTGAGCAGGGGTCCTTCAGCTTCATGGCATCAGGGCTTTCCTTCCAGGAAGCAAAGCCCAAGATCTTTGCCCAGGGCTTCCTAGTCCATTTAAATGTACCTGCTTTCACCAACTTGGTGCTAAGCTGGGACACAGAGAGCTCTGCCAATGGCTCCCTAGGCCACCAACCTTGGTGTTTGCTTTCCACTCCATCCCTTTTGAAACCCATCTATTAGCCCATCCAACAAAGGCACTTTCACCCCTAGGTATTTCACAGAAGTGGAACTTGCTCCTCCAAACTCTTGGAATTCACCATTGTCCTCCTCTCTTTGGTCCCAAGGAAAGAGGTCCCTAAGGAAAACTGCACTTTAATCCTCCTCAATCAGGGGTTGACAAACTATGAGACCTACCAAAGGCCAAATCCAGCCAAAAGCCTCTTTATTTATGGCTTGTAACCAAATTTTTAAAAATGTTTTTAAATAGTCGTATTTCCAAATGGTTATATAAGTACCTATATAATATCCTTGATATTTCTTCTTGGTCCCAAGTGCCTAAAATATTTACTATCTGTCTCTTTAAGAAAGTTTGCCAACTCCTGCTCTAGATTCCCACACAAAAGCCCGGTGACCTGGAGTGTCTGGGTCAGACTCTGAAATAGGAAAGTCATTAACAATCCCACTGTAAGCCAGAAAACAAATTAGTATCAGTTAACTATGAGGAAATGGAAGAAGAAGGGAAATGTTATTTTGATAATTGTCTAAGAATTTGCTACAATATGAGAAAACAGAACTGTGTACCTCAATAAAGTATGCTGTCATAGAAAATCTTGAAAGTTTCTGAGGACAGGACTCATTTTCATTTTTCTCACTCATGTGCCTGAGTTCCCCTAATTTTGACTTGGTAAATCCTAGACATAAATCTGGCCCAGTGACCACTACAGAAAACAAGAACGACCATGAAAATAACTACCTGTCTGGTTTTCTACATCCAGCCTCTATGGAAGAGGGGGACACTCAATACATTCACAGGCCATAATTCCTTCTCAGGCTTTGAGAACACCTATTTTCCTGGTATTAGGGAAGCTAAGGGATGCTGAGGCAGCAGTTTAGTGACAGCATCACCAGCTTTGCTGCTGGAATCACTCTGTTGTTTTACCACTGGGGTAATAACAAATTACTTTCATCCTTACAGTTTTGTTTAGGTATATAAGTTATGTTATATAATTTACATACAGTAAAGTACACTCATCTTAAGTATATAGTTTTAAGTTTTGACAAGTAAAGATATCATGCGCTACTACCATATTTAAAGCATTCTTTTCACTCCAACAAGTTTCCTGGTATCTCTTTTCATTGAATCTAGCCTCTATTCTTCTAACCCAGGCAATCACTGATCTGATCTCTGCTGTTATACATTAGTTTTTACTGCTTTCTAATCTAGATAAATGGGAAGGATATAGTAAGTATTCTTTTGGTTTGGCTTTTTTGCTCTGCAATGCATTTTTTTCAGATTAATCCATGTTATGTGTATCTGTGGTTTGTTCATTTATTTTGGTTATTATGAATAAAGCTGCCATGAACATTTAAATATAAGTTTTTGTGTGGATGTATGTGTTCTGTTTATTTGGTAAAAACTTAGAATTGTTGGGTCATATGATAAGTATATATTTAACTATATAAGACGATAATCGTGTTTTAAGAGTGATTGTCCCATTTCACATTCAGCAATGTTTGAGGATTCCATTTGACATATATAATGGGTCTCAATTTGGCTTTAATTAGCATTTAATTGATGACTAATGATATTGAGCATCTTTACACTTGCTTATTATTGTCTGTGAAGTCCATTCAAGTCTTGTGCCAATTTTTGACTTATTATTGAGATGTAGGTATTATTTAGGGATTCTGGATGTGAGTGTTTTGTCAGATATGTGGATTGCAATTATGTATTGCTTGCATTTTTAGTCTTTTTATGCTATCTTTCAATAAGCAGAAGTTTTAAAATTTAATACATTCCAGTTTATCAATTTTTAAATGATTTGTGCTATTTGTGATCTATCCAAGGAAATCTTGCCTGTATCAACTGCAAAGATTGCAAAGATTGTTCCTTTTGTTTTAACCTTTGTACTATTAAGAACTGGCAGCATTTTGCCTCCATATATCTCACCTTAGCTCCAAATTTAATTGTCTGCCTATTTCTTGATTTTCTAGAAGAATAAGGAGAAGGAAGTAGTGGTATCAGTCAACCATGATTTTGGGTTTTAATGATGTAGAAGACATAGGTAGTGAGGCCTTACAGACATATAGGGCTAGGAGTTGGAGTTAAGACTGTTGCATAATTCTGGGACCCTTGAAGAACTGCATTTGTTGTGAACACCTATAGATTGTAACAAGTAGAAAACAAAGACTGTTGTCTAGACTTGGCTTATGACAGAAAAAATAATTACAAATTCAAGATTTATGTTGCACTGAGGTGTATGTTTTGAACTACACCACTCATGTAAGTTGGAAACCCTAACCCAAAAATTCAATAGGCCTCAAGCGGTTCCTGTCAGAAACAAATGCAAACTAACCCTCGAAAGAAACTTCTAGAATTCAGGTCACACAAAATACTCAGTTAAAACAATAACAAAATATATCACCTAACGATGAGCTTGTTATAAGAAAGCATATGAAGAAACAATTTAAATGGCTTAGAGTCCACACACAAAATAACAGTGGGATTAGTGTCATAGAAACTTGAGGTATTTGAATGACAGTTTGAAAAAGAACATAAAGTAATCTTATTTAAGATGAATGAGAGTTAAAGAAAGGAATCAAAACATCAAACAAACACAAAACATTACATGCAAATAATAAAAAGCTTTGGAAACGTAAATAAAACTTGTAGAAGTAAAAGAAAATGCATAACCACTGGACCTAAAAACTCAATAAATGTGCTTAACATCAGATAAACACAACTAAAATGGAATTAATGAACAGAAACATGTATCTGAGAAAAAATCAATAATGCATCATGAATGATAAGAGACAAAATAGGAAAGCAATGTTTAGAAATGAAGGCAATGAAATGAGAAGGTCCAATATACATCTAATAGGAATTCCTAAGGAAACTCTAGAGAGAATAACACAATGGCCATATTCATATAAGAAAATAGCTGCTAATTTTTTTAAACTAAGAAAAGAAAGGGGTCTACAAATTCATAAGTAGAACAATACTGAAAAATAATAAATTAAAAATTAAAAAAAGAAAAATAAATTATCTTTAATAGAAATAGAGACACTGAAATGAAACTTCTCAACAGCAGTGACAGACATCAAATACCTTTGATGCTAAAGGAAAATAATTGATAACCTAGTTAGCTTAAGCCACACAGAATTGCTGATGTTAAATTATATACCTACAAAATGGTAATTACATACAGTTTAGTTACACACCAAATTTTATTCAGACAAATTCTTATTTAACAATGAGGGTGAAATTATGGCATTGTAAGTAAAAGAGAGCTATTCACAGTTTTATTACAGACACAATTTTGCTTTGTTCATTACTGTACTCCAAGCATCTAGAATAGGGCCTAGTACTCATAAGTAACTAAATGAATACTTTAATGCTTGGTTGAAATAATAAAAATTGAGTTGAAATCCTATTATTTTCTATTTACAAGTGACACATTTAAAACAAAATAAAAAAACAAAAAAAGGCTTAAAAGGGACAAGTAAAAAATTCACCAAACTACTACAAATTAAAAGAAAGCTAATGTTGTTGCATGTATAACACAAAACACAGCATAAGCAATTTATTAAGGATAAAAGCCTCATTAGGGATAAGGAATCACTACATATATTAGTGACATAAGAAAGGTTTTGCTTCAGTAAAAATTAGCCCCGAATCCATATTGTTTAACATGTTTTACTCATATTATATAACCATTACATGTCAGAATGGTGTTCTATTCCACACAGTCATCTGGAAACTCAGGCTGATACAGCCTCTATCGTCTTGTAATGGCCCTGTCAGAAATGCAAAACCTTCTTTTTGCCATGGAAAGGTAAGAGAGCACTGGATTTTCTCATGCTATAAATTGAATGCTTCAGCCTGCAAGTGACATTTACTTCTTCTCATAGAAACTTTGTATGAACTGGTCACTTTTAGTCTTGCCTTATTGCAGAAAGTCAGGGAATTATTATATTCTACTGTACCCAGAAGGAGAGAAGAATTATGTATATGCATTAATCAATTTCTGCATTGCTATAAAGAAACACCTGAGGCTGGGTAATTTATGAGGAAAAGAGGTTTCATTGGCTCATAGTTCTATAGGCTGTACCAGCATGGCTCCAGCATCTGCTTCTGGGGAGGCCGCAGGAACCCTACAATCACGGAAAAAGGTGAAGGGGGAGCAAGTGCATCACATGACCGGAACAGGAGCAAGAGAAATAGTCAAAAGGTGCCACCCACTTTTAAATAACCAGGTCCCATATGAACTCATGACCAAGGGGATGGTGCTAAGCCATTCATGAGGGTGAATGATGCAAACACCTCCCACCAGGCCCCACCTCCAACACTGGGGATTACATTTCAACATGAGATTTGGAGGGGACAAATATCCAAACAATATTAACGAGTGAGCACTGGAAGCCTCTATCATAACAATAGAATTACAGTTCTAAACTTTTATGAGCCTAATATGCCCTCATATAAAGCAATATTTAGCAGCTTTAAAGGAAAAGCACGTCCAATCTACTACCATAAACATAGGTTTCCATGCATTAATTAGTAATTGATAAGCTGACAAAAATTAGTAAGGATAAAACAGTTAAACAACATAATAATATATTTTAATGACTCACTTAATAATTACATCTAATAAGCAAACACGGAATTCAACACCCAACAATTACGGAACACTTATTCTTTCCAAGAACACAATTATTGAAAAAACAAAAATTTTAAAGTAGAATTTTATACCTGGTGGTAATATCTTTCAAAAAGGAAGTTGAAATAGACACACAAAACATTTTAAAAAATTATCACCAACAAGTCTGTTCTACAGCAATATTAAAGGACATCTTTCTGACAGAAAGACAATGGGACCAGGATGAAATGTGGATCTACAAAAAGGAATGAAAACCAATGAAAATGGTAAAGACATTGGTAACAATACATAGTCCTTAAAATTGTTTATAAATGACAGTTTAAACAAAAATATTAACTATGTAATATGGGGCTTATAACACATGTTACAAATAAATTGTGGCCAGGCGGGGTGGCTCACGCCTGTAATCCCAGCACTTTGGGAGGCCAAGATGGGTGGATCGCAAGGTCAGGAGATCGAGACCATCCTGGCTAACACGGTGAAACCCCGTCTTTACTAAAAATACAAAAAAATTAGCTGGGCTTGGTGGTGGGTGCCTGTAGTCCCAGCTACTCGGGAGGCTGAGGCAGGAGAATGGCGTGAACCCGGGAGGCGAAGCTTGCAGTGAGCGGAGATCGCGCCACTGCACTCCAGCCTGGGCGACAAAGCAAGACTCTGTCTCAAAAATAAAATAAAATAAAATAAAATAAAATAAAATAAAATAAAATAAATTGCATGGCAATTAGAGTGCAGTCATCTGGAGGGGAGAAATGGATGTATACCATGATATCATTCTTATACTGCAATGTGAAGTTGTATCATATCACCTGAAGATAGACTGTGATGAGTTAAAATGTGTACTAGAAACCAAAAAGTAACCACTAGAATAGTAAAATGAAGAAATATACCTAATGATTCAAAAAAGGAGATAAAATGGAAGCAAAACTCAAAAGGGAGCAGAAACAGAGGCAAAAGAGAAGGAAAAACAGAAGCAAAAGAAAAAAAATAGCACAATGATAGATGGAAAACTAACCCTATCTGTATTCACATTAAATGTGGTGGTGGAAAATGGTATAACCACTTTGGAAAAAAGTTTGGCAGTTTCTTAAGATTTTAAACATACATATACCATATGCTCCAGTCATTCCATTCCTAGGTATTTGTACCAAAGAGAAATGAAAGTATATCTTGTGAAAGGCTTGTTCACAAATATTTAAAGTTTCCTTATTTGTAATAGCCTCAAATGGAAAATAGCCAAAATGTCCACTAACAGGTGAATAGTTAAATAAATCATGGGATATCCATACAATGTAGTACTCCTCAGGAATAAAATGTAATGCACTATTATACACTCATCAGCATGGATAAAGTTTGAGTTATTATATAAGTGAAAGAAGCCAGACAAAAATAATACATAACTAGATGATGTCATTTATATAAAATTCTATAAAATGGAAACAAATATAGAGTGACAAGAAGCACATCAATGGCTTCCTGGGGGTGGGTAGGGGACAGGAAGGAGTGGGAGGCACAATGATTTGGAGGATGATGATATGCTCATTACCCTGATTATGGTGGTTGCTATGGTTTTGTTGTGTCCCCACCCAAATCTTGTCTTGAATTGTAGCTCCTATAATGTCCATGTGTCATGGAAAGCACCCAGTGGGAGGTAATTATATCATGAGGGTTGGTTTTTTGCATACTGTTCTCATGGCAATGAATAAGTATCATGAGACCTGATGGTTTTTATAAAGGGCAGTTCCCCTGCACACACGGTCTTGCCTGCTGCCATGTAAGATGTGCCTTTGCCTCCTTTGCCTTCTGCCATGATTGTGAGGCCTCCCCAGCCATGTGGAACTGAGTCCATTAAGCTTCTTTCCTTTATAAATTACCCAGTCTCAGGTATGTCTTTATTGGCAGCATGAGAACGTACTAATACAGTGGTGATAAAGGGTCTATATATGTCAAAACTTATCAAATTACACAGTTTGAATATGTGTGGTTTATTCTGTGATAAAGCTGTTTTGAAAAAAATCTCAATTTCTACTGCTTCTCTATATCCTCTATCCAAGAAATTCACATCAAATAGACAACATAGGTTAGGGGTCAGTAAACTATGGCTCATGAGCCTACCACTTGTTCTTACAAATAAACTTCTATTGAAACACAGACATGCCCATTCATTTACAAGTTGTTTTGGCTGATTTCATGCTACAACAGCAGAATTAGGTAGTTATGAAACAAACCACATGGACCACAAACCTAAAATATTTGCCATCTGACCCTTTAGGAGAAAAGTGTGATGACCCAGTATAGATAGGTTGAAAGTAAAAATGGAAAAAGTATATAACATGCAGACGCTAATTTTGAAAAAGCTGGAGAGGCTGTATTAATATTAGACAAAGTAGACTTCAGAGTTAAAACCTTATGAGGGATAAAGAGGTATGTTACATAATGATGAAAGACTCAATTTAAAAAGACTTAATCCTAAGTAGTTATGCAGTTAATAACAATGCTTCAAAACACATGAAGCAAAAACTGATAAAATTAAAAAGAAATGGACAAATGAAAAAATGTAGCTGGATATTCCAAGACTCCTTTCTCTGTAATTGATATAACTAGGAGACAGAAAACGAAACATTTTCTTAAAACCTTTGACAAATGATTTTAAGAATGCTCGGTATATATAGTTTTCTTTTGATATTATGTTTTCAATAAGTAGATTATATATATATTAAATACATGTTAACACACAGTGTGATTTATTTTTAATTTCTCATTTTATTATAAGCCATTATAAGCTCTCTATATTGTAGTATATAACATCAGACTGAATTTCCTGATTTTATAAATAAAGCACTTATGTGGTAGTAGCTATTCTTTCAGGAACTAATAATTAGAAAAGTAACATATTTTGAGAATTGCACAATTAGTAACAAAACATTAATTTGCATTTTTTAATGTTTGTTTTGTTTTCTTTTTTGGTCTTAAGTGCATCTCACGGTCTCAGCTAAGATACTGTTTTGCAGTGTGGTGGAGTATATAGCCAGAAAATCTGCCTGCAGCAAAACTTCCAGAAATGCTGGGGAAAATAGAATTTTAAAATGTATTGCTCAGCTCATAAGAAAATAAGGGAAAATCCCAGGATGCTGAAAATTCAATAGCTGCACTTGAGGTGGGAACAGGGTTAGAAAAGGTCTGTAGGTTGCAGCTGAAATTCAGTAACTACACAGAAGCAAGAGAAGCCTTCAAGTCTTCACAATACAGTACATTGGCATTGGGCCTCAAAATGCTGCATCCTGGTTGAAATGACAGTGTAGAAACAATTCATTCACCATCATTAGAAGAAGCTAAAAGAGTTTCTACATTTTTACCTGGAATTTGGTGGGGGAAGATCGCTTCTAAAATTGGTAACCAGATAGATTTGAGGTTTGACTTTCTACTGCCTGTATTTTCCAAAAACCACTCAAGTAGATATTAACAAAAGAACAGTTCTATGTTAGTAATACTGGGGCACTTGGTGGAAGCAAACACCAAATCTATTTTTTGGGACATATCTTAAATTCAGACCTCTCAGGACATCCACAAATGAATATCTTGAAGGTGTGCTCACAATTCAAAATTGGAAAGCTCAAATGAAAAACAGTGAGCAGATTAAGTAAGTAGCAAGTTGGTCTCCCAAAAACCTCAGAAAAAGCATGCACAGATAATGTTAACTGGAAAAAAATACTGCCACATTTTGTAGTTAATTTAATTTAAACATTATTTATTTCTTTGAACTGTGGTCTTTTACTTCATAAAAATCACTGCTATCTGTCATAAAATAATAATGCTTTGAATTTACCAAACAAATGTATGGATTTCATGATGATATATTTTCGGGGTTGGGACTAACTCGATAATTCCACATGTAGTTCTCTGTTTTAAAATATTATCAGAAAGCTCTCATTCTCTCTTCTGATTTTCTTGGTTTTGAGGTGTTCAACATATAAACAATATCACATCTAACTTGAAAATAAAATTATATAAATTTAGAGGTCAGTATTAATCAATGTTGAAGCAGGAAATAGACTTTAAATTTTGGTTTATTTTATATAAGGCTTAATTTTTAACACACCATAGTATGTATATTTGTGTGTGTGCATGTGTGTGTGTATGTGTGTATGTAAAAAATGGCTATTAACAGACTGGATTTTTTAAAAGAGGGTGTCTTGAGAACCAAACAAAGGTAGGCAAAGATTGCCTGATTTTACCTGATTTTAATTTTATTCAATAATAAAATTTGAGACTTTTTAGCCTAATAGTCATTTTCTTTTGAAAGCTTGGCTTGTAAGACATTATTTGGCTGAGCTCATTTAACTTCTGCAGGAATCATGAAATGATTGGTGCAACTTGGTAATGACCTTGCTTACTTTATACTAAGCATTTAATATCACCGGCATGTTAAGGGGACTTAGGATTGTTTCATAACTGATTTCTTTTTCCAGTGGTGCTCTAATTGCGATTTGCACTCAGTCTATTGCTCCGGCAACTAATGAGTTCAGTAGTTTCAAGGACTTCATGCATTATTTGCTGTGGACACAAAGGATCTTGGCAGAAAAGTAAAGAAACACAGAGACGGGTTTTATACAGGGGCATTTCTGGAAACTATATTGAAATTCAGGAAAAGGAATCTGACTAAATCCACCACAGTTCTCCTATTCTACTCAAAATTGTGGTTTGGAATAACCCACTGTGTAAGAAAAAGAAAGAAAGAAAGAAAATGATTCAACAAATATTTCAACCTTAGTACAGATGTAGACTGCAAGTCCCAGGAAACGCTGAAGCTTTGTGGAAGTGATTATAAAATTTCCTTTCAGGACAAACATTGAGATTATCACATCTGAATTTCAGATTTCTTTTTCACCATTAGAAAACCTGAAGGGCTGTAAAGAAGAGAGTACGTGGCCTAGGCCTTCAAATTCTCTAATTGAGGTAAAATTCCACTTTTTAAGAGAGATTTAAGTAATTTCATAATAGCATGACTCAGCCATGGTAAATTTTACCATGGTATTATTAGTGGGATTGGCCCAGGCTAAATTGTAGGATAAATGATTCATGATTTCTGATGCCTGGAACATTTTATTTCTAGCACCCTGCATGTGGGCCAACCCTCCTGAAGAGTCCTGTCCGCCAGTGCTTTTTCAACCACCCCAGCCACCAAAGATTAGTGGTTTACATCATAAATGTTTATCAAACGCTTTAAATATTTGAGTCTTTGAGTCAAGGGTGCTGAAATTAAAGAGAGGAGAGACAGACAACTGACCAAGAATTCATGATGAAGGGGGACCACTGCTCAGATAGGGAAGGGTGTGGATGTTCTGAGAACACTTAGAAAAGGTCCAACATGCATCCTGGAGGATCAATAAAGAACTCCTGGGTGGAAAGTGACATTAGGCTGAAACCTGGAGGAATAGAATTAGCCAAGTGAAATAAAGATGAAGGGTGTTTCAGACAAATGAATGGCCAAAGGGAAATAAGCTCACATGTCTAGGGAAGAGTAGTTCTTACTCGGCACTCGTCAAAACACTCGGCACTTCCTTCAGAAATGCTTGGCAGCTGCTGTTTTCAAAAACATTTGCTCCTTAACTATCTGATATTGGCAAACCTGTGTTGACAGGTGGTTTTGAAGACTGGCACTTTTAAGACTTGTTTAAGAATAAGTTCTTCCCAGAAGGTTGTGACAACATTGCCAGTGTGAAATAATTCTGCAGGGTGCTTTTTATTAAAGCGGCTGAAATTTAAGTTCCTAATTTTATTCCAGTGACCAATCCTCCACAATTGCATAGACCTTGGAGATAGCATCTTCTTTGTGACTCATCTCTAGAGTTCATCTGGTCCCTCTATCACCAGACATTTAATAAGTGTATCCTCAGTGCCAGGCACTGTGCCAGACACCAGGGCTAAACAGATTGGGTTGGGAAGAGCTCCAGCAATGATGACCACTCAAGGTTTGCCTCTCCTCAAACCAGTTTCATGACAAATGTTCCATTACAGAAAATTCGTTCAAGTAATAATTTCTTCATTTTGTTTCTGCCTTATAAAACATTCATTCATTCGTTTACTCATTGATTCAAAAATATCTATTAAATACTTATTATGAAATAGAACAATTGCACCTTTTGTGGGGCCTCTTAGGGGAGACTCATGAAAATCAGTGTACAGTGACAAGCAATTAATTATTAATTAATAATTAATATGATAAAGGTTGTCATTAAAGCCCCAGAGAAGCCCCATGAGTGCTCAAAGGAAGACATCTCTTACTTCTACCCAGAGAAGTTATGAAGGGCTGTCTGGAGGAGGTGGTATTTGTCTTAAACAAATACTATGGCCTTGCATTTCCCTGAGAATTATAAAAGAAGGGAGAAACTGAAAAAAAAAAACAGTTTAAATATTGGCTAATAAGAAATGGCAGAATGAAGGGAATGGGTGGACAAGGAGGAAAGATCATCTTGAGATGGAAACTACACATGCAAAGATATAAAGATGAGAAAGAGAACAAAATAGTATGCTGTTGGGTACTGAGCACTGGGTGAGTGACTGAGCCTGGGTGGGCAGTGAGATGTGGTGGCAGATGTGATTGGAAAGGTAGGCAGGGTTGGATAGTAAATCCTCACAGCCATCACAAGTAATAAGTACTTGTATTATCTAAATGTCAACTCCATAATTCCACCTTGAAATCTACTTGGCCTTTCAAGCTACACATAGAAAACCAAACTCCAGTCCTGCCCCCGCCAACCTGTGGCTTCTGCTGATTTCTCTGACTCAGTAAATAGATCTTTATAAGTACTGTAGCTGAAGTCAAAGTCAGCCTCAACTTCTCTCTTTCCTCACATTGCACATTTTACCTATCAGTAAATCCTGCTGATTCTACATAGGAGATACACCCAGAATTCGGCATTTCTCATCACATCTTGGCCCAAGCCACTACCATCTCTTGTTTGAATAATGAGTGCAGCCTGTTGAGCTATCTCCTTGTATCTGTCCTTGTTCACCCCCATCCCCTTCTGTCCCAAAACTGGTGGTCAGAGTGACACTTTTAAACTCTATATCACTCTGTTCAAATCCTTATTACTCAAAGGAAAGCTGACACAGTACAAAGGATGAGAAGCCCAGAGATTTGTGCCTGCATCAGCTCTTTTAACTTTATATCCTATTACTCTCCCAGTCTTCTCTTTTCTCCCACTGCTCCAGGCTCCTTGCTTTTCCTGGAACTCAATTATTCTACCTTATCTGGTCCTTCTATTTCCTTGTCATCCCCCCAAGTATCTCCATAGTTCTAGCCCTCACCTCCTTGCAGGCTCTGCTACAATGTTACCATCTCAGAAAGACCTTCACAGTCTCCCCTATTTAAAACTGCAACTGGCCGGGCACAGTGGCTCATGCCTGTAATCCCAGCACTTTGGAAGGCCAAGGCAGGTGGATCACCGGAGCTCAAGAGTTCAAGACCAGCCTGACCAACATAGTGAAACCCCGTCTCTATTAAAAGTACAAAAATTAGCTGGGAGTGGTGGCACACGCCTCTAATCCCAGCTACTCAGGGGGCTGAGGCAGGAGAATCACTTGAACCCAGGAGGTGGAGGCTGCAGTGAGCCAAGATCACGCCACCACATTCCAATCTGAGCCACAGAGCAAGACTCTGTCTCAAAAACAAAAAAACAACAAAAAGAAAAAACTGCAACTCTCACCTCCACTTCTATTCTCCTTTCTGTGCTTTACTCTTCTCTGCAGTAATTTATTTATTTAATTTTTAAAAATTGTCTAAATCCTCTTAGTAGAACGTATGCTAATTTAAGGTACAGATTTCTTAATTTGTTGCCTTTTGGCGGGGGTCACTGATGTAGTCTTAGTAACTAAAACAGTTCCTGGCACATTCAGAAACATTCGAAAAATATTTGCTAAATGAATAAATTGTCCACATTTTACAAATGAGAGTCAGGGGCACAGAGATGTTAAGAAACTTGCACAAGGTCCCACAGCAACTTGCATGTCATGCTGATCTCGGGCTGGCTATTTTACAAGTGGTGAACAAAGTTTACAGAACTGAAGGCTTTTATGCCGAACCCTATCATTTTAGAAATATGAGAGCCGGAATCAGAGCGGAGGACTGGCGAAGGTCAGAGGGTCTCTTTAGGGGCGAAGGGCACTGACTTCTTTCGCTGTAGAAAGTGGTTTCAAGGTGACCCCACGGAGCTGCCTCACATGAGCTAGAGCTCGTGTCATCTCTGGCTAACAGGTCAGGGGCTCTTCCTGCCTTTTTGTCTTTGCAGGAACTTTGCTTCTGCCTCCTCTTCCTCTGGGTCAAGAGTCCCCTTTGAAGTCTCAGATAGGGTGAGTATCGAGTGTGAGGGACTTTAGGAGTCCCTATTATGAGACTGACACCCTCTGCTAAAGGAATGCTTTGAAGACTTGCTTCTAAAAAGGTCCTCTGATGGTTCCATGGGGTTTGCCTTTTAGAGGCTCTCTATTAAGAAAAAAAAAAAAAACACTTCTATGGTAAAAGTTGCTAATTCTGCTTTGACCGTTTGATAAATATGTGTGAAATTTTAATCTCATTTAAAAAGGAAAAGGTTGTCCTTATTCAATGGAATTCTATTAAAAAAAGTTGGAGAGAGAAGGGATTTATCTATTGTCAATTCATCTTTATGTAGAGAGACAAGCTTTGATGTAACTGATAGCTTGGTTACATAATAGCCCAAGAATACAAAAACGGCATGTGATGTATTATGCAGCAATTGAGACCAAAAGTTTGCTTCCCTTAGACGAGCATGAAAGTTCAGCCTGAAAGCTTTTGTTGAAAAGGGACTGTCTTTGTAATAAATCAGGAGAACCTGTAAAAGTTATCTTCAGTAGGCACCTCATACACACTTTGGAAAAAAATTGTTAACTCATTAAGCTTAATGGCCCCAGAAGCATCCCAGAATGCTACAGGAGCTAAACCTTTAACAAAGAACCTCACTTCTAAGGAGGTAGTATTGAACCTACAAAAGAGAAATTCTTTCAAGTGGAGATCAGAAAGCTGAGCTATTATTATGAAAGAGCCAGAAACGAAGTCATTCTTTACTAAGGGCAGTTAACAATTTCAGAGATGGATTCTACAAATTATGTACACCAGGGAAAACACTTAATAATGATCATCTGGTAAAGGCCAGCTCCTCAAAAAGGGCCAGGAGAAAAAGCTATTTAAATTGGGAATCCTTGTAAGAGCATATCTGAATTTGTGTGTGTGTGTGTGTGTGTGTGTGTGTGTGTGTGTGTGTGTGTGTATGCTGCACACACAAAATATTCATCCTGAACATGGTATGAATTGAAAAGTGCTGAAGACAGTAAAAGTATACTTGGTCATAGGGCCTTCAATCTTCAATTAGTAGTATGCAAATAAAAGACTAAAAAATTCTAGTTTTGTGATCATCAGTTCAACCTAGAAAATGTAAAACTAAATGCAAAAGTGAGTCATAATTGCACATAAAGGAACTTAATACTTTCTGAACTCCACATTTAATGCAATAATAAGAATGTTGAGCTTAGTGTCTGGCTTATAATAAGAGCTCAATTATTATTAGTGATCATAATTATTATCATTCCAGTATAGACTAAGCTTTGTATTATCAGATTTATATGCACTATTTTATTTAATTTCATATAAAAAGCTAAAAAGACTGAATTGAAAATTTTTTTCAAGCTAAAGTTAGTAGCAACAAATTAATATCTCAGGAAACCTAGATATGAATAAAAAGAAATCCAGTTCCACATTTGCCTACAGATAATGCCTTTCATCTGACAATCTGAGACCATCAAACTGAATTAGGCATCGAGCAAACATACAGCATGGCTTACATTGAATCACTTTTCTAATAGTTCAGATGTTTGTCTTCCTAATTTATTATAGCCAGACACTCACTTCCAGTTCTTTTCCCATCTTTTCTTCTGGCATTGCAGTGCAAGCTCCCATTAGTCATCCAGAGATATATTACTTGTCTTATTCTTGTCCAAATTATTTGCAAAGATGCTGTAATTTAGTGTGGGCAACTTAGGTGAGTGCTACAGTTAAAATTATTGCTTGCCTAAGGTTTCATTTTGAAATCCTGATAAGTCATTTTGAATGTAAGCTGTGTTGAGTACATTTCAATTTATTACTTTTTCTAAGTAAACTAATCTAAATTAAAATCTAGCAGAATCAATACCTCATTTTTATCATAGAGCATTCTGATTCTACCTTCCAATCATTCATCTATCGTTCACTGTGGCTTGGGAATTGCTAACAACGAGAAGCTATTTTATATCATATTACGGAAATGATACATTTGTAGCCTGTTGTCTCATATATATGGGCCCAGGTTCTACACTAAAATTGCATCACCCTAACCCCCTCATATTATTTATTCTGCAGAACATTCTTCTAACATCATGAGGATTATCTAATGTTTATTATGTGTTCACGATATGTGTGATTGCAATCTGAAAACTGTCACTAAAAACTGTCTCATAATTTGTTTGGATTTAGTTTCTTATTACAGTATTAGCCATCACCCTAGACAAATGAGTAGATATTTTCAGGTTTTCCAAATGTTATCCAGTGCCCTTCCTCCAAGGTATTCATTTTGGGTATTTCCTTTTGGTACGTAAAGGTCTAGTGTTGAGTTGGAGATATTGCAAAGATTTTTAATATGCATGCCATTCTTCTAATATATTTTCATTTTTAGTGACCTAGAAAAGAACAGAAGCAAAAACCAGTACAAGGAGAATTTATTCTCATGACAAAGTGTTAAGGAAAAAAAGCTCTCAAAGGATTTATTTAGTCAGGTCTCGTCTTTTCCATTATTCTTTTATGTCCCACTTGTATTGCATAGTCTATGGCCAATCCATAAAAGAATAATAAAAAGGCCCCATTTTATGCAACCACATACCAGCATGTCTGCATAAAACAGGTGATGCCTATATTTTATGTCCAGAATTCCAAATGGCCACTCATATTTCTTTTACCTCTCAGCTTTCAAGGTTGGGTTCATAGTCTTCCAAGAGTGAAAGATCTTCAGTGCATTTGCTCCATGAGGGCAGGATCTGTGTCTGTCTTATTCACTGATTAATTCCAGAACCTAGGATGGGTCCTAGCTGATAGAGGGATTTTAATAAATGTTTGTAGTTAATCTTTCTTCTCTAACTAGTTACTATAGTTAACATTTGAGACAGGTATCCTGGGCACTCTCATTGCCTAAAAATCTGAGAAAGTGGTTGGCAGTTACCCAGCAGGTTCTGTGCCAAACTTGGGCATACATCATCGGTGGCTTTGCCCTGAAATCTCTAGCAAACAAAAGAGAATCTATGGTTCATAATTCAAAAAGGATGAAAAGAAAGTAACTTACTTCAAGATACTTATAATCCAGCTGAAGACAAAACACATTTTTAAAAAAGATAAATGAGAACACAAGTCCAAATATGGTGAATGCCTAATAAAATGAGGAGAAAGAGGTCCTATTAGGCTCTGATGGGCAGAAGAAGCTTCAGGAAGGTTTTGGATAAGATCTGAGCCTCTAAGAACAGGTGAAAATCATAAAATTGGGGAGGAAGGATATGGGGTTGAGGAAAGGTGAAAAAGAATGAAAGTTACTTGGGGAAGAAGGAATGGTACCTGCTAGTCATGTTTGGATACAGGAGTGAGTACAGCACTAGCTAGTGATGTTTGGATACAGCAACACATACAAAGGGGGTTTGTTCTGGAAAGTGGTAAAACAGTAAGCCAGGATTGGTGCAAATATCATAGTCATAGAATTGGATGGGCTCAGAGTTTTTCCAAAATACATAAATATGTTTATGCACAAGAATATATCTGGTTGCTGACTGCAAATGAGTCATTTGGCCAAGTGTTGACTGAGAGATTATATTCGCCACTGGAAACAGAGTTAAAAGCTGAGCAGAATGAGTCTCACTAGTGCCCCAGGCAACAGATGGACTTCGGAGTGTTGTTCTTTGTGGTTGATTTGCTTCTTTTTTGTGACCAGCCAACAGCAGAAAACAAATAAGAGGGGGACTAAATGCACTTGGCAGGGGAAATGCAGATGAAACATGGGTACTTGGTGACTTGTGCAGTTAACTCAGCAATTCCATGGGCTGTCTGAGTGCAATTCAGAATAAGCACACACATTATCGCAAAATCTTATCTAGGAAGACAGAGGTGCTCACCTGCTCCTTCTGTGGCCAACTTTACACTTAGTGAAAATACATATCCCAATCCAGAATAGGGATCAGGGCCAAGCAGAGAGCTGGTTTCCATAGAAATGCAGCTAATGGTGCTCTGTCTGTTCCTGAATGTCAGCACCTCTTGCCCGAACAGTCACTACACAGAAACCATAAGATTTCCATTGCAGAGGAGGGATGACTGCATTCTCATTTCCAGGGTGCAACTTTAGTGACATTCAGAGATGGTTTTATAGCTTATACATCAAGAGTGGGTCAAGACCATGCATCCTAAATTTAGAAATCTATCTAAAGACAATAACCATGGCTATTGTGCTACAATTTACAAATGGAGGTTGAAAATTGCAAAAGCATGGTAACAAAGATCCATCAGGAGGAGTTTGGTTAAATAAGACGGGATCATGCACATCCACTGGGATAGTGGGAGTGTAGCCCTTAAAAGAAGACGAGATCTATGAGGTGCCAATCGGTGTTCCTTGGAGGAAAAAAAAAGAACTCCCTGTTCAAATACACTTGAGAAACACTGAGTTCAACCCAGCAACTGAGTTAAACTAAGCAACTTGTTATTTGATTTCTGAGAACCTTTAATGTGTGAGGGTACCCAGTGACTCTCTTAGAGGCAGATAGAATAGATAGGCTTTTCTGAGATCATTAACTACCTTGGGAGTGCGGGATACATTTGCCTAGCACAATATTTTGAACACTGAAGATCTCAAGCATTGTTGAAGGTCCAAGATAGGATTTTATGCTTTAATTTGCTTTGTTTCTTAGTCTTGATGGAAAGGGTGGGTGTCATCCTCTGCAAAAGTCAAGATAAGTCAAACTTTCTGTTTGTTGAACTCCTAATAACTCTGGTTTACCCTGGAGTTCAAGTCTGGTATAAACAGTCATTTTTTAAGGATACCATTTAGAATTTCTTAAATTAATGTGAAAATATATATATTCTGGGCAAGAGCAACAAATTTTATTAATAAGCACCCTATTTATCACTGTATAATGTATGCAGTCTCTGGAAATACATACGAAGGCATGAAAAAGTGGAGCTGATGAATTACAGAAACCTTATACATATTCTAAATGCATTAAACACTTTCTACTCACCCTTTCCCTCAAACTCTCAGCAAATATGTCCCAAATAATTTGAGATAAACAAAGCCCCTTAATCACCCTTAATATTCAAAAAGAGAACATGGTTGGTTAACATGCTCAATTTTAAAATATGATCACATTTTCCTATGTGCCAAACTTAGCTGTATTATTGTTTATACCAAGACTGTTAACTAAAGGAAAAAATGGAAATTTGCTCCCAACTCCAGGCTCCTATTAATTATAAGTATTGTATGTCCTATCAACTTGAATAATTAAAAAGTAATTCATAAGTTCAGTACTTGCATAATCAATAATGTGGATCACATTTATTATCCAAAACTAAGTAATGGGCACCTGGAACTTGGAGGCTTTTAGCTTTTCAGTTGGTATTTAAAGTTAGACTATAAGAAGAGTCTATTTCAAATCAAATCATAAGAACCAACCCTATATGAACATACACAGTCATTTACTCATCATGTGAGTGCAATATTCACTCACCTGTTACCATGAAGACTTTTGGTTAAGAGATCTTAGACTGCAGATTAAAAGATTTTTATGTATTTTAGGTTAAAAGATTTTGCTTCAATAATTTTATTTTTTCTTGTTTGCAACCTTGAGAAATTATTTAATGAGCAATTATTTAATGTTTCAGCTTCTGTTTATGTGTCTCCAAAATGTACCTACTGTGTATTGGCATTTACTTCGTGCCAGTCCCTGGGCTGATCCCTTTAGATTTTACCTCATTTAAGCCTCATGAGAATTCTATCATATTTGAGTTTACAGACAAGGCAACAAAAACCCTGGGAGGTTAAGTAACTTTTCCCTGCGTGACTCAGAAAATAAAATATTAAGAGAGGATTTGAACCCAGACCTATTGGGCTGCTTTTTGATAACACATTTTAAAGTGCTCCCTCTTGATGAAGAAAGACTAAAATATTTGCCTTAACCATCTCCCAGGCTTCTGTGAGGGAGGTTGTGGCAAATTGTTTTTTGTTTTTTTTTTTTTTGCCAAAGATGTTTGTGCCAGTACATATTTCATTCTGTGTGCTCTTCTTATCATGTAAATGCTGACAAACCTCCTTTGAGAGGTAAGGTTTATATTTCTTCCACTTGCATCTAGACTGACTTTGTAACTCCTGTTCCAAGAGAATCCAAGGAAAACGACATTGATGACTTCCTATGTTGGGTCATAAATGGCAAGGATGTTTTCTCTCTCTCTGGTTGCTTGCTCTGGGGGAAGCTGGCCACCATGCTATGGGGACACTTAAGTAGCCCAAGAGAGGCCCCTACATGGGGTAGAACTGAGGCTCCAAGCTAACAGCCAGGACCAACTTGTCAGCTATGCCAGTGAGCCCCATGGAAGTAAATCCTCTAGCCTTTGTTAAGCCTACAGATGACTGCAGCCCCAGCCAACATCCGACTACAAACACATGAGACCCGAAGCCAGAAGCACTCAGCTGAACAACTTCCAAATATCTGACCCACACATAGCATGAGAATACATGAGAAAATACATGATTATTATTGTTTTAAGACACCACTCTACATCTCAGGGTATTTTGTTATAAATCAAGAGACAATGCAGTGCTACTAATAGAGGTATGTATTTTAAGTGTTCTATAGACTGAACTAATGACTTATAAATTGAAATCTTGCTTTCTACATGGAATTGGGTATATATATTCTGAGACAGGAAATTTAAGTAAATATGAACTTTTCATTGAGAAATATGGGTTGTAGCTGTGATACAAATAATCTAAACTCCAACTTACACCAACCTTACTGCAGTGATATTAGAAGGGTAGCCTTTTTAACATACTTTGTATCAGGTGACAGCTCTGGAAATGGGAAACATGGAAACAATACCTTTCATTTATACAGTACTATAGTTCACAACTCATGACAACCTTTAACAAACATCATCTCAGAAAGTTGTTTACCATAAAGCTAACTGTATTAGTCTGTTCTCATGCTGCTAATAAAGATATACCCAAGACTGGGTAATTTATAAAGAAAAAGAGGTTTAATAGACACTCAGTTCCACATGGCTAGGAAGGCCTCACAATCATGGCAGAAGCCAAAGGAGGAGCAAAGTCACGTCTTACATGGTGGCAGGTAAGAGAGAGAGCGTGTGTAGGGGAGCTCCTATTTGTAAAACCATCAGGTCTTATATGACTTATTCACTACCATGAGAAAGACCCCCCACCCAATGATTCAGTTACCTCCCACTGGGTTCCTCCCAGGATGACAAGTGGGAATTATTGGAGCTAAAATTCAAAATGAGATTTGGATGTGGATACAGCAACACCGTATCATTAACAAAACTTTAGCTTCTGGGCTTTTCAATGGTACTAGCGCCTTTCAATGGAAAACACTGCTTGCAATGTATTCATATAGTCTGCATTTTTTTATAAAATTTGCAAAGTAGGCATTTTAACTGTCGTTTGTTAAGACAACTTTCTTTACTTCAACTTCCTCTCTATCATGTTGCTCCCCCTGGCTGCTGGCTTTGGTGTGACCACAGGTATTTTTGGCAAGTGGCTATGATAAATTTGAGCTGGGAGTAATTTTTGGTTGTTGTTGTTTTAGTTTGTTGTTGTTGTTGTTTTTTGAAGGTGGATACAGGTTTTTTCATAATGTATTATGATTTCTTTTCATATTCTAAATTTCTATCTTTTTTTTTTATAATTTTGTGATCTTTTTCCTTAAAGAGGGTCCCCCAAATTCTATTAGTTTCAGGCTTCACAGAACCTGGACCTTCTCTGATCACCTTTTGCTGTAATTGCAATAGCCCTGTGAGGTTACTAAGGAAGAGATGCTATTAACCTAGTTTTACAATAAGAAAACCAAGATTCTAAAATTCCCAATGACTCATCCAAAGACTGTAGTTTGTAAGAAACAAAGATTCAAACCCCAGACCTCTGATTCTTGGTTCAATTCTCTTTCCACCAACCCACTCTACTGGAAGCATGTGTCCTCTCTTCTTCTTCATTTAATTTCCCAACAAAACTGATCTATCCAATGTCCCATTCTTTTGCACCTTGGTCTCTTTTATGATTAATACGATAATGTGATTCAGCTCAATTAACTACAAAAAATTGGAAATATTTAAGACCTTCCTTCAAATTTATAACCTTTGAAATGACTGGTGTGGGGATTTCAGGCACCACAGCAGACTCATGTCATTTACATTTTAAGTGCAGGACTTTTCCCAGTGCTCAAGAATCACATAATCCACCTGTACTTCAGACTAGAAAAGGGAATACCAGGCAGAGGGTACACCAAGTGCAAAGTCAGGAAGGCCTGATGATACTGGGCTGTAGTTTCCTGAAAGAGTCATGGGAGGTATACCATAAATAATGTCTCCCTGAAGATGATTTGGTTGAACCATTTTGACACTGCCTCAGGGAATTGCCCCTCAGCTTCACATGCCCTTAAGCTGACCAAGCCATCCCTCAGTGAGTGTCACACCATCTTCCCAGAATCCCTCCTGCTCTGACTTCTCATGAGAAAGCATAGACCCCAATTCTGCATTCCAGTGAAAACACAGTCGGTTTTGAAAGCTGAATTATTAATACATCATTGAGGCCTCTTGTATTTTTGTAACAGAGCTAACAAATCTGAACCCTGTTTGTTGACTCAGATGTGGGAAGAGATAAAGCTTTCCCAAGGGCAAAACAAAACTGGGCAGAGTTGAGGCACTGGAACAATTGATTTCAATTAGTCTTAAATAGTAATAATGAATGCTCAAAAGAACACTTCCCAAAATGTCCTTCAGCTGATAATTTATTTCCACTCCTTTCCCTCTTCAGAGGCAAAACTTTAATGGACTGTCTTTTTGCAGCAAATCTTAATATAACAGTTAATATGCAGACAAAGTGACCGAGTCCCCTTGACACATGTGTCTGATTTCCATTTAGCAGGAATGGGAGGGAGAGAAGGAGGAGGAAGTACTTAAGTGAGATGCAATCCCCTCCTCCACTGCAAAGTCCAATGCCTGTCTGTGTCATTAAGATTCTTCCATTAGTTTCTTACACATCTCTCCAAATGCAGCAAATTGTGGGGCCATCATATTCAATTCTGCTTATGGCATCTGAACTAAAACATAATTTCTCCATTTGCTATTGTGAATATTACTTGCAGTTGATATTTTCCATTATGTAATATTTTAGTCATTTCATTTAATCCATTTCATGTTAAACAATGAAGAAAATGGCATTAATTTGACTAGCTCTTTTTTCTTCATTCTATATTTAAAATGTCCTAACTGGGCCCTTCTCCTGTCTTTGCTTTGGTTTATCTACAATTTCCTAATAAGCCACTCATTAAAACACCCCATTAATCTGCACATCATTTGGGTCTAAGCCTTCTTGTGCCTTTCACTTCTTAACTCTCCCAGGATTCCACATCTTGTTCATAACAGTTTTTTATTTTCTTCCCTTCTTTCTATAAAGAGGTTTGTATTCTAGGGAGATGCCCTCAGAGAGAAGTGAGCAATCAGACCTGGATGGACTGGATGTCCTGTGTGCTGGAAACAGCTGCAGGTCAGCTACCTGGCCGCAAGTGCTAGAGCTTGGGGAAGGAAGTAGGACGTGAGAGAGGCAAGAGAACTGAATAAAGGGAATGGTTGAGAGATGATGTGGCACCAAGTGACCCAGACAAGAGAATCTAGGAGAGGAGATTTGTAAGTAGGCCTCATGAAGACTTCAGCAAGATGGGTACAAGAAATTTTAGTATGCTTTGCTGTGATTTATTGTGTTCCTTTTTCAAGAAAACCTACAGTAAAGAAATACTTTATTCTCTAACTTTTTCTGTAACTGAGTTGTGTGTGTGTGTGTGTGTGTGTCTGTGTGAGTTGTGTAGGGGATTGAGAGACACAAGTATCAGCTTTGAGGTAGCCTAGAAACATTTGGGGACAGCTCTCTCCCCTGGTCTTCCTTCACAGCCTTTACTCAATTTCTGCTTACAAAAAAGCCCCATCCACTTTCATAAGAAAAGGAAAAGACCCCCCAGTAGACAGGACTGGCCTTGGGTTGCACTTCCATTGAGAGTTTATTACAGAGACATGGTATTATTGATGGCTCAGTGCCTGCTGTGGGCACCATGGTTGTATTGGCTTTGACTTCTGGCAACAGGTGAGATGTCTTTGCTGCAGTAAGGAAGTTGTTTACAATATTTAGAAATGAGTGGGAATGACCAAGCTGCAGGGCATAAGTGTGATATCTCAAGTTTCACAGCCACAAGGACTCCCTCATTCACACCCAGAGATTCTTTCTTTTCTCAGGTAAAAGGCTTGTAAATGCTGGTTGCTAACCATCACAGCCCATGTGCCAATTTGACCACTTATATTTCTGGAACAAAGCTGTAGTCTTTCTCCTCATCTTCATGAATAAAATAAATAGGAAAATTAGTTATAATTGTGTGTTCTGGGGTGTGTGTGTATGTGTGTGTGTCACCCTCTTCCCCTGCTGTAAACAGTTGTTTTAAAAAGGAAAGACCTTAGAGAAAGAATCCTGGGCCACCTACAATCTCAGCATCATTCATTGGTTAGTTTCAAGGAAAGAACTTTATGCGTTGAGTTGAGTTCAAGAACAGGAAAGAATTTCAGGAGGTATCTGGTTAGTAATGTGGATGTATCTAGCTGATAAACTCTTTTGTCACACAAAATTCTTAAGCCAGATCCTGATATGTGAGGTTGAAGCTGCCAACTGGTTGTGACACCTGACACCTGTTCCAGCTTTCTCCTTACTACCCTTCCCAGCCCCCTTCCCCTCATCACACAGCTGGGTGACCTTGGGCCAAGTCTGACCTTGCTGAGTATTTTCCAGTGTCTTCCTCTTCCAAAGAGGAAAGATAGTATGATCTGCTGCATAGAGTTGCTGTAAGGATCAAACAAGAGGGTACTTGGGAAACCCTTAGCACCATGCCTGGAAAACAGCAATCCCTAATAAATGTTGCCATGAGAGTTTTTATTATTAATGGCACAATGAAGACTAGAGACCTTCTCACTCCTCATTTGTGCTCTTACATTTCTCTACACTGAAATACACATACAATCTGTTTTAGCTTTATTTTTGGTAATCCTGTGGTGCATTTTTGCTTTACTGTTGTTTTCACTAGTCCCTCACTTGCCGGTTCCTGGTTGTATCACTGCCTGCAGTGCAAGACAGCTTTAAGCTGTCTTATCTCTCAGTGTTGCTCCTCAGGTCTCCCTCTCCAGCAGTGTCACTCTCTGTCTCAGCCTCAGTCTTGACCTCTTCCCCTTCGCCGTTTAGGATGAGACTTTCTCTCTCCTCCTTCTCCCTCCACTTTAAAAAATCTTTCCGCCTTTTCCTCCCCTTGCTTCCCTTGCAAGCTTCTTTTGCCTCCCTTGTCTTTCCTTTCTCCCACTCCTGCCTCCTTTCTGACAGATAAACCTGCTCAATTCCGTGTCTGGTTCTAGTTTATTCATTGTGCCCAGTGAGTTTCCTCAGCCCCTGCCTTGTTCTGGGGGCATTCTGTTCAGAAATGGAAGTGCCATGCTAATGCTTGTGGCAGTGCCATTGTCTCATAGCAGGTCTGAAGGCCACAGCAGGGCCCTGCTCGAATAGATACAGGGAACCAGGACCACAGGTGGCACCAGGAAGAGGACCCTAAGCCCCAGCCAAGGGCTTTACAAGACCCACCGTGATTTACGACCAGATGAATGAGTGCCATCTGCATGCTGCACGTCTGGCGAGGAGGGCAGTAAAGTCATGGTGCTCAGTACTTAATTTTAATTTCCCCTGAAAAATTCAAAGTGAATTTTACAATTTGCAGTATTGTGAATTTTGTCAAAATGTGGGGAAGTATAAACACTGTTTATCCAGTGCACCCTGACTAATCACACCCTGGCTGTCTTTCTGATTGCAGATTCATTTTATTCATTCTTACAAGGAAAGAAATGTATTCCAGAGAAAGCATTTGTCTAGATGGGCTTTGAAGACAAAGCAAAGGCTGAACTACTAAGGATAATTGGGTTCAGAGTTAAAATGTGCTGCTTCCAGTGGAAAGTAAAGTTACAAATACCAAAGGAGTTAATTTCTCGGATATAACAGGAATAAATCAATGAGTCTTGAAGTTAAATTTAGTTTCCCAGACTCCCTGGTCATTCAGGGTAATTATTTCTCCATCATATCTTTTATTGACCAATGACAAAACTAGATTCTTTTACCAAAAATTCTGTCAGCTAGAAAATTCTATTCACCAGAAATCTCTATTATTGGTGATTTGCAATGTATACTTTTAAATTTGATATATTATATATAATATATATAATAGACATAATTATATGATATATAAGCAGATATTGATGTAATCTATATCATATAAATAATCTATATCATATGGAATGTATACTACATGTATAACATATAATTATTGGTGTTTTGCCAGTAAAATTAGATATGTAATAAGTATGATGTAATGTGTATAAAGAACCCTTGGTTTTATGAAACTATAAGCCACATCTCTAATAATTTAATAAATTTATCCATCATTTTGACAAATATTTAGGAAATTTCTGTAGGTGTGAGAGGATGTGGAATACAAAATTGTGGTCATTTAGTTCCCATGTTAAGAATATTTTAT
The DNA here is from genome assembly GCF_000001405.40 of Homo sapiens. Classification (NCBI taxonomy): domain Eukaryota; kingdom Metazoa; phylum Chordata; class Mammalia; order Primates; family Hominidae; genus Homo; species Homo sapiens. The sequence continues at coordinate 117,241,138 of NC_000008.11, forward strand.
TTCATTTTAATTATTTAAAGATTTGTATGCATACACAGGATCCAGTTTGGTTTTTCTTTCTTGTTGAATGCCATAAATTGAATGATAGAGATGATTCCATATATAATCTGTGCAAAGGACATATGCTTCCTTTGTCTGCCCAGCATGTCTTTCTTCTTCATGTGAATAGTACACCAATGTATCTTTGGGGAAATACCTCTGCTGCATTGCAAAAAGTGAAATAATATGTAGTTAAAGGGCATATTTTTAATCAAATAGCTTCCACAGATAATTTACTTATTTTTCCTCTTTGATTATTTGCAAATCAAGTGGTTCCCTTTTGTTTCCTCTTCAATATATTCCATATCCCCGCAAATCAATTACATTGAGGCCATTGAGGCAATGTTTTTCTCAAATTCATAATCCAAATGGTTATCTTTCTTCTCTGCCCCTCCCTATAACTTCCCCTTTCTTTGAGCTCATGATTTCAACTGTATTTGATTTTCTGGGGTCTCTGTGGCTTATGGGCTCTTCAGTCAGAAGAGCAGAGAACAAAGGGAGTTAATAGGAGCATGTAAACAGGCATATATACCACTGTGTCTCACCTCTTCTGCAACGTTTAGATGGGTTTAAGGACATACTTGAGGTCTTTTTCCTCTCCAAGCTGGGAGATTCAGCCATCAGGCTAGCCTGTAGGACCTCATTATAACTGTGCCACCTATAACCTAAGCCCATGGCCTGGACCCAAGAACTGCGTAATAGAATGGGGTAGCAGCATCATGAATAAATGGGAAAAGCTTGAAGCTTTAATAACATTTGCTCCCTATATTGCAAGTTTTACATCCCAGTGACTTTTTGGAGAATTAATTACAGTTTTCTCTAAGAGCAAATTGTGAAACTTAGTAGCTCACCCGACTTTCCTGCGGGGAAGATTCTCATTTGGCTAAAATTAATAATTTAAATAGGTACCGGGAGCCCAGGTAGCTTAAGAACTGCCTGGATCCTCTTTACAGCCGAGTTATGTGCTGCAAACTCCTGTTAGAGAAACCACCTGTGACTGAGATGTTGCAGAGACTGCTTCTCATATTTACTTCATTAATTCTTCCCTTCTCCTTCTCCCAGTAAAAACCTGACATTTAGGTGGCCTGTGTGGGTAGATGACAATGACATCCCTGTTTAGGAAGTCCACCGAGGTGTTTTGTCATTCCTCTGTCAATGAACCATTTTTCTGTCAATTTTCCTGATGTGATGTATTTATCACTCTAATTCTTTTCTCTCCTATTTACATATTTCTCACACTGTTTACTATAGAAGATCTTGGGGGAAAAAGAGAAGACATATGTGTCGTTGCCTTGGTTGAAAAGCACCTGGTTTGAGTGAGGAGATAAATGCCTCCCACCCACCCATCCCACAAGCCAACACCCTGCTTACTATTTCTTGCTGAGAATTCCTCCACCTGAACTAATTTTGATGTCTGTAGAAAAGTGTTTTTGTATCATCTATCTCTAAACAAAAAGCTTATTTGTGTATCCATTGCACTGCATATCAATGAATTCTTGGAATAAATATTGATTTAATCTAATTGTCTAATGTTCTAGATCGAATGATTTGGAATCAGACACCATGCATTTAAATTTGAACTCTGCCCCTTAACTGTATAACCTTAGTCAGGCTCTATCCCTCTGTACCTCAGTTTTCTCATCTGTAAGATGGAGACTGATAATAACGGTACCAATATCAGAGGGCGTTGTGATGAGGATTAAGACAACCTGTGAAAGTGTTTACCCCACATCTGTACCTGGTAAGTACTCAATTAATGTTAGGTATTAAGTTGCTACAGGAAAGATCACTGTAACTGGGCCTGCATCCTTTCTTTACTCAAACATTCACCAAGCATCTACTGTTCAGGTGTTTCTTGTCTCTGAGCAACAATGATGAATAAAATACAGTTCTTATTCTCAAGGAGAAAGCAGTTCATTTCCCTGGACTAACTGCTTTCTCCTTGAGGATAAGAACTGTATTTCTTATCAGTTACGTGTCCTATGATATGGTTAGAGAGAGTAATAACCATTAACATTTATTGACTCCTTAATACTGTGTTGGATTACTTTATTTAATATTTTTAGAAACATGAGGTAGGGACTATTATTTTATTATTGCTCAGATAAAGAAATTGCAGCTTAGAAAAATTAAGTTCATCTCTGTCAGACTCCAGAACTATGATTTTCACCATTTTTTAAACTGAGTGTTAACATATGAATATGTAACCATGTGCAATGGGTGCCCATAAATAAAGAAGATAATGCTGTGTTTTGAAAACCTGTAAAGTGGCAGTGACATATGATATAGGTATTGATGGAAAAAGGGAAACTTGGCTGGGCGCGGTGGCTCATGCCTGTAGTCCCAGCACTTTGGGAGGCTGAGGCGGGTGGATCACGAGGTCAGGAGATCGAGAACATCCTGGCCAACATGGTGAAACCCCATCTCTACTAAAATACAAAAAGTTAGCCAGGTGTGGTGGTGCATGCCTGTAGTCCCAGATACTCCAGAGGCTGAGGCAGGAAAATCGCTTGAACCCAGGAGGCGGAGGTTGCCGTGAACTGAGAGCGCGCCACAGCACTCCAGCCTGGTGACAGAGCAAGACTCCGTCTCAAGAGCAAAAAAAAAAAAAAAAAAAGGAAAAAGGGAAACTTACCAAAAGAATGAGGGGGTGAAGGAAGGCAGTTTACACCATGTGGTGTGGCCGGGAGCATAGCAGGACAGAGGGTGCAGAGGAAGGGAAGGAGATGAAAGGAGGGCGGGCCATTGGGAGTGGCCTGGTGTACAGCGCTGAGGAACTTAGATTCTGGTCACATGCTCAAGAGTTTTTAAGAAATGAGAACACCGGATCAAAAAAAAAAGTTTGCCAATGCCTGCCCTACAGGAGACCCTTGAACAAAACTCAAGAATAAAATAAAGGTGTGAGTCCTCTGGTATGGAGAGGAGGTGTGCAGAGAGTGTTGGGCAGCACATTTATTGGGGTGACTATTTACTGACTTTCTATTTCCACCTCTGGACTGTAGATTTTATAAATGCAGTGCCCGTGTTAGTTTTGCTCATGATTTTAGTATTAGAACTGAACACAGTACTGGTACTTAGTAGATGCCCTATAAATGTATATGGCTCATGTTTTTGGGTGACCGGAAACTCAGAAGAGGGATCAGACATCATCCATGGTCAGGCAATCAAAATGTGGGGATCCTTGGGCTGGGCCTTCGAGGGCAGTTAGTAACAGGCAAATTATGGCAAAGAGAGATATGTTGGAGAAGAAAGATCATTGATCCCAGGTATGGAGGCACAACAGGGTATAGTGCATCCAGAGAACTCCAAGTAAGTTAGTCTGGCTAGAGTAGGGTTTTTCAGCCTCAATATTATCAACATTTGGGGCTGGATAATTCTTTGCTGTGTGCAGCTGTCCTCTACATTGTAGGATGTTTAACAGCATCCCTGGTCGCTCAGTGTCAGTAGTTTCTCCCTCCCCCAGTTGTGACAACCAGAGGTGTCTCCAGACATGCCAATTGTAATCCAAGGGGCAAAATCCCTCCCCTCCACACCTAATTCAGGAGTATCATCAGGGCTTTGCAAGAGAAGGAAACAAGCATGAGGACATAACACAATATGCTGCTAGAGAGAAAAGCAGAGGGGAGATTATAAGACATTGTGTGTCAAGACCAAAGAGGATGGGCATTAGCCAAGACCAGTGGAAAATTCCTGGGAGATTCAAGCAGGGCAGTGCCATTGTGTTTCAGGAAAATCTCTTGGCCTTTGTGGTTTGCAGGAGGTCAGAGTTGCCTACAAGGAGAATGGGTGTTCCAGTCTTCCAGGCAAGAAAAGATGACAGTCATAACCAGGAGGTCACTGCAGGAGAATGGGAGGAGGGCTGAGAAGTACCTTGGAGATGGAGCCAAGAGAACTTGGTCCTGAAGAAAAGAGATGGTGTCAGCATAGATGAAATGAAAGGAACCCTTTCAGGCATGAAGGGAAAGCTAACCAAGAGCTCACTCTGTGGAAGCTAAACAGTTAATTCGCAAGAGGAAGCTGCTAATCAAATGAACAAGTGTGAAGTGAAAATGCCAACCCCAGTGAAGACGCAGCCAAAGCTGGCAAAGGCAAATGGAGAAAACGCAGGCAGCATCAGTGAGCTGTTCCTGGAAATGGAGTCTAACTACATTAACGCATTCAGACAGAGGGAAACAGATGGTCGGTGTGATGTCCTCAGTCACTTCACAAGCTGGATAAATAATTGTTGCCAGGGAAGGAATAATAAAAGCAGGATTTTGCCAACATGAGCTGTTGCCCTGGCCTTTGGTTCCGGGAGTGCTTCTGGAGGTGAGGAAAAAGAAAATAAATTGAGAGTGATGGAGGGAAATCAATTAGCCCCTCACAGATGGGCCTCTGACATCCTAGTGACTGTTATTGTCGCTAATATGAGAGGTTAAGTAAGATGGGAAGAGAAATAACATGGAGGGATTGTATCCAGGGCTTCCTGAGATAACCTTACAGCAGCAGGAGCACTCAAAGTGCTTGTGGAACAGCTGTGGAGGACAGGGCAGGGACCAAGCCAGCCAAGCCAAGCTCCCCCGAGGGTGTGGAAAGTCAGGTTGACAGGAATGGCCTGAATCCATGATGGATCCCCAAAATTCCACTGACTGGAGAAACCCACAGGGTGTATGTGGGGTTCTAGTGTGGGGAAAAGATAGGTTGATTTTCTAAACACAGGCTGTTTCCTTCCAATTAAATATATTACTTACAAAAGTGTATATTATGCAAATTTACATTTTGAAGTAAATATTTAGCACAATTGGCTTGATCAGGGAACAGAAAGAGCATAGAAAAAAGAATAACACATAATTAAAGGTGAATAATTATATAAAAGACATGCTAGACTCTGGCTTTAGGAAATGCTTAGCAAATTGAGATGGAGAAGGAGGGAGAAGAAAGAGGAGAGAGAAGAAGGAAAGGAGAAAGAAAAACAGGATGAAAGAGGAGAAGGAGGAAGAGAAGATGAAGGAGATTAAAGATGTAAGAAAAATCATGTTTTTTTCTAACCAGAGAGAGTATTTATCAAGCCAGAGCCTGGGGCAATAATTTGAGATTGTGCTAATGGTGCGTTTATCATTCATATTTGAAATGTTATTGACATTTCTTGGGCATCTGAAGAGGAGTTTATTTTCATCTTTTCTGAATTTGATATCAATAATACACATGAAGCCACACAGTGCCTAAATGAGACTTCAAGAGCAGTTACTATAAATAAAGGAATTACTTGCATTTTTTACACCTTCTTTACATGATTTTATTTGATCCTGACAATAGTTCTGTGAGGGAGGCAGGAAAGGTGTGATTATCCTTCATTTTTTTGTCAGTAGATATTGCAATACAGCCTGACAAAGCCTAGTGAGTCTTTCGAGCTTCTCCAGCCTGTTGTGTTAGGATTAGGATGAAAAATCAGGTCTTTTAATTCTTGGTCTAGTGTTCTTTCCACTACACCATGAGGCTTACTTAAAGAAGACAGATTTACACATTAGAATCACAAACCCAGAGCAACTGTGAGACTCCCTTTGTCAGTTACCTGGGTGCATCTTTTGATGATTAATGCGAAGTCCCATTTCTCACTCAATCAATTTGCCTTTCAAGCAATTCATCACCACTAAAGCCATTCCAGCACCTAATGTGCTCTGAGTGTCCCTGGTAGCTCATATCCCTGCCTTAAGACTAATACAGCTCATTTCTTCTGGTAAATTATCTTTGACTAATTCTACCTTAGTTAACCCACTTTCAGACTAAAAGTTTCTTAATTCTTTGCTTGCACCATGTTTGGTTATGCTTTTTTTAAAGCAGTAATTTGTGCTACAGTAAAGCCTTTTGATAACCTTTTATGTAGGGGAAAAAGGTTTAAAAAATTAGTTGAACAATTTGAAATTGCTATTTTGTAGGTAAAAAGGGTTGAATACTGGAGTTTCTTATGGTTCAGCTTAATCTTAGCTATGATTTTTGTGGAGATTGTTTTCTTCCAGCTTTCCCTTCCTCTCATTGAAGAAACTATGGTAGCCTGAGCTAATTGCTTGCCTAGGCCCCAAAATAAAAAGTGATAACAGAGAGGAAAATGAATCTTTTCTGCCTTTTAGATTTCAAAAACCTGGGCCTCTAAGAGAAGAAAACGGAGTAAAGGAGTAGATAAAAGTTTAGGAAAAAACATTTTGTGTAAGATCCTGACCTTTTTACCCACTTGGCTGGGGGAAGAAAAATGATTCATCAGAATAGAAAGAAGATAAGAGAGGGAACAGAGATGAGGGAGGATTAGAGCAAGCTCTGTAACTCTGTGTGGATTAGCCCATTTAAAATGGTCTAAGACAAGAGGGTTGGATCTGAAGGGACCATGGTTATGAGATCTGGGTGTGCAGATCACCTGCACACCTTCTCAAGTGAACACTGCCATCATCAGCAGATGGAAGCCACAGGGAAGCCGAGACAGCACCTGGCATTTGCTGGGCTGGCGAACACCCAATGGTGTCTGAATTAGAGCTATATTTACTGTCCTTTGATGGTCACCAGTATGATGCTTCTTGATCATCCCCAAAGGAATGACTGCACTCTGTGCCCTGGGACCTTGCGTGGTCCCAATCTCTAGTCCTACAGGCAGCAGCCCCTTTCACTCAGCACTCCAGCCTAAGCATTGTCTTAATGCTTTTGCAATGTGCTTGACCAATTCACCCGAGGAAGAAATGTCTTTCAGGGACACTATCCCCACCTTACACTTGCATATGAATTTACAAACCCCAAACCACTTTTCTATCCAATCTTTCTTTAGGTTTTTCCAACAGATTTTTCAAGGAAGCAAAAAAGACAGCAAATTACTAAGAATGAAATTCACTTTTTAATTTTTCCCACTGAGTCTTCGTCAACGGATAATCCCTACCTATCAAGACATATGACAGTTCTCTCTCATTTCAATGTTGTATGCATAAAAAGGTAAGAAACTTAATGAAAATTTTATTCTAGACACTTCAAGAAGATAATCTGACATTGATGGGCTACATTGATGAAGTGAAGGGAACCCAGATCTCGGGAGGTTTTTGCAGTCGTTCAGGTATGTGGTAACGCAGTACCTCTTCAAAGGTGCACTATTGCACCAGGCTTTGTTATCTAAACCTAAGCTAGTCACTAAAACAAATAATTTATTCATAGAGTTCTCATTTTTGGGACCCTAAAAATGTTGGGCTAGAAAATATTTATGAGACACATTTAAAGGCCCAAAACAGATTGTTGAAAGAAGAAAGATTAATTTCATGGAGATTGCATCCTTTTCACTAATGCGGTCTCTCTCCTCTTTAAACTCCTTCCCATGTGTTATCTCAGCAGCAAATTCAGAACCTTCATGTGAAATGGAATTGTAAAGGACTCTGGCTGCAACGCTATTTGTTGATAAAGCAAAAATTGATTTTCAACAGAAGTTAGAATGAGGAAAGTCAAATTTGGAGGACAGTGTAAAACCTCTAACATTTTCATGAGCTTTGAAGGTAGACTCTGCTGTTCAGAGATTGCTCAAGACTAAACTGGTCCCTGCCGAGGTATCTATGGACTGTGAGTAGAACCCAATTTACAAAGCACTTGCACATTGTTTATCTGGATTTTTATTTTTCTCTTTACTGCCCAGTTGCTCAAGCCAGAAATTGGACATTATCCTTATTTCTCTTTCTCTCCTTCAATCTGCACATCCAATCACCAATTTCCATAGCTTGGTGGCTTTCAAATTTTAGCATGCATCAAAATTACTTTGTGGGCTTGTTAAAACACAAATTGCTTGGCCTCAGCTTCAGGGTTTCTGGGATAGGGTCTGAGAATTTAAATTTCCAACAAATTCTCAAGTGATCCTGTTGATTCAGAGACCACACTTTGAAAACCACTGGTGTAGATGGATTCCTTAGCATCTTTCACATTCATCCGTTTCTATTTCTATGATGACTAATTTGAGTCATCATGGTACATCACTTGTATTATTGCAGTGACCTCCTTGGAAACACAAATCAGTTAATTCAGGCCCCTGCTTAAGACTTCAGTGGCCCTCTGGAGCCCAAAGGATGGTATCCACACAGACCATCCATAATTAGTCCTAGACTTACTTCTCTAAACTCAACTCTTGCCAGATCTGCCCTAAACTCCAGTAGTAGTAATGGATGTGTTCTCCCAATGGCCTGGAGCTCTGTCACACCTCCAAGCCTCTGTTCTATGCCATTTTCTCTGGAATATTTTCCCCACTGTCTTCTGCACAACACCTATGGGCCCTTCTGATCTCAGATTTCAAGTCATCTTTCATACAATACTATCTGCAATTTCTAGGGCTTCTGTAACAAATTACCACAAATGGGGTAGCTTAAAACAACTGAAATTTATGATTTCTCAGTTTGGAAGCTAGAAGTCCAAAATCAAGGTGTCTTCAGGGCCATGGTCCATCTGAAAGCTCTTTCTTGCCTCTTCCGTTTCTGGTGGTTGCCAGCAATCTTTGGCATGTCTTCATTTCACTCTAGTCTCTGCTTCTGTTTTCACATGACCTTTGCTGTGTGTCTGTGTGTCTCTCTCTTCTTATAGGAACACTAGTCACTGGTGCTAGGGCCTATCCCATGCCAATATGACCTCCTACTAGTTTATTACATTTGCAAAGACCTAATTTCCAAATTAGGTCAAATTCACAAGTAGTAGGGGTTAGAACTTGAACATGTTTTGTGGGGGAACAAAATTTAGCCCACTACAGATGTCTTCAAGCTATCCTCTAGCCTGGGTTAGGTCATCTATGATGGGGCACATTACTTTAATTGCCTATTTGCTTGCCTGTTGTCTCCACTAGAATACAAGCTTCTTGAGGATAGTCACTGTCTTAATATTGTATCTCCAAAGGACAGCACATGCTATATGTCATAAACGTAAGCAGATTTTGATCAATGAACTAAGACATTTCTTGTGTGAACTTCTGCAAACTCTTTAAGACTAGTGGAAGTAGAACTTGCCAGAAATTGACAGTGATAAATTATAAAGATTTTTTTGAATAGGGAAAATTATATTTTATAATTTGTAGGACACAGTTTGAAAACTGATCTAATATTATATTTCTGGCACATGTGCTGTTTAGACTCAATAAATGTGTGTGTATGTGTGTACATATATGTGTGTGAGTGCGTGTCAATTAAGCAGAGGTTGGAAACCTAAAAAATAAAGCATCACACAAATATTTTGGTTAAGAACATAAATATTAGCACACATACTTTCCCATTTGTTTGTTTGTAAAGTAGCAAAACGAAGTTTACTTAAGATACACTCAGAAGATGAAGCAAAGGGAAAATAAGACTAGGAAAATAAGGTAAGACCAAGAAGATGGTTGCTAAATAAAATGTAGTTTATTTATTTCACCACTGTTGTCCTTTTTGCACTAATCCAGCACCATTGACGTGAAAATACTTTCTTTCTTTTTTTTTTTTTTTTTGAGAGGAAGTCTCACTCTGTTGCCAGGCTGAAGTGCAATGGCGTGATCTTTGCTCACTGCAACCTCCAACTCCTGGGTTCAAGCAATTCTCCTGCCTCAGCTTCCCGAGTAGCTGGGACTACAGGCACGTGGTACCACGCCCAACTAATTTTTGGATTTTTAGTAGAGATGGGGTTTCACCATGTTGGCCAGGATGGTCTCAATCTCTTGACCTTGAAGTGAACATTCTTTTACATGTCTTCTTGTGTACCTACTAAATAATTCCTCTGTTATGGAAAGTCGTGGAAGCATAACTTCAGCTTTACTGGGTATTGCCAAGTTGCACCCTAAAGTAGTTGGGACACTGTTCACTCCTCATTCCTGACTGTAAATGGCAAGCTTTTGTGGTTTAGCTATTATTTGGAATGTTTGCCATGAGCAAACATTTATGGTGTTGAATTCTATCAGATTTTTTAAAGTGTTCATTGAGTTGATAATTTAGTTTTAATTTGTTAACAAAGTTATATATGCATATAGTTTGAAGAGTCAAATATTTCTACAAGTTTTTTTTTAAAGCTACAGTTGCTTTCCTACCCCTCACATCTTTCCTAACCTCATCCTTCCTCAGAGACAAAATTTTAATCCTTTACTTGTTTTTTTTTGGTATATAGCCCTATGTTTTGAAATAATATACTTGAATTACTATTTATTACATGTCTAGTTTTAGACATTATCAATTGAACTACCACTATGGAAGGTAAGATTTTACCTCTCTGTAGAGTTACAAACCTTCGTAAATCTTACAAATCCTCCCATTCTTTCATTATAATCCTTTTGGTTAACAATAATATTCAATGTTTGTATATTATGACTATGTAAAGGCCATTCACAGTCCATCCACCTATAAAAATTCTGTTTCCTGAACAACTTTTTGTTTTACTTACAACTAATAATTTCTTAGGCTTTGTTTGCTTAATTTTGTATATACTTGTTAGAATTCAACCTCAAACTTTGCCAGGTGTTTAAATCTCATCCTAAGATAATTAGATCCTTCAGAGATTCTATTATTTTATTTTTCTAAGTGAGTTTATCTTGGAGCCTTCTGACTTGCTGCTTTCTGGACAGGTGCCTTCTACGTATAGCTGCTATCCTGGCATCTCCCTAAATGATCGTCCCAGGGGTTCTCTTCATGTCTATTTCATGCGTGATCTTCTGTTTACTGTATCTGTTGTATGCTTTCCCCCAGATTTTCTTGGTAGCTTTTGTGAAGTACATTCTCAAGTAGTTTTTAGGAAAAGGTTACATGGAAAATAAATTTACTGACATTTAATATGTCAAAAATGTTTTTATTCTATCCTGATGTTTAATAGTCTGGCTCAGTATCAAATATGAAGATGAAAATAATTTCCCTTTAGATTTTTGAAGGTGCTTATCTGTTGCCTTTGAGTTGCCAGCATTTCTTTTGATGATCTTTTATTTTCTTCCGGAAATCTACAGGATGGTTTCTTTGTCCCCAGTGTTCTGAAATTTCTCTATGATGTAGCTTAGTGTGAGCCTGTTTTAGTCACTGAGTTAGGTACTTGATGATTCCTTCTATCTAAAAACTGATATGTTTCATTTTTGAAAAATTTAACTATTATCTTAATAATTTTATGCCTTTCATGTTTCTATGTTCACTTTTTGTGCAACTCTTAAGTTTTTAATGTATATTTATACATATATACACATATATACTGAAAACATTAAAAATAATTTTCCAAATGGATGTATTAGAAAAAAGGAAAGAATGAAAATCTATAAAGAGTGCTTGTATGTACATATATATTTTATACACATACACACACAAACATATGGTTGAATCTAGTAACATGGTATTTCTTTGGGATTTTTGCATTATAGTCATTCACATATGAAGTTTTGCCTAATTTTCTCTTTTCTCATACTGCCCTTGTCCAATTTAGAAATCAAAATTTTACTATACTTTAGAATGGATGAGAGTTATATTAGTTTCTTGTGGTACTGTAACAAATTACCACAAACTTGGTGGCTTAAAACAACAGAAATGAAGAAGTATGAAATCCAAGCATTGGCAGGGTCATGCTCCCTCCTCTCTAGACGAAAATTAGCTTCTTGACTCTTCCAGCTTCTGGTGGCTACAGGCAGCTGTTGATTTGTGGTCATATCACTCTAATCTCTGCCTCTGTGGTCACCCTCACCTCTCCCTTTCTGTCTGAAAAGTCTTTCTGTCTCTGTCTTATAAAAATAAATCTGATTGCTTGACCAATTACACATAACAGATGTCTACAGAATACTCCACCCATCAATCACAGAATATACATTTCTCTCCTTTTCACATGGAACATACTCCAAATCAACCACATGCTCAGCCATAAAACAAGTCTTAATAATTAAAAAAAAAATTGAAATCATACCAACCATATTTACTCTTGGACCACAATGGATTAAAACTAAAAATCAATACCAAAAAGATCTCTCAAAACCACACATACATGGAAATTAAACAATTTTGTCCTGAATGACTATTGGGTAAACAATAAAATCAAAGCAAATATAAAAAAATTTGAAATAAATTAAAACAGACACACAATATATCAAAATTTCTGGGATGTAGCAAAAGCCACTGTTTTTTTAAGAGGAAAGTTTATAGTGCTAAATGCCTATCTCAAAAAGTTAGAAAGATCTCAAATTAACAATCTAACATCATACCTAGAGGAACTAGAAAAATAAGAACCAACTAACCCCAAAGGTAGCAGAAGAAAGTAACAAAAATCTGAGAAGAACTGAATAAAATTGAGGCCCCAAAATCTATATAAAGGATCAATAAAACTAAAAGTTGATTACTTGAAAGGATAAACAAGATTGAAGGACCACTAGCATTAGCAAAGAAAAAGAGAGAAGATCCAAATAAGCACAATCAGAAACCACAAAGGTGGCATTTATAATCGATCCCACAGAAATACAAAAGTTCCTCAGAGACAGTTAGGAACACCTCTAAGCAAACAAACTAAAAATCAAGAGGAAATGGATAAATTCCTGGAAACACACCATATTCCAGGACTGAATCAGGAATAAATTGAAACACTGAAAAGACCAATATTGAGTTCTGAAATTGAATCAGCAATAAAAAACATATCAATGAATAAAAGCCCTAGACCACATGGATTCACAGCCAAATTCTACCAGATGTACATAGAAGGGCTGGTACCAATTCTACTGAAACTATTCCAAAAATTGAGGAGGAGCGACTCCTCCCCTAACCATTCTATGAAGCCAGCATTACCCTGATAGCAAAACCTTGCAAATACATAATGAATAAAGAAAACTACAGGCCAATATCACTGATGAACATGGAAGCAAAAATCCTCAACAAAATACTTCCCAACTGAATTCAACAGCACATCAAAAAGTTAAATCACTATGATCAAGTAGGCTTCATTCCTAAGAAGCAAGGTTAGCTCAACGTATGCTAATCAATAAATGTGATTCATCATATAAACAGAATTGAAAACAAAAATCATAGGATCATTTCCAAAGATGCAGAAAAAGCTTTCAATAAAATCTGCCATCTATTCATGATAAAAACCCCCAAGAAACTAGGATCAAAAGAACATACCTCAAAATAATAAGAGACATCTAGGACAAACCCATAGTTAACATCATACTCAATTGACAAAAACTGGAAGCATTCCCCTTGAGAACTGGAACAAGACAACGATGTCCACTCTCACCACTCCTATTCAACATAGTATTAGACATGCTAGCCAGAGCAATCAGGCAAGACAAAGAAATAAAAGGCATCCAAACAGAAAAAGAATAAGTCAAACTATTTCTCTTCACAGACAATATGATTTTACAGCTAAAAACCCTGAAGACTCCACCAAAAGGCTCCTGGAACTTATAAATGACTTCAGTAAAGTTTTAGAATACAAAATCAATGTACAAAAACCAGTGGCATTTCTATATATCAATAATGTTCAAGCTGAGAGTCAAATCAAGAAAGAAATCTCATTTAAAATAGCCACAAAAAGTACCTAGGAATACATCTAATGACGGAGGTAAAAGATCTCTACAAGGAGAACTACAAAACACTGATAAAATAAATCATAAATGACACAAACAAATGAAAAAACATTCCATGCTCATGGGTTGGAAAAATTAATATTGTTAAAATGACCATACTGTCTAAATAAATCTACAAATTCAATGCTATTCCTATCAAACTACCAACATCATTTTTCACAGAACTAAAACAAATCTATTCTAAAATTCTTATGGCACCAAAAGGAGCCCAAATAGTCAAAGAAATCCTAAGCAAAAAGAACAAACCTGGAGTCATGGCATTATCTGACTTCAAACTATACTATAAGGCTACAGTAACCAACCATCATGGTACTGGGTACAAAAACAGACACATAGACCAATGGAACAGAACAGATAACCCAGAAATAAAACTTCACACCTACAGCCATCTATCTTTAACAAAGTTGACAAAAATAGGCAATGGGGAAAGGTTTCCCTATTCAATAAATTGTGCTGGAATAGTTGGTGAGCCATATGCAGAAGAATGAAATTGGACCCCTACATTTTACCATATGTAAAAGTTAACTCAAGATGGATTAAAGCTTTATTTGTAAGACCTCAAACTCTAAGAATCCTAGAAGACTAACTAGGAAACACCAAGAGCCTTGGGAAAGAATTTATGACTAATTCCTCAAAAATAATTGCAACAAAACCAAAAATTGACAAGTGGACCTAGTCAAACAAAAGAGCTTCTGCACAGCAAAAGAAACTATCAACAGAGTACACAGATGACCTACAGAATGGGAGAAAATATTCACAAACTATGCACCCAATGAGCTCTAATATCCAGAATCTATAAGGAACTTAAAGCAACAAGCAAAAACCAAATAACCCCATTAAAAAATGGGCAAAGGACATGAACAGACACTTCTGAAAAGAAGACATGCAAGTGGCCAAGAAACATATGACAAATGCATCACATCATTACTCATCACAGAAATGCAAAATCACAACTCGATAACATCTCACACCTGTCAAAATGGCATTATTAAAGAGTCAAAAAACAATAGATGCTGGCAAGGCTGTGCAGAAAAGGGAGGGCGTATACACCATCAGTGGGGATGTCAATTAGTTCAGCCACTGTGGAAAGCAGTTTATAAATTTCTCAAAGAATTCAAAACAGAAGCATCATTTAATTCAACAACCCTATTACTGGGTATATATCCAAAAGAAAAAAAACTATTAGATCTCATTTGTCAATTTTAGCTTGTGTTGACATTGCTTTTGGTATTTTAGTCATGAAGTCCTTGCCCATGCCTAAGTCCTGAATGGTATTGCCTAGGTTTTCTTCCAGGGTTTTTATGGTTTTAGGTCTTACGTTTAAGCCTTTAATCCATCTTGAGTTAATTTTTGTATAAGGTGTAAGGAAGGGGTCCAGTTTCAGTTTTCTGCATATGGCTAGCCAGTTTTCCCAACACCATTTATTAAATAGGGAATCCTTCCCCCATTGCTTGTTTTTGTCAGGTTTGTCAAAGATCAGATGGTTGTAGATGTGTGGCATTATTTCTGCGGCCTCTGTTCCATTCCATGGGCCTATATATCTGTTTTGGTACCAGTACTGTGCTGTTTTGGTTACTGTAGCCTTGTAGTATAGTTTGAAGTCAGGTAGCATGATGCCTCCAGCTTTGTTCTTTTTGCTAATTAAACTAAAGAGCATCTGCACAGCAAAAGAAACTATCATCAGAGTGAACAGGAAACCTAGAGAACAGGAGAAAATTTTTGCAATCTATCCATCTGACGAAGGGCTAATATCCAGAATCTACAAGGAACTTAAACAAGTTTACGAGAAAAAAACAAACAACCCCATCAAAAAGTGGGCAAAGGTTATGAATAGACGCTTCTCAAAAGAAGACATTTATGCGGCCAACAAACGAAAAAAAGCTCATCACTGGTCATTAGAGAAATGCAAATCAATACCACAGTGAGATACCATCTCATGCCAATTAGAATGGTGATCATTAAAAAGTCAGGAAACAATAGATGCTGGAGAGGATGTGGAGAAATAGGAACGCTTTTACACTGTTGGTGGGAGTGTAAATTAGTTCAACCATTGTGGAAGACAGTGCGGCTATTCCTCAAGGATCTAGAACTGGAAATACCATTTGACTCAGCAATCCCATTGCTGGGTATATACCCAAAGGATTATAAATCATTCTACTATAAAGACACGTGCATATGTATGTTTATTGCAGCACTATTCACAATAGCAAAGACTTGGAACCAACCCAAATGCTCATCAATGATAGACTGGATAAAGAAAATGTGGCACATATACACCATGGAATACTATGCAGCCATAAAAAAGGATGAGTTCATGTCCTTTGCAGGGACATGGATGAAGGTGGAAACCGTCATTCTCAGCAAACTAACACAGGAACAGAAAACCAAACACTGCATGTTCTCGCTCATAAGTGGGAGTTGAACAATGAGAAGACACGGACAGAGAAAGGGGAACATCACACATTGGGGCCTGTTGCGGTGTGGGGGGCTAGGGGAGGGATAGCATGAGGAGAAATACCTAATGTAGATGATGGGTTGATGGGTGCAGCAAACCACCATGGCACATGTATACTTATGTAACAAACCTGCATGTTTTGCACATGTATCCCAGAACTTAAAGTACAATTACAAAATAACAATAATAAAGAAACTATTCTACCAAAAAGACACATGCAGTTGTATGTTCATTGCAGCACTATTCATAACAGCAAAGATATGGAATCAACCTAGGTGCCCATCAATGGTGGATTAGATCAAGAAAATGCAGCACATATGCACCATGAAATACTACACAGGCACAAGAAAGAATGAAATCATCTCATTTGCAGCAACATGGATGGAACTAGAGGCCATTATCTTAAGTATATTTCAATACTTTGGGATTATATTGATGTTTTCATAAAAAGGATACTAGTTCTCTACATATATTTATACTTGTTACTGATCAATGTGGATGCATTCTCTTATCACATGTTAAACTGTTTCTACACTTTTTTCTCCTTGTTTTCTATCTTCTATTAGAATGTTCTCTTTATTCATTTATTCTTCCTTCACAATGGTTTGGAAGTTTTATAATTTACAATGAGTTTCTATTTAGATTTTAAGTTTTTCATGTTGAGCAAGTTACCTAATCTACGTATGAGTTTTCATATCTCTAGAAATGAGTTGATGAGAAAAAAATTCTTAACTGAGTTTCTGTTAGAATTAAATCAGATAATATAGCTAACACATTCAGATATTTAGCATATTGTCTGACTCTCAGTAAACAATCAAAGTAGATTGTGATGATGATGATGATGATAATATTTTGAACCTTTGCCAAAAATGATCTGAAAATCTTTCCAGACATTCAACTAACAGACAATTTTTGAGAAATAGATTGTATTGCACTAGTGCAATAGTGTAGTTTATTAGTGTGCAGGGAGTTTAATTATGTGCCTTCCTGCTAAAGCCTTTAGTGGGAAGTTGAAATATCAGCACTGTGGGAAATTGATTGATTAACTCAATCAAGATCATCCTCAAAGATGACTCCAAAAATATATCTGACAGCTTGTGGCTGAGGAAATCAGTCAGACTTCAGGAGTAGGAGGAGACAGGCAGAGAGATCATTTTCTTTTAATGATTTGTTCTGTATAAGAGAGATGGTATTTGATAACCCCATGTGGAGAGTCCTTCCTTTTGTGTGTGGAGTTTTGAATATATCTTTTTAAAATTCACTCCAAGAAGATTTTCTATTCAACCTCTGGGGCTTATGGGTATTTATTTGCCCTTCAGGATGTACTTTTTAACATAGAATATATACCACAAAATAAACTGTAATTTTAGTGGAAATGCACTGCAGAAAGGTCATTATGAAGCACTGGTTCTGAAATAGTGAAGGGTCTATTTCACATAACGAGGTAATGGAGGCACAGACCACTGCCTGTGCTTTCCAGTCCTGAGATAATAATTACAGATACCTAGGTAATGTACCCGGGACAATTGCAGGGCAGGGCATCCTTCTTTTTCTCCCCTTGTTCTTGACTAAGTGGCTTACCAGTCAGACTCATGAAAAGAACTGAGAAAAGACCCCCAGTGGGTACTCCATTTTTCACCTCTAGCAAATGTGCCTGTGCACGTGCGTACATGCCCGCCCCCACTCCCACACTCACTCTCTCTCTCTGCTCCTCTGAGTCTCTATTTCAACTGCCAGTGTCAAGAAGAAAGTTGGCATCTCACAAGCCACCTCATTACATTCTAGGGCTGCACTAACAGTTAAAAAGATAAAATCCTAATGCTGTCATTCCAAATTTTAGTTAGACCTAACAACTTATGTCATCAACTTTTTATCAGCATGCCTTCTGTGTGCTCATTTAAGACCCTGAGAAAATTTTAGACAGGATAGAATTCAGAGCAGAGCTTGTGATACATCATTAAAGACATATTTGTTAATCTGTATGCTTCAGGTATATTCATTGTAAGAAGCTAAAATTTAAAGGAAACATTGGAATGTTTCACTGAAAGCATTTCGATGGCTCTATGTCATCTCCATCAGTGTCACCTAAAGTGTGGTCTATGGGCTGGCGTTGGACTGCAATTGTTCATTTTCATTCAGCAACAAGATAAGTACAGAAATGAAGAATAAGTATAGTTACTTGGAAGAGTGGTTTTATGTAGTTTAATCTCATAATTAAAGATTTGGGTACTATGTCATTATTTTTTTAATTATTCATTTTAATGTGTTTTACAAAAAGATTGGCCTGTGAAAGAATGAAAGTTAAAAAGAAAAATGAGTCTTTTGCCAAAGCAGTTTGCTAAATGTTGAACTATAGGGTTAAGTCCCAGATCTTGGTATGATCCACAAAGTCACTGATGTCCTGGTCCCTGCTCAATTCTCCAACCTTAGCACCTGCCTCTTCCTCTCCCATTCACAGCACTGAGATCTCACCATATAAAGTCACATGTACTGGTCTTTTAGAAATGCTGGCCCCTCTGCCTAGAATGCTTTTATATTCTTAGCTGGCTGCTAGATTTCTACTTATCAGTTGAGCCCAGCCTTTCTGTGTGAGTCAAAGCCCTTAGCTGCAAGTGACAGACACAACTCAAATGATTTAAACAGGAAGGACATCATGGACGGAGATGGGGCTGGCTTCACACTCAACAGGATCCAGATACTAGAACAACAAGAACTACTTCAGTTATCTCTCTCTCTGTGTGTTTCTTCTCCTCACTCTCTCTCTTTCTGACACCCCTACCATGCTCTAGTATTACTGTTTTACTCAGTTTTACAGTAGACAGGCTTGCTCCATATAGCAGAAGACATTGTAGAACCAGCTATGTCAACCTAACTTAACAACACAAGAAGAAAGGGATGTCTTCCTTGGTTTCAGAAAAAAATCATCCTAGAAAGGATTCATATTGTTTTCAATTGTATTAAGTGCTCACTTTTGGCCTTTGGAAGGATTTCTGTGGCCAAGGAGAAGGGACATTCTCTGCAGTTCAATTTCCAACCTTCCACTATAGAGACTGTTTTAAAATACAATTACAATTTTATCTCTCTCCATCTTTTGGCCCTCTTTTTCTCCTGCATCTACAGGAAGAACATCCTAGATATTTTGTACTGCTGTTTCCCACCACTTTTACTGGAGGAGTCAAAAAATGCAACCATTTCTTGAATCTGTGTCTTTCATATGCTGAAACAGCCTTCTCCCAGCAGTTCATGTCGCGAATCTCTAAGCATCTCTTAAAATTGACTGCAATGTCGCCTTCTCCGCAGGTTTTCTCTGATTATCTCTAAATAAAGATACTACTTACTCATGGAGACTATTTTACACTTCATATACTTTTGTTGGTGTATCTCTAATGTTCTACTATAATAACATGTCTTTCTTTTATAATACATTTTCTACTAAACTCTGAGCTTATCCAGTTGTCTAGCATAATGTTTGGCACATAGTAAATGTCAATTTTATGTTTGTTGAAATAAATTATAGCACTGATTCTTCTTGTATTACAGATGACCTGTTTATATACCTTCCTTTCATACTAAAGTCTGAACGTAGAGAAGTCATCATTGCATCCTCAGGAATTCACACACTGCTTAACATACAGTAACTGAAGAGAAATAAAAGATGAATAATTAAATGAATAAATTAAGTGGAAAATGAGTATATTTGGATTGCCCTTAATGACTGTACCAAGGCTTCATGTGCTAAACAGAGTGGCTGGTCTTGTGGGGTCACCTGGGCCTTGTTTTTCAGCCTCCCTTTCTTATAACTTATCATATGACATTGAGTACAAGACAGGTGAGCAGGGGCTACTTAGCTTACAGAGACAGAATTGGTCATTGGGCCCTGGGCCATAGCTGAGGCCCATGACTACATCCTAGTTCTACTCAATGTTTGTTAAATAACTCCTCAGGTCAACTCACTTCCCTTGTAGTCCTTGGGATCTAAAAGGCAGGGATCTTCTACTCTAAATTATTAGCTGGCTACAAAGAAACATACATCTCTAGAGGAGCTGTTTATACAGATTCTCTCAAGGCATAAACAGCCAGCTAGCGATCTGGTTCTGCTGATATTTGCCTCAGGAACTGTGTATATATCTTGCATATGGGGTTAAAGTGGGCAGCACAGAAAGGAGGAGCCATGGGAAGGGTGGCTCACCATTGTAAATAAGAACAAAGTCTGACCATGATAACCATTGCCATGGTGACAGCCATTTCTATGTCTCTAGAGTACACACAACTTATCATTAGCTGTCCCTTCCACAGTGTCAGGCTGACACAACCAGAGGAGTCTTTAATGTCTCAAAGCTGCACACAATAGAGGGTTACACCTTAGCCGTTTATTTCCGTTAAGCAAAAGCTAAGAACAATCTCTTATGTCCCTGTTTTCTGGGATTCCTCATCATGTTGGGAGACTGGAAAGCAGACATATTTGGTGTAGGGCCTTGATGTGTCTTGTTTGAAAAAATGCCACGATCTGATTAGAAATAATCACTTTGGAAGGGACTTTGTAAGAGTAAGATATTTTTGTTATTCTTGAGCATTCTATCTTTTATAAAAATGCTTGATAATTAATACTTGGTAATCTGTTGATCTCTTGTAAAATCCTCTAGAGAAGGTCCCTGTTAAGTTCACTCTTTGATCAATGCATAAACAGGAACAGATCTGTTTCAAAATATGCTTATTGTGTTAGCATGATTGTGCATTATAATTTGCTAGAATGATCGTGACCTCTACAATAAAATTGCATAGCAGAAACATTATTTAAAACTTTGGAATAGTTATTTAACTATATTTAACTACTATTATTCATTCACCTCTTATGACTACAATTATGAGATTTCACTATACCAATAGGATCAGATTTGCTATGTTGCCTAACCCACAGCTGATACTCAAAAACATTTATTGAATAAATAAGTAAATTAACAACAACAAACCTGTAGGTGTGTGATTATAAACACAGCGGCTGAGTGAAATCCCGAGAAACATAGGAAATGAAGGCAAACACTATATCCAATCTCAAATATTTGCTGTTTTTCAAATATGTTAGGCTGCTCAACCTTCAACATCTTGGAGCATGTTGTTCTTTCTGCCTTGAATGTCCTTCTATACTTTGTCCACCTAATAAACTCCTACACAATCAATTCTGTGCTCACCTCTCCCCAACCTCAGCCTCTCTTACCATCTCAACTAATGGAAGAATTAGTGATTCTTTCCTGCACATCACACTATAAATTGTAACTTCCTATCAGTGTTGATTCCACTAACCACACGGGACAGGACTGTCATGACATCGGCACTTAGAACTTCATCCGGCTCTCTCAAGGCCAAATTTGTCTTACTTAGCTTTATATTTTCAAGGCCTGCATAGAGTTAGGACTCAATAAATGTTTCTTTGAAAAAGTAATTTCAGTATACAGATGAGAATAAGATTCACATGCACCCAGAATTCATACACTGGAGGCAGAGGAGCATTGACTCAAATCCAAATTATTTAAAGTCACACAGCACGTAAGTGGTGGCCTCTGAAGACCTGCTAAGATTGGAAACTGGCTCTGTCTAATGCCAAAACCCATGTTCTTTTTGCCATATTGTGAAGTACGTCTGGGGCTGTGGAAGTGGACTGGAGCAAGGAGGAAACGTTCCTGAAGTGGGTCATTGGATTTAACATCTGTGAGAGCCTAGGAAGGGGCTGGTCCAGAGAAGTGATCGTAGAAGCAGGGAGAAACAGAAATACAATGCCATTCCTCAAGGCTCCATAATGCCTAGATTTCACATGCCAAGAGAGGATTCCTGGTATAGCTCTTCAAATCATTCTCCACAACCAGTATAAGAAAGCAAAGGCATGCACTCTATTTTGAAACAAGACTGTAGTAAACTCTGAGAGAAATTCAAGTTTTGCTTCCCACTACATTCAGGCACATAGCAGGCACTTAATAAATACTTGGTGAATGAAAGAACATAAACCCAAAACAATTATGTGGCTGGAGTAAAATTTCTAGCTCTCCTTATGAAGTTGTGGG
This sequence comes from Homo sapiens, assembly GCF_000001405.40. Taxonomy (NCBI): domain Eukaryota; kingdom Metazoa; phylum Chordata; class Mammalia; order Primates; family Hominidae; genus Homo; species Homo sapiens. The sequence continues at coordinate 117,263,225 of NC_000008.11, forward strand.
ATCTCAATTTTTAGTTGGGTTTATTTTTACCTTAGAGTTAGGGGAGGTGATGGAGGTAAAAACAGAACTTCTCTGAAGGAATGTGATATGGCTTGGCTGTGTCCTCACCCAAATCTCATCTTGAATTGTACTCCAATAATTCCCATGTGTTGTGGGAGGGAACTGGTAGGAGATAATTGAATCATAGGGGTGGTTTCCCCCATATTGTTCTCATGGTGGTGAATAAGCCTCATGAGATCTGATGGTTTTATCAGGGGTTTCCGCTTTTGCACCTTCCTCATTCTCTCTTTGCCTGCTGCCATCCATGTAAGATGTGACTTGCTCCTCCTTGCCTTCTGCCATGATTGTGAGGCTTCCCCAGACACATGGAACTGTAAGTCTAATTAACAATCTTTCTTTTGTAAATTGCCCAGTCTTGGGTATGTCTTTATCAGCAGCATGAAAAAGAATGGTGCTTGTTTTGAATGTTATTCCTACCATTTGGTATAGTGAAAAGGAACTTTTCAGGAGTTCTCTTAAATACTTCACATCTCCAGGCAGTGGTACTTTAATATCTTTTAAAATATGAAAAGCTTTTCCCCCACAGTCTTCCACCTGGCTCTATCCCCAGGGTGACTTGCTGAACTGCACAGCATCTCTGCTGCACCTGTGTTTGATCTTGCAAGCACTGAACTGCAGTCCTTGGGCCTTGGACTAAAGACAACTTTCAGCACTTACATAAAGCTACTTTGAGCACTCTGCCAAGGACTTGGGAGACACTTTTTTCAAAGAAACAAATACATTTGGTTTCTGGAGGTAGCAGAAAGCCAGGCCAATTTTTTTTCCTGCCTTTTCTTTGTCTCTGTCTCAGTCTGAGATATAACTAATTATATACAGGGGCTAAGGGAGCAGCCACCAAAATCACTTCTTCACACAGACTATGGGCTACAAGGAAACCTAGGTCAGCATTGTCTTCCAGAAATGCAAATTAAAATAATAGCTTCTGTCTGCATATCAGGGATCACAAGCTTGAAAATATGATGGCAATACAGGAAGTACAGTTCACAAGCTCACAACTGGAAAAAATGTACTATTTCTTCTTGGACAATAGAAATCTATTTTCTGAGGCTTTGAGCATTGTCCCAGAATGCCTTCAATGTTAAATCTCTGAAGTGTCTACATAAAACAAGAAGGTCTGGGTGCCTGGAATAAACTTTCTTTGGCCTTGAAGACAGTCTGAGTACCTGGTTTCCTAATAGCAGCATTGCAGTCAATTCCAGGGCAGAAGCTATACTCAATTGCATGCTGCATCCTAGATGTACATAAGCAGACTGTGTTACTAAATTTAATACATGCACCAGGGCTGGTCAACATCTACGAATATAAAGGCATATGTCTGGTAGAATTTTGTATAACCTCGGTGGAATCAGTTCATATAGGAATGAATATAAATGGAGAAATCTTCAATGGACTCTCTTCTCTACCTATTGGCATCTTGATACTTTTCCTAGCCTGATAGCAGAGGTCATCCTACCCTAGTAGTATTTCATTACACATTTTTTTCTGATCTCACATTACATTTCAAATTGCATAACTTTTCAATAATGAATTCTCTGCATGTGTACATGTGACCAACACTCTACTAAGAGCTTTACAAATATTTTTTATATTCCTCATTCATTCAAAAACTATCTATTGAGCACCTACCATATGCCATGCATTGCTTTAGGCTGTGGTGATAAAGTTTCACAAAGCTTATGTGCAAGTGCAGAGACACAGAAAATATCAACATGTAGCTCATTAATTCCAGAACATAAGTGATAATGAGAAAATAAATTCAAGTAAGGCAAAATAAGTTTTAGGTAAGGGCATTTAATGAGGGCATTTAGGAAAAGCCTCTCTGAACAGCCACCTGAATTATCAAACGCATGAGTCATGCAAAAATCTGGAAAGAGATTCTTCCAAGCAGAGAGGACAAGGAGACCAAAAGCTCTTACTTGGTTCCAATTTGGTGCATTTGAGAAACGACTTGAAACAAGTCAGGAAAAAAATAATAGAAGATGAGGTCAAACAGAAAATCAGAAACTTAAACGTGTTGGGCCTTGGAGACCATGGTAAGGAGTTTGCATTTTATTCTAAAGATAATGGAAAGCCTACTTGTACATTTTATTTTATTTCACACTTTTAAAAAATTGAGATAAAATATGCACATGAAATTTACTGTCTTTACCATTTAGCTATGTATTTTAAATATTACACTGGCCATGGAGTGGAAAATCAACTACAGAAGGCAAGAGTAGAAAGAGACAGGATGCTCTTGCAATTCAGGTCAGAGGTGATGGGGTAGCGAGGTGAATTTGGGATGCCTTGCATAGCTAGTGAGTCATGCTCATTTGATCATGCAGTAACCCTTTCAGATGAAGACACTGAGATGGTGGGGTAGAGTTGTAATGTATTTAAAGGTGAATTGAATAAGTTAACCTTATAATAATCCAGAGAGGTGAAAAATAACTGATGATAAGGAAGCAAGCCTCTATTGCAAATTCAAGAGAGGAGTTGGGGCAGCTGGGTAGTTAATTTGTGTGAAAACCTCTCATAACCATTTTCTTCAGTTACTATCTGGAAATTTCCATGAAAAGTTTCTATTTTGGTTGATTCTTGCAGACAAGGGCATCATCATTCCTTCACTTGATGTCTTTTTACCCCAAGGAACACTCAGAAACTCAACATTTTGTTTCTTACTTATTTTGATTGTTCACTTTTCTGTTTGAGGTTTGCTTCTCTCTCCTTTGCTGATGAGTCACCAGAAAAAAAATGCTTTTACAAACTCCCATAGCTGCCTTTTTTGCTCTGTGTTGACAAAGAGAGAATGCTGTTGGGCAAAATTTGATGTAGCTGGCTGTTTGTTTTCTTGGAGGACCCAAAGGTGAATATAAATAATTTAAAATAGCCTTCAATGACCACTGTGTCAGTATCTGGGTTACAAAATTAAGTAATCAAGCTAAAATACAAGAAAAAGAAATATAAAAGAATTTGAAGGAAAACCTAAGATTTGATTTGGCGTAACACACATTTATTGAGCACTCAATGTTGAATACCCACAAAAAAAGAGCTAAAGACCTACACTTACTGAGTGTCATGTGCCTATATACACTTGAATCCCGAAAAGACAATGCAATGGGTACAATTATTATCATCATTTTCTACATGAGGAAATAAGCAAGTTTAGAGACATTAGAGCAATTACTCTAATCCCATAACTAGAAAATGGCAGAGTGGGCCTTGGCTTGTGATGGCCTGATTCTAAGGTCCTGTTCTCAATGACCAGAGGGTCTGCTTCTCAAATAAGAGGCCCTTTAGGAGTTCACTATCTGGTGGTGCACGATAAAAGAAAGCTATTGTATTATCTGTTTTCACACTACTATAAATAATTTTCTGAGACTGAGTAATTTATAAAGAAAAGAGGCTTAATTGACTCACAGTTCTGCATGGCTGGGGAGGCCTCAGGAAATTTACAATTATGGCAGAAGGTATACATACTTACAATTAAGGGGAAGCAAGTACCTTCCTCACAAGGCAGAAGGAAAGGGGGAGTGGAAGTGCCACACTTTTAAACCATCAGATCTTGTAAGAATTTTATCACAAGAATAGCAAGGGGGAAACTGCCTCCACAATCCAATCACCTCCCACCAGGTCCCTCCCTCCACACATAGGGATTATGGGGATTACAATTCAAGGTGAGATTTGGGTGGGGACACAGAGCCAAATCATATTATTCCGCCCCTGGCCTCTCACAAATCTCATGTCTTTCTCACATTTCAAGACACAATTGTAGCTTCCCAACAGTCCCCCAAAGTCTTAACTCATTGCACATTCAATCCAAAAGTCCATGTCCAAAGTCTCACCTGGGTCAAGGCAAGTCTTTTCTTCCTATAAGCCTGTAAAATCAGAAGCAAGTTAGTTACTTCCAAGATAGAGTGAGGGTACAGGCATTGGGTAAATGTTTCCACTCCAATTGGGAGGAATTGGCCAAAACAAAGGGACCACAGGCCTCATTCAACTCTGAAAGCTGGCAAGGCACTCAGTAAGTCTTAAAGCTCCAAAATAACCTTCCTTGACTCCAGATCTCACATCCAGGGCATGGTGATGCAAGGGGTTGGCTCCCAAGGCCTTCAGAAGCTCTGACGCTGTGTATCTGCGGGGTTCAGCTCCAGCAGCTGCTTTCATGGGCTGGTGTTGAGTGCTTGAGGCTTTTCTAGGTACAGGGTGCAAGCTGTTAGTGGATCTACCATTCTGTGGTCTGGAGGACAGTGGACCTCTTCTCACAGCTTCACTAGGCAGTATCCCAATGGGGACTCTGTATGGGGACTCCAAACCCATATTTCCCCTCTACCTTGCCGTAGTAGTGGTTCTCCATGAGGGTTCCTCCCCTAAAGCAGACTTCTGCCTGGACATCCAGGCATTTTCATACATTCTCTGAATGCTAGGCAGAGGCTCCCAAAGCTCAGCTCTTGTCTTCTGCACACCCATATGACCCGTACAATGTGGAAGCCACCAAGGCTTGGAGCTTGCACCCTCTGAAGCCATGGCCCGAGCTGTACCTTGGCCCCTTTTAGCCACAGCTACAGCTGGAGCAGCTGGGTCACAGGACACCATGTCCTGAGACTGCACAAAGAAGTGGGACCCTGGGCCCAGCCCATGAAACAATTTTTTCCTCCTAGGCCTCTGGGCCTGTGATGGGCCATGAAGATCACTGAAATGCCTTGGAGACATTTTCTCTATTGTCTTGGCTATTAACATTTAGCTTCTCTTTACTTACGCACATTCCTGCAGACTGCTTGAATTTCTCCCCACAAAATGGGGTTTTCTTTTTTACCACATGATCAGTCTGCAAATTTTCCAAACCTTTGTGTGTTGCTTCCCTTTTAAACGTAAGTTTCCTTTTCAGAAATCTCTTTGTGAACTCATAGGACTGTAAGCTTTTAGAAAAAGTCAGGTCACATCTTGAATACTTTGCTGCCTAGACATTTCTTCTGCCAGATACCCTAAATAATCTCTCTCAAGTTCAAAGTTCCACAGATCTCTAGGGCAGGGGCAAAATGCCACCAGTCTCTTTGCTAAACCATAGCAAGAGTCACCTTTACTCCTATTCCCAACAAGTTCCTTATTTCCACCTGAGACCATCTCAGCCTGGACTTAATTGTCCATATCACCATCAGCATGTTTGTCAAAGCCATTCAGTAAGTCTCTAGGAAGTTCCAAACTTTCCCTCATCTTCCTGTCTTCTTCTGAGACTTCCAAACTGTTCCAATCTCTGCTGGTTACCCGGTTCCAAAGTTGCTTTCACATTCTCAGGTATCTTCATAGCAATGCCCCACTACCTTGGTACCAATCTACTGTATTAGTCTGTTTTCACACTGCTATAAAGAACTACCTGAGACTGGGTAATTTATAAAAGAAAGAAGTTTAATTGACTCACAGTTCTGCATGGCTGGGGAGGCCTCAGGAAACTTACAATCATGGTGGAATGTGAAGGTGAAGCAAGCAGCCTCTTCACAAAGAGGCAGGAGAGAGAGGGTGGGGGAAGTGCCACACTTTTAAACCATCAGCTCTAATAAGAAATCTATCATGAAAACAGCAAGGGAAAACTGCCTCCATGATCTAATCACCTCTCACAAGGTCTGTCCCTCCACACATGGGGATTACAATTCAGGATGAGATTTGGGTGAAAACACAGAGCCAAACCATATCAGCTATTAACAGCCAGGAGTGATTTGAGGGTTATTGAGCAAAGTTATCTGGAAGAGCTGTCATTTATGGTGGGATTGGAACAAAGTATATGATTTAAATAAGAAGCTATACCTTATCTTAGGCCAAACCAATGGATAAAAAGTAAGGAATCCAGAGTATTATATAATGAATTTTTTCTCTGGGTTGCCAAGGAATAATTTTTGCATATGTATTTATCTTAACCTTTATATATAATCTACAATAGCATGTATATTAGACATATAAAAGCATTATTATATATAATATATAAGATACATTATATTATTTAATATAAAATATAGGTTATATATAATTGATATAGATATACAAACAATTTTACATATTATAATTCTTTTTTTTTTTTTGACAGAGTTTCACTCTTGTTGCCTAGGCTGGAGTGCAATGGCACCATCTTGGTTCACTGCAACCTCTGCCTCCTAGGTTCAAGTGATTCTCCTGCCTCAGCCTCACAAAGTAGCTGGGATTACGGGTGCCTGCCACACACCCAGCTAATTTTTTTTGTATTTTTAGTTGAGACAGGGTTTCACCATGTTGGCCAGGCTGGTCTTGAACTCCTGACCTCAGGTGATCCACCCGCCTTGGCCTCCCAAAGTGCTGGGATAACAGGTGTGAGCCACTGTGCCCAGCCTACATATTATAATTCTACATTATATTTGTTATACATTTGTGATCTATAACATATTGATATTCTATTTCACTGCGTACTGTATATATATTACATATAAATATATTTTATATATATATATACACACACGTCTTTCATAGGTTTGACTAGTGGACTTGGTTTAAATGACTGAAATTAGGAGTTACGATTTTCCATAATTTTTGTTAAGTCCCTTGATTTCTCAGTTATCATGTTCCTTCTCTAAATCATGAAAAGCCTGAACTAAATAAATATTTCTAGGGTCTTGAATTTGACATTTATCAAAAAAACATACAAATGGCCAACACATATATGGAAAAATGCTTGACGTCACTAATTACAAGGGAAATGCAAATTAAAACCACAATGACAGATCATCTTACATCTGTTAGAATGGTTATTATCAATAAGACAAAAGATAACAAGTGTTGGTGAGAATGTAGTGTACAAGGAAACCCTTGTGGAATTTAAATTAGTATAGCCATTATGGAAAACAATATGAAAGTTCAGTCACTCTTCCTAGACTGTGAGCTTTCTAAGATCAGGATTGGTGTCTTACTTACTTTCAACTCTAGTGTCTAGCCTATAGTAGAAGCCCAATGAATGAAATACTGTTTCTCTTGTAAAATATTCTGTTTTAGATTATTCCATCTCAATATTTATTGAAAAATACCACTCAGTATATGCTTCAGTCCTCATTATTTCAAAATGGTTCATTTCCAACTTGATAAAAATAAACAGTTCATGTTAATTGAGGTTTAGATTGAAATCCCTTGTTGGAATGTTGCTTAAAAGGCTTCATAATTACTACACATTTATCCTTTCAACAAGAAATCTCAAAACAATTTACTAAGAAAGCTATTACTTCATATTTTAGGCTGAGGTACAAAGAGATCAGCAACTTATTAAAGGTTAAATTATTCACTGATTGGGACTTGAGCTCCTCAGCCCCAGCCTCACAACTTTCTGTATAAACCCCCAAAGAGCAGGCAAAGGAAATGGTGTTCATAGATTCTGTGTACCCCGTGTACTTAGCATAATCAGTTCACCTGTGTCAATTTCATTACCGTTTATAAATAGGGATGCTGCCTCATGGGAAAAGAAAAGCTTCCCTACTCTTTCCATCTTCAAGCAGGGTAATTCGCTATTCAAATCTATTCTGAAAGGGTACAGAATTTATTTCAGCCGGCTCTGAGAAAGCAAAGAGCTCCCTGCAGAAACAGCCCCTCTAGGGTTTGATCGGGGTTGAAAGTATCCTAGGTTGGGTGTTACACATCCCTCAGCCATTCATTCTGGCTGCCTTCTTCATCAGAACCGTGTTTGAAAATCCCTTTATCTCCCTTTGACCCTGCTAGGCTGCTACCCAAAGGAATATACTCTAATCCTCCTCAGCCTGTCTGGAGAGATTTAGCTCTCAGTCAAAGGGCTTTCAAAGAAAAGATTTTCAGCAGTCCTGGAAGAGAAACGTATTGTCTATAAAGAAATTGGTCACATTTACTTGTTTTTGTGAGTGACTTGGAGATGCTTTGGGAAATTTATATACGTAATATATATACATCTATATCATATGCATATACATACTAAACATATGTATACATATACATATATGGATATTATCACTTCAATATTTCACTATTTCAGGGAGAAGATAAGTCATAAATTTGTATAGACTTGAATAAAGCCAACTCCTTGTTCCAGAAGAGCTTGAATTAGGGGATATTCACACCAAAAAATGCTCTTTTGTTACTTTCCAACACAGAAGTGACTCAGATTAAAGAAATTGTGCCTAATGAAAGTCCTAAGGAAATTTGCTTTCATGCATAGAAAAGAATTGCCTAAAATTAGATTAACTGCATGATAATATAGAACAAATTTTCTTGAGGGCACTTTAAAATTTGACTTATCCTCTGTTTCTTTATCATTTAAAATATTTCTTTCACAAACATATTTACACTTTTAAATTGCACACCGTTTGTGTCTAAGAAAAGAAACAAATTGTGTCCTAGAAATAAAACGCACTTTGGAATCATACCTCAGTGCAATTCCCACCTGGCCACTTGCTGGTTAGATGTACTTGGAGTGTTTTGTAACCTCTCAGAAATCTCAGATTCCTTTTCTGTAAGAATGATGAGAAAATGCTTTTCTTGAGAGATTGTTGTGTGAATAAGATAACTAATGCACGCTGCCTGGCAGTTGGTAGAAATTTTAAAAATGTTGCTTTCCCTTTTTAAGCCAAGTCTTGTCCCAGTTTCCCTAAATGCCAAAATAATTGAATTAAGAAGTTATTTACTCTGTGTTATTTATCTCTTCCTGTGCTCACTTATCTCCTTCTGTGTATTCCCCATGGTCTAGGTATTTCATATATGTCTAACTAACTTCTCTAATGTTCAGTTTTTAAATTTGAATTGTGGTAAATTAGAAAAGAAAAGAGTTAACTTTTGTACTTTTCTTTGGGAGGAAGAAATGTCAAATGACAATTACTGGAAAGCAGTCACTTTTTCCCCGTAACTCCAACACTATTACTAATTTAAAGACATTCAAACTCACAGTTATATGAGTCAAATGGTAGAGACATACCTGAATTTGGGGATTAATATGATGAAATAAAGCATATTAAATTTTTCCCATCCCAATACATTTCTGTCTATCAGCTGTGAGACTTGAAATAGAACATCTGAATTCTCTGAGAATCCAGTTCTTCAATAACAAAATGAGAAAGTATTATTATAGGGATTGAAATCTGAAATCACTGCAGGGACCAGACAGACATTAATGAGATAAGTGGGCCAGTTGAGTATAATATTAGTTTCTAGTAGCTAATTCAAATTATTTTTTTAAAAGTGGCCCAAACAGTGACCTCCACTTCAGAGGTTCTTGTCGGTTTCTTCCTGATAGGATTTAAACCTTATTAGAAACAGTCCTTGTCTGTAATAAATGACTTTAATAGATTCCCTTTCACAGAGCTCAATTTGTCTAATATTACAGGGGTCTTGTGAGAATCAAAAATTCTCAGAATTTTTGAACAGTGGAGATGATCAAAGATATAGTGTATCTGTACAAAACCATAAGAAGGAGGGTGATAATGGAATGTTTCTGAAAGGTCATTTTGAGATCATAGATAACATTGCATTGCTTTCAAGGAGGAAATTTCAGTTCTTTGATATTGGTGACTCCCTGGAATTCTTCCCTGGACTTAGGAAACTCAGCATTACATGCACAAATAACCAATTTGTCTTGATCCTCTCTTCTTTCTCCAAAGGGACATATGACTATATGCATCTTTAAAGGAGAAAATATACATAATTTGAATATCTAATTGGCTGCCCTGTTTTCTGAACTAGAGAAAGGGCAGAACCTGTGTACTTTTATAGGCTTTATCATTCCCAGTGATATTGCACTTAACATTTTTAAGTGAATACTTGATTTTTAGTGATTTATAACCTGTGTATCTTTTTCTGTGAAGTGTGTTTATATGCACATAATTACTCTCATTCAGTGACATTAGAACTTACAGAAAACGAAATACATCACCCTGTCCTGACTAAACAAACAGTAATAGCTGGCTTGGAAACTGTATTAACTGAGCAACCCTGTAATATAACTTTCGAAGCCAATCTGTTTAATAAGACAAGACAGGAAAATGCACTTTTCAAGGATTCTTATTGGTGGTAAGAGAGTGTCTAGGAAACTAATAAAGCTATAATACAGTAACAATCACTTTATTATTAGATGTTAAAGAACATCAAGGAAGATTTATATCTTCTTTTAACTTTACCCTGAGACAGTTTCAAATTCAATTGCTGGGTTGTTTTAGAGTAAAACAGAAGTTCAAGAGGAGAATGCCTTTGAACAGGCTTATGAAAATTTGGAGTAGGTTTAATCATCTTCTGCTTTCTCCCAGAAGATTACTGACATGACTTAAGCAGCAGCATGTACACTGATTTCATCTTCAGAGAGGAGGAGAGATACTAAAAGCTCGTTATGAACAAATGCATTTGCATCAGCCTGCTTCACATTCAGAGAGTGAGTGCAGATGCACAACACAGAATCTGAAACAGAGCATTTAGAATGTAGAACATGGTGTGGCTTCTAATGTAATAAACAGAATTCTTAGAGCCTCAGGCTGTTAGCATAAACGAGCTACTTCCTAACTGCAAACTTAACGCCCATGTTAAATAACTTTAAAATCTGCATGTGTATATGAGTAAGTAGTTTTTGAGTGAAAACCAGTGGATTCCTCTGTTTGGGGATTTATGTGCAATGTTTTTATTTTCTGAATATAGTCCATCTCTCGCTTCTTTGCTTTTCACATCCTGATTTCCAACCAAGCAAGACTATTTCCAATTCCCTATACACTGAATTTGTTTTACCCTTACTTTGAGCCATTGATAACACTTTCTTATATTTCTAGAATGCCCTTCCTACACATTCGGTAAGCTTAAGTCTTAATTATCCTTTAAGGCCCAATTCAAGTATTAACTCCTTCTGAAAAACTTCACTGATCTTTGCAAATGGAAGTAGCATAACTCTTTTTGAACATTAATAGCTTTAATATGTGCATAACGGTACCACTTTGTTTTATAGTATAGATATATATATATATTAATACATCATATTTCTTATTTCCCTTACTCGCTCCTCAAAGGCAGGACTCCAATTCAAGTTTGTACCTTTCACAGTACTGAAAATACCCTTTTATCCTTAATAGATTTCTCAGAAAATTCATCAGAGGAACTTAAAATTTCAATCACTGTTATTCTTTGGTATGGAGAAAAAAATCTTACATGATGGTAAGTTTTAATTCATTTATTACACAAATATTTATTGGATGCCTGCTGAGTACCAAACTCTGTACTAGCACTGGGAATACACAGATGAACAAGATCACTTATATTCTACTGAATAAACAAGAAAACAAATAGAATTGTAAATAATATCCCAAATTAAAATAAGATAATGTGATGGTAATGACAAAAGGAAGCAGTCTGTTATCTAAAACATCAGGGAACAGACATAACATTACAAGAAGAAAGATGAGATGAAAGAAAGGTACAAAGCATAAAATTTGACATATGTGTTAGTCAGGGTTTGGACAGGAAAGTAGAAATCATTCCAGACATTTCAAGCAGAAAGGGATTTAATACAGGGAATTAGAGGCTTTGAAAACCTTTGAAAAGGCTGGGGGATCAGAAGTTAGAGATTGTACCATCTAGCATTTGGAAAACCAACACTTAGAGGAATCGAAGGAAACTGCCAACGAAATGTGTAACTCTCGGGTGGACACCTAAAAGCAAATACAGGTGATGTTACAACAGGCTTCTATACTGATAGAAATGATCCAGGAGATAGGAATACACTGAGAATGCAGAGAGAAAGGTGTAAAATTTCAGATGTATATTCCCTGCAAAGTCTACAGGGGATGGGACCTAGAGTACAAGTGGAGGTGCTGACCTTTGATGGGAGTGAAGACATTTCATCTAGAGGTACACGGGTAGGCAGAGGATACTGGAATAGATGCAGGTGGCATTGTAAGTTATGGAGTAGACAGAGGAGTGTGTTCCTTTCTGGTAGGTTCTATTTTATTTCCATGATGTATGTGAGGATGAGGTGGAGGAGGGTATTTCCCTGAAACTTTTAAGGAAGTCAGAGACTTTGTGAAGCTTCTGGAGTAAAAAGACCCCTCCCTGTTCTTGCTTGCGATTCAAGCTTTCCATGTGTCTTTTTGTGCTGTTTCTTGTTTACCTACTAAAAAGAATAAAGATTTGAGTACATTAGAAAGTAATATAAAAACGAATAAAAGCCAGTATAAAGAAAAGTAGACAAGACAATAGAAAATGGATTCTGATTTATTTTTAAAATGTTTTAAAGACCAATAGAGACCTTTTACTTAAACTGAAAGACCTGAAATAAATTAATAATGCCCTGTGGATAAACAGAAAACCCTTTGCCTTGCCCCTTAGGCAAGAGTTTGAATTCCAAAGATGATGATAATTAAAATGATGATGATAATGACGCTGATGATGACATTTTTTTGAGCACCCACTATGTGCCAAGCACTTCATATAGAATTAATTTTCCATTTAATTATCTCAATGCTCTATTTTATAGATAAAGAAACTGAAACACAGAGAAGTTAAGTAACTCATCCAAGTAAATAAAGCTGGTAAGCTTAAAACTCTAGACATTGACTCCAGAGGTCCCTCTCTTAATGACTACAATTTATTAGCTCCCATTTTCATGTGTGCCTGTATCATAGACACACAAAGCCGTCTGTTTATCTGACCTGCAAGTCAAGCCAGTCTTTCTTGTCAGCTAACTGGAGACTGACCAGACAAGGGTTATGTTGGAAAAAAACAAAGCCGCAGGATTCACGCAGACTAGGGTAGGAATTACAGATTGGCCACATACTCACCACTCATCTTGAGAAAATCATTTAATTTTTTTGAGTCTCAGTTTTCTTAGCCATAAAGATGGAGAAAATATCAATGCCCTTACTAGCATTAATGGAAAGATTAAATGAGACAATCTTTGTTCAGCTTATGGAAGATTTCTTCCTTTCTTGTCAATGTGAATAAAATGGGTCCTATTCATCTTTATGTTACCTAAATAATCTACTAAACACCTTGCAGATAGTGTTTAATAAATATGAGACAAGGGATGAATGGATAGATTAATGGATCATCATCTTAAGGTTATGGTAGCTTTAAAAAAAAGAAATAAAAGAAAGGTATAGGTGGGGAAGAGGTATATTGACTCACTGACTATCTATTATGCCTGCCCTAGCCTCACATTTCTTAGCCCTTTGCAGTAGGGCAGCACAGTATGACCAGTTTTGGCCAATGAGCTGTAACCATAATGATGTGTGTGACTTCGGGCCCAGATATTTAGGAGCCATTGAATGATTATTGTAGATTTCTCTTGCTTTGCTGCAGCAATTGTGGAGTACCTAATTCAGACCAAACAGCCACAGGATGGGAGCAGCCAGGATGACTAAATCGCTATTGGTAAAAACTGGCCCTGTAGTTAAAGGATTCCCAGATTTTGAATAAGCTATGACTTTATTGAACTAATTTGTTTCTGCAGCATAACCAACCTTATCTTGCCCCATATAAAAAGCTAGGTTTTTTTTTGTGGGGGGCGGGGCACAAAATCATCTTTCTGACATACCAAATTGTTGAATTTCAAACTGAACTCAAAATCATTAGAAAAAATGTCAAGGATAAAATAAATAAATAAAATTTCAACAGAGAAAATGCTTTGGATAAAATTTGGTGGTTTCAATAGCTTAATAGAAGTTACTGATGCTGTATAAAAACACAATTTAAAAGGTGTCATCTAATTAGCTGTAAAATTTGTATTTTGGGGTATTAGAATATTTTGTTGAACCCCATCTTATTATATACTTCAGAATATCAGGTATAAAGAGATCTCAAAGGACATAGAGTATGACCTCTATCTTACTGATGAAAAAACTTGAGGCTTAGAGTGGTTAATCAAGTTCTCATGGTGACTCAGCAACTCAGGGGCAGAGCTGAGCTAAATACCCATCTGTGGCCCCTCACCATCATTTCAGCTCTACACTGGAGACTTTTTCCATTGTTTTGATTGCCTCATGATATCTGTGTGCTCTGAAAGAGTTAATGTGCCTTCCAAAGGGCTTTTTTTAAGCTCTGCAGAGAGCCAAACTGGATAAAAGCCAGCAGAGTATTCTGTTCCATCCTTCTTGAGGGTTCTTATCCAGAAAATGATAGAAGATGGAAGTTATCCAGAGAGGGTCTCAGTGAAATACTTGTAGGAGAAAAATAAAAAAGAATTCTAGCTACTCAATTTAGAAATTTACATAAGTCTTTCGAATATTGATGTCAGTGAGGTCAGCAGTTCTCTCAGGAGGGTAATGGGATCATGCCTTAATTCTCTTCATTTTTTATTTTTGAAGTTCTACCACTTGATATATCTGAGTGAGTCAGCAGAAAGTGAATCTTGTTAAGGAGATGGTCTGTGAAATGCAGTGTTTATCACATGGTGATTACTTATCTGTTTGGAGCACTTTTCAAAGTTTTCTGAAGTGCCTAACTTTCTCTTCCCTGATTCTTTCTGCTTCCTTAAGAAAATTGTTCTAAGGCCCCTATCTAAAGTACCTAGCATATGCCTTCAAAAAACTCCAGAGATTTGGTTATGTACAATAATAGGAACAGGTGTTAATTCTACATATTTGTCACACTTCAGATTTTCAGAAACTCCTGATTAATTTTGGTCTTTGGAATAGCAAATGTCTTACGTGTAAAAATAAAGCAAAAAAAATAGCCTGTGGTTACAAATGTTGTCTCCATGAAGGCATCCATAATCATGAGAGGAAGTATCTCATGATTAGTAAAAAGCTGTAGTTTCCCAGGAGAGTATGGAATAACCATTATAAGTATGTTAGATTTTTGTGTTTTGATTTAGTTTTCTTATTTAGTTTGTTATGAGTTTTATCAATGAAAAAAATCAATTAATTTCAACAGATAGAGAAAAATTAATATGGCTCTTTCAATAATTATTACTGGCATTTCCAAATCATTGCATACTGTTTAATTCCTGAGAATCCGATTGAGGCTTTCCTATCTCGAGTCAAACAAGAACGTGTATTCACATCCTAATGTAATTCTGCTATCAAACTTCTGAATGTTTGCAAATTAAAAAGATGAAAGTATTTCAAAGCTTTCATTTGCTCTGATTATTAGTGATATTGTTAGCGCTATTAAGCATCTTTTTGTATGGGTGTGTGGCCATTGTGTTTTGTCTTCTGTGATTTGCCTTCTCCTGATTTATTTCTTACCTCTTTGGCTTGTTTTTTTTTTCCCCATTGGTTTACAGGATTTCTTTAAGCATCATTACCTTCTTTATGGGTAGGTGGCAAATCTTTTTCCCCAAGTAGTCATTTACATTTTAACTTCACGTGTGGCTTCTTTGACTACATCAAGGTTCTTGTTTGTCATATAGCCAAATATGTCAGTCTTTTATTTTATGGCTTCTGGGTTTGGTTCATGCTTAGAAAGACCTTCCCCATCTCAAGATAGACAAATATTCTTTTAAATTTTCTTCCGGTATTTTCCCAGATGTCTCTGGTGCCAGCCCTGTGCATATCCAAATGACCACAGTACAGACTTAGTAAAGAGTACAAACTCCAGAGCCAGGTTGCTTTGATTCACATGCCAGCTGCAGTGATTACTAACTGTGTAACCTTGAACATCTGGAAAGGACCAATAATAGTTCATATATCCTGAAGTTGTGGTGGGAATTAATAAATTTTCATTTATATATTTAGAATGATGTTCCACAAATATTAACTATGTAAAGGTACAGAACATCATTTATCTCTGGGAGCCTAGCACAAGCATGCTTTCTGGCATATAGTTCAAAACTCTGATAATAAAAGATTAATCAATTTATTCAAATTATGTTTACCCCTTCTGCCTTTTCATCAGTTATTTATTACTAAGTCTATCTGGCCACAGTCCACATAACCATTTCTTAGCATAAATAGCTGTCTGATTCTCAGTTGATCTTGGGGCTCTTAGAAGCAACTTATGAAATTGCTTTGCAGAAAGATTTAAACCAACCTATGGGTGACTAAAATGTGGACTTTCCTCACATACCCATCATGGCCACAATTCTTTGAAAGGCAATGAACATTTGTTAGCCTGAAGGCATAAACAAGGATCTTACATCTTTCTTTCTCAAGTTTTATTGATGTATTTTCATCTCGCAGTCTCTACCCAGTAGTTCAATGATGATTGCCATGGTTATTGGAAATATACTCCCCATTCTTTGGTACTGATAATTCAGAAGCCAAACCATGGGGTAGGGGAAGTTTGTTTTTTTGTTTTTTGTTTTTTATTTTGCCCTGGAGGATCTTACAGCTTTACAAGAAAGAAGAAAATGAAATTGAAAGGACATAAAATACAAAACCTCAAAACTCTGTGTGACAGAGTTGTTGATGCTATTCACAGAATAGAAGCCAGGAACCAGGGCAGCGTATCCCTCAATTTATCAGATATCTTTCTTCCAACCCATGTCAGAATTGTACAGACTCAACTGGTTGCTTTAGCTCCATGTGCCATTCACTTTTCATGAGCCACTAATGCTACAAAAAAAAAAAAAAAAAAAAAAGGCTTTTCCCTCTTTCACTGTTGTATATTCTTTCCAGCCAGGGCAACAAACCACACAGGCTAGCTGTCATAGAACCCACTCCAGTTGTCTTCCGGGTTTTGATCTTTCTACAAATAGATAGAAACTAGGAGAAGTTTGAAAATTTTTTCCTGCTCCGAAAACCTGACCGCAAGCTATTTTCCTTCCTTGACCGCAAAATAATTTCTATCTTGATGTCAGAAGTTCAACTTTACCTTGTTCCTTCTCAATTATTTCTTAGGGTAAAATTTTATTTTCTCTTGCTGGATGGATGCCTCAACCTCGGTAGAGAGAAGATCATGAACCTAAAAATGCAAAGGAGATAAGGGCATTCATATTTTTCCAAAATGTTATCCTGACTAAAAATGTATAGTGGCTCTAAGGCAACTATCAGGGATGTCGTATGAAGTGCACAATAACTGAGAGGGTCAGGAAGTCAGAGCAGTGTTGTGGGAAAAACAATTTGATAAGAACCTTGAGGCCTAGGAGGAAGCATTTTACTTTAATTTGTTGGAAAACTAGAAGCTTTTTAAAAGTTTTTTAAAAGAAGGGGTATTCTGATCAAAATGACACTTTGGAAAAGGAATCTAATACTTCATATAAAAACAGGGCATGTAATGTTAAGGGTAAGAATGAAACATAGTAAGAAGTAGTAGAATAACTGAGAGTCTCATAAAATCATTCTGGAAAAATATAAGTGGTTCTGGCCTGAACAAGCCTTGCAGATCACATGGAGGAATGGGCACAAGATTATTGCTCCATTGGAAAACAATAATTAATAAACTAACATATACCTCAAAGACTATATGTCACAGAGTTACTAAGGTTATATAGAAAACTGAAGTCAGGAAAAGAGCAGTATAATTCTCAATTCATCTGATATACTCCCCTACCTTTATCTCATTCCTTTTTCTTAGTGACCAGTAAATGGTAGTGATCGTGTGAGGTAGGTACTATGATCATCCCCATTTTACAGATGCATGGAGGAATCCTGGGGAGTTTAAATAATTTGTTCAGGATCATAGACTTAGGAAGTGGCAAAGCCAGAATTTGATCAAGACTCTGTGACTCTGGAGCCTGTACATTAAACTACTAGTCTTTCAGGTCTCTGTAGAGACCTTCTCTGATTAAAGAAGAAATTAGGGACTTGGGATGAATTGGCTGCAATGGACAGTAAGGAAAAAGATTTGAGATGACATCAATGTTGCTAATTGAGTGGGAGTGCCAAGGATGGAGATAGAGAATTGATAGTTTAATAGGGGAGATATTTAAGCTCTTCAGTCCTTCAACAGTCATTTCTTGAGGGCCTACCAGGCACCAGCATCCACCAAGCATTGTGCAGGTTTATGGAGATAAGAAGGTAAAGGAGGTTTCCTGTCTTCAAGGAGTTCAAACTAGCAGGGTGGTTCAACTCTTTATTTTATTTATCACCATAATTAATCTGTTTAAATTTAATACCTCATGCAAAGCATGCAGATCAAGGTAAACATCTAGGGTACTATCAGTGCTCAGAGGAATGTGCCTACCTGAGAAAGGGATCAGTTAGACTTCTTAGACAAAGTGATGCACAAGGTAAGTCATAATGTACAGTAAATGACATTAAATGGTAAGGTTGGTACATTCTCCTGAACAGGAGAATATGCCAGGAGCAGGAATGGCATGTACAAAGGGACATAGGTAAGTTGGACTGTGCAGGGTGACCATGGCACAATCTTGGGCTTCATCCAGAAGAGAACAAAGCCCCATCACAGAGTTTTAAGCAAGTCAGGCTCATGGTTCGTTTTGCATTTTGGCTAGATCTCTCTGGCAAATGTGCAGATGCTATATTTGAGTGGGATAATACTAGGAGTAGGGAGGCATATTGAGAAGTTCTTCTACAAGTCCAGAAAAGATGACAATAGCTTGAACCCAGAAAGTAGCAAATGACTTTGGAGAAAAAGGCTAGATGAGAGAATTAATCAGATACAAAGTTTGGCAATTGGTTGGGTGAGGGGGCAAATGGTGGGGGTGAAGTCAAGGATAACAAGCTGTGTTGTCTATGTGATAGTGGTGTCACAAAACAAGTTAGAAAGTATGAGCAGAGAAAGGCTTTCATAGAATCAAATGACGAGTTCAGTTTGGGATATTGGATTAGTTAATATCTAGGGCTGCCATAACAAACTACTACAAACTTGGTGGTTTAAAATAATAGAATTTTATTCCCTCAAAGTTCTGGAGGCCAGAAGTCCAAAGTCAAGGTGTCAACAGGGTTGTATTTTTCTTGAAGACAAGAGGGAGACTTCGTTCCATATCTCTCTCCTAGATTTTGATGGCTGCCAGCAATTCTTAGTGTTCCTTGGCTTGGAGACATAGCTTTCCCATCTGTGCCTCTGTCTTCACATGGTCTTCTCCCCTATGTCTGTGTGTCTTCTTTTTTTTCTTTTCTCTCCTATAAGGATACCTGTAATTGAATTTAGGTCACACCCTAATCCAGGATGATCTCATCTCGAGAACATTACCTCAATTCCATCTACAAGGACCCTTATTCCACATAAAGTCACATTCTGAGTTTCTGGGGGGCATATCATTTTGATAGCAGCAAGAGGCAGTCAAATGTCCAGGTAGGTAGGGACAGGTCCCGGGTGAAACTCCACCTTCAAGCAAAAGACAGTTCAAAGCCTGAAAGCCAAGCTACAAGTCAAATCCACAGACCAGATTTAGAATATCTCTTCCTGTTTGTCGTGCTTTCTTCTGATTGATCCTCAGCCTTCACCTATTTTACACATATCTACACTTCCCTAATTGGTTTTTTCACATTGTTGTGCTCACCTTTGAGTGGTGTCTTCGTTTTAGCTTTTTTGCATACTCACAAACCAATCAGCATGCACTCCCCCATTCTGAGCCCACAAAAGTCCTGGACCCAGCTACACTGGAGGAAGAGACCACCTGACTTTGGATGCAGGAATCACCCTTGCATCCCCTCTACACTGACAGCTGTTCTGTCGCTCAATAAAGTTCTTCTCCGCCCTCCTTACCCTTCAATTGTGAGCATAATCCCATTATTCTTGAACATGAGACAAGGTCTTGGGAACCACTGAATGTGGGTATGAGCTGTAACACAGGTGGGCTGGGGCATACCCGGCCCAGCCATGGGCTGAGCGAGGATCCTGTGATGAGTGCGTGCAAGATCCAGTCTGGTGTGCAAGCCAAGCACAGCCCAGTGGGCCTAGTTGACAGGGTGCCTCCTGTGGCAGGCCTGGGGCCAAGCAAGGCCTGGGTGGAGATGTCGCCAGCCACGGAGGTCCCCAGCTGGAAAAGTGACCAGGAAAAGTCCTGCAGCATTTTGGGGGTTCACTATTCAAGTCACTACAGACACTTTGGAGATACCCAGGGGTGAGTGTGAAGCTGAAGAGTGAGTCTGAAATCTGAGTCTGAAGTATGAACTGAGAGGCATCATCATTTGAGTGCTAATTGAAACCAAGATAATGGATGAGAAACACAGAATAAAGAGATCAGTGAGCCAATAATGAAACCTGGACACATTCATATTTACTTGACAGGTAGGAAACAAAGGTATCTGCAGGGGCAAAAAGAAGGCACGGACATGTTGTTTCAATAAGAATCAAAGCATTTTATGGTTTTTATATATCTACAAATGATTGAGCACTTACTCTGTTCCAGTTCTTTACATCAATGTTCCCAAACAGGTTGTTCACAATAGGTGTTTTCATCTGCTTTATACATGAAGAGAATAAGGCTTGGGCATTTTAAATAACCTGAGCAGGATCCAAGAGCTGATTAGTCATGAACTCAGAATTTGTCTGAGTCCACCTTTGTCTCATTCCAAAGCTTCAGGTCCTTTTCCTCGTTGCTGTCTTTTTAGCATTTCAACAAAGGGAGCGTTTGAGGATAGAAGAAATGGTTTAAGATATTATGGCAGGGACTATGAGTTGCCTACTCAAATTCATTGTTACCTTTTATATTTTTAACAGAATCCTTTTTTTCTTAAGGTGGTGATATGCCAAGTTTTAAAGGATTTTTGTCTTGTCTTTCCTTGCAGATAGGTCTGGCCATGCAACAGAATGCTGACCAGTGAGATATAAGCAGAAATTGTTGGGTCCAGGAAATCTCCTTTAAAAGATGACTAAGTGGGAAGATATCTTTTGGACTTTTTTTCTCCTTTCCTCCTCCTTACCTCCAGGCATGTGGACATGATGGCTAGAGCTACAGTCACATTTTTTTTTTTAATACCATGAGGCAAGTCTTTGGATGAAAGTTAAGGGTTAAGTAAGGAGAAACAGAAGAATCATAGGCACCTGGGCCACTGTTGTTACTACAGAGCTTCTGCACCAGCTCTACCTAAGAAGAATATCTCTTCCTAATCTTAGTGATATGTAGGAAAAGAACTCTCTATTTGTTTAAGCCATTTTTTTTCCTAGACTCTCTTATAAGCAGCAAAAAAAGTCCCAATGTGGTGGCCCCTTCCCATAGCCTCTGAAATGAAAGAAATGGATTAGAGGGCAGAAGTGGATATAGATGAATTTTGGCAGGACAGTTAAGGGACATCAAATTCAATGGTTGCAACTTTAGGATGAAGTAAAAGGCAGCGTTTACTAAGACTGGGTGTGGCTGGATTTGGAGTAGGGAGGTTTTAAGCACTTTAATGGTGTGCTAAAATGAGATACTGTACTAACTGCTGATCCAATGTACCTTGCCTACTTTGTGCTGTAACCTGTCTCTGAAAAAAAAAAAAAATGGAATAGCATTTCTCCCATTCTGAACACAGAGAACATTTGAGTTTTGTCATTGTGCAGACTAATTCCATTTTGGTAACTCATCATGAACCTTTGCAATTTTTTAGTGGCAGTATAATAACCTGCAAGCTGGTTCAACCTGAAGAATACTCTTCTGTTTTTATACTTCAAAAGAGCTACTAGAACTTACTTGACCTTAAAAAAAAAAAGTCTTCAAAGTGGATCTGGAGGTGGTCAGACAACAAGGGAAACACAGGGTAAATCTTAGCACTTACCTGAAAGAGCCTCTTCTTGAAAGACAGTGATTGAGATAAGATGATTTCTGGGAAAGACTAAGGTTTGCTAATTTTTTTCCCCTTTCTAGGATGTTTAATTAATTTCTTAAGTCAATTTTCAGTGTACCTAGAATAATCAATATTCTCATATTTTTATCGCTAACTTCTTGGCTACAGTCCCTAAATTCACTGCATCTTGATTTATGCTCAAGTGTGGGTAGTTGTGAGATGAATTTTTATTTTTATCAAGATTTGCTTTAATTATAAGATCCCATGGTGTTTTCATTTTCATAGCCAGGACTCATATTCACAGGAACATGCCCTTTTAAGAGAAAATGATTTTATTCTTCAAAGTCCTTTGTTAGTGACAATTCAACCTGAAATTTTAACACATTTTAACTGATGCCACATTGAAATAACATTAGAGAGAGAGAGAGAGAGAATCATTGCAAAATATGCAACATCACTATCAAATAATGATAGTGATGACACACACATATATGCACATGCTGAGACTGAAAAAGATAAATGTTAGGATTACTGGGTTCATCTGACTTTAATTTTTCAATCTTACTTGTTTGTGTGTCTGTTCTTTCTTGTCCTCTATGAGCTACCAGAGAGCACAGATGATGTCTCAATCATCATTGTGTCCGCAATGTCAAGAAAGCACAATTCTCATCACATAGCAAGTCCTCCAGAAATGTAAGTTGGGTGAATTATTAAATAACTGATTGAATACATAAAAGATGTCTAACACACAATTCCTTCAACAAGCATTTCATGTGCACCTTCCATGGTCTAAGTGTGGCATTAGGCACTGGGAATGGATCAAAGACTAAGAAACCATAGGCTCTACCCAGAGTTCACATACACATGTGCAAATACATACATATAACACCATATGATAGTACTTCAATACAAGTAATTACCAGGTGAAAAGGGGGATGTAGTAGGAAACACGTGGAAGTCAAATTGTCAGAATTTGGAAGCCAATGGGGTAAAGGAAGTATAAGGAGAATAAAGAGTCCATAACGATTCTGAGATTTGGGCTTAAACTGGTAGTGACTGGTGGTGCCCTTAACCAACACATGGAATATGAAAGGAAAAGCAAGTATAGGGAGAAAATGCATTGAGTTTTGGACACATTGAAGTTAAAGTTCCCATGTTAGAGATGCGCAGTAGGAAACAGAATGTGAATCTTCTCTAGAGAGAGGCTGGACTAGAAATACAAAGCACGCCATCATTAACATATAGAAAGAGGATTTGAAATTGTAGCAATAAAAGAGCTAACCCAGGAGGAACATGTAGAAACTGAGGAGAAAGCAAAAATGGCATGGCCCCAGTCACACACTCCTCTTCTGTACATGGATTAGACAGCTACTTATTTCTTCAAATAATGTACCATCCTTAATGATACAAGCATGGCCACCAAACCCACACTGCTCTCTCCTCTCTGAATTGTGAATGCCATGATGTTCTAACCAGGTTTCTTACAGATAGGGTGCACGCTTCTTCATGCCTCCACATCTAACACAGCCCTTTGTGCAGATAAGTACTCAATAAATGCTTGTGGATAAGAATGATGACTACCTGTTTTGACCAGCAGATGATGCAATCTAATAATAGACAAGAGACTTTATCAGGTGGGATGCCAAAATCACTGTCCTCTCAAACATCGAACACTTTGTTTACTAAGAAAAAAGAAGTGTTTTGAATTATTCATACTCTGACCTTAGCCACAGCAGCAGAGATGCCATAAAACAAACCAGACATTTTTTATGAATTTTATAAAAGTTCCCATCTAGGTAGGCCAGTTTTTCCTTAAGATAGGTTTTATTATACAACTTCAAATGCTATATGGAAATTCTGTGAGTAAAACTCTTTCTTGTTAACTTATTCAAAAATCCAAACTTAATTAAACCCTCAATCACTTTTCCTGGAATTGAGATGATGAGATGAGATTTGGTGATCTGTAATTTTTGGAATCTCCTTTCATTTCCTCTGTTTTTTTCCCTCAGTGTGGCATTAGCAATTTTTCCTCCAACCTTCAGGAGAGTTGCTATTTATAGAGAGAATATATTACATCCTTACTGGCAGTGCAACTATTTCACAGTTTATTTCCCTCAGAATTCTCAGATGAATATCAAGGAATACTAGTGATTTACTATATTTGGGTTCCTCAAAGTTGCTCAAGAAGTACATCCTTAAAGACTGAGACACATTTGAATTTCCCATAAGGAATATTTGTGCTATAGAAATGCAAGTATTTTAGCCTCTACTCACCCAGTTACAACATAATAACAAACAAGATTTTCTCTTTTCAAATGTGGTCTCTTTGGCCATAATTTACAAAATTAAAATAATAGAAAACATATCTTCATCTTATTTAATGAGATATTCTGTATTTGAAAATCATTTTAGAACCCAAATGTGCAGATCAGTACTCAGTAAATGTGTGTGGATAAGAAACTCTGAATCTTGTTCAGAGTTCAGACTTGTATTTAGTGTTTAGATGCTATTCTCAAGTTGGCAAGATAAATTCTCTTGACTGTAAGAACAATAGCTTCCAGAATACAACAGGGCTCCAACACTTTTACAACAATAGTAACCACTCTTTGCTCAACCTGAATAATGAGCAGATGTGGTTTTGTTGTTTGTATCTTCCCAGCATCCATTTACTCTTCTTCTGGAAATACCACCTCAATGTGAGAACATTACCCTCATTCCTAGTTTCAGTCCATGTAGTTCAGATGGAGTCGAATTCACCATTTGGCCTCAGAAATAGGATAACCTAAGATGGGCCAATCAAAGCATTGCATTAGCCTGGCCATAGTGACTAATTTAAGAATGGCACATCACCCAAGCCAGACTAATAACTCTCAGTCCTGGTTTATTGTTGGGAATTCCTCTTGACTAGTCTTCAGGATGATCATTTTAAAAGAGGGTAACATAATATCACTTGGCTAACTTCCAATAACTTTCATTGTAACAAGGATTAAATCCAAACTCCTTACCATGGTCCATAAAGCTACTATAATCTAATTTCCACCTACCTCATTTATCTCATCATTTGTTATTTCTTCATATTCACTTCACTCGATACCTCAAATAGGCTATGTTGCTTCCCATCTCAGGAGCTATGCACTTGTCATTCTTTCTATTTGCAATATTTTTTCTTGGATCATTCTCTTGCTGTATTTTCCCCATGATCATTTATGTTTTAAGCTAAATGTCTCCTACACAAATAGGCCTTCCTGGATGACCAAAAAAAGCATCCATCACATAGTCTTTACTGCATTATCCTGTATTATCTTTTTCATATTAATTTCAGGGTCCCAAATTATTTTACTTGTTCACACCTTTATTGTGTCTCTCATTTCACCAGAGTGTAAGCTCTCTGGGGGCAAGCACATTAATTATCTAGTTCATCATTGTATATATCCTGTATTCCCTAAGTATCAGGCTTTCAATAATTATTTGCTGACTGATGGAGGAGCTACCTTTTTGCTGTGCTTGCTAACCTAGCAGAATATAAGCCAAGAGCTGCTAATGTCAAATTGTCAGCCAACAAGGCCAATGCAGGGGTAAGGAGAGCTGAGAAATGAAGAGAAACAGATTCCCCACCACACAACTGAAGCCAGATATCCAGAGATGTTGTTTATATAAGCCAGTCATGCTTAATTCACTTTGAGCTAGATTTCTGTCTTTTGTAACCAACAGGAGTCCTGATGGAAAAGTATGTAAAAGAACTTGTGGAGAGCCAAGCACCATACTTATATAAGTGCTGTGTTCTTGGACAATATCCATATTCTGTCACTTACACCACGTATCTTTCCTTTTTTTTCCTGTTTTTGGCCAAAATTATAGTTAGCTAAAAGGGTTAAATGTCTTATTTAAAGATATTCAGGTAATTTATCAGTGAAAAGTTATTTGAGATTTATCTGCAAAGACAACCCATGTATTAAGGTAACCAGAATATTTGACTTTATAGTATGGCAATGGTATTTTTATTGTTGTATTTAGTTGAAAAGGTGAATTGTTTAGTTATCTGTGTATCTAAGCATGGTAGAATAACTTTACTAGACTTGATCTCCTACTAAAAATAATTATAAATTAAAAAAATAAAATAAATACTCAATAAAAATAGATAAAATATGTGAGACAACTTTTTAAAGCATTGAACAACAGACAGCACAGTACTGCAATCTTTGAAAGAAGAAAAACACAGAACATAGGGGCCATAATAATATCATGATCACTCAGACTTCTCTGCTTCAGACCAGGAAGAAGAAGCTCAAGAAGAATTGGGGTCTCACTAAGATAAGAAGGCAGAAGTTGTAATTACAGATTTCTGATGTGACTGGAATTTGTAAGGCAGTATATCCGAGAAGCAAGCACTGCAAAGGAATGGTGGGAGTAGGGTAGATAAAAACTGCATTGAGATTCAATAACTGTATAAAATGTAAATGGACTAATTACTTCCATTAAAAGGCAGAGATTTTCCAGTAAAAACACAAAATCCAAGTATTATCATCTATAAGAAATTTGCTTTTAATATGAAAAGAGTCTGAAAATAAAAGGATAGGAAAAAATATACCAAGAAAACAGTAAGTATTAGAAAGTTGGAGAAACCATTTTTAATATTAGGCAAAACAGACTTTGAGACAAGGAGTATCACCAGAGATATCCTTAAATTTGCAACCATAAGACTTTATATAGCAATATTAAATTTTAATACAAACCCACAAGTTACCTTCTATTCTTTCTCCTTTCCATATTTCTAACTTCTTTCTCAGAGTGAGAGACCTGGCTATCATTCTCCACAATACATCACTCATTTTCTCAAACCTACACAGAATATGGTTTTAGAATTACTAACAAATACTATTGTGAAAAGCAAGCTTACTGGGGCAGGAAATATACAACATAAGCCTGAAGCATCTTATAGTGCCAGAAACTAAGGAAGTGCTCAAAAACCAATCAACCCAAACCAAATTGATAGGGGAATGTCAAAGGGACAGAGGAGCCAACTGAAAGAGCTCTCAATGGCCAAAGCGAAAACCCTTAATTTTAGCAACAAAATAAATTAAGTAGTAATGGATTATAACTCAAAGTATAACATACATATTCATGAGGTCTTATTGATATGAATAAATAAATAAATAAGTAAATGAGAGAGAAGAGACAAAGCTTCCAGGCAGAAGAATTCCAAATAATTTATGGAAATACTTTGCTCTTAAGGAGGGAAGCACAGTGTGGTCTTCCAGTAGTGATCTCCCTGTAAAGAGTACAGTATAAAAAGGTGGGGATGGAAGAGAGTAACTTTACAGTGGAGAAACCTGACAGACACACCGGCAAAGTGACCCAGATCAACTTCAAGAGTGCTAAATCCTGTTGATAATATGTATTCCTAATAATGATGTGCTTAAGTTGGCACTTTACTTTTGTGGTCTTCTTCCAAAAACCACACAATCCCAGTATAACCATAAGAGTAACATCAGCTGGGTGCAGTGGCTCACGCCTGTAATCCCAGCATTTTGGGAGGCCGAGGCAGGTGGATCACAAGGTCAGGAGTTTGAGACCGGCCTGACCAATGTGGAGAAACCCCGTCTCTACTGAAAAAACAAAAATTAGGTGGGTGTGGTCACGCACGCCTGTAATCCCGGCTACTCAGGAGGCCGAGGCAGGAGAATCGCTTGAACCCAGGAGGCAGAGTTTGCAGTGAGCCGAGATAGTGCCACTGCACTCCAGTCTGGGCAACAGAGCGAGACTCCCTCTCTTAAAAAAAAAAAAAAAAAAGCCAATAGCGAAGTATCCTATACTCTTCAAAACTGTCAAGGTCATAAAAACAAGGAAAGTCTGAGAAACTATTGCAGTGAAAAGGAGCCTAAAGAGAGGTAACAACTACATGTAACATGGTATTCTAGACGGAACCCAGGAAAAGAACATTAAGTAAAGCTAAGGAAGTCCTAATTAACTATCTTCTCAACTTTTCTGTAATCTTGTAATCTAAAGTTGTTCTAAAAAATGGTGTCTATTTAAAAATATGATTCAATACTGATTGAATAAAGCTCCTTCAACACAAAGGCCACAAAAGTGACACCAGAAGCAATAAGCACACCTATGACTAGTTTCTAAATCACATTCTCCTCTGAAAACCAATAGGGTGACTATAGTCAATAGTAGCTTAGTTGTATATTTTAAAATAACTTAAAGAATGTAATTGGATTGTTTGTAACACAAAGGATAAATGCTTGAGGGGATGGATACTCCCCATTCTCCATGATGTACTTATTTCACATTGCTTGCCTGTATCAAAACAGCTCATGTACTCCATAAATATATATACCTGCTATGTACCCACAAAAAATTTAAAAAATAATAACATTTTAAAAACCCAATAGGCCTCTTTGGAGGAAAAGTTGCTTTTAGGGTTTAAATACAAGCTAAGTCTGCAACATTTTCCTGCACCAAAAAATTAGAAAGTACTCAGAGATGATGAGGATGTATCAATAGGGCAGGAGAACAAGTTGAAAGGTCCCCCGTGGCCACATCTGGGTCAAATTAAACTTCACTATAAGTAAATATATAAATGATTACATTTAGTAAAATAAGAATCTATGAGTTCATATTGACATAAATAAATATATAAACCAGGTCTTCCTTACAGTAGGATGCTATAAGATGCTTTAATGTGGAGAAAATGATGGAGTTTAAAATATCAACACTGGATGCTAAAATTAGTTTCATGAGGAACATGTATTTACGTATAAAAGTAATTCCCCACAAATTACTTACAAAGGGGAACATAGACATTTTGCAGTGGAGAAAACTGGAAGACAATACAGTAACCAAATGATCAAAGCTAATATCACCAATATTGGAACAAATCAACATCATAGGCCTCCTGATGTGATGCACTGTGGAGGAGGACACAACACTGTGTCTCTAGCGTTCCTGAGAAAAATACTTAAATTTAATCAGGAAATAAAAATCAAAATTTAGGAACGTTCTGGAAATAACTGGTCTATGATCTTTAAAAAAGTGTCAATGTGTCAATGCCAAGAAAGATAAAGAAAAGCTAAAGAACTACTACAGACTAAAGAAGACTAAAGGAGCATGACAAATAAAGGCAATGTGATTCTGGATAGGATCCTTGGCTGGGGAAGAAAATAGCTATAATAGGTCTGTTGGCAGAAATGATCAAACTTGAATATTATAGTGGATGACGTAAATGGTGTTTTATTAATTCTGAATTTTCATATTTTAATAATTGCACTACAGTTATGTAAAAGAATATCCTTTTTTCTGAATTCTGCCAACAATGTGAGTTTGGAAGTGAATTTTTCCCCAGACCCTCCCAATAAGAACCTGGCCCATTCGACACTTTGATTTCAGTCCTGTTTGTTGTAAGCAGAGAACCTGGCTGAGCCTGTTCAGATTTCTGACCTACAGAACTCCCAGCTAATAAATGGGTGTTGCTTTAAGCCATTAAGGTTGCTATAATTAGTTCTGTGGCAAAATAAAGGAATACAATCCCTCACCTACCCATACACACTAAACACACACACACACACACACACACACACAAATGCATACATATGCATTGTCACACAAAAAAACCTACCAATAGGGATGAAATATATATCTAATAAAGTGTTGAAATCAAGATGTAGTTATGGATGAAAATCAAGCCAACAGATAAAAATCGCGGTGGTTAAAACATGGCTCCCTTCAAGACAGATTGTTTCGAATAACATTCAATTTGAGGTGAAATTTCTGTGGTGATAGAAGATAGCTCCCAGAAGGAGAGGAGCCAAGAGCACACATCTCTTCTTGATCCTAAACTCACAAAATAAGATGTCCTGAGAGCACTTACGATGACACATTCAAAGCTATGCTTGGAACCAGAGACTTTTAGAGAAGGCGAGAGACAGAAAGGAGATGAGTGTAGGAAGTTTGAATTCAAATGAGAGGCTAATTTAGGCTATGGTCAAATTAGATAAGTAAAAGAAATTTTGATTTATTCTGCATTCTCTTCCCAGGGGTTCAAAATGCTATCCTAGCTGTTACTGCATTTATCCTCACAATTACCCTGCAGTCATTCATTCCTTCTTAGAAACCTAATTTAAACCAATGTTGGCTGTCCCTTAATCACAGGATAAAATCCAAACCTCTTTCAGGTCAAGGAAATTTACACCAAAAGAATTTTACACCAACTTGCCTCTCTAGTCTCATATTCCTGCTGCTACCCACCTTCACTGTGTAGTTTCACACCATAGGACACGGCCTTCTTCAATGATTATTTTGATGATTAATACCTTTCTGCCTTTTTTGTGGATTACACCTTTTTTTTTTTTTTTTTTTTTTTTGAGATGGAGTCTCACTCTGTCATCCAGGCTAAAGTGCAGTGGTGCAATCTCGATTCACTGCAACCTCCGCCTCCCTGGTTCATGTGATTCTCATGCCTCAGCCTCCCGAGTGGCTGGGATTTCAGATGTTTCAGATGTGCACAACCACACCCAGCTAAATTTTGTATCTTTAGTAGAGATGGGGTTTAACCATGTTGACCAGGCTGGTCTCAAATTCCTGACCTCAGGTGATCTGCCTGCCTGGGCCTCCCAAAGTGTTGGGATTACAGGCATGAGCCACCACGCCCGGCCTATAACTCTTATAACTGAGTTATAATCTGCCCTTCCATATGTCCACAAAAATGCTCCTCTCCATATTAACACCCTGAGAAATCCAAATCCTCACTTATCCTTCATTGATGCAGGCAATAGAAGTTCAGATTTGCATCAGGTCTCCTGTAGAGAGATGGTTCCAAGTATGGAATGAGCTCCCCTTTTCTCCTAAATTATTATGCTATCCAGTCTAGATTAGATTGCTACTCACAGCAGGAAAGTGAAAACAAAAGCATTTAGAAAACTAATCTTAACATACTTTGAAGACTGGTAAAAAAAAATGAATAAATAAAGTAAGCAAACGCATCCAGTAAGAAGACAATATTGGGATAAAGACTTTGGATGGTAAGTTGAGTTTTGATCATTCAATCTTTCAGCACATTTCGAGTTGACGCTGAAATGTTAAAGATTCTTTCTAGCCTTATGTAATATGTTCTTCCATCTGGATGACTTACTATTTCTCAATTTTCTTTTTATAAACAGCTTTACTTAGATATAGTCCACATACCATACAATTCACTCATTTCGTGTGTACAATCCATTGGTTTTCAATATATGCATAGAGTTGTGCAGCCATCCCCACAACTTAATTACAGAATATTCTCAATTCCCTTTTGTGCTTATCCTACTCTTTACCTTTCATTCATTCACTCATTTATTCAACCACTTAGAACATATTTCTCCAGTCAATGTAAATTCGGGGGATACCATGATAAATACAAGATGGTCCTGCTCTCAATGAGATCCTGAGAGAGGCACACATTAAAGAAGCAATTACAATACAGGGTGATAAATCCTGTCCTGGGCAAAGTGCAGGGTGCTGTGCTAGGACATACATGGGGGTACCTGACCCACTGATGGTCAGAGAAGTGATTCTGGAAGGAAGCGAGGTCTATGCTGAGACAGAAGAGTGAGATGGAGATTTTCAGGTGACAGTGAAAATGGGAGCACAGATGAAGCGTTCAAAGGAGAGGGTTACAAACATAAAGAATGGCGTCCGCTAAGATCCAGAGTGAGACGGAAATGGATTCATGGAGCTAAAAAGAATCCAGCCTTTTCTTCCTGTCAAAATCCAAGCCATCATTATTTTTAGATACGAATGTTCATAGCAGCTTTATTGGGTAATATTCAAAAACTGAAAACAACTCAAGTGCCTGTCATCAGGCAAATGAATGAACTGTTGTACATCATACAGTGGAATAATACCCAGCAATGAAAAGGAATGAACTATTGGTGCATGCAAGAACATGGAGTGAATAAAACCTGATGAAAAAGAGTAAACACTGCACAATTCCATCTGTATAAAATTCTAGAAAACACAAGCTAATCCATAGTGACAGAAGGCAGGTCAGTGCTTGCTGGTGGGTAGTAGGGACAGATTATGAAGAGGCAAGAAGAAACTTTCAGGAGTGATAGAGATGTTCATTATCTTGATTGTGGTGATGGCTTCATTGGTGAATACATACATTAACAAGTATCAAATTGCATATACTAAACATATATAGTTTATTGTATGTCAATATACCCCATCAAGTTGTTTTTAAAAAGGCATCCCTGTTTCGACAACCAGTTCTGTGATCTCCCTGTTAATAAAAGATCTGGCACCTAGTGAGGGCTCAGTGAGTGTTGGGCACTAGTGTTGGTGTCAGTGTTAAAATATGACTATTAGTATGATCCTATTTGCCATGGTCAGAAAGGCCCAGGAAAGAAATGAGGTCTAATCTGCAGATTGGCCCAGACAGTAGACCTGGGAGTGGAAACTGGGAAGGCCGGGCAGTCCAGAGCTGAGACCTAGAGTTGGG
Organism: Homo sapiens; assembly: GCF_000001405.40. NCBI lineage: Eukaryota > Metazoa > Chordata > Mammalia > Primates > Hominidae > Homo > Homo sapiens. The sequence goes on from NC_000008.11 coordinate 117,295,301, forward strand.
GGATGGGAAGAACTAGGGGGTTAAACTCCCTCTGCCACTTACTAGCCCAACTCAAATGTTGCCTCCCCTCAGAAGCCTTACCTGATTCCGATTTATTTATTTATTTATTTATTTATTTATTTGAGATGGAGTCTTGCTGTGTTGCCCAGGCTCTAGTGCAGTGGCATAATCTCAGGTTGCTGCAACCTCTGCCTCTCGGGTTCAAGCAATTCTCCTGCCTCAGCCTCCCGAGTCGCTGGGATTACAGGTGCCCAGCACCATGCCCAGCTAATTTTTGTATTTTTAGTAGAGATGGGGTTTCACCATGTTGGCCAGGCTTGTCTTGAGCTCCTGACCTCAGGTGATCTACCTGCCTCAGCCTCCCAAAGTGCTGGGATTACAGGCATGAGCCACTGCGCCCGGCCCTGCTTCAGATTTAGTTACGTCCTCTTCTGTGTTTCCTTAGCCTTTTGGGGACATCTCAATACACTATTTTCCTTCTCACAAAATACATCTTTAAATCAAATAGTAATTTTAAACCAAACTTTGAGTAGTCCACACAGACTGTAAGATAAAGTTAGGAAACAATAAAGTAAGATGAAAAAAATAATAATAACCACTATGAAACGTGAAATGGCATGCAGTCATGGGAATGACTGAAATCATGAAAAATATCTTTAATTCCCCTGTTTATCGGAAAACTATTTAATTCTTTGTTATTTTATTGCCCCCAAAAGCCCACTTGTTATAACCTGCAGTTATAAATATTACAGAAACATCCAATTAAAAAAATCAAAAGGCTCCTTTTTCCTATATCCCCAGAGAGTGAGGGTGAATTGCTATTCACACATCCAGTTGTCTCAATCCTTAACAAGAAGATTGATCACATTCAGAAGAAAACAGAAATAATCTGGAAAATGGAGGGCTCAAATACTTTATAAATAAGAAAATAAATGACTGTTTCTTATGATGAATAATTTAAGTAAATGTCACATTGCAGTAATTGCAAATAACATATAACACCTTTGAGTTAATGACAGTGGAATTAGGAAAGCTTTTTCTAATCACTGTCATCTTTTAAAAGCTCAATAAAAATATGTAAGATAACTTCATCATTTTCCAATCCTGGAATCAAGCTCTTTAATATTTTTGCACAGAACTTACAAATTTATAAGTGAACCATCACACTTAGAAATGGGATGCTTTTTTCTAGGAGATATTCCATACCAACTCATTGAATTGATTTGTCCATCTCAACGGTTCTTAAAAATTGTTAGAGTTACAAAACTTTAAAGTAGAGAAGAAATCATATATATTATTTATCCCAAACTTTCTATTTTACAGATAAGGAGATTAGGTCCTAGAGAGAAAATGTTCTGATCAAATTCACACGGCAATTAGTCGCAATTCTTAGTCTACAATTCTAGGTTCCTACTACCCAGGTTCAGTGACTCTTCTCAACAAGATACCTCTTTCGCAGAACAGGTTCCTCAACCTGGAACAAGAATTAAATTTTTTCCACAAGGCCTTGTTTGATTGGGAAATTGATTTAAATGCAGCTAGACACCTACTCAAGCTTTTTGTTTTGAGCCTATTCTAGTTACTGTTGCTCCACAATGTAGTGATAGAAGATACCTATCATTCTATTTTGCTCACCATTTGGCCAGTCAAGAATTACAGAAGGGTTTATCTGAGTAGATGGTACTGAGAGTCTGTCATGCAGTTGCAGTCAAATACAGGCTGGCACTGCAGTCATCCGAAGGCTGTAGCAGGTAGGACATCAGAAGGGCTCACTCACATGGGTGGTAGTTGGTGCTGGATTTTACATGCTGGAAGCTAAGCTGGATTTGCTGACTGGAGAGCCTATACAGGGCCTGTGCAGCATGGTGGTCTCAGGGGCTCTCACATGGTGTCTGGCTTCCCCCAGAGTGAGTGTCCTGAGAAATCCAACCAGAAGCTGCCAGGCCTTTCCAGAGGTAGTCTCTAAAGTTATGCAGCTGCATTCCACTCTTTACAAGAAAGTTACTAAGGCAGGCTTAGATATTAGTAAAAGAGAGGAGACAGAACTCACCTCTCCGTGTGCAAAGTTTCAAATAATTCATAGACATGTTTTAAAACTGCCACATGGCCACAGAGGGAGAAATCTCAGGTAAGCTAGAAGATATGACATAAATGTAGAATAATTGATCAGTCACTCACACTCATCAAAGAAACTTTGGAAAATAGAATATATATTCCTCTCTTTGTTTATCTCCCTAACACCCTACAATAGAAAAATGTAACTAAGAGTTTTCAATCTCAGATTTGCCCAGCTTCCAAGACAATGAAATTGATATTCAAGATAAAGTTCCAGGAAGATGACCTAGAAGGCAAAATAATAATCTTCAAAGTCAGGATCTTGAGTTGCAAATCAAGTATTTAATATTAGAGTTAATGAAGGACCAAAGAGACCTTTTATTGTTCCCCCAATGAGCATGTGGAATTAAATTTTATTGAACTCCTTAGAGAGTTGTGACCCTGTCTTTTAAACTTGATTTGTATGGCTTTCCATAGATCCCAATGCAGAGATTAGTGCTTCACAAATTTCAAATGACAGATGATGATTTAATTGGAACAGAGTAGTCCATAAATGTCTTATGAATATAAAAACATCACGGAGACTGTGATATAGACTGTTCTGTGATTCCAAGAGTTGGGATGAATGGGACTATTTTTAAGCATCCGAGATTTTAGAAAATAAGAAATTGGAACAATTTCCAATGACACTGATAAGGGCCACAAGTACCTCTTAGCATTTAAAATTACTTCAAGAAAGAGACACAGAGATTCAGAGAAACAAGCAAATATTTACTAGAGAACCATTAGGATGTTGAATTGAAAATCCTTTTCATCTCTTATTTCTTAACCTTTTCAGAAAGTAGTAATATTTATAGGTAAGTTGGAAAATATAATGTGTGTGTACACTATAAGAATGGTATGAATTCTCATACCGTGAGGAGTGGGACAATTTGAAGAAGTTGTAAAGCTATTTCTCTTCTTTAAATTTTACTGTTGCCAATAAAGATATAAAATTCCAGGTTTCCAAAAGGTTGATGGAAATTATTGTAAACATAAATTATTTAAATCAGGGCTTATGGATTATATGGCCCAAATCCAAAAGAAATTAAAAATGAATTTTGTATTATTTTTTGTAATTTTGTAGTATGGCTTTTTCTTTTGCTGATCCCATGTGGGTTCTCTGACATAGCTCCATTCTGGACTGGGATTGAAAAGCCAAGCTGGCCTCATTCACCTATCTGGTACCTCAGTGTGGGCTCCGGATTGAGGCTCCTTTTTTCTCCTGTATTTGATCTCAGTAGTAGACAGAAAAATGATTCCCAAAAGATGTGCATGTTCTAAATCTTCAAAATTTGTGAATACGAATATGTGATGTCACACGACAAATGAAACGTTGCAGATGGGGAGTAAGTTAAGGATCTTGAAATGGGGAGATTATCCTGAATTATCGAGGTGGGCCCAATCTAATCATAAAGAACCTTCTAAGAAGGAGGCAGAAGAATCTGGGTCAGAGGAGATGTGATAACAAAAAGCATGGTTGGAGCCATGTGAGGAAGGGACCACCAGAAAGAATCCCAGCGGTGGCTAGAAGCTGGAAAAGGCATCAAGGTGAATTCTCCCCTGGAGCCTCCAGAAGGAATGCCATCTTGCTGACTGATATAGTTTGGATATTTGTCCCCACCCGAATTTCATGTTGAATTGTAATCCCCAGTGCTGAAGGTAGAACCTGGTGGGAGGTGTCTGGATCACAAGGACGGATCCCTCATGGCTTGGTGCTGTCTTCACAATAGTGAGTTCTTGCCAGATCTAGCCATTTAAAGTAAATAGCACCTCCCACCTCAACTCTCACTCCCTCCCTCCTCCTTTCACTATGTGATGCACCTACTCTCCCTTTGCCTTCCACCACGATTGTAAGCTTCCTGAGGTCTCACTAGAAGCTGAGCAGATGCCAACACCATGCTTCCTGGAATGCCTGCAGAACCATGAGACAATTAAACCTCTTTTCTTTATAAATTACCCAGTCTCAGGTATTTCTTCACAACAATGCTAGAACAGCCTAATACACTGACCCATTTTAGGCTTCTGACCTTGAGAACTATGGGAAAATAAGTGTGTGGCATTTTAAGTCACTGAGTTCACAATAATTTGTTATAGCAGCAATAGGGAACCAGTTCAGCCCCTCATATACTTCAATAGAATAGAACAGGTCTCAAGTAATGTTCCCACAGAGCCAGCCCCTTTGCACACACATGCTTTTCAAGCTTCTGTGTCACAGGTGCAGAGGTCCCATTTGCTGACACAAGTTACGTGGCTGGCAGAGTCCATGTGAGAGGGGCTTTGTTTGACTACACCTTTGGATAGGAAAAGTCACAAAATCTCATTGCTTGATTTGGGATGGGAGAAATTTGTGGCCATTTATAAATTTGTTACAGGGGTTGTAATATGCTTTATGTGGCTTGTGTTTTGAAAACCGTAACCCCTTGAATCAATGCCTTAGCCTGATGCTCACAGTTGAGATAATCTATCAAATATTCTATAATGCCTAACCCAGTCACCACCCTGTCTTGCCTGAAGTTCTGGTTGATTATGACTTTTCCTTCTCTCCTTCTACCTGTCTTCTGCCCTCTGCTCCCAACTGCTGTCTCCTTCCCATTCTTTTCCATTTTAGCCCCACTTCCAAATGAACTTCTCAGACTGCTGAGCCATCAGAAAAGTGTTTTATTGAGCCTACAGTGTTTTCAAGCCCTTCTTTTTTGTGAAGAAAGTTACTTCACATGCACTTTTATGTGGCACACAGTTTCTGTGACTCAATCCTGAGGTATTCATTTGCAAAAAATACAATGCCAACTGCCAAGGCCAAATAGCAAATGTTATTAGGCATTTTTTTTGTGTGTATTTCAACTTGAAGGATGGCACTTGTTCCAGGTATTTTAAAAGGCAGAAAGAAAATTCCTTCAATGTTCTTCAAATTTGCATTTTGCTTCATCTTTTAACTGAGAAATAAAATACATTAGAATTCTCACATCATTAACAGAAGTGTGTGGGTAAACTTAGAATTTGCATTTAAATACATTCAAAAGCAGACTTCTGCAGAAATTGCAAGTAGATCAGGGGAAGATGCCAGTGAGAAGAGAAAATGAATAGTACTTTTTTGCCAAAAAAAAAATCATCAAAATTGAATTTGTATATGTTTCGATTGTCACATTTGTTTACTTTTAAAGTTTGTATTGGTCCAAACATAAGACTGTGAATTTCTTGAATAATTTGCTTCTGTGATCAGTCTTCTGCATTGGTTATATATTTTACAAATTAGCTTATTTGGCTAACTGATAAAACTTCATGTGGGTTCATCAAAGTCAAAAAAAAAAAAAATAGTCACTTTGAGGCAATGTTTATGGCCAGGCCAGACTGACCAATAAGAAACTCTAGGAGGGCGTGATCTTGGAATGAATTACATAACCAGGGACCGAATCCTCTGACTTAACAGTTTCAGAAACTGGATTTTAGTTGTTTCCAGTGACCCCAAACTTCTTACCGGCTGTCTTCTTTCCTGGTCTTGGTGAACTTAGCAGCTGAATTAAAAGGCTCCATTGAGCATAGAATTTGAGCAAAGAAAAATAGATTCTCAAGGGTCCTGATGCCACAATGAAGCCTGATCAAATATGTCTGCCCCTCAACAGCATTCACCTGCCTACAGACCTGAATATCAGAGCCTCCCAGATTCAGGAATGCCGTGGCCCCTAACCTAGGTTGCTTCTCTGATCCTTGTGTTTCCAGACATTCATCTCAACTTTTCCATGTCTTCTTTAAATATGCCAATATTATTGATTAAGCCATGGTGTAGTGAAAGGTTAACAAATGTATGCCATGTGTCACCCCCTGTCTTCCTAAGCAATTGTTCATTTGAAAAACAATTCCTCTTTCCCACTAAGTCCTGCTCAGCATGGCACTCCAGGCAGCCACTTCAAATCAATTCGAATTGATAAATGAGATGAAGCCTAGTACATTTGCCACCTCTGGTGCAGAGGCTCTTTCTAAGGACCTGGGAGACTACCTATCTCTTCTCATTAGGTGTTTATTTCATTTGACCATGAATGACTGAATTCTAGCTCTGTAATGATGACTGAGGCAATGGATTCACATCCTTGTGTTTGTTTTTCTCTGTCTCATGAGCATTATTACATATTTCCTCCACAAATGTGTGATCATGAGCAAAAAACCTCTTGGTGGATTAACACAGGTTCATATTCATTATGGGAATATAGTATGTGTGTATTTTCTTGTCTAAGATCTGTTGTCCTCACTAGATCTTAAGCATCATGAGAAGAGGGACTGTGCCTGTTTTGTTAACTCTGTTATCAGCAGTGCCTAATGTACTGCCACCACACAGGACCTCAGCAAATGTTTACTAAGGACATACAAACAGCAGGTCATTGCTGTATGTATATTTAATGTAAGGTTTCCTAGCTATTAGGGATACTCTCAGTAATATATCCAATTCTCACATTATAGAATCCAGTTACTCTACTATTTTTTCAGCTCTACTTGCTTGCAATATTATGAGAATGTCTCCAGAAGGAGAGGATTTTAGATGAAACTCAACCTAATTATTTTTTCTCTCTCTTTTTTTTAATTTTCATAATACCAATGGTAGGAGATTCCGAAACTATGTGTCAAAAGTACCTTTAGAAATTATAAAAATTATAGTTGTATTTCATTTTACTCGACAAATATTTTCAAACAGCTTTTTGTGGAGGTATCAATGTTATGGTTGTTGAACTGACCCCAAGCAAATTTTTGTCCAGGTGAAGTGATGAGGTTTATATAAAAATGACTTTTAAAAATAATATCATATGTAGTCAAAATTCAAAATATATAATAGAAGCAAAAATCAGTCAACAGAAATCATCTATTAAGAAGAAAACAATGTTCTTTAAGCCCCCTGAAGATTGGAAAACAGTAACTTTTTGGCATCCTGTTGTGGTATGCAGACCTGGCATATTACCTTATGAAAAGTAAATGATCCATGAATGTTGTTTGAATGAATGAATTGAATTAATGAATATTCATTAAATAACCATAGTTTCATGCTATTTACATTCTAACAAAGCATACTGCACATTATCAGGGTTTAGAATTAACTTTCTGCCTAGTATTATACACAGTTAATGGCAAAATAATCTCTGCAGTCTCCCCAGATGAAGGCCAAGAGGTTATTCTTGAGAATATAGTTAATCCTCACTTAAGGTCGTCACTAGATTCTGGGAAACCGTGACTTGAAGTGACATAATGCATAACGGAACAATTCCTTTTCCTCATCAACATTTTAACAAACTATGTTGAACAAAAGGATGTTATTAGAGGACCTGCTGTACATTGTGTCACTCGAAGTTGCAGTTTCCAAGAACCTATCAACGACTTCACGTGAGGAGTTCCTGTATTGCTATCTTACCCCACATATATAATTAAATCTCCAAGTATCCTTTCTATTCGCCTAATAACCCTTTCCCATTGACCGGCTTCTGTCTATCCCCTGGCTGCTCTTTAGTTGTGGCTATCAGAAATGCTGAGCTTAACTTGCTCCCCTCTTGGCTCCCTCTAACCTGTTCTCTAATTGCCACCAGAATGACCTGTCTAAAGAGCAAATGTGACCAGGACATTGTACATTGGCTTTCTTGGCTCCCCACGGATATGGTAAATTTAGGCTAATGCAAGACGCTTTTTAATCTGGTACTTGCTCTCCTTCCCTGCTCCTCCATTGTCATCATTGTCTATATTTCAGCTAGACAACTTCTTAAGTCCCCAAGTGACAGCACTGTCTCTCATTTTAGTTGGGTTATATTCTTCTCATCTCTAGGTTGGACTCTTGGTTAGAATTTTCCTTTCCTGACTATTTGCCTGGCTCACTCTTAGTTGTCCTTGAGATGTCCTTGTGGTCTTTACCCCCATGAGAAAGTTTATCTGTGATGCTAAAGAGTCCTGTAACCTAATTGTAGCAATGATCACCTGTCTTAATTGCCTACCTGCCTGTGTCTCTCATACCTCAATTGTAAGCTTCTTGCAGGGCCTATGTTTCATTTATGGTTGTATCCCTAGCACCTATTTCACGGTAGGAGCTAGTGAGTAAGTAAGGCAAGTATATTAAGATATATACTGAAGGCTGGGCGCGGTGGCTCATGCCTGTACTCCCAACACTTTGGGAGGCAGACGCAGGCGGATCACAAGGTCAGGAGATCGAGACCATCCTGGCCAACATGGTGAAACCCCGTCTCTACTAAAAATACAAAAACTTAGCCAAGTGCAGTGGTGCGTGCCTGTAATCCCAGCTACTTGGGAGGCTGAGGCAGGAGAATCGCTTGAACCCTGGAGGTGGAGGTTGCAGTGATCCGAGATCATGCCACTTGTACTCCAGCCTGGGCGACAAAGCGAGACTCAGTCAAAAAAAAAAAAAAAAAAAAAAAAAAAAAGATACACACTGAAGGGAAGAGAAAATGAATGAGCAAATAACAATCGTGGCAGAGAACAGGATTTATTCATTACAAGTAGCCTTGACCTCTTGTATCATTCCCAGTAGAAGCCGAGACTCCCAAACCCAGGCATATTTAGGACCTTCTTCAAACAATTGCCAGTACCATGGTGCTGGGGAAAAACAAAACAAAACAAACAAACAAAACAAAACCTTTCAGACACCTTAAACTAAAGCTGCTCTGTCATCTTGCAGACCCACCCTGGAGTCCAACAGGACAATTTTCAAAGCCACCCATCCTGGCAAAGTGCTTGACAAGCTGCAGGAGAACAGCATTCAGGATTGCAATTAGAGTTGGAAGAGAGGAGGAGGAGACAGGGGTCACTGGGCCAATCAATACTCAGCTACCCTCTCCCCCCACCCCCTCACCGCCGGTGTTCAGAGAAATGCCAAAGCTTGCCGCTTAATCGCGGTTCCCATTTTAGGTAGTGCACTCCTGCCATCTAGTGGTTCCCCCACGCTCTCCACAATGCCTTCAGCAGAGATGGATTTCATGTGCTGAAAACCCAGCAAAGGCAGAACCAAACCAAAAAGCCAGACTTAAAAGAGTGCCCTAAAAGAGTGCCCAAGTGCAATCAAAATCCACCTAGAGAACCACAATAGCATTTGGGTTCCTTTGTGACTGTTGAGAAGTGATTATCTTAGCTGGTGCGGAATGCCATAGAAGGTCCAAGTCTTGAATCATGGTGTCAGTCAAACTGGTAATCAGATTTGAAAACTGGTTTTTATTTCACTAGGAAATAGGAAATGATTTTAGTTTATCATGGATTGAATGTGTCTTTTTGCCCCTTCTTCTCCTAAATGATTCTAAATGTGTTGTGAATTGCCTAGAAATTATTCTTACCCAACAGTGAACTAGAGAATTACAAAACTGAAGAAAAAAAAAAAGCTAAGCTAAGAATGTCTCTGCTACTCTCAGCATAGAAGTGCCAAAAAAGCCAAAGATGACACAGCTGAGATTTAACAAGAAAAACATTTCAGGCAGCAGGACTGACAATGGATGAAAATGTCCCTGATTTCAGAGTCCCTGAGGGAAGCTGGCACTCTTACTGTTTTTTTCATGGTGCTCCTTAGGTAATTCATTGAAACATTAATAGTCTGTGTTGGCCCTGGGGCCATGAACTGGGACCCATCCAGTTGCACAGGAGCACATCAACCTGCAGAAGATACAGACCTCTGCTGCACATACTCTATGGCTGAGAAAACTGGTCTTGAAATAATTCTGAAAACAGAAAAGAGAAGTAGTCAGCCTGGCCCCAGAGAAACAATAGCCTTCACCACCAGTTTTACAGAAACAGAATTTCTCGGGCAGAAAATATATTCTTATGCATATATATATATATATATATATAAACATATTATATTAACTTATAATGTAAGTTTAATATGTATATAATATATTTAACATATACATATATACTTAATATATACATATTATATACTTTAAATAAACATATTAAACTTACATGCCTCAACAAAATAACCAATAGCCAGAGGAAGTGATGGGGGCCACGATAAAATATTGAGAGGTCTTGCATGTGATTTACAATTTTTTTTCCTCTTTCTAAATACTCCAAATATATATAATCACAGCTTCTGATACTGTAATATGATCATTAGCTGAAACTTGGAACAACTAATATTTACAAACCCCACTTAGGAATTTCACAAGATTCCTATTTTCTTCTGCATTCTATGCCAAGACAGGTTTGCTGTTTATTTAGATAAACATGTAATATGTAAGGGATGAGACCCTGTCTATTTTTTAACTCAATTTTCCAGTTGGGTTAAAAAATAGGTTTCTGGAGGAAGAAAAATCAGTTAATCTAAATATTTGAAGTCATATAAGTACAATCAATTAACTTGCACATTAAAAAAATTTCCATCAGCTGTTTTACCACGGTGACACAGCCTTATGTCATAAAGAACTACCTTTAGGTTAGCTACTACCTGAGAATGTAACTACATTTAGTATATAAAACAAAGACATATGATTGTTAGACAAATGATCTGCTTTATCTTTGTGGACAAAAAAGATGATTAATGATACTCAGGTTTAAAAAACATTCATGTTCAAAAAATATCTTCTTGGAGAAAGTTTCATTTTTATAAAGTTATAAATGTATACAAAAATATAAGCCAACCAGTCATTTTAGGGGGCAATAGTCCTTAAACAGCCTTACTCCAAAAGACCTTTAGGAGTGGTACTGCTTGCCACTAAGGAAGAATGACAGAAGGAAATTTGGTAAGAATATAAAGATTGGGTTAAGATTTTTAGGGAAATAGAAAAATAATAAAAATGTTGCCTAAATAACAAACTTCCTGGATGACAAAGCTTTAGGCTCCTTGGTTAATTCTGCAATAGCATGTAATTGACAAGGGGTTTAAAATACAGTTTTATTAAAATGGCATTCTCAACTAGCAGGCTGTCAGGCATGATGTCTGAAGGCTTTTGCTGTGATGAGAGTGGTCTTCAAAGAGTCAGCAGTATTCCTCTGGTGGGACTGGCCACTCTATCACTCCCCCATGACATCCTTGTTGTCTGCATAAGGTGCCCAGCCTCCCAGGTCACACATAGTTAACAGTGGTCAACCTAGTCAGACTGATTTAGGTTTGAATAATACCAATTCCAATACCTATTAGCTGTTTATCCTTGGGCAAATTACTGATGTTCTCTGAGTCTGTTTTTCTTATTTGCCAAATGAAGATAACAATCATTAAGTTAAAATGCAGTTTTCACAAGTCAAAATCTATCCAATAACAACAATTTTATTGCTTCCACAATAAAGTCACAACTTTCAAGACCTAGGAAGCAGTGGAAAAAGTAGAACTTGACCTAGACCTACATGCTCATTTCTAACTAGCTGATGGACAGATTGTGAAAAAACTTACTCAGGCAAGAAGGTCCCAGAAAGACAGGCCCACACCAATTTATCTGTCAGGATCTTTGTCGGCTGTGTCAAAGGGCTATGTAAGAACAGAAATACATGAATTTTTCAGTGCCCTGCACTGGAAGGGTGAAAAATCACTTTAGGGAATCTACAGAAGCAAGATTTGCTTAGAGAACATGTTACAGTGGTTAGCGTGCTGGACTTGACATAGGTGAGAACCACTTCTCTGCGATGAAATAGCTATGTGAACTTGACATCAGTCTCACCTCTTCGATTTTTTGCTTTCTCATTTATATGATGGAAATACTAATTGGAGCCCTAAGTGCCACAGAGGTGATAACTATCATTCATTCTGCACTTGTTATATGCTAGGCACTTTACACTAATTATCGGATTAACTCCCCACAACAACCATATGAGGAAGGTACTGTTATTGAAATTCCCAGTTCAGAATGAGGACACTGGGGCTTAAAAACAGTAAGTACACGATCACACAGAAATTAAAAGGTGGAACTGGGATCCAAACCCCAGCAGTTTAATTCTAGAGCTTTCTTGCCTATGAACATGCTATACTGCTTTTAATCAGAAGGCCTAAATTGTAGTCCAGGTTCTATTATTCATTTGCTTCACTGGACTTTGATTTCCTCTTAAGCTAAATGAGGGGATTGTACTTGAATCAGGTTCTAAATGGATTATGTCAAATATCCACCCTCGTCATTTCTGATAGAAGTTTCTAGGAGCATAGCATTCAGAAAGATTGTAAAAGCTGTCTTGGTTCAGTGGGAAATAATGCTGTGATTAACTAGTGATGTCTGCCAAGGGCATGGCACCGGAGAGGCATGGAGGCACTTGTAACATGTTTTGCATCCCTGGGAGAAATAAGGACGCTTCTGGCTGTTATATTTTATTATTCTGTTTATGCATTTTCTCTTAGTAGCTACCAAGAGGGCAACCAATGGTAGTCTGGCCAGGCAAGGGCTACATTGTAGGACAGGGATGTCTAATAGAATTTTCTACCAGGATGGAAATGTCCAATACAGTAGCTACTAGACACGTGTGACTATCAAGTACTTGATATCTGGCTGAGTAGCTCTATATTAAATTTTTTAAACTTTTCACTTCAAAAGTATAAATTCAAATAGACTTATGTGGCTAGTGGCTACTATATTGGTCAGGCCTAGGACAAAGTTCAGTTGGCTGTGGATGAACACCATGAGCATGAAAACTGGGAGGGAATTCACCTAGAAGGCTGAAAGTCAGGGAAAGGTAATTACAGTTTGACCAAAGGGGATGCTAGGGAAGGATGTGGATATCAAAGCTGACAAGTGATGCCAAAGAGAGCAAGTAGTTGGGGATAGATAGGAGGCAAAAGACTAATCGTCTGACTTCCTAGCTGTGTAAATCCTGCACTAGGGTGTCCTCACTGATTCTGAAATGAACAGGGCCTGGGCTTTGATCATTTGAATGCAAATTGCCATGATATTCTTTTATTAATGGCATAATTTGCCTCAGCATCCCTGCCCATTCCTAACTACCCCTCAGAATCTTCCCCAATCCCCACTATTACTTAAAATCTTCCTATCAATGTCCATCCACTGGCTAGATGAAATAGTCCCAACTGCTTAGCATTACTGCCTAGTGAATTGCTAGCACACTTAGTAGGCACTCCAATAGTTTGGCTCTTTGTTACCAAAATTTAAATTTAGTTAGCTTAATCAAAATGAGGAGTAAACAGGAAGAGTATTGGAGCATCTTATACAAGAATTGAGGATCCAAGCCACAGGAATGGATACTGCTAGACTTCTGCAAGAAATAGGATTCAGTCAGAATCTTCTGTCTCTCATTTCAGGACTTTGCTCTCCACTCTGTCCTTCTATACATTGGCTACCCATGCTTTGCCTTGCTGCATGGTAGAAAACATGCCTGCCAAGGACTTCAGCCAGTAAGGAAAGGCAGCGTGAGGCTCTCTATGTTCCCAAGTGTTAAAATATCAGGGAAGGAACTCTGACCCATCCTGATTCTAGTGCCCACCCCTTGATCTGTAGTGGAGAGAAACAAGGAGCAAGAACACGTTCAATTATTGGCATTTATACTGAAAATCATGAAGTTGGAATTGGGGGGAAGAAAGGACAATTCCCAGAAGACAGCAGGTGCTGTCTCAGGAAAAAAAAAGCAAGAGAAGTTAGAAAAACAAAATGGTAAGTTTCCATTGAATAAATAATAGGATAACATAACACACATAACAGATATTCATTAGCAAAGGCTATTTTTTTTTCTTTATAAAGCAGTCCAAGAATGATAAAACTTTGCTATCTGCAGAACTCGGATGATTTTTCCCCACTTATTAGGATCCAAAAGGAAAGCAACCAGATGCTTTAATTACTTTGATTGTGGAGGTAAAGGAAAGCCTTGCTTTTAAACGAACATTGTATTCATCCATTAATTGTGTCAGGAAATTGAAGAGACAGTTTGGCTTTATATTTGATTATCTCAATATCTATTGAATAAAAAAGTATTTTTGCTTCATTAGCAGTAAAATATATAGGAATCTTGATGGATCATGCTAAGTATTATTTCCTTACTTCTGGTCTTAATCACTATATTTAATAAGGAAAGGCCAGGTTCAATAAAGAATGCATCTGGCTTCAAATGATTAATCGATTTTTATAGAACTCACATGCTGGCGATTCTTTAGGAAATTAGAAAAGACACCATGAATCACAACTCCCTGCACACCCTCCCCTCCTACCCTCCAGCTTTGCTTTTACTAATCAGCCTCAATTGACTATCTTGGGGCATTTTTACAGAGGTACATTTTTTGTCTCTCATATCCTGAATTAATGCTGTAGGTAATTAGCTTCTGGGGCTGAGGTCTCTTTCATCCCCATGCAAGTCAACTAAATGGTTTTTCTTTTCGGCTTGAAATGTGAGTCTCTTCCTTTCATTCCCTCTTTGACTCTTCTCTCTGGTTACTTTAATTGGGATGTCAAATTGTATCGTTCTGTAGGAAGCTGAACTTTTTGAAATTGGTCCAGGACAGAGTTTTCTTGAGTCAGGGGGCAATTTTTCTTTGTAATGTCATTTTCAATTCCTTAAGGCAGGAGATGAATTAGTCTTGTGCATTAACAACAAGGAATGAGGCTGTGGCCGGCTGCCGATGCTGCAGATCCAGATGCAAACATGAAATCAGTAGGAGAAAAATACAAGTACATGTCAAGATTGGCAGAGTTGGCTTGAATGACTGAGGGACATCTTTTGGAAAGGGAATCTGAGCCTCAAAATGTAATTTAATTTAATTTAATTTAATTTAATTTAATTTAATCCTGTGAATTCTTGTTGCCAGGGAATTTAACTAAAGATATGCATGCATCTTATTTACTGCTGTATCTCTAGAGACTGGAACACGGATAACAAATACCTGCTGGGTTTGCTGCCACTACTACTTAATCCTTCCTCTATAGCTGGCATTGCTAATCACTCATGACACTTTCCTGCTGAGCCCACATGTAGACTCAGATGGCTACAGGCAGTAACCACCAATTGATCAGAGCTGGCACACAAGATGGAACCTATTTGCAATCCCTGGTCTAGAACATTGTAAGTACTTAATGAATACTTGTTGAATGAAGTAAATGAAGACATGTTTCTAGAGATGATGGGACATTGCGTTACTCCCTTCCCTTGCATTTAAAGTGCACTTTTTAGCTCAGACGGCCTCCAAGGAGTCAAATCTGGTATTATTCCATAATTTATGCTCACCACATTACCCTCTAACTTTGTCTAAAGCAGGGATAGAAATAATTGCCTTCAAGCCGTATTTATCCTAGCATGCAGGCACATCTGGGCATGTCTGAAGACCTGGTGAAGTGGGTCTGAAAATTTCATCCCAAAGCCTGAGAGCTGAGCATGTGGATTAGGCTCTACAGCAAGGGGCCAGAATGGAAGGGAAGTAATCATGGGTATCAAATGTGACACTCTGATAATTCGCCAGCTCAGGCACATGCCTACTTCTGAGGACAAGTGGGCTGCAAGAGGTCAGTTAAAAACCACAAAAGGCTAGGTCAATAAAGTGGTCATAATATGGTGCAAGTACAAGGCACTGGGCAGTGATAGGAAATGCCATCCTTATCAACCTTTTCAGCGCTGCTCCTTTGGCAGCATGAGTGTGCAGGGCAATGTTTAGCAGCAGCTTTTTGGCATCTTCCATCTTTATCCTAAACAGGTACCATCTCTACTGAGCTGCTGCTTTGGGACTGACTTTACCAGGAGGCTCACCACAGGGGGTTGGAGTAGTCCTAGAAGGTGAATAAATGGCAGAGCCCACATGGCATACAAGAGGACAAGGTTTGTCACTCACAGGTGAAACACCACTTAGGGACTCTCAGAATTACTTGGGGGAAATATTGAGGTAGTGCACAAGAATTCATGTCACGCATGTGTGGAGAGGTGAGAAGTGGTATTATGTTATCCTGATCCCAATTTACCTTCTATGAGCTAAAAGACTCAGGTTGCAAGCATTTTAAGGACTTTGCTATCTCAAGGACTTTGGGTCGAAAGGACTCAGGATGGAAAGCACTCACACACACACACACGCACAAATATTTCAAAAGAGAAATATTTTCTTCAGAGAAGCTTGATCATCAAAATGCATTAATTTAATACCTAATGATATGCAGCATTTAGCTTGCTACAAAGGGAATTCCACAGAATTCAGACACAGCCCTCCAGGAGGTTATACAAATCAAGAATACCTGTACACACTATAATGGTCACATGAAAAGCTCAAAGCAATGCAAGGACTGTTGGTGCAACATTTCTATCACATATAGGTCATTTTGCTAAGAGGATTGCAAACTGTTTTAAAGCACCTGAGAGTATTATCCAATTTTCTCTACAAAAATAAAGGCTCAGAAATTCGAAATTACAGGAGCCAGGTCTGTATGACTGTAGGAAAACCAAAGGAGTCTAGAAAATTTGATTAACTCAATTTGTCCCAGTTCCTTGGGGAGGCTTCAGAAACCAAAATTACTATTTAATAGTCCAGGTACTAAAGTTGGATAGAAAAGATCTTTCTGACCTTTCTGCAATTGTTTTTGAGACACAGTCTTAACTGAAAGGTCAGAACCAAGGGAAGAAGAAACATGACAGCATTATTGAGCCTCCGAAATAAAAAAATGTTTCCATCACCTCCAAACCTCCACCTTGGCCAAAATCAGAAAGCAATAAAAACAAGGATGTCCTAGAAAACTTTGATGTCCTTGAATTAGCCTTAATCATCCTTGATTTTTCTGCAGAATGAAGTAATGTGAGCCAGTGTGACATAAAGCAGTTCTTAGCTTTTGATTTCCGTTAAAATCACCTGGAGAGTTTGTTGTACCAGAGATTGTTGGGCCCCAACCACAAAATTTCTGATTTAATTGGTTTGGGTTGGGAACCAAATAGTTTCATGTCTAACAAATTCTTGGGTGATGTTTATGCTGCTGCACAGGGGCGTAGCACAATTTTGTAAGCCACTTATGAAATGACTGATCACTACTGTCTGATTCTGTTATTTCGTTGGGCTTGTAAAATGATGACTTTCAATTCTATATCTTTGTATTTTTTAGTGGGAACTACTCTCTTTTCATTATTATTATTATACTTTAAGTTTTAGGGTACATGTGCACAATGTGCAGGTTAGTTACATATGTATACATGTGCCATGCTGGTGTACTGCACCCATTAACTCGTCATTTAGCATTAGGTATATCTCCTAATGCTATCCCTCCCCCCTCCCCCCACCCCACAACAGTCCCCAGAGTGTGATGTTCCCCTTCCTGTGTCCATGTGTTCTCATTGTTCAATTCCCATCTATGAGTGAGAACATGCGGTGTTTGGTTTTTTGTCCTTGCGATAGTTTACTGAGAATGATGATTTCCAGTTTCATCCATGTCCCTACAAAGGGCATGAACTCATCATTTTTTATGGCTGCATAGTATTCCATGGTGTATATGTGCCACATTTTCTTAATCCAGTCTATCATTGTTGGACATTTGCATTTACCAGTGCAATGACCCTAATTGCTCTTTTTTTTTTTTTTGCCCTGCTTTAATTTTGTTCCAGTTGTTCTTAGATTTATTTTTACTATGCAATTTTCTTCTTTGGGAATAAATTGACAATTTTTGGTTTCAAGGCTCATAGGATCCTTTTATCCTATTTCTTTTTGTCACTAATGCCACAGAGATGCTGGTCCCTAAAGTCACTGATCATTTGGGTTGAAAAATTAACTACTGACAAGTACTCAAGAAAGGCTGCAACTAGATCCCATTAAATAGAAATTTCTGAGGCAAGTCATATAACATGCATGGCACAGAGAAAACTCCAAACCTGCAAATGAGTTTTTATCTTTATGTAAATTTCTATCCATCATTCAAGGCCCAGTGCAAATGTTCCCTCAGGAAGCTTTTCTTTTCCTGCCTACGTATCTACCTAAATTTAATCTTTTCCTCTGCATTCTCATCATATCTCCTCTTACTTACCTGTTACTTACTTGTTCTTGTTCTATCACCTCTGTTGTAGACCTTTTTATCTTTTTTGTAATTTTTCTGCTTATATAACTATTCAGGACTAGATTTTAAGCTACTCCAAGACATGTACACATTCCAATATTTTTTCATATCACCAAAGCCTAGAAGGCCCTCAAGTATTTAATTAAATTTATTATCAAATATTTATGAGTACTTGCTATGGATTAGGCACTGCTATGGATGCTAAAAATTCAAAAGTGAATAAAACTGCATCTATGTGGACAGACCTAGAGCAGTTACTGTCTGCTGCTAAGCTTTCCACTACAGATGCAAGTTTTTAAAAAAGTCCTTGTGCTTTCTATCTCATTGTGGCAGCCAATCTTGAATGGGGGAACACAGGAAAAAACACGGTCATACAGGGAAAAACATGGAAAGAAAAAAACATTTTTGCAATTCATAAGAATTTTCGTAAATCATAAAAAGCCTGTTTTACCAAAAACAGAATAAAAATTTTCAGTTTAAATAAAGTATGTAAAAAAAAATAAGCTCTGCCCTCTTGGAATTTTCATTCTAGTGTTGTAATAACAGATAACACCAAATTAAATGTCATGTCAGACAGTGGTCTAAGAGCATCAGGCATATGTTAATATGTTTAATCTTCACAACAACCATACAACATAGATACAACTATTGTTTTAGTTTAGATTCTCCAGAAGCAGTCCTGACATAAGAATTTATGTGCCAATAGTTTATTTGAGTAGCTATCCCAGGAAACACGATAGGCAGTGGGTGCGATAGGGGAGAAAAAAAGATAATAAAATACAGGTTGTCAAGTGAGTTATCATAATATGTAACTGGAGCTTAATCTCATTGAGAAACAATAAAATATAGGCAGAATAAACCTTAGCGTTATATCAAACTAGGGGTGAGGAAGATGAGATATTTGTCTACTATCTCTGTGCCTATTATTGGTTGAGTGCTCCTCCTGAGTCCTCTGGATGGGCTGACTGTACTTCTATGACAAGAGGAAAAAAAAGAAAGAAAATAAAAGCTCTTCAGCAGAGATTCGTAAGAGTTTTATCGTTAGCAGCCTTCAGGACATACAGGTAAATGCTAAGGGGATGTGGTGGGACAACAATTTTTGTTGAAATGATGTTATTCCATTTTACAAATGAACAAACTGAGGCACATGGCGGTTAAATGACTTCCTAGAAATATAGACCTAACAACTAATAGAGCAAGAGTTTAAATCCTTGAAGTCTTGCTCCAGAGTATGTGTTCTTAACCATTATACTATGCCCCATCACAATATGGAGAGGAAAGAAGAATGAAAGGAAGGAAAGAAGAATGAAAGGAAGGAAAGAAGAGAGGAAGGGAAGGGTTATAGTTCCTCATGAACATATTTTATTTCTACTACTAGGCTTATGCTTCTAGAGAGTAGAACTCAGATTTTATTCCTCTTTATTTCTCTCCTTCAGCCAACTCTTCAACCTACCCTGAACACTGCCAAAAAATGTCTTGCACAAAAGAGATAATTATAAGGCCCTCATCACTAGGATTTTTATTATTAAAAACTATATTTTTAATTCATTATACAGTGTAGACTAGCAGGCTTTGTAGTCAGAAAGACTTGTATGAATAATTTATTCTCAACATTTCACCTTCCACAGTTCATAATGGGTGCTTCATAAATGGTTTCCTATTTGTAATATTACATGACATTTTACAATTTACAAAAAAAGTTTATATTTCCTTATTCTATTTATCTCTCCATGAGTTACTTCATGTGCATATTCCTATTTGCACTCTCAATTGCCCTAAATTGTATGGAAGAGATAAACAAAGGTCATAGTCTGTAAAAATAAAAATAAAGATGTGTTTTATTAGATTATTTTTTAGCAAATATTTTCTCTCTGTCTCTCCCATGGGGTAGAGTATATTTTCCTGGTCCACTGACTTGAGAACATGTGATTTGTTTTGACCAAAGGAATATGAACAAAAGTGGTAATGCGCCAATTCCAAGAAGAGGTTTTAAAAATCACAGCTAGGCCGGGCGCGGTGGCTCACGTCTGTAATCCCAGCACTTTGAGAGGCTGAGGCGGGTGGATCACGAAGTCAGGAGATCCAGACCATCCTGGCTAACACAGTGAAACCCCGTCTCTACTAAAAAAATACAAAAAAATTAGCCGGGCGTGGTCGCGGGCACCTGTAGTCCCAGCTACTAGGGAGGCTGAGGCAGGAGAATGGCGTGAACCTGGGAGGCGGAGCTTGCAGTGAGCTGAGATCGTGCCATTGCACTCCAGCCTGGGCGACAGAGTGAGACTCCGCCTCAAAAAAAAAAAAAAAAAAAAATCACAGCTAGTTTTCTCTAGCCCTATTGTGTTTCTGCATTTTGCCATGGGATGAACATGACCATGATTCTGCATCTTGATCTTAGGTTCTGGAAGGAAAGGTACAAGGAGCTGACATGAACCTGATTTTTAACCTGAAGCAGACAGAGTTGGGACCAGCTGGCCTGCAGTCCTGTGAGCAAGAAATCGATGTGCATACTCATGAGTAAACCATAAACATTTGCTGTTATAACCCAGGAAGCTTTGGGAGTTGATTTTTATGTGGTGTTATGGCAACAATTGTTGATGAATGTGGGTATACAGTATTGGAAGTTCTCATGTGTCTTTGATGGCCAGCCTCTCAGTGCTTACAGAGCTCCTCAGCCTCACCAGATATTTCCCACTTGAATAATGAAGTTGTATGGTTGGGAATAGACATTTTGGCTATTTGGGTCAATAGGTTTAGGACCTTTGGAGGATTCAAGACTGGTAGAAAACCACAGCATGGTCTAAGATGCAGGTGTTCATGCCTGCAGGTAAGTAGATGCATCATTAACTTCAATAATAATAAATAAAATTTAAAGAGATTTTTCGATTATCATAAACTGAATGAACTAAAATTAACTTTCTAACAAATAGCCACAAATTTCTAGCGTGTTTATCTTTCCCATATGTTTCCCAGCTCTGCTAAGTTGGAAGCCTCAAAACCATCAACCAATAAATCATTCCTTGGGTTTCACTTTGGGGACCAATTAAAACTATCAACATGTTTTCTTCCATTACACTGGGAGTTTTATCTCCAGCTGTTGGGATCTGAGCTTCTAAAAGTATGAAGCATGACTACCCAGGGAAAAGGCACGTGAGACAATTGGAGGAAAATAGACTCTATTGAAAGCTAGTTTATGTAAGCTTAGTGCTTCCACCCTCCTCACTTCATTCAGAAGGCACAAGCTTTACTAAACATGTGGTAAATAATACAGCTGGCACCACAGCAGGAAAGGTGCTGCCCCTAAACCTGGAGGGAGAGCTCCTGGCAGATAATCCAAGGGCTGGTAATTTATCACTTATGCAAACACAGCACCTCTTGTGGGTCTCCTTTTACATCTCCTGTTCTGTGAAACTTTCCACTGAAGACTTGGATAAATGTTTTCCAGATGGTATCAATCATGGAGTTACCTACTAATAGGAATCAAGGAAAAGTCATTGAATTAATTAGCAAGTCAAACAGGAAAGGAAGAAGGACTGTGCTTGAAAGTAGAAAAAGAAGAGACCACTTGGAATTATCTAATCATCTAGAAACAAGGTCATTCAGGAAAAGGGGGCTTGATTAAGCATCAGGAAACCTGAGACCTGGCCAACAGCCTGGTTCCTCCAAATCACAGGCTTTGGAGTCTAACAGATAGAGGTTAGAATCTCAGCTCAGTCTCTAACTATGCATAGTGGGCAAGATTCTTGGCCTCTCTGAGCCTCTGTTTCCTCATATGCTAAGGGAAAAAAGGATGAAATATGCAAACTATGTAATACCATTTTACAGACTTAGATGTGTAGCATGTGAAGCACTTAGCAAAGTGGCTACCAATAGGCGGCACTTAAAAAAAAAATTCTTTACTCTCACCTGTGATCAGTTAAATGATTGGAAAACTATTCACCCCTGTCTGAAACTACACCATTGCCATGATCACATCTTGAGCAGAGTGCACTTTCCCACTCCTTGCTTTGGGCTGACTACATGATTTGCTTAGACCAAGCAATGTGGGTGGAAGTGACAATGGGCTCGTTTTTAGACCAGGACTTAAGAGGCATTATGTTTCTACTTGCCCTTTGCACCTCCCCCATCACCACAAGAAAAATATACCCAGGCTGTCTTGCTGGTCCAAGAAGGAGGATAAAAGACACGAGAAGCAAAGCTGCCAACCCCAGGAAGCAAAGCTTCCAAACCCCTCCCAACACGAAGACATGCGAGTGATAATAAATAATGGTTGTTTTTAGCCACTGAGTTTTGACGTGGATTAATTTCAGCTGCTGTATCTCACAGATTATGTTATCTCACATTCCTTCTCTGGGTTCTAATTGCATATCTGCTCAGGACTTACTAAATGAATATCTTTTACAATGCTGATATTAGAGGTAAGGCCCAGAAAATGGCAAGCTAAAGATGTCCCAGAAACTTCTACCGTATAGTTGGCTTAAATCTTAAACTCCAAACTTAGATGTGTAAGAAAAGTAATTTAACTTGGTTATGACAAGACCTTTTTATTTTTTAACAGTTTTATTACAAATCCCCTATTTTGCTGGTTAGCAGAAACATCTCTCAGTCAATTCAGGGTTTCTCCTCCCTTAAGGATTGGGTTTAACTTTAGGAGGCTCTGCATGATGAGGAGGTGGAAGGTGTTGGGAGGGAGAACCAGGGCACTGTCGTTCCTGTTGTTGATCTCTGCAGTGCTCTCTCTTGGTCTACGTAAGTGAGGATCTAAAATCTGATTCATTCTTGGGTAATCTTCTTTTAGAAGCCCATGATTAGACCCAACTGGAGGAAGTTTGGAGCTTCTCTCAGACATGTAAGAATTGTTCTGAAGAATCTGCATCTTGTTGGGTGAAGGACTTCAGAATGTGCAATAAAAATGCAATAGTCTTGGACCTATGTAACTGGAAGGAACTGGTGGACAAGCTCTTACTGCTTCTCCAGGTTCTCACAAGAAAGCAGGCATGGATTCCTTTTGCACAGCTCCTCCAGGCTTTCTGGGCCCTGTCATTCCTTCTTCTATCTTCTGGGTTGAGCAACATGCAATCTCCCCTTGTGCAGAAGCCCAAATAGCTACTGAAAATGTGTCCTCTCTGACTTTCCCCATTTCTTGAACTCTGAGAGACTTTTTCTAGTATCAGTTCTGAGGAGCATTGCTGTTTTCCTTCCTATCATCTGGAAGACCTAGACTTTAAAACTCAAAACCTGAGAAAAACTTCCTTTTTTTTCTCTCTTTTGTCTGGATCATCACTACCTTGAAATACTAAATTAGCAAAGTCCTAACTAGAAACTGAATTGGCTAAAGAGTCAAGGAGCAACAGGTAATTCCAAGAAAAACAACAGCAAACTTACATCAGTTAACATTTCAAAGCTATTTTCCTTTGCAATTTTGTGTATCTGTTTTTATGGAATGCAAGAGATAATAGGCTAAATGCTATTTTGCATATGTGTTACATTGGATTTCTCACATATTCTACTACTTAACTCAAGATGTTGAGTAAATAAATGAGTTAATAAACTGGAATTTCTATATCAGCTCTTGGTTCTAGTTATGTTTCGTTTGTTTTGGATTTTTTTTCTTTTTGAATGCTTATTCACTGGCCCAGCTGTATTTATGCCTAGATTAACCAGATACATTGCCAGCTGTGATTTGCAGATGTGCTCCAGCTCCACAATGCCAGAAAAATTCAATTATGCCTACTAAGGTCATCGCTATAAATCACAACCACACTGACATTTTATGGTGAATAGTGGCAATCGAAATACTTAGCCAGCAGCAGATTGTAACTGCTTATATTACGATGGCCGAAATAACCATGTGTGAAACCATTATATTAGTTATATTTACAGCCAAATCAAACCAGGCAGTGGTCCAAGCAATGGGTTGGCAATCAGCCCGATTCAAGCTGAGCAAGGGTGATTTCATGCTGCAAAATGTGAACAAAAACATGAGCCATTACAGCATGTATTGAGAGTTCAAGTGGAATAGAACCTCTCAGACAGTGTAGACATTCGAATGAATAAGCTGGTTCCCAAATATTTACCTCAATTTGCAAGTGTGTGTTAGGTACAAGATAGGATTCTGAGACGCACTACCTCCCTATGGGACAGACTTAGAGAGATATTTTCAATATATTATGTTCCTTAGAATATTAGTATCCATAAAGTACTTCATAGCTTTTATTTTAGGCCATGACCAAGTATAAGGGAAATGATTTACCTTGTTACCTTAAAAAAACTAAGCAAACAAGCAAAATATATGAAATAATGGTTTTCAGACATTTGGAAAGAGGCTATGCAAGAGAATGAGACAACAGAAACAGATGAGAGGAGGCTTATGTTTTCCAATTTACTAGCTGGAGAGTTTTTACGTTGTTTTGCAGGAAAGGGAAATCCAAACAGTGCCTGGCAGTCTCCCTGAGGTGACCAGAGAAAGTTGAGAACTTGTACATTCCAAGGTGGCTTTAACTTACAGAGACAACAACCAGGCACGAAACTGCTTCACAGATAAGAGAGGCCTGCAAAGACAGAGAGCTCTGGGGATTTGCAGAGAGTTCCTTTGGAGACTTCGATTGAATACTACTCAGTGCATATATGTGAGGAAAGTCACTAGGACTAGAAAAGGAATCAACGGCAAGGATTCAAAGGAACAACCCCTGAGATTCCCACAGAGCCTGGAAGAGTTTATGCTTCTACCTGCTAAAGTTGAATGAACATTGTAATACAAGGGAGCATCAGGTAGAGTACTCTAAGTATCACCTGAGCACTGGGGCAGAATTAGCCTTTGACTGAAGTCTTCTGATCCCACCTTAAAATCAAGCCTTGAAAGGATCAATAATTTCCATGTAACTTAATTGTGCCCCAGAACAAAGATCAAGAATATTTAAAGGTACACAAAACTAGCAAACAAGGTAACTTGTACAATGTCAGGCAGCCAATAAAAATTACCAAGCAGGCAAAGAAGCAGGAAAATATGATCTGTCATGAGAAGAAAAATCAATCAGTAAAATAGATTCTTGAAACATGCTAAAAATAGCAGAAAACATTGAAATATCTATTACAACTATATCGCAGATAATCAGAAAGGTAGAATAAATATGAGGATATTAAACAGAGACATGGGAGGTATAAAAAGGCCCAATGTAAACTTCTAGAGATGAAAAATAAAATGTCTGAAATGAAGAATGAGATTAATAGCAGATAAACAATGCAGGAAAAATGTTAATAAATGCACAATTAAAACTGCATGTGAATGTTCACTGCAGCACTGCTCACAATAGCAAAGACATGGGATCAACCTAAAAGCCCGTCAATGACAGACTGGATAAAGAAAATGTGCTGATATGCACCATGGGATACTATGCAGCCATAAAAAAGAATGAGATCATGCCTTTTGCAGGAACGTAGGTGGAGGTGGAGGCTGTTATCCATAGCAAAC
This sequence comes from Homo sapiens, assembly GCF_000001405.40. NCBI lineage: Eukaryota > Metazoa > Chordata > Mammalia > Primates > Hominidae > Homo > Homo sapiens. Next base: position 117,320,771 of record NC_000008.11, read on the forward strand.
TAACTCAGGAACGGAAAACCAAATACCACATGTTTTCACTTATAAGTGGGACCTAAATGATAAGAACACATGGACACAAAGAAGGAAACAACAGACACTGGGGTCTACCTGAGTGGGGAGGGTAGAAGGAGGGAGAAGAGCAGGAAGATAACTAGGCTTACTACATGGGTAATGGGCTACTAGTACATACTGGGCTTACTACATGGGTGATGAAACAGTATGTGCAAAAAATGTCCATGACATGTGTTTACCTCTGTAACAAACCTTCACTTGTACTCTTAAACCTAAAATAAAAGTAAAAAGAAACTGCTCAAAATTAAATAGACAAAAATGACTTTAAAAATATAGTAAAGCAATGTGAACTGTGGACAGCTTTAAGATGCCTAATATGTACATAATTGAAATCTCTGACATGGGAATGATTACCACAAAAAGTATTGGAAGAAATGCCAATTTTTCCTCTAAATTGGATGAAAACTATAAACCCAGAGATGCAGGAAGCCCAGTACACTCTGAGCACAATAAAACTACTCCAAGGTACATCCTAAGAAAATGATTAAAACCAATCATCAATGGGAGCCTTAAAAACAGAGAAAATACACACATTTCAAAAAGAAAAACAAAACAAATGAACAAAAAACAGAAAAAAATAACTATAGACTTCTTGTTGGAAAAAATGTAAACCTGACAGTAGTGAGGCAATATTTTTACAGACCTCCAAAAGTTTTGACTTAGAGCTCTATTTCCAGTTGTATTAGTCCATTTTCATGCTGCTGATAAAGACATACCCAAGACTGGGCAGGTTACAAAATAAAGAGGTTTAATGGACTTACAGTTCCATGTGGCTGGGAAGACCTCACAATCATGGTGGAAGGCAAGGAGGAGCAAGTCATGTCTTACATGGATGGCAGCAGACAAAGAGCTTGTACAGGGAAACTTCCATTTTTAAAACCATCAGATGGGTTCCTCCTATGACACATGGGTATTGTGGGAGTTACAATTCAAGATGAGATTTGGGTGGGGACACAGCCAAACCATATCAACAGTGAAAATATCTTTCAAAACTAATGGTGAAATAAAGACTTTGTGAGACGTATGAAAGCAGAAAGGGTTCATTATCAATAAACCTCAAATATATGAAATGTTAAAGGAAGTCCCTTAAGGGGAAGAAAAGTGATATCAGATGAAAATCTGGATTTACACAAAGATGAAGAAAACTAGCATATATTAAAAACATAGGTAAAGATAAAACATTCTTTTTAATTTTATAACTTACTACTTAAATAAAAATAATAATAAATTGTGGATTACAAAGAGAAATAAATCATTGTATTAAAAAGACACTTGCACTTATATGTTGAAAACAGCACTATTCATAATAGCAAAGACATAGAACCAACCAAGATGCCCAATGGTGGACTGGATAAAGAAAATGTGGTACATATACACCATGAAATACTATACAGCCATTTAACAAAGAATGAACTCATGTCCTTTACAACAACATGGATGTAGCTGGAGGCCATTATCCTAAGTGCACTAATGTGGGACCAGAAAACCAAATACTGCATGTTCTCACTTATAACTGGGTGCCATATATATATATATATAAACAGATATATTTTGAAACAGAGTCTTGCTCTGTCACCCAGGCTGGAGTGCAGTGGCATGATCTCAGCTCATTGCAACCTCTGACTCCTGGATTCAAGCTATTCTCCTGCCTCAGCTTCCTGAGTCGCTGGGATTATAGGCATGTGCCACCACACCCAGCTAATTTTTGTATTTTTAGTAGAGGCAGGGTTTCTCCATGTTGCCCAGGCTGATCTTGAACTCCTAACCTCAGGTGATCCACCTGCCTCAGCCTCCCACAGTGCTGGGATTACAGGCGTGAGCCACGGCGCCCAGCCAGGGCATTACATATTGAATACACAAGTATGCAAAGATGAGAACAATAGAACTGGAGACTGCTTGAGAGGGGAGGTGAGAAAGGGACACGGGTTGGAAAGCTTCATACTAGGTACTATGATCACTACCTTGGTGATGGGATCATTTGCACACAAAGTCTCAGTGACACAAAATTTACCCCCTGGACCTAAAATAAAAGTAGAAAAAAAATCATGGGCTATAGAATATGTAGAAGTAAAATGCCTGTCAAATACAGCACAAAGGTCTATTTAAAAAGGGAAAATTGAAATAAACTGTTTTAAGTTTATTTTACTATATAGAAAGCTGCGTAATATTAATGGAACACAGACAAGTTTTATTGAATAAACCCTAAAGCAACCATTATAAGAACAAAACTGTTCACCTAGTAAGCCAAGAAAAGAGAAGATAAGATCATAAAAAATACTCAATTATTCTAACAGAAGGCAAAAAGAGGAATGGACCAAAAAACAGATTAGAAAAATATGAAACTAATAGCAAAATGTTATAAATTTAACCAATAATCACATTAAATGTAAATCATTAAAATCTGCCAATTATAGGGCAGAGATGGTCAGATTGAATAAAAAGTCAAGATCCAACAATATGCTACCTATAAGTCATACTGTAAATAAAATGACGCAAATAGGTTGAAAGGAAGTAAAAAGATATACTAATGTAAGTTTGGTTCAACATTTGAAAAATAATTCAATGTATTTCACCATATTAACAAACTAAGAAAGAAAAAATGATAATTTCAATCAACGTTAAGAAAACAAAATGTTCACAGCAGCTTCATTTGTAATAGAAAAAAAAGGGGGGAATACCATTCATTTGAATGGATAATCAAATTGTAACATATCTATGTAATAGAATATTATCTAATGTACTAATCAGAATTCTCTAGAGAAACATAAAACATAAGGATATATATATATTTTATATAATATATATATAGAGAGAGAGAAAGAGAGAGAGAAAGAGAGAGAGAGATTTATTATAGGAATTGATTCACATGATTATGGAGACTGAGAAGCCCCACAATCTGCCATCTGCAAGCTGGCAGGAAAGGTAATTATATAGGTAAATGTAAAAACAGTATAGTGTATTTTTTGTGTTTTTAATCTTCCTTTTGTTTGAATTAAAAAGACAACTACATAAAAGCAGTAATTATACAATATATAAAAATGTAGTTTTTGTGACTAACAACACAAAGGCAGAAAGGGGGACAGAGCTATCATGGAGGAAAGATTTTGCATACTGTTGAAATCAGCATGGTATTAATCCAAATTAGATTGTTATAAATTAAATTATTAAGTGTAATCCACAAGAAAACCACTAAGAAAATAACCCAAAATACATAATAAAAGAAATAACATTGGCATTAAATGGTGCAACAATGGAATTAAGTTAAATAGTACACAACAGTGAAATTAAAAGAAAATTATTTATTTAACATAAGTTAGTAATGGAAGAATAGAGGGAAAAAATAAGACACATAGAACAAATAGCAAAATGACAGACATAAATCATATCACTTAAGTAATACATTAAGTGTAAGTTGATTAAATACTCTAATCCAAAAGCAGAGATTGGTAGAATGAATAAAGAAAAAACAATTCTATTTCTAATATATGTAAAAAGGATAAAATGCTTAAGAGTAAATGTAACAAAAGAAGTGCAAAACTTGTATATTGATAAACGCTCCAACACAGATGAACCTTGAAAATGTTATGCTAACTGGAAGAAGCCAGACACAGAAGGCCAGATATTATATGATTCCACTTATGTGAAATGTTCAAAATAGGCAAATCCCTAAAAACAGAAAGTAGATTAGTAATTTCTAGGGAGTGGTAGGAGGGGAAGGATTGAGGATTAACGGCCAATGGACATCAGGTTTCATTTGGAGGTAAGTAAAATATTGCAGAATTAGATAGTCATAGCGTTGTACATTGTAAAGCTCTGTGAATATACTAAAAACCACTGAAACGTACACTTTAAAAGGATGAATTTCATGGTATGCAAAGTAAACAAATTAATTATTAATTAAAAATAATCAGCTATTTTAAAGTAGATTTACAGGGGATAGTGAAAATATAGAGATCAAGTGTTTTATAGAGTTAGAAAGGCTAACTGTTTCTGGATTCCCTATAGTAAGATTGCAAATTGAAAAAGGTCTTAAGCATAAAAAGCTCAATATGACTCTCAGCTAATAACTCCCTCTGAGACAAAGACCAGTTAAAAGAGTTACTTCCTCACCAAATCTCATGTTTTGGGTAGCTAACAAGCAGTTTCCATTAAGATGAGAGAAAATAAGAAAGCATGGGAAAGACAGAAAGGCATTGGGGTAAAGGAGAAATAAGGCAGGACTAACAATTGTATATATAAAAAAATTTGACTGTGATTACTGATATATAAAAGTAAATGGAAATATTTAGATTAGAAACTGCCAAGTTTTGAAGAATCTTTTATTGCAGAAGAATCCCAAGCCAAGTCTAATAATCTTGTAATTATTTGCTAGGCTTTAAAACTGTCATGGTAGATCCAAACTAGCATGGGCAGGAACACCAGCTTCAAGTATGAATAAAGAAGAAATTTGTAAAGGGTGGAGCCAGGAGCGCCAGGGAATTTTAAATTGTAGCTATTCTATACAGTCTTCATTATTTTATATTTAAGTGTTTTGGAGCAGAAGTATGTAGAGTAACTCATCTCTAGTTTTACAGGTTGCTGGGCCAAAAGGAACCACATCTGTACACAGCAGAAGGACTGTACATCACCTATAGATCCTGGTCATGTTGTGCATTGAATGGATGGGACCTAAAGTGTTTACCTTGATAGAAAGTAAGTCAGTTCTGTTTCTTGGAGAAAGAATGTGGCAATAAAAGTCAGTCATTGCTATGTTCATCCAAGCCAATTTTCATTTCTTCCTAAGTTAGACTGCATTTCCAAACCTTCCTTACAGTTAGGTGTGGCCAAATAACCCATGGAATGTGGGCAGGCATGATAAGTGCTTTCCACATGCTTTCTAAAAAAACTCCTCATTATCCTCCACTCTTTTTTTTTTTTTTTTTCATCATCTGCCCAATGAAGGGAGAGACCAAGGACCTACAGGAGGGCAGGTCAATAAGACCGAAAGAGCCTGGGTCTGTGAGTCACCACATGAAGGAGAATAGATCATAAGATCTCCCAGACTAGGGGGGACCTCATCAGATTGCTGCATGAGAAAGAATTTTTATTGTGTTAAGTGATGACATTTGGGGTTCTTTATAATAGCAGACGGTATTGCCTTAACTAACACAGTCTTATAGGTTAATAAATTTAGAAAACGCTAGTCTTACAAAGAAAAACTGATCCGCATCAGCCTTTGATTTGCTGCTGGATATGATAAGTTTTTACAACGAACAGGTCATATAGAGTATTTTCCTAGTTATATGACCACAAGACCCATTTTTCACTTAGCCTCCAGAATGACCATGAAATTTCTCCTCAAGAGAGAAAGGGGAAATTGGCTGGGTTCAAATTTTTAGAAAAGACACACATTTAGGAAATAGAAGGAAATAAAATACTGAAAAAATAAAGAAAAGAAACAGAGAGGAAGAAGTATGAGTGTTAGTACAAGGGTTCTCTAGTGGGAGAGTTTTAAAAGGAAGCAAACATTACCTAACAATGCCAAATGTTCACAGAGATCAAGACCAATGGGAGGTCACTAAGACCCTGTGAGTGAACAGAAAAGTTAGTAAGGTTAGAGCTATAAAGTTAAGTCATTATACTGGGAAGGGTGAACTCTGTCTAGACAGTCATAAACTTTCCCTTTATACATTCATCAAATAATTATTGGATACCTAACTGCATTTCAGGTTTAATTCAGAACCCAGAGCATACGATGACGATGCACTCTAGATAAGACTTTGCCTGAACTAACAGCTGGCTCCTTAGAACTTGGATATCTCTTAATTTCTTAGAGATGTTTCTAATATCTGTAAGAACAGAGACAAGTCCTTACACTCTCTGAGCTTCAGTTTCCCCATCCATGAAACAGAGAAAATATTAATATTCTGCCCCCTGACATCATAAAAAAGCTTGCAAGAGATCTTTGAAAGCTATTTAATCCACACCTGCCATTCTTACCCACAGCATTTACACAGGCCCACATTGGTGCACAGGCACACACACACACACACACACACACACACCCCAGATTCCATAAATTGTAACACAAATTATAACTTTGTTCTTTTTATCAGAAACAGGCAAGCATTTCCCATCTTTAACAGATTAAAGACATTTTTATTGGTTACAATGTCATTTCTGAAGCTTGAAATTAACATCAGCCCACTGTCAGTTTAATCCCTTTCCATTTGTCAGATGTTCAATACCATTCCAGTTTCAAAGGGAGGTGAAAATAAAACTAGCTGAACGTGTGTGGCCCTATTGTGTGTGGTTATTGAAACACTGAGACTACATCGGGCTGACCGCAGCTGCCTCGGCTGCTGCTAAGATTATTGGAGCAGCTTATAGGTTGCTTGTAAGCATGTCTCCAACATGCATGCTCATCTGGGGTTTAACTTCTTAAAAAGTTTCTGGGAATATATTGAAGTAGAGCTGAGGATAGGAAAAGTGGTAGTTTGGAAAATGAAGAAACAAACACTCGACCGTGATTAAAGATTTGTTTTCAAGTCAAAATTATAGCACACTCAAGCCAATTTTAACAAAATAAACATCTGCTCTTTAAGGAATCCAGGGGAAAAGTCGCCATTAAATTTTACTCCTGCTGCCCTTGTTTCTCAGGCATTGCTATATCCTTGTAGTAGAGATATTTTATTGGTTCAAATTCCTACCGTCTGTAGTTAAAGCAAAGGTATTCTCTATAACTTAGCCAAACTGCGAATGTCATTTGTCTTCTGTGATGATTTCCACAAGGAATTTAAAATATCTGAGGTTCCTCTAAGGTCAGACTGGACTGAAGTTGTGTTAGGAACCAGAAAGGTGATCAATATTTGTCTGGAATCTGGATCCAGGAATTTGTCTGTTTCCTTCTTATAATAAAAAGGTGCTAAATGTTTTACCCAGGTTATCTCCAGATTATCAAAAAGCCCTCAGTGGTTGGTAATACTGCTCCAGTTTTACAAACCATGATTCATATTATTTTACAATTTGTCCATATTTATGTAGCTAGTAAGTAGCTAAGCTGAGATCCGAATGTATTTCATCTGATTCTGAGTGACCCTAGACACTCTACCACTTGATCCAAGATGACATATGCGCATCCATTTTCCATATGAACATATGTTAAATGAAGATAAAGGCTCTGACTTATCTCATGTTACTTGCAATTATTTAAAAAATATTGTTTACTGTTCAAAAATAAGACACATAACTTCAAAATCATTCACTAGAAATATAGAACAAACCAGAAAAATATGTTATTAACCTCTTCCACAAAAAAGTGTTCTCTCCAAAGATTTCTAAATATTACTTGCTTCCATGGGACAATAACTCATCCCAAAAAGCTACTGTACATTGCGATGACAAATATTTTTGAACTAGATAAACAGATCTGGAAAATACAACCTATTAAGAACAACTACATTACTGGTTTACAAATCTTTCAGTTGCAGGGCATCTAACAAAGAAAAATTCGACAATTCTGTTTTCTGATTTTAAAAAAGAAGAAAATTCACAAATAGGCCAAGTTAATTTGACCATGAAGCAACAGCTCCTCCTACAGCATCTGAGAATGTAGCATTTCAAAGATTTCTTGTTAGGTTCATTTCTAGAAAATTAACCAGGCAAAAATGAGGTGCTCTGTTTTCCTGGTCTACTTTCATGTCTCTATCCCAGTTCAAATACGTTGATTCTTCTTCCCCTATTTCCCAGCAGTCTCCTCCTTTTATCAGAAACTCTGCCAGGACTGGATTTTAAGCTCACTCACACTAAGTGAAAGGAAGGTGACTTTTAAAAGCCTAATGACAAGGTAAGGGGACTACTTGAGGCCAGGAGTTCAAGAAAAGCCTGGACAACATAGTGAGACCCTGTCTCTATAAAAAATTAGAAACTTAGCTGTGCATAGTGGCACTCACCTGTAGCCCCAGCTACTTAGGAGGCTGAGGTGGGAGGATAACTTGAGGCCAGGAGTCGGAGGCTACAGTGAGCTATGATCATGCCACTGCACTCTTGCCTGGGCAACAAAGTGAGACCCTGTCTTTAAACAAACAAAAAATTTAAACTAATCTGCATAAGTGAAAAGTTAGCCTCAGGTATTAGTGAGAGGGATCTGATCCCCCTACCCCATCCCTGCATAAAAGAGCCTTGGGGATTCTAACTCAATTGATTCTGCCCAACTACTTGGAAATCCCAGACCAGACACTTCAAATATTGGGCATTTTGTCCACTACCTGTTAATTTCTAGACTTAATTTCCAGTGTGGCCACAAGATGGCACTACTCTCCAACTGTTACCATACTGTACCAGGCAGGGCCCCAGGGAGCATGGACACACAGTAGGCGAAAACCTTGGTAATAACACAAGGAGTGTTCCCTCACATCCCCTTCTACCACCATCCTTTCGTGTGTGTGTGTGTGTGGCCAAAGATATATTAAGTCAGCAAACTCTGCTTTCAAAGGAAGCTACAGACGTAAGTAAAATAAAATACCTGAATTAGGAGCAACTTCATCCTAAACTTTAGTCAATATTTAGGTATCAATCCTTGAATGCATGGCAACAGAAACTATCACTACTTAAAAAATAACAATACTGCAAGCCACTTTTAAAAAGCTTTCATTCTTTTTGTTTTACTGTATCAAAAATGATGAAAAAAAATGATGCTTTTTCTCTTAAAAAATATCTCCATGCTTGTGATGTTTTGCTTGTTTTTTCTTATAGGGCCGAAGCGATTGGCAGAATTTCTGCTGTGGATTTGTAGCTGACTTCAATCACTGATTCAGAGCACACACACTCAGTACGCACACACATACACATTCTCATACATGTGCAGAGATGCAGAGATGCACACGTGAACATATGTGCACATGCATGACTACTCTTCCAGTAACATCAATAGTAGCACGCTGTGCTCCGTTTCCCATGGCAGGGCCTGATGAAGGCCTCCGTCTGACCCCTCTCTCCTGAAACTGCTCACAGGCAAAGCCTCCGTTTTCACCAAAGCCAATGCTGATGCTGCTTTCTTAGCTGTCTGGCACCCTCTTTAGCACATGCGGTTAGAGTTACCAGGCCAATACTTAGAACATCACTGGTAAATGTCACAAGGATACTAGTTTCTCAAACACACAGTTCAGAAAATCGTGTAACTCCAGCAAAAAAAACGCACCTTCCCCGGAAAAAAGGCTTTCTCATGTGTGGAAGACAAATTATAGAAAGGAACCCATGTTGCAGTTATGAACTTACTCTAGACAGCCCACATTTTCTATCTTCCAAAAGACAGTTGGCCAAAGTGATGACATTTGAAAGAAATATGTGTTTTTGTTTAGTTTTGTTTAATCTCCCTCCCACGCCCAAATCTGCATCTCCTCCCCTCTCTTGAGGCACCTCAGCCTTCTTCATCTGGTCTGTGTCTCCAGCAAGCAGACAGGCCCCAGCTGTGCATGAAGCATGAGCTCCCCCTGCCGACAGCTGGGAAGAAAGACAGGCTCTCTCAAACCCAGTCTGAGATTTTTCTCGTAAGCTTAAGTCCAAGTTGTGCAAAACTGCTTGAACGTGCACACTCACACATACACACACACACGCACACACATGTAAACAAAGTGATAATTGAAACCTTGTGTATTTGGAGGAAGCATTTGGTTTAATTTGCTGCAAAAGTATTTTCACCAATGGATCGATAATGCAAATGTATGCTATGGTAAGATCAGCTTTCTATTCAGTTGTGCTGGGGTCTTGTTGGGTGTGTTTTTAAAAGTGTTGAAAGACTATCCTGCAACCTACTTATCTCTGCTGGTTCTGATAAAGTGCATGAAATTTCCTAATCCATTCCCTAACAAGGCAGTAAGCATTTCCTTTTTCTTAAGTCTGCTGTAATGGACATCGGAGATTAAAGAATAGGTCCCAGGCAGGGTCACAGGAGGCAATTTGTGAGTGGCTGGCACCTGAAGGGAACCACACAGTACAGTAGGTCCAAAATTGGATTTTTTTTCTCTTGTTCTATATTGAGCTGACTCTGAGATGGTTACTCTCCTTTTTTTTTTTATCTTAATATGAATTGATGGTTTTGTCCAAATTCTTACAATTTGCAAGACATTGTTCAGAATTACTCCAGCATTCTCTTATTGTTTGGCACATTCATTTGACAAATGCTTATGTGTTCTGACACTGTTCTTAGATTTTCAGTTATAAAGATAAAGAAAACACAGTTGCCACCCTCAAGACTCAAAGCCTCGGTCAGGAAACAGGCAAAGAATAGAGGATAGTGTGTAGCTTGTGTTCCATTTCCCCGAACGTGGGGGATTTTAAAGGCATTTCAGAAAAACTTAAAACACAGACAGGTGCCATGCTGACTTTACCCAGAGTAGCAAGCTTTTAGGGAAAGCCTGAGCGTGCCTCAAAAGATTACAGCCCACAGCAGCATTGGGTAAAGAGAACATCAGCTGGACTGATGGACCAAAAGGCCAGGGAAATAAGGCTGCACAGGTTAAGGGCCTTGTAGCTGGAGCTGATGGCAGAATGCCTGGCTACCAGCAATGGATGCCAGCATAGCATCCAACAGACAGGTGGGCCAGTGGCTTCTTAGGGACACCAATCTAGATGCTGGGAATCAAAAAAGGACTTGGGACTTCTCACTGGAGCCACAGATGAGCTAGAGGAAGTCCCAGCCCTGGAGCCCATGGTGCTTCTTTGCTGATTTACACGTACCCAGGTGATGGGTGGAAGCAGCAGCAGCAGAAGCCCCTGAAAGGGTGAAACAGTTCTGTTAGGGACGTTCAACCTGAGATTGAATATATATAATCTCTATATATGTTTTACATGTGGAAAAGAAATTATAGAAATGACTGCATGTTGCATAGCTATAGACTTACCCTAGACAGCACACATTTTCTCCCTCTCCCTCTCCCTCTCCTGAGAGATTCCTGACAAGTCCTGTCCATTTTGATTCCTGGCACCCTAGGTTGGTGTCCCTAAAGAGCCACTGGCCCACCTGTCAGTTGAATCTTATGCTCCTGAGAGGGAGAGTGGGATCATGGGCTGGCTTGCTTTGCTAGTGAAAGCCAATTGTGTGATCTCCTCCCAGTTGCACATTCAGTATAATCATGCTGGTAACTTGAAATTGACCAAAGTGAGACTATTTACGCTGTAGAAATTGAAAAGTGCTACAAACTAGGAGTTCCCTGTCCCCAAAAGCTGATTGTGAAACACTGACCAGCACACCACTAAATTTATGTATGTATGTATGTGTGTACACACATATACATTATGTACACATATACACATAGATATACATATATGGTATATGTGTATATTAAGAGAGAGAGTATATTAAACTAAGAGAGAGACTAAGTTACTTTTATTAAACATCTTTCCTATGTCTCAATCTCCAAACACACACACACACACACACACACACACACACACAATCATCAGGAATGAGAATTTTGAAGCAAGATGAAACCTGTTATTTAAAAGGAAAAGTTACAGTTCTTGCACATATGAGCCATGAAGAGTAAATTTCAACCCTGCTATGCTTAATAAGGAGGAATATCCCCTTTGGGTCATTACTGGAAATGTCAGCTGCTCCTGTCTCTGTCATCATACAGTTGACAGAGCATACACTTTGGATTCAAGTAAATTTGCATTGGACTTTCAGCTCAACCACTGACTTTGTGATCCCGGGTAAGTTATTCGACCTCTGAGTTTCCATTTCCTCATCTGCAAAACCTAGAGACAAAATATCCCTACCTAGTATAGTAGTTGAGAAGAGTAGAGAGATGCAAAGTGCCTGTCAACATTTGGCTTAATAAACGATGACTACTGATAAAGAAAAATTAACCCAGTAAATTAGAACAGACACTTTCTCTCATTCATCTGCTGATCGACTGGAGAGAACCCACTGGGAATGGGTGAGGGGGAATCACCCTCTGCAACAAAAGTAAGGCATCGCCCCATGTTAACAAACAGCTTATGAGTTTGCAGGTGATTAGGTGGCAAAGGGTGGTCCCCTAGAGAACGTGGGAAAGGGAGCCTCACTGCGGAGGTGCAGCAGGACATATGAGAGCTGATTAAATGTGAGTTTTCTCCACTCATTTGGCATAAAATGCTAAGGCTGAGCACGGAGGCTGGTTTTCACTTTCTTGAAACAAAAGCAAAAGAGTTTAGAACAAGCTTGCTTGCACATACAGCTCCTTGAATGCAAAATATTTATAGGGCGAAATGGTAGAACAACGCCAGCTGGTACTGAGGAGGGAGCAAGGGCTGAAACGGTATAAGGCTGAATTCGTTCACACGCTCCCCCCAGGAAACAAAAACGGAGGTGAAAAAAATCCTGGAGAGGTGAACAAGAGCATGAAAGGCCTTTTTTATTCCCAATTAAGTGTGGCATGAAAGGATACGATCCGTGTGAAAGGGAACAAGGCTGCTGATGGCAGAGAGGCAAATACGGAGCAGCGTTTTAATATTTGCTGTCTGCCACTAGGAAGGAAGAGGCTGGATAATTGCCCAAATCTCATAACCTTCAATTACCCACTTCCCTGAGGACAAATTAAAGAATGTGCCAATAATACCTGAAACAAAGGTTAGAGGTTCTAGAAGCTGTCAGACATCAGCTCTGTAGGAACGGAAGAATTTTCTTTGATATTTTCACCTCCTGTGGGGTAGTGGAGAAGGATTTGAGGGTCGTGGTGGGCTTGCTATGCTCTGTCTAGCCTCTTTCTTCACACATCCCTCCTCTCCGTCCTCCCCCACCAAGTCCCTCCAGCCTGCCACCTGCTTCCCCAAAACAGCCCCAAACACAAAAACACATCTTAGGCTGCAAAGTAACTGGCATAACATTACAAAAATAGTGAGGGGTTTCGAGGGAAAGATTTTGAGCAGTCACACTTACAATGTATTTTAGAGGATCAAAGGGAAGAATAGTTGCCATGGCCTGGCCTTCCTACCCTTCACAGTCTTCCTTTGTTAGAATTCTTTGAAGATGTGACATGGTACTCCTGGGGTGGGCCTTCTTTATTTAAGGTTTCAAGAGGTGCTTGATAAGTCTTCAGTGCCCGAAAAGGATGTATAAAACATGAGGAATCGGAGTAAGTAGATAAGATTGAAACTGAAATTGATGTCAGAGAGGGAGCTGGTACAATGGAGAATCTGGGCACTATGAGGATGCGCTAGAACAAGAGAGAAGGAAGCCATGTTCCATTATCTGCCCAGGATCAGCATAAACAAGCTGCATTTTAAGCCACAGATCTGCAGTGGAAAGTGCCTCAGTGTCTCTGTGGGAACCAAGCAAGTCTTCATTTGCATTAGGGAATTAGGGAAATGGAGTTAGAGAAACTGCTTAGTATGTTAAAAGTCCCAAAAGCAAGACTTCCCTACTGTCACATACACAAACACGTGTCATTGTTGTTGTCCTTTAGCTGATCAATCAACTCATGCATATTTATGAGCACCTGCCTTGCTTCATCACTATGCTGGGCATAAGGGTTATAGGAGATGGTCCCTGGACTCAAGACACATGAAGCTGGATGGCAAAGGTGAGTCCAGTGTCAACAGCAAAATCCCACACAGGATGAAATGTTACATAAATAAACAAATTCATGGAACCTAAAAAGAAGTAGCCACTTGTTCTTCTAAAAATTCCCTGAGAGCAAGGAAGATAATCTTACTCTTCAGTTTATCGTTAGCACTGTATTAGGGTTCTCTGGAGAAACAGAACCAATAGCATTTAGATATTTATAAATATATATAAGAGGAGAATTATTATAGGTATTGGCTCATGCAGTGATGAGGCTGAGAATCCCACAATCTGCCATCTGCAAGCTGGCGAACCAGTAAAACCAGTGGTATTATATAGTGCCAGTCTGAAGGCCTGAGAATTGACGTGCCAATGTAAGTCCCACTCTGAGTCCAAAAGTCTGAAAACCAGGAGCACCAACGTCCAAGGTCAAGAAGAAGATGAATGTCTCAGCTCAAGCAGAGAGAGTGAATTTATCCTTCATCAGCATTTTTGTTCTATTTGGGTCTTTAACAGATTGGATGATGCCCACCCACCTTGGTGAGGGTGGATCTTTTTTACTTAGTCTCCTGATTGAAATGCTAATCTCTTCCAGCAACACCCTCACAGACACACCCAGAAATAATGTCTTACTAGTCATGTGGGCATCACTTAGTCCAGCCAAGTTGACATAGAAAATTAACCATCAAAAGCACCTATCATTATACCAGGCACAAAATAACCCTATAAATGTTGTTGTAATCAACTTACATCTCCCATTTGTGGGAGATAAAGTACACCTGGAAAGTTTATGCTAGAAATGCTCTTTCCTGATGGCGCAGGAGGTAGTACTCAATGGTGGAAAGAGAACGAATTTTAGCTCAGAACATTTTGCTCAGGGTCTTCCTCCACTATTGCTTACTGTGTGTCCTTGGGCAAGCTGCTTTAACTCTCTCTGCCTTACTTTTGTCATTTGTACAATTGGGATAAATATAATTTTTATCAGGCTCTATTTTGAGGATAAGATGAGAGTATACAAATAAAGTGCTTTGCAAAATCAAAACAAGGCATGAGTAATGAGTTATAGTAATGATGATAGTATGTACAGTAAGCTTTCCCAACTCTGGGCTAAGCACTGCTTTCTTTAACTGTAAATTCCTTTGGGAGATGGTAGCAGCAGTGTTTCTGTCCCCTCTGTGTGAATGAGGACAGCATATTCCTCTGGAAATTGATCAGGTATAGTGGCCTGGGCAAAAATGCCTTTCCTCACTGGATTGAGATTCACAGGAGAAGAAGGTCTTAAGAAGGAAATAGAAGGAAAAAATGTTTCAGTGCTTGTTGCAAACCTAAATCTTCATATCAAATGGGAGAGAAGTGTTCTGGAGATGCTGCTTCTAATCAATGACAGCCAAGGTCAAGTGTGAGACCAGCATCAATCAAATTTCTGCTGTCTTTCACCTCAGCGTCTTTACAGGTCTTCTTGTGGTGGGAGTGCCCAAGCATTGTAGGAGAAACAAGGGAGACAGTCCTCTCTTCAGTGAACACACAACTGTCCTTTGGAAACCTTTGCTATAGGGTAGCAGACAGCAAGCCCTCCCTTCTTCCTTTTCCTTTCTAGCCCTTTAACTCTAGGCTGGGCCTAGGACTAGGTAAGGCAAATGAGGTAACTAGGGCCAGAGTTTAAGGAGGCAATCACCCTCAAGGTTGTGCACTCCCAGGGTGAGATTTGCTAGAAAAGGAACATCAAAGGCTTCCTTAAATAAGGAATAGAAATGGGAAGAACCAACCATTAGCCTGACGATAACTATGAAGAAAAATGGGGTCAAGGAAGCCATGTTCTCTTGAACAGGTGTGCTTTATATATAAGATTCAGACACCTGTAATACCAACTAATAGAGCTACTACCCTTCTTCTTGCTGCCTTCCCTGATTCACTGACCATCTGTCGCTGCAAACTCACAGGACCTCAGAAGTGCTAAGGTCAGGGAAATTGTTCCTCTTTGCTTTGTTTCACTCTGGAGGTGCTAAGGAGGGAATCTTGTTAGTTGTTCCATCCTCAGTATCCCCAAAGTACTCTTTACCAGCATCTCATTTATCAGTGAGATTCGGCCTCTTTGGCACATTGATAGTGTTTAATATGTTTCATGAAATATAATAAATGCTCAAATTCACTTCCAAGCAACATCTATTAATGCTATACTATTATTCTAGTCTTCAGTGGAGGGACTCATTGGCTGCTGTTCTTGGGGAAAAGTTTCCTGATAAACATGGAGTGTATTTAAGAACACAGACTAGAAAGCCCTTTTATTAAAAAAAAAAAAAAAAAAGTACTACTACAAATGAGCTAGCAAAGGTGTAAAAAAAAAGTCTGCAATGCTGTATTTGATTTAAGTCAGGAATTTTCTTGACAGCATTTGGCTGGCTGATTTTTCTAGGCTGGATTATTTTTAAGAAATTGGTTGAAGTTAAGACAGCAAACAAAAATATTTTTGCCTTATTGGGTGGAAAATTTGCCTGGACCCTAAGGCGACAATATTGGGGGAAAAAAATAAAAAATTTTAAAAAAAACCTTTCTACCAGTATTTGAAGAAAGTCAGTGCTAAAATATTTGATATTGTCCTATAGTGAGCCTACATCTACAACAGAAGTTCTTAATGAGGGATCCACAAATGGGTGTTAAGGTCCTAGAACTCCCTGAAAATATATGCAAAATGTTCTAAGGAAACATACACGTCCTTGTGTGCATGTGGGTGCACATACATATGCTGCCAAAATTTAAAAACAATTATGCCATAGTCAAGTTTTTTTTAATCTGTTAAATAAATATCACAATTTTATAGTGGAAAGAATATTACCCGGGAGCTAAGAGATCCAGTGACTTACAAATATCCAAATAAAAGACCATAAACAAAGTCATTTAACTTCTTTGCAGTTCAGTTTTCCTTTTTTTTTTTTTTTTTTTTTGAGACAGGGTCTTGCTCTGTCACCAGGGTGGGGTGCAGCGGCGCGATCTCGGCTCACTGCAACCTCTGCCTCCTGGGTTCAAGTGATTCTCCTGCCTCAGCCCCCCCAAGTAGCTGGGACTACAGGTGCACACCACCATGCCCAGCTAATTTTTGTGTGTATATATATATATATATATTTAGTAGAGACAGGGTTTCACCATGTTGGCCAGGATGGTCTTGATTTCTTGACCTCATGATCTGCCGGCCTTGGCCTCCCAAAGTGCTGGGATTACAGGCATGAGCCACTGCGCCCGGCCTGAAGCTAAGTATTACTGTCAATTGATACAATAAGGGCCTCCCAATTTAAGATGAATATTAACAACAATTAACAACATCTCCCTTAATCTGATGATGAAATAGTAAATGTACTAGGGCTTAATTCCAGGCTCCAAGTAGTCTCTCCTCATAGATGAAATGAAGAAATTGTGCATTCTTTGGTATAAATCCTAGGAATGTTTTATCTACTGTTGCCAACACTGACCATTTCTCCAAGGGGCCTTTAAAATAGTGCAAAAATTTGACAAGACAGATACCTGGACAGTTTCTTCTCTTAGAAATAAAATAAGACATCTAGATAAAGAAAGTTAAGGGTCAAAGTTTAGAATGCATACCCCAAGAATTTCATACCCCATCCTCAAAAAGGAAAAAAAGACCCCAAGAATATGGCCAAGAACTGTGTCATAGTCTGCTTGTGCTGCTGTAACAAAATGGTGGAGACTGGGTAATTCATAAAGAATACAAATTTATTCCTCACACTTCTGGAGGCTGGGAAGTCCAAGATCAATGTGTCAGGAGATTCAGTGTGTGGTGAAGGACTGTTTCTTGTAGGTGGGCCACCTAGGTGTCATCACTTGGAAAAGGGATGGAAAGAACAAAAGGGGATGAACGTTGTGTTCTCACATGGCAAGAGAGTGGAAGACAGTGAATCTACTCCCTCAACTCCTTTAAAATGTCCCTAATCCCATCTTTCAGAGCTGCACCCTCATGATATAATTACCTCAAAAAGGCCCTATCTCTTAATACTATCATGATTACAAATATATCATGATATAATTACCTCACAAAGGCCCCATCTCTTAATACTATCATTATATTTCAACATATAAATTTTTGGGGACATGTTCCGACCATAGCAAAAATAGGTAATTAAAACAGAGATATGGATACTCCCTCTATGATTTTGGATAAGACCAAGGGTTAATCTGAACTGACAACAATTTAACCTTGATCACTTGCACAAATTATACACTTTTACACTCCCCTCCTCACAATTTGTTTTTGATGACATATTTTATATATTTTATAGTTTGTGTCCCTTAACAAATTACTGTAGCTATAGTTGTTTTTAATAATTTTGTCTTTTAATCTTTATACTAGTGATATAATTGATGTTCACATCACCACCACAGTATAGGAGTGTTTTCACTTTGGCTATATGTTTACTTTTAAGTGACCTTGTCCCTCAGCTTGAAGGACTACTTTTAGTATTTCTTGTAAGGCAAGTATAGTGGTAATAGATTCCCTCAACTTTAGTGTGTCTGAGTAAGGTTTTATCTCCCCTTGATTTTTAAAGCATAGGACTGTTAGGTATTGTATTCTTGCTTGGCGGAATTTTTTTTTCTTTCAGCTTTATAAGTATCTTATCCCATTCCCTCTGACATGCAGATTTTCTGTTAGAAACTCTGATTTTTATATGTAACTTTTATGTAACATGATTCTGTATGTAACTTGTATCTAATAAGTTGCTTTTCCCATGCAACTTTCAATATTCTCTTTTTGTTTTTCACTTTTGACAATTTGATTTTAATGTGTTTTGGTGTGAGTCTGTTTAAATTTATCCTTACTAGGTGTCCATTGAGATTCCCTGAATCCAGATTTCTATTTTCTTCAGAATTGAAAAATTGTCTGCCATTATTTCTTTGAATACATTTTCCATCTCTTTGTCTCTCCTCTTCTGGTGGAAATTTAATGGTTTATCGTAAATACTTTAGGCTGCTTTTACTTTTTCATTTTATCTTTTTGTTTCTCAGATTGGATGATCTCTGTGACCTATTTTCAAGTTAGCTAAATTTTTCTCCTGCTTAATCTAGTCTGCTGTCGAATCCCTCTACTGAATTTTTGAGTTCAATTATTGTACTATTCAGCTCTGTGATTTACGTTTGGTACTTTTATATGTTTTCTATTTCTTTGTTGAAATTCTCAGTTTGTTCATACATTGCTTTCCTTACCTCAGCAAATATATTTATGACTATCCTTTTGGATTTCCTGTCAGGTAAATCGCATATCTCTATTGCATTAGAGTCAGCTTCTAAATATTTATCTGGTTCTTTTACATGGAACATATTTCCATTTCTTCATTTTCTTTCATTCTGTTGGCTTCTTCACATAAGATAAAAAAACACCTCTCCCACTTTTGTTAGACTGGTCTTGTACAGAAGATGTTTCTCTCAAATCAGCTCAGCAAAAGATTCTAGGTGCCTCTAAATTCATTGTCCTTGTCCAATCTCCTGTGTTTGTTCTTACTGCCTCCCAAGAAATTAGAAAGTATTGAGTTATGTTATCGCCTCAAGAGAGATGGGACAGAAACCAGTCCTTTGGGGTATAGCTAAGGAGGTTGGGGTGATAGATATGTGTTCCAATTACTTCTTTTCTTGGTGAGAAGATGAGAGCCAGAGTTTATCTCCCAATCATTCTACCCTACACCAAGAAGAGGGTGTGAGGCAGATGCCTGCACTCTTTTTCAGACTGCTCAACTTAAACCTGAGGAGACAGCTGATAAAAGTTTGCAAGTTTAAATATCACTTTTTTATTCTATGTGGTCTAGCAGACTCAAGAGGACAGAGCCCCATCAACTGGAGTTAGGTAATTTAAGAATCATTTCCTCAGGTGAAGACTGTAAAAGTTGGGGGTACACAATGTATGTGGAAACTACTTCTAGGGAATGTCTACAGATTTGGATTTATTGCTGCAGTATGCCAGGGAAGAAGGCACAGGGAGTGCCTTCTCTCTTGTTCGAGCAAGCAGAAGTCTCACACCCTCCTAGCAGAAGACTTCTGTCTGGATATATCCCTAAAGCAAGCCAGGGAGGAAGTCATAGAAAGCACCTAATTTCCTTTCAGGCAAGGAGAGATCCCCCAGCCTCCTTCTAATGAGAGATTATAGGAGTTTATCTCAAGAGAAAGCCAAGGATGAGGGTGCAAAGAGTGCCATCCCTTCTATTCTTGCAGGCAGAGGCCTTCAACCTCTTTTGCTAAAGAGATTTCAGGGCTGGAATTATCACCAGAGCAAGCTGGGGAAGGGGGCACAGGGAGTACCTGTTTTCCTATTCAAGCAAGTAGAACTTTTACACCTTCTTTGTAAGGGGAGTACTCTAGTCTGAAGGTAATGCTGAAGCAAGCCATGGATGAAGGCATAGGGAATGCCTCCTTTCTCTTGTAAGCATGGGTGGTCCCCTAGCTTCTCTCTAATGATTGCAAGAATTTATTGGGGAAATGTAAAAATGTAAATTAGCAGAGCCATTTTGGAAAATAGTGTGGAGGTTCCTCAAAAACCTAAATATAGAACTATCATATGATCCAATGATCCCACTTCTGGGTATATATTCAAAAGAAATGAAATTCGTATGTTAAAGAGATATCTGCATTCCTATGTTCATTGCAGCATTGTTAACAATAGTCTAGATATAGAATCAACCAACTGGCCCATCAATAGGTAAATGGATAAAGAAAAGGTGGCATATATACAATGAAATACTATATAGCCTTTAAAAAAGAAGGAAATTCTGTCACTCATGTTGATATGGATAGAACTAGAGGATATTGTGCTAAGTGAAATGAACCAGACACCAAAAGACAAATTCTGTATGATCTCACTTATACGTGGAATCTTAAAAAAGTTGATCTCATATGAACAGAGAATAGAAAGGTGGTTACCGGAGGCTAGGAGGAAGGAGGAGGGACTGAGGAAGGGAAGATGTTGATCAAAGATTATGAAATGTCAGTTAGATCACAGAATAAGTTTTAGTGATCTATTGCACTTCATAGTGACCACAGTTAATTATAATGTATTGTATATTTCAAATTGGTAATAGATTTTTAACATTCTCACCACACAAAAAAATGACAAGTTGTGAGGTGATGGATATGTTAATTAGCTTGATTAAATTTTTCTACATTGTGTACATAGATCAAAACATCATATTGAATGCCATAAATATACACAATTATTATTTGTCAATTTATGAATTACATTAAAATATCTGAGGATTAGTCAACTTCAGAAAATTTCACCATGAGACAATAACATCAACTAGGTATGACCAAAAACTGTCAAAATTTGAGTTATTAAAACTCAAATCTGTTTAAATTTTTAAGTGTATCAAATATTAAAAGATATGAAGATTATAAGAATAAGAAAACCATGACTTAATAATCTTAGCTCGGGAAAGAAATAAATTTTCCTAATCCCTCTCTCTCATTTTGAGAACACTGCAAGGATAAACGTAAATATATAATCTGAGACAAAGAGAGCGTGAAAAAAATCATAATATCAAAACTTGTGCTGAATCCTTGTGCTCTCTAGGCTGGAAAGTTAGAGTAATGTTCTTTTTGTCAATAAAAATACCTGATAGGATCTTTCCAGCTGAGAAAAGCAAGCGTCATGGGCCGAATTGCCAGAAGCAGTTCCCAGTTGGGTGCATATTAAAATTAGTGGGAAATTTTAAAAAATAGAAATAGAGGTGCCCAGTTTCAGCAGGAAATTCTGACCTTGTTGGGTTTAGTAAAGGCCCAGGAAGTAGAATTTACATAAGTTTCTTTTGGTGATTCTAATGAGCAGCGAGAATTTTAAAACCACCATTCTAGAAGGATAAGATTGAGGAGAAAAATCTAAGTTGATCTGCTTAATCAAGTTATAAAAATTCTTTTTTTTTTTTTTTTTTTGAGATGGCATCTCACTCTGTCATCCAGGCTGGAGTGCAGTGGTGTGATCTTGGCTCACTGCAACCTCTGCCTCCCAGGTTCAAGTGATTCTCCTGCCTCAGCCTCCTGAGTAGCTGGGATTATAGGCACCCACCACCATGCCTGGCTAATTTTTGTATTTTTAGTAGAGATGGGGTTTCGCCATGTTGGCCAGACTGGTCTTGAACTCCTGACCTCAGGTGATCTGCCCACCTCAGCCTCCCAAAGTGCTGGGATTACAGGCATGAGCCACTGCGCCCTGCCAAGAATTCTTAAGTTGGGGTTGATAGCTTAAGAAAGAGGGATTGCGGTTTATGCAATTGGATAAAGAATGGAAATAGGAAAAGGGATAAGAAAAGGAGAATGAATGAATCCCAAAGGATGGCTCACACTTAGGCCTCTCTGTAGGACAGATGTATAGTAAAAAATTCCCTGTCAGGAATACTCCAGTATCTTTAAGGCTGTTGATGTCAAGTCTTCTATTTTATGTCCCTACTTGTCATCTGATATAGTGTAATGTTACTTAAACTGACAACATATTACCAATTTTTAGTAATATACTGCCACACAAAATACATTGCCTTGCTGATTTTTTTGGAGAATGGATGAAAGAAATAACAGTAATTCAGACCAAGATGTACCTTAGGAGTGGAGATACGTGAAGAAAAAAATCAAGAAAATATGAGTATACCCCACAGAAAACTTTGGATAAGCTTAAGGGAAACTCTTGGAAGATCATGGAATGAGAACTTCAGATTCTTTGTTCAACAACTACTCTTTTTTCCGGTCATAATGAAAACTTGATACTATAATACCCATTTCACATCAATAGCTAGAAAACTGGACGAAATTTATTTGAAAGAAATCCAGTCACTAGATAAAGAACAGCAAAGGACTGTAATTCCCAATAAAGGAAAACAAAAGCGGTAAGCTCTAGATTCTTTCCAACTTTCCAGCTGAATAATATAAAGGACTCTGGAGCGGGGAGAGTTAATTCAAGCAGTGATAGTCTCACTGAACTTATATAACAGAGATCAAGTTTGGAAAAACTGAGGTACCTGAAATTTTTAGGGTAACATACCAGAAATAAGTAACAGAGGAAAATAGCTCTGTAAAACTGTAGATATTTATCTAAATATTAAGATGCACATGCATAGGCTGAAACTCTATGAGACCAGGGTTTCAGGGTTTTCGATGAAGACAATAATGATGGAAAGAACTATTAGGGGGTTGTAAGCAAAACAACAAATCTGGTTTATACGAGGTTAAGAAAATTCTGAGTTTTGACCAACAAGAGCTGGGAGACCTCACTGAACACCCAGGGCATTTAGCAGAGATGCTATAATGACCACACACTGAAAACAGTGCTATAGGAAGTGACACCAGCAAGATAGTGAAATAGGAGTTTTCTGTCATTGTCTCCATGTAGAAGCATGGATGCTGACAACCATCCATGGATGAGAGTACCTTTGTGGGGGCACAAGAATCCGGCAGGGAAGTTTGAGCACATCACTGGAGCAAAAAATCTGACATATTGGAGAAAGTAAGAGGAGTAGCTTCACTTTACATATATCAGCCCTCCCACAAGGTGGCAAAGCTCAGTGCCAAGACAGACACCCTGGGCCTGTGATTTCTCCTACAAGGAAAAGTGAGAGTGTAGTAAGTGAGCATCTGGCTCCCTCAGCCATGTGGGATGCTGCTCATGAGACCCATGTCTTTCTCATCCCACCCAGAATATTGGTGACTGGCACAGTCGAGTGGTTGAAAGGGGCTGGGATCAGGAAAGTGAAAGGGGACTCAAAGCAGCCAGAGTTCAGAAAACAACAAAGGACCATGAATCCTACTAACTACTTTGTGGATTTCATCAGGAAGTCCATCCATGAATCACTTGGAATGCCTTGCCTATGGACCACTGTAACTGAACCAAAAGCAGCCATGACATTTGACACACCTCGCCAAATCCCTCTTACCCCACCTCACATTTGCCTCTGTGAATGACAGGTATGAGCCTCTGCAGATGGCTCATGAGCAGATGCAGACAGCTGGCCCAACTCCGCAGGATTGTGAGAAAGCACACAAACAAGGATTGTAGGACACCAGCCTACGAAAAACAAACGGGAACTCCCAGAACCCAGCTTGGTTTCCAGCATCAAGAGAAGGTGTGCAATCATAATTACTCCCCAAGAGGGAACACAAAGTGTAGAGTGCACGCATCCAGAGAAAAGGCCTAAGAGGGACTCAGAATTCCTATTCAGGCTGACAGGTGAGGTGTTTATCCCCTGAAGCTAGTCAGTAAGAACTGGAGAAGTTGATTGTGTCTTCAAATGCAGCAATTCAAGATTTTCTAAAAACATGAAAAATCAACTAAACATGACATCAATGAAAAACACAATTATTCTAGTAACCAATCCCAAAGAAATAGGCATCAATAAATTGCCTGATAAAGAATTCAAAACAATTGTCTCAAAGAAGCTCAGTAAGCTAAAAGAGAGCTTAGACAACTCAATGAAGTCAGGCAAATAATACATGAACAAAACAAGAAGTTGCACAAAGGGATAAACATTTTTTAAAAAATAGAAACTCTAGAGCTGAAATACGAATGAAAAAAAATTGAAAATGCAGTAGCGTGTCAACAGCAGATTTGATCAAGCAAAACCAAAGAGTCTGTGAACTCAAAGATGGATCACTTGAAATTATCCAGTAAGAGGAGAAAAAAAGATTAAAAAGGAATGAGAAAAGCCTACAGGATGTATGAGAAGCTGTTTTAAATGAAACTCTATCAGCTTAGCTGGTAACTTCTCTTCTCAGCAGCTGAGGTTCAGACAAAAGAGCACCAGCAGGGGATCCACCTGCATGGGTCCCTTTGGGGCAGCCTCACCAACAGGGGTTTGGGTTGGACTGTGGGAACAACTTCAATGACACAACCACAATGTGAAAGTCTAAGAGTTTTTAGTATTTACAGATCCTGGAGGATACACAGCACCCCTGAAGCCCACACAAACACAGAGGCAATGGAGCACAAGCAGAAAGAGAGAAGGGACCCATGAGTCAATGCATTTATTGAGTCCAGGGTGTTATAGAAACAGGTTTCCCCCAGGGAGCTTTAATTCATGGGTTAAAGCAAACAGGCACTAGTTCCAGGAGGTCATGCTGTAACCGAGAAGTGGTCCCTTTAAGTTCATTGGAAAATGTCTGAATTAAAGGAGGCAGCAGGAAAGTAGGGAGATCAGCCTGTGAGGCAAGAAAGATGCCTCTAATATTTATCTCTAGCTACTACCTGGAACCATTTGAGTGGGGTATAGTATTAGAAACTGTCAAGGCTGGCTGAGCCCTGCTTCTGATGTGAGAAAATTATACATATTTTAAAATGGATGCTGAGGCAACATAAAATTACAAGCACTAACTACAAGCACCATTCAGAGAAATGATATAAAATTAGGAGTATCCCACAAGAAGAATGGAGAAAGAAACAAAAAGCTTGTTTAAAGAAATAAAGGCTGAAAACATCTCAAAGCTGGGGAGAGAGATGGACATCCAGATATGTGAAGCACAAAAATTTCCAAAGAGTTTCAACCCAAAAAGGACTTCAGTGAGACACATTATAATCAAATTGTCAAAAATCAAAGAGAATTTTTGAAAGTAGCGTTGTAAGCAACAAAACCCTCATAAGATTTTCAGCAGAATTTTTTTTTTTTTTTTTTTTTAGCAAAACCTTACAGGTTAGGAGAAAGCGAGATAATATGTTCAAAGAGCTGAAGGAAAGAAAAACACTAATAAGAATAATTTACCTGGTAAAGCTGTCTTTCAGAATTGAAGGAGAAATAAAGAATTTCTCAGACAAATAAAAATTGAGGAAGTTCATCACCATCACCACTAGACCTTTTTTTGATAAGAAATAATGAAGGGAGCTTTTTAAGCTGAAATGAAAGAATCCTAATTAGTAATATAAAACATATGAAATAATAAAACTTGCTGGTAAAGATAAGTATCCCTTTACCCTATTACTGTAATGGTGGTGAGTGGCTCACCTTTAACTCTAGTAGAAAGGTTAAAAGACAAAATTATTAAAAATCTATAGTTACAGTAACTTGTTAATGGATTCACAAGATTCACAATATGAAAATATACAAACTATGAATCAGCAACAGAGAATTTGGGAGAGCAAAAGTTTAGTTTTTATATGCAATTAAAGTTATTATGAGCTTAAAATAGACTGTTAGAAGATCTTTTATGTATACCTCATGATAAGCACAAAGCCAAAAACCTATAGGAGATACACAAAAGATAAGGAAGAAGAAAACAAAGCATACCGTTACAAAAAAATCATCAAATCTACAAAAGAAGACAGAAAGGGAAGAAGAAACAAAGGAACAACAAAACAGCCAAAAAACAATTAACAAAATGTCAATAAGTTCCTGCCTATCAATAATCACTTTAAATGTAAATGGGTTAAATTCTCCAATCAAAAGACATACGGTGGTTAAATTTTTTTTTTTTTAAAGCTCCAAGTATATGTTGTTTACATGAGACTCAATTCAACTTTAAACACATACATTGGCTGAAAATGAAGAAATACGAAAAGATTTTCTATGCAAATGTAAACCAAGAGAGGATAAGTAGCTGTATTAACATCAGAGAAAATAGACTTTAGGTCAAAAACTGTAACAAAAGACAAAAAAATCATTATATAATAATTATGGGATCAATTTATCAAGATGATAAAACAATTGTAAATATGCGTTCATTTAACCTCAGAAGAAAAGAATTCCTAATCAATGATTTCTTACCCAAATATATAAAGCAAACATTAACAGATCTGAAAGGAGAAATACATAGCAATACAATAATAGAAGGGGATTTCAATGCCCCACTTTTAATGAACACATTATCCAGACAGAAAATTAATAAGAAAACAGTGGTGGTGATATGGTTTGTCTGTGTCCCCACCCAAATCTCATCTTGAACTGTAGTTCTCATAATCCCCACATGTTGTGGGAGGGAACCAATAGGAGGTAATTGAATCATGGAAGTTGTTTTCCCCATGCTAGTCTCATGATAGTGAGTAAGTTCTCATGAGATCTGATGATTTTATAAGAGGCGTCACCCTTCACACAGCTCTCATTGTTCTCTTTCCTGCTGCCATGTGAAGAAGGATGTGTTTGCTTCCCCTTCTGCCATGACTGTAAGTTTCATGAGGCCCTCCAACCCTGCAGAACTGTGAGTCAATTAAACCTCTTACCTTTATAATTTACCCAGTCTCAGGCAGTTCTTAACAGCAGCCTGAGAACAGACTAATACAGGTGGTATGAAACTAGATGTCAACGACAGGAGAAAAACTGTAAAATTCACAAAAATGACATACTTCTGAATAACTATAAGGTTAAAGAAGAAATCAAAAGGGAAATGAAAAATATCTTGGGACAAATAAAAATGCAAACCCAACATACCAAAATTTGAGGGATAAAGAAAAAGCAGTTAAGCTTATACTGATAAATGCCTACATTAAGAAAAAAGAAAACTCTCAAATAAACAAGCTAGCTTTACATGTAAGGAACTAGAGAAAGACAGATAAATGAAGCACAAAATTAGCAGAAAGAAGGAAAACAAAACAAAGACCAGAGAATAAATAAATGAAATAGAGAGTAGAAAAACAATAGAAAAGATCACTGAAACTGAGTTGATATTTTGGAAAGATTAAAATTTTAAATCTTTAGCTAGACTAAGAAAAAAAGAAAAAGAATCAAACATTGTAAATGAAAGGGAGATAATTACAACTAGTGCCACAGAAATACAAAGGACCATAAGAGACTATTATGAACAATTATATGTCAACAAATTGGACAAACTAGAAGACATGAATAAATTTCTAGAAACGTACAACCTTCTAACACTAAATTATGAAGAATTAGGAAATATGAATGTATCAATAATGAGTAAGGAGATTAAAGTATGAATCAAAGACCTGAATGAAGCTAAGCATAGGACCTAATAGCTTCACTGCTGAATTCCATCAAACATTTAAAGAGGAATTAATATCAATCCTTATCAAACCCTTCTCAAAAAGTGAAGAGGAGAGAATACTTCCAAACTCATTTTACAAGCATAGCATTAACCTGATATCAAAGCCAGATTTGGACAGTACAAGAAAAGAAAATTACAGGCCAATATCCCTGATAAACATATGAACAAAAATTCTCAAAAAAATACTAGCAATTGAATCAATACCACATTAAAAGGATTGTGTACCATGATCAAGTGTGATTTATCCCTGGGATGCAAAAATGGTTCAACATATGGAAATCAATAAATGATACACCACATTAACAGAATGAAGAATAAATATGATATAATTGTATCCATAGATGCAGAAAAAGCATTTTACATTTTCAACATACTTTCATGATAAATATCAAAATATTAGATATAGAAGGAATATATCTCAATATAATAAAGGTCACATATGACAAGCTCTCAGCTAACATTGTACTCAATGATGAAAAGCTGAAAGCTTTTCTTCTCAGATAAGGAACAAGTGAAGGATGTCCATCTCATCACTCCTGCTCAACGTAAGACTAGAAGTCCTAGCCAGAAAAATTAGAAAAGGAAAAAAAAAAGACATTCAAATAATAAAAGTGGAAGGTAAGCTGGGTGCGATGGCTTATGCCGGTAATTCCACACTTTGGGAGGCCAAGTTGGGTGGATCACTTGAGGTTAGGAGTTCGTGACCAACTTGGCCAACATGGTGAAACCCCATCTCTACTAAAAGTACAAAAATTAGCTGGGCCTGGTGGCATGCCTGTAATCCCAGCTACCTGGGAGGCTGAGGCAGGAGAATCACGTGAACCTGGGAGGCTGAGGTTGCAGTGAGCTGAGATGGCACCACTGCACTCCAGCCTGGGTGACAAAACAAGAACTTGTCTCAAAAAAAAAAAGTAGTAGATAAATTGTCTGTTTGCAGATGGCATAATATTATATATAGAAAACCCTAAAGACTCAACCAAAATAATACTGTTAGAACTAGTAAATTCAGTGAGGTTTCTAGATAAAAAATCAACATACAAAAATCAGTCTCATTTCTGTACACTAACAATAAACCATCTGAAAAAAAAAGAAAACAATGTCATTTACAATAGCATCAAAAGTATGTAAGAATAAATTAACCAAGGAGATGAAAGATTTGTACACTGAAAACAATTAAACATTGACAAAAGCCATGACAGAAGACACAAATCAAATGGTATTTCTAGTTCTAGATCCCTGAGGAATCACCACACTGACTTCTACAATGGTTGAACTAGTTTACAGTCCCACCAACAGTGTAAAAGTGTTCCTCTTTCTCCACATCCTCTCCAACACCTGCTGTTTCCTGACTTTTTAATGATCGCCATTCTAACTGGTGTGAGATGGTATCTCATTGTGGTTTTGATTTGCATTTCTCTGATGGCCAGTGATGATGAGCATTTTTTCATGTGTCTTTTGGCTGCATAAATGTCTTCTTTTGAGAAGTGTCTGTTCATATCCTTCACCCACTTGTTGATGGGATTGTTTGTTTTTTTCTTGTAAATTTGTTTGAGTTCATTGTAGATTCTGGATGTTAGCCCTTTGTCAGATGAGTAGATTGCAAAAATTTTCTCCCACTCTGTAGGTTGCCTGTTCACTCTGATGGTAGTTTCTTTTGCTGTGCAGAAGCTCTTTAGTTTAATTACATCCCATTTGTCAATTTTGGCTTTTGTTGCCATTGCTTTTGGTGTTTTAGACATGAAGTCCTTGCCCATGCCTATGTCCTGAATGGTATTGCCTAGGTTTTCTTCTAGAGTTCTTATGGTTTTAGGTCTAACATTTAAGTCTTTAATCCATCTTGAATTAGTTTTTGTATAAGGTGTAAGGAAGGGATCCAGTTTCAGCTTTCTACATATGGCTAGCCAGTTTTCCCAGCATCATTTATTAAATAGGGAATCCTTTTCCCATTGCTTGCTTTTGTCAGGTTTGTCAAAGATCAGATAGTTGTAGACATGCAGCATTATTTCTGAGGGCTCTGTTCTGTTCCATTAGTCTATATTCCAGCCATCCCATTACTGGGTATATACCCAAAGGATTATAAATCATGCTGCTATAAAGACACATGCACATGTATGTTTATAGCAGCACTATTCACAATAGCAAAGACTTGGAATCAACCTAAATGTCCAACAACGATAGACTGGATTAAGAAAATGTGGCACATATACACCATGGAATACTATGCAGCCATAAAAAAGGATGAGTTCTTGTCCTTTGTAGGGACATGGATGAAACTGGAAACGATCATTCTCAGCAAACTATTGCAAGGACAAAAAACCAAACACCGCATGTTCTCACTCATAGGTGGGAATTGAACAATGAGAACACATGGACACAGGAAGGGGAACATCACACACCGGGGACTGTTGTGGGGTGGGGGGAGGGGGGAGGGATAGCATTAGGAGATATACCTAATGCTAAATGATGAGCTAATGGCTGCAGCACAGCAACATGGCACATGCATACATATGTAACAAACCTGCACATTGTGCACATGTACCCTAGAACTTAAAGTATAATAATAAAATTTAAAAAATAAATAAATAAATAAAATAAAATCTAAAAAAAAAAGAAGACACAAATCAATGAAAAAATACTCCTTGTTCATGGATTGAAATAATTATTATTAAAATGTTCATGCTACTTAAAGCAATCTCTAGTTTCAATGCAATCCTCATCAAAATTCCAATAGCATTTTTCACAGAAATAGAAAAAAATTCTAAAATTTGCATGGTACCTCTAAAGACCCTGAATAACAAAAGAAATCTTGAGCAAGAAGATGAGAGCTGAAAGCACCATACTTCCTGATTTCAATTTATATTACAAAACTATAAAAATTAAAATAGTATGGTATTGGCATATAAACAGACACATAAACCAATGGAACAGAATCGAGAGCCCAGAAATAAGCCCATGGATATCTTGGCAAAGAGGCCATGAATACAAAGCAGGAAAAGGATAGTTCTTATTAAATGGTGGTGGGAAAACTGAATAGCCACATGCAAAAGAACAAAATTGGACCCTTATCTTACACCAGACTCAAAAATCATCTATGAATGGATTAAATACTTAAATGCAAGACATAAAACCATAAAACTCCTAAAAGAAGAAAGCACATAGAAAAAGAGCTCCTTGATATTGTTCTTGGCAATGATTTTTTGGATATGACACCAAAAGCACAGGTAACAAAAGCAAAAGTAAACAAGTAGGCCATACAACTCAAAAGTGGAAAAACAAATAACCTGATTTAAAAATGGGCAAAGGATATGAATAGACATTTTTCCAAAGAAAATGCCAACAGGTATATGAAAAGGTTCACATCACCACTCAACAGGGAAATGCAAATCAAAACCACAGGGAGATATCGCTTCACACCTGCTGGGATGGCTTTATCAGAAAAGCAAAAGACAAGTGTCGGTGGGATTGTAGAGAAATAAGAACCCTTGTACACGGTTTGTGGGAATGTAAAATGGTACAGACACCATGGAAAACAGTATAAAAGTATCCCAAAATGTGAAAAATAGAACTACCATATAACAATCTCACTTCTGTGTATACATCTAAAGGAAGTGAAACAAGTATGTTGAAGAGGTATTTGCACTCCCATGTTCATTACCGCATTATTTACAATATAATTGTTTGTGTATATATATATATACAGACACACACAATGGATTATTATTCAACCTTAAGAAAGAAGCTGGAGAAAGGGCTGGGTGTAGTGGCTCATGCCTGTCATTCTACTTGTGATTAGTTTGGAGGCCAAGGCAGGAGGATTGCTTGAGACAAGACTTGGCAACATAGCGCAACCCCTGTATCTACCAAAAATTAAAAAATTAGCCAGGCATGGTGGCACGTACCTGTAGTCCCAGCTATTTGGGAGGCGGAGGGGAGAGGATTGCTTGAGCCCAGGAGTTTGAGGCTGCAGTAAGTTATGATTATGCTGCTGCACTCCAGCTTGAGTGACAGAAAGACCGTGTTTCAAGAAAAAAGGAAACAGCCTGAAAGACATTATACTACATGAAATAAAACAGACACTGAAAGTCAAACTTTGCGTGATCTCACATATATTGAAATTTTAAAAGTTGAACTCATAGAAATGGAGTAGAATGGTGGTTGCTTGGGTTGCGGGTGGGGTAAAGGGGTCATGTTGGTCAAAGGGTGCAAACTGTCAGTTATAAGTTGAATAAGTTCTGGAGATCTAATATATAACATGGTGACTGTGATTCATATTAAGTTAAAATATAGTTAAAATTTTCTAAGGGAGGAAATCTCAAGTGTTCTTAACACACACACAAAAATAACTGTTAGGTGATTGATATGTTAATTAGATTGATTGTGGTAATCATTTCACAATGTATACACATGTCAAAACATCACATTGTACACCTTAAATATGTAGAATTTTTATTCAACAGTGATAGCCCAGTAAAGCTCAAATGAACACAAAACAGTGTTGCACCAGTTGAAGAGTTTACACTTCTCTATAGAAGCTTATACAAAGCTTTAAAACAAGACTGGAAGGGTGAAGTTAGCCTAGATGCAAACTGACTCTCATAATAAAGAAAAAAAATATGACACTCTTTTTAGGAAGAAAACAAAATCCAGATACTCAACCAGGTAACAGTTACAATACTCAGCATCTGATCTAAAATTACCAGGCATGTAAAGAGATAGAGAGTTAAGATCCATAAACGGGGTAAAGTTAGTGAATACAAAGCTTACAAAATGACAGACGGCTGGGTGTGGTGGCTCACACCTGTAATCCCAGCACTTTGGGAGGCCAAGGCAGATGGATCACTTGAGGCCAGGAGTTCGAGACCAGCCTGGCCAACATGGCAAAACCCTATCTCTACTAAAAATACAAAAATTAGCTGGGCATGGTGGTACACATCTGTAGTCCCAGCTACTCAGGAGGCTGAGGCACAAGAATTGCCTGAACCTGGGAGGCGGAGGTCGCGATTAGCAGAGATTGTGCCACTGCACTCCAGCCTGGGCAGCAGAGCAAGAATCTGTTTCAAAACAAACCAAAAAATAAAAAAATCAAAGAAATGACTGATATTATGGAATTAATAGAAAGGATTTAAAAACTGTTATTTTAAATATGTTCAATGATGTAAAAGAAAAATGAACATAAGAAAGAGAAAAATGAAAAGTATAAAAAAGAATGAAATGACATTTCTGGAGTTGAAAAATACAACACCAAATTGAAAAACTGACCGAATGCACCTAACAAGGGACTAGACACCACAGAAGATCAGAAAACTGAAAGCAGAACAGAAGAAATTATTAAAACTCAAGCACAGAGATATGAAAGACAGAATACATTTAATATAGCCTCACTGACTATGGGACAATAGCAAGTGATCTGATATGAGTATAATTGGAATCCACTATTCAGCGTTGTACTGGTGGTCCTAGTCAGTCTAATAAGGCAAGACAAAGCAACAAAAGGCATACAGATTGGAAAGAAAGAAGTAAAAATGTCTTTATTCACAGAGAGCAGAAAATTCCAATAATCTACCAGAAGTTACTAGAACTACTTCATGAGTTTAGCAATTAAATGAAAGGTAACTAGATGTACAAAAATCAATTGTATTTCCATATCCTATGAAGAGATAATTGGAATACTATGAAACACTTAAGGATAAGTTTAACAAAAATTACACAAGATTCATAAACTGAATGCAACAGAACACTGCTAGGAGAAATGAAAGAATACTTAAATAAAGGAAGAAATATATGATGTATATGGATCATAAAATACACTATGTTAAAAGGTCCATTCTACTCAAATTGCTGTATCAATAACAATTTCAGCAGGCTTTTTTTGTTTAGAAGTTAACTAGCCAATTAGAAAATTTGATTAGATTTGCAAAAGACCATAGAAAAGCCAAAATAATTTTGAGAAATAACAATGTAGGAGGACTTACACTTCCTAATGTTAAGACTTATTATAAAACTATAGTAGTTAAAAGATTGTGGTAGGGACACAAGCATAGTAATATAGATCAGTAGAAAAGAAAATCGATTTTGGAGAAAGTTTCAGATAATTTAACTGAAAAAGAATACTCCTTTCAACAAGTTGGGCTGGGAGTAACCGAATAACAATATAAAAAAAAGTGAACCACGATTTTTACTTCAAACTATAGACAAAAAATAACTCAAAATTGATTACATCTAAATTTAAAAATAGAAAACTACATTATTTCTAAAAGAAAACATAGAAGATAAAAATCTTTGTAATCTTTGGGCAGGCAAGATTTCTTTGATAACAAAAATCACTCACCATAGAAGAAGATGACCAACAAATTAAAACTTTATGAAAATTAAATCCTCCTCTTTAAAAGACACTATTTAGACAATGAGGAGGGAAGCTGCAGACTGAGAAAGAATATTTACAAACTATATTGAGATATCTAACAAAGAACACTTCAAAAATATGTAAATTAAATTTTACATCATATTCAAATAGTCAATACACACAAGAAGAAATGTTCAACATCATTATGCATCAAAGAATGCAAATAAAGTTATAATGAGATACCACTAAACACTACACTATTTAGTTTAGAATAACTAAAATTTAAAAAGAGTGACAATACCATGTGTAGGTAGAGATGTAAAGCTACTTGAAATTTTAGCTTGCCAATGGGAGTGTTAAATGGGACAACTACTTTGAGAAACAACCTGGAAGTTTCTTCTATAGTTAAACATACATTTACTGTATTACCCAGAAATTTCACTCCAAGAGAAATGCAAACATAGGTCCACACAAAGGTTTGTACACAAATATTCACAGCAGCTTCATTTATAATAACCACAAACTGGGAACAACACACATATGCATCAAGAGGTTAAGAGATCAACAGATTGTGATGTATTCATATAACAGATATTATTCATCAATATTAATACATACAACATGACTTACAAACACAGCATATTGAGGTAGGCACAACATCACTGTGTGATTCTACCTATAAAAAATGAATCCTTACATATAGAAAATAGTTTGGTGGCTGTCTGGATTGGAATTTGCGAAGGGGATTGGTTGCAAAGAAACACGAGGGAAAAATTAAGGATAATGAAAATATTTTTTATTTTTATTGCACTGAAATAACCAAACACGTTTCTCAAACCCCATTAAACTGTATGAATAAATTTGTATCATTGTATTGTGTACAAATTTTACCTCAATAAAATTGATAACAACCAATTATGTAGAGAGAGGTTGTCTATAAACTGAGCACAAAATGCAATAGACAATCTAGTAGCTTCAGATTCTTAAAAATTCAATCAGTGAGATAATTTGCATCAGGAACAAAACAGATATTTATCAGCCTGGCTGTGGTTTTGTTTTCTCATGGTAAAATCTGAATCATACAAGTATCTCTTACCTAGGATGGCACTCAGGATCAAATTAATAAATATATGTAAAGCATGTAGAGTAAATCCTGGCAGATATTAAGAATTCAATAAAGACTGGCTATAGTTGTCATTGTTACCACCAAGAGTTGGAGGCTATATCAAACCTGGGGAGGGCTACAATGATAAGCAACGTTGCCCCCTGGGGAGGCTTAGGTTTTAGTGAGAAACAAGGCCAGTCAATTCTCCTCAATGCACAAAAGGATGTTGTATTAGTCGGTTCTCATTCTGCAAATAAAGACATACCCAAGACTTGGTAATTTAGAAAGGAAAGAAGTTTGATGGACTCACAGTTCCACATGGCTATGGGGGCCTCAAAATTATGGTGGAAGATGAGTCATATTCACTATCATGGGAAAAACCCACTCCCATAATTCAATTACCTCCCACTGGGTCCCCCCCATGACATGTGGGGATTATTACAATTCAAGGTGAGATTTGGGTGGGGACACAGAGCCAAATGATATCAGGTGTTCCGGGAGACCTGTGGACAAGTTACACCTCACTGATAGGGAATTTCCCTAACATGTCATCTAACTATTTATTTTCTGCCTTCTCTTTAAAAATCCAGGGGTGGGACTGGCAAATTGTGGCTGCTTCTTTATTGTTACATAATGTATTCTATTATCTGCATGCACATTTCTCAGAAGACAATTTATACAGGCTGAAAAAAATGTATCTCTTGAAAACTCTGTTTGAAATATTACTTGCTTGATACTTTTATGTTGATCTTAGAGAAAAATGAGGGAATGTTTCTTAAAGGAGGTAATAAAATTACAATTGGATGCCAGCATGAGTTATCATCTGAGCCTGAGGAGGTACACTAAAAAGACCAGGACTCAGACTTTGAAGAAGTCACTTGGACATGCCCATTGGTCATCAGCTGAAGGTAACCATTCCTGCCACCACCTTCTACGACCAATGTGCCATAATGTATTAACTTCCAGTGGCACCTGTAACAAATTGCCACAAGCTAGGTGGCAGAAAGCAACAGAAATGTATTCTCTCAGCATTCAGGAGGCCAGAAATCCTAAATCCAGGTGTCAGCAGGACCATACTCTCCCTGGAGGCTCTGGGAAGAGAATCTATTTCATTTTTTTCTCTTGGCTTTTGATGGCTGCTGGTAATCCTTGGAACTCCTTGGCTTAGAGCTGCATCATTCCGATCTCTGCCTCTGTGTTCACATGGCCTCAATCTCTTCTGTGTCTTCTTTTTTGTCTCTTATAAGGACACTTGCCATTGGAGTTGGAGCCCACTTGGGTAATCCAGGATGATCTTATCTGAAGATCCTTAATTATACCTGCAAAGACCCTTTTTTCCAAATAAGGTAATATTCACAGGTTCCAGGAATTTGGATGTGGATGAATTTTTTTTTTTTTTGGTAGAATCAGGGAGAGTCACCATTCCACCCACTACACATGCCACCTTCCTACTGTGCTTGGACTTTACAGGTAATCCCACCTTCAACAGAGGACAGAAAAGCAGTTCAGGGAGTGCTGAATATTACTTGGCATTGCCCAAATGAGGGAATAAAGGAAAGAGAGAAATAATTAAATTTAAGATTCATGAGGGCAGAAACTGTGTGTATTATTTATTCTTATTCCACAACACCTATAACAGTGCTTGGCATACAGAGATTTTTGATAGATGTTCATTAATTTTATGAATGAATGAATAACTCATAAATTAGTCTTCATCTCTCGGTGTCCTGAAGGAATCAAATTTGGCCTCACTTAATCACTGAAACTTTGGTATCCCCAAGCAAAAAGGCTATCACCAGAGAAACCTGACACTGAGTCCAGGAAACCTGGGTTGGTGAAAATGCTCCTGGGAACCTGAGTTGGGCTGGGTTTGGTAGGAGAATGGGTCCTGGGGTGCGAGTACAGCTGCAGGGGCCAGAAGGGAAGCCAAGCTTCATTGTGGGTTCTAGAGAATGAGCATGTCTCTTTTGGCAATCATAAATATCTCCTCTTCCCATGATTGTTTAGCATCTTCATTTACAATAAAACAGCAGTTAAGAATGTGACTACATCCTTTTTGAACCTTCCAATGATAGAAAGCCATAAATTTTAAAAGTCAAAAACAACAACAAAAACTCACTCTTAATTCGCATGCTTTCCTGTAGAGAGAAAGGGAATAAAGGACTCCTAGGAGCATCCATTCTTTAAATTCTCTTCTTCTGGGTTTCCTCAAAGAATCTGATTAGCAGCCTTTCACCCAGAAACAATGAACTGCAGGGAAGCTCAGTGATTAGAGCAAACAGATAGCAGTCAGAAAATTCTCTGAGTGGCTCTCCATGGCCTTCCAAAAGACACTTGACAATTCTGTGTCTCAATTATTGGCAAATTGGGGACAGTGGTAGCAACACTTGCTTACCCTTCAGGGATGCTGTAAGAGCCAATTAACCATGGGTGATGTCAGTGGAGATTGAGGAATGAGCACCACTGCATAGTTAGAAAGCATTATTACCGTAGTGTGAGTGGTGAATGGAAAGTAGAGGTTGAGCAAGGAAATTCATGGGTTTGCCTTGCAGCAGCTTCCTGATAAGTTGCCAGTAGAGTCTTCCTAATTTATCTCATTCTGCCTGCATGGGGATTTCTATCTAATAGTCCCTGTAGATGACAGAGAGAAAAAGTGAGGAAGCCAGGTCAGGCAAAAAACATTGACAAGAAGAAAGAAGCCACTGCAGAAGGGGTTTTTCTAAAGCTGAATTTTAATCATCTTTTTAAATTATATCTAGAATGTGGATTGAGGAAGGGGCATGAGAGGAGTTTGACATGAAGTTGGAGAGGAAGCAATCAATCTTGAAGATGCATTTCATGTGGAATCTAGGGAGCCAAGATCCTGAGCAGTGACCTTCAGGACTTAAACTGGTGTTCACCAGCTTGACTTGAGATCTTCTAGTAAGACACAGGACTTTGCAAACTGAGCTGCAAGGCCAAATAGTGCAGGCTGATAGCTCTGTATAACATGTTAGCAATGTGTGAATCCAATTTGTGCAATACCAAAAAAAAAACCGCTTTAAAAATTGAAATAAGAATATATAAGTACTTACAAGGCTGCCGGGTTGATGATTTGGGGAGAGAGCCTGGAAAAATTAAAGATTGCCTTCAAACCGAAGCCAATATGCCAATCTCCACCTGGGAATTTTGGCTCAATGCCAGTTTTGATGTGTTTATTACTAACTCCTTGTGGTGAGCAAAAGAAAAAACATCAATTTGCATAAGGAAAGAAGAAGAGGTCTTTAAACACTGAAACCTAGGCAGCTGGAAAAAAAAATCCTCAAAAGAAATGTAATCCGATTCTGCCAGTTGGCCGAGAAGGAAATTTGGGAATTTAGGAGAAAATCCATAAATCTGGACTACCTCGGAGGGCTAATATATGTTGAAGTTGTTTAGAGATTGAGCAATCTTTTGGCCATGGGATTTTAGGGATATTGGGAGTGGGAAGTGTTAATCTCACCATGGTTTGAATCCCACAAATTCCTTCTGCCTTTATATAGTTATCATTACTGAGCTCTTATTATACAGCAGACGCTGTGCTAAATGGTTTATATATATTAATATATTTAATTGTTGCAACATTCCTATAGAGACTGAAGTTACTTTCATTTTAGACACGAGCAATCTGAGACACAAGAAAGGTTACAAAATTTTCCCATAACCATACAGTTAACAAGCTGTGATCTAGGACTCAAACCCTGAGATTCTGACTCCAAAGCCCTTGTTCTATGATTACTGTTGTTCCCTCTTGCAAAACACCTGGAAGATATACACACACACAGTTTTATATATATACGTGTGTGTATGTGTATATATATGTGTGTGTCTGAGATAGATAAAATTTAAATTCTTATCCAGGTTTATAGCTCAGATGAAATGGGATGAGTGCCCTAAAAATGCTATTGAGAAGATGCTATGGGAGGTTGGTGAGGGACGAGACTAATTCTACTGGGCTTAGGGAAATGGGTGAAGTGAAACACTAGAGAGAGGGGGCAGTAAACTTGTAGAGACCGAAGTTCTTGCTGGCTTTATTACATATTAAGTATTTGCTGTCTCATGAAATCCCATAGCAGGCCTATGAAGTATGTAGTATCTTATCTATTTTACAAATGGGGGAATTATAGCAGAGAAATGTGAAATAAACAATTGATAGTCATACATGGAATGGAAAGAATAATGGCTAGAGTGTCAAGTTGGAGTTCTGAATGCAAAAGGCCTCATCCTTTCTTCTATTTTTTTAAGATGGAGTCTCGCTCTGTTGCCTAGGCTGGAGTGCAGTAGCATGATCTCTGCTCACTGCCAACCTCCGTCTCCCAGGTTCAAACGATTCTCCTGCCTCAGCCTCCTGAGTAGCTGGGACTACAGGCATGCACTACCATGCCTGGCTAATTTTTGTAGTTTTTTTTCAGTAGAGACAGGATTTCACTATGTTGGCCAGGCTGGTATTGAACTCCTGACCTCACGATCCACCTGCTTCGGCCTCCCAAAGTGCTGAGATCACAGGCGTGAGCCAACGCACCCAGCCAGCCCTCTTCCTTTCTATTAAATTACGTTGCTTCATGAAGTGCCAGTCAAGGTGGGAAATGCACAATGTCTCGGGTTTCCATAGCAGAATGGGAAAGATTTTCAAGATAAAAAAAATTATGCATTTGAAAATGCAGAGGCGGAAAAGTACAGTGAAGTTTTGGAAAAGTATAAATAGTCTAATTTAAATGAATATGAAAAATCAGAAGAGGCTGGGAAGGAATGGCTTACCAAATCTTGGATTTTGCCTTGTCAGAAGAGAATAAACCTCTACTCTGAAGGCAGTGAGAGTTACTGCAGGTGTTTTAGCTGAAGGGAAGGTGATCAGGGTGGTGAGTTAACATCAATGTACAGGCTGCATTCCTCCCCCTGAATACAACCCTGGAGGTTCCATGAAAGCAAAAAGAAGACTGAGGAATCTATTGAAATAAGAAATACAGCAACATCAGGGCAAGGAAAAGCAATGGGTTAGGTCCTTGCATAACCTTTGGGTGGAGTAAGGGGTGGAATAATCAACCCAGACATCTGATATGGAGCAGGGAAGCAATTTTCCACCTCTGACAGCTATTTTCTCTCCCTGATATTGCCTTGAGACGACAATAATCTATGTAAATAAAAAAACAAACTACAAAGCAGAACAAGAGCAACCAGCCTATCCCCTATAGTGATGGCAGGGAAAGTCTTGGGGTGCTGCTGAGTCCACTTGGGGTGAAATCAGCTAACCCATAAGTGCAATGGGCCTGGTTAGCCTTTCGGTGTTCCCTTTCCTTCCTGCACATCCTCTCTATACATCAAGTGCTATGTGATTACAACTCAGGTTAAGAATTCTTGATCAAGAGCAGTGCCAACATTGACATATAAGTGGTAATTTCAGAGGTTCCCTGCTCCAAAGTGTTTACCCTGTTACACACACACACACACACACACACACACACACACACACACACACACACACATCTTAACCCCTTATATTTACTATCAGGGGCACACGCTAGCTTCTGGCTTTTTGCCCTTCCTGCCAAAGTCACATTTCCATAGAGGTAAATTAAGTTGCTAAAGGAATATAAATTTATGGAAAAAGATAAAGATATTTTCAGAGCATAACTGCAATGAAAGAAAGACAACTGATGAATTCAGCTATATCAAATAAAAGCAAAAGTAATGTATCAGAGTAAGAATTTAAAATAAATATATTTTCTAAAATATGTAAGAAAAAATATTAGATCCATGCAGCAAACATGAAAAATCATAAGGAAGAATCAACTGGAGATATTAAGAAAAATGTTACGGTTGAAATAAATAACTGGACTGAATAGCGGAAGAATACATGTAAAAATCATTTTGTGAAATTCTCTCAGACAACATCAAGATAGGATAAAGAGATAGAAAATTTTAAATTAAAAGACAAGGAGAGTAGAATCGGAAGTGTCAAGGTTCATATCAATGAAGTCCCAGATGGAGAGAGAGAGAAACCTATGAGAAAAAACAAAAACGATGAAAAGTATTGATCAATAATGTTGAGATTACTTTTAAAAAATCAAGAATCGGCCAGCCGTGGTGGTTCATGCCTGTAATCCTAGCACTTTGGGAGGCCAACGTGGGTGGATCACCTGAGGTTAGGAGTTCAAGACCAGCCTGGCCAACATGGCAAAACCCCATCTCTAGTAAAAATACAGAAATTAGCTGGGTGTGGTGGTGCGTGCCTGTAATCCCAGCTACTCAGAAGGCTGAGGCAGGAGAATCACTTGAACCCAGGAAGCGGACGCTGCAGTGAGCTGAGATCATGCCACTTCACTGCAGCCTGGGGGAAAGAGCGAGACCCCATCTCAAAAAAAAAAAAAAAAATCAAGACTCAGATTGATGCTAAAATTTTTAATAACAACATAAAATATATAGAGTAAAATTTTAAAACTTTAAAAAAAACTATCATTTAATCTGGAATTGTGTGTCTAGGTAATCTATCATTAAAATCCAAGAGTTAAATAAGTATACTCTCAGTTTATCACAAAAACTTCCTCTGAAAAAATACTCTTGGATAAGTTATTTCTTCAAAAAATGAAATCAGACTGAGGGGATATAATAAGGCATGGGGAAATTGTGACTAAAGGAGTTAGTAAAACTTACTACTGACTACAATTTGGTGAGAAAGGAGGTACCAGAGGGAGAACTTGCTTATGTATTTGTCCAGAAAGGGAGTTGTGGGGTGGGTGTGTGTGTCTGTGTGAGTTTGATAGGAAAAATATGCATAAATATGGCTCTCAACAAGTTAGGGGTAAACTCCAAAACCCTACAAATAGACTATGATACTTAAAAAGCAGGAAAATAAAATTTGATATATCCAATGAAAAGTAAGACGGTGGTAAGGGAAAATGAAAATGAAGTATGTAACATGGAAATTATTGAATATTTAGATAAGAAATAATGGTATTTGAAATAAATAAAAATTAAAGACAATTACATTGGATTTTTTTTTAAAATGAAGTAAAACAGTATGCTGTTTACTGGAAATATTCAAAAGAATGCATTTTGAAAAGAGTGAAATGTAAGAATGTGTATCAGGCAAAATAATGCAAAAGACAGCCATGACAGCAATTTTAATATTTGTCAAAATATATTTTTGCATCTGAATATCTGTAAAGGTATACTTTAAAAAGCAATCATATACTGGTAACAGAAATAATATATCAAGAAATTGTAGCAACCACGAATGTATGTGTAACAGACAATAGAGCCTCAAAGTATACAAAGCAACAACTAAGAGTCAAATGAACACTAGATAAATTAATAATTTAGATATTTCAGCATGAACTTTTCAGAAACTGGTGGATTAAGATCATTAACATAGGTTGGAAAGGGAGAGAAGCTGGAGAAAGAATAATTAGAATGTGATTGAAATAATTTAGATTACAGTTATGATGATTCTGTGCTAGGGTGGGGATAGAGACTGTAGTTGTAGGCCCAATGAGAATGAGTATATTTTGAAATTTTTGGGTGCCATTATCAGATGAAAATAAGTTAAGGGAAGTGGGTTTGGGGGATATAAGATAAATGTATTTAAGGTGTATCAATTATAATCCACTTCTTTAGAAGTTACAGATTGCCATTAGATCTCTGTGAGAAGAATGGGGTAGGATAACTTCCATCATTAGAGTTCCCAAGTCTCTTTAGAAATAGTGTTTCCTTTGGTGAAAGGCATTGAAGCCTTCTCAAATATTTTATCTGGAAGGGATTAATGCATTAGGCTCTCACTAGCCATTAACTCCTTAGCACAGGTAATTTTATCAGATTAGCCCTAGTAAAGAGAATGGAGCATTTATATGACATGGACACGATACAGGAACATTCTGATGGAAGAGAAAAATGAAATCAGAGAAAGAAAGTAGATTCTTTTAAATGTTTTTAAAATACCGTTCTCTTAGTCAATCTATATCTTCACTATCAAAAATACAAATTTGTTGTTCCCTCCTCTATGCTCCCATAGCTTCTTTTCCAACAATTTATTGCAAAAAAATTGTCAAACACACAGCAAAGTTGAAATATTTTTTCAGTAAATAATTCTATATGTCCACCATCTAGATTCTATCATTAGCATTTTACTCTTTATTTGCTTGATCACATATCTAGCCATCTTTCTAGTCATTCATATATCCTTCTCATTTTTAATGCATTTAAACTACAGACAATGGTATACTTTATATTTTTCAGTATTTTCTTATAATATTTACATACAACAAAAAGCATATATCTTCACTATATATTTTCCAAGTTTCAACAAAGGTATACACCTCTATAAACCCAATAAGACATTATCATCACCACAAAAATGTCCCTTCATGCGTCTTCCCAGTCCAACTCAGCCTTTGCTTCCCAGAGGAGATTGTTCTAGAATATCTTATATATGAAATTATGCATGCAGTATGTACTCTTTTTGGCTAGTTTCCACTCAGCCTAACATGTTTTGGATTCATCTATACTGTTGCATGTCACAGTTGTATATGAGTATACTGCATAAATTCACCTCCATTTGTTTCTTCATTCTCCGATTGGTGGACACTTGGATTATTTCTACTGCCTATTCAGTTCTTTCATAGTGTCTTGTGAGTGGAAGTTTTTGCTTTTGTCATTT
The DNA here is from genome assembly GCF_000001405.40 of Homo sapiens. Classification (NCBI taxonomy): domain Eukaryota; kingdom Metazoa; phylum Chordata; class Mammalia; order Primates; family Hominidae; genus Homo; species Homo sapiens. Next base: position 117,364,446 of record NC_000008.11, read on the forward strand.
GTTTGCTTATGAAGTCTAATTTATTATTTTTTCTTTTATGGTTTTTCTGTAATCTGTCTAAGAAAGCTTTGCCTGCTGCCAAGTTATCAAGGGAGATGGCTCCTGTTCTCCTCTAAAAGCTTTATGGTTGGGTTTGGTAATCCTTTTGTTTTGTTTTGAGACAAGGTTTCTCTCTGTTGCCCAGGCTGGAGTGCAGTGGTGCCATCAAGGTTCACTGTAACCTCCGTCTCCTAGGCTCAAGTGATCCTCCCACCTCAGCCTCCCGAGTAGCTAGTACTACAGGAGCACCACCATGCTAGGCTAATTTTTTTAAAAGTTTTTTTGGAGAGACAAGGTCTCACTCTATTACTCAGGCTGTTCTCAAACTCCTGGGTGCAAGCAATCCTCTTGCCTTGGCCTCTCAAAGTGCTGGGATTATAGACGTGAGCCACTGTGCCCAACCTGGTGATCCATTTTTAATTTGTGCATATGTGTGTATGATATGAGAATCATCATGGCAAGGCTCTTTTTTTTCCATATGAATATCCTGTTTTTCCAGCAATATTTGTTGAAAAAATTTTCCTTTTCCATTAGATTGTTTTGATGCTTTTGTTGAAAATTATATGACCATGTAAGTGTCTATGTCTGGACGTTTTACTGCCAGTTGTGTTGACCTAATAATGAATCCTGAATGCTAGTACCATATTTTCTTGATTATTTGAGCTGTACAATAAGTCTTAAAGATGGATAGTGAAAGGTCCTTCAATTTTGTTCTTCCAAGATTTCCTTGGAGGTTCTAGGTCCTTTACCTATATATTTCAGGATAAGCTGGTGTCAATTTCTAATAAAACACCTTCAGCAATCTTGAAACTCATTGATTCTATAGATCATTCTGGGGAATATTGCCAACTTTAAAATACTCAATCTTCCAGTTCAATAATACAGGATACCTATCCACTAACTTAGCAGCTTTGCAATTTCACTCAGCAAATTTTTTGCAGTTTTAAAAATATAGGTCTATATCATTCAGCTTTAAAAAGGAAGAAAATTTTGACATATGCTGCAATATGAATGAACCTTGAAGACATTATGCTAAGTGAAATAAATTAGTGATGAAAGGGCAAATCAATTAGCAGTAATGGCAAGATCACTGCTGTTCAACCCAAGATTATCTTAACAGTCAGACTTGAGAGTAGTGGGATGGCTGTCTTGGAGAGTAGAGAATACCACATTTTTTTCTGGAAGGTTCCAATGGAGGTGATAAAGCAGCACTCACATGGAATATTATTCAGCCTTGAAAGGAAATTCTGACACATGCTACACAAGGGTGAACCTTGAGGACATTATGCCAAGTGAAATAAGCCAGTCACAAAGGGCAAATATTATGTGATTCCACTTTTATGAGGTACCTAGGGCATCCAAATTTATAGAGACAGAAAATCAAACAATGGTTTTCGGGGGGTAGAGGGAGGGAGAAAATGGGGAGTTATTGTCTAATTGGTACAGAGTTTGTGATGATGAAAATGTTCTAGAGACGAACAGTGAAGATGGTTGCACAACAGTGTGAATGCACTTAATGCCAATAAACTATATACATACAATGATTAAAACAGAAAATTTGTCATTATGTCTATTGAACCAGAATTAAAAAGTAGCAAATTTTTTCATTAGGTATACCTAACCACAGTAAAAAAGTACAAGTCTTCATTTTTTAAAATGATACCATTTTGAAAAAAGAGTACTAGTTTAGATGCTATTTTGAAAATAGATACTATTTTGAAAATAGTTTAGATACTATTTTGAAAAAAAATTTTTAATTTTTAAATTTTGTTTTCTAATTTTTTTATAGTATATAAACCCACAATTTTTATTTATACTAACGTCGAATGCAGTGACGTTGCTAAATTTACTTATTAATTCTATTATTTTTCAAAGTCCTTAGAATATTCCATGTAGACAACGATATCAGCAGCAAATAGAGGGTTGTATTTCTTGCTCTAAAATTTATAGCTGAAATTAATTTTTCTGATTTCAGTGCTTAATAATACCAGCAGTGAGCTAGGAATTCCTTGCCTTATTCCTGATTTTGGAAAGAAATCATTCAATGTTTCACTGCTAAGTGATATGTTAGCTGTAGGTGTTTTTTGATACCCCTTATCAGAGTGAGGAAGTTTTCATTTATTTCTAGTTTAAATTTTTTTTAATCAGAAACAATGTTATTAAATCAAGTTTAGCCTAAAGTTGCCACCTTACACATTTTAAGTTCACTCTACAAGTTTCTCCATACACAGTGAACTGTGACCTAACTGGATGTGTAAACAGACTATAGCCTACCCTTATACCAATCTCTGAGCTTCATTCAATCAAAGGCGACCAACTTTTCAAACCCTGTTTAAATAAGGCAAACACCGACCTGTAACCAATTCAGCAGTTTCTGTACCACACGTCCATTTTCTGTACATCACTTTGCATTTTCTATCCATAAATGCTCTCTGGCTATGTGGCAGTGCAGAGTCTCTCTGAAACTATTCTGGTTTCAGGGGCTGCCTGATTTGTGAATTGTTCTTTGTTCAATTAAACTCTGTTAAATATAACTTGTCTAAAGTTGTTCTTTTAACAGTGTTAAATTTCATCAAATACTTTTTTCTGCATCAACTAAAATTATCACATGATTTTTTTCTTTTATTCTATTGTTATGATGAATTAAACTGACTGACTTTCAAATGTTATACTAACCTTGCATTTCTAGGATAAACCCCACTTGGTCATGATATAAAATCCTTTTTATATAGGGCTAGAATTGATATTTTGCTAAGGATTTCTGTATCCATGTTCAAGAGCGATATTGATCTGTAGTTTCATTTATGTATTTGTTTTGTAATTTCTTTGCTGGGTTTTGAATAGAGTTTTGAAGGCCTCAAAAGAAGTTTGGAAGTATTCTTTTTCTACTTTCTGAAAGAGATTGCATAAAATTGGTAATAATTATTCCTTAAATATTTGATAGCATTCACTAGAAACCCACCTGGCCCAGGAATTTTCTTCATGTGAAGATTGTTAACAGCAAATTCAACTTCTTTAACAGAGGTAGAACTATTGATATTTTCTGTTTTATCTTGTGTCAGTTTTGGTAAGCTTTATTTTCAAGGAATGTGTTTGTTTTAATTAAATTTTGACCTAAGTTTGTTTATAATATTCTTACTGTTCACTTAATATTTGTAGAATCTGCAATGATAATCCCTCTTTCATTCCTGATATTACTACTTTATGTTCTTAATCTTTTTTCCTCTATCAGTCTATCAATTTTGCTCATCTTTTCAAAGAATCATCTCTTCATTTAATTTTTCCTCATTTCTCTGATTTCTCTTTCATTGACATTTAATCTAATATTTATTAGAAAATCTTTGTGTTTACTTTGCTTTTCTTTTTGTTGTTTCTTAAAATAAAACTTAAGTAATGGATTTTAGACCTTTAGTTTCTAATATAGGCATTTATTTTTTACATATCTAAAAAATTTTAATTTGTTGTATTTTTATTATCCAGCTCAAAATAATTATTTTATGCTTTATTGACCTGTATTATTTAGATGTGTGTTTAATTTTCAAATGTTTAGAGTCTTCTAGATTGTTATATTTCAATTGCATAATCAGATAAGTTACTCTGTATAATCTACCTAACTAAAGATTTGTTGAATTTGTTTTTATGGTCTATCTTGTTGATTTGAAATTATTTTTATGGTCTATCTTGTTGAATGTGTCACGTGCACTTGGAAGAGAATGTGTATTCTGTATATCTTGGGTGTGTTGTACTATAAACATCAATTAGACCAAGGTAGTTTATAGTGTTTGTCAGATTATCTATATCTTTACTAATATGTTTTGTTTAGTTTTTTAATCAATTGCTAAGAGACAAGTGTTAACATTTCCAAATATTATTTGAAATTTATTTTTCCCTTTAATTCTGTTAATTTTTGCTTCATTTATTTTGAAGTTATTAAGTGAACCTTCATTTAGAGTTGCTGTGTCTTCATGATAAATTGACTCTTAATAATGTGGAATGCGTCTATTTCTGGCAACACCATTTATCTTGAAGTTTTTCTTTTATTTGACATTAATATGGCAGCCAACACTCTTTGTGTTTGCTGTTTGTACATTATTTTTCCACTCATTTATTTTCAACTTATCATTGTATATATAAATTGTGTTATTATACAATATGTAGCTGAGGGTATGAAATTGTTTTTATTCCTATTTTGATAATTTCTGCTTTTTAGTTGTTTGCTTCACACTAATTAATTATTAATGTTATTTTATTTAGGCCTACCTTTCTATTATTTGTTCATCTCCATTTTATCTCTGTTCTTTATTTCTTGACTTCTTTTAGATTAATTAATATTTCATTAAAATTTTCATTTCAATTTTGTTGCTAGCTTTTTGGTTATGTCTCTTTGTAATTTCTTAAATTTGGTACTCTAGTGGATTACAATAAATAACCTTGACTTTTCACAGTACATTTTAGTTAATATTGTACCCTTCATGTAAAATGTGAAAATCTTACAATTGTATACACCTGTTTACCCCCCCAAGCCTGTTTCTTATGCTACAGTAATCATATGTACTACATATACTTCTATCATGAAACTAAAAACTAATTTCTGCTTTCAACAGTCAAATGTACTTTAAAGAAATTAATATGAAGAATATATTTTACAATATTTATCATTTCCAGTGCTTTTTGTTGTTTGCAAAAGACCTCAACTTTTTTCAAGTATCATTTGCCTACAGCCTGAAGAATTTCTTTTAGCATCCCTTGTAATCTCCAACTACTGTCAATGAATATTCTTCTTTTTGTTTCATCTGAAAGGAGTTTTACTTTGCCTTCATTCTTGAAGGTTATTTTCATGGGATATAAATTTCTGGGTTGAAAGTTTTGTTTTTCTCTTAGCTTTAAAGACGTTTATCTTCTGTCTTATGGCCTCGCTAGTTTCTGATGAGTATTCAGAAGTCTTTTGAATTATTGTTTCCCTATACATTATATGTTGTTTTTCTATAGCTGTTTTTTAGATTTTCCTTTCATTTTTGTTTTTAACACTTTGTTTTATTTATTTGTTTTTCAAGTTTCCACCATTTCATGTTTTTAGCACTTTGAGTATAATGTTCTTAGGCATAGTTTTCTTTATAATTATTCTGCCAAGGGCTCACTAACCTCCTTTAGTTACCATATTTATGTCTATGGCCAAATTTGAAAAAAATGTACACCATCCATTCTTCAAAATTTTATCAAGGCATTATATATACAACAAAAATTAACTATTTTAAAAAATATACAATTATTTTAAAGCTTATTGTATAGTTTAAAATACACAATTGGTGGTATCTAATACATTCACAAGGTTGTGCAACTGTGGTCTCTAGCTCAAAAATGTTTTCATTACCCCAAAGAAGAGCCTGTACCCATTAAGTAACCACTCTCCACCCTTTCTCCATCCAACCCCTGACAACCACCAGTATGCTTTCTGTCTCTATGGGTTTATCTATTTCAGATATTTTATATAAATAAAATTGTATAATATATGACCTTTCATGCTTGTCTTCTTTTGCTTAGCATAATGTTTCCAAGGTTAGTCCATGTTGTATTTAATAGTATGTGTCAGTACTTAGTTCTTTTTGCCAAAAAATATTCCATTATATGTCTATATCACAGTTTGCTTGCTCATTCATCCACTGGTGGACATTTGACTTGTTTTCACCTTTTGGCTATTGTGACTAATGCTTCTGTGAGCATTCATATGCAAGCATTCATGTGCAAATATCTGTTTAAATACCTCTTTTTAATTCTTTTCCTCAGTGGCTGCACCATTTGATGTTCCCTCCAGCAATATATAAGGTCCCAATTTTTCCACATCCTCACCAACACATTTTTTTTTGTTTTCTTTTAAATAGCCATCTTAGTGAATGTGAAATTGTATCTTTTTGTAGTTTTAATTTGTATTTCTCTTATAACTAATGATACCAAGCATTATTTTTCATGTGCTTCTTGGCCATTTGAATACCTTTTTAGAGAAATATCTTTCAAGTATCTTGACCATTTTAAATTGAATTATGGTCTTTTTGTTGTTGAGTTGTAAGAATACCTTATATATTCTGGATATTAGACCTTTAATAGATATATTATTTGCAAATATTTCTCCCATTCTATTGGTTGCCTTTTCACTATCTTTATAAGGTCCTTTGATGCACAAGAGTTTTTAATTTTGATGAAGTCTTATTTTTTGTGTGTTTGTTCCTTGTGCTTTTGTGATCTCAATTTCTTCTGTTCCATTGTATATCTTTTATCCTCAGCAATTACAATTATATACACATTAGATTTTAGACATTGTCTTACAGTTTTATGAGGCTCTCTTATCTCCAGACTCTTTTCCTTTGCCATTTCCATTCAGTTTTTAAGTCCACCCAAAAAATATTTCTTTTACATCATCATACATAGCTGCTTTAAAACCCATATAATCTAATTACAGTTGGTCTTAGTAGATTGTTTATTCTCTTGAGAGTGGATCACATTTTCCTAGTTCTTCAAATGTCGAGTAACTTCTTATTATATCCCGAAAGGCGATATTATAGATTCTGTTATATTCTTCCAAAGAATGGGCTCTTTCTTTTAGTAGACAGTTAACTTGGTTGAATTCAAGTTACAAAAAAATCTTTTTGGGAACAGCTCAGATCTCAATTCAGTGCCCTTATCTCTAGCTGGACTGCTTTGATTCTGCCCACGTATGTGTGGTTCCTTGGTTATCTAGAAATTTGGGCAGAATTTATTTCCAAAATGTGGGGCTCACTCTCTTGTTCTTTTTTTTTTTTTTCTGAATCCTTACCTACCTCAGTTTTCAGCAAAGGTAATTTCCCTGAACTCTGTTCTCTGGTTCTTTAGTTCAGAAAGTCTGTCTCTTTTCTGTTGGAGTTTTAGGCTTTAGCCTACTTTCAGACTAATACCTGCAATAATGAAAAAATGCACCTCATTCTTTTTCCTTCTGGCAAGTTTTGGCACTTATTTACAGTCTGTCTTATTTTGTTCACTCCCTAGTTTCTACAAATATTTTTATGTTTTGTTCAGAGTTTAGAATTGCCATTCATAGGAATGTAGACCATGATGGGGCTTACTCTGCCATACCAGATACAGAATTGCCTCTAGTTCGTTGAAAATATTTCTATCACAACACTATATTTGATTATATAATAGCTATTTATGCTTTATTTTTCCTGTCCGACTACATTCTTGTTGTGCATAAAGAAGAGTCTTCTTTTAAAGTTGTGAAAATATATAGTCTTTTTTTTTTTTTTTCTGTTTAATGAATTCCTTTTGGAAACTCCTGCTACTGCTTCTGAGATAGTATCTCCATCACACAGACTCATATTTCCCTGTTTAAGGGATTTGGCCATTTGGAGACAGTTTATCACCTTATGTTATTAAAATTTGAATGGCCCACGTAAGCCAGAAACTGCCATGAGTCTCCTTCGCGACATGTAGAGAGAGGTTTCCTGAAATGAAAACCTGTAAGGAGTAAGATGACCTGAGAGAAACAGAATGGAAGAGAGGATCTTGGTGGCATAATTTAACTTTAGAATTCCCTTTTGCTTAAAGCCAATTTCACTCCTTTGCCCTCCAAGTTACAAAAGTCATAAATATCTATGAGAAAAGAGTTTGCATTCACTTTCTGACACTGACAACATATATAATACTAAATCCTCTATACCTGGAAAAGATAGATAGTGAATTCTTGGATAATAAGTGAATGACTGATGATAGGTACATATACAATATTACTGGAAAGGGGTAGCCTCTGAGTGAGCATGGCATAGGCATCCCTAATTATCAATGAGGTCACTTACAGGGAAATCAAACCACCTTAGTTCATCTTTCAATGTTGTTCAGGACTGACCTGACCTCTATCTGGAATCTGTGTATCCATTTTCACCTCTGCTAATATCTAGGCAAGCAATGAAATAGACATTTGATTTTTGTGGACAGCCTTCTTATACATTTCCTCATTTTCAATAATAAGAGCAAACTGGTGACATGCATGTTTGCTAATTTTTTTATTGCTTGTGCTAAGTGTTCCATTTTGAGAAGAAAGCAATTTGGCAGTGTTTAGTGACCCTCTTTCTTAGTGTCTTCACCTTGGCATGTTTTTCTGTCTCTGTCAGACCTGTGAGAAGATAGTTGTTGCTCAGTGATATGTTGTTCACAGAGGGGAAAGCCTCAGTCACAGGGTCTGTCTCCAGTAACATTTACAACACAGGGAGTACCATAACCAGCAGAGTTTGTGAAACCTCTTTCTTACAGCGTGCCAAGAATTCAATCTGTTTCTGGTTCCTGCAAACTAACAAAGCTGTTGCTATGTTATCACTCTAAAAGATGAAGCCATATAGTCATATGTAGGCTTCCCTTTATACAGTAAATACTATCCACTGATAGACCAAAAGCTTAGAAAACTGTATCTCAAAGGTTAACGTGTCTATTAGCAGCATGTTGACAATCTTCAGCACAAGGTGCGTACCTTGTTGATAATGTCTAAACTAGTCTATATCCTTCCATTGACGTCAGCAATAGCTTAAAATTCCAACTGCTTTGATTGACCCAAGATTTAAATTTAATAGCAGAAACATAATTATAAGAGAAATAAACTTTGGGGGGGGGGAAATTCCAACTGTGATATAATTAATATGTTTCTAATACATAACTAATAAAAATTATAACAACAATCCATCAAGGATCTCAGAAGAAGACGACAAAATAAAGGTTAAGAAGATAAAAAAATTTCTTAGAAGAGGAAAAAATAGATTCTGTGTGAAAAAGCATTTAAGTTACTAATCAAAGTAATATAAATTAGGAGATATTATTTCTTTACACATTATATAAGCAAAGAAGTAAAAACAATGTTATTGATACAAGTAGAGTGAGGCAAACATTTTTTATATCAGTTGGTAAGCATGCAAACACAGAACCTTTATGGGAAAAATGGAAAAAAATGTGTTTTCTGTATCTATTTACATATTAACTTTTTTCAGAAAATAATTTCAAGTTTATTAAAAGGATACACAAATATAACAAAAGGGATATTTGAAAAAAGAAAGAAACAAGGAAAGAAGGAAGGATCAGAATAAAGAGGAGAGGGGAAGGTGAAGAGAGTAGAGAAGAGGACAGGAGAGGAAAGAAAAGGAAAAAGGAGAAGAAAGGAGAGATGAGAGAAGAGGAGAAGAGAAAGGGGGAGGGGAAGGGAAAATAAACTAATGTTGGAGGCAAAATGCAGCTGAAAATAAGTTTGAAAATCAATACCTTGAGAACTTCACCAAGCTTTTTAAGCCATTTACCAGTCAATGGGATAAGAAGAATTACTATGAAGGAAAACTTTTCTTTCTATCATAGTCCACTAAATCTTTTAAATTACATGTGGATGCTTCCACACAAACCAATGGAAGTTACCTTGCTTGCTTTTCAGAACCTCAGAGATGGTTACTGCGACAGTCTTCCAGAAACACATACTATAACTATTGGAACTTCTCCTCTCCCCACTTTGGATAGAAGAGGTCATCTTTGTACAAAGAGATTTTTGTTGTTTTACTGAAATTTAAGTATATGTAGAAGGGTGTATACAGATTATGAATAGCCAAAGGGGTAGACGGTATTGGTTATTAAGATATTATATCTCAGCATCAAACCTATGCTTCTCTGCTGTTTTCTGATGCTGGAGTTGGACCTCTGTAAAACACATTTCTCCTTTACCAGCTGCATCTTGCTTAGGATCTGCTCATAGGGATGCTGGAAGAAAGACTTGAAGGCTGGAAGAGGAAGAAGCACTCATTTCTATTTTGCTTCTTGTTCCCACCATGTCACTGTAGCAATGGTTTGTTAATTACAGCTTGTGCCAGCAGCATTACTTCCAATGTGTAGTTCTCTCTAACCCTAGAACCAGCATCGCTGCATGTGCTCAGGAATGCAAATGCAACTGCAAGCAGCACCCCTTCCTCAGAGGTCAGAGTCCTGAATCCACAAGGTTCCTCCTTCATGTTCTTAGGTTTCTATAATTCCAACTTCTTCCCTTTTCTCTTCTCTGCAGGCTTACAGGTGCAGTTACTTCCTCTGGGATACCTCCCTGTCACATTTTGCCTTGATACCTTATATTAAATTTTCTCTGTAGAATAACTCTCCTGACTGAAGCTGGACTGATACAATGGAAATAATATCTGTATTATAAAGCTGTGTGGGTGGTGTGTATTATACACTCTAATTCTCTAAACAAGTCTATGTATTAGTATATGTTTTGTACGTATTATGTATAAATATATTTTGTACATAATATACTTAGAACAGTATGTGGCACATAATTTATTCTCAGTAAATATTAGTGTTACTACTAATAAAAATTAATTGCACTGCCTTGAGAACTGGCATTTTGATGTATAAAAGTCCTGATTTCAGCTAATAGAGTTCATGTTAACTGCAAACTTCAAGACACTTTCAAAAAAGTGAAAAATATATATAGCGAAGGCAAGGGAGTTTACCTAAGTTTTCTGAAATGAGAAATAACACAGTATTTTTTTCACTGAAATAACCTTGGAATCTTTATTTCCTTTCCTTTCTTTTTGGATATCATATGGAATATGGAATATGGTGGTCGTGAATCTTGATATGCCAAGAAATATATGAAGCAAGAAGATAAACTACTATGCATTAACCTCTTGCTATGTACCAGCTAATTTTCAGTATTATCCCATGCACCTTCACCATAAATCTAGTGGGTTAGGTATTATTATTCTCATTTTGTAAATAAGGGAACACAGATTCAGACAGCTTATAAATAGCTAGTCTTGTGTTACATATATTGGCAGAGGCAGAGCTAGGATGTGAAATGAGATTCGTATCTACAAATACATAAATATCATTAGAAAGGAAATGTCAGGGTATGCGCACATGGATGCGGAAGATTGCAACAAATGTAAGAGGTAAAGAGTTAAAGTCCACACAATGTTGAAAACTTTTTATAATCCAGTGAGAAAAAACTCCAGGAAACTCAAAGAAGAAACTTGAGCAGGGTCACACAGCAAGCGTGTGCTATAATCAGAGTTACAACTTGAGACTGATCAGTAGACAGTAGTCTTCCATCTAAACCTCACTTATCATGGAATTAACACCCCTACTGCTCATTTGAAAGAATAACCCAACTCCAGTCATGAAATCCATTGGCTTATATGAATTGTGAACTCTGTGGGATTAAAAAAAATCCCTTTCGACTACTAGAGGAATAAAACACGTTATTTACTAAAGTTTAATTAGACATATAATGACTTCTTCACAGGGAGAAAGAAGAAAGAAAAATCTACATTTCCAAGTGCATGGAATGATATTGCCAGAAGAGATCTGGCAAAGAGGGCCATTAGTGGTCATTAGCCTTTGTCTGCCAGGAAAAATTAACTTTTGTCTTCTTATAAAAAGGTTTACCCTGAAAGGTTTCTATTGATGTTACTGAAGTAAAGAAATTCTCTGCAGGTAAATTTTACATGGGGATATGTTATTTAATGCTAACGGGCTATAGAAGGGAGAATTTTCATGGAAGCATGTCAATGCTAAACATGAAGAAATATTTCCATGTGGGATTGGCTTGAATCCCATTAACATAGGTACTTCGCAATCTAGGAGTCCCAGGAAATGCAAATTATCCATTTCTAAAAGTATCAATTTTTAAAGGTTTTAAGTTTACTCTGTCATAGACTCCATTAAGCACTGTATTAGTCATAGACTAGGTTTATGCTGTGATAACATAAACTCATAATATCAGAAGCTAAAGACAACGAAGGTTTTATTTTCTGCTCATATGGAGTCTCTTCCAGGCATGGCTGGCTCTCCAGAGCAGCTGCCCACGTGATGACTTCGTCCTCCAGGCTTCTTTAACTTCATGTCACCAGCACACCAATATGAGCCTCCACAATCATTGTGTAGCGAAGGGCAGACTGCAAAGTCCAGCACTAGCAATGAACTATTTCTACTTAGAAGTGACAGATTATCTACACTCATATTCCATTGGCTGTGTCATGTGACCACTCCTGGCCTCAAGGACATGGGGAAAGCAAACCAGATAATGGCAAAGTGTGGCAATGTCTACCCAGTGTCTCATTTACACTTCCCACAACCCTGTGATGTAAATACAATATTATCTTCTTTTTGCAAATAAGAAACCTGAGTCATAGAGTCATTAAATACATTTCCCGGTGTCACAGAGATATAGAGTGACAGAACTAGGATTCAAACATCAGTTGGCTAACCCCAAAAATGTGCTCTAGCCACCGTGCCTTCCTACGTTCCTGGATGTATTTTGCATGGGCTCCTGAATGGATGTCTAATTTCTGCCATGATTATTGCTCTCAGGGAACACTCCCCTAAGAACAGAGTTGAGAAAAGTTTAAAGTAACTTTGAGTCTCTATCTTAGCAAGAGAGAGGAACAACCCACCAGGGATCACACTAATAATGTTGCAACAGACTACTTAAGCTTTTTAATTTCTTCGAGTTTTTTTCTTTTACCTCCTGTATTCTCCAGACCAATGAGCAGGAAAACCTTTATAGGGAAAAGGATCCTGTGAGCTTGTCTTTGGGTGAAGCAAAGAAGACAATGTCTAGGGAGATGACATTCCTTCTCTACAGTCTTTTGTGCAGAAGATCCGCCCTCCTATAGCTACCAACAGATAGAGTGGTGGTAACCTTAAAGAGAAGAGAGTAGACTGTGTCCCTGAGGTCTGCTGTAGGAAACAGAAACAGCCCTCCCTGGACGGAGAAATGCACCTGAACAAAAGCAAGGCTCTGCTGCTCTGACCTATCCACGTTAGGATGTGGTTTTGTTTCTCTGGCATTGAAATGGGAGGGCAAGGTTATCTGCTGTTCTCTTATGACCTCTGTCACATTTATTGTGACACATACGTAGTATGTCTAAGGGATACTACTAGCTTTAAAGAACTTATAATCTGGTAAAGCACATGATACAGGAGCACAAATAAGGACAAATGGCAGATGCAAGAGAGGTCCAAGCAAAGTGAAAGAAGAGAAATTGATTTCATCTGGAAAGACAGACCCAAAAAGAGTTCATACGAGTGAGCATCTACACCTGGAATGGGCTTGGAGATAAGGACAGAAGCTGTGCTGGTACAGACAAAAGGCAAAAATATATAAAAGAGAGCAAAACAATTAGAAAAGGAATGAGGTGCCTGTAGTCCCAGCTACTCAGGAGGCTGAGGCAGGAGAGTGGCGTGAACCCAGGAGGCGGAGCTTGCAGTGAGCCGAGATCGATCGTGCCACTGCCCTCCAGCCTGGGCGACAGAGTGAGCCGTCTCAAAACAAAAGAAAAAAAATAAATAAAAAAAAAAAAAAAAGAAAAGGAATGAATACAAAAAGGCCTAGCACTGATTTGAGAAAAAGTCAGCAACCCAATTTGGATAAATCATCCAATTTGTAAAAGATTTATATCAAGATACATAGGGAAAGCTATGTTAGAATATACCCAAAGGATTATAAATCATGCTGCTATAAAGACACATGCACACATATGTTTATTGCGGCACTATTCACAATAGCAAAGACTTGGAACCAACCCAAGTGTCCAACAACGATAGACTGGATTAAGAAAATGTGGCACATATACACCATGGAATAACATCCAGCCATAAAAAAGGATGAGTTCATGTCCTTTGTAGGGACATGGATGAAACTGGAAACCATCATTCTCAGCAAACTATCGCAAGGACAAAAAACCAAATACCGCATGTTCTCACTCATAGGTGGGAACTGAACAATGAGAACACATGGGCACAGGAAGGGGAACATCACACTCCGGGGCCTGCTGTGGGGTGGGGGGAGGGGGGAGGGATAGCATTAGGAGATATTCCTAATGTTAAATGACGAGTTAATGGGTGCAGCACACCAACATAGCACATGTATACATATGTAACAAACCTGCATATTGCACACATGTACCCTAAAACTTAAAGTGTAATAATAATAAAAAAATAAAAAAAAGAACTAAGTCATAGAGATCTTGGAGGATTTTTTCTTGTGACAATCTACTGGATGGCTTAAGTTAGCACATTAAGACTAAGACCCCTACAGTAAAAAATATACAGAATATTTGATGTTGCCAAAGAAAAGAAGTTAGACTGCGTACTCAGGTTTCAACTGTAACTCCACCACTTAATCACTATGAAACTTTGAGAAAATTATTTAAATTCTCTGTTCTTAATTTTCTCACATTTGAAATGGGAATAATGTTAATTAGGGGTTGTTGGGGATTCAGTTATAGAAGAGATGTGAAGAGATCAAAATCATACCTGGCACATGGTAATCAGTCAATTAATGCTAATTTTTATTAGCTGCTCTTATTTCTTGACACATACTATCTCCCTCTTAATTTGGGATATGGCAATAACTGACACAATATTAATTTCCCTGTAGGAAGGGTTGGCACTCAGCATAAATGTTAAGTTCACTCACAACTCCCTGAACTTAAAGTTAATTCTCAAGTTAACACAAATCTGCTAAAAACACAGAACTCATCTGCAGGCTAGAAAAGAGCAAAGATGGGCTCAAAAAAAAAAAAATCAATTTAGAGACTACCCACACAATGCTATTCACTAAAGTGTTGTGTCTCAGAGTGATTCCCTCTTATTTTACAACATACCAACAAACGTAGAGATAAACTGAACGTGCCTGTTGACAGCCTCTACGGAGCTGCCGACTGAATGGAGCATCTTTGAGGTAGAATAAGGTGTTAAACCATTATCGTTGTCACTGGTGTTTTGATTGGGTGAAAGGGCTGGTTGTAGATTTGGTCTCTACACATATTCTCATGCCCCCTCTATTACAAGCCAGAGGCTAGGGAGAACATCTTTTTTCTAGGCTTGACTCAACACTTCTAGACCCTCTGCTTACTCCAAATTTAGGGGAAGGCATAAAAAGTTACCTAAGTGACTTGAATGTACAACTTAGGCAATACATTTTTTTGTTATTGTTGTTTAGAAAAAAAAGTAGTTTTCTCGGTTCTCCCAAAGGCTGTACCTGTAGCCAACACTAAATAACTTGCTTAAAATGTGGCCAACTGTGCCATTTATTTTATTTAAATTGTGGTAACAAGGAGCTGAGTCATTATGAAGACTGAAAACTCTGTCTTAATTTCTTTTTGATCATGCAATTTCACAGTGACTAGGAAAAACAGTTCAAGACAGAATAGCATAATAAGAATGATAGTTGTGGAGATTCAGAATATTTAAAAGGAATTGTTTAGCCAAAAGGGTGAAGGCTGAGAGGTGACATAGTAATCATCTCAAGTATTTTTTCTTCTTATGAGAGAAAAAGTAGCACTGATTGAGTTTCTAATATATTTTTATGTGCTATGCCATGGATTTATATATGCTTTCATGCCATCACATAAGAATCTCATATAATAAACAAGGGAACAGAGGCTTGGAGAGGTTAAATTACTTACCTGAGATTAATCAATTAGTGGATAACAGAGACAGAACTTAGTTGATTAAATAGGTAGTTAATCAAGAGAAAATATATTTGATAACAAAGCTGTTACTTCAGAAAATTGGTTGCTTCCTGGTATTTATTGTAATAGCATTTGAAATTTACAAAACAAAGCAGAACAGAAAACTTCTTTTATCTTGACATTTATATTAGATTCAAGTATATCACTAGGTAATATAAGGCCTGGAAAATATTTCTTAACTAGTGTTTTATGATATAAAGCTGCACATGTGGGACATGAATTCTAAGCCCTGAAATAACAAGGAGGGAGAGGGTGCATATCTGTTCTTAAGGTTGTTCACAGCACAATGCTTAAAGAATTGCTTTGAATTAAAAATGTCAAAATCAGTGTTACTTGGCTCACTCTCTTGAATCTTTTCAATTCTGTACTAACTAGCCAAACATATCACTTCAAACAAAGATAACAAAAATCCATTCTTTCCATATTTGTATGAAATTTAATTTCTTCTGCTCCTACCCCCACATTTTCAAAATGCCTGAACCACAAAATGAAGGGAATGAGTAACAACAGTGGTTTGGACAATGCCTTCAGGAGCTTTCCTATCAGGAAAATGGTTTATAAATGAAGTCTAGCTAAACCAAGATAATTCATTGATTTAAATATAGTCATTCTTTCTTATTTGGCTCCTAAGATTAGTTCTGAATTCTGACCGATGGCCACACCATTGCTTACATGTTATTCTGCCCTTTCTCATCCTGGAGGAAAGCTCTGAACCCAGAATCATTTCTATGCAACAAACAACAGTGAAGCACTTTCCCCATACCAGGTACGGGGCTGGACACTCAGGAGGGAGATGAACAAGCAGACCCTCTTCTCAAGGAGCTCACAGTCCCTGTGTAGTGAAACAAATCATTACCATATATTGTGTAACAATAGAAAGTGGCCCAGAAAAGGGAGAAAAGCTGGATTTGTGGGAGATCGTCTTGAGACTGTGGAATCTTAAAAGAAGAAAACAAGTTATGGGATTAACAGGAGAGAAAGAGACTTGCTGCTGTACCAAAGAAAATGCTTAAATGTCCATCTCTGGGGAAGACTTAGATCTTATTGTCTGTAGAATCTTACCTGGGAAGTTTTTTAAACTTCCACATGAGAGGACTAATTTAATCATAACTTGAAGCAGCAGCAACATAGGACATATTTATTTATAAAATCTTTCTCTAGACATTGATTTTGTGAGAGTGTGAAAAATCAGACAGATTTTCAACTTATGAAAGGAACAGCCCTTTGTATGTGTTATTTTAATTGTGTAATTTGGCATCTATACCTGAGAAATAGCAGATGGACCTTACAGGATAGAGCAAGCAACATGGATAATTTTTTCCCTCTTCTTTTAAAATAGCTTCCAATAATAAATATTAATAAATTCTAAAAAGACTATTTAGTCATCAACAAGATCGTCTTTATTTTTCTGTTGGCTGGAAAACCCTTAAGCAAACTCATTTATTTTCTTTAACTATCACAAAGTAGTCACAGTCCTTTAGGGATTTCTTGCTTAGCATTCTAACCATGTGTGTGCCTCAAGGTACTCCTTTCAATGGGATGAACTTAGACTACTTACCAGAGGAAACAAGGAGGCAGAGGAAAACAAGGAAAAAATGTAATAAATTACATTTTTAGGAAGGAAGGAAAAAATGTAATAAAAAAGAATCTAGGCTGGGTGCAGTGATTCATGCTTATAATCCAAGCACTTTGGAAGACCAACATGGGAGGACTGCTTAATCCCAGGAGTTTGAGAACAGCCTGGGCAACACAGTGAGACCCAGTCACTACAAAAAAAAAATTAAAAATTAGCTGAGTGTGGTGGCATATGGCTGTAATCCCAGCTACTTGGGAAGCTGAGGCAGGAAGATCGTTTGAGCCCAGGAGGTTGAGGTTGCCATGAGCCGTATTTGTGCCACTACACTTTAGCCTGGGCAACAAAGCAAGGTCCTGTCTCTTAAAAAAAAAAAAAAATGTAAACCACAAAGTCATTCTGAGTTGAAGCCATCCTCTGGAGTCAGGCTCCCTGAATGTGAATCTCACCTTTACTGTTTATTACTTAATAGACCTTGAGCTACTTACTTACCCAAGGCCTTCTCCTCTCATCTGTGTGGGCCTAATAACAAAACCTACCCCTATGAAGTTGCCATTTGAAATAAAGAGAAAAGACACATCATACATCTTAGCACAGTGCCTGCCATAAAGCACATAATATTAATTTATCTTCTATTATTTCAAAAAAGCCCAATGTTCAAATTGAGTGTCTTTGGATGAACAAATGTTATCCTCTCTAAAAGGGATGGGTTGATGTTTGTTCAAGACTCTCCATACCCTTAGGTTCCTTCCGCCACCTGCCAATATGCCTGCTGTCATTTCCTGCAATTATTCCTTCTTTAATGATCTCTTTTTTCTATTTAATTTGAATTTATTTAGAAAAACATAGGTTTTGCTATAAAGGAGTCACTACTTTTCTCAAATTAAAGTACTGAAAATATCCAGTAAATAAAACAAAACAAAACAAAAAACGTTTCCTAGAGTCTCTAGATTGATACAGAGCACCAGGCTATTTATCAAAAGTAGAGTTTACACATTTAAATTTTGCAAGGGTAAAAATATTCCTTGAGCAGGATTTACGGCATGAGCAAAAGTGTAGAGTCATAGTTGTAGAATTTTAGGATTCAAAGCGATCCTAAAGAATGTCAAGTCCAATGTCTTCATTTTACAGTGCAGAAAGCTAAAATCCAGAAACAATTAGTAACTTTTTATTTATTTATTTATTTTTTTTTGAGACGGAGTCTCGCTCTGTCGCCCAGGCTGGAGTGCAGTGGCGCGATCTCGGCTCACTGCAAGCTCCGCCTCCCGGGTTCACGCCATTCTCCTGCCTCAGCCTCCTGAGTAACTGTGACTACAGGCGCCCGCCATGACGTCTGGCTAATTATTTTTTTGTATTTTTAGTAGAGACAGGGTTTCACCGTGCCAGCCAGAATGGTCTCGATCTCCTGACCTCGTGATCCGCCTGCCTCAGCCTCCCAAAGTGCTGGGATTACAGGCGTGAGCCACCGCGCCCAGCCGACAATGGGTAACTTTTTAAGAAAGTTTAAGCCAGTTCATGAACTATAGGACTCTCTCACAAGTCCTCCGAGGTGCAGTCAAGTGGCCTTTTGCTGGGCCTAGAAGAGGCTAATAAAACCCCACATAGTTCCAGCATCCTAAGGAAAACAGAGAAAAACAGAGAGACAAGTACCGTTTCTCAGGCCCTGCCCCAGAATAGACCCCTGCCACAGTGGAGAAGTTGGGGCTGCTCTACCTTTGCCTCAACCCCCATGGTTCTGGTATGACAGTAAATCAGAACTGAGAGGCATGGTGACCCAAAACTGTTCACACTGAATAGTGAGAAGCAGATTCACTGTGCACTGGTTATCAGCGTTTCTGAGTCAAGTGACAGAGAAGCCCACACACAAAACAAGTTATCTGAAATGCATTTATTACACACAGGCAGCAAGGGACAACAGAAGCCTAGGGTCCATTGTGAGGCATTCCCCGAAGGCTCGGGAAAGCTGCCTGGTGCAGATGGAGTTTTTTCTACATATGTCCCACTTGCACCACAGCTGAGGGACCCCCAAAAGGCAGCCTACCCCTGGGTTATATACCTCAGGGTCACGTGACCCACTGGGCTAAGGAACTGAATGATAATCTTTTTCTTAAGACGGTCTGGAACAGAGACCAGGCTCTTCTAGCCAGTCCTTCTTCATCTCAGGCTGTTGCATTTCCAACACATTCTACAGTTATTCTTAAAAAGGAAAAGTAGAATAGGGGAGAACTGGGGGATCTAGGGTCACCCAAAGAACTATCCTGCAATTAGTCCAAGATTACAGGACCTATTCAGACCAATTAAACCTGGGAGAGAGATCCTCTTCCCTTGGTAACATGAGTGACAATGAGGTCTGTTTCAGGCTGCCTACTGTCAATTTGTCCATCATACAGAGAAAGTCTTTCTGTAGTAGGATAGAATGAAGTCAACAAGTTAAAAAAAAAAAAAAAAAAGCCAACAAAAACAACGAGTGAGCTGGAAAATGATGACAATATATGATGACATAGTTAAGCCACCCAAATCCCACCATGCAGAAAGGCCATTCTTCCTTGGACTTCCTGGCCACATGAGCCAATAAATTACCTTTTCAGCTTAAATGGATCTAAGATAGGTT
Source organism: Homo sapiens (assembly GCF_000001405.40). Lineage (NCBI taxonomy): Eukaryota > Metazoa > Chordata > Mammalia > Primates > Hominidae > Homo > Homo sapiens. The sequence goes on from NC_000008.11 coordinate 117,384,193, forward strand.
ATTTGTATTTGCAATGGAAAATGTCCTAATGCAAATACTTATAAGTTGTTTTACCACTATATACGTAATATCCACCTAATTTGACAGCATTTGTTTAGTGATTCACCTTTATTTAATCTTTTCAGAGAATTCAGCTTAATTTCTACACAAACAATAGCTCCATTTCTTTGTACACTCATATTTTATTGGTTTTATAATAATTATATAATTACAATAATAAATGCAACTGGCATAATTAGGCTTGTGAACAAATAAAATGGACTTTTTGGAAGCTTAAAATCCAACCTGTGGGAGCAGAAGTGCTTGGCACAGTAGAGAGTAGTCTACTGTTCAGGAGTAAGTGGAGTGCCAAGGGCATCCAACATTTATGCTTTTTACAGGGGAAAAGAAGAACATTGATTAACCCATCATGATAGTTAAGTAGAGATTGGTTAAAAGAGCTTTTGTTTTACATTCTTTTATTTCACACTCTTAGCACATTACCAGGTACATATTAGGAGCTCAATAGATGTTTGTTAAAGAAAATAACTCTATAAATACTTCTAGAGCTCCTACTCTGGGCAAAGCTTTGTCCTAATCACTGAGGGGGAAACAAAGAAGTATAAATTTTCTTTTCAGCTTTCACAGAGCTTATGTGTAACAAGGGAGTATATTAATTAAAAATTGCCTCTGGCTGCCAGTAACAGAAAGCTGAAATAACAGTGTTTAAACGAATTAGGTGCTTATTTGTTCACATAACATGAAGCCCCGAAGTTTAGCAGCCCAGGACTAGTATAATCATTCAGTGAAATTGTCAGAAGTCAAGGCTCCTTCTATCTTCCTGCTTTATCATCCTACAGCACACTTTCTGCCTTCAAAGCCACCTTACGGATTGTATTAATCAGAGTTCTCCAGAGTAACAGAACTAATAAGATATGTGTACCTATAGAAAGAGATTTATTGTAAGAAACTGGTTCATGAGATTATGGAGGCTGAGAAGTCCCAAGATTTGTAGTCACCAAGCCTAGGAGAGCTGATGGTGTAGTCTTAGTTCAAAAGTCAGCAGGCTCCAGACCCCAAAAGAGCTGACATTTCAGTTTGAGTCCAAAAGAAGGAAAAGGTTCTATTCTGGTCTTTAGCTGATGGGAGGAGGCCCATCAACATTGGGGAAGGCAATCACTCAGCCTACCAATTCAAATGTTACTCTCATCCAGGAACACCATCACAGACATACCCAGAATAACATCCAGCTGAATGCATGGGCACCCTGTGGTCCAGTCAAGTTGACACACAATTAACCATGACATCAATCCAGTTGGTTGCTACAGCTCCAAACCTCAGAACCAATTATCAGATTTCAGGGAGGAGAAATGTATACTAAGGGACACATTTGTCAGTGAGTTAATAAACTTTTGAAACCTTACTCTACTTTTCATGTAACTTCTTGTTGACATATCATTGGCAAGAACCAATTATAATTTCATGGGCACACTTAGCTGAAAAAGAGCTGGGGAAATATCTTCTTTAAACTGAAATCACTGTCACCCAATATTAGGTTGGTACAAAAGTAATTGCGGTTTTTGCCATCCCTTTTAATGAAAAAATTGCAATTACTTTTGCGCCAACCTAATAAAACTGGGGTTCTATGACTAATGAAAAAGAGCAAACTGACATTGAAGAGGGCTACCAGCAATCTCTTCTACAGGGAGCTAAATTGTGTGAAACTCCAAATTCTTCATGAGGACTTCAGACTAAGAGCAGACATGAAGCCTTCCTTAAAAATAATTAAATGCAAGTTCATGCAGAGGAAATTTAATAGAGAAGAACATTTATTGCCCCTCAACATGAAGCAGAGAGTCAAATGGGCACAGAATAATAAATGGTTTGCTTCCTAAAAACCTCATTATTGCCTTATGTTTTTCAAGATCATCTTCATTGGTAAAAGGTTTTCATTCAACTTCTAATTAAAATTCTAACGTTCAGAAGCCACTTTAGTCTGAAAGGCAAAGCACAAATGGTTTAGGATAAAAAGATGCCCCATGTCATGACACATTTCTTAAGAATGACTACAACAGCATTCCCCTGAAGTGTGAATGTGACTTTAGTCTTACCACATACATGGCCCAAAGAGTAGAATTCCAAAGCATCTAAATAAATTGGAGCCCCCAGGAGTGATAAATACTACGTTTGTCTCACTGCCTTCCTCCCTTTGACAGCCCTTCTCCTTGTTAATAAGCATTTTTTAGGTTCTTAACCTCGCAACAAGCCTTGTTTCTCAGATCACTAATGATTACCCCCTCTTGCAGTGACATGCTCAACAAACACTCCATTTCAGATCCTGAAAAACTTGTGAAAATGAAACAACACCAGATTTTCTCACTGACATCACCCTGCTTCTAGTGACAGATCTGAAATGCCTGTGCATGCTAAATTTAGTGTTAAAAAAACTTTAGCTGGTGTTCAAACTGTCAGAAACGCTGTGGAGGGCCCTGACTTGTAAGAAGATGTGGCTTATTGTTTTGACAATTCTAGTTTTTCCTCCTTCTATGTCCTGCAAGGTTTTAAAAACACAGGTGAGATAAGAGTAAAAGATTTTCCATCTTCCCTTTGGATCAACAATTCTCATCCTTTGGGGAACTCACCTTTTGCTTTATTCTATGATACACCTTTCCTTTCACCTTCTGAAGACATTTTATGGCAGGAATTTATTGTTTCAATTTCAATTAATTTTGTTTTGACAATCTCTTGACACTATTTTATGGTTGAAGACACCCTGGGGTGTGGCAAAACCAAGATTGTGAATTACTGATCCCTTTGTTCAAAGAAAACAGTTTCCCTTTTATGAGAAGGCCAAGATAAAAAGGACTAGAAGGCAGTAAATTGAGACTGCAAATTCTCTAACAGGACTCCAAATTTGTTATTAACTCTGCCTTCCTTAATGGAAAATATAGAAGAGAAAATTGCAACTGATGAAGAATGGTTTAAACTCCTGAAAAAACTTGAAAGGATTCTGGATTTTTTTTATTTTTAAGAGAAATTTTATTTCTTTTTTCATGACAAAAATAAAAGAGAGGAAAAGGAATGTCTCTAAAATTTGTGAAGCATTATGACAAGGAGATGCTTATATCATTAATCTCAAGGCTCTATGGTGTAGTAACATTATTTTCAAACTGCTGCTTGGAACCATTTACACAAGAAGAATATGTTAGGGGATTTAAGGGAGGGGTCACTATCCTGGAGGCTTGGACGAGAGAAGATATACATACAGAGACACACAGAAACAAAAGGAACACAAAACTGTGAGTAAGAAACTTATTTTATTACTTATTCTTCCATTAACCAGCTTTATAATTATGGGCAAGTCAGTGCTTGTCTGTCAAATGAGAAGGTTAGATGATAATGAGGTCCCTTCAAGTCCTAAGTTCCATGCTTTTAAGACTTTTATAGTTTCAGTTCTACAGAGAAGAGGGGAGAAACAGACTTTGGAATTGCAAGAATTATAATGATCTTGGATGAAAGCAGGTCGTCCTTCATTATGAAACCCTCTTCTGGAATACAATTAAAGATCAGGTGAGGGGAGGAAAGAAATGCAGAGGAAATTTAATAGAGAAGAACATTTATTGCCCCTCAACATGATTTAGAATAACTAAATTTATTCTGCCTGTACCTGAAGAGAATATTGTGACTTTGGAGATGGATTCAGTCTTCCTATTTAGCTACATATTGAGATAATATATTCATTTTTGTGTCCCCAGTGGAACATGGCTGGAGACAAGAATAGAAAGGAGATCACCCAAAAGCACACTCAGCAAAATGCTCCATGCTTCCAGGCCCCGGGGGGAAGTCTGGTTAAAATTCATGTCCAAGTGGCCCTGGAATCAGGGACATAAGCATAGAAAATTGTCTGTAGAAACCAGTGACCCTCTAACCATAACAAAGCAAAAGAGTCAGGAAGACGTTTTCCCCATAGGCTGGGACAATGCAAAGTGCAGGCATTTCTAGAGCAGTTATGTTGCTTTCTTTGTTCATCTATTCATTCTACCAGTGAGTATTTGTTAAATATCACGCTCTGTGAGAGACGCTACTGAAATGCATAAAGGAAAAAGGAATCATGAAGTATCCACATTTTATAGGTGGAGGCATTTTCACAAGCAGAATAACATGTCAAGTGCAGGGATAGGGAGGTATATGGTTTCCTGTAGTTGCACAAAGAGAATATTCACCATCCAGTTTGCAGTAGGTCATCAGAAGGCTTCCTGAAATAGCTGATATTTAAAGAAATTCTTAAAGTGAGTAAAAAATAGCTATTGAAAAGACCTGAGAAACTGGGGGCAATATTACCCCAGGAAGAAGAAAAGTGTACAGGTGAGAATCTGCATAGCCAGGCCCGAGGACAGTGGAAGGACTGTTAGTCACGAAAACCCTCCCAATGATTCATTCTCTGCCTCACCCTCTGTGAGCCAGGGTGTGGTTAGGATGGATGTGGTGAGTAAGATTGGGTGCCCTGGAGGATTGCTTGCACCTGAACAAGGCAGAAAGCATCTCACCCTTTTCTTTCTTTACCTGAGGAGTGAAAGTGAGTAGTCAAACACATTTCTGAGCTCTGTCACAGCTTTATTTTTCTAAATCTTACTTCTGACAGTCTTCTGCTTAAAACCTAATCATCTGGTTTTTCTAGATTTACATAGAATAATGGCTGCCTCTTAACTCTAATTCTTTCTAAATATTCACCCAAAACCCACCTGGATAAATAAAATCAGCAAATAAAACGACCCATAATCTATGCTTTCTGCAGGAAACAGAAAATACAATAATGTGAGCTTAAAACACTGGCAAGTAGGGAAATTTTTTAAAAATCCAGTTTAGGGGAAGAGTAAGGCAGAGATATGAAAGAGGCCAAAAGAAGGAGGAAAGAGGAGCAGGGGCCACAGGAGAAATAGGGTAACAGAATCCAAATAGAATTCCCTCCAAAAGCTAAATCCCCACCATGCAGTGGAAAATACCAAGAACAAATGTAGAATCTGGTAGATCTGAGTACTGGCTAGAAAGAAAGGAAAACAAGAAAGAAAGGAGAGAAATGAAAGGATTTGCATGTAATCAGGACCCAAAGCAGCAACATTGGAAACTAAAACTTCTGCATGGGAATGGGGCAACTTGAGAAGGAAACATGCCCCATGGGCACTTACTTGGTAGTGAAGGTAAAAAAATATATATAAAAACAAGAAATTGAGATTTCTGGTGTGTGTGCACGTGTGTGTGTGTGTGTGTGTGGGTGTGTGTGTGTGAGAGAGAGAGAGAGACAGAAAGTGAGAGAGAATCACAAAACAGAATACACAAAAATTTTCCACACACAAAAATAGCTAAATTAATTAGAGAAACTACACTTCACCACACTAAAGGAAGAGGGTAGTCTTGAACTAAGAGAGAGAGAAAGTGAGAGGGAATCACAAAACGGAATACACAAAAATTTTCCACACACAAAAATAGCTAAATTAATTAGAGAAGCTGCACTTCACCGTACTAAATGAAGAGGGTAGTCTTGAACTAGGGAGCTTGATAAGCCTGTCAAAACTTTCACTTTTGTGTGCATACAACTGCTATTGCTGGTCCAGAAAATTAGACATTCAAAATAAGTATGAAAAGTAGATAATATCCATACAAAGTTAGACAAAAAAGAAACAAATTAAGAATTAAAATGTACCAGCTGTTAAAAATACTCCCCAAAATGTCAACCATGAAGTAGAACAAAACTGCAACATAAGAGCTCCATCTGAATTAAATATCTGAAAACAAGAATTTGTATATGTAAAATAAGTATCTCAAATCAGAAAGGTAAAACTCATAGCAAATATGAACAAAAATTAGGAAGATGTAAAATGACTGAACACAGGAAAGAAATAGTAGAAAAAATCAAATTCATCCTAGAAGTGAAGACATTACAAATTGCCTGAATGAGAAAACATTGGATTGAAATTTAGTAGGGACAATTGAATAGTCAAGAAAATAAAAACAGGGCAGAGAATAAAAATAACAAAAAGGAAATAATTTAAAAGGATCAAGGGAAAGTATTTGGCATAGGCAAAGCAGATGCAATATACATATAATTGGAGTCTCTGGGGGACCAAAAACAAAAAAACAACACAATAGAACAACATTTTAGATCACAATCCAATTTTTTTTTCAGAAATAAAAGACCTATTTGCATAAATTAAAAGGACCTATGGTGTATAATATGTAGTGAAAATTGTCCTCATGGTCTGCAAAGCAAAACAACAAAAAAAGCCCCACATTATTTATAAAGGAAATCAAATTGGCATAAGATTTCCCTACTGCAACATGCAAAGACAGATAACAGTGGAGAAACCTTTTCAAAAAACTCAAAGAAAGTGCGAGCCAAGGATTTCATATCCAGCTAAGCTGTCCTTCAAGTGTCAAGGTTATATAAACACATTTTTAAGATATGCAAGAATCTAGGGATACTGTACATGTGCCCTTTACAAGAAAATCTACTAGAGGACAAATTTGTCCAAAGTAGAAATAACTGAGGAAGCTTTTTTTAAAGGCAGAGAAATGAAAAAGGAAGGTGAGAGTCAAAGTATGTAAGTTAAAGCTCAGAAACCAAATAGTCAAACACCAACTAAGTAAAAGGAGAATGAAGAACATTTTTCACCTGCTAGTGTATAGATAACTACTAGAACACAAATAAAAGTACTTCTAAGTACAAAAAGATGTAAGAAAAAGTAAAACAAAGAAAATAATAGACATTGACCGATAGATGCTGTGAAATACCACCCAAGTCCTCCTTCACTGATTGAGAGAAAAGTATAAAAGCCCAGCTCCCCTTTTTACTCTAACTCAGGATAACTCTGAGAGGCCATCTTAGCTTCAGAGATTTCTACGGGTTTCGCTGAGGCCTTTATTGTGTTTGCATCACTGCACAATTTCACTTTCTTCCTTATCCCACTTCCTTTACCTTCCTTCTACAGGTGTTCATCAAAGAGTATCTACTAATATACACCTAGCATGCTAATCTGCATCTCATAGTTTACTTCCTAGAGAATGTAACCAGTGATGGTTGACCAGAAGTGGTCTTGCAGATGCTAAAATTGAATTTTGGAGCTGGATCACTTACCAGCTAGCTGGCCGGCAATGAGAACCCCATTACTGATGGTTAATCAAGCATAAAGTAGCAGTGAAACACTTTCACTGGGGCAATCTGGGATGGTGTATTGTTTAATGGGAATGCACTAATTGCTGCAAGGTATCAGCCATTGGGAAAAAATTAAGGAAATAGAAGCTCTAAGGAGAGTGGAATTGGGTGACCTATTGCTAAACTATTGCTAAGCTTGATGGATGCCCTGGGGAAAGATAACATCATCATCAAATCATAATCAATAATCACCAAATAAAATCTAAATGTGAAAGGCAGAAAGCCTCCTTGGTAGCATAACAAAAACTTCCTAATCACTTGCAACAGAAAGGTAGTGAAACCTAAGGATTGGTTTTAAGATTTAATAATAAGAGTAACTGCGTTCCAAAGAAGGTTAATCTCTATCATGACACATGAGATGGCAAAATCTGAGTTGATGGACCTGAAAATCTTGAATGCCCTAATTCCATTGAATCCTTTGAGACTAAGAAAGTAGCCTACTCCTCCTACTAAGCATCAGTACATTCCCTCAACTCTTGGGTAAGGGAGTGAGAAAATCACATTAAACAGAATGCACACAACTCCTCCCCCACAAAAAGAGAACAATTGATTAGAGAAACCACTTCACCATTCCAACAGAGGAGGGCAGCCTCTTCCTGATATAGGTGTCTCTCCTTTAAACAATCAGCACCCACTCATGATCTTTCATTATCTCATTTCTTTGCTTTTAAGTCCAAACCTAGAGTTAAGTCATAGTCTAACCCAGCCAGGAGTGTGTTCAGCCTGGAAAAAGGTGGACGGTGACTGCACAGCTGCATGACCTAGTCAACATTTACCAGAAGGAGCTGGAAGAGCACACATGAGACTGATTACAAAAAATGTTCTGCCAAGGGCAAAAGAAAAAAACCTGGATAAGAGGAATTTATCAGTATGGGAGTATTTAACAGCCTGGCAAAAAGCCCTCGGAAGAGGGTGCAAACACACTGTAAGGATGGCCACTAGAAGTATGAAAAAAGCAATGGCCCCCATGTGGTGAGAAATAAATTCCAGAATTTTTGTGGCAGATAGTAGAAGAAACAATTAAAAGAATCAAAGAAGTGGACATGTTAGAGTGGATATACTACAGAGTGGATATACTACATAAAGTGAGAAAACTCACCAGATAGTGATATTCCATCACTGAGGCCAGAGGATCCACTATTTGTCAAAGGGCTAAGGAAGGAGCTGGTGAGAGGGACATCGGTGTCATTGCGATGTTCATTAATGCTTGTTAGTCTAGGGCTGACAACAGAAGATGCCATTCCCAAACTATAGCTCTCTAATAATAATGAGAATGATAAAACTTCAAAACAAAAGACTAAATAGCAATGTGTGAGCTTCGTCAGCAGCCTTAAGGATGAAGCTATTGTAACAAGTGGTAAGATTGGAGCAGCAGCCAAGAAGAGCTGAGAATGGAGAGGGTTATGAGATGGTATTCCTAGGGGCAAAATAGAAGAGTAGCCAATTAGGGAACTGCTCAATGTGTGCAAGCCAAAGAATTCAGTGGCAGATAATCACAAGGCAGATCAGGGGGAAGTTCCCAGCCCCCAATTCCAAATATAAAAGTCATGATTCCATGCCAGTTTCTTGTCCAAATGAAGTTACAAATCCAGATCCTATAGACTGGAAGGGAGGACAGGTTCCCAGGAGAAAGGAACCGACAAAATCATGGCAAGGAAAAATGGCAATGATTTCTTCAAATAGTTCTCTTTCTTTCAAATAGGGACCCAATCCTGGGGAATAGCAAACACTCACACATTTCAAGGACTGTTGCATGTAGGGACCAAGTAATTATTAATACCCAAAGTGTTATTATGCCACCTCCACATTAGAGTCCTGGCCCAGGTCCAGCTCACAATGGGTCCACAGGATTCATGGAACCACTTAGCAGTCATTTCTCTAATCTCTGAATGTGTAATTAAAATAGACATAGTTGGTAGTTTCCATAACCTCCAGATTAGGTCATTGTCCTACAGCATTAGAGCTATCGTAGTGCAGAAAATAAGTGAAATAGAATAGAAATACCTGAAAACAAAATGATTCAGAAAGGCAAAAAAGAAATGAGTGGAGCAGATGGGACAAAAGTATACTAGTCAAACGAAACCAAGGAAAAGAGAGGATGCATCCTTCTATCATATAAGAATTTATGCTCTAAAGCAAAAACGAAAAAAAGAGAGGCTTTCTTGTACTAAAGGCCATACTTTTCAATGAAGACATGACACATATAAAATTTTTGTATCAGAAACACAGAAACCACCATCATAAAGCAAAAATTACAAGTGATATAGAGAGAAATGAACAGAAGCACACAACTATCAGGAGAATTTAAGCCAGCACTTTCAGTCCCAGACAAAGATTAAGTGAACAGAAAATAATATATTGATTATATATTCATTATATATTTATATTTCTATAAATATCTATATTTATATATGTATATGTAATTTGCTCCTTGATTAAAAAATGTAGAACTTCTCAAATGCACCTAAAACATTTGTAAACATTGACAATATAGTCATGACTCAAAGAAAGCATAAAATACATTCACAAAGTAGAAATAATATTAACAACAATATCTGATCACAAAGTAATAAAACTAGAAATTAATAACAAAACCACAAAACAAAACAAAAATTCTACTTGGAAATTAGAAAAAAAAAGAAACTATTATATTACTCTTGGGTAAAGGGAAAATGAAAATCAGAATAACAAGTTTTGTAAAAATTAACGATAAAAACACTCATTATGTCAAAATGTGTGGAATACATTTAAAGCAGTAATAAAAGGAAAAAATTTATAATCGTAGATATTTTTGTTAATAAAATAAAAAAAGAAGAATTACATCCAATGAAAAGAGGAAAAATAAAAACAGTTAAGCCAAAAAAATTAAAGGAAGGAAATAAAAATAAAACTGAGATACTAATGAAAGACAAAACAATAATCAGTAAAAACAATTAATAAAATGCTGAATCTGTGAAAATTAAAAAAAAAAATGGACAAGTCAACCATATTGGTCAGGGATAAACCAAAGAAACAAACCAGTAGGTGATACCTATTAAGAGATTTATTTCAGAGAGTTGGCCTATGTAATTGTGGTAGCTGGGTAGGCACATCCAAAACTCATAGGGCAGGCTGTTAGGAAGGACAGGATAGAATTCTCCTTCAGAGTTGCCGTCTGTAGGAAAAATTTTCTCTTCCTTAGGGAAGCCTCAGTTCTGCTCTTAAGATCTTTGAACTGATTGAATTGAGCCCAAAGATTACTGAGGATAACCTCTCTTACTTAAAGTCAACTGTATTAGTCTTCTCAGGCTGCCATTAAAAAAAAATACCAGAGACTATATGGCTTAAATAACAGAATTTGATTTTCTCACTGTTCTGGAGGCTGGAAAGTCCAAGGACAAGGTCCAGCAGAGCTCGGTTTCTGGTAAGGGCTCTCTTCCTGCCTTTCAGATGGCTGCCTTTTTGCTGTATCTTCACATGGCAGGGAAAGAAAGACAGAGTGAGAGGGGAGAGAGAAAAGAGTCTCTTCGGTGTTTCTTCTTATAAGGACATTGATCCTATAGAATCAGGGGCCCACCCTTATGACCTCACATAACCTTAATTACTTCCTTAGAGGCCCCATCTCCAAACACAGGCACTGGGTGTTATGACTTCAACATTTGAATTACATATGGACTGAGATGCAATTCAGTCCATACCATCAGTTAATTATAGACTTCAATCACCTCTACAAGTTATCTTCACAGCAATACCTAGGTTGATGTTTGATTGAATAACAGAAAAACTAAGACTATAAACCTAAACTAAGTTGACACATAAAACTGACCATCACACCAGTAGATAACCGAATTTGATTCCTAAAAACAGGAATAACAGTGAGATTGTAATGTCGCCAGGAAGTCTTGATGTACCCCATTGAATTTACCAGAATAACCTCCCCACCCAGCCCCTGACAGCCAATAATTTTATCTACACCAGAGCCATTCTAACTTCAAGGTGCCTAAGAAGCACCTGGAGATCTTGCTAAAATATAGATTCTGATTTAGCAGGTGGGATGGTTTGGGGCCTGAGATGCTGCATTTCTAACATGTTGGCAGGTGAAGCTGATGCTGCTGGTCTAAGGACTCAAGTTTGAGGAGCAACAGTACAATTAGAATATAATTATGAAACTCCTGAATGTCCAATTTAGTCTTACTCTACCTTTCAAAAATATTTCCTTTCTATTATGTGTCTAAGGATACGTTGGAGTGCTCATTTGTGCTGAGGAACCACCTCCTGGAGGTTGTTGCTACTGGCCCTGAAACATAGAAGCACCAATATTACACATAGACTTTAGCAGCTCATGCCAGATTTAGTCTGGCCTGACAGCTTCTTGGCTTTTAAATTTACTTGAATAGCTATTTTCTTAGGTCATGAACCTACTACCTGGATGGCTGGGTCAGAACCTCATGGACGTAGAACTACTCTTCCCCTTTTATCCACTCATCTTGGTTTAGGGCACACTGATCGTATTTTTCCTACTGCAATGAGCATAACTCAGAGGCCATTCCATGTCATAAGATCTGCTCTGGGCTACCTGTGTCCACTACAAGAGATTTTAATAACTTTTAATATTGGAGAAAAAGAGTTGGGAACTCTATATTTTTATGCCCAGAAGTCACCTTATCTCTTTGGAGAAATCTGTCTATATTTTTATCTATTTATATTTTACCTATTTTTTTATCTCTTGCTGCATAAGAAAGAATATAAAATCTCAGAGGCATTTTGTATTGTTATGGGCTCAATTGTTCCTTACATTCATAGTCATGAAGCACTAACTCCCAGTACCTCAGGATGTGACTGTTTTTTGGAGATAGAATCTTTAAAAAGATAATGAATAGAAAATAAGGTCATGATTTTGGCCAATGGCACATTGGTAGAAGGAACAGCATGACACTTCTGACCCTAGGGCATAAGGGTGAGGTCTAATGCTATATGACTGATATCCTTATAAGAAGAGCAGGCAAGGACACAGATGTGTATACACACAGGAAATATCCTATGAGTACGCACTGAGAAGGCAGTCCTCTGCAAGCAAAGGGAGAGGCCCCAGACAAAATGAAACCTGCCAACACCTTGGTCTTCGACTTCTAGCATCCAGAACAATGAAAATATGGATTTCTGTTGTGTAAGCCACCAAGTCTGTGGTATTTTGTTATGGGGGCCTGAGCAAACTCACACATATCATGATAAGTGCTGCTATAAAGACACATGCACACGTATGTTTATTGCGGCACTATTCACAATAGCAAAGACTTGGAACCAACCCAAATGTCCAACAATGATAGACTGGATTAAGAAAATGTGGCACATATACACCATGGAATACTATGCAGCCATAAAAAATGATGAGTTCATGTCCTTTGTAGGGACATGGATGAAATTGGAAATCATCATTCTCAGTAAACTATCGCAAGAACAAAAACCAAACACCGCATATTCTCACTCATAGGTGGGAATTGAACAATGAGATCACATGGACACATGAAGGGGAATATCACACTCTGGGGACTGTGGTGGGGTGGGGGGAGGGGGGAGAGATATCACTGGGAGATATACCTAAGGCTAGATGACGAGTTAGTGGGTGCAGCGCACCAGCATGGCACATGTATGCATATGTAACTAACCTGCACAATGTGCACATGTACCCTAAAACTTAAAGTATAATAAAAAAAAGAAAAAAAAAAGTGTTTGCTTCTTATGTTCCTGCAAGTTGGTTGGGATAGTTTTGCTGTTTAAGTATCAGCGCATAGCCCAGGGGTCAACTGATCTAGGCTAGAAGAGCCTGGATCTAGGTATCTCTGTATCAAACTGTAAGCCTGCTGGTCAGCCAGGTAGTTCACTATGGACCAGGGGGTTAGCCAAGACATGTCCTTCCCATGAAGATATCAGAGGGTTAAGACAACAGCAGAAACCTGTGATGCTTAAGGCCTAGGGTCAGGAGTGTCATGCTGTCTCTTCCACCAACGTGCCATTGGCCAAAGCAAGTCATATGGTCAAAGTCAAGTTGTTGGGAAATATATTCAGCTCACACCAAGGCCATGGTAAAAGTGTGAATATAGGGACCAGTAATTCAGTCTACCCCAGACACCAGGTACTCTTTGAGTTCAGAATAGTTTCTCTTGGAAAAAATAAAGCATAGCTTACCAGCGTATCCTTCGTGATAATAATGTTTTTACATTTGTCTTCTAAATTTGATTTTGAGCTCATCAAGAATGGAGGCCATATCTTATTTGTTTTTGAATCCAAAGAGACTAGCACAGTTCCTGAACACTACCACACTAAAAGGTATAGTATGACATGGTGATAAGACCATACATTATTGCATCAGACTCCCTGGATACAAATTCTACTACTTATTGGCTGGGTGATCTCAGGAGACTTACTTAACTTCTCTCTGTCCCTTTTAATTGTCTGTAGAATGGCAATAAAATATTACTTGCCCCAAAGATTGTTCTAAGACTTTAAAAATTCATTATGTAGAAAGCCATTCAAACAGTACTTGGTACATAGGAAGGACTTGCTAAATGTTAAATAATATACATTGTAATTATGTGGTTACTTACGTTCCTATCCTCTCCTACTCTTTACTCCTCTCTAGATTGTGAGCTCCTTGAGGTCAAATATTCTGCCTAAAATTGTTTTATGTGAGGTGCATAGAGTTGGAGCCACTCAAATCTGGGCATGAATCTTAATTCTGTTACTAATCAGAAATTATTTAACTTCTCTTAACCTTGGCCTCTGCATTCACTTATTCATTCATCAAATATTTATTATCACCCCTGCTAGACTATAGGCTCTATAAAGGCAGGGATGGATGTTTACCTTGCACTTAGCTTCATCCCCAGGGGCCAACATAGTGCCCAATCCACTGTGGGCTTGATAATTGATAAATTTTTTAAAAATGTCTTCATGAATGAATATGCCAGACACTAGGTGTAGCAATCAAGAACAGGATGAGAAATAAGGCTTGATGTTAACCTTGCCGGAATTTGTAATCAGGAAACAAAAAATAATATAGCTTCTCATAGGGTTATAGTGAAACTCAAGGAGATACTGTATGAAAAATTAAGCAGAGTACCTGGCACTTAGTAAGATGCTTCATGGTTGTGACCCCAGCAATGGCTCAATTAAAAGTATACATAACTCATATTTTAATAAGACATATTACTAGAGTAATGTATCAAAAAGATGTTAGAGATAGAAATGCATTATTTAGTTTGTGTACCCAATTTTAAGCAAAATAGTAAATCAAGTAACATTTGTGCAACTGAAGTGAAATTTCCAGGAGTTGGTTAATGTTGAATTATAATTGAAAGAGTAAATGAGCAGGGAGAAGATGAATTAAAGAATGAATGAAAGAATAAATGCAAAGTCACAATAGCCAAACAGAAGAGCAAAGAAATAGATGGTGTTAAATTTTGGGTAGTGCTTTTTCAGCTAAAGCTAAATCATTTTCATGATTTGCACAGCCTGCATCTCAGCCAGAAACAACTTTCCCTGGAGGGTTCACAGCCTCTGAGAGCAAATATTCTCAGAGGAAGTTAGATGATTCATGAGATGACTCCTAGGGAGACTGGCAGAAATAAAATCTCTCAGGAAAAAAAAAAAGAGTCAGAGAGAGAGAGAGAGAGAGATCAAGGTGATTCATCAGATTTATTTTCTGTTGATCATTCATTTGGTACTATTTCTAGGCAATATACAGTGTAAAGAGAGGCAAAGTGATGTTGAAATGGGAAGTTTACAAAACAGGTTGGCTGAGCATACTAAAAGGGTGTTTGTCTCAAGATGGTACAGGAGAAGTAAGTTTGGCTTCAATAATCTCTGAGGCTTTGGGCCTTCTAGATTCTTCCTCTTGGCAAAATTGCCATAGCTGCATATTTTGAGGAGCTCTGTGGCATCTCTTATTGAATCACCCAATAGATTTTTAACAGCATCACAAGTTACTCCTGAACGGTTAAGATCACTTCTTTTATCCTGGTGTGAACTATTAAAACTAATAAAATTTTATCTGGCTGAGGGAATCACAGAATTATAACATTTCAGAGTTGGAAAGGTCTTAAAGGTCACAGAGTTTTCATTCTGCACTGAGCGTTGGGAGGAGTGAGAAATTTTATGCATTTCTGAACCTGTGAGACTATTATGACAGTCCAAGAGAACAGATTTAAGATGAAGACGACGTTTACTAGCCAGGCGATTAATTGATTAAATTAAATATTAAGAGCATTATGAGTGAGCTATGATCTGACTTTAGCAACAGACATTTTAGAAAATGCTTGTCTTAGTTATATACTGGAATTATTGGCAATTTTCCTGCAACTGTTTTTTCAGAACTCAGGCAGAAGCACTTACTAAGAGTGAATCCAAGATCCAAGATCCTGCCTTTACTTCCAAGGCCAGTCTTTTTCAAAATATGTTAGCAAAGTTAAGACTTTGTTTTTTTTTCAGGGTTGAACGCTGAGATCTCTTCCCACCCATAAAAAGCCCAGAGAACAAAAAGTTGGCCCAGGTATTGAGTGCGAAGTCATTTCTGTATGTTTCTGGCTCTTGTAAAACAGTAATTTCTTTAACAGTTTAAAGCTTCAGAAATTTTACTTTGCAATAAGCCACTGCTGGAGTCAGGTGAGGTCAAGGTTAATATGCAGAGGGTATGCATTTATTCAATCAGGATTTATTGAATAACTAGCATAGGTTAGTCCCTGTAATACAGACATGAATAATAATATCATCACTGGTATAGAAATATGAACAATGGAGTCTCAGCAAGGAAGATGACTAAGGCTACCTGTAGGGGAAACAGAGCAAAGCAATCTTGAACAATCTTGAAGGATGAAAGATTTCCTGGTGGGGAAGTAGGGAAAGATATTCCAAGCACATTTTTATTGTTATCATTAACAGCTAACATTTATCAAGTGCTTTCTATGGGCCACATGCTATGCTAAAGGCTTCATGTGCATTTATTTGGTTCATCCTATAACCCCACGAGGTAAATACTATTTTTTACATTTTTTAATAAATGAAGGAATTGAAAATTCAAAAGTTTGAGTCCCGTACTCAAGCTCTTATAGCTAGTGGTCCTCTGACCCCATATAAAATATACCCCCAAACTATCATATTCCATGTTTTGATATGAAGTTTGCTCAACAATAAAATGATCATTCAGCTTCCCAAGTTTATTATTCATTTATCATTGAGGTTGTCTCAATATTTAATGTTTTAATTTGGGGTATTACAAATTTAAAATATACATCAATTTATCAGTTAGTCTCTTCTGGACAAACTACATATCTGGTCTATAAAGCCAAGCACCAGAAGCTGGACTGGGATTGCAGCTAGATAGTAAGATCTGAAATAACTCTTAATTGAAGACTTCGATGGAATTTCAAAGGCAGTCATGAAGCATATGGTCTGGAGACAAGTTCTAAATCAAGTCAAGGCAAGAATTGAAAAGAAAGCCAATGTAGAAAGCTACAAGTCCAATAATTTTGAAAAAGAAAGGTCAAAGGAGGTGCGAGTGATTTAAAAGAGTAAAGTACAAGAGAATACCTTGAACCTCTTAGCATGCAACTCAGTTTTGTATCTCATTCCTATGGCCAAGGACAAAGATGTCACCTGTTAATGGACAACATCACCTCAATGCTTTTCCAGAGGAGAGAATAGATAAGGAGTGGGCACCTTATCCCTGAGGCTCTTGTTAAGCACCTAAATTTTTGTCCATACATTTGGTAATATGACTGGTCTAATTGCTCAATATTTTGTCATGTTTAGATAGAAGTGCATGAGGAAGGTAATAATGTCTATTCTGTGTTCTGTGCAGTGCATTGGTTGATACTGGCCCCGCTTACTAAGTAAATCTCCACTGATGCTCACCTCTCATGGTTTCTAAATGATTTGGTAATTACTGTAAAGCCATACATAGGCATTAGGGACAAACCAATGGTTTAATGGCTTTCATTTATTCATCCAGCAAATATTTCTGGAGTGTCTTCTATCTACCTGGCACTATTTAAGGACAAGGGACACGGTGATAAAGAGAATAGAAAAATGGCCTTTTTTTTTTGAGACAGAGTCTCGCTCTGTCACCCAGGCTGGAGTGCAGTGGCACAATCTTGGCTCACTGCAGCCTCTGCCTCCCGGGTTCCAGTGATTCTCCTGCCTCAGCCTCCCAGGTAGCTGGGATTACAGGCATGCACCACTAGGCCCGGCTAATTTTTGTGTTTTTAGTAGAGATGGGGTTTCACCACGTTGGCCAGGCTGGTCTCGAACTCCTGACCTCAGGTGATCCGCCCGCCTCAACCTCCCAAAGTGCTAGAATTACAGGTGCGAGCCACTGCACCCGGCCAAATAGCCTATTCTTAAACAATGTGTTTTCATTCTAGTGAAGGAACCAAACAATAACCTTATACACAAATACAAGATAGTTGAAGAATGTGATGGTACAATAAAGAACATTACCAGGATAATGGTGTCGAGGGTTATTAAGGAGAGGGGTGGTATGTGCTTCTTTGCATGAGGTAGTCAGAGGCAGCCTCTCATGGCACTTGAACTGATCCTGGAAGGATGAAAGCCTGGCCACCATGCAAAAGGACAGGGAAAGAAAGTTCCTGACAGAAGTGACAGAAAGAACAAAGGTTTTGGAGTGGTAGAAAGCTTAGTGTTCAAAGAACTTAGACTTGATCAGGGGAAGTTGCAAAGACCATGGAGCTCCTTAGGGAATTTCACCATATCAGACAGTGAAAGGAATTACCAGGCTTGGAATTTACAGAAGGCACTGAGACTTTGGATCAGAAACTTTCTAGGCAGCTAGACTCTTTTGGAAGCTAAGGTGAAGCATTCAGATGGCTGCTGAGCTAAGCTCTGCCCACCCACTTCAGTGTTAATATGTTCATTCCTATAAAATTTGTTTGATTTTCCTAAATAAAGAGTAGCAGTGGTTAAGAGATGGTGTCTGGAATCAGATAGCCTAGCTTTTTATTCCAACTCTAGGCTAGGCATACATGTATCATCTTGGATAATTTACTCAACATAGATGAGTCTTCTTCCTATTTATTCCAGAGACTTCTGTAAACTGCCTTGTATTGGCTTGACTTCACCTCTGACTCCAGCTCTAGTTATAGCAAATAGTACTTATGGCCTCTGCCTTACTGGCAGCTTCCTGCCTTAAGCAAGAACCACCTCTTCTTCATTTGCAGCCCCAGGTCTTATCTAGCACAGTGGCATGGTGACCTGAGAAAAGCATGCTCTGCCCTCATGTGCAGCCTCAAAGTGAGGGAAAGTTAATGTCCCCAGGGCATGTCTCAACCAATGAGTGGAGGAACCTGAGAATCCTAAACCACCAGATCCTCCTGAACACTCCAGGCTGGCAAAAGGACACCACTATCTCCTTATTCAAAGAAAAACTTCCAGTTGCCTAGACACCTTGAAAAGGCCTCACCTGAAGAATATGCCTTACAAAGTGATACTTTTTCTTCTCAAGATCCACCACCACTCACTCCTTTTTGCCAATACCAATAACTTGGGTCTCTTCTCAGCACAGTCTGAACAAGGATCCAGGAGGTACTGTCCTGGCAAAGAGATTCTGGAACCAGTCCTAACCTACTGCTGGGATGGTTCATTGAAGGCGGTACACAATAACAGTGCAGAGTAAATGAGGTGGAGATGCCAGAACTGTTTAGACAGAACAATGAAGGAGCCAAAAGGCTGAAGGAAGTGAAAACGTTAGAATGGATTTATTATGCGAGAGCAAACCCCACTAACTGCCTGTTCATTTGAAGGACCCATAGAAACTCCTTTACTAAGGCCATGAAGGCTCTGCTGAAGATGAACAGATTTGAGAAGCCCAGTGGAGGCTTCCATCTGTTGTTGTGATAGTAGAGTCCGCTACCTTGGCACTGGGCTGCTTTGTATTGGCGTGTTTATAAAATGATCCCAGAAGAACAAAGGCCCACGGGCAGCACTTAATTTTCAGAAGCAAAGTAGATGTGACTATCATAATGGAAAGAGCCAGGTAGAAATCAAGATGCCTTTACCTGAAGGGATCTATGGTAATGAATCATAGATTAGAATATTCCAGGGGACAAGATAGATGGACAGCCCACAAGAGTGCTATTCAATTTGAATTAACGTAAATCCCTCCCTTCCCTGACATGCCCAAAATTGAGAACTGTCCAATGTCAGCTAACACAATGAAAAACTAGTCCTTCACCAAATTTCCGGATCTAAATTAGTTTACAGACCCAGAGGTTATTGATCAAAGGGCAGGCTTGGTTTCCTTGAGGAAGGACTCTATAATATCATCATTTGTATATGTAAGAAATATCTCCCCAGATAAATTTTCCAGAGTAGCTGTGCAAGAGGAAAATAGAACATCTAGACCTTTCAAGGACAGTTGAATACAGGGTCTGAGCTGACACCATTCAGGGTCCCAAAATACCATCCAGGAGCTCCAGTGGAGTGGAGGCTCACAGAATCCAAGTAATAAACAGATTTCTGATACAAGTTCATTCCACAGTGAGTTCATTGAGTCCACAGACGTATTTCCCAATTCTCAAGTATATAATTGGGATAGATATACTAAACAGCTGGCAGATGTTGTTATTCCCTGACCTATGGAATATGAGTCAAAATTATAGGAAACTCCTAAGATTGCCTCCACCCTTGCCAAGATAATAAAGCATAGATCATAATGCATTCCAGAAGGAATTCTGGAGACAGCCCTACCACCAGACATGCAGGATACAGGGACGATAGTTCCTACATATTCTTATTCAATTCACTTGTATGGGACCAGAAATAATAAAACCTATTAGTTGTGGTAGAAGACAGTGGACTCTTATAAACGTCACCAAATATTATGATCACCCTCACAGCTCCTCTGCTGGATGTAAAATCCTTATGAAACAGATCAACAGAGGCTTTGGTACTGGTCTGAGGCTACCAACTTGGTGAATGTGTTCTCCAATTGTACCACGAAGGAGGATCAAAGGCAGTTTTCTCTTTTGTAGGAAGGACAACATTATACATTCACTTAATTTTTCCAGGGCTATATAAGTCTCCTGCTCTCAGACACAATGTAGTCAGCAGGAACCTTCATCACATTAGCATTCCTCAGAACATCATATTGGTCTACAATATTGATGATATCATGTTAATAAGATCTGGTGAAAAGGAAGTAGTAAGTACTCTAGATCTCTGGCAGGATAAATACATGTCAGAGGACTGGAGATAAACCACAGGAAAAATTAGCTGCTTACCATGTTAGTGATGCTTTTAGGAGTCCAGTGGTCTAAGATAGGCTGGGACATCCCCTCTAAGGATGAGCAGATTTTATATCTTGTACCTTTTACTATCAAGAAGGAGCCATGGCACTTAGTGTGTCATTGTGGATTTTGAAGGTAACATGCTGACTACATTTGGAAATAGTTCTCCTTTGGGTTTATCTGGAGACTGAAAAGACTGACAGTTTTGAATGAGGCCCAGAGCAAGAGAAAATCCTGCAGCAGGTCTTGTTTGTGGTATCAACTCTCCTGCAACCTGGGCCACATGACCTGGCAGAGTCAATGATGCCCTCTGATAGATAAGTATGCCATTTGGAATCTCTGGCAAACCTCAATAGAAGAGACACACAGATGCCTTCCATGGTAGAGAATGACTTACTATTTAAAAGACACCACCTGGAGTGCTGTTGGATCCTGGTAAAGACTGAGTACCTAACAACAGGCAACCTGGTAAGTGAAGCCATCAAACACGAGCTAGGTATTATCAGATTCTCCTAATCGCAACATCGGGTGGGTACAGCAGCAATCCACTAGACACTGGACAATAGAAATGATCTGTTCTGGATCAGGCCCAAGCAGGAGATATAAGTAAGTTAATGAAGGTGTGCCTCAACATATTAGTGATGCTTTTTCTGAAGCTCATGACTATGGCCCCACATGATGAGAGTTTTCCTACGACTACATGATGAAGGCAGAAAAAGCCTGAGAGCTGGTCCACAATATGTTGTTTTTTACCTCCTGCTATGCTGATTTGAGCTGAAAATGGACTGCTACATCAATACAGCCCCATCTAGACTTGGCACTAAAGGACAGTAGTGAGAGTGAATCCTCTACACTGGAAGTATGAGCAGTACACTGGATCATTCCCTTTGCAGGAATGGAGAAGTACCTCAAAATAACGACAGACACAGATCTTTGAGGACTCCTAAAAGGCATGGATGCTTGGTCATCGGCTAGGAAAGAGAAAGATTAGATCAGAGACAAGGGGAGCTGGGAAAGAAGTATGTAGATGTACCCATGGAAGTGGTCAAAATCCATGTTGATCTTTTTATCTAATGTTAATAATGTCCACCACAGACCATCCATTGCAGAGGCAGCACTTAACTGGGTGGACAAGATGATGCATCCACTGGTTGTCAGCAAGCCTCTACCCTTAGCCACTCTTGTGACTATGCAATAGAGCCATGAACTGAGTAGCCATGGTGACAGAGGTGAAGGCTATGCATGGGCTCTAAGTTTGGGGTCCCTCTGATCAAGGCTAGACTATCTTTTGATACTGTTCAATGTCCAAACTGCCAGCAAAAGACCAACACTATGTCCCTTTATATAGCACTAACGCCCAAAGAGATCTTCCATCACTTTGTAGCAACTTGATTACATCACACCTCTTTCATTTTAGAGGGGTTATCAGTTCACCCTTAAATAAACTGACACTTATTCCAGATATGTCTTAACCTTCCCTGCCTGCTGTATGTCTCTCAGGACCATCACCCAAGGGCTTTCTGCATGCCTGATTTATGGACATGGGATTCCGCTCAGCACTGTCCATTAAAGGGATGCATTTTACAGTATAGAAGTTATAATAGTGGACCACTGCCCATGAAATCTTACCATATCACTCAGAAGCAACCAGACCAATATAATGATGGGGGAAGACCTATTAAAGGCTCAGCTAAGCCATCTGCTTGGGGACAACACTTTGTCCTCAAGGAGGAGATAAATGCTTTAAACTGATGGCTGGTATATCTCTGCTCTTCACAACTGAAAATGGGATCACTGTTAACATTGCTTTCATATGTAGCCAAATATATTTGTTTTTATACCAGAAGAAAATGCCATGTTTGTTTTAGCTATTCATACTGAATCCCTAGTATCTAGAAGAATGTGTGGCAACTAGAAAACACTTAAAAAATACTGCTGATGCAATGTATACACAACATTTAGTATATTAAATGCTAATATACTATATGCTATAATACTAAATGCTATAATACATTTAGTATAATAAAAGGTTATTATCACAATTATGATTATTCATGCATTGTATGCCATAGATAAAGACATCTTTAGTCTGGTTGTCTCTGTTTTAACCATGATACCACCTAAAAAGCCTCCTTGTTCATATGTTTGTTCAAAGGAAATTAGCCTAGGAAAGACGGCTGCTGCTGCTCTTCCCAGCCTCTCACAGCTGCACTGATCAATATGGAACTGGGCTTGAGAAGGCCATTATGGGGCCTCCTACATTTCACCCTGCTTGTGGTCTCAAAACTTGGATTCACCAGTCAGCCTTTTCCTGGGCACCCTGTTGACATCCAAACTTGAGAGAATCCTCAATATGCATGAACACTGTAATTACACAGACTTAAACTTCTCCATTCTGAGATAATTACAGAAATGAACTATGTTTCTCAAGCAAATCAGACTGTACAGATACAGGGAAGGGTGTCTTGGTGGGCATAAGGGATCTCAGACTTATTCTGGCTACATGCCCAAAATTGGCAATACAACGAGCCCTTTGCCTTAGCAGAGAGAAACCTCCTGTTAGAATCCTTATGGGAAATGCGTACAAGCAATTCCTACCCTCAGAAACAGGAATCCTGCTGGCAGTTTGTTCTGTTTAAAAGAAAAACAGAAAAGAGAAAAAGAGCTGATGTGGCTTCATCAAGACCTATATCCTGGACTTCATAAAAATAAAAAAAAAGCAAATGAAACAATTCCTGATTTGTGCCCTGAAGGGGTTTTGCAGTTTTCTTATTCTATCTTGCACAGAAGTTCTGAGCTCAGAAAAAAAATAAGGAAAATAAATCTAATGAATAAAATATTGAAGGGGTTGCAATTCTTGAGAACCAAAAACAAAAGAAAAATCACTTCCTCAGCTGGTTTGGGTTTGAGGGACTGGGATTCAACTTACAAACATCTTTGAGTGATGCAGCTCATGACCCTCTTTCTTTCTACTCTAATCCCATAGTTTGTACTTAGAGATCAGTCCATTTGCAGCCTAGTCTGGAAAATCAGTGTTGTCATAGAAAAGGTGAGGTAAGATGCAAGTTGGGACACTAAGACATCTTTTGTAGAGAGGTGAGAAAACATTTCAGTAGCATCAGTGTCACCATAATGTAGGAGGACACGAGCGGGGGCATCTCGGACACAGAAACTCCAAAAAGCCTCAAGACCTGAGGTGATTCAGGCAATTGCCAGTGTCTATCTGAACTGTGGCACACAGGGATGAAGATCCCAGTGGTGAATGATATCTGGAAGAGGCAAAGAGCAATAGACACTAGGTTTGTCCATGTGGATTTCTCACAATTGGGTAGAAATATAGGGGAGCAGAATTCAGCTTTGGAACAGAAACCTTGTAAGAGCCAGGCATTCACGGCAATACCCTAAGCTTGACTTGGTGTCTAATCAGGGACATTAAGCAGAAACTATGAAGGTCAAAATAAAAACAAAGAAGTTCTTACCCTTGGCTGGGACCCATATATAAGTGGAAGGAAAAAGGCTGTTGTTTAGGGCTCCACAGATGCTCATTCCTGGTACATGGGGTCCTGAGCCAGGTTGGCATTAAGGTAGCTCAGAGGGCATGTGGCATCCCATCAATCATAGCTCAGACACTGGACTTGGGGTCTGAGACATGAGACTTAGTTCCAAGGGCCACTGGATGGGGGTAGAGAGGGTGAGGCTTCCAGCATACTTCTTGCTCTCATCAGGAGTGTCTCAGGATCTGAGATGAGCATTGATTCACAAATGGGGCCTGGCTGCTCTTGTTTATGGAGGGCATAGTATATACCAGGCATTAGATGATATAAATCTGTTATCTCACTTGTTTCCAGGAAATGCAATTGGGAAGCTGAAGAAGATTATAGTATTTCTGGCAGTCAAGATTTGGAAAGTTACCTACTAAGAAGCTACAATATGCTCAAGATACTACTATATCAGAATAATTTTTACCTAATTAAGAGAATGAAAATTTTATTTACTCAACCAAATAGTGAGTTAATATATAGGAAATATATGTTCTGTATCAAACAGAATAGAAAACAATGGCATTGAGATGTATACCAGTGCTCTCATAATGACTGACCTGTCATGTGTAATTGTGTGTTATTTTCTATATACACTCCATCTGAATGAGCAATAAAACTAGCTTGAGGAAGAATAGTTTCTTCTCTGATCATTGTATTTCTTCAGGATTTCTCATTGCTCTCAGACATGCTACTTGTGATTTTCAGTTAAACTTGACACATTAGCTTTGCTAATATTTTAAACTTACTAAATTTGTTCATGTCCTCTTTCCTGTGTGTCTTCCCTCACTTTTACCTTGTGTATTAAGTACCACAAAAGAATATTGTCTGAAACAAATGGCATGCAATCCTTGGAGGATAGATTTCCATGCTACTATAGAGTGAACGTCTTCCATAGTGAAAGGCTTATATTTAATATGTGAATTGTGCCAGAGGTGGTTCAGCCAGGTAAAATGCTGGTATTACCTTGAAAACATGGGCGTATCCATCTTCCACTGAGCTGTGTGTTCTGGTTTGGGCTTTTGTTGATATGGTTTTGATGCCAAAGCAGGAAAAGCTGTTTCCTGATAAAAAGCAGAAACCAGACTCCTTGGTGCCATTGTTCATTACTGCCTGATCAGACAGGGAGAGTATGATATAATCTGACAGCTGAGAAAGTTGTGCGCTCCTCACCCACTAAGCACATGTATCTTTTTGAAGAACCCTGCTGAAAGCTTGCACTCTGAGCCCTGAAGCCAGATTTTGCTAAAGTTCTGTGATTCCACCATGGTTCCCTGATGAAGTAAAATATATTGTGTATAGACTGCAAGCTAGGATTGTACTGCTGAAATTTGAGATCTAAATATAAGTAATCTAAACTACAAGTAGTCTACATTACTGTGCCTGTAAAAGTTTACCTTGTGACACCTGGATTTAATATATCCTGACAATAGGTGCAGTTTGTTCAGAGAACGACCTTCAACTTTATATAGAAGATAAATGCCTGATTGTAGGTTATCTACATGCGTTTTGGATGGAGAGAGCAGAGGCAGGAATGCCAATGCAAATGTTAAACATACCCTTTCTATTGTTTTATTAGGACTATACATTATTAAATGGGACCTTCTTTACTCTTAATGTTTCTATTAGAGTAACATTCTTGGCTTCCTCTGCATCCTCACTAATTTTTCCTAATGGGAGGAGGATTAAAGTATCTGAATAGCAAATTTAGGAACAAAAACTGGTCATGTTTGACTGAGTCCCTTCCCTTTGCCTTTCTTCTTTGGATCTATGTGATTTTAGGAAAATATACTCTACTTTGTTCTTGGTCATACAAAGAGCTTCACAGTAGCAACCTTGTCCTTTTGTTGTGGAAAATCAGTGGTTGACCAGTGCTACTTGACATTGAGTGAATAAGTCTGTATTAATGTGGCTACATATTAGGAAGCCCATTGTTTTCTCACAGGGCCTAAGCCTCAATTTCCAGTAATTCCATCAATAATGAAGTAGGAATCTTTATGTTTGTCTGCTTAAATTTTTGTCTTTCTCAGTGAAATCAGAACTCAGGCAAGAAACACGATAATATACTCTATTAGGTTGCCTAAAACCCCAATATATTCCATCAGTAATTTTCATGTTGTACAGGTTTGTTAATTTATGTCCTTTAGTTAACCTCTAAACAGCACCATAAAGATGATTTTAAAGGGTGACAATTACATTTCTAATGATGTAGTCCTCTTATAATCTCTCCCCTCATAATATCCCCTTATTTTTATCTAGCCATAAGGAATCTCTTATAGACACCTTTGAGATATGGTTGATGTATGATCAAGGAGTAACTCTAGGATTATAGAGAGTTTGGCCAAGGGAAAATTTTTAGAAAATAATCAAAGGGTGTTCCACTTCATTTCAAAGTAAAATTTAGACACATTTTTTTAAGCTGTGAGGTTTTATAAAATGAAAGGTAAAACTTCTAAAAAGCAATTAGATATTTTATTTCAGAAACCAGAAGCCTTGGGGCAGGGTTAGGGAGGGAAGCTGAAACATAAAGTAAGCATTCTGGAATGAAAATCCTCCCACATCTAATTTGACACGGCTTGGAAATACACACATTTGGCACTCAGTGTGTATGGACAAAAGCAGAATCAGACTTTCACCTAGGTTTGAGGTAGATAAAGCAGCAAAGATCAGTAATCCAAAAGTAGATCACCAAGTTTTCAGAGGCTTGATTTTTCTCAGCAGTATTCCTTGCCTCTTTCTTTAGAATAATCATAAGTTAGGTAACTAAAATGACATGTTTTGAAGGTCTATTTCAAAGAAAGCTTTCAGCTCTCCATTTATATGGATTTAAGACATGTCATTAACATTTATACTAAAATACATCCCATTAGGATAAAAATCACACAGCTTTTATGGGTAAACTTTTAATGAGGTTTTCTCAAATGCAATGTAGTGTTTTTAAAGAGTTTATAATTAAATTACTAGTCTCCCATGTTTGAGTCCAAATCATTTTCCAAAAGTAGTTTATCTTGATAAACATCCTTTAAAATATTTCCTGATGAAAAGTCTAACCTCCAGAATCTATAAAAAACTTAAACAATTAAACAAACACAAAATGAACAACCGCATTAAAAAATGGCCAAAGGACATGAAGAGACACTTCTCAAAAGAAGACATACAAGTAGCCAACAAACCAGAAAAAAAATGCTCTGCATCATTATCATCAGAGAAATGCAAAACCACAAAGTGATCATCTCATACTGGTCATAATGGCATTATTAAAAAGTCAAAAAACAATAGATGATAGCAAGGCTGTACAGAAAAGGGAAAGCTTATACACCATCGGTGGGAATGTAAATTAGTTCAGTCTCTGTGGAAAGTAGTTTAGAGATATCTCAAAGAATTTAAAACAG
Organism: Homo sapiens; assembly: GCF_000001405.40. Lineage (NCBI taxonomy): Eukaryota > Metazoa > Chordata > Mammalia > Primates > Hominidae > Homo > Homo sapiens. The sequence goes on from NC_000008.11 coordinate 117,411,590, forward strand.
AACTACCATTTGACTGAAGAGTCCCATTACTGGATATATATCCAAAAGAAAACAAATCATTCTACCAAAAAGACACAGGCTATGTTCATTGCAGCACTATTCACAACAGCAAAGACATAGAATCAACCTAGGTTCTCATCAATAGTGGATTGGATGAAGAAAGTGTGGTACATATACATTATGGAATACTACACAGCCATAAAAAAGAATGAAATCATGTCCTTAACAGCAACATAGATGTAACTAGAGGCCATTATTTTAAGTGAATTAATGAAGAAACAGGAAACCAAATACTGCATGTTCTCACTTATAAGTGGGAGCTAAACATTGGGTACTCATGGACATAAAGATGGGAACAACAGAAACTGGGGACCCCTAGAGAGTGGAGAGAGGAAGAGGGAAAAGGGCTGTAAAATTACCTATGGTGTACTACACTCAGTACCCAGGTGACAGGATCATTCATAACCCAAACTTCAGTATCGCTCAATATACCCAGGTAGCATACCTGCACAAATACCCCCTGAATCTAAAATAAAAGTTGAGAAATAAATATTTCCTCAAGGTTAAACACAAATTTAAAATATTACCTTAATATCACATGTAATGTACAATATGTAATGTTAACAATATAATCAGTTCTCAAAGTGAAGAAAAGCTTTTGTGGATAAGAAAAAAATTTGTGATTCAGGATAGTATATCTCGCTTTTAAAACAGTGCATTTTAAAAATAAAACCTTTTTAATAAAGACATTCTTTTCATCTTCTAAAAGTTTTTAAAACATATTTTGTGTTATAAAAGGATACATGCCAAACTGTTCCCATTGTTACATCAGTGAGCTGAAACTGAAACAAAATGGGGGGGAGATTTTTAGAATTTTTCTTTTAGTTAAAAATGTATAGAATCAAATTTTTTCAAAAATTCACACACTGGATTGTGTTTATTCAAAGTTTCCTAAGAATTTAAGAATTTTTAAAGTGTTTTTATTGTAGGCTGGATAAAAGAAATCAGTGTTAATACCTATATTGTCATTTCACACCTCTAACTAACACAGGTACACAATCTCTTACCTGAAATTCTTGGGCAATTGTATTTCACAGAATTTGGAAATTTGGGGCTTTTTGACTAGTATATTAGTCCATTTTCACACTGCTATAAAGATACTACCTGAGACTGGGTAATTTATAAACAAAAAAGCTTTAATTGACTCACAGTTACACATGGCTTGAGAGGCCTCAGGAAACTTACAATCATGGCAGAAGGGAAAGGGGAAGCAAGGCACATCTTACGTGGCATCAGGAGAGAGAGAGCCAGTGAAGGAGAAAGTGCCAGACTTTTAAACATCTCTCTTGAGAACTCACTTGCTATCATGAGAACCGCATTGGAGAAACCACCCCCAAAATCTAATTACCTTCCTCCAAGTCCCTCTCTCAACACATGGGGATTACAATTAGAGATAAGATTTGGGTGGGGACACAGAGCAAAACTATATCAACTAGGAATACGGTACATGGACTGAATGATATAAAACTATTCCATCAGAGCCTAGAATAAAACCCTATAATTAAACACATTCAAATTTCTACAGTAAAACATATAAAATTCATAATGCTTGCAATTAAGACAACAATAACATTCATACTATGTGTGATACATAAAAGGTCTAAATAACCTCAGGTGAGGTTTTGTCACCAAATGAGTTACAAAACAACTTTGGGTTTTCCATAGTTTGGGGATTTCAAAATTATAAAGAAGAGATTATTGTCTTGTAATAGTAATAAGTATTAACAATAATTATGCCAAGCAGTTATATATATTATTTCATTTCATCCTCTCAGCAACTCTCTTAGGATACAGCTATCATAGTTTTGACTTAAATATAAAGAAACAGAGATATGCTAGCTATTAAGGATGGAACCAGGATTTGAATTCAGGCATTCTGTATCCAGAGCCCATGGTTGTAACTACTGTACTTTACCATCTTCCTTTCTAAAGGAAGTGTTGGCCTCAACAAAGAAAGAATCTGACCCCACATATCATTGGTGTTGCCATTATGAATGGTCAAAGCCAGTGGCTGTGACCTTGAACAATAACTACATCACATTTTTTCCCAAGACAAAGTCTCCTACCAACTCTGCCTTCCTCTCCCCTGTGCCTAGTGCAAAGCTTGGCATCCAGTACACCCTGACTACTGTTGATGGCCTGACTGATGCTTTCTTTGGGGCCCTCACACAGAGGTGAGGCCATGACAGGAAGAAGAAAGTACAGAGTCCATTTATGCTCCATTGCAGAATTGCTTCCTTCTCTCTCACCCACCTGTGTAGTTTAAAATCCCATCATGGATGGAAGATGTGTTTGAGCCTGTGCCTCTTCAGGCTCTAGATCAAGAGATAAGAATTGTGTTTATTTATCTATACATGAATAGTCTAAATAATGAGTGTCTATTTACTGTGATCTTCAAAATGAAAACACATCAATGTATAAGCATGTAAAATCCACATGTTGCCTAGAAATTAACACTACTGAGGATCATTTTGTCTCCTAAAGCAAGATATATATATCTATTCAACCTCCTTTACAAAGGAAGATAATTCATATGGAAAGCTGAGAGGGGCCTCTTTAAAGAGTTCAAAGGCCCATTCTAAAGGTATAGAAACAAGCAGTTTGATCCTTTTTGCTAAGACTCTTTGTAACTCACAAATAGTCCTTCTTCCAATTTCTATACTCTATAAATCCCCTTTATGTACCACTTTCATATTAACCCCCACAAAATAACACTTTTGATCATGTCATCTTCTAGAAAACCTTTAGCTGTTTCTTATTTGTTAATATATTACATGATCCCCATCCAAAAACAATGTCTCCCATAAGACATTCCAAATTCTCCTGTCTTCTCTCCCATTAGGTCCCTACTCTATATTCCAGACAAGCAATGTATTGCTCCCTCTGTTGGCCTCATATGTAACACCTTGCTTGCTTTCTGGCTGGCATAGTCCTAGCGAAGGTTTGCACTTTCCCCTAGGTCATGGAGGCAGGTCACTGTCACTACTACTACCACTACAGACTGAAGAGCCCTGCTTATGGCACTGGCTGGCAAAGAGAGATAGGCATGCATGCTCCCTGGCCAGACTGAAGGCATGGAGGCTCTTACTTTCCCAGCAACGACTCAAGAGGCTGGGGTGACACAACTCAGAAGTGCAGGGGAGTTAATGTCCAAGGAATGAATTGGTCAGTAGAACAAAAGTGAAAGGCATTGAGTAGATTTATCTCCCTTCTTCATCCTTCCCTACCATGTAAACTGTTCTGAGACATGGAAATTCATAGATGCTCCAGGAAAATGCCACACCAGATGCAGGAGCCAGCTGTCCTTGTTACGCAACTTGGGCCAGCCTGGGACATGCCCCCCTCATATGTGCACACCTTCCATCTCTGCCTCATGCCCTTTTCTCCCTCTTTTCTGCTTCCCTGATATTGCACCACCCCGTGAAGTATTAGCACACAGTTTTTTTTTCTCCGATTCTGTTGTCTAGGGAAACTGGACTATGACATACCCCAAATTTCTTAGCATTCCTTTTAGTGCCTGGTCTCTATGCTGTTTTCTTGCCTGGTGCCCATGTGCCCCACCACTACCCTCAAAAAAATTACAGCCATCCTTCAAGATATATTATTGACATCAATATAAATTAATTTTGTGATCCTCCAATCAGATATGATTTCTTCTTACTAAAAAATCCCCACTATATTTTGTTTGGACTTTTCTATAATATGTATCTCATTCTGTCATGTGCATTATTTAATGTCGCATTCTTCCTTTTGGAGGTTGAGCTTCATGAAGGCAGATATTATGTGCTATTAATTTTGGGCATCTTGCCATGCTGTGTCTGCATATGAAGTTCTCAGTACAAGTCCCTTTCAAGTATGATCTGTGTTCTATCAGCTGGTCTAGCTTCAACCCTTCATTCTTAGTCACCCACCCAAAGCTAAGCTTTAGCCAGTACAAACAATGAGCAGATTCCTAAAATTCACATAATATTTCACGCTGCTATCTTTGTCACTGCCATTCCCAAAGCACCACTCTCATTTCTTCATGCCCAGAAATTCCTTTAAATCTTTCAAAACTGAAATCAAGTGTCACACATCAACTCTTCTTTGAAGCTTTCACTAACACCCAGGCTTCTCCTCCTAGAATTTATTAAATGCCAATATAACTCCATTATGACCATTGTATGTATTTAGTGGTCAGAAAACTATTTTTGTAAAGGATCAAATAATAAAATTTTTTATATTTTCCCACACATTATTTATTTAATTAGTTCAACTATTAATTACTACTAATTGCCACTGGTACTTTATGCTATTACTGTTTTGTTTAAATGCTGAAATAATAGCATTTATGTAACAGAATATTAAATAACAGAATAATACATAATTTCAAATACCTGTTTTTTACATTTGTATGTTAAAGTCATAACTAACAGTGGACAGTTATATAATATATACTATAATAGTAAATATTTTTACTTTCCCAGGCTATGCCATCCTCATTCCATCTACTCAACTCTGCCATTTTAACACAAAAGGAGACAGACAATACATAATAAATGGGTCAATAAACTACAAAAACAGGCAGTGGGTAGATTTGGTCCACAGGCCATAATCTGCCAACTCCTGGAATAACCCACTGCAATTCCTTAAATATCAATAAGCTTTTTATTCTTAGAATCTACAATAATGTTTGGCACTTATTAGGTGTTCAATGAGTATTTGTTGCATGAGTGAATTAAATAACAACAAGTAAAAATGAGTCCTTAAATCTTGACTCTTATATTACTCTCTCTCCGTTTCCAATGTGAACACCCCTTCCTGGGTAAGCAGTAGTTTCTTGCCTCTCTTTCTAAGTGTGAAATTGGCCTGGCAAGATATAATAGACAGAACTTCACGCCAAGCCCAAAGAACTCTTGTTGTTTTTGCCAAGTATTTTCTGCCAAAATCTGGAAACAATCTTTTCATTAAAGAGCCTTAGTAGCTATTGGAATTGTAGCATTTATCTGGTTAGTAAACAATTTTGTTCCTGACTCACTTCCTCTCTGCCTAATAGTTTTCTGGCTGTGAAAGCTATTGTTAAATTACAAAGCACTATTGAAAGCAGGGGTAGAGTTTAGAGGTTGAAGAGGTGTATAGCCTCTTCTTTAAATTCTGTATTTTTGTTCTTCATCTGTTACTGACTTTTCATTCTGGAGTTGACCTTCATCTTTGTCAATTGTTTCACCATCATCTGTTTTTCCCATCAGCTCTTCTGAATTTTTCTAGTGTCTCAAATGCTTCTTTTTCATTTTTGGCTCCACTTGTACTCAGCCTCTCACTACCAGTGCTGCCCTCAATTATTTCATTTCTGCTATGCTAAGATTGCCATAAACCAGAAGTACCCAGGCTTCAGATTCTCCTTTCCTTCTCCTCTCTCTTTTAAAATCCTCTAGCCCACTTCTGCTGATCTTTGTCCCTACCAACCTCCAGAGTTCACAATTTCTACATTAAATAATTTCCCTAAGTGCAGACCTCAAAAGGCAAAAATAGAAAATTATAAAAGATCAACAGAAAAATAGACAAATATTACAGAAAAAGATAGAAAAATATGATAAAAGATCAACTGTATCAACACATTTAATGGCAAATGGAATATTTCTGTGTGTGGTTTTAAAACATACTTGATTTATTAGGGCATATTAATATGCCAAAGGATTCTTATTTTAAAAATCCATGTTGATACCAAGAGGAAAAAAAAATGGCCATCTAAAATGCAAACTATGCTAAAAATAACATTTAGATGAACTGCAATGGAAACTGATGGGATAACCAAATGCATCAGCCTCACTGGAGGACTGGGGCATGCAACTGAAACAAGCTTTCATTATCTGGCAGTATTTTTTTCACCCATGGGAAATTCAGTAATTTATGTTGATCAAAGATAGTAGTGATCAAGAGTCCTGTAGACTGCCAGGAAAACCAGTTAATTACAAGCTCCCTAAACCATTCCCATGCTAAAATGTTCTGAACTCACCCATAGGATTCTGAAAGCCTCCAATTAGAACTGTGATGGAGGTGGGGAACAGAAACCAAACAGTTCTTTTTGTAGGATGATACGAGAAAAATCAATGATCCCTGAACTTTCTTTCAAAATATCATTATGGCTGAAGCCACTCAGCCCCACCCAGACAGATGCCTGGAAACACGATAACTCGTTGGCCCATCCCTGAATGCTTGAGGAAGTTCTGAGTGCTTCTAGTGAACCACCTCCATAAGGCTTGGAGAACGGGGGCAAGTGCCCAGTCTTAAAATAAGTTTAGGGTGAGCAGGGAATAAGAAATAAGTATAAGGAATAAATGGCCTTAAGATTATTAAAGATTCATTAAAGAAATTATATGGTAAAATAGTAAAAAAAACTACTGTCATAGTATGTATATTAAAACAGTCAATCCTTTAGGAGGGTTAGGAAGGAGACAGTTTAGCACTGGAGGGGAAGATGGTAAAAGCAAAGACTTCAGGGTGAAGATAGTACTTGATATGGATTTGGAGAGCTGGGAATTAGGTTGTGAGAAAGAACAAGGTAGGGAGGGCACACAGAGGGTCAGTAGGGGACCAGAAAGTTTAGAGCTAAAGCTCCATATTATGGAGATGTGGGGAATGGAGAGGAAAGCGAAGTGACATGTAATTGTGTACAGCAAACTAGCACCTGAAACTGTAAGTCATGGTGCTTTTAAAAAAAAGGAGGCTGAAGAGGGGCCAAGATGGTTGACTAGAAACAGCTGCACTCAGAGGCTCCCACCAAGAAGAAGGAAAATGAGGAGTGAATTCTGCACTGGTAACTGAGGTATCCAGGTTCTCTCACTGGGACTGACTATGAGTTGATGCAACCCATGGAGAGTGAGGAAAAGCAAGATGGTGCATCGGCCCACCTGGGAGTCACACAAGGCAAGGGGAGCTCCCACCCCCAGCCAAGGGAAGTGGTGAGTGATTGTGCTACCCCACCCAGGAAACCACACTTTTTCAAGGGATCTGTGTAACCCTTGGATCAGAAGATCCCCCTTGTGAGGCCATGCCACCAGGGCCTTGGGTCCCAAGCACAGAGCTGTGCAGATTCTCATGGCCACATGGCTGGAGACTGTCTAAGACTACCGAATTCCCAGGGGGAAGGGCAACCGTCATCACTGCAGCTGCCTGCTCCCTAAGACAGCTGAGCTCCTGGGGTGGGAGAGAGGTGGCAATCATCACTGCTGCTCCCTAAGATGACTGAGCTTCTGAAGGAGGGGCAGCAGACATCACTGCAGCTTCAGTCTGCCATATTTCCCCTGCCAGTGTTGGAGAGACTGAGACTGGATGGTTCAGACTCAGGAGTAATTCCCCACAGTACAGCACAGCAGCTATGGCAGATCATGGCCAGACTGCCTCTTTAGGCTGGATCCTGACCCATCCCTCCTCACTGGGTGGGGCCTCCCTGCAGAAATTTCAGGAACTCTAGCCAGGGATTTAGAGACAGAACTCTGATCTTCCTGGGACTGAGCCCCTCGGGGGAGGAGCAGCCATGGTCTCCATGGATCAGCAGACTTAACATTTCCCCTGTGGCTCTGAGGAATCCGGGCAGTCCAGACAAGTGGGATTTCCCCCAGTACAGCACACCCCCCAGTGCAGCACACCTTCTCTGCCAAGGGGCAGCCAGAGTGCTTTGTTAAATGGGTCCCAGATCCCATGCCTTCTGACTACATGAGACCCCCCAACAGGGGTCATAAGACACCTTATACAGGAATGTTCCTGCAGACAGCAGGTCAGTGTCCCTCTGGGACAGAGATACCAGAGGAATGAGCAGACAGCTACCTTTGCTATTCTGCACCCTCCACTGGTGACACCTCCAGGTGTGGGAAAGGCCCAGGCAAATAGAGTCTGGAGTGGATCCCCAGCAAACCACAGCAGCAGTACAGAAGAGGGACCTGACTGTTAAAAGCAAACAAATAGAATATAACAACAACAGCATCAACAAAACCATTCCCACAAAAACCCCACCTGAAGTTCAGCAGCCTCAAAGATTGAAGCTAGATAAATTCACAAAGGTGAGAAAGAATCAATGAAAAAGTGCTGAAAACTCAAAAAGCCAGAGTGCCTATCCTCCTTCAAATGATCGCAACACCTCTCCAGAAAGGGCACAGAACTAAGTGGAGGCTGAGATGTATGAATTGACAGAAGTAGGATTCCGAAGGTGGGTAATAACAAACTTCAGTAAGCTAAAGGAATATGTTCTAACTCATCACAAAGAAGTTAAGAACCATGATAAAACATTACACGAGCTGTTAACCAGAATAACCAGTTCAGAGACGAACATAAATGATCTGATGGAGCTGAAAAACACAACACGAGAACTTCACAATGCAAACACAAGTATCAATAGTTGAATTGACCAAGCAGAGGAAAGGATTTCTGTGCTTGAAGACTATCTTGTTCAAATAAGACAGGCAGACAACATTAGAGAAAAAAGAATGAAAAGGAATGAACAAAACCTCCGAGAACTATGGCACTATGTAAAAAGACCAAACCTACAACTGATTTGGGCACCTGAAAGAGACAGGGAGAATGGAACCAAGCTGGAAAACATACTTCAGGATATCATCCAGGAGAACTTTCCCAACCTAACAAGAGAGGCCAAGATTAAAATTCAGGAAATCCAGAGAACCCCAGTAACATACTTCATGAGAAGAACAACCCCAAGACATATCATCATCAGATTCTCCAACGTTGAAATGAGAAAAAAATGTTAAGGGTGGCCAGAGAGAAAGGCCATGCCACCTACAAAGGGAATCCCATAAGACTAACAACAGACTGCTCAGCAGAAACCCTACAAGCTAGAAGATATTGGGGGCCAATATTCAACATTCTTAAAGAAAAGGATTTCCAAACCAGAATTTTATAGCTGGCCAAACTAAGCCTCAAAAGTGAAGGATAAAAAAACCCTTCTCAGACAAGCAAATGCTGAGGGAATTTATCACCACCAGGTCTGCCTTGCAAAAGCTCCTGAAGGAAACACTAAATATGGAAAGGAAAATCCATTACCAGACAATGCAGAAACACACTGAAGTACAAAGACCAATGATACTATGAAGCAACTACATCAACAAGTCTGCAAAATAACTAGCTAGCATCATGATGACGGGATCAAATTCACACATAACAATATTAACCTTAAATGTAAATGGGCTAAATGCCCCAATTAAAAGACAAAGAATGACAAGCTGGATAAAGAGTCAAGATCCATCAGCATGTTGTATTCAAGAGACCAATCTTACATGTAAAGACACACCTAAACTCAAAATAAAAGGATGCAGAAAAATTTACCAAATGGAAAACAAAAAAATCAGGGGTTGCAATCCTAGTCTCTGACAAAACGGACTTTAAACCAATAAAGATCAAAAAAGACAAAGAAGGGCATTACATAATGGTAAAGGGGTTAATTCAACAAGAAGAGCTAACTATCCTAAATATATATGCTCCCAATACAAGAGCACCCAGATTCATAAAACAAGTTCTTAGAGGCCGGCAAAGAGACTTAAACTCCTACACAATAATTGTGGGAGACTTTAACACCCCACTGTCAATATTAAACAGATCAGCAAGACAGAAAATTAACAAAGATATTCCGTACTTGAACTCAGATCTGGGTCAAGTGAACCTGATAGATATCTACAGAACTCTCCACCCCAAAACAACAGAATATACATTTTTCTCAGCACTACATCACACTTACTCTAAAACTGATCACATATTTGGAAATAAATCACTCCTCAGCAAATGCAAAAGAACTGAAATCACAACAGTCACTCAGACCACAGTGCAATTGAATTAGAACTCAAGATTAAGAAACTCACTCAAAACCACACAACTACATGAAAAAAAATTGAACAACCTGCTCCTGAATGACTTCTAGGTAATTAATGAAATTAAGGGAGAAATCAAGAAGTTCTTTGAAACCAATGAGAAAAAAAGGAGACAACCAACAGAATCTCTGGGATGCAGCTAAACCTGTGTTAAGAGGATAATTTATAGCACTAAATGCCCACATTAGAAAGCTAGAAAGATCTCAAATTGACACCCTAACATCACAACTAAAAGAATGAGAGAACCAAGAGCAAACAAAGCCCAAAGCTAGCAGAAGACAAGAAATAACCAAGATCAGAGTGGAATGGAAGAAAGACAGAAAAAAACCTTTAAAAAAAGTCAATGAATCCAAGAGCTGGTTTTTTTTTTTTAAAATAGAACAGACAACTAGCTAGACTAATAAAGAAGAAAAGAAAAAAGAATCAAATAGACACAATAAAAAATGATAAAAGGGATATCACCACTTACCCCCACAGAAATACAAACAACCATCAGAGAATACTATAAACACCTCTGTGCAAACAAACTAGAAAATCTAGAAGAAATGGATAAATTCCTGGACACATACACCCTCCCAAGACTAAATCAGGAAGAAATTGAATCCCTGAATAGACCAATAACAAGTTCTGAAATTGAAGCACTAATTAATACCCTACCAACCAAAAAAAGCCCAGGACCAGATGGATTCACAGCCAAATTCTGCCAGAGGTAAAAAGAGGAGCTGGTACCATTTCTTCTGAAACTATTCCAAACAATTGAAAAAGAGAAACTTCTCCCTAACTCATTTTATGAGGCCAGCATCATCCTGATACCAAAACCTGGCAGAGATACAACAACAAAAAAGAAAACTTCAGGCCAATATCCCTGATGAACATCGATGCAAAAATCCTCAATAAAATACTGGCAAATGGAATCCTGCAGCACATCAAAAAGCTTATCCACTACAATCACGCTGGCTTCATCCCCGGGATGCAAGACTGGTTCAACATATACAAATGAATAAATGTATCTTATATAAACAGAACTAAAGACAAAAACTGCATGATTATCTCAATAGACACAGAAAAGGCCTATAATAAAATTCAACATCCCTTCATGTTAAAAACTCTCAACAAACTAGGTATTGATGGAACATATCTTAAAATAATAAGAGCCATTTATGACAAATGCATAGCCAATATTCTACTGAATGGGCAAAAAACCTGGAAGCATTCCCCTTAAGAACTGGCATAAGACAAGGATGGCCTCTCTCACTACTCCCATTCAACATAGTTTTCGAAGTTCTGGGCAGGGCAATCAGGCAAGATAAAGAAATAAAGGGTATTCAAAAAGGAAGACATGAGGTCAAACTGTCTGTTTGCAGATGCCATGATCCTGTATCTAGAAAACCTCATTGTGTCAGCTCAAAAGCTTCTTAAGCTGATAAGCAACTTTAGCGAAGTCTCAGGATAAAAAATCAATGTGCAAAAATCACAAGCATTCCTATACACCAACAATAGACAAGCAGAGAGCCAATTCATGAATGAACTTTCATTCACAATTGCTACAAAGAGAATAAAATGCCTAGGAATACAGCTAACAAGAGAAGTAAAAGATCTCTACAAGAAGAACTATAAACCACTGCTCAAAGAAATCAGAGGTGACACAACAAATGCAAAAATATTCCATGCTCATTGATAGAAAGTATAAATATCATTAAAATGGCCATACTGCCAAAATAATTTATAGATTCAATGCTATTCCCATTAAACTACCATTGACATTTGTATTAGTTTATTTTCACACAGCTGATAAAGACACAGGAATTGTTGGAGTTACAATTCAAGATGAGATTTGGGTGAGGACACAGCCAAAGCATATCATTTAGCTCCTGGCCCCTCCCAAATCTCATATCCTCACATTTCCAAATCAATCATGCCTTCTCAACAGTCCCCAAAGGTCTTAACTCATTTCAGCATTAACTCAAAAGTTCACAGTCCAAAGTCTTATCTGAGACAAGGCAAGTCCCTTCCACCTATGAGCCTGTAAAATCAAAAGCAAGTTGGTTACTTCCTAGATACAATGGGGACACAGGCATTGGGTAAATGCAGCCATTCCAAGTGGGAGAAATTGGCCAAAACAAGGGGCTACAAGCCCAATGCAAGTCTGAAACCCAGTAGGGTAGTCAAATCTTAAAGTCCCAAAATGATCTCCTTTGACTCCATGTCTTACATCTGAATCATGCTGATCCAAGAGGTGGGTTCCTATGGTGTTTGGCAGCTCTGCCACTGTGCCTTTTCAGGGTATAGTCTCCTCCCTGGCTGCTTTCATGGGTTGGTGCTATCTGCAGCTTTTCCAGGTGCACAGTGCAAGCTGTCAGTAGATCTACCATTCTGGGATCTGGAGGACAGTGGCCTTCTTCTCACAGCTCCACTAGGTGGTGTTCCAGTAGGGACTGGTGTGGGGGCTCCAACTCCACATTTCCCTTCCACACTGCCCTAGCAGAGGTACTCCATGAGGGTCCTGCCCCTGCAGCAAACTTCTTCCTGGACTTCCAGGCATTCCCATACATCCTCTTAAATCTAGGCAGAGGTTCCTAAACCCCAGTTCTTGACTTCAGTGTACTTGCAGGCTCAACTCTATGTGGAAACTGCCAAGGCTTGGGGCTTGCACCCTCTGAAGCCATGGGCTGAGCTCTATGTTGGTCTCTTTCAGTCACAGGTGGAGTGGCTGGGATGCAGGGCACCAAGTCTCTAGGCTGCAAACAGCATGGGGACCCTGGGCCTGGCCCCCAAATTATTTTTTCCTCCTATGCCTCCTGGCCTGTGATGGGAGGGACTGCTGTGAAGACCTCTGACATGTCCTGGAGACATTTTCCCCATTGTCTTAGGGATTGACATTTGAATCCTCATTACTTATGCAAATTTCTGCAGCTGGTTTGAATTTCTCCTCACAAAATGGGATTGTCTTTTCTATCGCATTGTCAGGCTGCAAATTTTCTGAACTTTTATGCTCTGCTTCCATTATAAAACTAAATGCCTTTAACAGCACCCAAGTCACCTCATGAATGCTTAACTGCTTAGAAATTTCTTCTACCAGATACCCCAAATCATCTCTCTCAAGTTCAAGGTTCCATAAATCTCTAGGGCAGGGAAAAATGCTGCTAGTCTCTTTGCTAAAACATAACAAGAGCCATCTTTGCTCCAGTTCCCAACAAGTTCTTCATTTCCATCTGAGACCACTTCAGCCTGTATTTTTATTCTTCATATCGTTATCAGCATTTTGGTGAAAGCCATTCAACAAGTCCCTAGGGAGTTCCAAACATTCCCATATTTTCCTGTCTTCCTCTGAGGCTTCCAAACTGTTGCGATCTCTTCCTGTTACTCAATTCCAAAGTTGCTTCCACATTTTTGTGTATCTTTTCAGCTATGTCCCACTCTACTAGTATCAATTTACTGTATTTGTTTGTTTTCATGCTGCTAAAAAAGACATACCCAAGGCTGGGCAATTTACAAAAGAAAGAGATTTATTGGACTCACAGTCCATGTGGCTGGGGAGGCCTCACAATCATGATGGAAGGTGAAAGGCATGTCTCATATGGTGGCAGACAAAAGGAGAGCTTGTGCAGGGAAACTCCCATTTTTAAAACCATCAGATCTCATGAGACTTATTCACTATCACAAGAACTGTGCAGGAAAGACCTGTCCCCATAATGCAATCACCTCACACCAGATTCCTCCCACAGCATGTGGGAATTATGAGAGTTACAATTCAAGATGAGATTTGGGTTGGGACAGAGCCAAACCATATCAACATTCTTCACAAAATTGGAAAAAAACTACTTTAAAATTCATATAGAAGAAAAAAGGACTCTGTATAGCCAAGACAATCCTAAGCAAAAAGAACAAAGCTGGAGGCATCATGCTACCTGACTTCAAGCCATACTACAAGGCTACCATAACCAAAACAGCGTGGTACTGATACAAAAATAGACACATAGACCAATGGAACAGAATAGAGACCCCAGAAATAAGACCGCACATCTACAACCATCTGGTCTTCGACAAACCTGACAAAAACAAGCACGGGAAAGGATTCCCTATTTAATAAATAGTGCTTGGAAAACTGGCTAGCCATATGCAGAAAACTGAAACTGGACCACTTCCTTACACCTTATACAAAAATTAACTCAAGATGGATTAAAGACTTAAATGTAAAACACAAAACTATACAAACCCTGAAAGAAAATTTAGGCAATACCATTCAGCACATAGGCATGGGCAAAGATTTCATGATGAAAACATCAAAAGCAATTGCAACAAAAGCAAAAATTGACAAATGGGATCTAACTAAACTAAGGAGCTTCTGCACAGCAAAAGAAACTATCATCAAAGTAATCAGACAATCTATAGAATGGGTAAAAATTTTTGCAATCAATCCATCTGACAAAGGTCTAATATCCAGAATCTACAAGAAACTTAAACAAATTTACAAGAAAAAACAAACAACCCCATTAAAAAGTGGGCAAAGGATATGAAAAAACATTTTTAAAAGAAGACATTTATGTGGCCAAGAAACATATGAAAAACAGCTCAACACCACTAATCATTAGAGAAATGCAAATCAAAACCACAATGAGATACCATCTCACATCAGTCAGAATGGCGACTATAAAAAGTCAAGACACCCTCAACCTCTCCCTCTCCCTCTCCCTTCTTTGGTCTCCCTCTGTTGCCAAGGCTGGACTGTACTGCCGTGATCTCAGCTCGCTGCAACGTCCCTGCCTCGGGCTCCCGTGATTCTCCTGTCGAGTGCCTGGGATTGCAGGCAGGCGCCGCCATGCCTGACTGGTTTTTGTATTTTTGGTGGAGATGGGTTTTCGCCGTGTTGACTGGGCTGGTCTCCAGCTTCTGACCTCCAGTGATCTGCCCGCCTCGGCATCCCGAGGTGCTGGGATTGCAGACGGAGTCTCACTTACTCAATGCTCAATGTTGCCCAGGCTGGAGTGCAGTGGCGTGATCTCAGCTCGCTACAACCTCCACCTCCCAGCCGCCTGCCTTGGCCTCCCAAAGTGCTAAGATTACAGCCTCTGCCCGGCCGCCACCCCATCTAGGAAGTGAGCAGCATCTCTGCCTAGCCGCCCATCATCTGGGATGTGAGGAGCCCCTCTGCCCGGCCGCCCTGTCTGGGAAGTGAGGAGCACTTATGCCCGGCCACCACCCCTTCTAGGAAGTGAGGAGCATCTCTGCCCAGCCACCCATCATCTGGGATGTGAGGAGCACCTCTGCCTGGCTGCCCCCTCTGGGATGTGAGGAGTGCTTATGCCTGGCCACCCTGACTGGGAAGTGAGGAGCGCCTCTGCCCGGCCACCCCGTCTGGGAGGTGAGGAGCACCTCTGCCCGGCTGCCACCCCGTCTGGGAGGTGAGGAGCGTCTCTGCCTGGCCGCCACCCCATCTAGGAAGTGAGGAGCGCCTCTGCCCGGCCACCACCCCATCTGGGAAGTGAGGAGTGCCTCTGCCCAGCCACCACCCCATCTGGGATGTGAGGAGCGTCTCTGCCTGGCTGCCCCATTTAGGAAGTGAGGAGCGCCTCTGCCCAGCCGCCCCGTCTGGGAAGCGAGGAGCGCCTCTGCCCGGCCGCCCCGTCTGGGAGGCGAGGAGCGCCTCTGCCCGGCCGCCCCGTCTGGGAGGTGAGGAGCGCCTCTGCCCGGCCGCCACCCCGTCTGGGAGGTGAGGAGCACCTCTGCCCAGCCGCCCTTCGTCTGGGAAGTGAGGAGCGCCTCTGCCCGGCTGCCCCGTCTAGGAAGCAAGGAGCACCTCTGCCCGGCCGCCCCGTCTAGGAAGCGAGGAGCGCCTCTGCCCGGCCGCCCCGTCTGGGAGGTGAGGAGCGTCTCTGCCCAGCCACCCTGTCTGGGAGGTGAGGAGCGCCTCGGCCCGGCCGCCCCATCTGGGAAGTGAGGAGTGCCTCTGCCCGGCTGCCACCCTGTCTGGGAAGTGAGGAGCGCCTCTGCCTGGCTACTGTGCAATCTTCCAAGTGTGAAGTGACAGCCTTTCTGCAGGTGTACCCAACAGCTCCGAAGAGACAGTGACTATCGAGAACAGGCCATGATGACGATGGCCATTTTGTCAAAAAGAAAAGGGGGAAATGTGGGGAAAAGAAAGAGAGATCAGATTGTTACTGTGTCTGTGTAGAAAGAAGTAGACATAGGAGACTCCATTTTGTTCTGTACTAAGAAAAATTCTTCTGCCTTGGGATGCTGTTAATCTATAACCTTATCCCCAACCCCGTGCTCTCTGAAACATGTGCTATGTCAACTCAGGGTTAAATGCATTAAGGGCGGTGCAAGATGTGCTTTGTTAAACAGATGCTTGAAGGCAGCATGCTCATTAAGAGTCATCACCACTCCCTAATCTCAAGTACCCAGGGACACAAACACTGCGGAAGGCCGCAGGGTCCTCTGCCTAGGAAAACCAGAGACCTTTGTTCATGTGTTTATCTGGTGACCTTCTCTCCACTATTATCCTATGACCCTGCCACATCCCCCTCTCCAAGAAACACCCAAGAATGATCAATAAATACTTAAAAAAAAAAAAAAGTCAAGACACAACAGATGCTGGCAAGGCTGTGGAAAAAGAGAAATGCTTTTACACTGTTGGTGGGAATGTAAGATATTATGGCAATTCATCAGAGACCTAGAACCAGAAATACCATTTGACTGAGCAATCCCATTACTGGGTATATACCCAAATAAATATAAATCATTCTATTATAAAGATACATGCACACAAATGTTCATAGCAGCACTATTCACAATAGGAAAGACATAGAACCAACCCAAATGCCCATCAATGATAGGCTGGATAAAGAAAATGTGGTACATATACACCATGGAATACTATGCAGCCATAAAAAGGAACAAGATCATGTCCTTTGCAGGGTCATGGATGAAGCTGAAAGCCATTATCCTCAGCAAAACTAACACAGGAACAGAAAACCAACCACCAAATGTTCTCACTTATAAGTGGGAGCTGAACAATTATGTCATGTGTTTCACATGACACAGGGGAGGGGAACAACACACACTGGGGCCTTTCAGAGTCGGGGGATGTGGGGGAGAACATCAGGATAAATAGCTAATGCATGCTGGGCTTAATACCTAGGTGATGGGTTGATAGGTGCAGCAAACCACCATGGCACACATTTACCTATGTAACAAACCTGCACATCCTACACGTGTATCCCAGAACTTAAAATTAAGTTAAATTAAATTAAAACAAAACAAAACAAAAAACAGAGGTCATGCTGAGAGTTTACTGTATATCTGGCACAGTGGTAGGCATTGTGAATTAAAAGACATATGAGACTCAGTCTTGCTCCCAAAGATTTCATAGTATAGCAAAACATACTAAAATATAAATAAGCAAATGGAATGTGATCAATGTTAAAGTACTGTAGTTAGAATACAAGGTTATAAGTTGACATGTATGACTAACTAAGGATGTCTCTCTCAGGGAAAGGGAGCAGGCCCCTATATTACATATGTTGAGTATAAATCAACACAATTTTTTGGAAAATAGCAATTTGATAATAGAAGGTTTTTTAACATCCTTTGATTCAGTAATTACACTGTTACTATTTTTTTCATTGGAAAGTGTTAGAGATGTGGACAAAGAATTCTGTTTTAGAAGAATTTCTCATGATTGTATGCATACTAATTAGCACAGATTCCTGAGCCAAATCTTCTGTGTGAGAATTCTGGCTTTATCACTTAACAGCCATGAGCTTGGATGAGGGACCCAATCTCTACAGTAAGCTTGTTCATCTGAAAAATGGGTATAATCAAAGCATCATCTCCAAAGGATTGTTACAGATATGTAACTGTCACTGAAGATAAAGGACTCAGCAGAATGCTTGGCCCATAGTAAATACTCAATAATTTTTAGCTCATTTATTTGTAGCAGTGAAAAACTGGAAATACCTAAATGTTTCATTATAGGTGATTGGAGAAATTGTGAAACGGCTCAAGTAATAGAATATTATGTAGCCATTAAAAAGCCCTTTTTAATGAAGATTAAATGAAGAAAATTGTGATATTAATTGCAAAAAGCAAAATATAAAACCACATTTTCTGATTCTTCTGGATTATCCTATAAATAAGCAAATAAACAGAGATGAATAACTTGAGGGGGGAAATGAAAAAACTAAATACCCTTAGAAGTTATCTCTGAGTGCAGGAATTAGAAATCATTTTTATTTTCTTTTTGTATTTTCCAGAAAGTCTATAATGAACAAATATTACATTTATTTTGAAGAACATAAATTATTTAAAATAGTACATTTTTCAAAATACCAAGTTATTGGCCAGATTCTGGTACTAATTGTTGACAAATTAACATCTCAGTTTTTTGCAATCATTCCATATATAAGGCTTTATACTTTCTTAGTGCTTTTTCCACCAAATAGTAGCTCACTCACAGAGTGAGACCCGTGATTACATTAGGTTCTCAGTACTATGGTAGATGTGCAGAAGAGAGGGAAAGTGAAGGTCATGGCCTTTATCTTTGGAGCATCTGGGAGAAAAGCAAGAGGCGTGAGTTATTTATACTGCAATGTAAGGTAAGTACCACCTGAATGAAGAGAAAAGAGGGCACTATGGACAAGAATAGTTGGGGCAGGCTTTAGGGAAAGGAAGGAATTGAAGTGGGTCCTGGGGATGGGTAGAGTACATGAGGCAGGAGATGCCAGATGATAAAAATGAAGCAACTGTAACAACTAAGTGATGTATACAAACCACCATCTGCAGGGAACCATTAGTGTGTGGCCTAGAAACAGCCAGTTTCATATTGATGATGACAAATAGGTCCCATCTCACTTGTTAATATAAATTTTTATAGGGAAGTGTAGAGAAAGATCAATATTATTATTGATAATAATTATCTATTATTATTTTGATAATTCTGAGGCAACATTTGAAGAGAAAACAGTGCCATTGTAGAGTAGTCTTATCTGTCATGGGCAAGTGAAAGGGAAGTTGATTTTTACCATTATAGAGCCTATGTTATAGACTAATGGTTTATATCATAGAGCAGTGGTTTTGAGTGGACCAAGGTGGATGACAGAAATGTAGAACATATATGGGTCTCTGAAGATTTCTCAGGAGTACCACAAATTAAAAAGGAGGACAGATTGGGGGCAGGAAGAAGCTAAGGATGGCTTAAGGAATTCTAACATGAGAGATGGCAAGGAAGTTGGTCCGTGTAACAGAGATAGATAGCACAAACCATCAATTGTCATTTTGTAATTTGGATATGAAATCATTTAATTCTTCACATCAATTCCTTGAAAGAAAAAAGATAAACTTGGGGATTGCTGATATTTCTTTTAATTTATTTTAATTCTATTAATCTATGACTCTAGGACTCCTAACATGTTTAATGTAAAATTAAATAATTGAAATCTAAATCTTTATCTTCCACAGGCCATAATTCCAAGTGACAGGCTATGACCTTTCAGGCTTCCCTGGTTTGTGTTTTTTTCTTTTTGGAGTGATTAAAAAAAATACTGAATGTTGAATGCATAAATGTAATTAGCTTTAACAGTGAATACTGAAAGCAAATGAAATGTGTATCAAAAGAGAAATGACTAAATAAAATAGAGGAATAAGATGTGGTCTATTTGGATTATGGAATATCATACATTAACTGATAGGAAAGATTTGGATCTGTGTATCAATATGTAAACATCATAAAAATATGTAGAGTAAAAGCAAATTGCAGAAGAGTATGTATAGTATGATCCCATTTACCCAGTAAAGAAAAACCTACAATACTATATGTGTTCTATGAAAAGTACACACAAACATGGATATTAAAGGGCATGGACACTCAACTCATAAGGGATTATTCATGATGACAGGAGTAAAGAACTAAAATTAGTAGTGCAAATTATTGGTAGTGGATATAGTAAAGATACAGTGCTTCATCTGTAATGTAATACTTAAAAAATAATAAACATATTATTTAGGTGATTAAAAAATGGAAATAAGGGGAAAATCAAACAGAAAAGCATAACATGCAGAATAGTGGAGTAGCAATCAGGGCTGAAACTCCAAATGTGACTCTGTCAATAACAACCATTTAGCATGTGAACTCATTTATTCTCTGAGTACCAGTTTCCTACCTCAGCTAAAGCATAAGGACATCAGCCAAGAGAATCACTAAAGTTCGAAGTTTTCAGACATTGAGATGTTTTTGAATTGTTGATATTTCATAGGATAGTGAGCAAATAACCAATGATATTTAGCACAAATGTCAGAACGTCAGTGGGTGAAAAAGCACAGTGACCTAAACTGCCAGGACACTTCAATACTGTTTAGTGATTTAGAAAGGTTAAGCTCCCCAAGTAACACATCTTGTTAGAATTCCAGAATAGAGATGCCTACCTGGGTTTTCCCACTCAGGGCTCCTGAATCTGGTCTCTAACTGCATGATCTAATTCCTCCAAGTATCTATGTGTGACAACACCCACGTGAGTATTTAACTCAAGATTTCCATGAAGATGACCACAGGATTTGTTGAAAATGAAAAAAAAAATCTACAATTTAATCTCTACAATTAAACATCAATCTAAAAACAATACACAATAGATTCTGGCAACAATCTCTGGTTTCTCCTCACCAGGAGGATTGATGGTAACTCTTGACTATAATGGCTAAGAAAAGAGCCTCTAGGCCGATCTTATCTGGAGCTTTCTTCATATTTTCCATGTTGTTCTCCTATCCCCAAATCTACTCTGGGATATCCACTTTTGGTGTGAAAGGTTTCCACTAAACCTTAGCCTTACGTGAGAGTTTTGCTTGATTTCAACACTCATTTGCCAATGCACCACTGCAACCCTCAGTCTCTTACTTGAACATTCTTTCTATACCTAAAACATCCTTGCAGGAATGCTGATTCTGTGATGACCCCATTCCACTCCAGTGTCCATGGGAAGAATTTTAAAGTCACTTTGCTGGGATAAGTGTTTTTCCTCTCTTGGGGTGCAAATTGAAATAAGTTTTCTCTTTGAACAATGAAATGGTCACCTCCTGTATGTAGCAGGAATTGATATTTCCATTCTCCCTCTTTTAGTAATAGGGTCTTCAAACTTGAGTTCAGCATATGACCACCAAACTAGAAATTACATATGGTATCTTCCCTTACAGCTAAATATGGCATGTGACTAATTTCAGGCCAATGGAATGCAAATGTGATGTGTGCAACTTTCAAGTTATGGCCCTAAAGGGAAGGTGTGTGCCCTTCACTTCCCAATTCTTCATTCCAGTAACTAAAATATGATGACGAATCTTCTTCAGCCATGTGGATGGAAGCAATACCTAGGGATGTCAGAGGAACAAGAGAGAGGTCTGAATTACCAACCCTTGGAACAGCCCTGGTCTGCTTCTCTTCAGACTTACGTAAAATAGATTCATGTTCTATCTTGCTTAAGCCAGAGTTATTTTGGGTCTTGTCAGAGGTATGAAACAATGTACTAATGAATAGAATCTGGTACTTATAGTGGGATAATGGCATAACACAATTGAACATATATGACATTGGCTTAATGGTTAGGCAGTGAGTGGCAAGGACAAAAAAAATTCAGGCTAAAAATTGAATTGCAAAACATTTGGTAAAAACGCTTCTTTCATTTCCTATGGCTGCTCTATAAGACTACCACAAATTTAATGGTTTAAACCAACAGAAATTTTTTTATCTTACAGTTCTGGAGGTCAGAAACCCTAAATGGCTCTTACAGAACTAAAAATTAAGTTGTTATCATGGCTATGCTCTGTTCAGCAGGCTCTAGGAGAGACCTATTTCCTTCCTTTTTCCAGCTTCTAGGGATGCCTGCATTTTTTGGATCATGGCCCCTTCCTCCATCTGCAAAGCCAGCAACAGCAGGTCAAATCCTTCTCACTACAAATCGCTTTGACCTCTTCTTTTGCCTCTTTCATCTACCTTTAAGAACCAATGTGGTTTTGAAGAATCCACTTAGACAGTCCAGGATAAAGTCAACTATTTGATCTTAAAGTCAGATGATTATTAACCTTAATTGCATCTGCTATCTTAATTCCTCTTTGCCATGTAAGGTATGTAGTCACAGGTTCTGGGGATTAGGGCATGGACATCTTTGGGTAAGGGTGAGGGGTGCTTATTATTCTGCCTATCACAATGTCTCCTGTGATAACTTGGACATCAGAACCCATGCTAACTGAACCCACTTTAGGAATGCGTTGATTTTTTTCAGAATATCAGTGCAGGATATTGTTGACTGCTTCTTGTCATTTTTAGCAAAGTCCTGTAAGAACGGGCTGAATCCTAGCTAAAGTCAGCCTATTTAAAAGTAGAGGTAGAAGGTAATTCAGTTCCATTTGGGTCATTTTTTTCTTTTTCTTTTTTTTGGGGGGGGGTGGGGTGGGGAAGGGTCTAGATAGTTGGAACCCTACAGGGTTGGAAAGTTAATGGCTTCTCTATTCTGGTGACTCCGAAGAAGCAGCCTTAGCTGGAGACAAGCCTATAGGCTAGGCTTTGCTCAAGCACTTCCCAGTAAGTTCTCTCTGCCAGACAATGGGAGGGGGCACAGAGGCACAAACTGGACTTAGGATCTTTTCTTCCCAACCAAATATATTTTTTAATGACCTCAGCTACCTTCAAAAAAAAAAAGTCAGATTGAGAATGGGCAGCACATAGAGGACCGAAAATAGATTGAAATCTTCATGCTTAAGAGGTATGTTGGATGAGACCATTGGCTGTTATTACTGTCCTATAGAATTGATTAGAAATAAATAGACCCGGGGGGTGGAGCCAAGATGGCCGAATAGGAACAGCTCCAGTCTATAGCTCCCAGTGTGAGTGACGCAGAAGACGAATGATTTCTGCATTTCCAACTGAGGTACCAGGTTCATCTCACTGGGGATTGTCAGACAGTGGGTGCAAGACAGTGGGTGCAGTGCACCAAGCATGAGCCAAAGCAGGGTGAGGCATCGCCTCACCCGGGAAGTGCAAGGGGTCAAGGAATGCCCTTGCCTAGCCAAGGAAAGAGGTAACAGACAGCACCTGGAAAATCAGGTCACTCCCACCTTAATACTGCACTTTTCCAGTGGTCTTAGCAAACGGCACACCAGGAGATTGTATCCCACGCCTGGCTCGGAGGGTCCTACGCCCACGGAGCCTCACTCATTGCTAGCACAGCAGTCTGAGATCAAACTGCAAGGCGGCAGCAAGGCTGGGGGAGTGGCGCCCGCCATTGCGGAGGCTTGAGTAGGTAAACAAAGCAGCCTGGGAAGCTGGAACTGAGTGGAGCCCACCACAGCTCAAGGAGGCCTGCCTGCCTCTGTAGACTCCACCTCTGGGGCAGGGCATAGCCAAACAAAAGGCAGCAGAAACCTCTGCAGACTTAAATGCCCCTGTCTGACAGCTTTGAAGAGAGTAGTGGTTCTCCCAGCATGCAGCTGGAGATCTGAGAATGGACAGACTGCCTCCTCAAGTGGGTCCCTGACCCCCCAGTAGCCTAACTGGGAGGCACCCCCCAGTAGGGGCAGACTGACACCTCACACGGCTGGGTACTCCTCTGAGACAAAACTTCCAGAGGAACGATCAGGCAGCAACATTTGCTGTTCACCAATATCCACTGTTCTGCAGCCACCACTGCTGATACCCAGGCAAACAGGTCTGGAGTGGACCTCCAGCAAACTCCAACAGACCTGCAGCTAAGGGTCCTGACTGTTAGAAGGAAAACTAACAAACAGAAAGGACATCCACACCAAAACCCCATCTGTACGTCACCATCATCAAAGACCAAAGGTAGATAAAACCACAAAGATGGGGAAAAAAACAGGGCAGAAAAACTGAAAATTCTAAAAATCTGAGCGCCTCTCCTCCTCCAAAGGAATGCAGCTCCTCACCAGCAATGGAACAAAGCTGGACGGAGAATGACTTTGACGAGTTGAGAGAAGAAGGCTTCAGACGATCAATCTACTCGGAGCTAAAGGAGGAAGTTCAAACCAATGGCAAAGAAGTTAAAAACCTTGAAAAAAGATTAGATGAATGGCTAACTAGAATAACCAATGCAGAGAAGTCCTTAAAGGACATGATGGAGCTGAAAACCACAGCACAAGAACTACGTGACGAATGCACAAGCCTCAGTAGCCGACTCGATCAACTGGAAGAATGGAACCAAGTTCACAGCCAAATTCTACCAGAGGTACAAGGAGGAGCTGGTACCATTCCTTCTGAAACTATTCCAATCAATAGAAAAAGAGGGAATCCTCCCTAACTCATTTTACGAGGCCAGCATCATCCCGATACCAAAGCCAGGCAGAGACACAACAAAAAGAGAATTTTAGACCAATATCCCTGATGAACATCGATGCAAAAATTCTCAATAAAATACTCGGAAACTGAATCCATCAGCACATCAAAAAGCTTATCCACCATGATCAAGCGGGCTTCATCCCTGGGATGTGAGGCTGGTTCAATATACGCAAATCGATAAACGTAATCCAGCATATAAACAGAACCAATGACAAAAACCACATGGTTATCTCAATAGATGCAGAAAAGGCCTTTGACAAAATTCAACAATGCTTCATGCTAAAAACTCTCAATAAATTAGGTATTGATGGGATGTATCTCAAAATAATAAAAGCTATCTATGACAAACCCACAGCCAATATCATACTGAATGGACAAAAACTGGAAGCATTCCCTTTGAAAACTGGCACAAGACAGGGATGCCCTCTCTTACCACTCCTATTCAACATAATGTTGGAAGTTCTGGCCAGGGCAATCAGGCAGGAGAAGGAAATAAACGGTATTCAATTAGGAAAAGAGGAAGTCAAATTGTCCCTATTTGCAGATGACATGATTGTATATTTAGGAAACCCCATCATCTCAGCCCAAAATCTCCTTAAGCTGATTAGCAACTTCAGCAAAGTCTCAGGATATGAAATCAATGTGCAAAAATCACAAGCATTCCTATACACCAATAACAGACAAACAGAGAGCCAAATCATAAGAGAACTCCCATTCACAACTGCTTCAAAGAGAATAAAATACCTAGGAACCCCACTTACAAGGGATGTGAAGGACCTCTTCAAGGAGAACTACAAACCACTGCTCAATGAAATAAAAGAGGACACAAACAAATGGAAGAACATTCCATGCTCGTGGATAGGAAGAATCAATATCGTGAAAATGGCCATACTGCCCAAGGTAATTTATAGATTCAATGCCATCCCCATCAAGCTACCAATGACTTTCTTCACAGAATTGGAAAAAACTACTTTAAACTTCATATGGAACCAAAAAAGAGCCCACATTGCCAAGTAAATCCTAAGCCAAAAGAACAAAGCTGGAGGTATCATGCTACCTGACTTCAAACTATACTACAAGGCTACAGTAACCAAAACAGCATGGTACTGGTACCAAAACAGAGATATATACCAATGGAATGGAACAGAACAGAGCCCTCAGAAATAATGCTGCATATCTACAACTATCTGATCTTTGACAAACCTGACAAAAACAAGAAATGGGGAAAGGATTCCCTATTTAATAAATGGTGCTGGGAAAACTTGCTAGCCATATGTAGAAAGCTGAAACTGGATCCCTTCCTTATACCTTACACAAAAATTAATTCAAGATGGATTAAAGACTTAAATCTTAGACCTAAAACCATAAAAACCGTAAAAGAAAACCTAGGCAATACCATTCAGGACATAGGCATGGGCAAGGACTTCATGTCTAAAACACCAAAAGCAATGGCAACAAAAGCCAAAATTGACAAATGGCATCTAATTAAACTAAAGAGCTTCTGTACAGCAAAAGAAACTACCATCAGAGTGAACAGGCAACCTACAGAATGGGAGAAAATTTTTGCAATCTACTTATCTGACAAAGGGCTAATATCCAGAATCTACAATGAACTCAAACAAATTTACAAGAAAAAAAACAAACAACCCCATCAACAAGTGGGTGAAGGATATGAACAGACACTTCTCAAAAGAAGACATTTATGCAGTCAAAAGACACATGAAAAAATGCCATCATCACTGGTCATCAGAGAAATGCAAATCAAAACCACAAAGAGACCATCTTACACCAGGTAGAATGATGATCATTAAAAAGTCAGGAAACAACAAGTGCTGGAGAGGATGTGGAGAAATAGGAACACTTTTACACTGTTGGTGGGAATGTAAACTAGTTCAACCATTGTGGAAGTCAGTGTGGTGACTCCTCAGGGATCTAGAACTAGAAATACCATTTGACCCAGCCATCCCATTACTGGGTATATACCCAAAGGATTATAAATCATGCTGCTATAAAGACACATGCACACATATGTTTATTGCGGCACTATTCACAATAGCAAAGACTTGGAACCAACCCAAGTGTCCAACAATGATAGACTGGATTAAGAAAATGTGGCACATATACACCATGGAATACTATGCAGCCATAAAAAATAATGAGTTCATGTCCTTTGTAGGGACATGGATGAAACTGGAAACCAACATTCTCAGCAAACTATCACAAGGACAAAAAACCAAACACTGCATGTTCTCACTCATAGGTGGGAATTGAACAATGAGAACACGTGGACACAGGAAGGGGAACATCACACACCGGGGCCTGTTGTTGGGTGGGGGTAGTGGGGAGGGATAGCATTTGGAGATATACCTAATGTTAAATGACGAGTTACTGGGTGCAGCACACCAACATGGCACATGTATACATATGTAACAAACCTGCACGTTGTGCACATGTACCCTAAAACTTAAAGTATAATAAAAAAAAAAAAAAAGAAAGAAACAGACCAGAAATTGACTAGGTTTTTTAGGAAATTATATGCTGAATGAATGGGAAACCTAGCTGACCAAAGCCTGGTGTTGCTACACACCTAAAACCAACATAACGTGGTTTGGTCACTGGGAAGGATATTCTCTCCTGTGTCCACTTCAGATGTAGTGAAGGGGGGATGGACAAGAAAAAATTTCCAGAGGAAAAAGCGAAGGGTTGGAGGAGGAGGGAGCAAGATGAAAGTAATGCAAGTTGAGTCCCTGGCCTCAGGTACAAAATTTAAGGTAGTGCAAAAACAGTCAGTAATCAAAATACTATTTTAATACAATGCTTTATAGAATCAGAATCAGTGCAAAACATCATGGATGAACAAAATAGCAAAATTTTTAATACTAACACGATCTGTAGCGGTGCCATAGGAAGTCATATCAGATCCTGAGATGAAAAGGAAAATCATCCATACAATCCTATCTTTATTAAACAGTGTTATTTTGTTCACCACAGATTTATAGATCATTTACATTCATTTTGTTTGTTTAAAATATATCATTAAATTTTTTTTGATTATCAAGTCTTTTTGTGCCCCCTTAACTTTTATGCCCCCTTAACTATGAGCTGGGTCCTAGAGCAGACACAGACATGAATTCAGAAAGTTCTGCCCAGAGAATAAAGCCAGGGATGCCAGATGAGCTAAAGAAGGGATTTACTCCATTGCTAGGGAAAGGAGTTGTTATGGGCTGAATTGTACTCCTCACCCTCTGCCAAATTCCTGTGTGGAAGCCCTAACCCCTAGTATCTCAGAATGGGACTCTATATTTGGAGATAAGGCCTTTAAAGAGGTGGATAGATTAAAATGAGGCCACTAGGGCAGGCCCTAATCCAAAGTGACTGGTCTCCTTATTAGAAGAGGGAGAGACATTAGGGCTGTGCGCAGAGGAAAAACCACATGAGGACACAGCGAGCAGGTGGCCATCTGCAAGCCAAGGAGAGGCCTCAGAGGAAACCACAACTGCTGACACCGGGATTGTAGACTTCCAGCTTCCAGAACTGTGAGAAAATTAATTTATGTTGTTGAAGCCAGGCAGTTTGTAGTATTTTGCTATGGCAGCTCTAGCAGACCTAGTACAGGAGCCTTTGGTATTCCTGTACATCAGCACTTGATCACTGTTATAAAGTGAGTACTGCCTCTTCAGACTCTTCTTTCTAACTCGGAGGCTTTTTGACTTTTGTTTGTGTGTTTTAATTGCAACTATACAGCTCCTACTCTGCTGTTTTACACTGGGGAGAAGTCAAATAACTAGTCTTTTAGGTTACAGTTCCCTGAACTATGAGCAGCCACACCTGGTTCTAGTGAAAGTCTATACATCACCTGCAGATCTGGGGCTTTGAGCTAGATATAGTACCTGGCATGCGACCCTTGGGGAAGGTTGAGTGTGTTCTAGGGGCAAAAAGAAGGATACATAAGATTACTAGGGTGGCCAAAGGAACTGACTGGGACAGAATTACTATTGTCTCCAATATCTACTTTCTCTTTGTTCATTAGTAACTGAACCCCACAATCTCAGCTGCACAGATGGCCATCCAGACAAAAACAAAACAAAACAACAACAAAAACAAAAATCTTAAATGGGACTATATATTATTTTTGAGCCACAGGAAATGACTGGAAGAGATATGTGCACCTGCAGATTCATGTCCTAAAAGGGAAGTGGTACATCCTCCCCTCTGTTTCTTCAACAGGCTGTTCCAAATGTCGACATTGTGACGAGCCATTTTCAACCACAGATAAAGGCTGCACCCACTGAAACCACAGTTGTTTTTGTCACCCAATTTGCCCCAGCAAGTTTAGATAAGAACACATCACTAGGAAATATTCATGACTATGTCCCTAAATCTGCAACAAAATAAGCTAGATACTACCGTTCTCTGGATTTGAGCAATTTTGGAAATTCAAATTTTGTTAAATATAAAGTGATTAAACAGTTTGGGGAATTAGTTAGCTGTAAGACAGCAAATAATAAGTGCTTCAGAAATCCAAAATCATTCTTTCTTCTCACATAACATTTCAAGTATAAGTAGTGGGGTTTTGAGGGTGGCACCATAATATCTAGGATAAAAGCCTCTCCCATTTTGTAACTTTGCCATCCCAGATTTATATTTCTAGCCCTGACCCATCTCCTGAGCTTCAGAATCATTTATCCCATTGCCTAATCAACATCTCCACTAGGGTATCTGAAAAAGACCTCAAACTAATTTCTAAAACAGAATTCTTTCTTTTCTCCTGTAAACCATAGCTCCCCTGTCTTTCCCATGTCAGTAAATGCACTACTATTCATCTAGTTGTTCAAACTCAATGGCTTAGACCAAAATTCTGGGAATTATTCAAGACAATTTTTTGTCTGCTTGAAAATGTATCCCAAATCCGACCACTTCCCACCACCTTCACTGTTGTCCCTGTTGTCAAGACCATTTTCCCTGAATTCTAAAATCACAGGAACAACCTAATTGTACTCCCTTTACTTTTAGATGGTACAGTTCATCCCCAACACAGAGGCTACAGTGTATTAATATTCTATTGCTCCTGTAACAAACTGCCACAAACTTGGTGGTTTAAACAATATAAATTCATCATCTTACTCTTTTGTAGGTCAGAAGTCCAACTTGACTCTCACTGGGATAAAGTCTAAGGATTGGCTGGCTGCATTATTTTCTAGAGGTGCCTGTGTGGAATCTCTGCCCCAGCTTCTGCAGGCTGCCCGCAATCCAGGGCTCATAGCCCCATTCTTCCATCTTCAAAGCCAGCAGTGGTAGACTGAGTTCTCTTCGTATCACTCTGACCTCTCCCACCTTCTTCCACTTTTAAAGATCTTTGTGATTGCATTGGGAGCACCTGCAAAATCCAAAACAATCTCTTTAAGACTAGCTGATTAGCAACCTTACTTCCATCTGAAACTTTCATTCCCCTTTGACATGTAATGTGATATATTCACAGTTCCAGAGATTAGGGTATGGGCATTTTTGAAGGACTATTATTCTGCCTGTCATACAGTGTAATTTTTTTTTTTTTTTGAGACGGAGTCTTGCTGTATCACCCAGGCTGGCATGTAATGGTGTGATCTTGGCTCACTACAACCTCCACCTCCCAGGTTCAAGTGATTCTCCTGCCTCAGCCTCCTGAGTAGCTGGGATTACAGGCATGCACCACCACGTCCGGCTAATTTATTGTATTTTTTGTAGAGACAGGGTTTTGCCATGTTGGCCAGGTTGATCTTGAGCTCCTGAGCTCAGGTGATCCACTCGCCTCGGCCTCCCAAAGTGCTGGGATTGCAGGCGTGAGCCACCGCGCCTGGCCACGCAATGTAATTTTTAAACATGTAAATCAGACCTTATTTCCCCCTCTCTTTTAGATCCTCCATTGCTTTTTCATCCACACCTGGAACAAATCCAAAATCCCAGCAAACAGGCCTTTCACAAGCTGCCGGCCTCTACTCTCTCATTCTATTCCTCATCACTGTCTCCCCATTCATTAATATGCAGTCTCACCAGTTTTATTGCTGTTTCCCAGAATGCCAAGTTCATTCCCATCTCAGAGCCCTTGAATATTCTCTTTTTTTTCTGCCAGGAGCTTTTCCCCTAGTTATCTCTACATGGTCCCCACCCTTACTTCATTCATTCTCTACCCAAAGGGTCCTTCCTCAGAAAGACCATCCCTGATCATTATCTGTCACTGTCATTCATCATATCTGGTGTCAGGCATTATGGTACCACCATATCAATCTTACTGTGAGTTATTGTTATTCATTGATGGCATTATGTATTTATTTGTCCATTTATTCATTGTCTGTCTCTATCACCAGAATGTAAGCTCCATGAGGACAGGAAATTTGTTTTGTCCTTTTCTCTGCTTCATCTGCAGCACATAATGGGTGTCCACACCAAATGAGTGAATAAAATGGTTGAATGTATGAAAAAGTAGCCTATATACTCAACAGTTTTACCTGGTCTCAAACATTGAAATAACCCAACCACTCTTCTGCAAGAGATGAACCATTTAGATTCAGAAAAATCTAGGCAGAATTCTACATTTAAGCCTCACTCAGTCCTATTTGCAATGCAATTGAAAGCCAGAGATTTGTTCCATTTTCTTCTTTGTGTGTCTTGGTTTTCAAATGAGGTGTTTAATAATTCCAGCCAGGATGCTGAGAATGCAGCAGACTCTGTGTTGAGCCTCCTGTTCCACCTTGGGGATTCTCACACAAAGCAGGACAGCGTTATTAATCCACTCTCTACAGATGCTGCGGTCGCACCTTGCAGATTGTCAAAGAGAAGTGACAGATGTGCAGTGCCTAGCAGCCTTGAAAGTCAACTTATGGGGTTCTGGAATTACGGCTTTCAGAAAAGTCATTATTGATCAAGTAAAGTTTCCAACTCAGAGAAAGTGAGGGCTTGAGGAAAACAACATTGTTTCAGAACACAGCTGGCTTGATCTGGATTGTTCTTAACATTCTGAACCTAAGCATCTCAATTGAAAAAAGTGTATATGGAGAATCTGCCATGAACCAGAACTTATGCCAGAGACCACAGCATTCAAAACAGAAGGAAACACTGTCTTTGTTCTCTGGACTTTCATACTCATGGTAGTGAAATTGTGATTCACACTAAAAAGTCCACAGATGTGTCAATAATGTGTCTCTTTAAAACTTAGAAAAATGGCCATCTTCCAATCACCACTTAAAATATTACAGGTGGACTTTGATATTTGCTATAGAAAACAAACAAAAGCCACTATCAAAATTACTATTTTTTTGTACCATGATTATAGAGTAGGTTTGTGGAATAGGATTAAATTCCCTGATCATGTAAGCAACAAAGAAAATAATTGCAAAAGTTGTTGTCATCTGTACCTAGATTTTAAAAAAGCTTTCCATTCATACTAGTTTGAGATTCTGTATCCTGGTCACTGAGTCTTGACTGAATGTATCTAAAACTTACCTCCTTTTCCATTTTGACTTCCTCTCCTGGGATTTATCTGCCTCTTCAATTCTTAATGCCTGCCTCAAGTCTTGGCTACTTTGGGGTTTCTGGTCACTTATAAATGACCACTATTTGAAACCTTGAACACAAGGTTTCTAAACCACTCAGCTGGCACACCAGTGCATAACTCCTGCCTGGCTTTCTGCCCACATCCTGCAAAGAGAACCCTCTTCTGTTGCTCTCTGAATCGCAGAATGACAGCCATAGAGATGGTGAAGTGAAACTGGGCACTCTTAGAGATCAGGCTAGCTTCAGATTCCTTCTGCTAGACACACTGACATTTTCTGAATAACTAAAATTTGAGCTTTGAAGATAGGAAGAATTTTGTTTGAATCTCTTCAAAAGAAATAATGTGCTACTACACATGGTAGGGACTTGTCTTATTAAAGAAAATGTAATTAAGATACTTTATAAGATAAATAAATTAAATGACAAAAGCAACTGATTCGCTTTTCACCCTGGAAACCTATTTCTCAGTATTCTACACAGGTCTCAAATCAAGAAAAATATATTTGATATCAGTGTTTCCACAGGATAGATGAAAAACATAGATAATAGATAGATGATGTTGTTGTTGATGAAGATAGATTAGATAGATAGATAGACAGATAGATAGATAGATAGATAGATAGATAGAATAAGAACTGAGTTCTAGAAGAAACTCTAGAAGAAGACAGGAACATTAGCCAACAGGACATATATTCAGTCCACCTAAGGCAATTCTCAGCTTGGCTTCTCTGAAAGAAATGAGATAGTAAAACACTAAGAAAATCTTTAAAAGGAAGAGCTGATCCTTTGCATTGTTTTTGGCAATAAAACACTGAGCTTTCAGAGATTAGCAAGAAAGCCAAGCAATGACCTGACGTTCCAGGTCACTAGAAGATGCTGACTTAGACATGATTATATTAGTGCTTTGTTCAGGGACTTCCAAGTGAATGCACATACAACTGATAGCTTCAAAATTCGGTCTTTTAAGTAAGCATTGCTTGAAAGCGATATCTTAATCCATTTTAATTATTTTTTTCTTAACCATTTGCATCTCTGTGTTCTCCTGGTAAAAGAAGTGTGGTGGCTCTACAGCAAATATGTTTTACAGCTTTTGTGTTTGGAGAAGGTGGAAGGAAAGCAAGGAAGCTGGTGTTTACTAAGTTTTTCCTATGTACCAATTATTTCACATATATTAATAGATTTCATCCTTAGTAGTATCCAGTATTTGTCTAATAATCTAACTGTAGAAATAAGAAGCCTAAAACTCAGCAAATTTTCTAATCATATGGCTGGGGTTTGCACTCAGGTATGTCTGACTTTTGAGGTCACACTCTTACCAATATACTGGCTGCTGAAGAACTTTAGGTTTAAAGAAAGGGAAAAGGAAAATTACAGGGAGAGGGAAAGCATAGAGCTGCAGTCAAACTCCATTTGTGCCAGACCTCACAGTTCAAATGCATAGCAGCATAAGACCACCTGTCTGGTCTGTAGTGGAGTGCAAGTAGTAGGTAGACATAAGGAATCTTGACATACAAAGGGCTTTGGTGAACAATGAGCTCAGAACCTTTATCTTAGAGTTAAGGAAACTGAAACTGAGAAAGCTCCTTGTCCAAGGTTATACTTGATTTTTGAAAATTTGTCAACATCAGAGCTAAGCCTAGAACCCATAAATCCTCATTCTTAGTTCTAAACTCATTCCATTATTCCATTCATTCTACTTGAGAAGGAATTCTCAGACATAGGACCTGCAATAATTTCCTACGGAGATCAAAATCAAGTGCAGAAGAAAAGACTTTAGCCTGCGACCTGAGACTACTCAGAAATCCTAACATTTATTCAAAGTAATGAGTCCTTTGAAAAGACTCTTTCTTATTACAGTAAAGCATAAATTTAAATTGCAACCAAAAGAAAATAATTTCACCCTTAATCCCAAATTTATCTTCTGTGCATAAAGAGCATGGATTAAGAGACAGTATTTACTTGCTGTGTTGCCTTAAGTCACTAAACTTCTCTGAGCTGCATTTTAATTATCTATAAAACGAAGATAGTAATAATACAGAGGTTCCTCATTATCTCAATTTTATTATCTGAGTCTGCAGCATAATGAGACTGCACAAGAAATCAAAAGCCATCATAACATGAAAATATCCTCTAATGCTCTAATGAGTTGCTCATTTATGAAATTAGTCTGCTCTCTGCATCCCTTCTCTTTTAAGATTTGTATTTATCTCTAACCATCAAATCAATGCCTTGGATCATTAGTCTATAAATATCTTGCAAATCCTTTGGCAAGCAAAACTGTAAATCTCAGAAAAGTTTCAGACTCTCAAGCGATGAATGAGAGGAGTGCTAGAGAATAGTGCAAAGTCACACACAAAGCAACGGACATGGAAGGATCTGGCCTAGTTAGCATCTCAAAACCACAGAAGAGAGAAAAGGTAAGGTTGGTGACAGGGCAGGAATTTTAAAGAAAATGATTTGAGTATCAAAATAACAATAAAAATCTTTGGGAAAGCTGATTAAACCTTGAATGTTTCTCAAAAGTGACCTTTGAGGATTCTTTGAAAGTTAATAACATAAAAGGACATTGCATTATGTTCTCATTTATAGTTTTGCCAGAAATCATGTTTTTTTTTAAAAAAAGGACTCCATTATTTTCAGTAAACATGTCTTATTGTCATTATAACCAAAATTATTACATTTATGAAAAATATATTATTTTTATTACCTTTACTTTTTAAAGGTAAATTCTCAATTGAATCCTTTTTCCCTTATATACTATGAAATTTTTGTTGCAGCTTTAAGTGAATTTTTTGTAGTGAATAATTAAATTACCCTTGCATAATAAGGCTCTCTTTTATCTGTACCATCTTCTATTGTTATAGTAAACAAATGAGATAAAACTTGCAAATGCATTTTACAGATTCTATAGTGCTACGTTAATGTTAGAATTTACTTTGTTTCCAAAAAAATGTTTATTTATTATGTGCAAGTTACCTCCACATACATTATTTATTTTATTCTCAAAACAACTCTTGGAGGTAGGTATATATCATCTCCAAACTATAAATTAGCCAAATGAAGAAACTTGTTCAAGGTCACATAGCTATTAGGTGGCTTAGTTATACTGAGCACCCACATTGGCTGTTCTCAAGTCTAAGGTATTCATTCTATTAATTTGGACCATATGAAGCCACCAATTTTCAGTTCAATAATGGCTGAACATCTGCCTTTCATATGATTCTACCTTTCACATTCATTCAAGAAGTATTACTGTCTATTCCCCATCAGATACTAATCTGAATTCTAGGGATATAGTAGTGATCAATACAAGCAAGGTCACAGTTCTCATGAAAGTTACATTCTAGTATAGACCATAACATATAAACAATAAAGCAAATAATTTAAATAAACAGAACAAATGGCTTACTGTTGTTATGTGCTATGCAGAGGATTAATAACAAGTAGCCTATACAGAGTGTCTGCTATAGGTCATATAATGTAGCACTTTGCATATATTAAGTTATTTTATTCTCATAACTCTATGAAGTAGGGAATATTACTATCCTCATTTTTTGGATGAAAATGCTGAAGTACAGAGAGGTTAAGTTACTTGTCCTGAGTCATGTAGCTGGTAGTGAAGGAGCCAAGCTTCAAACCTAACCAATCTGACCCTCAGAGGTACTCTTAAGCACCATGCTGTACAACAAGTCAATGGGATAAAAGTAACTGATATCTAATAGATAACTAGAATTGCTTCTCAACATCATATTTTTTATTAGTAATAGTACAGTGTTCAGTCTTCCTACACAAATACAAAATATAATGGATTATCTCAAATAATAAATTCTTCCCTCTAGTTCTTTTGCCAAATGGGGATTGTAGGAATCGGAGCACATTAGCCAAGAACAGTTTCGCTCAAAGTCTACACAACTGCTTAGGCTCTCATCGTCTCCATATGGACCCCCTGCAAGATTGTATTAACATGCACAATATATTCATAGTCTTGAGGACAACAGTTTACCACTCAATAATACTGGAACTGCACCATACAGTCCTATGACTACTCCCTCCAGGAAGGTGCAAAATTGGAAAGAAGTGTTGAGTGAACTGGAAATAGCCGACCTCAGGATGATTTCATCTCTCTCTTGTTGCCTCTTTACTTACTGTTCAGCTGTGATCCTTGCTCATCCCCAGATCCGAAGATCAGAGGAAATGATGATCGTATTTCCAATTAGAACAAATCGTAGCTATCTTGAGCTGTATCATTAATCCTTTCAGGGACATTTGTATTGTGTTACTCATTCTGTAGCCTAATGAGGCATAAAAGAAGAATCTCTTTCCTTTTCCTGTATCCAAATGTAGGTCCAAATAATTGCTCCTGCTGCTAGAGACTAAGGTTAATTTAAAGTAAAGACCCAGCAGGGGAAATGTTCACTGTCTAAGCAATGGAATCAAATGTGGATAGGCACTGTCATAAACCTATCACCTCGAGACTTTCCTTTTTGCAATTTGATCCTCAATTTTGTAATGCCTATTTGCCTACTGTTTATGAGTGTCAGAATTTTCCATTCCTTATGGAACAATGATTTTTTTCAATAAAATTATTTAACATAGTTCCCTATGGTGAGGACATTTTCACAGGCCCTTTCACTGGAGGGTCTAAAGTATGCTATAAATTCACTCATTTTTTTCTGCAATCAAAAGGAAATATATATATTTTTCCACTCTGTTTTGAATAGGATTAGAAAAGAATCCTCTCTTCGGCATTCTCAGACACAGGAAGTGTTTTCTGGGCTGTTGCTATGTGCTTTAGCAAATTAGTCTGCCAGTCTCCTTAGGAACTCTGTCAGTTAGGTAGTTTGCTATATGTGCTTCCAAATTATTGATTTTGGATCAAACTGTAAGATGCAATAATAAGAACATATTTACCAAAAGTAAGTGAGTTGAAAACCTAATCCAGATTTATGTTTGAAAACTACTATTATCAGAAATGAAGGGACTAGAGTTAAATCTACCCAAGAAATGCTACTAAGTTGAAAGCCAAATAGTATGTTAGGAGAAATTTGGATTATCACTCCAAACTTCTTTATTAGTTCACTTCTTGCTCAATGACATCATTCCCTTTTAAGTATTCAAAGTGTCTATAGTATGTTCACCCATTTCCTAATCAAAACTTGCTCTTAGAAAAAGATCAGATACTTTACTTATGTTAGAGATGTATATTTGAAAATCAATTCCATGTGAAATAAGTAATTCTAGTTGTAGTTATGAAGTGTCAATAATCATAAAGCAGGCTAAGGAAATTTTGTTTTGTCCTATGAATGAGGCATCTTGATACACTGAAATCACACAATGCAGGCTAGGAATATAATTGCAACTTGGTAAACAATCAAATTCCTTGAAGACTTTAGAGATTTGTAGCTACATTTATTGAATTATAAAGCCAGTGCTGATTGTGCAAGTGAAAACTATCTCTTTTATAATGTATAGAAGACAGATAATTAACATATTAATAAAGATGAAAAAACTAATATTTAAAATCAAAACAGACTCTATTGCTAACTACTGAGAGCATACTTTATATCATTGGAGAAATAAATACTTACGTAGCTCCTCTGCTCTCATACCCTTGCAGAAACTGGAGAGGGAGAATAAGACCACAAGGCAGTGGCCTGTGGCTTTGACTCTGAAGTCCTAGGATGAATTTCAGAATAAGAGCTGGAGAAAACTTCATGAAAAAAAAATAATAATAATTTGAGGAGGGGTAGAGTTTCTTCTCAGGGGAAGGACATTGGGAAGAGAGAAGAGAGCAGAAGAGAAAGGATAGTGTTGATAATAAGTCTTCCTAAAAGAATAGCAAATATTGGTTTATTTTTGTGATTTCACTGAAACCATCTCCATCTTCACAAACAGGAAAATATCCAAGATTGAATCTGCCAATATGCCTCATGGGAGCATTTTTGTTTTTCTTTTTTGTCATTTTTGAAGGAAATGGAAGAAAGGGTTTGTGTTCAACATATACATCATGGAATGAGGACAGCACACTTGGTATTAGAGGATAATTCAGACACTGTCCTATTTGATCAGAAGCCAGATCTCAGCCCCAAAGACGACCAGGATGATGCAGACATCACTGCCATTACCACTCCCACAACTGCACAATCATATATACACACATGAACTATCTCTGCCACTGTCCATAGGAAGGAGTTTGAGCCAACTTTCTTTGAAACTCAAAGGTCAACTCGCATCTCGGCCACACATACAATATGTAGTTAATACACAGTATTTATGAAAGAGCTTTAGAAATATATTTAAATCTATCCAAATACGAGATGTAACATAGACGTTAGTATTTGTGTATTTTGATGGTAGCATTTGGTTGTTATCCAATTAAATTCCCTTAATTGTTTTGAATTTTACTAGGCAGCAGAGTGGGCAGACATATGGGAAAGAGGGAGGTAGAAAGGGACATACAGTACTCAACCCTAAAAGGAGCTTCCAGTTCGACCCTAAAGTATTATAAATGGAAGCATCCTGCACTGCAACTTTCTACCTTCACCCTAATGTAAAAATTTATGTCCTAAGATTTGGTGAAGGAACCAAACATGTATGACTCAGTTGCTACCTCATTCTTTTTATTCATACTCCCACCAATTGTGCATCCCTGAGGTGAGGACACATAGATCGAAATCAAGGTATTTTGTCTAGATGTTGGTCTGCATGCCTGTTTCTCTCAGTCACCACTAATAGACTTCAACATTTGTGAGGCAATAATTCTAGATAAGTGATTCTACTTGGCAGATCCAACTTCTTCAGCTATGCCTAGGGATAAAGGTAGCAGAAAGCCCAGTGGTGACCATAGATCCCAGTAAATTTCCCAATCTATATTTACAAATAATTCTAGTATTTTGATCCCTGTTCATCTTACTCCTAGCAATTTTCTCATAGATTTCAGACTTGAGCTCGGCTCAGGAGATGGATGATTAATTAACACCCCAAAACCCCAACAATATAATTAATTTCCAGTGAAAATTATACTATAACTAAAACAGAAGTAACCTGGTAATTGATGGTGATTGCCTTGCAGCTATGTCTTGGCTGCCATCTCTAAAAAGGAAGCCAATTTTCCAAAAATGCATGTTAAATGCTGTACACAATTGATTCTGCATGTCATTAAGCCAAGGAGGATATTACTTACAGGGTTATTCATTTTTACTTTACTTTAATTAATGTTTAAAACCTCTAAATCACTTATAACAATTAAGACAATTAACTTTGGGGGGAACTATGGATTTGGAACCTCGTAACACTCTTTAAAATCGCTGATATTTTCTTCTTTTACTAGAATTCACTTTGATAAACCACAAGTCAGAATAGCAATGTATTTGGCTCCCTTTTTAAACACACTGTGTATGTTCCTATTGAATTTTAGTTTCCTTTTTAGAGTTCTGGGGAAAAAAAGAAATAGTAACCTTTCCACATATTTTACAAGGCTGAAATATTTTGATGGATCCTGATTACTGAAAGATTTTAAGTTCTATATTTCACATCAAATATACTTCTTTTTTATTGAGTGTTCTAATAAATAACAAAAAAAGCCTGGATCATGTGGTATTTTAGTTAGTAGAAGCACTACATATATAGATGTGTGTGTGTGTGTGTGTGTGTGTGTGTGTACTGTATCTAATTATAGTCTCTGAATAGGATCAAAATATTTCACATATTGGCATATTTATTTAAAATATCTTTCTAAAATATATGGAATAGAAAATAGTATAATAAATACCAGTATTTATTAAGCACTTACATTTCAGGTGCTTCATAGAATATGGCTCATTTAATCTTCATGATGGCCTTATCACACTGTTTTCAAACTTTACACAAGGGTCCTCTGTGCAACTTGGTAAAAAGGCAGATCCCCAGAGTCAATTCAGTCAGGATTCTGATTAAGTAGATCTGGAAGGATTTAAAGGATCTCTATTTTTAACAAACCTCTCCAGATTCCTCTGGTATAGGTAGCCTGTGGAACACACTGTAAGTAACATTGCCTATTAAATATTGCCTAGGCCGGGCGCGGTGGCTCACACCTGTAATCCCAGCACTTTGGGAGGCCGAGGCGGGTGGATCATGAGGTCAGGAGATCGAGACCATCCTGGCTAACAAGGTGAAACCCCGTCTCTACTAAAAAAAAAATACAAAAAAAATTAGCCGGGCGCGGTGGCGGGCGCCTGTAGTCCCAGCTACTCGGGAGGCTGAGGCAGGAGAATGGCGTGAACCCGGGAAGCGGAGCTTGCAGTGAGCCGAGATTGCGCCACTGCAGTCCGCAGTCCGGCCTGGGCGACAGAGCGAGACTCCGTCTCAAAAAAAAAAAAAAAAAAAAAAAAAAATATTGCCTAATAAAATTTGACCATAATCTTAGATGAATAAACTAAGAATCAAGAAACTTAAATATCTTGTTTAAGTTCCCCTATTCATGAAAAATAATGCTTTTGCTCTTGAGAGTAAGCATTTAAGTCTCATGAGGAATGGAGAAAAGGTTAAGAAATAGGAACAAAAACATGAGACAGTGGCATTGGAAAGTGATGACTATAAAAATAAGGAATAGTGGTGAGGTCTTTGGTTCTGGTCATGGCTGAGTATCTGGTATCAAACCTATCCTCTTCTTATCATAAATTGGTATAAAAGGTGGATAAAATATATAAAGTAAGTGTTTTCAGACACTGTTTAGCAATTAATCCTAGGCTCTGGCCATTGAAAGAAAGGAAACATGAAGGTGAGTACTACATTTACCCTGATTTTCACCCTGAGAGTATTTTCTAATCTAGGACAAAGAGAAATAAAGTCCTAAAAGACAGTGGCAGTCTTGCTGGATCAACTAAAACGTTTAGGGCTTCCAGGACACTTGGATTTCGAGATATGGTATTATATAAGAAGGACCCAAAAGCAAGAGGCACCAAAATGTATGTAGCCATTTCCCCTAGGACATTTGGCCAACTTCTAAAATGCAAACTTGTAAGGCAAGATTTCAAATGGCCTACCAGAGAAAAACTACTAGAAGGCTAAACAGCTTAGCAAAGGTTTCAAGCCTGCAGAGTATTAAGAAAATGTTGGAGGCTGGGCGGGGTGGTTCATACCTGTAATCCCAGCACTTTGAGGGGCCAAGGCGGGCGGATCACAAGGTCAGAAGTTGGAGACCAGCCTGTCCAACATAGGGAAACCCCATCTCCACTAAAAATACAAAAAAATAGCCGGGCGGGGTGGCATGCACCTGTAATCCTAGGTACTTGGGAGGCTGAGGCAGGAGAATCACTTGAACCTGGGAGGCAGAGGTTGCAGTGAGCTGAGATGGCACTACTGCACACCAGCTTTGGTGACAGTCCAAGACTCTGTCTCAAAAAAAATAAATAAATAAAAAAGAAAGAAAGAAAGGAAGAAAGAAAAGAAAATGTTGGATCTGAGGCCCAACAAGAGTACAGAGACCTTTGGGAACATCTCAGGCTTTCAGCTGAGACCTTGGAATGGCCATACTCTGGAAGTAATGA
Organism: Homo sapiens; assembly: GCF_000001405.40. Classification (NCBI taxonomy): domain Eukaryota; kingdom Metazoa; phylum Chordata; class Mammalia; order Primates; family Hominidae; genus Homo; species Homo sapiens. The sequence goes on from NC_000008.11 coordinate 117,452,893, forward strand.
CCATGTGCCAGCAGTAGGGGACACTCTCAGACATGAAGGGCAAAACTGCAATAGTTCCATCCTAATAAACTCTGGAAGCAAGCCTCATCAGAATCAAGTGGTCTTCCAGTAATTTAAATATGTATCAGAACAAAATTTAACTCCATTAACTCTCACTAGAGGATAACAACAACATCTAGAGACTTTATTACCCACAGTGTCCAGCACATAAAATAAAACTTACCAGACAGCAAAGGAGGATGATACAGTGACTAGTAATCAAGAGATTAAATAATCAATGGAAGAGACTGAGAGATATTACAGACATTGAAGTTAGTGAATAAAGTCTTTAAAATAACTATGATTAACATCTTAAATAATACAGAAGAAGAGATGGACAAAGTGGAGTATTTCAGTGGGGTATTAGACAAAAAGGACTCGAACTGGTATTAAAAATCTGTAAAATAAAATATCTGAAATTTAAAACTCATTGGATAAATAAAAAGTGGACTGGACACAGTGGAAGACAGTATTAGTGAATTAGAAAACTGTTCAGTAGAAAAATATCCAAGCAGAAGAATAGAGAGGAAAAAAAGAACCAGAAAACTGTGTAAGACACATGTGAGACACATTCAAAAGGCCTAACACATGTGTAATTAGAGTCCTAGAAGAAGAAAAAATATCCTCTATTTGAATAAAAGTTGGCTGAAAATTTTTCAAATATGATAAAAAAAGACAATAACCCATAAATTCAAGATATTTAGCAAACTTTATGCAGGATTTAAAATATAAAAATAAAAATCTAGGCACAATGTAGTCAAAGTAATTTATCAACAAAAAGCAAATAACAAATTTAGCCAGAACAAAAAGGGTACTAGCTTCAAAGGATCAATAGTAAAAATAAAGTACATTTTTGCATAGAAACTTAGAAATTTCTTTAAACAGCAGAAAGAAAAAGTGCTACCAATTTAGAAGTCTATACCCATAAAATATCCTTCAAAAATAAAGTCAAAGACAATAGAAAGTAAGAATGAAAAAAAACTGAAAGAAAGATAAAAGTAATTTTATCTTGAAAGAAATTTATTCTCAGTAGACTTATAAAAATAAATGGAGAACAACAGAAAAGGGTGAATATTTACACTATTCTGCAGGTTTATTGAATAAAGAAGCATTCAATGAAGGGCTCCATTTTCTCAAAGAATTGTCGTATCACTGAAGCATGAGGAATATTATTGAATTAGACTCAGAAATTTTAATTCAAGTCTTCCTATAAACTTTAAAATGTGTTAATTTTATTATGACAATTTGTTAGTAACTAACAAGATGAAGTATAGCGATGAAATTGACCCAATCCAACATAATAATCATAAGTCATATATGCCAGAATCTGGTCTGCTAAATCTCCAGTTTTCATTTTCATGACCTCAGGAACTGCTACATAAATCAGCATGTTCTCACGACAGACATTTCGTGACATGTTGTCTGAAATTAACAGAGAAAGAAATTCAATGTGCAATTGTGGTTTCATTCGGTAGACTGTAAGCTTTGATTGCGTGCCCACTGAGGGCAAAGAATCAGAAGTAGCTCCCTCTAAATACAGATACAAGAAGCAGATGACACTATGCAGGATGGATCAGCTCTAACTGCCTGGAAAATAATGCATATCAAAGAAGGGGAGTCGTTGAGGGTTGTTACAGAATTTTACCTTCTAAATTTCCTATTCGTGTATCATTTATTGATGATTGACTTTGTACTTGATGCTGTCCTAACTACTGGGAAAAAAATATTAAGTCAACAAAGTCTCTCTCAAGAATTTATAGTCTATTAGGAAAAGAGATAAACAGAAAAACAAATAAACGTGATGAAGCATCCTAGGTAGCATAATAGAAATCTAGAAGGTTACAGTGTGACACAAAGGAGAAAATAAGCAATTAATCCTGGGATATGTCAGAAAAGTGTTCATAGGGGAGGTGACATGAGTTCTAAATTCTGAAAGATGAGAGGCCATCTGCCAATGGCTATGAAGGAGAAAAATATGTCAGACAGAAGAGTCAGAAAAGAAGGGCATGGGTTAGAAAAATAGTATTACTAATTTGGGGGTGAATCTGACACTCTGTGAGGTGAGGCATGGTTAAAAGGGATGCTGTAGAAGTTCACAGAAGAGGGATTATTGAGTATATCCTATGCCATGTATAAAATACAGGGTATTATTTTGATGGCAAAAAATGATATTACACAGTCCGAACCCTCTTCAAAAGAAGTAAATATAACTGAGCTCTATTAAAACTGCACTGTCCAAAAACCACATGATTATCTCAATAGATGCAGAAAAGGCCTTTGACAAAATTCAACAGCCCTTCATGCTAAAAACTCAATAAATTAGGTATTGATGGGATGTATCTCAAAATAATAAGAGCTATTTATGACAAACCCACAGCCAATATCATACTGAATGGACAAAAACTGGAAGCATTCCCTTTGAAAACTGGCACAAGACACGGATGTCCTCCCTCACCACTCCTATTCAACATAGTGTTGGAAGTTCTGGCCAGGGCAATCAGGCAGGAGAAGGAAATAAAGGGTATTCAATTAGAAAAAGAGGAAGTCAAATTGTCTCTGTTTGCAGATGACATGATTGTATATATCTAGAATACCCCATTGTCTCGCCCAAAGTCTCCTTAAGCTGATAAGCAACTTCAGCAAAGTCTCAGGATACAAAAGCAATGTGCAAAAATCACAAGCATTCTTATACACCAATAACAGACAAACAGAGAGCCAAATCATGGTGAACTCCCATTCACAATTGCTTCAAAGAGAATAAAATACCTAGGAATCTGACTTACAAGGGATGTGAAGGACCTCTTCAGGGAGAACTACAAACCACTGCTCAACGAAATAAAAGAGGACACAAACAAATGGAAGAATATTCCATGCTCATGGATAGGAAGAATCAATATCGTGAAAATGGCCATACTGCCCAAGGTAATTTATAGATTCAATGCCATCCCCATCAAGCTACCAATGACTTTCTTCACAGAATTGGAAAAAACTACTTTAAACTTCATATGGAACCAAAAAAGGGCCTGCATTGCTAAGACAATCCTAAGCCAAAAGAACAAAGCTGGAGGCATCACACTACCTGACTTCAAACTATACTACAAGGCTATAGTAACCAAAACAGCATGGTACTGGTACCAAAACAGAGATACAGACCAATGGAACAGAACAGAACCCTCAGAAATAATACCACACATCTACAACTATCTGATCTTTGACAAACCTGAGAAAAACAAGAAATGGGGAAAGGATTCCCTATTTAATAAATGGTGCTGGGAAAACTGGCTAGCCATATGTAGAAAGCTGAAACTGGATCCCTTCCTTACACCTTATACAAAAATTAATTCAAGATGGAATAAAGACTTAAATGTTAGACCTAAAACCATAAAAACCCTAGAAGAAAACCTAGGCAATACCATTCAGGACATAGGCATGGGCAAGGATTTCATGTCTAAAACACCAAAAGCAATGGCAACAAAAGCCAAAACTGACAAATGGGATCTAAACTAAAGAGCTTCTGCACAGCAAAAGAAACTACCATCAGAGTAAACAGGCAACCTACAGAATGGGAGAAAATTTTTGCAATCTAGTCATCTGACAAAGGGCTAATATCCAGAATCTACAAAGAACTCAAACAAATTTACAAGAAAAAAACAACAATCCCATCACAAAGTGGGTGAAGGATATGAACAGACACTTCTTAAAAGAAGACATTTATGCAGCCAACAGACATATGAAAAAATGCTCATCATCACTGGCCATCAGAGAAATGCAAATCAAAACCACAATGAGATATCAACTCACACCAGTTAGAATGGTGATCATTAAAAAGTCAGGAAACAACAGGTGCTGGAGAAGATGTGGAGAAATAGGAAACTTTTACACTGTTGGTGGGACTGTAAAGTAGTTCATCCATTGTGGAAGACAGTGTGGCGATTCCTCAAGGATCTAGAACTAGAGATACCATTTGACCCAGCCATCCCATTACTGGGTATATACCCAAAGGATTATAAATCATGCTGCTATAAAGACACATGCACACATATGTTTATTGCGGCACTATTCACAATAGCAAAGGCTTGGAACCAACCCAAATGTCCATCAATGATAGGCTGGATTAAGAAAATGTGGCACATATACACCATGGAATATTTATAATAGTATCAAAAATTGTAAAATACCTAAGGATAAACTTAACCAAGGAGGTAAAAGACTTACAGTGAAAACTACAATATGCTGATGAAAGAAATTAAAGAAGATACAAATAAATAGAAAGATATCCCATGTACACAAATTGGAAGACCTACTATGGTTAAAATGTCTGTATTACCCACAGATATATACAGATTCTATCCTATTTCCATCAAAATCCCAGTGACACTTTTTATAGAAATAGAACAAACAATCCAAAATTTATATGAAACAACAAAAGACCCAGAATAGCCAAAGTGATCTTGACAAAGAACAAAGATGGAAGCATCACATTTATTGATTTCAAAATATATTATAAAGCTACAGTAATAAAAACAATATGGTAGCGGTATAAAGATATATATAAAACAATGGAACAGAAGAGAGAGCCCAGAAATATATCGAGACATGCATGGTCCATTGATCTACAAAGTACACAATGGGAAAAGGAGAGTCCCTTGCAAAAATAGTGCTAAGAAAATTGAATATTGACATGCAAACGAAAGAACTTGGACCCTTATCTTATACCACACACAAAAAACTAACTTGGAATAGCTTAAAGACTTAAATATAAGATCTGAGAGTGTGGAATTCCTAGAAGCAAACAAAGGGGAAATTTTTATGACATTGGTCTTGGCAATGATTTCTTGGATATGATGCCAAAAGCATTTTAGTTTTATATACATCAAACTTAAATGGTTCTGCATAACAAAGGAAGCATTCAACAGAGTGAAAAAGCAACCCACAGAATGGGAGGAAAATATTTGCCAACCATATATTTGATAAAGAATTAATGTTCAAAATATATGAGCAACTTATATAACTTAATAGCAAAAAACAGAAGAAATATTTTTATTAAAAAATGGGCAAAGGACTTCAATAAACATTTTTTACAAAGAAGATACACAAATGTCCAACACTTGTAAGTGAAAAGGTAGTCAATATCACTAATCAGTAGAGAAATGTAAATCAAAACCACAATGAGATATCACCTCATACCTGTTAGGATACTACTATCAAAAAGACAAGGGCTAACAAGGGTTAGTGAGAGTTTGGAAAAAAGAGAACCCTTGTACACTGTTGGTGTGAATGTAAATCAGCACGGTCATTATGGAACAGCATGGAGGCCTCTCATAAAATTACAAATAGAACTACAGTATTATCCAGCAATCTAACTTCTGGATGTATGTCCAAAAGAAATGAAGTCAACATCTTAAAGAGATATCTGCACTCCCATGTTCATTGCAGCATTACTCACAATAGCTAAGATACAGAAACAACATAAGTGTCCATTGGTGGATGAAGAAAATGTGATGCATAGATATCATATATTTATATATCTGTATGTGGGTGTAATGAACCATTATTCAGCCATAAAAAAGGAGGAAACTCCACCATTTGCAACAACATGAATGAATCTGGAGGACATTATGCTAAATGAAATAAGCAGAGACAGAAAGACAAATATTGTATAATATCATTTATATGTGAAATCTAAAAAAGTCAAACTCATAAACGCAAAGTCTAGAATGGTGGTTGCCAAAAGCCAGGTGGGAGGTGCATGGAATAGGGTGATATTGGTCAAAGGGTACAAACTTTCAGTTATAAGATGACAAAGTTCTAGGGATCTCATGTACAGCATGGTGGCTGTAGTTGTCAGTTCTGCATTGTATACCTGAAACTTGCTCAAGATTAGATCTTAAATGTTCTCACCACACACAAAAAGGAAACCACATGAAATGATGAATGTTTTAATTAGCTTTATTGTGATCATTTCATTTAGTGAATATATGTATGTATATCAAATCATCACAGTGCACACCTTAAATATATACAATTTTTATTTTCCATTATACCTCAATAAAGCTGTTCATGGTTAATTCTGAGGCAATCCAAGAGGTAAAATCATTGATTTAATAGTTTACATTTTGCTTTTTTAAGGAAGCAGATGGAATTGGATTGGGGTCAGAAGTCCTGGGTTCTAGTATATTGTCCATCAATTTTACTAATAGCATTTTCTTTTCAAGCTTTTAATTTTAATCTGTTATGTGATCATTGTATGTGCCTTTTCTAAGTCATAGGATTATTTAAGAGGCTCAAGTGAAATAATTAAAGTAAAAGTATGGGATATATTACAAACCACTATATAAACATAAAATACTGTTATAAGAACCTTCCTTCCTTCCTTCCTTCCTTCCTTTTTTTGGAAACCACAATAAAATATTTTCCATTATTTTATCTCTTACATATATATATAGTTGTTTTTTAGTGCCAAAAAAAGGTGTTAATGTTCTTGATAAAATTTTAAGATGCTTACTGTTGTTGTTGTTGTTGCTCTTGTTGTTTTAATTTGACAATACTAGATGACCTCCCACTGTGCCTTTTATAACATGGAGTCCAAAGCTAAATATGTAGTTCATAACAGGAAGCTCACCCAAATGCCTCCTCTCACATCTCTTTATTTTTTTAATCTCTTATTTAATTCCCTCTATTTTTTGTTGTAGTTTAACATCATAAGTCATTTCTGGTTCTGTTTTTAATTATCTACTTACACCTCATCTCATTCTAGAAAGGATTAAAACATTCATATTTAGAAGTAGATTAAAAATAATATGCCACAAATAAGGATAATGTATTCAGCCTCTAGTGTAATAAACACTCCTAGTTGATTCCCTGTCCAGAATCTTCCGAGGTCTCAATCTCTCACACTCTCTTAGCTGCCTTAAGAAGCATCCCTTTAACATGTTTCTTTTTCTCTCTCTCCCTCTCTCTCATTATTTCTCATTTTTTTTGGACTTTCTCTTGCTGTTCTGCCTTCAGCCAATCTTCTTGTCTCTATTCTGTCTTTCTTCTTTCTGTCTCTATTACCAGGTCATTGGATGTCTTAGTGGAGGAGCTATAACTTTTCAAAATTTCTCCACCAGGTCAGTTCATTACTTGTTGCTTAGTGAACATTTCAGTGTTAGAAGATTGATGCTAGGAATGCACATTTGTGTGCAGTATAGAAATGTCTTAGCCTTGCCCTGATAAATTGTGTGTGTGTGTGTGTGTGTGTGTGTGTGTGTTTAAATCATGAGATGATCTGTGATTGCACTTCAGATTCAAAGTGATTGGACCCTACACACATTTCCATGAAGCCCATTTATCATCTGGGAGTTTTGAAGATTTGATTATGACAAAAAAATAGGGAGAATTCTGGCTTCACACATTTTTGTCATAATGAAATTCTTCCCCACCAGCTACTTCACTTTGGGACCCTAAAAATACAGTCCATTAGACAAGCGAAAAATTTATAGCTGATGCCCTCTTCTTCAATTTCTTGCTTCTGGTGCAGGCCCCACCTCTCATAATTTCACCTCAAGCAGTCTTGCTGGCAGCCAGAACTTACAAAATGGCCTGTTTTCATTAGATGTACAGAAACCATTGGTTGTTAAGAGCAACTCTACTTTCTAAAAGGAAAGAATGCGTTGTTAAAGGAGGTACAGAGCAGAGGCTTGGGTGGCAAACTGGACATAAAATTTACTGAGAAACATCCAGTGTTTCCTTTAAATTCTGCACAAAACCTAACACATTTCTGGAGCTCTTAATCTCACAGTGTTAACAGTTTGAGTGAAGGAGGAGGAGCCACAGGGAGTGTGGCTTTGCTTAACTAAAAACCCCTAAATACTGTGCCGTTCCCTCCCTAAGAGGGATTATAGAGAGTGCAAATGGAAGACTTGAATTATTTATGAAAACTGTTAATCACAGGCATGGTTGCCAAGGGAATGAGGCAATGTGTCCTCAGGTAGACAGTCTCCTGCCAAAAATCTGACTTCTTTTTCTTTTCTTCTTTTGCTAATTCCAGTGATCTGTTAAAACTTTTCAACGGTAGATCCTGGAGATTACATGTTTAATGTGGCAAAAAAACCTAGAAACACCTCCAACAAAACTGAGACAGAAGTAGCTTACAAATGAGAGCTCAGGTGGGAATAGAAGCTGTTTTCAAGATGGAGAGTACAAAAAAATGAGGGACTGAGGCCCCTCTATTCAAAGAAATGTGGTTATTTTACCTGTATGCTTTGTTTCACAGCTATGATGTCATCTCTTGTGATACTGACATTCCTTAGAGGAATTATGAGGAAAAAAACAGATTCGATCAAGCAAAGGATAATTTTCATTCTCATAAGCCTCATTCTCTCTATTTCCAAAATGGAAAAAGAAATGCAGACATCAGGGTTGCTCTTTCCTTGCAGGGATACCTTAAAGATGTAAAATTGCAATAAGCACAGAATTATGTATCAATCTTGTTATACTGTGGACAGAGACACATTTGCAAAATGCAAATCTGATCATATCACAGATCTCCTGGTTTAAAACATTTCAATGATTTCTATCTCTCTAGAGTTAAAGATGAGAATCTTTATCCCATCCCAGGCAAGCTATGCCCTGCATGATCTGGCTCTATGCCAAAACCCTTCCTAGCTCCTTCATCCAACCACACTGGTCCTCCTTCAGTCTTTCATAAGCTTTGTGGTTACTTGAGCTGCAGGATTTTTGCAGAAACAATTCTCCCTGTCAGGAATGATCTTCCCTCCTATCTTCACCTAGTTAACCCACTCATTCTTCCAAGTTTATTTCCTGAGGAAAGCCTGGGCAACATATCTAAGACATATTTCCCTCTTACATGCTTGTATAGTTCCTCTCCTTGGTAATACTGGACTTATGTCTTGTTTACTAACATGTATTTGTGGGATTGTATGTTTAAATCTCTCAACAATACTCCAAACTCTGCTTTTGTTCACCATTTTATCTCTAGGATCTAACAATTAAATAGTACATATCTAATGTATCGTGAAGAAAGAAAAAAAAACAGATAAAATGTGTGAAAAATTTTTAAAAATGAAGGAGACAAAACAAGGAAAAAGAGAAGGAAAGAGGAAAAGAAGAAGAAGGAAGACCATCTAATTGAAGCAGAAACATTGAAGTCAATGATTATTTGATGTAAAACAAATCTAGCAGCACAGTTAAAACTATTTATTAGACTAATAAAGGTACTTTTTGTTTCTTTTTACTTTCCCAAGGTACCATTTCATCCTTTCTTAAAATCCACCTCCACCACACATGGCTACTCTATACTGCTAGTCTATAAGCAAAAGCTTGTTTACTGTGTTATTATCGTAGAATACTGGCATGGATTAAGATGAAGCAGGCTCTGAAAATAGTCAATGAGTCAGATTTTAATATAGATGAATCTAGCATTCATTACACGATGTTGGAACCTTACATATCACATGAATTAGGAGAATCTTTTCTTGTAAAAAGGCCAGTTCTTTTATGTAAATTTCTCCATATATTACTGGTAAATAGGGAAAGATGTTCTTATAACACAGAAGTATTGTTGGTTCTTATATATTGTTTCCCAGTAGCTTAATGTTTTAAAGTTATCCACGGCAAACTTTGTCGCAAATAAAGAAAAAGCATAGCAACCCACGATGATCTTAAGAAAAATGCTAAGAAATCTACAAAGGCACTTTTCTTTAGTGCTTCAAGCACATGTCTACATATTCAATTTTGTTAAACTTGCTGGTGAAAGTGCCAACACAGATTCAGAAGCTGCAGACATTAATCCCCATATTAAAATAATGGATTAACAAAACAGGCTACACATTGGATCTGATTTTTAGTTTTAATAAAAATGGTCCATATTGGAAGGACGATTTTTACATTTCAAAGGAGCAAGTAAAAGCCCCACGTTTTAAAATTGCTAATGACCAATCATCTCTGAAGCCACGTGCCAATGCTATTAGAGGGTTATCTATGCCAGCTTTTTTAAAATAGTAATTGTCTCAGTGTTTTTAGTGCTCTACTTTCCAAATTTCACAGTCTTGAGTCATCTCTCCACACCTTATTTTTCCCATAGACCTTATTATTTTCAGTGTCCAATTTTGCAGAATGTAAGGTTATTCAATAGTGCAAACATTGGCATTAGAGTAGAAATGCCTGTATCTGTGTTTTATGCCATTGTGTCTGGCTAGAAAGAGCTAAGATTTTTGTCTAGCTACCTGATTATGTTCAAGAACTTTTGAAATTAAGAAAAATATGTATTGTTTCAATATTTGAGCTGACTTCTATAGAATCTAGTCAAGTGAGAACTTAGGACTTTTGATTTTAAGTGAAGGTACGATTTTACTCTGGTCAGCAGAAAACATTCCCCAACTACCTCCATACGTTTTGTAGGGGTCAGTATTATTCATCTCCCAAATTTTGTATTTGGGTCTTTTACAATTACAAATCTTTTCTTTAAAATGATATAACTCTATATCTGTTTATAATCCTAATACCCCCAAGGCCCTGGATAGCTAGACTCCTTCTCTGTTTCTCCATAATGTCCTAGGAGATTTTATATACAAACTTTTCCTGATAAGCTATATACATATATCTCTATCATTCATATATATATTACAGAGGTATGCAGATTAGGCCCTACCATAACCTTGCTTCAAAGATATAACTATGCATAGACATCTGTTCACTTGAAGAAGCTCAATGTTTCTCCCACTAATGAGCCAAAATACCCAAGGGTAGATTTACACCAGTTTATACAAATATGGCACAAAAACCATTAGCCTTGAATGTCCTCTTAGAGAAGGTGATCATCTTTACAACCACTTCCCCTTGAACATGCATGTAAACACACACACACATACACACATATGTTAAAACAACAAAACCCATGATTTACAGTGTAGTATTCGAATAAAGAGGAAATCCTCTGGAAAACCAACTTCAAACTCTGGGTTTGTCCATCTATGTAACCTTGAGAAAATTACCAAGCTTCTGTGAATCTCCATTTCTCCATCTCTAAAGGGGGATAGGAATACTATACACACCGTAATAAAGAGCATTGTAAAAATTAAAGCAAATAAGGTGATGAAAGTGAATCCCGTCTTAGTACCTGGCACATAGTAAGTGTTCAATAAATGTTTGATATTCAAATAATCCACAAATATTTATAGAACATTTGCTGTATACCGAACATTAGACCATGTTCTGGGAATAAAGAAATAAAAGATGGGATTCCTGCACTGTATGAGTTTACATCCTAACAATAGTACTGGTAAGCAAATAAAATCAAGCTACTGTTGTTGAAGAATGCATATAAGGGCCAGAGGCACTCAAGGAGGGCCACACAAACCAGACTCAAAGAGTTAACGAAGGTTTCCCTGAGAAGTAATACTTGATCTGAACCTTAAGGACTAAGTAGACATTAGCTAGGTAAAGAACATGGTAAACACTATTCTAGGCAGAGGGAACATGTTTAAAGACATGGAGGCAATGAAGTCTGCATGACAAATTCAAAGAAATGCAAATAATTGACAATCTATCTAGAGGATGGATAAAGTTGACAGCCCATTATCTTGGAACTTATGCTTTCACTGGTATTGTTTATTTCACTGTTTTATAATTGTCTGGTTGTTTATCTTTGTCATCTACACTATGGCCCATGAAGACAGGAACACTATCTTGTGCAATGTTGTAACTCAAGCAAAAACTGCAGTAGCTAGAACACAGAAGGAATGCAATAAATGTTTGAAGAAGTAAATGAATGCTACCTGTCCCAAAGTGTTCATTTTTAAATACAGAAGCATAGACTCAGAGAGGTTAATTCACTTATCTAAAGATACATGGTAAACCTGATATCAGACTCTGAACTACCACCCTTCTGTCAAGTCTGCATGATACCACTTCCATTGTAAGTGGGCAAAAATTGCCATTGAATTGTATCAGAGAATCATGAGAAGAAGTCATATGATAGCATTCAATACAGCTCTAGGCATTTAACCAGTCTGAAATTTCCGAATTAGAAATGCAATTTACTCTTTTCTGAGATCATTCGGTAACTGAGGATTGAAGCACAGAGACACACAAATTATAAACTTTATAAATTCTACTCCGGTAACTGGGAAGAAACAATATACTTTTGAGAATTAAACAGATTTTTTTCTCTTCTAGAAGATCCAAGACCTGTCGTTGTAAAACTTTATTAGATGAGAGTCACAATAATAATATTTAGGAATGAGAGGCATTTCCATAATAAAAGTTTACAGGAAAGCAGTGTTAAGCCAATAAGCCTGAGTCTGTTTTCAGAGACTCAGAGGCAGAGGACTAAGGAAGTCTTAAGTAGCCCATAGAACTTCCAAATACATCCAGATAGAAATAAGATTTTCTTACACAGAAATCTGTAAGAATACTATTTATTTCGCCCACTGGTCTAATTATAAGTGTCTTCACTTCAGCAGCTTGTTGGAGGCAAGCCTCTTAAAGATCTTTGTGTACAACAATTCCTGAAGAGGTTCTCTAATGTACCTTTATTAAGATTAACAAGGATTGTTTGAGAATCGAACTCACATGCAAGAATGAGAACTAATATAGTTTACTATAGAATTAACCTAAACATAACTATTCAATAAGCTATACATAATATTCAGAATCCCAAGTCTTCCTCATTAGAAACAAGCCCACCATGACCAAAGGAAATACTTTTCTTCTTGTTTTGTCAGGATTTCTTACCTTTCATTGACCCTCTTCCTTGTCTTTAGAACTGCTTTACTTTCATTTCTTCATATGTCTAAATGGCTGTTTGGAATTACAAAAGAACTGCTTTGATTCGACTTCTCATAGTTCAGATCTTAAGTGGAGAATGCTCATCAAGTCTATTGCTCAGTCTGGCAGAATCCTTGGCTCTTTGAAGATTCCAGGCCCTCACAATTTCATGAGATATTAGTTTCCCTTAAAAGCTGGATGAAAGCTTGGATTCAGTAGTTGAGACAGAGGCAGAAGTAAGATAAAAGAAGGAGAAAAGATCATAATTAATACTGGCACAAGTTAAGAGAGGAAGGCAAAGATATCTTGAGGGACTGAAATAGGAAAACAAAAAAAGTACATGCACAGTGAGCACAACACAGCATATGGCAATCAAAGGGATGCTTGCTCATGGTACATGGTTTAAAGAGAAAAAAAATAGGGCTTATATTTGCTGGTTGTTTCTAAAAGAAGGGCCTGGATAGCTTGGTAATGGCTTCCCATTCTGCATAATCAAACTCATGTTAAACAGACATCAATACTCTTTAAGTACTTTAATAAACTTGATTCTAATACTTCAGAATCTCTTCACATAATGAGGATAGTATGTGGGAATATTAAAATTCTAAAAAAAGTTTGCTTCATCCAATATGATTCAAAATGGAAGGCAACTTAACGTGTTGTTCAAGATCCTTGATTGTGTACAAATCCAGATATCTTTCGTTATTGCCTTTGTGAATAGGCAAAGTAATTAACCTTTCTATTTCCTAGTTCCCTCAACTGCAAAATTGAAACAACCAGACCTACCTAATTCATTTACTTACTTAGCAAATATTTATTAAGGGCCTATAAACTGCCAATCACCATCATAGGCACTGGGAAATGCTGCAAAGAGCAATATGTAGAAAAATCCTAGCTTTCATGGGGCTTCTATTCTAGTGTGCTATGGGGATTGAGCTATTGCAGATAAAGAAATTAGCACCTCTCTGGCACATTTGGTATCCAGCAGGACTAATGAGTCCTGCAGAATGCCTTTCACCAGCTACTTCTTTCTCACGGATGGTGTGTGTGCATGTGTGTGTATGTGTGTGTGCACGCACACAACTTTGGGCCTTTGAGGTTTTCTTGTGCCTCTGGCATCTGTGTCCCTGCCCAACTGCCTCTGTGCTTTCTCCACACTGTGGTAATATCCTTAAATTCTTTCTACCTTCTGGACGCTTACTATAAGCATTCAGTAATGCTACAGTCTCTCTGTTTTAGAAAAATCAACGTAACAACAATTATATCCTCCCTGAATCATGTATGCCTCTCAAGCTACTGACCCTTCCCTCTATCCCTCTAATAGCAACTTTTATCCAAAGAGTATTTGGGCAAGCAGCCTTTATTTCTACACTGTATTCACTGTCATGTGATTCCACTCTGGCTTCTGTTGCTACTACTCAACTAAGTGTGCTCTTCCTTAGGTCACAAATGATCTCCTCCCATGTTGTTAAGCCCAATGTACATTTTCCAATTCTCATCATAAATGATGCCTCAACTTCTGCCTGTTAGAAATATTCTCTTTCCTGAAATTCCACAATGATATGCTCTCCTGACTTTTATCCTCCCTTCCCAACCACTCCATATTAGTCTCCTGCGGAAATTTCTCACACTCAGTCTCTCTTCTAAACATTGAAATTGTTGAGGTTAGATCTTAGGCCTCTTGTGTCTTCACTTTTGCTCATGATCCCTTACTTTTGTCTTACTTCACTCTCAATCATCATCTCCATCACTCTCACGGCTTCAAAGACCATTTAATTTACTTGTGTTTCCTTCCAAGACCTTCTTCTGAGTACTAGATACATACAACCAACTTCTCATTCTAGATATTCACTGGTCTTATAAATATCTCAAATTGAAAGTGCTGCAACCTGAACTCATTTTCTTTCTAAACAACCTCCTCCATTCTAAATATACTCCTTCTTCATTGCAAAACACAATTCACCCAGTTGCTCATCCCAGAAACCCAGGAGCCTTGCTTGACACCTTTCTGTTCCTTATCCCCACATCCAATCCAGCACGGAGTCCTACGAATTCTACCTCTTAATTGCATCTCATCTCTGTCCATTTCTCAGTATCTCTGCTCCCGTCACTCAAGATCAAGCCACTTTCATCTCCAAAAAACCTCCTAATAGTTCTAGCTCATTTATCATTTTCCTCTTCTAATTTATTTTCTCCTCAGAAGTCAGCATATGAAATTAAGGTAAATATCTCATTATTTCACTCCCCTACTTAAATCTTTAAAGATACTGTATGTCCTTTTTGAAGACCAAACTTTTTGATACGATTCTTGAAGCCCTAAACAGTTCAACCTACTAAACTGACAAAGGGCATTTGTTTTTGTATATGAAACAGATAAAAATTATTTTCCTTCCATGTTAATAATTTTTTTTTTTTTTTTTTTTTTTTGAGACGGAGTCTTGCTCTGTTGCCCAGACTGGAGTGCAGTGGCGCAATTTCGGCTCACTGCAAGCTCCGCCTCCCGGGTTCACACCATTCTCCTGCCTCAGCCTCCTGAGTAGCTGGGACTATAGGCGCCAGCCACCACACCCGGCTAATTTTTTGTATGTTTAGTAGAGACGGGGTTTCACTGTGTTAGCTAGGATGGTCTTGATCTCCTGACCTCGTATTTCACCCGCCTCGGCCTCCCAAAGTGCTGGGATTACAGGCGTGAGCCACCGCGGCCTGCCATGTTAAGAATTTTTAAATTCATAGGGAAGTAACCAAATGCATAC
Organism: Homo sapiens; assembly: GCF_000001405.40. Lineage (NCBI taxonomy): Eukaryota > Metazoa > Chordata > Mammalia > Primates > Hominidae > Homo > Homo sapiens. Next base: position 117,468,456 of record NC_000008.11, read on the forward strand.
ACATTGTCATTCATATGCACGCATGTGAGCACACACATACACACACACCACAACTTGAATCTAACCCCTGTACAATTCATAGTTTTTATTGATTATTTGTCTTTATTTTAGGTTTTAACATGCATTTGAGTAAAGTCTCAAAAACTCTCACCCAAAAAAGTCCAAAGTACCTGGATAGGCCATGATGGCAAAGAACATTAAGGGATTCCTTCTTCTTCCCTCTCTTCTTCCCTCCTCACTTCTGTTTCTCTCACAAAAACCATACTGTGCGACATGAGACAAATGAGCCCCTCCAGAAGTTATTACAGAAATTGTCTGGGCTCCACTTTTCCTTGATATACAGATCAATCTAGGGGAAAAAATGTCCTTTGCATCTTCACCAATAGAATCTTGATCAAAGGAGCCACATCTACTAAAACAAACATGTGTAAAAGGTTGCCCTGAATTTGTGCTATTTTTCTTGTTTGTCTATGTGTCTGATGAGACACACATAAATTCCCCTTTTGCCCCTTTCCACAACATTATCCTGTCTGTCTAAAATAAATACTGTGATAGTTGGATCATCCACTGAATGCCAGTCTCTGTCTTTTGTAGCTGACTGTTGGACAGAACAACCACTCTCTTGCTCACCTTTTAATGTTTCTCAGCAATCTTCTAGTCTCAGCAATCAGGTGTTTATGGTCCAGCTGGACAGAATGTATACCTATTTACTCAGATGTCTGGGAACAGGAAAGGGTCCACTTTATAAACAAGTCTTTGCATTGCCTTGCCTGGGGATATGTTTCTGCTGTATAAAATTTAAATAAATCACTTTCTGAAGAGTGGTAAACCACTGACACCATTTATCCCGCATGATGGTTCTTCCCAATGGGCCAGAAAGGTTTCAATTATCTTGGATAGGAACCACTTCAGAAGTGACATGATCTATATTAGGTTAGCTTTCATTGTCTATAGCCATCTTAATGGGGCCATGTCTCAGTGTAATAGAAAGAGAAAGTGGCTAGCATTAAAATGACTTGTTTGTGCAAACACCATCCCTAACAACTCCTGAGATCAACAGGCACAGAATTTGTCCTAGAACATCACTAATTAGACCAAGAGATACACATTACAATGCACTGTGCATGCAAGCACACACAAACGCATGCACAAACATGCAAGCATTTTCCCATTATGGCAAAAATTCATGAGCACTGTCACTATATCAGATAATACTGATATGACTAATAACAAGAAACTATTGGCTGGGCATGGTGGTTCATACCTGTAATCCCAACACTTTGGGAGGCTGAGGCAGGAGGATCACTTGAAGCCAGGAATTTGAGAACAGCTTGGATAATAAAACAAGACCTCCATCTCTACAAAAAATAAAAATTAGCTGGGTGCAGTGGCATGCACTTGTAGTCCCAGCTACTTGGAAGTCTGAGGTGGGAATACTGCTTGAGCCCAGAAGTTTGAGGCTACAGTGAGCTAGAATGATTCCACTGAACTACAGCCTGGGTAACAGAGTAAGATCCTATCTCAAAAAAAGAAAAATAAAAGCAGAAAAGAAACTATTTCATTTTATAGTAAGTGTCATCACATTTAGTTAGAGATTGTTGGGTAGTGAGCAGATTACTTTCTAATGATGGGCAAGAGAAAGTTAAAGAAAGCTCCAGGTGAAGTGGTGGATGGGAGCATTAAAGAAGAGCCAGAAAGAATAATGTCCAGAGTTAAAAACAGACTGACAAATTAATAAGGGGGAGTTAGAATGCAGCGGTAACCACAATAGAACATATTTACTTAACAAGATGTCTAGCTATAGATGAAGTTTAAAAATAGGAAGGAAGGACTCACATTGTCTATTTAATTTGAAATTATGTAATATTGGGGAATCCCAACTGTAAGCATATGCAATCTAATTGATGTGCCTTATAGAGTCTAGGTGAAACTGACATTTTAATTACCTGATTGTAAGAAATGTGATGGGTATGATAATATTGTTGTCTTGATCTTATGAATGGTGTACCCACTGAACTCTGGGGTTACTCTTGAGCTACTAATATTAGTCATGCACATGTAATAAACAAAGAAGAGCGAACTCGGAGGATACACAGGAGCATGGCTTTACATGGGCTATCAGCCAGAAAACCCCTCCTGAAGACCAACATAGATGAGGTATCCTGCTGAACTGCCTCTAGAATAGAGAGGCTTGGAAAAACTCAATCAGGGGAGTCACAGTTTAAGCAAAGGTGAGAGTTTTAAGTCAGCAGGTAAAGTAAAAAGCATATGTAGACAAAATTACTCGAGAAAATCTCTTTCTTATGAATATCAAAATTAGAAAATGACTGATCTACATTAAAGAAAGAAAGAACTCTCAATCCAGATGTCGAGGATGAAAGACATCTTGTTTTAAGATAATTATGAAATACCTTGTGGTAAATGAGAGATCAGGGAAAATTTTAAAATATTCCACTTTCCTAAATGGTTTGCCCCTTCTGTTTTAAAAGTAAGTCTCTACGACTTTAATGTATGAGAGTAGATCTGTGAATTTGTTTGTTGCTATGAGGACTTGGGTAGGGGGGTTGCACGTTAAATGCAAGTAAGAGGGGACTCCACTGGATGGCAAGATTGACTTAATATCCCCTATTTCTCCAATGGATACAATCATGGTCCCCAAAGGACCATGAGGAAACCATTTGTGATTCACTTTATTCCTTCCATGATTTTTTGCTCTGTATTGTTTGAGTCAAAAAGAACAAACAAACAAATTACAAAATTAAAGACAGTAGACTTATCCCCACTACTGGAGAGAAAGCTTCTGGTTCCAGAAGCCTTGTTTACCTATTTCCTCAGTGAAGAGGACATTCAGAGTCACATAGGGCTTCTTAAGTGCTTTCTCTTCTTCCCATCTGCTTCTGGAATCCCCTCTCCCCCACCCCACTCCACACACACACACTTTAGATGATGGGAGCAAGGGCCAATTTCATGGTTCTAAGGAGTCAAATGATGTCTTTCTTGTCCTTAAATGAATCCACATTGGTTGCTGTGTAGACATTAACCAATGAATTGAGTAAATGCTATGTGATGATGATGGTGATCATGTTCTCACTTGCAAGAGTTCATTCAGAGCACCATTCCCTCATAAAACTCAAGGAGGGATATCAGTTCCAGATGTTAAGTTATAATCATGGGCTTATATATCATGACATCTCAGATTGAATTTTTTCTCTTTGTCATCGTTAAATTTGCCATTTAAGAAGAGATCAATATTCCCCAATTAACTTTCAATAAGGAAAAGAACGTTTTTATAAACAATTGTTTCTCTCCATCATTAATTTAATGGAAATAGTGCAATTATGGTAAGAGAGGAAATTGCAATCACAAACTCTTCTCTGCTACTCACTCTTCCTGTGTTTAAAAATAAAAATTATTCTTCCAGCAAATGTTCTCTACAAAAATATAAGTTGCAGGATAGGATTATTTCATGACTTCAAATAAGTTTTCTTATTCCAAGAAAACACTTTCCAAAGTTCCCAAAACTTTAACTGAGCTACAAGATATATAAGCAGTTTAGATATGACCAAGACAGTGTCTTCCCTCCCAGCTAACCTTTTATTAAAAACCACACACTTTATTTCAACATTCTGAGCAGATCCTAGACAACTCTGTGCATACAAGTCCCAGAGCAGACATAAAAACCAGATGGGAAAGAGATTTACAAGAACCAATCTCAAAAGAATATTTGCAAGCAGAATGTCAACTCAACACTGATTTCGGCAATGTATTTTGATTTACAATACAGATGTCTTTTCAGAATTTTCATTTCTCCTTATATATGAACAAAGTGCAAGGAGGATATAGTCCCAGCTGCTCCCTTCAAATGTTCCAGCCCTAAACAAATAGAAAAAATTTTATCATTTACTTTTATCTTCTGTGAAGTTCAGACATTTTAGTAGACTTTATAGGCAAATTGTTAAATCAAGCAGTTGCCCTTATACTTAAGAACATTTTCCTGAGGATACAACTTTGTCGCATCTCAAGGATCTCAACAAGGCAGAGAGAATGAAAGTATTTTTTGTCAATCTCTCATTATACAACAACAATATATTGAGATTCTTTATGATGGTGACAAAGGGCAGTGTGCTGGGTACTGAAGATATAAAAAAATACCTTCAAGTAGTTCATAGTCTCCTTGAAAAAGAGGTTAATAAATGCAATGTGTTGTAGAATATACAAAGAATTAATTGAACATTGGGAAGGAACTACATCACTCTACTGGGAAAAACAAGATAAGAAGGAAAAAATGGAGGCTACAAGATCAAGCTGTCACAAACATGCAAATAAAATGAAGATTGAACCTCTAAGGATAGATCATTTGCTTCTCATCTTCTTTGGTCATAGGAAACAAAATAAATTCTGAAAGAATTAAATATCAGAATCATCAGCAAACATTTACTAGACCAATTATATAATGATTTCCAGTTGATAAAGAATACCCACTCCATGGAAGATCTGAAATATACTTTGGTAATCCATGTGCAAAATGCCTCTGAATTTTTTAGCATTTGAAAAATTGCAATATTTAATTTGAACATTCTTCCAGGGAGCTTGATGTTTCTACCATACGTAAGTATAACGAGTACTTTCATCCAAGATTTATTGAGCTCCTACTGATGTGATTGGAATTGTGACATTGGGGAAAAGAGAAACGTGGTAGAAAGTCAATAATAGGGAAACTGAACGTAAAGAATATGTGTATATTCACACAGCACTATGACCACACAACCTGTTATTTTTGGAGGACTGTATGTATCAGTTGGTTTATGTTGATTTTGATAATGCAACTTACGCAAAAATACTCAAATTTTACTGACCCTATCAATCTATGTTAAGTTAGAAAGATTTGCTGACTCAAAAAATAAATCTACAATAAACCTTCCAAGATAAAATTTCTTTTTTTCTCCTTTCTTTTCAAATGGAAAAGAACAGGATTTAGGGAACAACATCAACTTTTAAAAATCCTTAGTAGGCTGTCTACTATGTGAAGAGATAATGCTCTCTATTGGGCCAAATGTTATTCAGTTAGCCATCTCTCTCTATTAACCAATACTTGTACATCTTTTGGTATGCAGTGTATCTCTGAAGTAATGGTATTAATTCCACATACCACCCTCACTGACAAATTTTACCAGAAAGCTCAGCTGGTCACTCTGAAAGACCTATCTCACTGTTTCATGGCCATTATTTTCATCACAATAGTTTTTATGGTTTGCAAAGTACTTTCACATTCATTATTTTATTTAATCTTTGAAGCAACACTTTGAGGTAAGTAAAGTGTTAATAGGCCCATTTTTAGATTAAGAAAACATTTCCAAAGTGCTTATGTAACTTAGTAAACGTTACACAGCTAGTAATGAATATTCATAATGGTGAACTATAGACCTCACAAGAATGGTTGAACATGACCTCTATCACTTGTGTTAATTATCTGGTCTTCTTTTATTCCAATTCATTGAAAATATGCAATTCAACTATGATAAAAGGGGTCACCCAGGATTAGCCAAAATACTTTATTAACTTAAATGCCCTAAAAAAATATTAAATATGATGTTTCCGTTTTTTAGAAATGCAGCACAAACTGATAAACTTCTTAAAGAAAGCAGAATAACCCTGGGGTAGAGTTTTTGGGGTGTAAATTTCCAACCTTTCCTTGAAAGCAATAATTCATCAAAATGTGCATTTGAAGAAAAACTGGGCTAAGACCTTGAAGGCATATGATTACAGTCAGTTTATGTTCTAAGCTTCCAAGAACATATTCTGTGCAGCTGATGTGATTCAAGAATGACAGGAGGAACTGTATATGTTTTTGTTTGTTTGTTTGTTTCTCTCCAGTTCAGCCTCCTTGGATTGATAAATGGGCTTAGGTGCATCTTTCCTGAAGGACATTATTTAATGTTTTGTTAGTTTAATCTCCCAGTACTGGTGGGGTCCAGGAAGGGGAGCTTCTTGAAGGAAGGTAAATAGTAGGCAAAAAGAGTTTTAAAGCTCAGACTCCAGTGGAGGGAGCTCTAACTCAAGTGCTAACTTGCCTTAAAAGAAATACACTGAAAGCTGTAAGGAAATCCCAGACTTCAACTACCTGCACTTACGAAAAATACAAAGCACCAACCTATAAGAGCACTTCTAGGACTATGTTTATACATTGTTCAATACAGTACGAGTTTACTAAAATGAAAAGGAGAGTTTGAAGAGCAAAAAATATTTCTCTCTCCTTTTTTGCCTCAACTAAGTATTATTTGGCACACTGTGTTACTGTTTTCTAAATTGGATCACATGACTAATATATCAATTCCACAAATATTTTTTATTACAAGTGCACTAAAAAATTAACTCAATTATCATGATCACTAAAACAAAATTTTGTATTAAAAGGTCTCTTTTGCTTTGATTGTCTTCATAATCACAAGTAAAAATGTTACCATGGTCTATTTGAATTTTTAAGGTTTGTCTAGAAACAGTTTCACTACTATACTGCTAGAAAATATTTCAGTCTATTGGAAGTCAAAAACTTTCAAGATATTCTAAAACATCTGCAAAGAATAACATTTTTCTCCAAGAAACTCAAAAGTCCTTTACAGGCAATGTAGTACTTATACAGGTAAAAGCTCATTGGAACGAATTCCCCAAGACATCAACTTGCTTGTAGTGGATCTGTGTAGTAACGAAGGCATTGATAGAAATGACTACACCAGTCTTCTGGAGGAGGGAATGAAACTGACACTCTGTAGCAAACTAACAAGTTGGAGAAAAAAATTAGCACTGAATCAAGCAGGGACAAAATGAAATTCGTTATGCACACAACCTCACTGTGAGTCCTCTCCTCCCAAGCCCTAGTTTAGTTAGGTAAATGTTTTGGATGAAGACAACTGAGGCAAGATGGGGAAGGAATGACAAAAGGCAAAAGGCTAAATTATTTTCTTGATAGTACCCAGCATCGTTTAGTCTGTCTTGCACACGGGATCTTACCAAAGTTTCTATAAAAATTTCTCTTGCTAAGTTATTCTTTAAAAATCAAACAAACAAACAAAAACAGAAACTGATGGCTGTCTAGTGCCTTCAAGAGGATGAACATATTCTTGAGGGGTGCGCTGCAGGTTCTCAATTCTGACTTTGGCCTGTTCACCTGCCTCTTTCATGTCTTGTTTTCCTTCCTCACTCCATGCACTTTCTGCCCAGACCAGATTGTTGCCCAAGTGGCTAAAACCAGGACCTGCTACAGACCCCTCCCCTACTCTAGGTCTTGTTTGGAGTGGTAATCTTTTTTGTCACCTGCTATAAGAGCCAGGGGCATTGCCTCCAGACCTCAAAGTGGCTGACCAGGCATTGTGCTTCTTTCTTTATGGTAGAAGGTAAATGCAACCATTTACTTGAAAGAAAATGACACAACACATCCTTAGGCTCTGGACCTCTAAAATCTTCAGCGAATGGCAGGTCCCTGAGTCTTCAAAGGATTTTCTCCTATGCTCAGGAGGGCTAGTCCCCTTCCAAGGCCTCCAGTGTGCTGGGTTCCCTCTAGCTCATTCCCTCTGATCAAATGACATCATCAACATAAAAGATCAATGTGATGTTCTGTAGAATATCTGTGTGATCCACAGCTCTTCTGACGATAAGATGACAGGGGGTGAGAAAGCTTTTTCTTGGGGGCAAAATGATAACATAGCTTTTGGTTTTTGCATATGAAGAACTGTTTCTGATCTTCTTTTCCGATTGAAACAGAAAATAAAATATATTCACCAAATCAATGGTTCCATATCATGTACCTGAGTCCTTATTAATCTGCTGTAGCAATAAACCACATCATGCATAGCAGCTATGATCAACGCTACAACTTGATTGATATTGTGGTTGTCTGTAGTGATTTTCCAGGATCCATCTGGTTTCTGCATGGCACAAATTGGATTAAATTGAGATATGATAGGGACCACTACCATTGAATCCTTTAAGATTAATATTTCTAACATTTTCCCCCATACGCACCTATTGGATGTGATACTGATTTTGATTTATGATCCTGGCCAAGGCATAGGGCAGACAATTTCAGAAGTTTTCACTTGACATCCTCAACAGGATAGCTATTATCCCATAGGACCAGGATGCAACATAGGAGTTGCTCCAAAAGTCAAGTACATCTAATCCCAGTTATACTTTTAGGAATTGAGGAAATGATTATTGGGTGTGTCTGCAGACCCATTGGACTCACCACAGTCAGAATTTGGCCAGGACCCTTTTTATCATCTGCCTCCCTTATACCCCATTCTGACAGAGGAGGCGTAAAGATGTTTCAGATTACTAGGTAGAAGTGTCAGTACAGACCCTATGGCCATCTGTCTTCTGAATATTTGGGTATTACCTTTTTCCAGTACACAGTCACTTGATCAGGCCGTTGGCTCTTTTGGAGAAGGATTGAGAGGAACTTTACAGTGTGTAATAAGGTCCTTCCCCTGAGATCCTCACTCTCTTGAGTCAGTGGATCCCAGTCTGAAAACTGGCTTGAGTCCAAAAACTGGGCAAGGGAATGTGGCTTTATTTGAACAATAGGCTTCAGTGTTGTCAAACAATATCAATTATCGTTTTCTATTGATTAGGTTGGAAGTCCATCTATTTTACCCAAAGGGATAGACCATGTTATATTAAACCATCTCCATAGTTCTCTGCAGGTCAGGCTTCCTTGGCTATTACTCTGATCTTGTCTGTTCTTATGAAAATAATAATCTCCTAGCTTTTGGTGTTAAAATCTGTTTACTTGTCTCTATTGCTTTAGGGTCCTAGTATCCCCATTGCTGTTAGTGAGCCAAGTTCTCTGGTGGTTCTTCTACCTCCAGCCTTGGTCTACAGAAGAGAACAAGCAGTGAACTCCATAGTGAGGCTCATGTGCCTCTTAACAGTGTTTTCTTGATGGTCTGGGTTAAAGTATGATTTGGGGGACTTTCCTAGGTAATGTAAGTATTTCAGCCTCACTCATTGTGGGCCACAGCTTTATCCAGGCCCCAGGACCCACCCTAGATGCAAGTTTGAAACATCCTCTGAACCCTGTTCCAGGATATTGAATCTTATACCCCAAAATAGTGCCCCCAAGCCAATAAATTCTTCAATAACCAGTCATAGGTCCAGGCCCCCTTGATTGTGCATCCTCAGCCTTCAGAATATGGGTCCTGCTGCTCCATACGGCTAGGTCTTGTAGCTCCTTTGGCCAGGTCCTTGTAGTCCAAGTCCTCCCTTATCAGATGCTGCTCAACCCTGGCTGGGTTATGCTTCCACTTAACTCTGATTATAGGCCAGGAGGCAGGAAGGCAGTGGGGGCAGCTTCTGAGGTGAGACGCCTGTTGTCTTGTATTCTGGCTTTGGGGCGTGGGACACTAGCTCTCAGGGGTGGAGTGAGCAACTTCTGCAGGCTCAGAAGATCAGATAAGTCTGGGAAATAAAATCTTTGGACCAAATGTCTCCATCCCATGTGTCAGGGTCCCTAAGTTTTTCCAGCTAGAGTCTTGACTTTGACAGATCTTCCTCATTTGGACATTCAACTATTCAGCCACTCTGACTATCAAATCCTGTGCTTAATCTTCAGCTTTTTCTGCTCCTTCACTGCATAAGATAAGGGCTTCTTTATAAGTTAGTACAGTAATTCAATGCAACTTAGTAATAACCACCCAATTGCATTATTTTGATCTTTATTATTCCTCAGTACATTTCAAACCCTGGACCATTGCATCTACCAGTACACACCCTTTCTCCGGGACATCATCCCAGCTCACCATGGGAGAACATTTTAACAATTGAACAACCACTTTGTGCTAGGGGCTTTCTATGAGGGATGGAATCCTCATAATCAGACAATCAGTGAGTGGTCAAGTTCTAAAATATAAACTTATCATTCCTGGTACCAAGTGGGCCATTTTAGACTCTCTAGGAGGGGAGGCTGAGATGGAATTTGGAATACAAGGAGTTTCTTGGGGAGTAACTCCTGTAAAAGGAAAAGGAAAGGAGAAGGATGGGGCAGTGGGTGGGGTTAGACTGTGATGCAGATCTCACAAATTTCTACCCACCAAAGGACAACTCCAGATCAAAGATTGCTCTTCAGAGGAGGCCTGCATTGGATGGAAATGGCCAGGCCCTTGTATGACCACCTGGTTTAGTTGTTCATCAGAGACTGACCTAAAAATAGTAAGACCTTGATTCAAAAGACTGGGTTGGATCACAATGAAGCAAACAGTTGAAGACTGTTGTCTAAGCGCACCCTTTGTAGCTGGGCAGGGAATCCTTCTTGAAAGGGTATCTGAAACTACTTTAAAGTTCATATGGAACCAAAAAAGAGCCCACATTGCCAAGTCAATCCTAAGCCAAAAGAACAAAGCTGGAGGCATCACACTACCTGACTTCAAACTATACTACAAGGCTATAGTAACCAAAACAGCATGGTACTGGTACCAAAACAGAGATATAGACCAATGGAACAGAACAGAGCCCTCAGAAATAATGCCGCATATCTACAACTATCTGATCTTTGACAAACCTGAGAAAAACAAGAAATGGGGAAAGGATTCCCTATTTAATAAATGGTGCTGGGAAAACTGGCTAGCCATATGTAGAAAGCTGAAACTGGATCCCTTCCTTACACCTTATACAAAAATTAATTCAAGATGGAATAAAGACTTAAATGTTAGACCTAAAACCATAAAAACCCTAGAAGAAAACCTAGGCAATACCATTCAGGACATAGGCATGGGCAAGGACTTCATGTCTAAAACACCAAAAGCAATGGCAACAAAAGCCAAAATTGACAAATGGGATCTAATTAAACTAAAGAGCTTCTGCACAGCAAAAGAAACTACCATCAGAGTAAACAGGCAACCTACAGAATGGGAGAAAATTTCTGCAACCTACTCATATGACAAAGGGCTAATATCCAGAATCTACAATGAACTCAAACAAATTTACAGGAAAAAAACAAACAACCCCATCAACAAGTGGGTGAAGGATATGAATAGACACTTCTCAAAAGAAGACATTTATGCAGCCAAAAGACACATGAAAAGATGCTCATCATCACTGGCCATCAGAGAAATGCAAATCAAAACCACAATGAGATACCATCTCACACCAGTTAGAATGACGATCATTAAAAAGTAAGGAAACAACAAGTGCTGGAGAGGATATGGAGAAATAGGAACACTTTTACACTGTTGGTGGGAATGTAAACTAGTTCAACCATTGTGGAAGTCAGTGTGGTGATTCCTCAGGCATCTAGAACTAGAAATACCATTTGACCCAGCCATCCCATTCCTGGGTATATACCCAAAGGATTATAAATCATGCTGCTATAAAGACACATGCACACGTATGTTTATTGTGGCACTATTCGCAATAGCAAAGACTTGGAACGAAGCCAAATGTCCAACAGTGATAGACTGGATTAAGAAAATGTGGCACATATATACCATGGAATACTATGCAGCCATAAAAAAGGATGAGTTCATGTCCTTTGTAGGGACATGGATGAAGCTGGAAACCATCATTCTCAGCAAACTATCGCAAGGACAAAAAACCAAACACCACATGTTCTCACTCATAGGTGGGAATTGAACAGTGAGAACACATGGACACAGGAAGGGGAACATCACACGTTGGAGACTGTTGTGGTGAAGGGGGAGGTGGGAGGGATAGTGTTAGGAGATATACCTAATGCTTAATGACGAGTTAATGGGTGCAGCACACCAACATGGCACATGTATACGTATGTAACAAACCTGCACGTTGTGCACATGTACCCTAAAACTTAAAGTATAATATTAATAAAATAAAATTTAAAAAAAGAAGAAAAAAAGAAAGGGTATCTGAGTAATGGATCTCCATATCTGCTACACCTAGGCTCTCTCATACAAATGCCTTGGGAGGTGGATGGACTAAGCTCTAAATCACAAGATATTTATTGAACTGTATTTTGAGTAGATTAACAAAAAACTTTGACTTTTTGGTCAAAAGAATCTCACTCAATAACTATTTTAAAATGGAGATGTAGGCCAGGTATGGTGGCTCATGCCTGTAATCCCAGCAATTTGGGAGGCTGAGGCAGGTGGATCATTTGAGGCCAGGAGTTGGAGACCAGGCTGGCCAACATGGCAAAACCCCATCTCTACTAAAAATACAAAAATTAGCTGAGCATGGTGGCATGCACCTGTAATCCCAGCTACTCGGGAGGCTGAGGCAGAAGAATCACTTGAACACAGGAGGCGGAGGTTGTAGTGAGCCAAGATCACACCACTGCACTCTGGCCTGGGTGACAGTGAGACTCCACCTCAAAAAATAAAAATAAAAAATAAAATGGAATGGGAGGAAAAGGTTGGACTACTTAATTATAAGGCAGCGTGTCTCAGCAGGGCTTCTGTGGAATCCTAGGACTCTCAAATTTGTGGCTAGGGGTTCCAAGACAGAGTATGATTGAAAAAGAAAAAAGAAAACAACTTAACGTGCCACACAATGCTAGTGCTTACAGAGGTAAACAGTGACTGAGAAGTCCATTTAGCTATTTTGAGAGAGGCTCTTCAGTTCTGTATACCAGTAGGACCATGTTCATTTGATTAAGTCGATTTTCGGTTTTTGATGTGGATGTGGAAAGAAGAAGGTCATTGATCATTTGTGAGTGCTTTATTACACAATAAAGAGGACAGGAGGCTTATGATATCAGCTTAACTACTTCAACCTCCCATCATGCACCACCAACTGATTTATGAGAAATATGTTTCCAAAAAAAAAATTATGTGCCATAGTTGAGCTGCTTTTGCCACTTTGCTGTTGTTGTGAAAGTTGCAAAATGAGGGTTGTACAAATTCACACTAAATTGTGCTTGAAGTTTTCATATTTGGGAGAGTTTGTTGTTCAGTTATTTTTTATGCCTTTATGATTTTTATGTTTTTGAACGTTTTAAGACTTGTTTTGTGAACTGACATACGGACTAGCCTTGAGAATGATCCATGTGCTGAGGAGAAGGAATGTGTATTTTGCAGCTGTTGGATGAAATGTTCTGTAAATGTCTATTAGGTTCATTTTGCCTACAGTATCTCTGTTTAATTCTAATATTATTTGCTTTATATATCTGGGTGCTCCAGTGTTGGGTGCATATATATTTACAATTGTTATATCCTCTTGCTGAACTGACCCCCTTTATCATGTTCTCTTACGTTTTATACACTGTTAATGTTCGTGTTTTTAAAACATATTTGCTGATACAATGTGGGGAGTTTTTAAGGCAGGTATAAGATGGACAGAAAGATTCTAGGCCTAGACCTACAAACTCATCATAAAGACTACTCATGTCTACTTATAAAGAGTTACAATCTTCTAAGTCATTTATCTGCACTGGTGAGAAAGACACACACACACACAGTCTGGCATGACAATGAAAGATACTTGTCAATTATTTTAAATGGTCTGGTAATACAAGTTGTCCAATTTTTTGTGCATTATCTGTGGCCAAGAAGAGCTGAAGCAAAATTGAAAAGACACATCTACAAATCATATCCATTTGGCAAGTTAAAAGGAGAATTATTTCAAAGGGTTACTGGATAAACACCGTAAAAATTTTGTTAAGAATAATAAAATTCAGTGAAAGGACTCAGGAGCCTATTTAGTAGTAGAACTTACTGCCCCAAAAAAGTAGAAGTACCACAATTGATAAGAACCTAGTAATGTCAGTGAATAATACTCAAGTTAGTGAAATGCAAGGACAGATTTCGTATCAGAAGCTGAAAAGCCTCCACTATCACTACAACACAGCAACATATTAATGACATGGTCAATACTTTTCATATTGCAAATAATATTTGCAATTTCTATTTAAACATATAAAGCCTATCTTTAGAAAAAATTATTTTATACCAAAGTCAAAATTATTTTCTTACCTAAGTCAGTTATTTAACAGAAATTTATTATTTTTGCCTTCTGGGCTTTAAAAAACTATTAAAAGCAAAAAAGGAATTAATTTCAAAAAAGGTGAACTGAGCTTACTTACCTAATCCTTTGTTTTTATTTGAGAAAGTCTGGCAACAAACTTTTTTTGAGTTTTAAATAGGGATAAAAACTACATTTGTACATATCATCTACTACATTTCATAGCTTTTTAGCAACTGTGTGGTAGAAATTACTAATATTTTCAAATCTATTTGATTTATTTAGGGACTTTATGGTTTTTTAAAAATTTTTACTATGATTTTCAAATGTGAATTGAATATTACACTAGCAAATCAAAACTGTTACCACTTTAAAATAATATTTTATCTCGTGATAAATCAGAAATAGGACTTAATTTTTTGACTTACACTTTTTTAAAAAAGTGATGATTAAAACTGATGACTGGATATTATAAAAGTTTTAAGTTGTACATTTTTATTATACTTACTTTTGTTTTTATCTTTTTTTTAAATAATATCAACTTGTATTTTAGATTCAGGGGGTACATGTGCAGATTCGTTACCTGGGCATATTATGTGATGTCAAGGTTTCGAGTACAGATGAAACTGTCACCTAGGTACTGAACACAGTACTGAATAGGTAGCTTTTCAACCTTTGCCCCCTTGCCCTTACAGTCCCCAGTGTCTATTGTTGTCATCTTTATGTTCATAAGTATCCACTGTTTAGCTCCCACCTATCAGTGAGAACATGTCATATTTGGTTTTTTGTTCTTGTGTTAACTCGCTTAGGATAATGGCCTTCAACTATATCCATGTTGCTGCTCAGGACATGATTTCACTCTTTTTATGGTTGTGTAGTATTCCATGGTTTCTAGATACCACATTTTCCTTATCCATTCCACCACTGATGGGCACCTAGGTTGATTGCCAGTCTTTGCTACTGTGAATAGTGCTGTGATAAACACATAAGTGCATGTGTCTTTTTGGTAGAATGATTTATTTTCTTTTGGATATATACCCAGTTACGGAATGGCTGGGTCAAATGGTAGTTCTGTTTTAAGTTCTTTAAGAACTCTCCATGCTTCTTTCCATAGTGGTTTAAGTAATTTACATTCCCAACATCAGTGTATCAGTATTCCCTTTTCCCCATGGCCTTGCCAGTGTCTGAGTTTTTGGTTTTTGTTTTTGTTTTAGTTTTTGTTTTGACTTTGATAATAGCCATCTGACTGATGTGAGATGGTATCTTATTGTGGTTTTGATCTGCATTTATCTGGTGATTAATGATGTGTTTGTGTTTGTTGGCTGCTCATATGTCTTCTTTTGAGAAATGTCTGTTCATGTCCTGTGCCAATTTTTTTGAGGGGTTATTTATTTTTTGCTTGTTCAAAGATTTAAGTTCCTTATAGATTCAGGATATTAGACCTTCATTGGATGCATGGTTTGCCAATAGTTTCTCCCATTCTGTAGGTTGTCTGTTTATTGATTTTTTTCTGTGCAGAAGCTCTTTAATTAGTTTAATTAGGTCAAAATTAGTTTAACTTGTCAATTTTTGCTTTTTAGAACCTAGTCATAAATTCTTTCCCAAGGCTGATGTCCAGAATGGTGTTTCTTAGGTTTTCTTTCAGGATTCTTATAGTTTGAGGTCTTACATTTAAATATTTAATCCATCTGAAGTTCATTTTTGTATGTGGTGAAAGGTAGGGGTACAGTTTTACTCTTTTGCTTATGACTACTCAGCTATCCCTGCCCCATGTATTGAATAGTGAGTCCTTTTCCCATTGCCTTTTCTTTCTTTCTTTCTTTCTTTTTCTTTTCTTTTTTTTTTTTTCTTTTTGCCAACCTTGTTGAAGATCAGATGGTTGTAGTTCTGTGGCTTTATTTCTGGGTTCTCTATTTTGTTCCATTTGTCTATATGTCTGTTTTTGTACCAGTACCATGCTGTTTTGGTTGCTGTAGCCTTAGAGTATAGTTTGAAATCAAATAAGGTAATGACTACAGCTTTGTTCTTTTTGCTTAAAATTGCTTTGGCTATGCAGGCTCCTTTTTGGTTCCAAAAAATTTTACAATAATTTTTTCTAGTTCTATGAAAAATAATTTTGGTAGCTTGATAGGAATTGCACTGAACCTGTATATTGCTTTGGGCAATATGTCCATTTTAATGATATTGATTCTTCTAATCCATGAGCATGGGATGTTTTTCCATGTGTTGGTGTCACCTATGATTTTTTTCAGCAGTGTTTTATAGTTCTCCTTGTAGAGATCTTTCACGTCTTTGGTTAGATGTATTTCTTGTTTTGTTTTGGTAGGTGTTTTTTTTTCAGCTATTATAAATGGGATTGTGTTCTTGATTTGGCTCTCAGTTTGAACATTATTGGTATACATAAAGGCTACTGAGTTTTGTATATTAATTTTTGTATCCTGAAACTTTACTGAAATCATTTATCAGTTCCAGGAGCATTTTTGCAGAGTTTTTAGGGGTTTCTAGGTATAGATTATACCGCCAGTGAAGACAGTTTGACTTCTTCTCTTCCTATTTGGATGTCTTTTATTTCTTTCTCTTGCCTAATTGCTCTAGCTAGCACTTCCAGTACTATGTTGAGTAGGTGTAGTGAAAGTAGACATTCTTTTCTCGTTCTAGCTCTCAAAGGGAATGCTTCCATTTTTTGCCCATTCAGTAAGACGTTAGCTGTGGGTTTGTCATAGATGGCTCTTATTATTTTGATGTATGTTCCTTTGATGCCTAGTCTCTTGTGAGTTTTTGTCATGAAAGAATGTTAATTTTATCAAAAGCATTTCTGCACCTAGGAGATAATCATATGATTTTCGTTTTTAATTCTGTTTATGTAATGAATCACATTTATTGATTTGCTTGTGTATGTTGAACAAATCTTTCATCTCAGAAATGAAGCCTACTTGATCATGATGAATTAACTTTTTAATGTGCTGCTGGATTCAATTCGCTAGTATTTCATTAAGGATTTTTGCATCTCTGTTCATCAGGGATGTTGACCTGAAATTTTCTTTTTTCACTGTCTTTGTCAGGTTTGGTATCAAGTTGACGTTGGCTTCATAGAATGAATTAGGGAGGAGTTCTTCCTCATAGCTTTTTTTGAATCAGTTTCAGTAGAATTGGTATCAGATCTTCTTTGTACATCTAGTAGAATTTGGCTGTGAGTTCATCTGATCTGGGATTTTGGGGTTGGTAGGTTTTTTATTACTCATTTAATTTTGGAACTTGATATTGGTCTGTAAAGGATTTTAATTTCTTCCCGGTTTAATCTTGGGAGGCTGTGTGTTTCCAGGAATTTATCCATTTCTTCTAGATTTTATGGTTTGTGTGCATAGAGATCTTCAAATGATCTTTTGTATTTCTGTAGATTGGTTATAATGTCACCTTTGTCATTTCTGATTGGTTTATTTGAATCTTCTCTCCTGTTTTCTTTGTTAATTTAGCTAGCGGTCTATAAATCTTGTTTCTTGTTTCGAAGAACCAGCTTTTGGTTTTGTTGATTCTTTGTATGGATTTTTGGGTCTTAATTTCATTCAATTCTTCATTGAGTTTAGTTATTTATTTTCTTCTGTTCACTTTGGGCCTAGGTCATTCTTATTTTTCTGGTTCCTCTAGGTGTGATGTTAGATCATTAATTTGAGATTGTAACTTTTTGAGGTAGGTTTTAAGTAGTGTAATTTTCCTTTTAACACTGTTTTTGCTGCATCCCAGAGATTTTGGTGTGTTTTATCTCTGTTTTCACTTATTTCAAAGAATTTTTTGATTTCTGCTTTGATTTCATTGTTTTCCCAAAAGTCACTGTGGAGCAAGTTGTTTAATTTCCATGTAATTGTGTGGTGTTGATAAATCTTCTTGGTATTGATTTCTATTTTTTCCACTTTAATCCAAGAGTATTATTTGGTATAATTTTGATTTCTTTGAATTTATTGAGATTTGCTTTATGGCTGAGAATGTGATCGATCATGGAGTATATTGCGTGTGAGAAAAATGTATATTCTGTGGTTGATGAGTGGAGTAGTCTATAGATGTCTGTTAGGCCCAATTGGTCAAATGTCAAATTTAATTCCATAATTTCTTTGTTAGCTTTCTGTATTGATCATCTAATGCTGTCAGTGGGGTGTTGAAGTCCCCTGCTATTATTGTGTGTGATTTAAATCTTTTCATATTTCTAGAAGTACTCGTTTTATGAATCTGGGTGTTCCAATATTGGGTGCATAAATATTTAAGATAGTTAAGCCTTCTTGTTGAAGTGAAACCTTCATCATTGCCCTTTTTTGTCCTTTTATCCTGTTGTTGGTTTAAGGTCTGTTTTGGGGGTGGGGCCAAGATGGCCAACTAGAAGCAGCTGCGATCAGAGGCTCCCATTGAAAAGATTTAAAACAGCATCGAACCCTGCACTGGCAAACAAGGTATCCAGGTTCTGTCATTAAGACTGACTAGGTGGCTGGCATGACCCACAAAGAGGAAGGAAGAGCAGTAGTCCCACCTGAGAGCCACATGGGGCAGGGGAGCCCCCACCCCCAGACGAAAGAGGCGGTGAGTGAGCGCGCTACCCAGCCTGCCAAGTTCCTGGGGATAAGGGTGGCCATAACCACTACTGCAGCTGCCGTTTAAGCCATCTGAGCTCCTTGGCGGTTGACGGTGGGGGGATGTTGGTGCGGGGCAGCAGACAACACTGAGGCTGCATGGCCTCCCTGCAGAACTCCAACTCCAACCAGGAGCTCAAGGACAGAACTCTGATTTCCCTGGGCCTGAGCCTCTAGGGAGAGGGGTGGCCATAGTCCCCATGGACCAGCAGACTTACTCTTTCCTCCTGCTAGCTCTGAGGAATCTGGGCAGCCCAGATGAGTGAGTTTCCCCCAGTACAACACACCCCCTCCACCAGTGGACAACCAAAGTACCTCATTAAATGGGTCCTGCTTCCCATGCCACCCAGCTGGGTGAGACGCCCAACAGGGGTTGTCAGATATCCTATACATGAGCTTTCCTACTGGCATCAGGTTGGGGCCCCTCAAAGACAGAGATCCCAGAGGAAGGAGCAGGCACCCATTTTTGCTGTCCTCCAGCCTCACTGAGTGACATTTCCAGGCATGGGAGTGAACCAGAAGAATAAGGCCTGAAGTGAACCCCCAGCAAACCACAGCAGTCCTATAGAAGAGGGACCTGAGTATTTGAAAGAATAACAAACAAATAGAAAGCAACAACAACAACATCAACAAAAAAAGGGTCCCCACAAAAACCTCACCCAGGGTCAGCAGCCTCAAAGATAGAAACTAGACAAACTCATGGAGATGAGAAAGATTCAACAAAAAAATACTGAAAACTCAAAAGCCCAGAGTGGCTCTTCTCCACCAAATGATTGCAAACCCTCTCCAACAAGAGTGCAGAACTGGATGGAGGATGAGATGGACGAATTGACAGACGTAGCTTCAGTAGGTGGGTAATAATGAACTCCACTAGCTAAAGGAACATGTTCTAACCCAATGCACAGAAGCTAAGAACCTTGAAAAAAGGTTAGAGGAACTGCCAACTAGAATAACCAGTTTAGAGAGGAACATAAATGACCTGATGGAGCTGAAAAATGCAGCATAAGAACTTTGTGAAGCATACACAAGTATCAATAGCTGAATCAATCAAGCAGAAGAAAGAATGTCAGAGATGGAAGACCATTCTGCTGAAATAAGGCAGGCAGACAAGATTAGAGAAAAAAGAATGAAAAGGAATGAACAAAATCTCTGAGAAATGTGGGACTATGTAAAAAGACTGAATCTATGACTGATTAAAGTACCTGAAAGAGACAGGGAGAATGGGACCAAGACAGAAAACACACTTTGGGATATTATCCAGGAGAACTTCCCCATCCTAACAGGACAGGCCAACATTCAAATTCAAGAACTACAAAGAACCCCATTAAGATACTCCATGAGAAGATCAACCCCAAGACACATAATCATCAGATTCCCCAAGGTCAAAGTGATGAAAAAAATGTTAAGGGCAGCCAGAAAAGCCAGGTCACCTATAAACGGAAGCCCATCAGACTAACAGCAGACCTCTCAGCAGAAACCCTACAAACCAGGAGAAAGTGGAGGCCAATATTCAACATTCTTAAAGAAAATAATTTTCAACCCAGAATTTCATATCTAGCCAAACTAAGCTTCATAAGTGAAGGAGAAATAAAATCCTTTCAGACAAGCAAATGCAGAGGGAATTTGTCACCACCAGGCCTACCTTGCAAGATGTCCTGAAGGAAACACTAAATAAGAAAAGAAAAAAATGGCACCAGCCACTGCAAAACACACAAAAATATAAAGACCAATGACACTATGAAGAAAGAGCATCAACTAGTGTGCAAAATAATCAGCTAGCATTATGATGACAGGATTAAATTCACACATAACAATATTAACCTTAAATGTAAATGGGCTAAATGCCCCAATTAAAAGACACAGACTGACAAATTGGATAGAGTCAAGACCCATCAGTGTGCTGTATTCAAGAGACCCATCTCACATGCAGTGACACATATAGGCTCAAAATAAAGGATGTAGGAAAATTTACCAAGCAAATGGAAAACAGAATAAAGCAGGGGTTGCACTCCTAGTCTCTGACAAAACAGACTTTAAACCGACAAAGATCAAAAGAGACAAAGAAGGGCATTACCTAATGGTAAAGGGATCAATTCAACTAGAAGAGCTAACTGTCCAAAATATATATGCACCCAATACAGGAGCACCCAGATTTATAAAACAAGTTCTTAGAGACCTACAAAGAGACTTAGACTCCCAACACAATAATAGTGGGAGACTTTAACAACCCACTGTCAATATTAGACAGATCAATGAGACAGAACATTAACAGGGATATTCAGGACCTGAGCTCACCTCTGGATCAAGTGGACCTGATAGATATCTACAGAACTCTCCACCCAAAAACAGCAGAATATACATTCTTCTCAGTGCTACATGGCACTTACTCTAAAATCAACCACATAATTAAAAGTAAAACACTCCTCAGCAAATTGAAAAGAACTAAAATCATAACAAACAGTCTCTCAGACCACAGTGCAATCAAATTAGAACTCAGGATTAAGAAACTTACTGAAAACCACACTACTACATGGAAAGTGAACAACCTGCTCCTGAAAGACTCCTGGGTAAATAATGAAATTAAGTCAGAAATCGAGAAGTTCTTTGAAACCAATGAGAACAAGGAGACAATGTACCAGAATCTTTGGGATGCAGCTAAAGCAGTGTTAAGAGGGAAATTTATAGCACTAAATGCCCACATCAAAAAGCTAAAAAGACCTCAAATTGACACCCTAACATCACAACTAAAAGAACTAGAGAACCAAGGGCAAACAAACCCCAAAGCCAGCAGAAGACAAGAGATAACCAACATCAGAGTGGAATGCAAGGAGATAAACACAGGAAAAACCCTTCAAAAAATCAGTGAATCCAGGAGCTGGCTGTTTGAAAAATTAATAAAGTAGATAGACTACTAGCCAGACTAATAAAAAAGAATAGAGAGAAGAATCAAATAGATACAATAAAAAATGATAAAGCGGATATCACCAGTGACCCCCAAAGAAATACAAACAACCATCAGAGAATACTATAAGCACCTCTATGCAAATAAACTAGAAAATCTAGAAGAAATGGATAAATTCCCGGACACATACACCCTACCAAGACTAAATAAGGAAGAAGTCAAATCCCTGAATAGACCAATAACAAATTCTAAAATTGAGGCAGTAATAAATTGCCTGCCAACCAAATAAAGCCCAGGACCAGATGGATTCACAGCCAAATTCTACCAGAGGTACAAAGGCAAGCTGATACCACTCCTTCAGAAACCATTCCAAACAAATGAAAAGGAGGGACTCCCATCTTCCTGATACCAAAACCTGGCAGAGACACAAAAAAGAAAACTTCAGACTAATATCCCTGATGAACATTGATGTGAAAATCCTCAATAAAATACTAGCCAACTGAATCCAGCAGTGCATCCAAAAGCTTATCCACCACAATCAAGTCAGCTTCATCCCTGGGATGCAAGTCTGGTTCAATATACACAAATCAATAAATGTAATCCATCACATGAACAGAACCAATGACAAAAACCACATAATTATCTCAGTAGATGCAGAAAAGTCCTTCGATAAAACTCAACATCTCTTCATGCTAAAAACTCTCAATAAACTAGGAATTGATGGAACATATCCAAAATAATAAGAGTTATTTATGACAAACCAACAGCCAATATCATACTGAATGGGCAAAAGCTGGAAGCATTCCCCTTGAAAACTGGCACAAGACAAGGATGCCCTCTCTCACCACTTCTATTCAACATAGTATTGAAAGTTCTGGCCAGGGAAATCAGGTAAGAGAAAGAAACAAAGGGTAGTCAAATAGGAAGAGAGGAAGTTAAATTGTCTCTGTTGGCAGATGACATGATCCTATATTTAGAAAACCCCATTATCTCAGTCTGAGAACTCTTTAAGCTGATAAGCAACTTCAGCAAAGTCTCAGGATACAAAATCAATGTGCAAAAATCACAAGCATTCCTATATACCAACAGAGAAGCAGACAGCCAAATCATGAATGAACTCCCATTAACAATTGCTACAAAGAGAATAAAATACCTAGGAATACAGCTAACAAGGAACATGAAGGATCCATTTAAGGAGAACTATAAACCACTGCTCAAGAAAATAAGAGAGGACAAAAACAAATGGTAAAACATTCCATCCTCATGGATAGAAAGAATCAATATCATGAAAATGGTCATACTTCGCAAAGTAACTTACAGATTCAATATTATTCCCATTAAACTACCATTGACATTCTTCATGGAATTAGAAAAAACTACTTTAAAATTCATATTTTAAAAAAGAGCCTGCATAGCCAAGAAAATCCTAAGGAAAAAGAACAAAGCCAGAGGCATCACACTACCTAACTCCAAACTATACTACAAGGCAACAGTAACCAAAACAGCATCGTACTGGTACAAAACAGACATATAGACCAACAGAACACAATAGAGACCTCAGAAATAAGACCACACATTTATAACCATCTGATCTTCAACAAACCTGACAATAACAAGCAATAGGGAAAGACTTCACTATTTGATAAATGGTGCTGGGAAAACTGGCTAGCCATTTGCAAAAAACTGAAACTGGACCCCTTCCTTACACCTTATAAATAAATTAACTCAAGATGAATTAAAGACTTAAATGTAAAACCCAAAATCATAAAAACCCTAGAAGAAAACCTAGGCAATACTATTCAGGACATGGGCATGGGCAAAGATTTTATGATGAAATCACCAAAAGCAATTGCAACAAAAGCTAAAATTGACAAAAGGGATCTAATTAAACTAAAGAATTCCTGCACAGCAAAAGAAATTACCATCAGAGTGAATAGGCAACCTACAGAATGGGAGAACATTTTTGCAATCTTTCCATCTGACAAAGGTCTAATATCCAGAATTTACAAGGAACTTAAATAAATTCACAAGAAAAAAAAACCCATCAAAAAGTGGGCAAAGCATATGAACAGACACTTCTAAAAAGAAGACATTAATGTGGCCAATGATCATATGAAAATAAGCTCAACATCACTGATCATTAGAGAAATGCACATCAAAACCACAATGAGATACCATCTCATGCCAGTCAGAATGGAGATTATTAAAAGGTCTAGAAACCAGATGCTGACGAGGCTGTGGAGAAATAGGAACATTTTTACATTGTTGTTGAGAATGCAAATTAGTTCAACCATTGCGGAGGACAATGTGGTGATTCCTCAATGATCTAGAACCAGAAATACCATTTGACCCAGCAATCCCATTACTGGGTATATACTCAAAGGAATATAAATCATTCTATTATAAAGATACATGCATACGTATGTTTATTGCAGCACTATTCACAAAAGCAAAAACATGGAGCCAACCCCAATGATAGACTGGATAAAGAAAATGTGGTACATATACACCATGGAATATTGTGCAACCACAAAAAAGAATGAGATCATGTTCTTTCCAGGGACATGAATGAAGTTGGAAGCCATAATCATCAGAAAATTAACTCAGGAACAGAAAACCAAATGCCGCATGTTCTCACTCATAAGTGGGAGTTGAACAGAGAACACATGGACACAGGGAGGGGAACAACACTCCTGTTGTGGTGGAGGGAGAGGGAGGGGGAGCATCAGGACAAATAGCTAATGTATATGGGGCTTAAAACGTAGGTGATGGGTTGATAGGTGCAGCAAACCATTATGGCACATGTATACCTATATAACAAACCTGCACATTCTGCACATGTATCCCCGAACTTAAAGTAAAAAACTAAAAAATAAAATAAATAAAACATTTTAGAAATAAATAAAGTCTGTTTTATCTAATACAAGAATACTAACCCCTGTTCTTTTCTGTGTTCTGTTTGCATAATAGAACTTTCTCTAAACTTTTTTTAAACTTTTATTAATATTTTAGATTCAGGGGTACATGTCAAGGTTTACTACATAGGTAAACTCATGTCATGGGGTTTGATGTACAGATTATTTCATCACCTAGGTCTTAAGCTCAGTACCCAATAGTTATTTTTTCTACTCCCCTCCCTCCTTCTACCCTCTGTCCTCAAGTAGACCCCAGTATCTGTTGTTTCCTTCTCTGTGTTCATAAGTTCTTTTCATTCAGCTCCCACTTATAAGTGAGAATATACGGTATTTGGTTTTCTGTTCATGCATTAGTTTCCTAAAGGTAACAGCCTCCAGCTCCATCCATGTTCCTGCAAAAGACATGACCTTGTTCCTTTTTATGGCTGCATAGTATTCCACGGTATAGATGTATCACATTTTCTTTATCCAATCTTTCATTGATGGGCATTTAGGTTGTCCACATCTTTGCTATTACGAATAGTGCTGCAATGAACATTCACATGCATGTGTCTTTATGGTAGAATGATTTATATTCTTCTGGGTATATACCCAGTAATGGGATTGCTGGGTCAAATGGTATTTCTGATTTTAGCTCTTTGAAGAATTACCATACTTCTTTCCACAATGGTTGAACTAATTTACACTCTCACTAACAGTATATAATCGTTCCCTTTTGTCCTCAACCTTGCCAGCATTTGTTAATTTTTGACTGTTTAATAATAGCTATTCTGGCTTGTGTGAGTTGGTATCTCTGTGATTCTGATTTGCATATGTTGAGCTTTTTTTTTTTATATGATTGTTGGCCGTATGTATATCTTCTTTTGAGAAGTGTCTGTTCATGTCCTTTGCCCACTTTTTAATGGGGTCATTTGTTTTTCTATTGTAAATTGTTTAAGTTCCTTATGGATGCTAGATATTGTGTCTTTGACAGATGCATAGTTTGCAAATGTTTTCTCCCATTCTGTAGGATGTCTGTTTACTCTATTGATAGTGTCTTTTGCTCTGCAGAAGCTCTTAAGTTTAATTAGATCCCATTTGTCGATTTTGCTTCTGTTGCAATTGCTTTTGACATTTTCATCATGAAATATTTGCTTGTTCCTATGTTCAGGATTGTATTGCCTAGTTGTCTTCCAGAGCTTTTATAGTTTTATGTTTTACATTTAAGTCATTAATCCATATTAAGTTGACTTTTGTATATGGTGTAAGAAAGGGGTCCAGCTTCAATCTTCTGCATATGGCTAGTCAGTTATTCGAGCACCATTTACTGAATAGGGAGTCTTTTCCCCATTGCTGGTTTTTGTCAGTTTTGTCAAATATCAGATGGTCATAGATGTGCAGCCTTATTTCTGGGCTCTCTATTCTCTTCCATTGGTTTATATGCCTGTTTTTGTACCAGTACCATGATGTTTTGGTTACTGTAGCTGTAGTAGATTTTAAAGTTGGGTAATGTAATGCCTCCAGCTTTGTTCTTTTTGTTTAGGATTGCCTTGGCTATTTGGGCTCTTTTTCGGTTCCATATGAATTTTTAAATAATTTTTTCTAATTCTATGAAGAATGTCATTGTTAGTTTGATAGGAATAGCATTGAATCTGTAAATTGCTTTGGGAAATATGGCTGTTTTAATGATATTGACTCTTCTTATCCATGAGCATGGGATGTTTTTCCATTCGTTTGTGTCTTCTCTGATTTTTTTGAGCAGGGTTTTGTAGTTCTCATTGTAGAGATCTTTCACTTCCCTGGTTAGCTGTATTCCTAGGCATTTTATTCTTTTTGTGGCAATTGTGAATGGGATTGTGTTCCTGATCTGGCTCTCAGCTTGGCTGCTTTTGGTGTAGAGAAATGCTACTGATTTTTGTATATTGAATTTTTTATCCTGAAATTTTGCTGAAATTTTTTATCAGCTAAAGGAGCTTTTGGGTCAAGACTATGGGGATTTCTAGATATAGAATCATGTCATGTGAAAACAGGGATAGTTTAACTTCCTCTCAACCTATTTGGATGGCACTTACTTCTTTCTCTTGCCTAATTGCTCTGTCTATATTTCTCTCACCCTTTACTTTGTGTCTATAGGTGTCATTATACGTAAGATGGGTTTCTTGAAGGTGGCAGACAAATGGACTTTGTTTTTGCTTTTTTTATATCCAACTTGCCACTCTGTGCCTTTTAAGTAGGTCAGTTAGATCACTTACATTCAAGGTTTACATTTATATGTGAAATTTTGATGCTATCATGAAGTTGTTAGCTGGTTGCTTTGCAGTTTCTATTGTGGTTGCTTTATAGTGTCTATGAGCTCTGTACTTAGGTGTGTTTTTGTGGTAGGAGGTATTGTTCTTTCACTTCCATGTTTAGAAACCCTTAAAGATCTCTTGCAAGGTTGGCCAAGTGGTAGCCAACTCCCTTAGTGTTTGGTTGTTTGGAGAACATTTTATTTTCCCTTCAGTTATGAAGCTTAGTGTGGCAGGATTTGAAATTCTTGGTTGGAATTTCTTTTTTTAAAAAATGCTTAAAAAAGGCCTCCAGTCTCTCTTGGCTTATAAGGTTTCTGCTAAGAAGTCTGCTGTAAGCCTAATGGGGTTCCCTTTGTACATAATGTGACCTTTTTCTCTAGCTGCCTTTAAGATTTTTTCTTAGTTTTGATCTTGGACAGTTTGGTGACTATATGCCTTAATGATGTTCATTTTTTATAGTATCTCACAGGAGTTCTCTAGATTTCTCATATCCAGATGTCTCCCTCTAGCAAGATTAGAGCAATTTTCTTGAATTATTTTATTAAATATATTTTCCAGGTTGTTTTATTTCTCTTCATTTCTCTCAGAAATGCCAGCATTTGAAGGTTTGGTCACTTTACATACTCCCATATTTCTCAAAGACTTTACTCATTTTTTAAAATTTGTTTTTTCTTTATTTTTTTCTGACTGGGTTAGTTCAAAAGATCAGTTTTCAAGCTCTGAAATTCTTTTTCTGCTTGTTCCAGTTTATTGATAAAGCTTTCTTTGTATTTTCAAGTCCTTTAAGTGAGATTTTCAATTCCAGAAGCTCTGATTGAGTTCTTTTTAAGATGTTTATCTCTTCCTTCATTTCCTGGATTGTTTTAGAAGCTTCTTTGTGTGGATTTTCAACATTTTCCTTGATCTTGTTGAGCATTCTTTCAATCCATGCTTGTCTTGTTTACCTGTTATTTCTGAGCTTCTATTTTGGTTAGGAACCATTGCTGGAGAGTTAGTGCAATCCTTTGGTGGTGATGTCCCTGCATTCAGATTTTTCATGGTGCCTGAATTCTTGCTCTGGTACCTTCTCCTCTGGAGATGCTGGCACTAATTTTTGTAATTATTTTTTGTGCATAGGATTTCTGCACAGGAAGGGTAGGGAAACCCAATCTGCTAACCCATGTGAGTGGTTGCTCCAAATGCCTGGAGATCTGCCTGTGTGTAAAGCAGAGAGGGCCCTACTGCACCACAATCTATGTCCATGAAGGGTAGAATGGCTCAGGCTGCTGGTCCAGGCTGTCTTAATGCTTTATTTCTGCCTGTGGGTAGAGTAGAGGGCCCCACCGTACCAAAATCTCAGGGGAGCAGGCTGGAACTCCCAGCAATGACACACACAGACCCATTCCAGATTTCCAAGTTGGACCTGGCTATAAGTCTCATCATCTAGAAGAAACTGCTGCTATAGAAATTCTCCTCCCACCCCAGGCTTGTGATGGGGGATAGCACAATTCCAGCACCTACTGCTAAGGCACCTTCCACAGTTCTGGCTGTGGAGGCCCCTGTGCTCCAGAGCAGGAACTTCAATCTGTGGCCCAAGACTTAAATGATTGTGCATCCACACTGCCTGTTGCCAAAGAACGGCTTTGTATCTTCAAGTCTTTTTGAATGAGATTTTTAAAAGATCAAACAGGAATATAAAAACCAAAAGAATTAAGGTTCCCTCCGCCTTCACTACTGACTAGTATTAGAGTATGAGAAAGGCAAACTATACAAATAGAATATTCTAGAAGTAAGTCAAATAAATTGATCTACAGGAAAATATAATTGTACACTCAAAAGAGTGTTGAGATTATTAGTGGATTATTATGTCCACAAATTACTGATAACACTAATGTATAGAGAATTGTTGATATAATAATTTTATGCAGGACATCTCTGAGATCTGAAGATTATTTCAAGAGTTCTAGGGTAAAAAGTTTAAGGAAGGCTGCTTTAAGTTTTTTCTCACCATTCCTCCACCCCACCATGCACAACTTCTAAATCAGGGTAGAAATTTCTTTAAAAAAAAACAAAAAACAAAAAAACAAAAAAACAGCTACTAAAGATTTTTAAATGACTTGAGAACTCTTTTCTTGATGCTTTGCTGGACTAACCAACATTGTTTCTTCTTAACTATATTGAGGCTTAGTCTGAGACACAAACTACTAACTCAAATACTGGGAAGATAGGAAATATGAATGGTTAATGGTTAAAATGCACAGTTCTACAGTGAAAGGGACCAAAATACCCTCAGGAGAAGGATCTCTGAATAAAATTGAAGTCTAAACTTGGAAAAATAAATTTGGAGGAAAGCCATGGCAGATTTAGAGGCAGGCAAATTAAACTTAGTGAATTTCAAATTAATTTCACAGATGGTATCCAATTCTGGTGTTGCTGGCAGGGTTCCAGGTTATATTGGAAACATAAAGAAAAAGCAAAAATCTTACTTCGATTTTCTCTGGAGATGTGAGATGTCTGATCTTTGCAATTGTGTGTTTATAAGTATGATTATGTGTGTTTGTACATATGAGTATATGTGTTTTGTGTGTATGTGGTCAATACCATATAAAGATTAACAAAACGAAACAGTATCCCAGCCTACAAATCTTGTAAGAAACAAATTCTCAGACACTTGTCAAGGGAAATATCAACTAAATATTTATTGGGTCTAGTTTTAAGAACTGCCAGATATATCTTTTTATAACATTGAAAATACACTTAATCTTTACTTAAGGGACAGGATTATATATTAGTGATGTGTATATTATAGCCAAAATCTTGATTCTATACTTCTTCTTGTGTAGAAATAGAAAAAATGCCACAGCTTCCTGAAAAATATATATAATATTAAATATTTAATATCCAATGTTATATATATATATGTACATTTTACTATTCCAGGGAATTATAGGATATTATTTTACTGATAGTTATATACATTGAAGATTATTCACCTTTTCAATTATTCTTGTCTGCTGAGACACTGTGCTCTTTTTAGATATTAGCAAGCAGATTCATGGCAGTTTTGGGACTTCTTAGTCCGCCAGCTTTCTAAGTTTAGAGACTTTCATCCCATATCATTTCAAACATATAAAAATACACCCACATCAGATGTTAAATATAACTTCCCTAAAATTTTTTCAAAAGGTTTTTTAAAAATGGTTATATTTGAGTTTTCTTAAAGATAAATGATTTATTTTGTTCTTGTGGATTACATTTATATTTAAGTTTATATTTAAGTAGAGTTGGATTGAATTACACTTAACATTATATTCTTTAGACATTTAATTATACTTTTGTTCATTTTTATTTTCCAGGGTTTTTTTTTCTTAATTTGAAGCCAATAATTTTTCTTCCAGATTTAAAAAATTCCATTGACAAGCTCATAGACTAATCTAGACACTAAGCCTATAGTACCAAATGGATAAAACTGTTTTTTAGTTACCACTAATGATGCTGTACTTGCTATAAAACCAAGTTTTTTACTGTGGCTTATAATGTCCTACATGAATTTTTCTATTCCTTCTTCTACGACCCTAGCTCATGCACTTGTCTTATTTTCATTCTGTTCATATAAGCAGTCTTTTTGTTCTAAGCATCTATCATTACTTGAGAAGATAAAGTAGCAGTAGTAGTTTGAGAGAGTATCAGCGTTGAGGGAATACTTTTTAAGGTTTTCGCTTTGATTTGTACAGGATAGAAAATACCTGGGCATGCTTGTAGGCAGACAAGAAGTAGCTGAGAGAAAAACATCCAGAAGAAGAACAAATGGGCTTCATCTTTTTCATAATTGAACTACTGCCTTAGCTTAGTGCCTGGATAGCACATAGTGGTGATACATAAATTCTAGGCAGACAGGGGTGTGACCCTGGCAAAACCCCAGCTTCCAATCGAAAAGCCTGAAACCTGCAGCCCAAAGTAAGAACTTCCATCCCAGTGTGCCTGCTCTCTCCCAGTTGGTTCTTTCTGAATAATGTCTTTCCACCAACTGAATGTTTCCTCTTCCACAACTACCTATGGCCCACCCTGCCCCCACCCTGTGCCTATAAAGATCCCAGATTCAGCTGGCAGAGGAAACAAGCGGCTGGACGTCAGGGAGAGGCGGCTTTGACTTCAGAAACAGTGGCTGGGCAACTTGACTTCAAAAGAGACAGGAGGTTTGACTTCAGGGGAGTACAACCTGCTTTTCCCGTCCCCTTTCCACCTCCTCTCTCTGCTAAGAGCTACCTTCATCACTCAATAAAATTCTCCACATTCACCATCCTTCAATTTTTCCACATGACCTCATTCCTCTTGGAAACTGGACAAGAATCTGGGATGCACCAAGTGCAGGTACCCAAAAAGGCTGTCACACTGGCCCTTTGCGCTCACTGGTAGAGCGCAGCCACCCCACGCCATGAGGCAAAGATCCCACTAAGCTGATATCACACTGCTGTCCAAAAATGGTGGAGCTAAGACAGCACTGTAACACACCCTCTGAGGCCTTGGGGTCACAGGCACCCCCACCTGGATGCTGCAACGGGGCATGCATAAAGTTTGCTTCTGCCAACACTAAAGCAGCCGGCCAGTTCCTGCACTCTCCTGCTTGTGTGCTCCCTCCCAGGGAGGGTGGAGTCCAGCGGACCTGAATGAATTCAGTTTGCACCTACTGGGCTGCTGGCTGGTTCCTGCACTCACTTGCTCCAGTTCCCATACTCGTTCGCTCGCATGCTCCCTCCTACAAGGAGTTGAGTGGAGTGGGCTGAGTAAATGCGGCACCCCATCACAAGTCCCATGAAGTGGTCAAGAAAATATCCTGCATCAGTAGGAGATCTAAAACCAATCTTTTTTGAAGGACAGTGTCATGCAATAGATGCCTTATTATAATAGAGTATGGTTTTCTATAGCTGAGAAAGAATCTTCTTCCAAGCTCTCTCATGCAGTTGTAGACAGGATTGTTTCTCATAGGATGTTGGACTAGAAGGTCTTACTTCCTCACTGCCTCTTTGTCAAGGGCTTCCCTCAGTTCCTTGCAACATGGACCTCTCCATAGAGTGACTTACAACATGGCAGCTGTCTTCCTTCAAAGCAGGTGAGAGAGCAAAAGAGGCTGAGTACCCAAGACAAAAACCAAAGTCTTCTTTTATAACCAAAGCTTGGAAGTGGTATCCCATTATTTCTGCCGTATTCTATTCATTGGAAATAAGTCAGTAAGTCTAGCCTACACTCAAGGAGAGGAGTGATATGAGGACATGAATATCTGGTGGTAAAGATCATGGGAAGTCATCTTAGAGCCACATTCACTATCTAGCAGAAGATTCAGGCTTCTAAACAAATAACAGTTTAAGATGCTGAGTAATATTTTTAAAAGCAGATAACCTAGAATATTCTTATCTGGATCAGAGATGAAAATCTCAGAGAAAGTGACATTTGAACTAAGAATTGACTTTAAGAAAATAGTCACTAGGCAGAGAAAATATTATGAGCAGAAAAACAGATGCACAGATGTTTATGGCATGTTTCTGGGACTTCAAAGACTTCAGTGAACTTGAAGGATATGTTAGGGAAAGTGGCTGATAATGAGACTGCAACAGACTATTGTAGCCTATGGAGTTTCTCGTCTGTTATGCTGAAGAGCTTAAATTCCATCTTATACTTGAAGAGAAGTTAATGAAGGGATTAAAATCCTATCTCAGAAAAATAATCCTGGTCACAGAGCGCAGAATAAGTGAAAACAAAAAAGAAAGAACTAGGCCATTCAGGAGCATGCTGTGACAGCATAGACAAAGATATGGTACACTACACTAAGCCAGTGGTCATGGGTATGGAGAAGTGGAGACACATAGGACAGATATGGTCAGGGGTTGAAAGAGAGTAAGACATAAAGAATGACTTCAAGGCTCCTGGCTTGCATGACTAAGCAGATGTTGATGACGTGAATCATAGATGGATGGATGAAAGAGAATGAATTTCTTTCTGGATATGTTGAGTTTTAAGAACCCTACAAGACGTCACACATACAGTATGGATAGGCTTTCCTTCATAGACAGTGAAAGGGGGAGGAAATATAAAACAACAATCACTTGGATGGAGCCAAGTGGGAATGAATTTAGTTTAACAAACATTTGTTGAATGTTTGCTACAGTCTTGGCACTATCTTAAATATGCTATCATAGTGCATTTCACCAAAGTACTAACATGTAGATTACATTCTAAAGAAAAATAAAGAACTTCTAAATTATCCTTAAATTCAGATGTACTATTTTAAATAAACTATCATCAGAATTAATTCTAGACTTCCAAAATAAACACAGAAATCAAGATGAACATGAAGAAGAAAGGATATTATCAAAATACACACCAAGCAACTATATTCAACCATATTTGAATCATGTGTACTGTTTCATTTCCCAGAGTTTGCCTTTTATTGTTATTTATTTTCTCTTGATTCAATTAGGAATGTAGCCTGCAATTTGAAAGCAATTCTACATGTTATGTGACTGAGTTTCACACAAACCACTAATAAAATGTAGGAAAAGACAATACTCAATGATTCTCTTATGTATTAATTTGATTACTAGAATTAAGTCAGCTAGTTCCATTCCATAGAGTTTAGCACATAATGCTCATGTAGCTTAGGACAGTTTGCAATTCAGAGCTTCGTTAATTAAAGTTTGTAGTTACTTGTTAAAATTTTAATTGCACCATGCCATGATTGAGGGTCTTTTAAAAATTAAATTGTGATTTACCCAAGTGGTGCTGAGTTTTTAGTGGGTGTATGTGCACACCACACAATTACACACGTTTTAATTAGACAATATTTAAGATATTTTTCCTCATTAATGTGTTCATAGAAAAAAGATATGTGCTGCAGCTGCTTAGTTTTGGTGGAAGGTCTGTGTGTTCTGGCCCTAGATGCTCCCCTGTTTGCTTTCTTGCACACTCTTCAGAAGCATTTGCTTCTCTTCTCGAGGCCTTTGCTTCTCTTCTCAAGGCCTCTGCTTCTCTTCTCGAGGTCCAAAACTTTACACATTTTACAGAAAATGATGCATATGCCATTGATTTCAATGTTGTCTGTCCACGTTAACCTCACAGTTTGAACCAAAGATGTTAAATTCCTAAAAAGCCCCTTCCTGATACATTAATACTCTGTCCTGATTTCTGTGTCCAAGCAGTCATCATCACAAATCTTTGACAGTTCTAATGATGACAATAACCAGGGAAATGGGGAAGTGTGAAGTCTTTTTAAAATTGTCCTCAACATATACAGAACTCCTCTTCCTAGTGAGTGAAAGAAAGGGTTATGTTTTCAACCATATGGAAATTAACACCTCCAAAACCAAGAAAATGTCTTCAATTTTGTGGAGTAGGATAAACATTGGATGTGGTAGATGTTGAATTAAAGCAGTTCCCTCAGTTTTACACTTTGTCCAAAATAGCTATAAAAATTTTTACCTTTCCTTATATTTAGACCTGAAAAAATACTATAATAGACAAAATACATTTATTCAACTAGCTTTGCCTTTTCCTTTAATTCCAATTTAGTTGGCTTTTTATAGAAATGTGCTTGCAAGTGAATTTTGATTTCTTAAGCTTTTCTATTAATTCTTGAAATGCCCCAGTGTATATTTTCATTTTTTACATGCAACCTGATAGAAAATCCATAGAACTCAGAGACTTAGGAAAAAATGTAAGCACATTAGTAAACAAATTTCTCAAAATTGGAAAGAGTTGTGTCTAATATACTGTTGATTTAAATATAAGAAGAGTGATTGAATAAATAAATGAATGATTGGGCTGCATAAATGAAACATGGCCCTGTATTCAAAATAAGAGAATCAAGGAAGGGAGAATGGGTAGGCACTGGAATTAGATAGATCTACCCACCCTGGCATGGCTCTGGGCAGATGGAAGGGCAAGCCAAAATGGAGTGATTTCAGTGTTGAGATGTGCCAGTGTAGAGAATCCAATCTGACAATGCTCAGAATCCAAGTTAGATCAAGGCCCCTTGGAGTAAACTCCAAGATATGATAAGCAAAAGCAAGACAAAGCTACAGTGTCAAGGGATAAGAAACGGGATCTCAGAAGCAGTAGGTGTGAATGGAAAGCAAAGACAAGGCTCATAGGTTTCACTTTGAGTGAGCTGGAGCATGCAAAGTGAGGAAAACCAACGCAATAAATGTTGTTGTTGAAGAAGAAGATAGAAGATAGAGGAAGAAGAAGGAGGAGGAGGGGGAGAAAAAGATGAAGAAGAAAAAAAGAAGAGGAGGAGGAGGAGGAGGAGAAGGAGGAGGAGGAGGAGGAGGAAGAGGAGGAAGAAAGTGCAGAAGGAGGAAAACTACCTACATAAGGTTATTGATAGAATAAAAATGAGTGCAAACAGTTTTAAAGTGTTTTTGCACAATGACTGCCATCTGGTAAATACTTCATAAATTATCATTACTGTTATTACCTTTTAAAAAATCATTTCACTATAGTAAACAGCTGCTAAAAACTCAAGACAAGAGAGTAGATATGAGATGCATTCCTACCAATGAGATGGTAAAGCTTAAGTCTCAGTCAGAAAACTGATTGACTCAAAAGACAATAAGAATTCTATGTAGAGACTTAAGGAAGCAGCATAGCACCCAAACCGAGATAAGTTGGTCCAGGGATAATATTAATAGTATGTGTCTCAAGGATAAACTGGAGAAAGTGAGGCAAAGTTATCCAGTGAAGTTTTTACTTACACACTTATACAATTATCAGCCAATTAGCTTCACCTCCTATTAGTTGGTTCATGGGTGTCGAGCACAAAAAAACTATACAAATTTTCATTTTAAAATATTTGAATTTTTGGCTCATTGGGTTGCAAAAGATCTTCTCGACCAGCCTGACGCACGTGGAGAAACCCCGTCTCTACTAAAAATACAAAATTAGCCGGGTGTGATGGCACATGCCTGTAATCCTAGCTACTCAGGAGGCTGAGGCAGGAGAATTGCTTGAGCCAGGGAGGCAAAAGTTGCAGTGTGGCAAGATCGCGCCATTGCACTTCAGCCCGGGCAACAAGAGCAAAACTCTGTCTCAAAAAAAAAAAAAAAAAAAAAAAAGACTCAAATATCAGCTTTTCTTTACCAATTATCTCAAGGTTTAAGAAAAATGAAAAAACATTTTCATACCTCAAAGGATTAGTGACTCTTAGCTTACCTGAGTTTTATTACTTAAATTAGCTTACCTGAGTTTTTGAGTTTTTAACTTTTGCAATGGGTTCCATGCAGTTTATTCCACGCAATTCCAATTTATTTTTATGAATTGCCACCTAACATCAGTATCTTTGGGGTTTGGACATCTCATTTATCATTGGTAACCAAGGACTCCTGGATGAGTGACATTTTTCAGAAAGCTGAAACTTATTCCATAAAAATGTGAAAATATTTATTTTAATTGCTTTGACTTACATATTTTTCTACCTTAATAGAAGATATTAAAAATAATTTAACCTCTTGGATAACCCAAGATCATGATTTGAGATTTCATTACTAGAAGTAATAAGATAAATAGATTTGAGTCAGAAAACCTAGAATTAAGATCTGGTTCTGCCATCTATGTCCACGTAACTTTGGACAAGTAACTTAACTAATTTGAGATACCAATGTTTTCATCTGCAAAATTGGTATCAATAATACATAACTCATATTATGTTGTTGTCGTGGTTGGGTGAAATAATATGAAATATATAAAAGACTATCATTTATGATTTCCTCTTACTATAGGCTTACTGGGTAATATGCTTTTTGTTGATATAAATTTTTTTCCCAGAAAGATATTCCATTTGAAGTATTATGTT
This sequence comes from Homo sapiens, assembly GCF_000001405.40. Lineage (NCBI taxonomy): Eukaryota > Metazoa > Chordata > Mammalia > Primates > Hominidae > Homo > Homo sapiens. The sequence goes on from NC_000008.11 coordinate 117,504,908, forward strand.
TACCAATTGAGGTGTGATATGGTTTGGCTGTGTCCCCACTCAAATCTCATCTTGAACTATGGAGCTACAGCTCCCATAGTTCCCACGTGTTGTGGGAGGGATAAGGTGGCAGGTAATTGAATCATGGTGGTGGGTCTTTCCGGTGCTGTTCTCATGATAGTGAACAAGTCTCACTAGATCTCATGGTTTTATAAAGGGGAGTCCCCCTACACAAGCTCTCTTCCCTGCCATCATGTAAGATGTGACTTTGCTCCTCATTCACCTTCCGCCATGATTGTGAGGCCTCCCCAGCCATGTAGAACTACAAGTCCATTAAACCGCTTTCCTTTACAAATTGCCCAGGCTTGGGTATGTCTTTATTAGCAGTGTGAGAACAGACTAATACAAGATGGTAACTTTTTTGTTTTGTTTTTGTTTTTGTTTTTGAGACGGAGTCTTGCTCCGTCGCCCAGGTTGGAGTGCAGTGGCGCCATCTCGGCTCACTGCAAGCTCCGCCTCCCAGGTTCACACCATTCTTCTGCCTCAGCCTCCTGAGTAGCTGGGACTACAGGTGCAAGCCACCTTTCCCAGCTAGTTTTTCTATTTTTTTTGTAGACATGGAGTTTCGCCATGTTGCCCAGGCTGGTCTTGAACACCTGAGCTCAGAGCTCAAGTGATTCGCCCACCTTGTCTTCCCAAGGTGATGGGATTACAGCGTGAGCCACCGGACCTGGCCTCAGTCTTACAATTTTTAATCTTCCTTTTGCCAACTAAAAGTTGTGGCAATTGGCAATTGGCAGGAAAATTCCACAAGCACCTGTCTCTCTGGCAATGTATTCAGTCGTCCCTCCTATTACTCTCCATGTACTGTCCATCCCCTTACCTTCTATGCCTGCTCACTGTTTTGCCCAGTAATTCTCTACCCTCTCCCCTGCATTATCATTTCCCATTTTCATTGGATAAATCTCAAGAGCAAACAAACATGTTGTGATTTCTCCCATCTTATTAAATTTAAAAAACTCTTGACCCTCCATCTCCTACAGCTACTCCCTATTTCTCTGTCTCTCTTTTTGACAAAAATTTTTTTAAATGTTTTTAATATAGAGAGAATATAGAGCATTCTCGGTATTCATTCTCTGCAGTCAGTTCCTCTTTTCCAATTATCTCCAAAATTTCTTGCAGCTAGTGTTTTGGCCAGTCCACTCTCATAAAACTTTTTCAACATGACCATGACCTCCAATGGCTTGCACGTTGTTGTTCCTCACCTTATTTGACCCTGTTAGCAGCATTTAACACATTGATTGCTGGCTTCCTTGAAACAGTTCTTTAATTTGGGTTCTAGGACACTGTGTTCTTCTCCTTTGCCTCCTGCAATTCACTGACCACATCTTCTCAGTCTGTTGTTCTTGTTATTCCTCAGCTCCTAAATCTCGTGATTTTATAGCACTCTGGGGATTCATGGTTAATCTTAACCATACACATGGTATTAAATATCATTTAATTCTGAAAACTCCCACAGTTGCACCTCTAGCCTGGACCTCACCCCTAAACTCTGGATTCTTGTATCCAGTTGCCAACTTGACCCCTTTCTTGGGTGACTGATGGATGTGTCACACCTCACACGTAAAAACTATGTTCTTATTCTTATATCCCTGGCATATTCCTTCTACAGCCTTCCCTCTCAGTTAACGACAACTAAATTTTTCCTGTTGCTCAGGCCACAATTTTGGGTTCATTCTTGACTTCTCTTTCTCTCTCGTATTCCACTCAGCAAATCTTTTTGGCTCTCCCTTCAAAGTATACCCAGGGTGTGACCACTTCTCACCCCTTCGTCACTCCCATGGTCCAAGCCTTCAAGATCTCTCCTTTGAACTACTTCAATAGCCTCAACTGCTTTTTCCCTCTGATCTTAGCCTCCTAGAGTCTATTCTATTCAGAGCCACCCTGCTGAAAGGGACCGTTTATCTCCTCTGTACAATCCAACCCTCCACCCCAGTGTCTTACTCAAAATACACGCTCTTCCTGATGTAGTAACCTCCTGCCGCCTGCCCCTCCTGCCCCCTTCCTTGTGGTGTGCTAGCCCCACTAGCCTGTTTGCTGAGTCTTGAACATGGCAGGTGGCTCCCTGCTCAAGGCCTCCCTATTCGTGGTCTCTATACTTGCTGTTCCTTCAAGCAATTGATCACATAAAACAGATAACAAGCCGTTAATGACTTTCAAGTTGTCTGGAATGTTTTTTACTCAAATACTCCAAAGCATAATACCTCATCTTCTTTAAGTCTTTGCTTAAAGATTATGTACCATGTGATTATGTAACTCATGGTACATAATCAGTTCTCTGATTACCTTATGTAAAACAGTACTGTCTATTCCCTTTCTCTGATTTATTTATCTCCATAGCCCTTCTCACCACTCACATAGGATATATCTTGCTTTCTTGTTAAATTATTTTATTTATTTAATGCTTATTGTCTTTCTCTCCCATTCATATGAACGGCAGTTTTTTCTTTATTTTCTTCACTGCTTTAGCTCCAAGGCCTGGAACAGTGCCTGGCACATATTAGGTATTAAATAAATGTTTGCTAAAAGAACACTGAGTGAGAAAGAAAAATAAAAGAAAGAAAAATAAACTAGCTATTTCAGGAATAATCAAGTTCACTGACACGAACAACTCATATTCTGTTCATAATATTATTAATAACATTCTTAATATTTTCTATGACAAATACAAAAAGAATTCATGGACCAAAAAATCCGTATTTTTAACTCTGAAAAGATAGTCTTCTTAAGAATGTATAAAATGTCTCTGAATTTGGCATGTTTGTCAATTAGTCTTCATCTCTTTTGTGAAACAGCAAGAAAAAAAAATCTAAGTGAAAGCAAACCATTGATCATAGGAGACAGAGAACAAGCTGTTAATGAGTTTCAAGTTGTTACAATGTACGTGTTAAGGCACAATTGAAGGTGCTGATACATCTCTTAGGTTCTGTGTGATTTTGAACAGGCACAGCTATTTCAATGATTCACTTGATCTCACTAACACTTTCCCAAGGACTCAGTTCATTTCTAAGAGCTTTTATTGAAGGCTTATGTAGCCAATACTTGGAGTGTACTTTTAGATGAAAGAGGAGAACTACCTAAGGATACCAGGCTGGGCTTCCTTTTGCAATGCAAATAAAATTCTTCAGTCCCCAGTTTTTGTGCATTGTATAAATACATTACATAGATAGTCACTCCTTAGGGAGAGATCAACAGCCCCTTATGTTAACAAAAGTAAATGATTTTACATCAGAATAATATGGAGAGACACCAGGGTAGAACTGGAGCCTGAGAGGTTGGGTGATCAAGGGAAAACGAATTGGGCTCTGGTGACACACACACACACACACACACACACACACACACACACACAAAGATTTGTGTCCCAAACTTCACTACTTTTAAACTATGTGACATTGCACAATGTGTTTAACCTTTCTAAGCCCCATTCCCTAACATATGAAATAGAGTTGAGAAAAATCCTTAGTCCTTGTAGACATATAGATTAAAGATAATGTATGAAAAGCACCAGCTACAACGTCTGCACATAGTAGATGTTCAATAATGGTAGAGATCATAAACAAGCAGAAAAAAAAAGCAGGAAGACTAACATTTATTGGCAACCTGCTTAAGACTCAAAATATCTATTCTGTGATACTTAGGAAAACTTCGACACTTTGATCTCTTCTGCAAACACATTCCCAAACTTTTCACTTTCGTTTGCTTCCTCTATGTCCTTGCATTTGTCTTGGTACCATATATTCATAGAGAAGCAAAAAGAAAAATGATGGCCGGCTCGCTCAACCCCGGCTCAGGCCCTAAGAGACTGTAGGGAAGGATAAAAGAGATAACAGAATACACAGTGAAATTTTAGTTCTTGTATGGTGGCGTAACTCCCTTACGGAACCATCTTCCCACCCATAACAACTACAGAACCAGGGGAAAAAAATCAAACCTAATAATCTTGACAAGTAAACAACAGCAGGCAGATTATGGAGGTAATTGGAACCTCGGAGCAGCAACAAAAGAATGGGGGTGGGTTTTGTGTTCCTTTATGGCTTTGACTCAAAGTTGGGGTACGGTTGCAGAATCTCGCTGCAGTACAGGAAGCTAAAACTATGTGGGAAGCCCCATCGTCTTTCTGACTGCAGGAACCAAGGAAAGAAGCTAGGACAACAGCCACCGTGGGAAAATGAGGAGGGAATCCCAGAAAGTAGAGAAGCAGATGAATAGATCCCCTAACCCTATGTACAAAAACCAAAAATAGTTCAGGTTGACCCCTTAACCATACGCGTGTGAGACAGACACCAGGTTAGCTGGTATTTAAAAAAAGAAAACGTTAGCAAAATTCCTCAGAGGAATATAAAATAACTCGAAGTCTATATAACAAAACATTGAGAATATCCAGATGGAATCCAAAATAAAATATAAAGAACGAGAAAAATACAACACATTCTCAATGACTTAAAGTTCCACATCAAGAAGCTATATTTAAAATTTAAAACTCATATCAGACAAAGGACTTGAAACCAGAATAAAGAATTCTTACAATATGCCCATTTAAAACTAGGCAAAATATTTGACAGACATTTCACAAAAAAAGATATACACATGAATAATAAGTGCATTAAAATGTTTATCACCATTTGTCATCAAGAAGAAAAATTAAAACAATAAGATACCATTAAACATCATGTATTTATTTATTTATTTTTAAAATATTTTTTGAGGCTGCAACTTTAAACTCCTGGGCTCAAGCGATCCTTCTGCCTCGGCCTCCCAAGTAGCTAGGACCACAGGTGCAAACCACTATGCCCAGGTAATTTTAACTCTTTTGTAGACAAAGAGGGGTCTCACAGTGTTGCTCAGGTTGGTCCTGAACTCCTGGCCTCAAGTGATCCACGCTGGCCTCCCAAAGTGCTGGAATTACTGACATGAGCCACTGCACCCAGCCTGAACATCTTTTAGAATAGCTAAAATGTTCTTAAAAATTGGCGATATCAGGTGTTGAGGGTATTGTGTCCTCGTAAGCCACTTGTGGGAATGTAAAAGCATACAACCACCTTAGAAAACACTTTAGCAGACTTTTGGAAAGTTAGACATATGCCACCCATAACCCAGCCATCCCACCTCTAGAATCTACCAACTAGAAATGAAAACGTATGTCCACACAAAGACCTGCACACAAATATTCATAGCAGCTTCATTTGCAATGATCTCAAACTCGAAATAACCCAAATGTTCATCAGCAATGAATAAGGAAAATATGGTATAACCATATAATGGAATAGTATTCAGCTACCAAAAGGTACTTCCCTACTAATACATGCATCAATGTGGAGTTACTCCGGAAATTATTACATCTAATAAAATAATCCATTATATCTTTAAAAAGAGTGCCTACTGTATATTTCCATTTTTATAGAAGTTTAGAAAATCTAAGTTTACCTATAATCGACCAGAGGTTGCCTGAGGTAAGAAATGCAGTGAAAGACAAAGTGTAAGTGACACGGAGGAACTTTTGGAGGTGATGGAAACATTTGGTACCTTAGTTGTGGTAATAGATTTTTAGTGTAAATATATGTCAAAACTTATCAAATCGTTCACTTTAAATATGTGCAGTTTTATCGTATATGAATTTTACCTTAACAAGAAATAAAACATTAAGATAATAAATGCTACTTGTGTTTTAAAAAGAAGATATGGTACCTACTTTCAAAGATTTTTATAATCTGGAAGTAGAGTGAGATGAAACAATAATTTAAAAAAAATTAAGGGGTCTGGCATGGTGGCTTATCCCAGTAATCCCAGCACTTTGGGAGGCCAAAGTGGGAGAATTGCTTGAGGCCATGGAATTCAGGGCCCATCTGGGCAACATAGTGAAAATCCTCTGTCTCTACAAAAATAAAAAATAAAAAAATTACCTGAGTGTGGTGGTGGACACCTGTGGTCCCAGCTACTCAGGAGGCTGAGGTGGGAGGATTGCTTGAGTGGGAAGTCAAAGCTGCATTAAGCTGACTGTACCACTGCACTCCAGCCTGGGTGACTAAGACCTTCTCTCAAAAAATAAAATAGGGGTAAGATACAATAGCTCTCAAAAGTGAAAATAAATACAATAATTTTGAGTTTGGAAATGTAAGCTAATAAATCTTAAAGTCTAGTTTTTGAGTGAATAAGCAAGGCTTACTCACCATTTATGACTTTGTTCATACAAAGGTAACCTGTGAATCTGATTATTAGCGTTCAAAGAACAAAGGAGGTGCTAGTTGTGTGTTTAAGCTTTAATTGAAATACACATTAGAACTATGTTTGAAAATAGACCTTAAAAATTCTCCAGTGCTTATTCCAGAGCTCTGCATCTGTGGACCTTCCATTTTTGATCATTAGGACAATGTTGGTAGAAACCACAGTTTTTTCCTCTAAAGACATTTTTTCCTAATGTACAAGCCTCAAAAAGTAAGTCTCCAGGATTTCATGGCACCTTGAGCCTCCATCTTTTGGCTCAGTCACTGAAAGGGACTTTGTTATAGGCCACCAAGCGTTTATCAAATATTCATGACAGGTCTGGCACTGTGCTAGGCATTTTGGAGAAGAAAGGGGTACATGGAAAGAGTCACTATACCTGCTTCCATTCATGTAAAAATTAACTTTGAATACATACAACAGTTAAGGAATAACAGCAGTATAATAAATACCTTGTAGTGGTTAAACTATAAATGCAATTAAAAGAGCAAAGAAGGCAACACTGAGACAGAGAAATAAGCAAAGGGTCTTGAGTCTGGACTTGAGAAAGGTAGAGGGAAATCAGCAGAAGTGGGAGAAAAATTCACTATCATTCATTCATTCAATGAATATTAAGAATCTACCATGCCGAGGCACTGAGCAAAATACTAAGAACACAGTAGTGAACAAAAATGCACTAATCCTTGCCCCCATAGGTTGCTCCCAGCCTACTAGAAGAAGCAGTTATTGAATAAACAGATATGCAAATAAAAATACAATTGCAAAAGATTATTAGTGCTGTGAAGGAACAGTGCACAGGTGGAAAAGATGCAAGAGCCGAGGAGAGAGGACATGAGCAGAACACACAAAGCCCCCAGGGGATGTTCAGGATTCCAGATTTTAAGTGCAACATTGTGACCAGCTGGTGAAGAAAGCATGCCCTCTAAGGTCAAATAAAGTTGACTAAATAAAGGGTACACTAGGCTGCTACCGAAGAACAACTTCACTCCAGTCTTCTCTTCTAATGCCACCAGCCTCTCTCCCAGATCCTGCTTCTCTTTGGGTTCACTTCTCCTCTGGCACCTTTCCCTTTGTCTAATTCACTCTTTATTTCCCTATTCAAAGTCCTAAGAAAGACAATCTGATTGGTCCAGGTTATTACCTTCAATCCTGCTTGGGTAAAGCTTTTTGTACCAGAGCAGGTTACACATCACTGGCCAGCCTAGAAATTGGTTGCCCTTGGGCCAGATGGTCATCCTGATCCAATCAGCTATGACCAGGAGTCATATGGCACAGAAATGGCTAAGGAAGAAGAACCTAAGATGGAAATGAAGATGGCAAATACCATTGCCAATGTTATTTGTCAACCTCCTTAATACAGCAAAAAAAAAAAAAAAAAAAAAAAGGTTGCTCTAGTAGAGTGAAAGTAAGCAATAGAAGGCTTTGAAAATCAGAGAACTGAGCCTTTTTATGGAGACCACTGAAATCCTACAAAGGAAATATGCAGAGACTGACATGATGAAAGCAGAATTTCAGGAAGACAAGTGAATTTGTCTTCATTTTCTATTTCTTTTTCTATTAAACCATACATTGAGATTTAAAGGTCATAATATTTTCTCTTACCCTCTCAGATCAAATGTGATGAGAAATCGGTACAGAGAGAGATGAAGGTAAAATAGCAGCCTAATTATTGGTAAAGCTAGATTACAGAATATGGCTTAGCATTGACTTCCCCTTGAATTGACTGCCAATCCCTGGCAGGGCAGGGACAGAGCCCAAGAAGTGGAGGAGAAGGCACTATTCTGTTCAGAGGGCCAGTCTTAGGAAGAGAGAGAAAAGGTGGGGGCAGCCCAGACCCCAACTCACCACACAATCACCTCTTTGATCTTGGGAAAGAGTGAAAGAAATGCAGGAGCTATTTGTCACAACTGGTGTTTTCTGAAGACTTGGCATGTGGCAAGTAAGTCCTTTCCTGCAACATTTCTCTATCCTGAAGGCTTGTCATTCCTTACCCCTGATTTGCCTGTTTCATCCTCTGCCAATGCATAAGAGGTTCCCTCCTCCTCCTCACCATTCTGTTTCTCCTCACTCAAAAGTCTGCTCAGAATTCAGCCTTTATATAGGGTCCCCATAAGAGAAATATCTTGATTTATCATATCTTTATTTTTTATCACCCAGAATGTATAAAATATTTTATCATATGGGTATTTTTCACTTAATATCATTACCCTAACTCAACAAAATTGGTTGTAAAACCATTCTTTCTGAAGCAAGAGAACTATGCACTTTTTAAAAACAAACAGCCTACTCTGCTTTTTCAAATGTCACCCATTAGAAAATAAAGCAGTAGATTTTTTTCTGGTTTGGGGCAGGGAAATTGTGGGCACTATAGGTATCATTGAACATGAATTCAGTCATTCTAATACAGTACAAAATCTGAAGACTACTTTTTAGGCTGTTAACAATAATTCAGAAGATATTTCCCTGTAGTACTCTGAGAAAAAATATGAAAACAGAGAAGTTCAAGAGAAGCTATAGCAGAAAATAGTACTGGAAATTCTGGCAGGTGAATTATTTGCTTTATTCTCTCACTACTCACCTTGAAATATCGCAATCACAAAGATCTTAATAATTTTTATTAGTTTGATGACTATAAAACTTTAAAAGAGGGAGAATATTTACTTCTGGCAAAACAAAGAAACACCCATTATGTGGTAGCACATGTGGTTGTAAGACAATCAACCACAAACAACTGGCAACTTCACACATAACTTGACTCTTTTTATCCCAAACCATGTTTATTTAATTACAGCCTAGTGCCTTCATTAACGATGTTTTCAAATATCTCTTGATCCTGGCTAAGTGTTTCTAAATATTGACGTTGGGTAACAATAATTGTGACATGTATAAAAAGGAGATATTAGGCAATTAAACTGTCCAAAACAGTTGACCAAGCCATGCAAATTCTCTAAACCTAGAGGAGGATCAGTCTTGAATGTGAAGCTGTGACTTAATTCATGCACTTCTTAAGTATGAGATTCTAAGAGAGCATTGGGAAGCATAGGAAACCTTTACTAATGAACCTTCAGGGACCAGTTAGCACAGTGTGTTAAATTGGAATGCTAATTAGGTCTAGGCAATAGTTTAAATCAACCTAAATGCTTGTTAGTTTGACCAATTACAGGTGCCCAATAAGTGTTTGTTTGAATTCAGTAATTCTCTGTCCAGAGGGAATATTCTGGTTCATGAGTGGCTGAATTGAAAAATATAAGCTATTAGTCATGAATAAATTGCATATAAACTGGTGCATTTCAGCATTACTACTGGAAGTCCAAGGTCGCAGCAGTGATGGCTCAGTCAGGTCCCTTTCCTTTGGTAGGTCCTATGCAGCGATATTTCCAAATGGTCCTAGATTATTTTGAAGCTTTTCCATGGCATGTGTAATATAATGGAAAGTACAAGAGTGAAACATCTGGGTTATAAGTCAGTCCAGAACCACCAAACTATTTAATGACAAAGCAAGTCTAGAACCCACTGTGCTGACTTGTGGGGAGTTTTCCTTCCATTGTGGCCCCTCAAATCTCTCGAGTCTACATTTCTCCCTTTCCTACCCCCAAAGCCGGCTGCTTTCCCCTCAGTGTATTCTCAAATATTGAGTCTTAGGTTCAGACTAAATACTGTAGCCTGTATGTAGACTTTTGATTCAACGACTGGTATCCTGACTCCACAAAACCATCCCAGAATTGTTCACATGTCTCCCAGGTGGTAGAAACTGCAAAGCCCAACACTTCCCATAACAACATACACAAAGATAGCTCTAATCCTGCAATTACACAAGAGCCAGGGGCACTGCTGCAGGTAATGAGTCAGGTCAAGAAGGATTCTAGTTTGTCTTTTGGGTAATTTAAAGCAGAGGCAATGAATCATTGTGTTAGAAGAAACGACTTTGGTATCAGACAAAACCACATGGATCTTAGGGCAAATTTCAAATTTGCCACTTCGGCAGTAGCAAATTAGTATTAAATTCAGTTGTATGTGACAGAAAACCCCCAAATAAGCACTTAGCTAGCTAAGCTGTAGCCATGATTTCTGCATCCCAGCTAGTAGGAAGAAGGAACTGGAGGCCCCATTCTTCTAAGGACAACTGCCAGTAGTCTCCCACGTCATGCATACTTACAGCTGATGGGCCAGAACTTAGTGAAATGTCCCTGTCAAGGCTGAAGGAAGGCTGGGACATACAGCTTCCACCCTGGGTGCCCTGCTAAAAACCAGATATTCTCTGGCTAAAAAAAAAAAAAGGCTGGAGATGGTGGCTCACGCCTGTAATCCTAACACTTTGGGAGGCTGAGGCAGGAGGATCATGAGTTCAAGAGTTCAAGACCAGCCTGACCAACATGGTGAAACCCCATCTCTACTAAAAATACAAAAAATTAGCCAGGCGTGGTGGCACGCACCTGTAATCCCAGCTACTCGGGAGGCTGAGGCAGGAGAATTGTTTGAACCTGGAAGGCAGAAGTTGCAGTGAGCCAAGATTGTGCCACTGCACTCCAGCCTGGGCAACAGAGCAAGACTCTGCCTCAAATAAAAAAAAAAAAAAAAAAAAAAAAAACGGCAGAGGAGATATTGTATAGAAATTAAGACTCTGTTCCATTCCCTTCCTAACTATGGGACTATGGGTAATAATTTTGTACTAAAATCTTCTTCTGTGATTTAAGATAATACTTCCTTTGTGTGGATTATTTTGCTTAACCTCTCAGCGGTGTCTGACACTGTTCAGCACAAGCTCCTTCCTGAAACAATCTATTCTTCCTGTGACTTCCATAGCCGGACTCTCCTGATTTTCCTCTGACCTTTCCAGTTCTTCCCAATTTTTGTTGTTAATGGTGTTGCCTCCTCTTCCTCTTTCTGTTCCTTAGTGTTCCCATTGGCTCTGTCCTGGAACAGCTTCTTCCTCACTTCTCACTTTATCCATTTTCCTCACCGTTACCCATGGTGGAAGGAAGTATAGTGCACATTTATTGAATGCTTAGTATACACTAGGAACTATAAGTGTGTTATATATAGCATCTCACTTAATCCTATCAACAATCCCAAAGCTAAATACCATTGTTATTGATGGAGGTTGGTGTCATCTGTCCACTGTTGAGTAATGCCAGGTTTGGATTTTAGTCCAGGACTATCTGACTCCATGGATTTTGAGCTTACTATCACACCCACCCACCTTTCTCTAACCATGTAAAAGGAAAACCCTACCAGGTCCCAGCACACACTCAATTGCTTACTGGATATATCCACTGATGATCATGCACACATTTCAAACCCAAGATGCCCCCGAGTAAACTCCTGGTTCTTTCATCAACTATTTATTGAGCACTTATTATGTGCCAGGCACTGCTGTAGGTGCTGAATCTACTGAAGTAACCAATAGAAACAATCTCTAATTTCATGAGATTTACTGTTTAGCTGAAGGGACAAACAGTGAAAGAAACAACATCAGTTTGAGAGAAACACTACAAAAAATGAAGCAGGCTAAATGGACAGAGAGATGGAGAGGGCTGTACTGTAGGTGGAATAATGGCCCCACAAAGATGCAAACCCTCTAATCCCTAGAAGCTATGACTATGTTGCATTACATGAAACAGGGAATTTTACAGGCGTGGTTAAGGTTAAGGGTCTCGAGGTGGGGAGTTTATCTAGAATAACGTAGATGAACCCAGTATCATCACATAGGCCCTCAAAAGTGAAAGGTTAGAGGTATGTGACAAGGACAATGGAATAAGATGCAGGAGAAATTTAAAGCATGAGAGAGACTTGCCTGCCATAGCTGGCTTTGAAGATGGAGGAAGGGACCACAAGCCAAGGAATGTGGCATCTCATAGAAGCTAGGAATGGCTGTCAGTTTACAATCAGTAAGAAAATGGGGACATAAATTTCTGCTGCTTTAAGCCACTAAATTCTGATATTTTTTTCCAGCAGCAACAGAAGACTAATGCAGGCTATTTTTTTTCTTTTTTTTTTTTTTTGAGACAGAGTCTTGCTCAGTCGCCCAGGCTGGAGTGCAGTGGTGCGATCTCGGCTCACTGCATGCTCCACCTCCCAGGTTCACGCCATTCTCCTGCCTCGGCCTCCCGAGTAGCTGGGACTACAGGCGCCCGCCACCATGCCCAGCTAATTTTTTTGTATTTTTTAGTAAAGACAGGGTTTCACCATGTTAGCCAGGATGGTCTCGATCTCCTGACCTCGTGATCCACCCGCCTCGGCCTCCCAAAGTGCTGGGGTTACAGGTGTGAGCCACAGCACCCAGCCTGATGCAGGCTATTTTAAGTAGGGTGGCCAGAAAAGGCCACTGTAAACAAAGCCTGGAGAGATAGCTGAGAGAAGAGCTTCCCAGGCCAAAATAAATGAGTCTGAAGTGAGATGAACTTGGAGTGCACAAGGAATAGTAAGGAGGTGTATGTATCTGGAGTGAGGGGAGAGCTGTGGGAACTGAGAGAGCAGGAACAGCCTAGGCCAGCACATGTGGAGGTGTGCAGGTCATGCAGCTTTGGATTTTATTCTAAGCACGATGAGAGGACAGGAGAGCAGGGGAGAATCATAACCTGACTTAGCTTGTAAGTTTGCCTGTGGGTGCTGTAATGAGTGTGGACTGGATGGGGCAAGTGTAGCAGGAAGGGAGTTCAATTAGGAGACTCTTGATTGTTATCCAGCATTCTAAATAAGAGAAGACAGCTTGGACTAGGTTGAAAGGGGTGAAGTAATTGGTCACATATAGGATATATTTGAAAGTCAGAGTTCATTCTATTTTCTGATGACTTGGAAGTAGGGTGGGAAAGAGAGAAGCCAGGATGGGCAACTAAATGCATGGTGGTGCCAGACAATGACATGGGAAAAGTGTGGTAAAGAAGGTTGGGAGGGATCAAGAGTTGGGTTTTCTTAGACATAAGTTTTAGATGCCAAATAGCCATCCAAGTCAAGATGTCAGGTTTTTAGGTATGTGAGTTTGAATTTAGGGACAGTTTGGATTGGCGGCATGTGGTAGGCAGATTTTAGTTACTCCCCGAAGATGTCCACATCCTAATTCCCAGAGTCTGTATGTCATGTTACATGGCAAGGGGCGATTAAGGTAGCAGACGGAACTGAAGCTGCAAAACAGCTGACCTTAAAATAAAAAGATATCCTGGATTATCTAGGTGGACCCGATGTAATCAAAATGATACTTAAATGAAAGAGAGGCAGAGGACTCAGAACCAGAGATATGGCATATTCAACTAGCCAATTCTGGCTTTGAAAAGGATGAAAGCTGGTTTTTGCAGTTGGTGGAAGTGGTCATGAGCCAAGCAATTGCGGCAGCCTTCTAAAATCTGGAAAAGACAAGGAAACAGATTCCTTCTGAGAGCCCCCAGAAGGGAACACAGCCCGCCAACACCTTGAGCGTAGTTCAGCGAGAACAATTTCAGACTTCTGAGCTAAAAAGCTATAAAATAATAAAAGGTGTGCTGTTTTAAGCCACAAAGTTTGTGGTAATTTGTTACATGTGCAATAGGAAATTAACATAAGGCATAATTTCTCGGAAACTTATTTTTTCTTCAGTGTATCCTGTCTTGGTAAATGACATAAACTTCACCTGAAGTTTCACATGAAAGCAGAAATACGTGCCATCCTTAATTCTTTCCTCTCCTTAATGTTCCTGATCCAGTTACTATCAAGTTCTCTAGATTCTACTTACTAAATATTTATTCAAAGTTACCCTCTGTCTCCTTTCTCTGCACAGGTCATGATCATCATCATCATTCCCCTTTGGGAGAGAAGACAATAGAAACCCACCATCTGTTCCCCATTTAGCAACCAGAATAAGTGTTCTAAAATGAATATTTCAAATTATTCCTCTCACCTTGAAACTCTTCAATGGCTTGCTATTTCACTCCATAAATTCTCAACTGCTTGACATGGGTTAGAAGATCCTCCAGGGTTGCCTCTGTCTTCAGCCTTATTTCCTAACACTCGTCCTCACACTGAACTTCTTCCAGATCCTAGAAAGCATTAGGAGGCCTCTTCACTTCAGGTGTTGGCACTGGCCTTCCTCGTCCTCATAGAAAAGACTCTATCATTCGTTACTCCCTTCCCTATCCACCTTCAGGTTCCACACTGCTCCCTTCAGGTCGTTCTCAATCTCCTAAATTGTTAGCACCCTGATATCAGGAACTTTTGCTTCAAGACGCTCATCACAATAGTGTTCTGTTTGTCCCCATGACAAACATGCTGCAGGGCTTTTGCCTGGTTTGTTCAGTACGCTATCTTCACTCCTAGCACCCAGCACATAATAGGTGCTCAGCCAATATTTGTCGAATGGTAATTACCGAAGACCTGCGAATTACTATGTTTAAAATCTCTACCAGGGTTCCTATGACATATTTAGTAACTATTTCCTGGAAAGTCCGTACAATGGAGCATTCAGATACTTCTAAAAAATGCAATGTTTGTGCCTATCACTAATTTTACATTCTTCACTTTTCCCCACTTTGGAGATGAACAGTAAGTGAGAGACATTGTGAGAGACATTTTAATTTCTCTTGCATTTATCATGTCACTCAACAATCATTCAATAAGTATTTATTGATACTTGTGCCAATCACTAGGTGTTGAGAATAAGTGAATAAAATAGTCTGTTTTCATGGAGTTGGCAGTGTGTGTAGATAGGGTGAGATAAAGTCTGAAAGTAAACAAACTGAAAGCTATATAAAATATCAGACAGTAGGCCGGGCGCGGTGGCTTATGCCTGTAATCCCAGCACTTTGGGAGGCCGAGGCGGGCGGATCACGAGGTCAGGAGATCGAGACCATCCCGGCTAACACGGTGAAACCCCGTCTCTACTAAAAATACAAAAAATTTGTCGGGCGTGGTGGCGGGCGCCTGTAGTCCCAGCTACTCGGGAGGCCGAGGCTGGAGAATGGTGTGAACCCGGGAGGCGGAGCTTGCAGTGAGCCGAGGTCGCGCCACTGCACTCCAGCCTGGGTGACAGAGCGAGACTCCATCTCAAAAAGAAAAAGAAAAAAAAATCAGACACTAATAAGAGCCAGAGTCAGAAAGAAGTGTGTGTGTTGATCATTTTTTTTGCTTACAGATACTGGGAAAACTCAAAGAATAAAACATCTGAGCAGGGACCAAGAGCAATCGGGGAGTCCGTATCATGTCACAGAGAAGCGTACAAGCTTAGGAATCTTGTTTTCTGAATTCGAATCGCAGGTTGCCAGTTACACCTGTATGCGACTCAACAAGTACTTTAACCTGTCTCTTAGCTGTTATACTACAAACCTCAGGCTTGTTAAGAGAAAATGCTCCGCAAGGAACTAAACACAGAAGGTTCTAACGCTGAGCCAAGACTGGGAAACGAACTCTGGGAACTCACCCCAGGCTCCCCAAGAACATCGCCCCTCTGGCTGGAGCGCAATTGGTGATTGGCTACTTAACCCGTCCGTCCTTTCCCGCCCAGGGGTCCAATCCAATCCAGCCCGGCTCCGCTCGGAGACAGTTCGCCGAGTGGGCGGTGTCTATGACGTTTTCTGACGTGTTACGTCACAGTGGGCGGAAGTCGCGGCCGCTGTTTTGAAATCGGGCCGCGGGGGGTCTCTCAAGCTGGTTCCAACGCTGAGGCCCCACAGCCTCCCAATTCCGGGCAGACCCCTGACACCTGCTGTCTGGCCCCTTCCGGCCTGAAGCTGCAGCCGCGCCATGTCCACCCCTCCGTTGGCCGCGTCGGGGATGGCGCCCGGGCCCTTCGCCGGGCCCCAGGCTCAGCAGGCCGCCCGGGAAGTCAACACGGCGTCGCTGTGCCGCATCGGGCAGGAGACAGTGCAGGACATCGTGTACCGCACCATGGAGATCTTCCAGCTCCTGAGGAACATGCAGGTAGGAAGGCGGGCGCGCGAGGCCAGGGGGATGCAGCTGGGAGGGAAAGGGCCTCTGGTTTCCTCTTTACGTGGGGCCCGTGGATGTCATCGGGGCTGCCCTGGGCAAACCTTAGGTGTAGGGTCTCCCCCATTCACACTCAAGAGTGTCCCCAAAAGTCGGATTTGTAGAGGTGATGTTTTCCAGACCAGATTTCTGCAGAATTGAAGCCAATTTTTTTTAGATTCAATCGAGCTCTTTAGTTACTCTGTAAACTCTTGCACCTTTCAAGGCAGAGATGGGTCGCACTCCACTTCCCTCTTTAGGTTGCTTTAAATGTTTTTTCCAGCATTTCTTCTGGGGAGGTCCAAGGAGTTGAAGAATTTACATTTTTTTTAAAAAAACAGTCCTCCTTTTTTTGGCATAGTTAATATACAGTAAACTACACTCACCTAAAGTTTTGATATATATGTGTACTGTAGTCTGTATACTTGTGAAATTATCACCACAATCAAAATAGTGTACACATCATCCCAGAAAGTTTCTTCATACCCCTCTGACATCTTTGCTTCCCACCTTCCATCGCTAAGCAACCATTGATCTGCGTTCTGTAATCATAAATTAATTTGCATTTGCTAGGGTTTTATATAAACGGAGTCTACAGTATGTGGGCTTTTTTTTTTGTCTGAGATCCTTCACTAAGAATGCATCAATAATTTCCTTTTTATTGCTGAGTAATGTTCCATTGTATCCATGTATCACCATTTGCCTACCTTTTCTTCTGTTGATGGACATTTGGGTTGTTTCCACTTTTTGGCTGTTGTAAATAATGCTGCTATGAACTTTTGCTGACAAATTTTTGTGTGAACGTATGTGTCATTTCTCTTGGACAGATTCAGGAGTGGAATTGCTGGATCATGCAGTACATGTCTGTTTAATACTTTAAGAAACTTTTCCAAAGTGGCCTGAGCCATTTTACGTCCCGATTATTGCTAGTGGGAATGTAAACATTGCTGTTTGAGGGTTCTAGTTTCTCCTCATCCTCATCAACACCTGTTATGTCTTGATGCTTTCCAAATACTTCTCCCAGTCTATCCTGCCTTTTTATTCTCTTAATACTGTCTTTTGAAGAACAGACATTTTAAATTTTGATGGAATCCAGCTTACTGATTTGTTCTTTTATAGATTTTGGTTTTGCTGTCATACCTAAGAAATCTTTGCCTAACCCAAGGTGACAAAGGGTTTCTGTTTTCTTCTAGAAGTTTTGTACTTTCAAGCTTTATATTTAGGTCTACAACCTATATTTAGTTTTGTGAGTTTTTAAATATGTATACATAGTGGCAGATACGGATCCAAGTTCATTGTTTTGCATTTGGATATCCAGTTGTTCCAGCACCATTTTGCTGACCCATTTTTAATGCTTGCTTATATTACCCACTACATGTAGTAGATATTATTTTTGTTTTACAGATGAAGATTCTGTACTTCAGAGAGATAAAGTGACTTGCCCAAACCTAGTCAGTGGTAGGGTAAATTTGAAACCAAGTTTTCAAAAATCTTACAGCTCTTATTTCTGTGGGTGTCCAAAAAAGTGTTTTATTGCTTTTTTTTTTTTTAACTGGTCAAGACTTTTTTTTTCGTCCTGATTATAAGAGTAATTCAGTTTCGTGGAAATTTTTAAGACCATGTGAAATATAGTACAAAGGAGATCCAGGAGAAATTATGACATTCTTTGGCAATAATTTAAAAAAATGAATAGATTCATATCTAGAATGAATAAAGTACGGATTAAATAATGTCTCAGAATTTAGCATACTTTAAAAAAAATTTTGTCCTGTTATATGCAAAGCACCGAATAATACCTAACACTTACGAAGTACTTTCCTTGGTCAGGTACCCTGTTATAGGAGCAGTTTTAAGGAGTATTTTTATCCCTATTTTACAGTAAAGGAAACTGAGGCTTAATGAGAGAAAAAATAAATTACCCAACATCACACACGACTAATAGCTCTTCCTACTAACCTCTTTTTAATACTAACTTGCTGTCAATGTACATTATTAAAAGATATAATACAGGTTCATGTTCTACGCAGAACTAAACTTTTTCAAAAAAAGTATTTTATCAATAACTAGATTACATGTGGACCTGCATTCAAAGCCAACTTTTTTTTTTTTAAGTTTTTTTTTTTTGTCTGTAAGTTTATTCAATGCAAAATAATCCTCTCCAATTTTACTGAGGTGGCTGACCATGTCCACGACCAAATCCGCCTCTAAACTGGAATTCGGTTGTTGACCCAGCCCCAGTCTCGGCTTTCTTGTCGGCACCAGGGGGCACAGCACTCCGTCTGTAGGTATCTCTGTCGGCTTCCCCTCTTGTGAGTCTTGCAGGTCGCTCACCCTCCAGACCTTTAGGCTGAGGCCTGCCAGTCTCTGGACGGCTGCGGCGTAGGGTGGCAGGAACAATCTCCGGGGGCAGATGAAGGTAATCACAGAGATACTGGATACCCTCATTGGTAAGGTACCAGTAGAAATGTCTCCAGGCAAACTGTTCCTTCACGTAGCCTCAGGACTTGAGAAACTGCATGGCCTTCATGACATGAAGGTTGGACACATTCTTGTCTGCCAGCTCCGGGTGCTTAGGCATGTGGAATCCTCCTTGGCCACCATGATTCCCTCCTTAAAAAGGAGTTCATAGGCTAGGCGCGGTGGCTCACGCCTGTAATCCCAGCACTTTGAGAGGCCGAGGTGGGCGGATCACGAGGTCAGGAATTCGAGACCAGCCTAGCCAACATGGTGAAACCCCATCTCTACTAAAAATACAAAAATTAGCCGGGCGTGGTGGCGGGCGCCTGTAATCCCAGCTACTCGGGAGGCTGGGGCAGGAGAATCGCTTGAACCCGGGAGGCGGAGGTGGCAGTGAGCCGAGAGATCGCGCCACTGCACTCCAGGCTGGGCGACAGAGCGAGACTCTGTCTCAAGAAAAAGGAGTTCATAAATGGCAATACGTTTCTTCTTAAGCTTCAACATTTCGGCCACTGTAGGGTCTGGGACCCAAAGCCAGCTTTTGAGGGACTATGATAATTATATGTGTGCTTTTCATTTTGTGAAATCTGTGATCACTCATCCAGGACCCTTTGGGGCCTATCATAATTGGCTGAAAAGATAACAATGGGCTCCTTCATTTCCAAAAAAACTAGAAGAGGTGATAGAAATAGGATATTCTTAACTATATATAACCTAGTGATTTGTTAATACATTTTTAGTATTCACATTTTAAAGTAATCGTCTGTATTATTGATCTACGAGAGTAAAGTGCTGTGAATACAAACTGCTAAGAATTTTTCTAAGCATTTGTTTTAAAGAAGTGGTTCCTGGTATACACTAGATGTCCGTTAGCCACTTGAGAGTCTGATGAAAACTGTGAGCTCTCTTCTGAGAAAAATACACATACATTTTGAAAATTTCAGGGGTTAAAGGAAGATTTAGGGATACTCCCCAAGTATCCTTAAATCTCAGATTAAGAGTCCTTGTGGAAGATACCATTGCTTTTGTTCTGTTTATTATTCTTTGAATCTTTAATTTTTAAAATACATAGTACATTCAGAATTTAGGAATAAAAAAGGACAGTGCAGTGAACATTTTCCTTCCCATTCCTATCTCTTATACTATGTACCTAACTCCTCTCCACAGGCAGTGATTGTGACTGATTCTTACTATTTTTGTGTATCTTTCCAGATATTCTCTGCATATTAAGCAAATGTTTATGTATATTGTTTCATTTTCGCCTTTTTTGCACAGATAATAGTATATTATACACAACCATTTTGTACCTTGCTTTTTTCAGTTGATATATTTTGGAATTTATTCATACCCATACAGAAAATACTCCCTTATCCTTTTTATAGTGTATAGTTTACACTGCATGGAAATACTGTAATTTATTAAACCAGTTCTCTAGTGAGGGCATTTGGCTGTTTTTCATCTTTCCCTGTTAGGCTGCACCAAATAACCTCCTACACAAATTTGCACGTATACCTGTCGGATACGTTTTTAGAAATAGCTATGTGCTTTTGTAATTAGATACATTTTGATGAATTGTCCTCCACAGAGATTGAACTAATTTATGCTACGGCCTAAGACCAGCACAGTGAGTTATAGCTTTTTTGGATCTTTGATCACTTGATAGGTGAAAATTCTACTTTACATTTCTCCTAGTTTGACTGAGTTTGAACATCTCTTAAAATATTTTAATTATTTATATTTTTTTCCTGCTAAATGCTTGTTCACTTATTATTCACCCATTTGTCTGTCTTTTTTTTTTTTTCATCTTTTTTACCTACCTTAATTGTAGGATTTAGCTATTTACATACTAGAGAAACCTGCTCTGTGTGATACAACTTAAAGTTATTTTTTTCCCTGTCTTTTACCTTTTGGCTCTGCTAATGGTAGTTTTGCCATGCATTTTTTTTAAGTAGTTGAATGTATTAGTCTTTTAGGACTTCTAGGCCTTATGCCTAGTTAGAAAGGTCTTCCCCACTCAAATTAGGAAGAATTCTATAATTTTTAAAATTTCAGCCTTTACATTTAAAACTGTGATCCTTATGGAATTTATCCTATAAAATGTGAGGTCTGGGCCTAGCCTTAACTTTTTCAAAAGGTTCACTGAATAATTCACTTGCTTCTTCCAGTGATTTCAGGTAGCTTTTATATAAGTGAATTTGTTTCTGGATGTTCTATTCTATTCCACGTAGCTGCCTATCTTTTATGTATTAATGCAAAACATTCTTTTAATTTGTCAGGATCTAAATGTGTTACACTTATTTTTCAGAATTTCCCTGGCTATTCTTGCTTATTTTTCCACATGTATTTTAGAATCAGCTTATTCTAAGAAAAAGCCTGTTAGCATTTTTATTAGGTCCGTTCGGCCTAGAAAGACTTGACATCATTATGATGTTGACTCTTACTAACCAAGAACATGCAGTATTCTTTTTCTGTTTTCCTATAAGGTATCTTAAGTTTTCATTTTTATCTTGAGATTTTAAAAGTTTTTTTCTAGGTATTTTATCTTTTCTGTTGCCATTGTAAATGGGGTCTTCTTTTCCCATGTTTTTGTTTGTGTTATAGATGAAAACAGAGCTATTGCTTTCTCTTTGGACCTACTTCCTTATTGAATTCTTTTATTTTTAGTAGCACTTTATCATATTATTTGTAAATAGATTATGATGCTTTCTTTTTAATGTTTCAACATTTTTTTCTCTTTCTTCTCTAATTGCATTGGCTAGTGCTTCCAGAACAGTGTTCACTTACAGAATTAGGGTCTTAGTAGACATCCTTTTCTGTTTCTGATCTTAGTTGGAATGCTTCTAATGATTCCACATTAATCATAGTGCTGACTCTTTAACTGAAATAAATGTATGTTGTCACATATTGAGGATTTTTTATTGAGTTTTATATTGATTTTTTAAATGGGTGTTGAATTTAGTTGAATGCCTTCTTGGTGTCTATGGATACGATCATGTATTTATGGGTTTTCATCCATACTCATGAGTGAGATGGTTATTGATGAGCTTTTCAGCTGAACAGCTACACCGTGGTATATACCAAGGGATCTTAGGCATTTTTACCGTGTATACTCTGTACTATGGAAACCTTGTCTCTCTGATGTTTACTGCTCTATCCTAGCTTCTAGAACAGTGCTGACACATGAAACGTGTGTGGTATTTTTTCTTTTTAATGATTTAGTAAGTTAAGTTAGTAAGTTTGGATCTTAGATTTAACATCTAATATCTTTCTAAGTCAGCAAATTTGGGGAGTGTGATTCTTGGCATTTCAAAAGGATTTTTGTTTTCTTTATGACAGTATTTATCAAGAGTTCTTTTACATAATACATCTTAATAAATTTTAAGTATAGATTTATGGGTAAAATAACTCGCTTAAGTAAAATAATTCACACTGTACTTTAAAGCCTTCTGTATGTGTGCACTATGCTCAATATGGTGATATGAACCTAAGTTCCAGTCTTTACTAAGTAGAAAATATGGGCAAAGTATTAAACCCCATAATGCCATAATAAAGGTACAGAGTGCTGTTCTAGGCAAGACATAATCATCATGCTCCTTTCTGTCACCTAAACAAGAAAGCAAGGATCCACTTAAACTTTTCTCTGAATTTCTAGTTAGTGTCTGTGGAATTTCATAAACTGAGAGTTCAGGAGGAGAAATCTTACATTGTACTGAGAAATGAACCCTTAATGCCTTTCTCCTTTAAAATGTTTTGACTAGTTCAGCCTTTGATATTTTATCACATTGCTTTGAGGCATTGTAGACTGTTTTAATGCTTGAGAATTTCTGAAACTCCTAATAATATCACACTTCAAATAATTTCAGGAGATCCATCTCCTTAACTTGTAAACCATAACAGTACTGGAAATTTAGAAGTATGAGAAAAGAAGAAAATAAATTATTCAAGCCTATTTATCTTACACATCTTTTATCAACTATGTATAGGGCTTTCCAGTCTTTTTTCATGTTTATGGTTTTAATCATTATATGTCCTGTTTACTTTTCACTCCAAACATTGTATCATGCTTTTCTTTTTTTCTTTCTTTTTTTTTTTTTTTTTTGGCATTCCTACCTCATGTGTTTAAAAAAGAAAAAAATGCAAACTGAGGCTTGGAAAGACTGGACTGATCACCTAGCTATTATACATGTGAATTCCTACAAATGAAAATGCCCGAATACTAGAAAACGTGGTACTGTGTAAATAGTATTGATTCAAGTATTAGGGTGATGACACAGATCAGATTGTGGGAATAAAATATTGTACAGCTGTACAGAGAAAGATTTTGTTCATGAGTTTCAGCAATGCAAAGTACATATTTAGTTATAAATTCTAAATAAATAGTCGATTTTTGTTTACCTGTCATTTTATTATTTCAATATATACTTTTCTTCTTTTGATAAAATTCCTGAATTAAAAATATATCCATATCTAAGGCAGAGTTATGATCATAGCAGTTACTTGTAATAATTTATTAATGGTGTTCAAGTATAGATGGCACCCATATCTCCTGCTATTGATTTTTTTAAGTAAAACTTTAAATGACAGGTTTATATTTTAATGTATGCCTTAAGCATCTTAATTATCTTATCAGAGTTAAGGCATTTTGAGAATATTTTTGCAATACCAGCCATATATTCTTCATTTTCTTCCACTAAAATATCATCAGATTCACTTTTTTTTTTAAACTGTACTTTGTTTTTAACTTCTTGGTTGAGGTCAGCAGCATGCTGCATTTATATAATAGTAATATTAAAATTGTAAATTTTTTTTTAAAGTTACACTTCAAAAATTAAAGGGGAAAAAGTATTTCAAGTCAGAGGGTTTATCACAAAGTTTTTCTAGGTCTGTTTTATAGCAGTGAAACAGGTATGCCAAGTTGTTAATAAATGGGCATGCATTGCTCTTAAATTCTTAAAATTAAACTTGATCAGTTGTGAGGGACAGCTTATGTCTATGCATTGCCTAAAAATTGTTTCTGTTTGTTGGCTTTACTTATAGAAAATCTTGATTTTTTTTTCATTACTTGATATTTTTATTCTTTGTTTTTCCTGATAAGCTGCCAAATGGTGTCACTTACCACACTGGAACATATCAAGACCGGTTAACAAAGCTACAGGATAATCTTCGCCAACTTTCAGTTCTCTTCAGGAAGCTGAGATTGGTATATGACAAATGCAATGAAAACTGTGGTGGGATGGATCCCATTCCAGTCGAGGTAATTTTTTGTGATAGAGGGAGGATGAATATAAGGTGTGAACTAGTGTCAAGACAGTTGTTAATCTTTTTCCTCTCTCTCCTGTTTTAGCAATATTTCCAGGTTTCGAATTTTATTGGTTTTACTTTTGACCAGAGAAGATGAAAATGTGATATATATGCATAAAATACTACTATATTTTTACATTAACAATTTCTTGTAGACTTTGACAGGCTTATAGTAATTTTTGTTGTTGTTAGGAAGAAATGTTTTCCTATGGCAATTTTTATTGCTGTCAGTGTCTCCTTTTAATTAAGTCAGGGATATTTTTAGTAGGAATTTTAATAGTATCATATACTTTTAAGGTGGTTTTCATGAAGTACTTTACAGATAAAATATTATTTTTATTATTATTAATTTGGATTTTATATTTAGCCCAGTGGAATCACTATATTTTAAAAATATATTCTCTAAATTTAATCTTGGGTCATACCTATTTAGTTAATTAGGCATATATTTCTATAAGTCACCCTTTCCTGTTGACAAATTATATCTCTGCCACCAAAGGAAGCTGGTAAGAGATGACCAGAGAAAAATTAAACTGCAAAAATGCCTAAAAAGAAGGGGTCAGAGATGTGGGAGAAAGATCAGAAATGTGGCCTACATCGTCAGATGCTACAGAGAAGTCAGGGAAAATAAGGAATGAAAACTGTCCAGTAGATTTTGCTAGATGAAAATTGTTGGTATATTTGAGTAGAGCTTCAGTGAAATGATAGCAGCGTGAAGTCTGATCCTAGTCGGGTGAAGATTAAACAGGAAATAAGAAGCTGGAGCCGGCAAGTGGATATCAGTCTTTCAAGAAGCTTTGAAAAAAATAAGAGAGGAAAGCAGTAGATGGAAGGAGAGATGGAATCGAAGGTTTGCAGGAGGAAGAGGAGCTTCCCTCCAAATAGAAGAGATAGGAACATGTTTGAATAATAAAGGAAGAAAGCTGTAGGGAGAGGTTGAGAGAAAGGTGTATAAATAATGAAGACAGGAGGGCAGAGTAATCAGGGCACAGGAATGGAGACTAATCGTCTTCAGGAGGAAGGACAGCTCTGCATTGAGACAGATGAAAGAAAGAAAAGGAGAATGTAGACATGGGTGAGTTTATATATATCCCAAGAATTTGAAGAAGTTTTATCAGGTGAATCCTAGTTTTACCAGTCATTTACCTTTAGCCTATTCTTGCATTGGTAATACACGATGGTAAAGGCTAGGTGATTCCTGAAGTCTGCCACACTTATGCGGTAAATTCCATCACTAACCATGCATACTTAATTACGATTCTGCTAGAAGTTTCATTGCTATATAAATTTGTTTCTCCTACAAAGAAAAAGTTCTCACAACTGCGAAAACTTAAGACATCTAGAAGTTTGCATAGACTCTGAAGTTTTAGATTGCAAGTTAATGACAATTATATAATACAGATCCGTGAAGTTCTTTTCTTTTTATTGCAGATGAAGGAAAGCCTGTTTTATCTATCTCAATAGACTACAAATCTCTTAGGGGCAGGAATCACATCTTGTTTGGCATTACTTTTATAGTGTTTCATAATTAAATATTTGCTGATTGAGTAGGGTTTTTTTAAATTTTTATTTTATTTTATTTTATTTTTTACTTCTCCCATCTTCCTGCTGGAAGTATTGTTTAGTTGTACATGACAACCAATGTTATAAAGGCTGTTTTGCAAAAGAAACCTGAAAGGGTAATGCATAGAATGCATTGAAATGGTCAACTATTAAAGCTCTTATTTCAGGCCATCACCTGAATTGAAATTATTTTTATACAAATAAAAGTATAAAAATTGACCTTAATCTGATATATTCTCTATACAAGTGATTAGAAAACTTGAATTATATTTTTGCCTTTTAATTTTTGTTAATCATTCCCAGCAACTTATTCCATATGTGGAAGAAGATGGCTCAAAGAATGATGATCGGGCTGGCCCACCTCGTTTTGCTAGTGAAGAGAGGCGAGAAATTGCTGAAGTAAATAAAGTGAGTTGTTAGTTTTTACATTTTATGTTTTAGAGTTATTGATAAAAATTACTAGGGAGTCTGATGTAACTCCAAAACATAATTTGAATTATCAAATTACATGAAGTTGTTTCTGCGGCAAACTTCACCTATTTAGAATACAGCCAAGAAATGAAAGGTAAGCAGAAATGCTGTCTGAATAGTCAGAAGAGAAATTGCAAAATTCATTCGATAAAGCTCTTAGAAGAGCTCCTTAGACACTTAGTCACAATCCATTTACTTTTTTCTTTTCTGGGCAGAATTCTACCTTTCTAGCTTATAGCATATTTGGAGCAGCAAATGATAAAAATTTACAAATATGAAATGTGAATGTCTCAACACCTGAATAAAAAATTTAGAGAACTATCCCAGCATTATTATCTACTCCAACCCCACAAAAAGCTTGTAACTGGAATGTATTTATCGCTGAATACTTTCAAAAGTTCAGAAGATAATGTTCAAATAGTTCTCGTGAAACAGAGAGAAATAGGGAAAGGTGTCAGTTCATTCTGGGGATGGAAATGTGGCCCCAGCTTAGCAAAACCTACCAGAGATAGCACAGTGAATAAAACTTTCAGCATCACTCTTTCACTGACAAATATAGATTGCCCCTTCCTGAAATTCTTAATTCTAATTAATAGAACTCATCAGTGTATTAATAATCCACCACTGCCAAAGAGAGTCTTCTGAGGTATATGAAGATTTTATAGTTCAGTTTGTATGTATAATACATGATGTCAGTAAACTACCTTGAAAAAAGATTTTCTCACATGTCTAAAAGACATCTGATAAAATTCAATACTGTTGCTGATTCAAAGGACACTTAAAACTATTAGCAAGACAGTGTGTTTTTTTTTTAAATCTTTTTCTTTTAGATAAATACCCAACATTTTTCATAAGGTGAAATATAGAAATATCCTTATTAAAAACAAGCATGAAATAAGATACTTTATAACACTATGTTTAATATTATTTTAGAAGTTATAGCCAGTACAAAAAGACAGTGGACAAATGACAGTTGGGAAACAGGAGTTACTATGTATGAGCTTGTTAGAATGGTCAAAGAAACTCAACTGATGAACAACTAGTCTATAAGAGTTCCGTAAAAGGGTCTAAGACAAGACTGATACCATGCTCTTACAATGCTGTAAACCTATTAGATTATAAGATTCTATTGACTCTTGTAACAATTAATATTAAGTAGATAGGAATTATGTCAATAATGTGTATGAATAAACTTATTAAGATACATAAAGGAAGCTTTGAATGATTAAAAGAACATATAAAGTTCTTGGATGAGCAATACATATTATAAAAATACCAGTCTTGATTTAATACTCACAGTTTTAATACAGTAACAATCCAAATCCTAATAAGAAAGCATGCAAAAACAATAGGATTTTAGTGCAATACCAATCAATAAACAAATCCAAATAAAACCCAAATGGAATTTTTTTCTTGAAAGTATACAAAAATATCAAAGAAAATGTTGATAAATACGACTAATAAAGCAGAATTCTTAGCTTCAAAAATTAAACTGTAATATGAAGCATATTATAAAAATGGTAATTAGGTGTATAATACTGGCACAAGAATAGGCAGATTAGTAAAATAATCTAGCCAGAAAAACAGCCTTCTTATTGTACATGAGAATTTAATATGACAGAAGAGGGCTTGTGTGGAAAATTAGTCTTTAGAAATAGAAACTTTGGGGGCGAAATTAAGCTAGCTTTTACATTACACCATAAATCAAAATGAATTTCAGAGTTGAAAATAAGACCTGCAAAACAAAATATTGGATAATTTTTTAAGTATTTTAAAACTCGGAAGAAAGGAAAAAGATGGATAGATTTTATAAAATAAAATTTTGTAACTTTTTTAAAAGGTGAAACACACATTTAGAAAACTATTTCCAAAAAATCTGATTGTAATACATGACAATCATAATAAAAAACTCACAGTAAAAAATTGGTAGAGGGTGAGGAGGAGAATGGGAACTTTTAGTTTAGATCTTGAAAAATAACTGGTGTTTGGTAGTCTAGATGTATGAGACATTCACTTATTAAGACGTGTTATATGTTTCTGTTGATAAATATGTATTACCTCAATAAATGTGTTCTGCTTATGTTTCTCTAATGATTTTTTTATAAAATATAATGAAATATGTATATAAATAAAACACCATTATAATAATAACTTTGGTTTCAGAGTACCACATGTGTAACTAATGTAAACATAGTTTGTTCTGTACCATAGAGGATTTT
Source organism: Homo sapiens (assembly GCF_000001405.40). Taxonomy (NCBI): domain Eukaryota; kingdom Metazoa; phylum Chordata; class Mammalia; order Primates; family Hominidae; genus Homo; species Homo sapiens. The sequence goes on from NC_000008.11 coordinate 117,533,110, forward strand.
ATAATATTTTGTAAAAAATAAAGCTGTGTAAATTCAGAAAGATACTTTTTCTATATTTACATTTCTCTTCAATTTTCATTAAGTTTCTCTTTTTTCCCAATTTGATAACTTAGAAATAACATGTCTTTGACTTTTAAAAGTTCTCTTTTATAATCAAAATATGGTAATTCTTTGGCAGCATGTAACCAAAAAAAAAAATCTTACTATCTACTGACATAGAGTTTTGTGGATTTTAAGTAAAGGATATAATTGAAACAAGGATATGATGTATAAAAGGACTTCTTTCTCCCCATGAGGATTTAGCTCCCTACAGCCTCTCTCTCCTGGACCCACCTACATAATTGTTTCCCTCAAACCTTTCAGTGCACTTATATCATATTTGGGGTTCAGTAAATAATCTGTATCATATAATTATGGCTTCATAAGTATTGTTTATTGCTAAGCCGCATAGTATACTAGGGTCATATTTCCTTGATTGAATAATTTTTTGTTTTTCTGAAGTTAATTCTTACCTCTTTAATTTTCTAAAATTTTAGTTAGTTTTTTATGCATCTATGACAACATCTCAGTACTATTTTCCAATTTTCCACAGTCAGAATCATCAGACAGTTTCATGGTTCTCATCCCACCCTCCCAAGTTTTCTATGGTCTTATAGGTCTGGATGGAATGCTGGCTAGGCCTGCTTTTCAGCTCTGGGGCTTTCCTTCACCTCTTCTGTTGGTTTCACTATTTCTTCAGCTCATGTCTTCCCTTTTCTTGGTTTTCTTCCTTGTTGGTGATGTGCATACATCAGTGACTTCTTTAGAAGGAATGCAGACACTTAAATTTTGAGTCCTTACATATTTGTCCAGTTGATAGTTTGGCTGGCTATAAAATTCTATGTTGTAAGTTATGTTTCCTCAGAAATTTGAAGGCATTCCATAATCTAGTATAGGGTTTGGCAGACTTTTTGTTTAAACTACTAGATAGTCAATCTTTTAACCATTCCTCCAGTTTTCATTCCCAGGGCTCACCTGGTGCCTCTGAGATGGTCTCTGTCTGTGGTTCTCCATGGTGGATCAGGCGTATTCTCGGTGGCATCCCTCTTGCATGCCCAGGCCTTCTCTGAGTCACTGACCACTCCCTCTTTACTTTTCATCTGAAAATTTACCTTGCATCTGCTGTTGTGTCCTTTCTGATCACTTTTCTCTGCATCAGTTTATAGCTTTTTTTATTCCTCTCCTGCCACACACTCAATAGATACACAATGTTTCTGAAAGTTTGTGTATATTTACGGAATGAAAGTATTTTAAATTTTTTTCCCCATTTTTACTTCTGACATTGAGATCTCTTCCTTTGATTAAATGACTTGGATCTGTTCTAAGTGCTTTTAACTTCAGGATAAAACATGTTTTAGTTAACGTGATATCAAACTGATGGGTTATTACAAAGAGAAAAGAATCAGTTTAGGTGTTTTAAATGAACCAGGTTTAAAGCTAAACTCTATTTCTGTGGGAATTGCTTTTTAAAAGACAATTTAGAGGTAAAGTACCTTCTTGAGTATCATGGGGAAGAACTCATTTGATGACCTCATAACTCTCTTTGTATGAATTCTTCTACCTATATTTTGAGAAAGCACTGAAAGATTAGGTGGTGGGCACAGGGAAAAGATGGGAGAGGGCTAACATTTGGTTAACTTAAATTTAAATCCCAAATAAGGAAGAAGAAAATAAAATTAACTGCTAAAAGGCAAACAAATTGTTTTTTTTTTTTTTTTTTACCAAAAGGGCTTTTTAATTCATTCCTTAAAAAAATATATAAATGTGAATTAAATGTAGCATATTCTGTTACTAGAATAATCTTACCTACAGTTAACCCTAGCTACTGACATAGAGTTTTGTGGATTTTAAGTAAAGGATATAATTGATACAAGGATATGATGTATAAAAGGACTTTCTCCATATGAGGATTTAGCTCTCTACAGCCTCTCTCTCCTGGACCCACCTACATAATTGTTTCCCTCAAACAATTTTATTTTATTATTTTCCTCAACTTCTTTAAGCTCTGTGTCTCCATTCTAGAATATAAGATTAAAATATATGATTAAAAGTTTTAATTTTTAAAATACTGAGCTCGTGATCCATTGATACTTTTTTTTTTTTTTTTTTTTTGAGAGACAAAATCTCTCTCTGTCACCCAGGCTGGAGTGCAGTGGCACGATCTCGGCTCACTGGGTTCAAGCAATTCTCCTGCCTCAGTCTCCTGAGTAGCTGGGGTTACAGGCGTGCACCACCATGCCCGGCTAATTTTTTTGTGTTTTTAGTAGAGATGGGGTTTCACCATGTTGGTCAGGCTGGTCTCAAACTCCTGACGTCGTGATCACCTGCCTCGGCCTCCCAAAGTGCTGGGATTACGGGCGTGAGCTACTGCACCCAGCCGATACATCTTTTTTTTTTTCCGTAATGGCACACACACCCGAGGGTGTTTCTCGTAGTGAAAACTGGCTATAGATGATAATGTACTGATTTGATTATTTAATCACATAGATGCTATTAAAAATAAAGTTCACTGATTTGATTTGACCACTATTTATAAATAGCTACATTCATAAACTTAAGTTTTTGTCTCTGTCAATTATGTTAATCCACATTCTTATGTAAATATAGGTTTGCTTTTTTTTTAGTTCATGCATTTACTAGGTGATAGAGTTTTAAAGTTCACGGAATCTTAGCTGGTAACACTAAAACATTGAAAATACATCTTACCTATTATGGTATGGAGTATAAAATGCATAGTTTTTAATAATGGCCATTATTAAATGTCTTTTTTTTTTATACTGAGGAGTTATTTAAACAAAAATAAGTTTTGAAATGATTGGCAATAATTTTTGTTTGCTTGCTTATTTTTTTTCCATTCTTGTAGGTTTTGGGAGAAGCTTTTTGATTTGGCTTTTGTTATTTTTTCTTCAAACATGAAAATATTTAAATATTTGTGTGCCTGCTCTCTGACAGGCATTGTCCTCAGTACCAGAATTTCTTCCATGAAGCAGCTGGATGTGTTGTCGGCTATATACTCATTTCACATGAGTGGACAAGTTTCTTCTTGGAGAACATAAGACTCCAGTGGAAACAAAGCAGCACCTGTTTCATGTACCCATTTCATGTTTTGATGAATATTTACAGAAACAAAAGTATTGTGCCATATTTTTAATACATTGGCATTTGGTTGTATTAAATAAGTTGCTTTATAGATCTGTGTAATTTATAATAAAATTATATTATTTGCATTCAATTAAAAAGTCAGAATTTTATTACAATGAATATTTTCTTTCTTTCTAAATAAGCTACCTAAAATAAGTAGATTTATATACCCCTCAGCTGACCCTCAGTCATTTTCAAGATATTATCATATCATTGTGTACTTGAAATTGTGCAGAAGAACATATTGATGGTGTGTTTACTATTTAGTCGTTATGGTCTGTCTGGTTTCTAACAATACAAAAACCACCAATAACTATCCTGGTGCTATGAAACTTTGAGGCACATGATTTGTAGTCAGTATTTGATGTAAATCATCATAAGACAATATGGCTGGTTTTAATAGTCAAATTCGTGGTTTATTTAAATACTTTTCATTTTCTCTTAATATATCCTGGAATCCTTAAGCCAAATACCCATTTAAAGGATGGACACTTGTTTGAGACCATATGCTTTAGGTGCAGGGGTGTCCAATCTTTTGGCTTCCCTGGGCCACATTGTAAGAAGAAGAATTGTTTTGGGCCACATATAAACTATACTAACATTAATGATAGCTGAGAAGCCAAAATATAAAAAAATCACGAAAAACATCTCATAATGTTTTAAGAAAGCTTACAAATTTGTATTGGGCTGCACTCACAGCCGACTGGGGCCACATGTGGCCTGTGGGCCACAGTTGGACAAGCTTGCTTTGGGGACATCAGAATGAGTTTTATTTTGCTTAACGCTCTTTTCTTGATGGTAAAATGAAATTGAAAAAGATAGTAGGTAGTATTTACAAGGTTGGCATTGAGTCCATGCATTTAGAAAGTAAACCATTTTTTGTCAAGTGTCACAGCTTTTGTGTGAATATTACATTACATGGTATCAGTTAGCATCAACTTTTTTTAAGTATTTAGTCTACTTACACATTCGCCTGTTAATGTACAAAATTGGGCACAGCTGATGGATTTTGAAAATAGCAGCTGTCAACGTCTGTTAAAATCAATCAGTGGCAAGACTGTGTATATTAAATCCTATATCGTGTCATGAAAATTTATTTACACTTTAGCCTCTAATAAGCATAAGTGTCAGCTTTGCTGTTGATCATTTTCATGACATGTTTTGACTCTGGATATTTTATTTGTATGCTAATTTTTTTAATTTAAAACTTTGTGGCATCTTTGAGAAACGCTATCCCAAGAGCCTTATAATATATTAATTATTTAAAAATTTTCTATTCCCCAGTGTTGAATATTATCTTGAAAATACCCTACAAATTTTAGTTGTTACTTTTTTAAAAAACAATTACGAGGCTTAAATAAAAAAGAGTACCAGAATGTATATTTCCAAATGAGGATTCTTGAGAGTAGTCTTATTGGTAGGTTATGCATTTATTTCAGTGGTGAGACCATTGTGATAGCCAGCTGCAAGCCCTGAGTTGATACTGATTATAAAGTCTGTTTTTAACCACCCAGATGACCAATTGTCATCTTATGTATGGGTATGCAGAAAGTACAACTGGCAGAGACCTTAGATTTTATAATCCAATTACATAAATGAGAAAACCAAGAAGAAGGAATTTATCTAAGATCAAATACCAAGTTAGAGGCAAAGTTGGAACTGGGACCGAGATTGCCAGCCTCCCAATATAGCACTTTTATATTCCTCTGTTTTGCTGCTACTCTTGATTGCTGGCAGAAGTGTTGGTTTCTTGGTCTCTGTGATGAAAAAGACTTTATAGGCTTGGTTATTCTTCATCTTTCCCAGCAATTTGAATCAATTTTGTTAGATATATACAACCACTTAAATAACAGACTATCACTTACTTATGATAACAGAATATAGAAGATGGGTCATCTGAAAACTTGTGCAAGGGAGACTAACTAAAAATACCAGCAGTTTTTGTTTCCCGAAGACTGTGTTAAAGTGAGCTTTAGAGTCGAGCCCTGTGTACTGTATAGTCCTGTTTTTCTCTGACTGCATTGTGCTAGTTCTCTTTTCAAATGTGAATTAAATTCAGTTATGAAAGATTATTAAAGTCTCTGTAAATTGATTTTCTATTTTCTAATAAGAGTTTCTTGGTCTTTCCTTTTAGCCACCTATTTCTTGTTACTTCCCTAACTCTGAATAGAAGCAATACAAGCAACTTCATTTTAGTTTGTTTTTTAATGAAATCAAAAGTAAGATTGTTAGGCCTCTTTTTAATAAGCATACACCAATTTATCTGGAGGTAGTTTAATATAGTGTCTTAAAATTAATTAAGTATATTATCTCCAAATGTAATGTTTCCAAGGGGTTATTGAATAATAATAATTATTGTTATTATAACTAGTAAACACTCTGACCAGAAGTTCTCTATTTCTATCTTGTTTTATCTAAGCAGACATTTACCACATAGGATTTGAAGAAAGAATGGTTAAAAAGAAGTCTACAAATCTTAGTCAAGTAGAATCCAAGTGTAGAGATACAGAGACACATGCCGTGCACATTTCAGGCATTCAGCAAATCTTAGTAGAGAAGATTGCATTGGGTACTCTGCCATTTGTCTTCAGTTTTTAGAATTAGAAGGAGATTGCAATTCATGCTATAGGCAAACAGTGATTTCTGCCGCACTTTTGAAAGACTGATTGCATGAGGCATTGTACTTTTATTATATTTTCTATATCGACAGTTTACATTTTGTGCCTAACAGTAACATTTGTTGAATGTTTACTTATGTGTCAGGCACAATTCTAATACTTGACATGAATCAGACCATTTAATCTTCATAACAGCTCTTATGAGGTAGTTTCAATTATTATTTCCATTTTTCTGATGTGGAAACTAAAGTACCGGGAGGTTAAATAATTAGGTCAGTGTTGTAAGTTTCATAGTGAAGGATCTGGCCGGGTGTGATGGCTCATGCCTGTAATCCCAGCACTTTGGGAGGCCAAGACGGGCAGATCACTTGAAGTCAGGAGACCAGCCTGGCCAACATGGCAAAACCTCCTCTCTACTAAAAATACAAAAAAACTAGATGGGTGTGGTGGCTGGAGCCTGTAATTCTAGCTACTCAGGAGGCTGAAGCAGGAGAATCGCTGAAACCCAGGAGGCTGAGATTGCAGTGAGCCAAGATTGCGCCACTGCACTGCAGCCTGGGAAAAAAAAAAAAAATTCGTAGTGAAGGATCTGAATGACTTCCAGAGATCTGGCTCTAGAGTATGGGCTCTTGACCGTTAGGTTATGCTGCCCCTTAGAAAACTTATATGCTTATGTTTTATAACAAATAAATGTTTAGCTGATTTATTGATTTGTTTATGGTGGAAGTGGAAGAGTAAGCAGGGCCTGGGGCCGGGGCTGGGGCCATAGACCTCTGCAGGCTGGATTTTTAGAATTCAGGATCCCTGTCAGCAAATATTTAAGGCCAGAAGAGGGTTGAGACCATCTGCCTTATAGGGTTATTTAGCTTAATTTCTGTCTGTATCATTATAATCCTAACTTATGATATTTTAATCTTCTAACTTCATGGTCTATATTTCCTGAAACATTTTTGATAAATTCTTTTGTTTCTACAGAAACTCAAACAGAAGAATCAACAGCTGAAACAAATTATGGATCAATTACGAAATCTCATCTGGGATATAAATGCCATGTTGGCAATGAGGAACTAAGCTGATATTTAAATTTCCTGCTTTACACATGTTATACCATTGTTTTTTCCCTCAAGTATTTTTTCCCTGTGAAGAAGATTATTTATCTGCTTTTATTTTAGTCACTAAAACTAAAGTTTTTATTTTTACATTGTGATTTTTACATTAAAATATTAACTTTTTTTAATGCTATTTTATGAAAGATTATTGTAATAAACTTTGATGGGGTTTGTATTTTGGTTAATCTTCATGAATTGAATAATTGTTTTTTTAAAGCAAAATAAAGTTTTTTAAATAAATGTTAATATTTGATTAATGGATTTACTCATTCCAATTACCCTTTTAGAAGAAAAATATTTAAATATTTCTGCAGATAAAAGTATCAAATACAGTCAATCTGTATACAAATCAAAATTAAAGATATATTACCATATCAGCTCAAGTTTTTAAATTCAATGTTATTGCCAAGCCAATTAAAATGTATATTTCTATGAATAGATGAAAATTAACATATTCCTCCAGTGTTTGGTCTTAAATGATCTGTCTCTAAAAGGAGAGAAACTAATGATCTAAGGACAGCACAAATTGAAATCACAACTGTGTGCTTATCTGCTATGTGCTTTAAGCTAAGAAGCAATCACTTACCTAATTTTTTAGGTATACCCTAAAGTAATCATAAGTGTGTTTTGGAAACAGTACATTTGCAGGGATTTTAAATGAGATAGTTCTATATAACAGGTGATTTTTTTTTTTTTTTTTTTTTTTTTTGCCTATAGTCAATCCTGTTTAGGTCTCCCTGTGGGAGCTGATCTCTCAACTTACAAATAATATATATTCTCAAATAAGAGTTGGAGTCTTCTCAGAAAGGACTTTTCCAGCTTGATTCAGAAGGCTCTTCTATCTGGTCTCAGTTCTGACTCTATGAAAAATATTGTTTGGGCTTTTCTTCTAAATGTTTCTCTGGAAGGTAACACAAGAAACTGTAATAGGCATCCTCTGGGGAGGGGAAGTGGGTAGTTGAGGATCAGAATTAAGAAGGTGCTGACTTTTCATTGTATATCATTTTGTACCTTTTGAATTTTACAGCATGTACAAATACTGGCTATTCAGAAAACAGGAAACTATTTTTCATTTTAACTTATGCAGATTCCCACCTAGACAGAGTACAAGAAGACAAGACAAACCATGCAAGCATCTTTAGACCCTCCAACTTGACATTTGTCAAGGCAGTTCTGAGCAAGCCCAGTGTTAGATGGGGCGCTGACTGCCTACAGTGGGAAGCTCTTCAGAGTTAAAGGGCAGAATGAAAAGGTGTATGAAGCTGTGACAAGGAGAAGAAATAGGACTAATAGTCTAACCTACTGTGGTACTTCTTAGTATCTAAGTGTATTATAGTTTATTTGGACATGCAGGATTTTTTAGGTTTTCACTGTATATTCTTTGCACTATTATGAATTTAGTGCACTATCGTTGGGTACTCTTGTCAATTTATTTTTGTATTGATGTCTTCTAAGACACTTCTAAAATGTTCTGACCTAATGTTTTTGTTTTAATTATCACACTCAACTACGATTATTCAAGGTGCCATAAACTCAACTCTTGGAGGGAATGTGGAAATTGTATTATTTTGGCCTTAGTTCTATAAATAATATTTCTACTGTAGAACAATAATCAATGCAGCTACACTCTGCTACGGAGCTGTAGCAAGTTCTGAAAGGTTATATTCACAATTCAGAACTGACATGGGTTTACCCAGTTATTCACAAGTCTACTTGGGGCCAATTATGAACGTGGCAGGGTTTATTAAATACATGAACCTCACAAATTCTCAAAGTTTCAACTTTTTCTTGAAGGAGAGCATACTAATAGATTGAGGAGTAAAGAAAGGTGAATTAAGTTGTTGTAATGTGTTCCCTTGGGCAAGTAAATCTCTGTTTTCTGTAAAATGATGGGTGAGACTAGATAATCTCATATTCTATGTTAGAATTTTGGTCGCAAATATTAGAACCCAATTCTAAATGGCTTAAGCCAAAAGGGATTTCTTAGTTCCTGTAGTGAGAAAAGATGCTAGAGAAGAGCTCACAGAATAAAAGAAAATGGCAGGAAACAGGGCTTCAGGTATTGGAATCAAGTTTCAGTGCCCTCAGGATTCTGTGTCCACCCCTAATTTTAGTCTGTCTCTGTTTGCTCCATTCTCTCTCATTGCAGATCGGTTTTTTCCAAGTGGTGGGGAAAATGGCCTTCCACTGTCCTTTCACCTTGCTGTATCCTGAGCCCAGAGCTAGGTTGCTTCTCCAACTCTAAATTGAGAAATCCTAGAATGAATTCTAAAAAGTTTGGGTTATATAACCAACCCATGGACCAATGATAGTATAAATGGGTAGTATGATTAGACTAATCCAGGTTATAAGCTCATTCTTGTGGCCAGGAATCGGGTATGGGAGTTATGGAAGAGTGTACTGTGCAAGGAACAAATATTCGAAAAAGAGGGGGTCAACCAGGAAAATTTGCAAAAAAAAAAAAAAAATCCACAAACAACAGCAACCACAGTCCACTGTTGTTCTTTCTTGGTTATAATACTATCTCAGATATAATACTAGTTATCCAATCTTTCAGAAGCCCAAGAAAAGTTTACAGAAAATCAAATGCATCATTGACTGTCATGGGAATTACTAGTCTTCATATTTTTTTTCTGAATTTGTGGACTTCTGTACTAACATTTTTATTTGCAGCTGTTTCTTGCCAGCTCTTTCAATTAATTGCTATGTGATCTTGTCAGGTCTTGGTTAGCCTGGGTAAAAGCACAGCGAGGAAACAGCTAAGAAAAAATAAAATGAAAGATCCAGCATCCTGGTAAGGACATTATCTTTAAAATGGTTTAGAAATCTACAGCCCTGATTATTCAGGCATTAGATCCCTTGGCACCGTTACAAGCCAAAATGTGTTAACTTGACATTTTGATGTAGTTTCAGCTTGAGTAATTCATTTTCTTTCCCTAAATTCCCACTGAAGTTTAAGCTAGATAGAAGATTTTTTCAGCTTTAAACTAAAATGTGTACTTGTCCTAAAGCCTCAAAGAGTCTGTTATCCTCGGTGTTCTTAAATTTGTTCAACAAAACTAGATGCCTTAAATTTTTGTCTAATGCTTTGAAACACTCATTCATCAAAGACTAATTTTAAGCCTAAATTTAAAGACATTCTAGGTGTGTTTAAACACAAAAGCAGTCTTGAATTACTTCATGCCTTTTTAAACTAAAGAATTAAAGTTATTAGTCATTTAAATTAATATTTTTTAAGTTTATATTTTTACATTAAATAGAAATTGTGCACTGATGCAAAGAATTAATACTTTTTTTGAAAAATTCTTACTGTTGCTGGTATGTAATTTGCATTCCAAAAACTGCTAGAAAATTTACAAAGAAAGGGTAAAACTCTATTTTCTCTGTTTTGAGATCTTTATTATTCTTCCATGACACCAAACCACAAGACTACCAAGTGGCATGCTCTTTGTTATAATTGCCTAAAGCTGTTATAATGCTTTCAGATGTCTTTTTGAGGCAGTACTTCCAGATTTAACGTCTACGAGAATCATTTGGGTGTGTGTTTAAAAAGAACGGTTTTTATGTTTACCACAAATGTACTGAGACAGAATTTCTAAAGTGAGGATCTAAAAATCTACATATTTAACAAGTTTTCCAGGTGATCTGTCACTGACATTTTGAAAAATCTTGTTCTAAACAGTGTAGTGAGAATTGTTGAGTATTTCAAAAAACGGCAGATATAAAACACATTATGCCGTATTTAGAGTTCTGGCCTTTTGAGTATTTAACAATAATATTCTATATCAGCAGTTCTCACCCCGGGCAGCACATTAGAATCAACTGGAAAAATGTTAAAATTCCCTAGGCCAAAACCACACCCCAGACCCATTAAATCAGAATTCTAAGGTGAGATCCAGACATCAATGTGTTTTAAGCTTCCCAGTTGATTCCAATCTGAAGCCAAAGTAGAAACCGTAGCTCTGTATAAATTTATAGGCATGGAAAGAATCTTGAAGGATTGTGTTTTCAAGTAATAGTTAAATACCTGGAGCAAAGAACTTCTTCTAGAGGGCAGAAGTCTAAAACCTATACAGAACTAATCTTACAGTCTTGGGTATCAGAGTCAAAGGACCCTCACCCTTGTCATCCACAATCACACCACTAATGAAAACACAGTAGAGATAACGCCATACAGCTGGCAACTCTTATAAGCGAAGACAAAGAAGGGGATCGTTGCATGCTCTCCCAGCCTTGTAGGTCATAACACTTTGAAGACATTGCAGAGGTAGAGTGAAGTCAAAAGGAAGGCTACATTTCTCTTTGTTCTCTGTTCCATGCTAAACATGGCGAGCCACATCTTGTTTTAGACTGCTAATAGAACTAAACTGTATTTGTAATTTACTCATTAAACAGTTATTTACTGATCACCTGCAGGCTCCAGGCACCAGGCTTCGAGCTGGGCCTACCATGCTGGAAACCTTTGCCCAAAGGTTATGGAATGTAATATAGTTTTCAGGGTGATCTGTCATGGACATTTTGAAAAATCGTGTTCTAAACAGTTTCCTTACCATGCTGGAAACCTTTGCCCAAAGGCTATGGAATATAAGCTAGAAGAGAGCTATTCATACATGCAAATCCTAGGATAATCAGAGGCCTTCTCCACATTCAGAAATTGGACATCCATCAACCAACGCCCCAAAACAATGAACTGCTTTTACTCCATTGATACTTAGATTTTCATGGTGCCTATAAAGCAGACCACAGAGCTCATTAGAGGGCTCCTTCCCATGGGATACCACACAAAGAGAGTATCTACATGGTTTAAAAATTACTATATGTGCCCAGACCTGTACAATCTAACTTAGGATAAAGATACAAGAAGGTAACACTATAAAAATGTTCAACTCCGGAAGATGAGAATGTAGCACAGCTTTAATTGCAATAAGGTGAGGGAAATAATTTTCAAAACAGCTTTGAGAAGGGGGAAAAAAGTCATTTGCAAAAGCTCAGTACTTAAAATCTACAGATGGCATAGTGAACAAATAAATCAATTAAAGGATGCAAAGTGTGAACAGAAACATAAATGTGAATTAAAGGCATACAAACTTCAAGTTATGTATGAAGTAAGTATTTTAACCACTGGCACTAAAATTTTAAATTGAATTCTCTGATGAAACAGAAAACTGGCATAATTGCCTCAGTAAAGAGTGGTTTGAGAGTTACAGCTGGTGGGGAAAAGATAAATGTGTTTCTGTGTTTCGAATAGACAGTAAAGCATGACAGATGAATAGAAAGGGCTTGCCAAGGTACCAACAATAGTCCAGGTGAGAAATAACTAAAGCATCAAACAGTCTCAGAGGCAGAATTTGAATTAAATAGTAGCATGTTTTTCTCCTACAATGCTCATCTTGATGGATATTACTACATGCGGCTAGTTCTTACCAATCCTTCCAATGTTGTAGCCATTGGCCTAGTAAGGTCAAAGAGTTTGGGGTGTTTCCTAAAGCTACTGGCCTCTGTTTGGAGAATTATTTTTTTCCTTGACCTTTAAAGGATTTTGTAACAAGTGTTTTGCACCAGTCTTGTGTCCTTTCTTGCTTGTTTACAACTGTTTCTGTATTTGTGGGGGAGAGGGAGAGGAGTCGGTGGGAGAAGGGTCTTTTTCTTTCAGATGGTGGAGGGCAATACCATCTTAGGGCATTCTCACCCTCTCCTATGGCTGAGTCCTGAATAGAGGGTGAGAATATGGACCCTGGAGACAAACTGCCTGAATCCCAGCTCTGCCGCTTACCAGCTGTTCCTTTGAGCAGAATTTTCGAGTTGCTTATGACTTGATTTTCTCTTCTATAAAAGGGACAAATAGTATGTTCTTACACGAGTTTTATTTTTAAACAGCTCTGAGGAACATTTATATTTACAAGAGCCAAATACTTTAAAAATCTACCAATGCCTTACCTAGCAAACAACTCCATCATTTGCAAGGATGAAATGAGATAAGGAGCTAGCATTGTGCCTCCACGAAAAGGGAAGGGGATCTGTAGATGTCAGATATCATCCCTACTTGGATAAAAACTAAAGATTTAAAAAATAAATGCATAATCATTTATTTCCCCCTCCCCATAAGCCAGCATTTTCTCCAACTGCTTTCATCAAAGCAGTGGAATTTCAACAACTCAGTTAGAAAATGGCATCACCACTGCCATTTTCTCTTTTAGCAAAGCCCTAACTCCCTGCCCTGCCCAGAGCTATTTTGATCCTATCTGTCTCCTTCTATCATTTGTCTTATCCATCTCCAATTTCTGTCAGTCTTTATTTCAAATATGTTTTATAAATGTGTATCTCCCTTGGACACGCCAAGTGCAATAACTGCCTTTCAGGATGCTTCACCTCTCACCTCAATCACATGTGTGGACAAAGCCAGCCTTGGCATGACCTCTTCTTCAGCTTGCATACCCTACTGTCCCCTCTTTGTTCTTTCTGGCTAAATCCTGAACCATCCTTCAAGATTCATCTCAAAGCCCACTGCTGCCCCCGAGATCTTTCCACACTGATTTCTGTCATCCCTGAACTCTGAGGGCTCATGGATTCATCACATCTGCCCTCTGCTCTAATGTTTTAGTTTCATGTGTGTGAAGCTTTGTCTGCCCAAGTAAATGAAAAGCTCCTGGGAATGGGATTAATTCTCCCTCTTTCCCCACCCAGCACAATGCAATGACACTCACAGATATCCAGTTATAGTGGTTGAGCTTGCTTGATTCAGAATTCATTGTAGTTTGCAAGTTCCACAGATTAGGAAATAATCTTTCTACTTTTTATATTGCCTCAAGCAGTTACTTCTTTTTTAAAAACAACATTTGATGCAAGAAATAATACTTCTGAAGTCAAAATAATTATATGTTAATGATTAAATTTATATATGAATGCTTTCATTGTGGTACCCATAAAATTAAAGATAAAGCAAAATCTTAGAATAAGCTTCTATACTATGATATCAAGAGTAGTCCAAACTCACTGATTGACAGCCTGTTATGAAGAGGTAGTAATATACAGTATATCACTAAATCATGAAAACAATCATATGAGATAGATATTACATTATTGCCTTTTTACAGATCAGGAACCTTAAGCACATGATAGAAAAAAGGGTGAAGACTGAAAGCAAGGCACATGTTTTTCCCTGGAGAAGTTATAGAGAATCAACAAAGGTGGTAGATTTTTTTTTTCTGCCAGACCCTGTTCTAAATGTAGTAACTCATTTAATCCACACAACTTCCTAAAATAAAAACTATAGTATTCCTTCCATTTTACAGACCAGAAAACATAAACCCAGAGAGGTTAAATCACTTGCCCAAGGCCACACAGCTAGAAAGTAGCTGAACTGGCTTCAAATCTCAGTCAGTCTGGCTCCAAGAGTACTGGTGCCTTTTTTTTTTTTCTTTTTTTGAGACAAGGTCTTGCTCTGTCACCCAGATTGGAGTGCAGTGGCACAATCATGGCTCACTACAGCCTCAACCTCCCAGGCTCAAGCAAACCTCCCACTTCAGCCCCCCAGTTATTCAGGTGCAGCAGCTCACATCTGTAATCCCAAGGAGGCTGAGGTGGGAGGATTTTTTGAGCCCGTGAGTTCAGGACCAGCCTGGGCAATATAAGTGAGACCTCCGTCTCCACAAAAAATAAAGAGTCCTTGTTTTTAACCAATAAACTTACTACACAAGTCAAAAACATGGTTATAACACTGACAGATGTGTGGTATTAAAATCTCAATGTCTCTGAAAGAGTTAGACTCTTCAGACCTTGAACTCCTCCCAGCAATCAGCAAAACCCTTGCCCTAAAAACAACAACAAAAAAAGATAATCATATCTGTGCAGACTTAGCATGGACCTGATTGATAACAAGCACTTGGTAAATGTTAAGTACTCCTGTCCACACCACCGCTACCACCACATGTGCCCTTCTACTATGGCTACATGACCAACACCAGTTAAGAATCATAGCTTCCTGGAACACATGAACAGCATCTTGCTTTTTTTCTCAGAGTCTTTTCTCACAGAACGCTTTATCTTATTTTCTGCTTCTTCAGGGTTGTAAAGGTCTTTCTGAACAGGTCGTGGAAAAGAAAAAGAGCATATCTGAGAATGGCGCTAACATCATCTCTCTTTATATTTCCCACCCCTAGATGTCCTTTGCACTTTCATCTATTTTTCTTGTCTCTAGGTACATACTTGCTCAGAAGCCACCAGGCAAACTCAAGGCTTTTCACCATCAATGGATCCAAAGGCAGCTAGCAAATCAAAGCAATGCTTTAGCCTTTCACTACGTGAGGCTCGTTAGCTGTAAATTCAGGAAGACCTGTGCTCCAAGGACTCTCGCAGGGCATTGAAATCCTCTCACAAACCAGGTTTGGTAACAGAGCACAAAACCTGGGTGAGAAGAGGTTTGACTTCCTGCTACGGGGTGGACTGCCTTCTTTTGGTGGGGCAGTGCTTTCTAAGGGAAAGTGCTGATTAAATAGCACCTGCATAGAGATCTACAGCTGACTGGGATGGGGGTTGTAAGCCACGAACCCTTCAAGGTGGACGCAGCATTTTGAACATTAGCAAAAAGAGAATATTTCCTGGCACAAGAACAATACCTGGCACATAACAGGCACTCAATAAATATTTGTTGTATGAATGAGTGATCCACAGGAGAATATGAAGTATTTATAAAAATAAATACTGACCCTTGAACAGATTTGAACTATACAGGTCCACTTACATGTGGATTTCTTTCAACAAAACACAGATTAAAAATAGAGCATTTATGGGATATGAAACCCATGTATCTGCAGGGCCCACTTCAGGACTTGGGTACATGCAGATTCTTGTATACTTGGGGATTTGGGTATACAGGCAGGTTTTATTAAAACCCTTGTTTTACAAATGAGGAAATTGAGGTTAAATAATTTGCCTTCAGGACATGTAACTAGTAAGTGACAGAAGCAAGATTCAAATTCAGATCACTCTTATTGTAAAATCTATGCTCATAGGTACTATGTTTCACTCTTGAAGGAGTGGCTTGCTTGACTAGGTATGTCCCAGAATGTTCTAAAAGTATTGAATTTCTGCCTCCAGGAGTTAATAAGACTTATGAAAGCTGTACTTTGACTAATATTTTGGATCTGAATTCAGCGAGATGCCACGATCATATGACCTTAACCTGTATGACCAGTGTGGATGTGTGTGCCGGCTCCCTTCCCCAGTAGCTTGTCAATTCAGCACCAGCTGATGCCAAACCAGCTGCCACAGCCACTTTTACCATAGAAGTGTATCTCTGCATCTTGAAGTGTAGTGTACTGCAAAAAATAAATAAGAGGAAAATATTATATAAGAAGTTGTCAATTCTGCCCCTCTTGAAAACTATCCAGTGAGGGAGGGCAATTTTGTACACTTTGCGGAAAAGGAAGAAAGGCACAGGAGTACTTTACTCAGGCACTTCAGGAGCAGAGCCTCGGCTCTTTCTTCCCCTTTGGAATTGGAAGAGACCAATGCCTTTTCAATTCCACTCAAGACAGAAAGAAGACTGTAAGGGCCATTGTTGGCCTGACAATGGAAGATGATTTTCATAGACAAGTTGATTGCTTTCTAAGAAGCAGAAAAATAAAGCTGAATTCAGCAACTACCCAAGAGTCTGTGAGAGCAGCCACTTCTGAAGGGACAGAAGAAGGCAGCTTTGCCAGCAAGCTCATTTCCCTTATCTGGGAGGAAAATGGGTTTTGCAATATTTTCATATTAGAGCAATGAACATCCTATCCAAGGTCTGGTAAAGTCTGTGGCCTGCTGAAGCTAGTAAAAACTTGGGAAATGTTACCAGGAAAATCTGATATCATGAGGCTTAAACTAGCCTAGACATATGTAGAGAGATCTTTTAAATGGATAGATAATGTAAGTAAACAGACTATTTTCTGAGCCTTTAAACTCTATTATGATAAACCTGCTTTCTCAGAGAAGGGAAAAATAGCTCCCTAACAAAGCACTGAAAAGTATGGTTAAAAAAAATACTTAAATGTAGGTATGAATATTGCTGTACACATGACATTTATATAAAAAGTAATAATATAAAGCAGCGTAAAGCAAAAAAAATCATTGTACTGTCTATTCATGCTCTACATCAGAAGGTTCATCAAGTAGCTGTACCAATATTCATATCGGCCAAAAGAACTGCTTAATACTATGAATTTTTCTTCACATTTAGCTAAAATGTACTGAATACCTGCACTGAGTACACACATTACATCAGGTGACACTATGTGGACCAAATTCTCTAATTACCAGTAACTCTCTTGGGTGATGTTAGCCTCACTTTTTAGATGAGGAAGTTTAGGCTCAGAGAGATTACATAACTTGGGTATCACTGAGGGTGCTTTAAACCACGGGTAACCATACCTAACAATGGCTTAAACAAAATTCATTTCAAGTAATCCCCCGTAACAAAGAGTTTGAAAGTCTTTGTCTCAGGGCTGAATCAGCAGACTAACGATAACACCAAGGACCCTGGCTCTACCCATCCTTCCATGCATCCTTTCTTGGTGTGTTGGCTTTTAGTTTGCAAGCTTCTAGTCTTATGGTTATATGATGGCTGCAGCAGCTCCAGACATTACTTGTTTACACAGCTAAGACCACAGGCCAAATAAAAGGGTGCAAAGGCTTCTCTTCCTGCAACATCCTTTCCATCATAACAGAAAATTTACCCAGGGCCCCCTAACAGATTTCTCCTTAAATCTAATTTGGCAAAATGGATCACATGGCCATCTGTAGCTGTAAGGGATGAAGAGAAAGTGAGTATATAGCATTTTCACCATTACTGGAGGATGGTTTTGTCAGGAAGGAAGGAAGGAATAGAGGAAGAAAGGGAGGAAGAGGAGAGAAAGGGAGGGAGGGGAGAGAAGTGGTAGCTGAACCAACACCAACAGTGTCTGGCATATTATCAAAGTTAGAAGTTGATATAGCTAGAACTGAGTCTCTTTTCACAAAGCACGTTCCAACACAACTTCATAGCAAAAAAACAAATAACCTGATTTAAAAATGTGCAAATGACCTAAATAATTTCTCAAAAGAAGATATACAAATGGCCAAACAGGTGTATGAAAAGGTGATCAACATTACTAATCATCAGGGAATTGCAAGTCAAAATTTCAGTGAGATATTCCCTCACTTGTTAGAATGGCCATTATCAAAAAGACAAAACATAACACGTGTTGGTGAGAACGTGGAGAAAAGGTAAACAACCCTTGCACACTATGAATGGGATTGTCAATGAGTACAGCCATTTTTCAAAACAATACAGAAGTTTGTCAAAAATTTAAAAATAGATCTGTTAGAAATCCCACTTCTGGGTCTATATGCACAGGAAATGCAATTAGCTTGTTGAGAAGATATTTGCACCCCTATATTCACTGCAGCATTATTCACAATAGCCCATATACGGAATCAACCTAGGTGTCCATCAGTGGATATATGAATGAAAAAATATGCTTCATAAACACAATGGGAATACTATTCAGCCATAAAAAATGAAGAAAATCCTGTCATTTGTGATAACATGGATGAACCTGGAGGACATTATGCTAAGTGAAATAAGGCAGTTGCAGAAAGATAAATACTGCATGATCTCACTTATATGTGGAACCTAAAACAATTGAACTCATAAAAGCAGAGAATAGAATAGTGGTTACCAGGCGTTGGGGATGAGGAGAGGAATGTGGGGAGATGTTCGTGAAAGGGTATAAAGCTTCAGTTAGACGAGACAAATAACTTCTAGACATCTATTTACAGCATGGTGACTGTAGTTAATAATAATGGAATGTACACTTGAAAATTGCTGAGAGTAGATCTTAAATCTTCTCCATATGTGAGGTGATGGATATGTTAATTAACCTGATTTAGTAATTTCAAAATGTGTGTATATCTCAAAACATGTTGCACACCATAAATATGTACAATTTTTGTCAATTAAAATTGAACAAATATTTTTAAGTAAGACAAAACAAAAACCCACATACTTTTTACCCCACGCCAAGCAAAAGAGGTAGGGAAGTCCTTTCTCAGGTAGTTACAGCCCACAACTTTTAATATCAGTGCCATGACCTTGAAGGGGCTGCTGAAAGGTTATCAGGAGGACTGCTGGTGATGATAGAGCTGAGATGCTCCCTTTAAAGCATGGGGAATCTGACACCCTTCTCTGAGTGTCCTTGAGTTTGAGGTCTCTAGGGAGCCAAGCTGACTTCCCTTTGGGGAATAGAAAGTCATCCAGATTTTGCGTGGACTGAACTCAAACTCCTGGAGTCTGAGGAGGGCTTCTTATACCTAGCTTGACTCAAACTCGCCACTGAGTCAAGACACTTGTCAAGTCTTTAAATGTCCTTCAGTCCTGTGCCAATTGCAATGTACAAAACATCTCCAACTCCATTCTTCTGTTGGTTTGTTGATTTCTCTCTGAGTGGTCCAAATGCATTCTCATACCATACCACATATACATTTTTTTGTGAATCATTAATAGATTCTAACAGTTGCATATAATATTGAAAATTATATGCAAAAATTATAAAGTGGCCAGGCACAATGGCTCATGCCTGTAATCCCAGCACTTTGGGAGGCTGAGGCTGGTGGATCATGAGGTCAAGAGATTGAGACCAGCCTGGCCAACATGGTGAAACCCCATCTCTACTAAAAATACAAAAATTAGCTGGGCGTGGTGGTGGGCAACTATAGTCCCAGCTACTCGGGAGGCTGAGGCAGAAGAATCACTTGAACGCGGGAGGCAGAGGTTGCAGTGAGCCGAGATGGTGCCACTGCACTCCAAACTGGCGACAGAGTGAGACTCCATCTCAAAAAAAAAAAAAATTATAAAATAATATTGGAATTATTTACATCACATTCACCTATAGGAACATATAAATAACATAAATATGTATGTAATATGGATTTAAAACTTTTATTTCCATTTGCAAAGTTATTCTCTGAGAGCCTGATAAACAAAGTTGAGTATACACTTTTTGTGTATATAAACACATGCACACACCTGCATGTACACACACACACCCATCCCTGGGTAGCCAATGGTGAAATAAAGAAGAGAGAGCCATAATCCACAGTCTCAAAAGTTTCATATACAAGAAGAAGCACACACACACACAAAATATCAGAAGGTCCAACCCAAGTCTTTGGGTTGGAATCCTGGCTCTGTCACTTGCACCTTGGCATTAGGCACATTTTGTCATCTCACTGAGACTCAATTTCTCATTTGAGAATGGGGACAATAATACCCACTCCTCATAATTGGTGGGGAATTTAGAGGAAATGTAAATGAAACATCTAGTACAATGCTTAGCATTACCCATAAACACTCACAAACACTGTATCGTTCAGACAAATAGAGGAGAGATTTATTATGTCAGTAACACATTTGGATTTCTTGGCTCTCAACTCTTCAAAACTCTTCAGAAATGTTTTAGGAGCTCTAAAGTGGTACATCTAAAGGAGTGACATCAGGCAGAACCCCTAATTTCAGTGGATGTTCCTAGAGCTTTCATGTCCCATGTGGCAGCTACAGGCAATTGATTTATCATGTCTGTGATGGGCAATTGATTTATCATGTCTATAATCGTCTCTAGTAAATCATTTTATCATGTCTATAATCATCTCTAGTAAAGCAGATTTCACAGTCAGCTTTTTTCATGATCTCCTTTTTAAGTCACTCACACAGATAGGGAATTGCCCTTTATTTTGGTCTCTACGCCAAAGTCTCTCCTCCTATTCCAGTTACTACATCCTTGGGGAAGAACACTGTTAAATTGATAAGCCAAATGCCAGGACAGTTTTTCTAGTGTTTAGAGCTCTCTGTTTCCATTTCCTCCGAAGCTAATTAGGTAGGGTACAGCTTTTTAGCCCCTTAGAGTGGTAACTTTTGAGGCTTTGTTTAGGATGCCAGGGAAAAGGCACAGTGAGTCGCTTTGAGTCTAGGCTGAGGTTCTCCAAATATGGACCATGGTCCAGCATCATCAGCCTCACCTGGAAGCTTCTTAGAAACACAAAATCTCGGATCACCCCTCAGAGCCTACTGAACCAGAAGTTGCATTTTAACAAGATCCACAGGAGATTCAGACACTCAGTTTCAAGATATCCATCCCAGATCTATAAACTTACTTCATTTAAGTAAAGGAAGTTTCTGCCTAGTTCAACCTAGCCATCTGAAACATGACACTGGGATTTGATATAAATTTCCAGTTGGTTAAAATTATTCCTTTTTTGTAACATTGCCATTGTTCCCTGAACTTAGATCTATTTCTGGGTCTGCTTTGAGAGGGCCTCCTCTGTGATGAGCTGGAACGAACTGGCACAGGCTCTTGAGAGCCCATTCTGCCCATCCCTTCCCAACTTTGTGTTCAGAAACATCACATTGGTAACATGAAATTGACCACGGCAGGAGTATTTACACCACTGAAATAGGAAAATACAAGTCAGAACATTCTTTCCCCCTAAAGAACTGGCTTATAGCCCAGACATACCTGACATAAATCAGGGGTGTTGGCTCCCTGGCATAATAACATCATAGGAGCATCCTAATACTATTGTCACTTCCTCCACACTCCAATTCTTGCAACAGAGAAAGTGCATTTCTTTTCATTCTAGCCTTGGTAGAAACGGGGATCAATTGGCTACTACCAAACATTGTCTCATGGAAATGCTATAGCTCAACAATTTTAATATACATAACAACCATCTGGGGTATCTGTTAAAATGCTCTTTTATAAATTTACTCCCAGGATTTTTACTTAGTAGATTTGTATTCAGACCTGAGATTCTGCGTTTTACAAGATAAAGAAATTCTAATGCTGGTAGTCTTTAGACAATGCATTGAAAAAAATTCAAGTGTCGGGCATATTGACAGGGAAGCAGCTCATTACGTTTACCTGGGGGTTCTAAGAGCTTCCACCACCCAATGCCCTGTGTCTCCCCAGAGAAATAACACTCTACTAATCAAACACACTAACTCTGATCTCAATTGTATATTGCCAACTTGCAGAGCTTATAGCAGCTACCTGTTCAGATAGCCATGAAGTAGTGTGGTCTTCAAGCTCTCAGATTTCCTGTCAAAAAATTGAAGCCCCATTGGCAAGCTGCAGGTTGCCAGCTGTCCAAGGATATCATCTCCAATTGAAATCAGCAATGCAGGCTCAGAGTCTTTGGCTCAGGTCTCCCAAGCATATAATTATTATTCTAATGAATTTGGAAAATTACATGTTCTCTAATAATAGCCCATGAAAGGAATATACAAATAGAAATACAGAAAGAAGTGACTTGCTGTGGGCCCTTTGAAGAACTTGGTGACTGAGTTTGTTCAGTTGTTTTTAGATAATAGAATTAGACTTAGACTATTGGGCCTCATTGAATAAAAGGGAAGTTTTTCATTAAAATATATATTCTGGGCTTCTGAAACAAAATCATAAGTTCAGGCCCACATTCTGTGCAGCATCAATCCAGAGCGGAGTAATGGTAGTTGTTTAGGGAAGAGGCATGAATTCTCCAGTTCTGGTAGTTTCCGTCATTCTCACTTTGTTTTCCTAACTGGCCTTGTCTGTGTAGTTATCTGAGTTTGCAGCTCCTGCTAAGCTTTATTTTCTTGCTTGGTTTTCTTTTACCCTCCTTCCAAGTTCCCTTCAGATGGCTCACAACATAAAATCCTGGGAAGCTCTTCTTCTTGCTATCTGTTGAAAATTAGTGTAAGCCAATCTTGTGTTTGATGATTATTGGATTATTAGAGAGATATCAATAACTGTCTAGAGTTAGTAGTTGAAGTCTGTAACAGAACTCCTCAAACTTTAACTTGGCTATGAATTGCCTGGTATCCTGTTAGTTACATTTGTTAATTCAGTAGGTCTAGAGTGGCCCTGCTGATGGTTGCATGCACCATCCATTGAGTAGAAAAGGTATAAGTTTCTGCCTCTAAAACTTTGTTCCCAGGTTCTATCAGAAGCAGGAAGCAAAACAAAGTTTGCCATTCATACAAGTGTTTATTAGCAATAGAATTTTTAAAAGGCATACAATCTGCCTTATAAACTGGATAAATCTCAAATCTTTGCCCTCTTAATTATCCTGACCATGTCTTTGCATAAAGCAAAAGTAACAGTGTTCTGGAAGTAGGGATTCTGTTAATCTGTTTCTTTTCTTTCTTTTTTTTTTTTGAGACCGAGTCTCACTCTATCACCCAGGCTGGAGTTCAGTGGCACAATCTCGGCTCACTGCAAGGGCCGTCTCCCGGGTTCAAGCGATTCTCATGTCTCAGCCTCCCAAGTAGCTGGGATTACAGGCACCCACCACCACACCCAGCTAATTTTTGTATTTTTAGTAGAAATGGGGTTTCCCCATGTTGGCCAGGCTGGCTTCAAACTCCTGACCTCAGGTAATCCACCCGCGTCAGCCTCCCAAAGTGCTGGGATTACAGGCGTGAGCCTCTGTTAATCTTTGAGGATTAATCCAGCAATCTCAGAATCAGTTGCTAGACAAAGGACAGTTTCAGAATCAAGCTTTGGTACCACTGCGAAGAATATGGACTACTGAGTGCCCTGCATTATTTTGCCTTAAACAAGTGCAGAAGGGTTTCTATAACATTTATCATAGTTCTAGCCAAGCCACATATTTTGAATACCAGCAATTTTATCAATGTAAACCCAATTATAAAAACATGCTAATGTCTAAACTTCTGGGGTCAATTGTAGATAAAGACAGCTAGATGCTTGTAGTAACTTTCCTTGCAGTGTGGCTCTTTGATTAAACTCTGTGAACGATTTCCTATAACGTGTATCCCAATTAGGGCAACCAGCAGCACCTATTTTTATTATACTGTCTTTGATAATATATTATAAATTAAATTACACACCACAGGACAGACTCTTCACAAGAAATGGATGCTTCAAACCAGATTTGGCCCAATTCTGAGGTGGGAAGGATCGGTTTTACATTTGAGAGAGATCAATGTGAAGGAGGCAGGAAGAAACAGCCCCTTCCAGTGAGGTGTGGAATTTTCCACTACCACCTTCTAAGCAAGACCTGAGGGTCCCCTCACCCAAAACCCTTCTATTCTTGGCACACTCGTTTTTTAGATTAATTTCTATTTGGGCCCCTTTCCCATCATGTCTTCAGTACAACATTCTCTCATGTGACTTCATGACAAACAGAAACAGAAAATAAGTAGAAGCAACCCTAGAGATTGCCAAAGCCAGTGGGTTTTCCATCTTAGCTTTGAAGTCCTTTGTTCAGACCTAATATCACCCTGGGATGCAGACACATAATCCATATAGGAAACAGAAATGCTCTGGATGAAGCAGTGGGTGGATGCAGGGAAAGCAAAAACATAGCTCTTTTCCACGCTCCCAGTCCGTTCATCTGTTTGTGCTTGAGTGACTTCCAGTGGACACCAATAACCTGATCATTCTTCTGTCACCCATTTTGCAGATTAGGAAACTAAGTCCTTGAGGGGATAAGTAAATTGCCTGAGTACACATAGCGAGATGTGGCAGAACAGAAACTCTCTTTCTGTTGTGGGTCAGACTACAGGCTTTAAGGGAATGAGGTGAAGGCACTCGCTCTTGTCCTGAGACTGATGGCTCAGTGGGATAACGACTCAGACTCCAAGCTGGTTGTCCATGCCCCTAAGCCTCCCCATCCAATTAGCTCATCCTTCAGTTCCGGATAATGGCTCAACTTTTTCCTTTCCGGGTTCTAGATGAAAACCTCTCTCTGCAGTCCTGGTATCACCTGAAAAGCAAAAAATAAGGATTTTCTTCCTTCTCAATACCATCTAGCACTTGAAGAAAAACTGCCAGCCAGCCAGATGGTAAGTTGTCATGGGGAAGATGACGTGGCTGCTCTCCACAGGGAGAGACTTTTCTGACTTTCCTCAAGTGAGTTACGCTCTTTTTAGTCTGCTTCGCAGACAGCCCATTTGCTAACATTGCATCAATATGTGCTCATCTCATTTCCCTAAAGGCTTCTGTTTCTCTCTAGGTCTCCTTTTCCACTGCATTTTTATATCTTCCTATCCTTTCCAGTGCCCTACAAGAATTTTATTCATACAAAAGCAGGCCTTCCCAAAACACAGAGTTACGTTTGGTGTTATCAACCACACTAGTGGTTATGATTGAAGATACGTTCTCCCCATCCTAAGATGGTAAAGCGCTCAAGGAGATAACTTCCTGTTCATACTCTTTACACTGTGGGCGTGTCACCCTGAGGATTCTGGGGGCTCCTTTTTATCCATATCTCTTTCCATCTTCCCCCTCTTTTCTCCTTTGTTCACAAGACCCTCCCTGTTGCCCCTTTCTCCACCTACCTGCCTTCTAAGACAGGAGTTGTAAGAAGGGGTGTTCAGCCTCATAAAGTACTGACATTGACAGCCTGGATCCTACTCACCACCATGCCACATTATTTACCAAAATCACATGGGTCTACAGCCTATTCCCAGAATATTATGATAGTATTAGATTGGTGCAAAGGTAATTGTGGTTTTCACCATTAAAAGTAATGATCATGAGAAAAAAAGAAACAAGAAAAAAGAAATCTTAAGAGGAAGAAGGAAAAGAAGGAAGAAGAGAAAGAAAAGTAAGAGAACTATGCACCAGTATTACTAGTAATACTAATAACTGACATTGACTGAGGAACTGTTTTATCCTGTACTACTCTGTGTGTGTGTGTGTGTGTGTGTGTGTGTGTGTGTGTGTGTGTGTGTGTATTACATTAAGGCCTCATGAGTACTATATTATTTCCCCTTATTTTACAAATGTGGAAATCTAGGGACATTTAAGCCCAATGAGCAAATAGGAAGCCAGGATTCAATGCCTGGGGAATCTGACTGCAGAGTCTGAGCTATATAGACTGCTGACCAAAGGTGGGCTAAGTGCCCAGCTTTCAGGGTTGGGAATTATTACGGTAGCGCCCATGTTTGGGGATTACACATATTGGTGGTTCCATGATTCAAAGGGCCAAGGATGTCACAAAGCCAGGGATTCCCATATCAAGGACATAGTATGGGAGAGGATTCTGAGGTGTTAAAGACAAGTGTTTTAAGTCAACAATCCAGAGGACATGCTTTTATAACAGGTGAAGTCATGGGGAAGGAAAGACTGAAGCACTGCTATGTTTGTCTTCCTAAGATCATTATATTGATAGTTTTCTAGACTCTCATCTCTTTGAGGAGGCTTAAGCTAATTTTTTTAAATTTTACTTTAAGTTCTGGGATACATGTGCTGAACGTGTAGGTTTGTTACATTGGTATACATGTGCCATTGTGGTTTGCTGCACCTATCAACCCATCATCTAGGTTTTAAGCTCCACATGCATTAGATATTTGTCCCAATGCTCTACCTCCCCTTTCCCCCCACCCCCCAATAGGCCCCAGTGTGTGATGTTCCCCTCCCTGTGTCAATGTGTTCTCATTGTTCAGCTCCCACTTATGAGTGAGAACATGTGGTGTTTGGTTTTCTGTTCCTGTGTTAGTTTGCTGAGAATGATGGTTTCCAGCTCATCCATGTCCCTGCAAAGGACATGATTCTTTTTTATGGCTGCATAGTATTCCATGGTGTATATGTGCCACATTTTCTTTATCCAGTCCATCACTCATGGGCATTTGGGTTCTTTTTAAAATCACTTTGTGAGTTGTGGAGTTTCTTCCATCTTAAATGCTGTCTTGCTATTGTGTTTCATTCACCTGTTACTCACATGTGGGTTATTCACTTTGGAGACCATTTCTGGGAAGTTTCAAATACTAACATGGCTTTTACATGCCACCCCTGGGCTCTTGCCTCGTTTTTCCATTGCCTAGCCATAACACAAATTAATTTCTATATTCATTGCTTCCAAATGGTTTTCTCAGATGTTCTTTAAGTGAATCCCTGCTTATTTTTGAATTTTCTACATCCCAACCCACTGCTCTTTTCCTCCATCCCTCAGAAGAGAGGGATTGATAGATGGTTATCCCACTGTGCTTTAAAGCAGACTCTACAAGTGCAGGAATTATGTTCATTTACAATTTGAAGGAATGTTAATACAACCTCTCCTTCCTTGCAAAGTACCCTCCACTTTAGTTTTTCCTTTTCAAAACTGACAGACTCTTCTTTGGACAACACTTAGGAGCCAAACATTTTGGCCTTTGTCTTAGATGAAATAATCCTATTAAAACATGAATGAGAACTGACACTTCCCATTTCAGAATGCAAATCATGCTTCTCTGCCATCAAGACCCCGCGTGCTCCACTTCCTGCTACTCTTCTGACTTCCTCCCCTACACTTTCCTCTTGTACCCTCTGCCCTGACTCCACCCCATTTTCTTGCTCCATCCCTTTTGTGGCCAGACACACTTATGTGCCTTGGGCCTTTTGCACTTGCCATTCCCTCTCTCTGCCTCTGCCTGAAATTCTCTTTCCCCAAATAGCTGCCTGTTCATTCTTATTATTCTTTGCTCAGATGTCATCCATCAGAAAGCCCTTCTCTGCCAGCTCAGTTTATAATAGCTAACCCCAAACATTTTCTATTTTTTACCCTGCTTATTTTTTTCACATCACAGCTCAGCACTTTGTTATATATTTCTTTACTTGTTTGTTGTCTGTCTTCCCCATTAAAATGTAAGATCTATAAGCTATGTTCACATTTTAAACAAAAACAAAACAGAAAACAACAGCAGTAGCAGCCACAACAACATCAACACTATCACGTCCTCAGCACCTAGAACAACACTTGGCCGGTAGTAGCATTTGTTTTGTTTGTTTGTTTGTTTGTTTGTTTTTATTATTATTATACTTTAAGTTTTAGGGTACATGTGCACAACATGCAGGTTTGTTACATATGTATACATGTGCCATGTTGGTGTGCTGCACCCATTAACTCGTCATTTAGCATTAGGTATATCTCCTAATGCTATCCCTCCCCACTGTTGAATGAACAAAGGCTGAGCTATGGTGAGAGAGGAGGCTATGCACTGGTGGGAAACGTACCAGATCTCCAGAATCACATATTACAAGTTTCTGGATCTAACTTTGTTCCTAAGATATAAATTGCTTGATTGCTCGTGGGAGTTCTGTTTACCTGTTCAGCGCCCTAGTTCTGCAGCAATGACTATTACTGGGCCTTGTTTTCTCTTCTATTCTTCAGCTGCCATCTTTCCAGAGAGGTTGCTCCCACTCATCCTCCCCAAGGAAGACATTGGCCAAGCAGACCTTGGCTCTCACATGCTAAGTGACTGCCTGAGGCATCATCACTAAAAGTAAGGGTCCAGTTCTTGCTTTCCACTTCCCTAGGTGCCTGGGCCAAGTCTCACTCTTAGCTTCTCCCTTGGGCTCCTATGTGCACAGAGCAAGAGAATTCTGGCAATTAAGGGGACCTGTCCATATGGGGACCAAGAGACTCGGCAACATATTTTGTGTTTCATTCCAACCATAGTGCCAAGTGTAGAATTAAATTTACTTTCTTAAGTTTGGAGTCTAACATGAGCCTTTGAGCAGTACCTGAGACACAAGGCTACAAACATTTCCCTTTCTTTCCACCTCAGTTCTGCTTTGCCCTGCAGCTGCCTGAATTAAGTATACATGTCAGAAGGCTTTAGTTGGTTCCTGAGAAACTTGTGTTCAAATCATGGCTCTGACAATTATTATCCATGTTTCTCAGACACTGGAAGGAATCCGTCTTAGGAAATAACACTTATTGAACAGTTACCTAGATCTGGGTCAAGCACCTTCTACACTCTAACTGTCTTAATCCTCAGAATTCTATAAGGTAGATACCGTAATTAACCAGGTTTTACACATTTTTAAAAAATTAGGCCAGGCGTGGTGGCTCAGGCCTGTAATCCCAGCACTTTGGGAGGCTGAGGCAGGAGGATCACTTGAGGTCCAGAGTTTGAAAATAGCCTGGCCAATATGGTGAAACCCCATGTCTGATAAAACTACAAAAATTAGCTGGGAGTGGAGGTGCGCACCTGTAATTTCAGCTTCTCAGGAGGTGGAGGCACAAGAACCTCTTGAACCTGGGAGGCAGAGGTTGCAGTGAGCCGAGATCACATCACTGCACTCCAGCCTGGTTGATGGAATGAGACTGTCTCAAAAAAAAAATTCAAGAGTTAGATAAACAAGGATTTGAACCAGAGCCCTAGCTCATTACCACTTCACTGCATCATCACTACTATGACTAGTTATCATTTGTGATATGACATGGATACCCTGATCCATGTGCCCAGGACCACCTGCTCCCTTTCTCAAGTACTTCAGACTTGTCCTATTGGTATACCTGGAAAGGCTCAAAACTGGGTACAATCTCAGGAAGAGTAGGTCTTCCATTTCGGAGATCCTCCTTTCATAGTAGGAGACAGTGTGTTATAATGGACAAAGGCTTTCTTGGTGACTCCCACTAACTGCATGTCTTTTGAGAAGTCAATTTAACCTCCTGGCCACTCAACTTTCTCAACTATAAAAGAAAGGCTTGAACCAAAGACTCAAAAATATTAATGAATGAATAATGAATAACATTTATTCTCCAACATCCAATGATTCTATAGCCAATATCCAACTTCTAACAGTTTTGGTTTCCATAGCCTCTCCAGGCTTCATTTGCAGGGCTCTGTGCACATTGATCCATTTCCCCCAGCACAGAAATCCTTATTCAGAGGATCTATGATGCTTTATATCAACCAGATAATACAAAGTAGTCTGGTCACCCAGCTGCCTCTTTGGGAGAACTATGAGTTCATTTCTTACAACCTGCCACAACTATTGCTAATAATGATAGCTAACATTTGTCGTACCACATATTCTTCTAATCATCTTACATTTAATTAATAACTTAATATAATTAATTGTTATGATTAATTAATAATTTAATCTTCACAACAATACCATGAAGTAGTTACTAGTATTAATACCCATCAGTCAGCTAGGCGTGGTGGCTTACGCCTGCAATCCCAGCACTCTGGGAGGCCGAGGCAGGTGAATCACGAGGTCAGGAGTTCAAGACCAGCCCTACCAACATGGTGAAACTCTGTCTCTACTAAAAATACAAAAAATTAGCTGGGGGTAGTGGCGGGCACCTGTAATCCCAGCTACTCAGGAGGCTGAGGTGGGAGAATCACTTGAACCCAGGAGGCAGAGGTTGCAGTGAGCCGAGATTGTGCCACTGCACTCCAGCCCGGGTGACAGAGCAAGACTCCATCTCAAAAAAAAAAAAAAAAAATACCCATCTGTCAATAAAGAAGGAATCAGCATCCTAAATTATTTGAGCTCTTCTCTTCTGAAGTTTCACAGCAGCCTAAGGCATTCACCAGGGCCTCTGGAGTAAACAAGGGGGAAGCAGGGCCTGCCTAAGTTCACAATGAAGGAGAGGCAGAAAGGCCTTTCCCTAGGTTCCCTGCAAGAAGATGCTGTCCAGCTGGTGCTCAGGGCTCATGTGTCATTTCAGCACTGGCAGCAGCTGTTCCTCACCAGTCCTGTATAAATCTGGAAACTGGAGAACATTGTCAACCTCTGTCCTGTTGCACTGGTATCTTCTTTCCCCAGTGAGATGCCTTGGAGACTGAAATGTCCCTGTTTGGAAATGTCAACAAAAGAGACTGCTGCTTTGATTTCCTTGTCCTTCTTTTCTGTTAACACTCTGGAGAGTGTGACGCAGCTGATCTCACCTTACAGAGGCTACCTTGAGTGGTCATTCGGAGAAAGTAGAGGTACTGAAGGTGGAGGAGGTGGCTTTCTGGAAGTCAGCAAAGATGACAAAATGCACCAAATGGGAGCTGCCATCAGCCTTGCTCTTTGACCAGCTCTGTCATTTTATAACTTGGGGGTGAATTACAGGTTCGAGTGATAGAGAAGGGGCCATGGCATGTCACCATCTATTTAAAGAGCTGTGAAGACACTGTCAGCAAGCTTTGCCTAACGAGGATGCAGGGATGACCTGCCCTTTATGTTTACTCCTTCAAGATTGAATGTGTGTTGCTGCTTTCCTGCCAGTAAAGGCAACAGTTGCAGTTACATTATTTTTGCAACAAAAGAGTCAACATTTTTCAAAAGTGACACAAATTCACCTTTAACTTTGTTCGAGGAGATTGATTTTTTCTTTCTTTAAAAAATGTTAAAGGTTTAGGTAGTTTGGAAGTTTTTTTAATTTTAGCAGTTTCCAACTCATGCTGAAAGAGTTTGTGGATTTGGTCATTCCGCTAAGCAGTTGCAAATATGCACCTTGCTTAACAACATAGTGGTTATGCTCCTCAAGAGTAGCATTTTACGTTTTACATTTCCAAGTGTAAAAAGATAATGATAACATATTCTCTTCTCCCCCCAAAATTCAATAAGTATAATTGAATATTTAGGCAATATCTTCAGATGCTTTTTATTTTAATACAAATAGCAGTAAAATGTTTATAGTAGAAAACAGCAGTTATATCTCCCACTATCAACAACTTTTGGCTTTCTTAGTTGCTTCTTTCAGAATATACCTCCATAATTTTATAATGTATTTATTCTTATATTTTTTATGTATTGATTTAATAGCATTGACCACTTATACTTATAGGCTGGGCGCAGTGGCTCACATGTATAATCCCAGCAATTTGGGAGGCTGAGGTGGGTGGATCACTTGAGGCCAGGAGGTCGAGACCAGCCTGGGCAACATGGGGAACCCCATCTCTACTAAACATACCAAAATTAGCCGGGTGTGATGGTTCATGCCTGTAATCCCAGCTACTCAGGAGGGTGAGGCATGAGAATCACTTGAATCTAGGAGGTGGAAGTTGCCGTGAGCTGAGATTGCACCACTGCACTCCAGCATGAGCAACAGAGTAAGGTCTGTCTCAAAAAAAGAAAAAGTAGCATAGATGGCAATGTTTGGTGAAGGAAGTCTTCCTGTTAATTCACGCTGCAGTGCCTGAACTTCTTTATCTGATCGTCTTAGAAATTATCAAGAAGATAATTACCCTAATTTGATCATTTTATGCATGTATCAAAACATCACACTGTACCCCATAAATATGTACAATTATTATGTGTCAATTAAAAATACAACAACAAAAAAAAGAAATCCTCAAAACATGGCAGCAACACCTAGCTCTTTGGCTTTGGTACCTTGTCTCTTGATATTCTCGATATTTTTCCTAGAAGTTGATGTCTACAAACACTTAAATGGACCAGAGGAAGCTTCTACCCAAAGGAATCCTCCAAAACATCTCAGTGAAGTATGGACTTCTTCCGATGTCAGAAATAGCTTCAAAATTTAGTTGCTTTGTTAGTATTCAGTTTAATAAATCTTTGATGTTCATAGGAATGTAATCAAAGATCTTCAAGAATTTCCAAATGTAAAAAGATAATGATAACATATTCTCTTCTCCCCCAAAAATTCAATAAGTATAATTGAATATTTAGGCAATATCTTCAGAAGCTTTTTATTTTAGTACAGCATAGTTCACTTTTTAATTTGTCCCAGACTTCTATTTTCTGGATAAGAACCAGTCATCAGTTGCACAGATCTATTCAATATCTTCTTAAAAAAATTTATCCATGCTTCTTATTTTTTAAACCAACTTTGATTTTTATCAAAGTAATGCACAAAATTGTTGAAAAATCAAATAGCAGTAAAAGGTTTATAGTAGAAAATGGTGGTTATATTTCACACTATCAACAACTTTTGGCTCTCTTAATTGTTTCTTTCAGAATGTATCTCCATAATTTTATAATGTATTTATTCTTATTTTTTTTATGTGTTGGTTTCATAGCATTGACCACTTATACTTTGTTAGATAAAGGTTAGCTTTCCTCCTCACATACACTGACACACATACTCTTATCCATATAACTATCCTTTAAGAGTATTACTGTTCACACTTCTGGTTAAATAGTACTGTTTGTTTATATTTTATGACTATAGGAATATTATACTCTGCTGAGCAAAACATCCTTTCTTACAGAAATTTTTGTTTTTCCTAGAGTTTACAGTGTCTTGATTTTTTCATTTGATTAATTTTTTTGTGTCCAGTCACTGACTCTTTCCTACACCTCTGGCAGATCTACACTATTCCACCATCACCACTACCACCTCCGTGCTGACAGTATTCTCCATGTGGTCAAATGCATCCAATAGTTTATCTTTACATTGTCATTCTCAATCCAGCATCCTGAAATGGCATCCATTCCAGGATATTTTTTAACAAAGAAATAAAATCATTATTCTCTTAAGAGTTGTTATTCTTCCGCAACAAAACTTCACTGCAGTGTGCTTGCTGAGTTAGCAATAAAGTTCACTCCATATATAAATAGCTCAAACCTTGCAGGAAAAAATTTAAATTTGTGCCTCAGCAAAAAGACAGATCATAACATCAGGAACTTTTAGGGGTTGTGTGACTGGTAAATATCTCCAGGTTTAATATCCCAAACCATTCTAAAGGCCCACTTTAGATGTGGAGAAGCCCTGGGAAGCTTATGGAGGGCTTGCAATACATAACACACCACACACACACACACACACACACACACACACACATACACAAATGCACACATTTTCCCTAGGTCCCAATAAGTAAAGGGTAGCTGGGTGCACAAGGAAGTTGTTAGTTTCCATTATGTATGAGAGAGGGAGGTTCTTTTTTAAAAGACAAGACACTTATTATCAATCCTAGGACTGTCAGTTCTGTCTCCATGGCTGGTAACCTTGCCTCTAGGCATCTTTCCTAACTGTTGTTCACCTGGAATGTGTCCTTGCCAAATGGGACTACATTTGCTTTCTACACCCATCTTCCTCTGCCAAACAAGGATGCAGCTGCAATCAATAACAGTCTGCTTCCAACTTCTGATGTAGTGCAAGCTTCCAGATGATGAGGGTCTTCAAAATTCAAGTCCCATAAAGAAAAGTGAAAGCCCTAGCTGAGAATAAAGACTTCACGTTGCTCAACCATCAGAAACCCTCACCTCTTCTGATTCCTTCTCTGGCTGTATTCCAGGATTACGGATATACCTGGAGCCAAGGGCAGCTAGACAGCGTGGCAGAGAAATGCACAAAGCAGCCCATGACTATCCACAGGGTGTTTAGGAAGATCACCTTGACTGCTGCTTGCTAGTAGCACCTTCCTATTACAATGAATCTTGCCTATTTATTCTAATGAGTATTCTTTCCTCTTGTAAAAAGAAATTAGTGATTTTTTTTTTGTAGTTATCAAAGCAGGGGATGATGGGCATGGCCCAGTGGTGAGGTTGAAAGCAGCATTCAAGTGGACACCAGAGTTGAGACAGAATCTCCTGGCAACCAGGAGCTTGGGAAGAAGCTAGAAAGAGACAATTTCACTCTCCCAAATGTCCAAAACATAGATGTGTTTTACAGAACAACCATTATAAGGAGCTTCCTCTCTTTATGTAAAGAGCTTTTCAATCAGATAATTTTTTTTCTCTGATATGATTGGTTATTTAGCCTCATGTTCATGTCTCTAATATCACATTTTGGTGAAAGATATCCTTTTTTAAATAATAATTTTAGCTGTCAGTCTTTTCAGTGGAGATGATACATTCTTACACCATCACATTAACAATTCAGACTGAGTCAACAACAGCTTGATGGGGCACCTGATTTTGCATAAAGAACACAACACATTGAACTCTCTGTTCCTTGCACAGGCGGAGGAATCTGTTCTTTTGTTTATCAACATTAGGTCATTCTGAGGTGCAGTACCAAGGGCTCCATTTTAGTAGCTCCTGAGACAGCCTGGAAATTAACTGGTCAATTAGACATACAGCCTGGATGTACCTCTAATTGACAATGAATACTTTTTGATACTATATCTGTTTAGGAGATTATCTACAAATTGCTTTAGGCATTGGATGGCTCCAAATGGTTATATGGACATCTGTTTTTGTTGGCCACGAACATGCTATTCACAATGACAATTT
This sequence comes from Homo sapiens, assembly GCF_000001405.40. Classification (NCBI taxonomy): domain Eukaryota; kingdom Metazoa; phylum Chordata; class Mammalia; order Primates; family Hominidae; genus Homo; species Homo sapiens. Next base: position 117,567,940 of record NC_000008.11, read on the forward strand.
TATCATTAACTGAAATCATGGCTTCATCTACTATATTATTCTGAAAGTTTCTAACTTTCTTATAATGATCAGTGGGGAGTGTGTCTATGATATTTCTGTGGTGAAGGATTTCTAAAGAAATGTGTTCTTTTATTCATTCATTGAAAAGAACATATCTGTCCTTGATGTATATATGTACACTTTTCCTAAGAAACTCATTTAATACTGACCCTGGAGTAGCATAGAGGAATTGCTCTTCTCATCTGCATGCCTAGGCTCTGGCAATACAAAGCTTATTCTAGATATTCTCCTGATGAAGCATCATGCATTTGTTTAATACTCAAAATAGATCCCAGAGAGCACCATCTGAGAGACCCACACTGAAGATTATGCTATAAATTATCTGATTATTACTCCTCAAAACTGTCAAGGTCATCAAAACCGAGGAAAGTCTGAGAAACTGTCACAGTCTAGAGGAGGCTGTATTGGTTTGTTCTTGCATTGCTATAAAGAAATACCTGAGACTGGGTAATTGATAAAGAAAATACTTTTTATTGGCTCACATTGCCACAAGCTGTACAGGAAGCATGGCTGGGGAGGCCTCAGGGAGCTTTCACTCATGGTGGAAGGCAAAGCCAGAGCAGGCATCTTCGTATGGCCGAAGCAAGAGAAAGAGAGAGGAGGTGCTACACACTTTTAAACAACCAGATCTCACGAGAACTCTATCATGGGAACAGCATTAGGGGGATGGTGCTAAACCATTAGAAACCACCCCCATGATATAATCACCTCCCACCAAGCTCCACCTCCAGCACTGGGGATTACACTTCCATATGAGATATGGTTTGGATTTGTGTTCCCACCCAAATCAGATGTTAAGGAGATATGATAACTCAATGAAATGTAATATTCTCGATGGGATCCTGGGACATAAAAAAAGCATTAGGCAAAAACTAAATAAATTATGGAAATTTAGTGAGTAATAATATAGCAATATTTCATTAATCGCGATAAGTGTATCACACTAATGTAAAATATTAACAATAGGGGAAACTGGGTTCAGAGTATATGGGAACTCTGTACTCTTATCTTTGCAACTTTTCTTTAAATCTAAAACTATGCTAATTTTTTAAAGTCTTGTTTTAAAAACATTTTTCAAAAAGATGACATTGAGAAGGATTTTCCAGTTTGCTTCTGATGGGGACATTGGACTCCAGGTTAAAATCATTGAATCCAGGTGAAAATTATTGGGCTCCAGTTGAAAATTATTTGTTAGTCTCTAATTTTTGTGCAGTAGTTAAGAGTACAGATCTGGTCTTAAATCATTTTGGACAGTTTGGTAATTTCTCTGAGGCTCTGCCTCCTTATCTGTAAAATGGGAGTAATGATGTCAATCTCACAGCTACCTCCAGAGAATCATATGAAGTAAGGTTCAAAAATGCTACCACAGTGCCTACAAATAGGAAGTGTTCACAGAAATGGTAGCTGTTATTATAAATAATAATAAAGGAAATTTGGATTTTCCTATTGTTCAGCTCCCAGCTCCCAGTAGAAGATCTTAAAGAATAGCATTTCATTTTCTTGCCAACAGAGCTTCAGGGTTACAAGAAGCTGAGGCATGAGGATGTAAGGCATGGTCTGTGTTAACAAGGATAGCAGGTGGGATCTCAGTGAAGGGAGGAAAGTTGTTGAATGCAGAAGCCTCTGCTAAATTGAAATGGGAGAAATGGCTTAGAGCTGCATATAGATTAATCACAGATTATTACTTGGCTTAAATTTACGGGCACATTTCAGTGGCAAATTGGGGTGGTGGGAGCAGAAAGCAGAGAGAAGTGGCTAAATCAAGCTGCCCTTGCCTGTTCTTCATCAGGCATGTCCTTCCCTGCATGGTCTACTAATCATGGCATGGCTATCTACATGCTTGTAACTATGATGGGTCATTGATTTTCACATTCAGTTTGATGCTTGCCTTGTGGTTTGTGATTTGAAAATCTATTCTACTCAGAAGGAAGCTACAAATGACCATCAAACATAACAAATCTTGAACTCTAACTACCCAGAAAACAACAGTCTCTTAAATTGATGACCTAATAGTCAAGGACATTTTGTTTTCTGTTTCCAGAGCTCTGAGAAACATCAACTGTATTAAAGGAAGAGCGGACACACCTTCCATTTTTCTAATCAATTGACAAATGTAAGTTCTTCCTGCAAACGTTTTGCCTACTTCCTCCAAAAGTCTTAGGAGGGACAAAATTACCTTAACATACTCATTACAAGGTGATTACTTGTTTAGATTAGAACACTACATATGATGATTGGCTTGTTGCACATCCAAATGGTAGATTGTATCAATAGCCATATGAAAATCAGTTCCTGTAAGCATTATTTCAAAGGATGGGTCAAAGCCAATGGGTATCTAACAATCTACTTCTCCTCACTTTTCCATTGTTAACTGGTAGAGAGGCTCAGTAATTGGCCACTTCAAGAAAAGGTGTCACCGGAGTTCACAAAACCTACTCAGAAATAGCATTACATTGATCAATCTTCAGTTCAAGCTCATTCCAGTAAAAGCATCACAGGAATATAAGTGACCCTTACAAATAGGCTAGGAAGAAAATCAGAATATTTCCCAGCTAATGAAACTGATTTTAAAATCCACCAAAAAATGCTGCAAAGCAATATTCTTCCTTTAGAGTAAATTAGAGGGCAGCTGATTCTATAAGAACACAAGCGCAGTAGTGATACAAGATGGTGTCAACTTCTCAATTAGAATGAGTTAGAAGGCTTATAGGTGATAATCCATTTTAACAAGCATCCATCAAAACAGAACTCACCATCTCATAAAAAGATTCCCAAGCTCCAACTCATGTCCAATTATTTTAAGTCATCATCCATTCAAGAAAATTTCAGGACAGTGAAAGAGCCTATGATACCCACTGAGGGTTTTTTTTTTTTAAATTATACTTTAAGTTTGGGGATACATGTGCAGAACATGCAGGTTTGTTACATAGGTATACATGTGTCATGGTGGTTTGCTGCACCCATCAACCCATCATCTACATTAGATATTTCTCCTAATGATATCCCTTCCTACCCTTCCCCACCCCCCCGGAGGCCCCAGTGTGTGACATTCCCCTCCCTGTGTCCATGTGTTCTCATTGTTCAGCTCCCACTTATGAGTGAGAACATGCAGTGTTTGGTTTTCTGTTCCTGTGTCAGTTTGCTGAGAATGATGGTTTCCAGCTTCAACTACGTCCCTGCAAAGGACATGAACTCAACCCTTTTTATGGCTGCATAGTATTCCACAGGGTATTTGTGCCACATTTTCTTTATCCAGTCTATCACTGATGAGCATTTGGGTTGGTTCCAAATCTTTGCTATTATGAATAGTGCTGCAATAAACATACATGTTCATGTGTCTTTAAAACAGAATGATTTATATTCCTTTGGGTATATACCTAGTAATGGGATTGCTGGGTAAATGGTATTTCTGGTTCTAGATCCTTGAGGAATCACCACACTGTCTTCCACAATGGTTGAACTAATTTACACTCTCACCAACAGTGTAAAGGCATTCCTATTTCTCCACATCCTCTCCAGCATCTGTTGTTTTCTGACTTTTTAATGATAGCCATTCTAACTTGTGTGAGATGGTATCTCATTGTGGTTTTGATTTGCATTTCTCTAATGACCAGTGATGGTGAGCTTTTTTTCATATGTTTGTTGGCCACGTAAATGTCTTCTTTGAAAATCTGTCTGTTCATATCCTTCATCCACATTTTGATGGGGCTGTTTGTTTTTTTCTTGTAAATTAGTTTCAGTTCTTTGCAGATTCTGGATATTAGCCCTTTGTCAGATGGATAGATTGCAAAAATTTTCTTACATTCTATAGGTTGCCTGTTCACACTGATGCTAGTTTCTTTTGCTGTGCAGAAGCTCTTTAGTTTAATTAGATCCCATTTGTCCATTTTGGCTTTTGTTGCCATTGCTTTTGGTGTTTTAGCCATGAAGTCTTTGCCCATGCCTATGTTCTAAATGGTATTGCCTAGGTTTTCTTCTAGGGTTTTTATGGTTTTAGGTCTTATGTTTAAGTCTTTAATCCATTTTGACTTAATTTTTGTATAAGGAGTTAAGGAAGGGGTCCAGTTTCAGTTTTCTGCATATGGCTAGCTAGTTTTCCCAGCACCATTTATTAAATAGGGAATCCTTTCCCCATTGCTTGTTTTTGTCAGGTTTGTCCAAGATCAGATGGTTGTAGATGTGTGGTGTTATAACCCCATCACCTCAGCCCCAAATCTCCTTAAGCTGATAAGCAACTTTAGCAAAGTCTGAGGGTACAAAATCAATGTGCAGAAATCACAAGCATTCCTATACACTAATAATAGACAAAGAGAGCCAAATCGTGAGTGAACTCCCATTCACAATTACTTCAAAGAAAATAAAATACCTAGAAATACAACTTACAAAGGATGTGAAGTACCTCTTCAAGGAGAATTACAAACCACAGCTCAAGGAAAAAAAGAGGACACAAACAAATGGAAAAACATTCCATGATCATGGATAGGAAGAATCAATATCGTGAAAATGGCCATACTGCCCAAAGTAATTTATAGATTCAATGCTATCCCCATCAAGCTACCATTGACTTTCTTCACAGAATTAGAAAAAACTATTTTAAATTTCATATGTAACCAAAAAAGAGCCTATATAGCCAAGACAATCCTACGCAAAAAGAACAAAGCTGGAGGCATCACACTGCCTCACTTCAAACTATACTGCAAGGCTACAGTAACCAAAACAGCATGACACTGGTACCAAAACAGATATATAGACAAATGGAACAGAACAGAGGCCTCATGGGGTGTTTTATCAAAGACTACAAAATGAAAAGAGGAGTTGATTTGAACAACGAAGATTTTCAAACATATTTCAGAAACATAGGTATTACATGAAGTGAAATATACCTCGTGAAGTTGCTGCTTAGAAGGGGATGACCTTCTCTTTCCCCTGAACTCTTTCTAGGTTGCCTTCTCTCATTGCTTTGAGAAAGGAATCAGATGGGGAAACGAGTAATAACTGCCAAGTTGTTCTCAATAAGTTCTAGCCTCACAGTTCCTTACAGCCTGGGTACTATGGCAATATTCTTTACCTCTCTGTAGCTCAGTTTGTTCATCCTTAAAATGGGCAGCATAAGTAGTACGTAACCTAACTCTTGAATTCTAACTACCTAGAAAACAGCCTCTTAAACTGATGACCTGATAGTCAAGGGGTATGGGTTTTAGTGTGGATTCTATGAGTTAATGTATGCAAAGTCATTCAATGAGCACTTGCTATCATTGTTATTACAATTGTTGCTCAAGCTGGAAAAGAGGTGATGATGACAAAAAAAAGAAAGCATTATTTAGGTAGTGAGATATTGGGGATGATGGAGAGTTTCCTCCAAAATATCAGCTTCACTCAATGGCAACAGTAGACACTCCAGGCTTAGGCCTGGCAGTATAGCATTCCCTAGTCTTCTAAAGCCAACAATTGATTCAGTGATAGACACTTAACTTAAGTTACTCCCATGAAGTGCCAATTTAAAAGGGCAGAGGCTTCACCTGCTTTGCTCTTTGCTCTGTTTCCTGCCACCCATTTGAAGAATGTTCAATGAATTTGGGACTTAAGAAAAAAAATTCCCTTTCCACTGGGCTTGCCCAACTAATAGAACAAAAGCCTTGAGCTACTGACAGCCATTTATTTTACTCTTATGAAAGGAGCGCCTGTTTGAGAATGAAGCCAAACCAGAGGACAAAAGAGCCAAGAGAAAAAAGTTAGGTTCCTGAAGATGTTTGAGCACCTGGTTACAGCTGTGCCTGAAGGAAACATACTCTTGATCCTACTAGGTAAGGGAGAAATAAAATCAATCTCTTCCTCTCTGTGTTGTTGTTTTTTATTGTTATTGTTGTTCTTTTTAAATCCATTTGAGTAGGGTTTCTGTAACTTGTGACTCACAGAGTCTTGACTTTACTGTCCCTATGCTTGGGTTTACTCAAACAACTATAGGTTAGATTAAATCGAGAAGCAGAGGACACAATCCCAAGGAAGATGGAGATAGGATAGGATATAGAAGAGACAAGTGAGATTCCCCAGAGCCCTGCTTTAGATGGAGTCAAGAGACTCCACCTTTTCCTGTCCTAACAGAAACCTCAAGCAGGGGGCGGGGGGAATCTCACTCCCTATTGTTTCTACCACAGTTCTTGTGGTCAGGATGCTTTCTAGATAATCTGATCCTACTGGGACTATAGAGGATTGGAGAAAGAAGAACCCAGAGCTCCCAAGTTTACCTGGTCTGGAAGTCTTCACACATTAAAATTTTCATTTAATTTCCTGAAAAGTTGATATTTTGGAAACACACATTTGTTTCATAGTTACACCCTTGTGAAAAGCTTTTAATTTAATTAATTTATTTTTTAACTAAGCTTCTCCTTTTGAACTACCCTCAGCCACTTCCACTTTAGTGGGAGGAAAACCTCTCAGTCCAAATCACTGAAGATAAGGACAGCATCTTGTTTGTGTTTTAATTCCTGTTCGGCAGAGTACCAGGAAGCATGCAAGAGCCTCCTTTAATCAATTCCTGCCGTGGCCAAGCCAGACATATTTCATCTTCTGGTTGGACCCTCAGGGCTGAATTTGCAAAGAATGCATTCTAAGCCATTAAGCCAATAAATGAACCTATATTCAAAAAAGACTGTTTAAGTAGTTAGTTTAGTTACTTATAGGGGATTTAAAGGTATAAAATCACTGGCTTAGGAATGGACAGGCTGCAGATCAGAGCTTATCTCCCACTTGGCTGAGCTGTCATGGAGGAAGCTGGCAGCCACTCAGAACAGACAGTCACCCGACCAGTCGCTGTCACCATTTGCAACTAGAGGCACACACACAAAAAGATGACCATATGGCACCTGCCTCAACAACAACTGTATCTAAGTAGACACTGAAGTTGTATGTCCTTTAGCTGTCATGAAGTTGAATTTCAACAGAAAGTGAGTGGTAGTTAAACAATTTCTGCCAGAAAGATTAAAATTGAAAGGCTTAATTTCATCCCTATCTTGTATAAACAGTACAAATGTCTTCTCTTTATCACGGTCAAATCTTCCCAACTCTACATTAATTATGATCCAATTAACAAATGGAACATGATAGCCTATCTTCTCCCTTGCAGTTTGTAAGAAAAATCAGGATTTCTTAACTTGGCTTTCTCTTGGCTCACATTGTACATCTGTCTCCTAAAGATCTTGGGTAAATTTAAGCTTTTATTCATAAATTTACTCCCATACAAAAGTCATGTTTAATGAGCATGTTTCTCACACAGTTGCAATCCATATTAATGTATACCTCTCTTTAATGTTTTCCAAAATGTGATCCATAGAAAACTAGTCTTACAGGTCCCCCCCATCCAAAAAAAGAGGATACTCCATGGTAAAATAAGTTTGGGAAACATCAGATCATCAGATGTCACATTCTCCAGTCTGAGATTCACAATGCATGACACTGCATGCAAAAGACTCTGAGAAGTTATGTAGAAAACAAAACATTTTCTTCCAGGGTTTTTATAGTTTGGAGTTTTACATTTAGGTTTTTAATCCATCTTGAGTTAATTTTTGTATGAAGTGTAAGGAAAGGGTCTAGTTTCAATTTTCTGCATATGGCTAACCAGTTCTCCCAGCATCATTTATTAAATAGGCAATCCTTTCCTCATTGCTTGTTTTTGTCAGGTTTGTTTAAGATCAGATGATTGTAGATGTGCGGTTCTTATTTCTGAGTTCTCTATGCAACAAAGTTGCACATCCTACACATGTACCCCAGAACTTAAAATTAAAATTAAAATTAAAAAAATAAATTTACATATCCCTAATTACTAAAAAATAAAAGAAAGAAAGAAATTGTGGTAGATATACCATGGAATATTATTCAGCCATAAAAAAGAAATGAAATAATAACATTTGTAGGAACCTGGATGGAATTGGAGACTATTATTCCAAGTGAAGTAACTGAGGAATGGAAAACCAAACACTGGATGCTGTCACTCATAAGTGGAAGCTAAGCTATGAGGATGCAAAGGTGTAAGAATAATATAATGGACTTTGGGAACTCACGGGTAAGGGCGGAAGTGGGGTGAAGGATAAAAGACTACGAATTTGGTACAGTGTATACTGCTTGGGTGATGGGTGCACTAAAATCTCATAAGTCACCACTGAAGAACGTATTCATATAAAAAAACACCACGTGTTCCCCCAAAAACCTATGGAAATAAAACATTTTTAAAATGAAAACAAAACAAAACAAAAAACCTGTTTAACTGTCTTTCATCCAGTATTTAAAGAATCAATTTGTCTAATGGAGAAACCCCATCTCTACTAAAAATACAAAATTAGTCAGGGGTGGTGGCACATGCCTATAATCCGAGCTACTCGCGAGGCTGAGGCAGGAGAATCACTTGAACGCAGGAGGCGGAGGTTGCGGTGAGCCGAGATCGTGCCATTGCTCTCCAGCCTGGGCAACAAGAGTGAAACTCTGTCTCAAAAAAAAAAAAAAAAAAAAAAAGAAAAGAAAAGAAAGGAAACTTTTCTTCATAGACCTCTGTTAACAGTCTACAAAGCCAGCAGCTTGGGGAACTAAGTGTGGATCTAGCTTCAGAGACAAACACTAGACCTTCATTTATGTCCAGAGCTGAGGAAAGACAATTTTTAGTATGTATTAATGGTGTGTGTATGTGTGTTTATGCTTAAGATAATATTCTATTTGTTTAATTAATTCCCTTGGCTTTACTCAGAAGTGTTTCGGGATGGGAAAATGACAGGTCATCACGGTTTTCTGGTCTGAAGTCCAGGATTTTGCTAAGATATTTTAAATGCACATCTTGATTAGACAATATTTTAATAGTGGTGAAAATGCAAATAGTAATAGAGTTCATGAAAGTTCATATCATTGATTTTATTCTGTCACCTAGACAGAATCTGGGGTGGGCTTCCTGGAAGCCTAAGTCTAAGTCTAACTTTAACTTAAGTGCTCCCTACCTCCCAGCCAAACTAGCACCTCCTCCATCCCCATTTGCTATCCTCCTTAGTCTGTGATCCTGGCTTTGACAGAGAGGCAAGCAGGCAATAGGCCAAAGCTGGGAAGGCAGGAAAACCTGTACTGAAGGACAAGTGGAAACAACTTGGGAGGGGTGGAATTAAAGCTCCTATGCTGCTCTCCACATGCTTCCCAGTCTCAAGTACCTCACCCAGGAGAGTCATTAAATCACTTAATTAAATTACTCAATTAAAGGGGCCAAGCAATACCTCTGAGGGGAAAATACTACATTTGGATTCTTAAGATATTTCTGATGCTAAAAACTTTAAATGTTTTATATGTGTTTTATACATAGATATACATATGTAAAATTACTTATATTCTAAAAAGATGCCTGTGCCATTGAATGAGGATGTTAGCACCCTCATTTGACCAATGAGATCACAAAGTTTGCACAATGAGTCAATTACCCCAGGTTACAAAAAGAATCACCAGGAAGAGTGGGCCTCCCAATTATTTCTTCTTACCCAGTATATTGAATTCTGTTGTCACATGAGAATTAAAGATGTACACTTGGCTTGTGACCACATTCTTATTTGCTAGTATATGAAATATTGTTAGATGTATATCTTCTTTAAATATGTCCTCCTTTTCTCTTGCTCCTCATCCCCCATCTCAAACTGTCAAGTGATTGTGTATTTCTGAAATAATTAATGTCCATAGAGTACCTGAAATTCTAAGGACATTTTATGTAACAGCAAAATAAATAAATAAAAACCACCATATAAAGCAGAAGAAATTCAATCTACTTGTTTTGTCTACAAATGTCAAACAACCAAACACCTGGTTTGATTGATTTTTTAAATTGTGCTGATTGAGTTGACTGGTGGTTGTCATGTAGCAAACATGCAACTTAATCCTTCCTTTTCCTAAAAGTGGCTTTGTGTTCAGCATCAAACCCCATTATCACTGATTATTAAGATGTCCACATTATGAAATATTTTAGTTGGAAATAAGTCACTTCATTGTATTAAGTGGCAACTATGTGTTCATTAGGCAGCTTTTTGTTTGTTTTTTAGTAGAGCCTCTACATAGCATTGTGAAAAAGAGCAAAGTCAAACAGACATGGCCTGCATCTTAAGAATTCTAGAAAGGAGGATGAACCTTATGTGCAACTGTCATTAACAGCAGAAGTAAGGACCAAGAAACAGGGCTTCATGGAGATGTGGCATTTGTCTTGAGTTTGGAAATATAATAAGGGGCCAGGCACAGTGGCTCATGCCTGTAATCCCAACACTTTGGGAGGCCAAGGTAGGTGGATCACTTGAGGTTAGGAGTTCAAGACCAGCATGGCCAACATGATGAAACCCTGTCTCTACTAAAAATACAAAAACTAGCCAAGAGTGTTGGTGGGTGCCTGTAATCTCAGCTATTTGGGAGGCTAAGGCAAGAGAATTGCTTGAACCTGAGAGGCAGAGGTTGCAGTGAGCTGAGATCACACCGCTGCACTCCAGCCTGGGCGACAGAGCAAGACTCCATCAAAAAAAAAAAAAAAAAAAAAAAAAAAAAAGAAGCAAAGAAAGAAAAGAAATATAGAACGAATTTGAACAAATCCAAAAGGAAGGAAAGAGTATAAGCAAAATTACAGAGGCAGCAACATCACTGTCTGTTTTGGTATGGCCAAGGTGTGATAGCTGAGGGTGGGCACTTTGGAGAGTTAGCTTATGGCCAGCTCACAGTGGACTTAGATGCTTGGCTACAAAGACAGAACCTCACAAGGTGTGCACAGAGGGTTTGTTATCTCACAGCCCTCTCAGAGGGATAGAGCAGAGTGGCCAAGAGCAGGGGCTCAAACCCTAGCCCCCTTGCTTCCTGGGAAGATTATTTAATCCCTCCCAAGCTTAAGTTGCCTCATCTGAAAAATGAAGAAAATAGCTCTTTCCTCCTGGGTCTGATGCAAGTTAGGTAAGTGTATTCATTTATGCACAAGTGTTTATTGAGCACCTATTATTTTCCAGGCACTCTTCCAAGAATTGACAATACAGCTGTGATGAAAAAAGGCAAACTTCTTAGGGGGGTTACATTCTAATGGAGGAGACAGATGGGACACTAGATAAATTAAGCTTCATGATCATGATGAGTGCTATGAAGAAAAAATAAACCAGGAAAGGAAGATTGAAAGCAACAGGTTGATATTGGCCAGAGAAGACCTCACTGAGAAAGTGACTTGTGAGTAAAGACTTTTGGGTGTGTAATGATAAATATCTGTTGTCAAAACATTCCAGGCAAAGGAAGAAACACATGCAAAGGTCCTGGGGCAGGAGTGTGGCTGGAGCAGAGTAAGAGGTAAGTCCATATAAGTTACAGTGGGTTGGGGCTAGGGCTGGTGAGAGATGAAGGTCATGTAGGTCCTTTGACGTTCAGAATAAGGACTTCGCCTGTTACTTTCAGTGATACAGGCAGCTATTGAAGCTCTTCAGGAAAAGGGTGACGTGATTTTTACTTTAACAGGATCCTTCAGGCTGTTCAATGATGCATATAACGTGCTTAGCACGGGCTGGGGATATGGTATGGCCTCAATAAATGTTAGCTATTATCCTTGTGTTTTTTTAGTGTTGGCATGACAGGGTCTGGGGGATACCAGGATGTCTAATACTATCTAGGATCCGCAGGATACTGGAGTCTGTTCGAACCCTCTTCCCAGTCCTATTTTAGAAGTAAGACTTGCATGACTGTGACAAATGGGCTGCTCACTTCCATGAAGGGATCAGACAGATCTGGCTGTTGGCTATGCTTTTCTTGTGATAATGTGCCCTGCAATTGCTAGGTGAGGTGATTGCACGTGTACATATCAGGCTATTGTTAAGCTGCCCTGCGCAGACGTGGTTAAAGTGTGAAGGCAGGAATTGGCCAGGAAAACAGTTTTCTGGAAGTGCCAGAAGCTTCTGGATGCTGCACTGGGTTATTCCCAAGCCAGCTGATGACATCCTGTCATTGCAAACAGCCCCACAGTACTGAAAGCCCCAGAGTTACCTGGGGGTTGGGAAGTGGAAGCTTCTAGTGTGTGTTAAAGACCTATTTGTTCCTCCCTTGTTCTCAGGAACTAATGATCATATAGTCAGTATAAAATAATAGTAACTATAACATAGGTAAGGGTACGCTCCATCCACTGAGAGTCACTTTCAAACACAGCCAGTTAAGCATAAATTGATAAAAACTTTTATGAAAGGTAATTTGGGTAATAGTTATCAAAATTCTTCATAAAACCCATACCCATTTACCTAGTAATTCCACATGTGGACAAAAATATAGTTGTGAAGTGATAGATGCATGTAAAAAAGTAACTTAAAATATATACTCTGGTTCTCAACTACTTAAGACATAGGGGCTGGATTTTGTGTCTTTCTTTCTTCCTTCCTTTCTTTCTTTTTTTGGAGACAGAATTTTGCCCTTGTCACCCAGGCTGGAGTGCAGTGGTTCCATCTCAGCTCATTGCAACCTCCACCTCCCGGGTTCAAGAGATTCTCCTGCCTCAGCCTCTGGAGTAGCTGAGATTACAGACACCTGCCACCAGGCCTGGATAATTTTGTATTTTTAGTAGAGATGGGGTTTCACCATATTGGCCAAGCTGGTTTTGAACTCCTGGCCTCAAGCAATCCACCTGTCTTGGCCTCCCAAAGTGCTAGGATTACAGGCGTGAGCCACCACACCCAGCCAATTTTGTGTTTTTCAAGGTCACTTCGATACTTACCCATCACAATTGTAGAATTCAGTGTAGTGTAGTCACGTAGCCAATAAGTGGCATGGGCAGGAAGCAGAAGTTCTCTGTGGTGGGGTCACTAGAGAAGATATAATTGTCATAAAGACTCTCAGCTGAGCCTTGCAAACTGGATGCACGACCTTTCAAACACTGACTCTTCTTTCACTGGCTCACAAGGCCCTGCCTGTGTTTTTCAGGCAACCCACATCTGTCTCCTCTCTTTCCACAATTAAAATTACTGGGTCATATTTGGAAAAATTATGTTTCAGGGAATGAAGGCCTTTTCCCTATGCTATTTTTTTTTCAAAATGTGTTCTGCACAAGGTGAATAGTGTCAAAGTCAAAATAATATGTGGAGATAAATCTCTATATTAAACATCTTATTTGGTAATCACGGAATTGCAATTCAAGGCGTAAACAGGGTTGGTCTAGGCTAAGTCCAAAGAACAAAGAGAAGGTTGGCATTTTTGTTAGAAAGAGAAACATTACATATTGTTTTGAAACAAAACTCATTGGCACAGTAAACAAAGCTTTTGGGAGCTAACAAGCTCTGATTGGTGAGGGATAGTGGTAGATAAAACTAGTCTTTGAGTCACAGCAGGTCGACGCAGCAGTTACCAGGTAAATCTGGTTTTAGGGTTATAGAAGTTGGGCTTGTGGAAAAATGTTTGGAGCTGGTGCTATGTGCTCCAGCTGCTTTTTCCCCAGCCCTTCAAGTATGATTTAGTTAGGTATGACAAAAATGACCCAAATTGTGTAATTAACTTTATAACCACAATAGGTATTAACAGATATGAGTAGGTGCTATTTGAAAGTATCCCACAATTAATTACTTGAGGTGATGTGGCTGAAGTTATTCGAGCATCCTGGCTGAAGAGCTTCTCAGAACGCTTATTATATACCAAGAAACTCCAAGAGTGAGGCATTGTGGTCAAAAGAACACTCCAGGTTTATTTGACTATGGAGGTTGTTTGTTTTGCACCTCTTAACATTCTGCAAGCCAAATGTCTTGAAGAATACAACTTTGGAAACTTCTAGATTGGCCAGAATATTGGGCCTTGCCAAGGTAGGAAAAAAAAAAAAATTCTCCAGAGCAGACTTTGTTACCATAACTTCAGGAATGTGACTTCTAGTTGGTGCCCTTCTCATCAGCTCCAGTCAGAAAACACCCATCAGTCAAAGAACCCAAACTTAAAAAAAAAAGCACATGGTGGTATAAGGAACCAACAAATATAAAGAGCCATCACATTCAAGATCTTAAGCCCCTTCAATAAACAATGCATATGCAGTTGCCAGAAAATTTACATGTTTAGATGACAAGACTTCAGTGCTAGCTGTCAGTCAAGAGAAGCCTGGGGAATTCTCAAGAGGGTTTTAAAAAAAAAATACCCAGGCAGATGTGCATCTGGAAGGCAATCCCACATTCCATTCTCAGCCTGAACGTTGCCTTCAGGCAAAAGACCGCATATCTAAGAGGATGGCAAGATTCACCTTGTGTTGTCAACAGTGAATATGTCAATCACACTCAGAGAAGGCTTGACAGACTGTGATTCACATTTGCATCAAGTTCAGGATAGCTGTCTACAGCTGTCTTTGGATTGGTGGCAATCTCAGGACCCAAAGAGGAGTCTCTCCAGATCACGGAGTCACTTCCTCTTCACTGATGTCTTGAAGATGGTGTGTTGGGCAACCTCCACATGGGGACCTTGGGACTGGTTGTCTATTCCCACATCACAGCATCACACTGTGGGATATGGTACCCCAACATGACAAGACAAAATAAAAATAACATAGGCCAGCCCAGTCAGCCCCTTCTTCAACTTTAAGTAAGCAAAGCTGAGCAGACAAGCTCTGCCTGCTGGCACACTGTCAGATCTCTTCAGAGTGAGTACCCATAAGCCTTACTGCTTAGCCAAGGCCAGTTGAGAGGATTTGAATTTACAGCTAGAGTGACAGCAGTTTTCTAAGTAAAATGCAAGCTTACATCAGGAAGTGTGAGCCTAGGAAGACTGTCAAGCCTTCCAGAGAGTTGGAAAGACATGTTCTGGAAGCCAAATGTTTGGATTCGAATCTTTGCTGCATCACCCGTGACCATTGTCCATTTAAGTGTGTTTAATTTACCTCTTTGTGCCTCAGTTGCCTCAACTGAAAGTAAAAATAATAAAGGTCCCTAACCCTCATTCTAGTTTCTGTGAATATTAAATTAGATTACTATATAAATAGATAAATAGATTTGGGGTAAGTACCAGGTACCTAATACATGCTCAATACATTATTAGGTTTTATTATAATTCACTTGCTTTATTAATAGCAGGCTTAGGTCAATAGAGAGTATGTATATATTTCTCTTATTTGAAAGTCTGTAAAGTCAAAACACTGGGTACTTTCTCCAAAGCTGAGAAATTCCATTTTTGAGCAAGAGTCAAATGGAGGATGCTTGCATTTTTCCTTTCAAATATTTTCTGTACCTCTGTTTCTTCCTCTTACCCCAGGTGTACTCTTGGAAAAAAAAATATGGTTCTCTGTGGACAAAACAACTATACTCAGATATACCTTTTTGTGTCCAAAATGTGTTTCATAAACCATACAGAATAGATAAGAAAGGATTATAAGTATGGAGGGCTTTATGCTCTTGCTGCTTCTGGCCTGACTGGATTCTTTGATTTCTGTCAGCCTTTTTTAAGGAGTCATTGTAAGGCTGTCATGGGCATCTCAGGTAAAGTATGTGCTTTGGTTTGGTAAGGGTTTACTTGGGAAACTATTTCTAGGAAACTAGTTTATTCCATCCCAAAAAATAACCCCACCCTGTTAAGATAAATGAGTACAGCAAACAGAAGTTACCCAAGGACTTGGTCGCCAGGGCATGGGTTTAGCTGTGAAGCCAGTGATATATGTCTTGCCCTTGGGGGACAAATGACCACTGAAGAGACAGTCTTTGTGCCAAGAAGGACCTCAGAGAAGGTTGGAAAATAAGCTGTGTCATAGGGATCAAGCCTAGAATCACAAAACAGTCCAGAAGGAAATGAGGAGGCAAATGGAATCAAAGGCAGCAAAGCAAAGCTGAACCAAGAAGGCAACACACAGGGCGCATAGGGGCTGGAGAGGGACAAAGGCTGGGGAAGGCCAATGACAGGAGGGATAAGAAAGCACACAGGTAAAAGGAAAGCGAATGCCTGAAGACAGGCAATTAGGAGAGCAAAATCTGCGTACTGGATAAACCCAGAAGGAGATAAGAAGTATCCTTCTTATACATGTGGAGAAAAAAGAAGAGAAAAGAAACTCAAGATCAAGAAGTCACAGGAACAAGGCTAAGACCCTGACTTGGTGAGAAGGGATTGGCAGGCTGCTGGTAACTGGTCATAATGGTTAATTTAACTATTTAGCAATCTGGGAAATATGTAATTTATAGGAGGAAATACATTATTTGCAAATAGTTTTTATTTTATTTTTACATTTTTCAGTCTCTTGTGGACACTTCCAGTTCAAGGAACTGAGATAGGACAAATGAGCATGGGCCCTTCCTACATGGAGCCTGAAAGGCTATCGCCCACAAGAGGCCAACTGGACTTTCTCTGCACCTCTGGTTCCCTAGAAGGAAGAAGGAGAGGCTGGACAGGGACTCAGAAGCAGGTGGGTATACCTTCGTGTCTAGTATTATTTGGGTTTCACAGGAAGGTTAGCTGTTTTATCTCCATTTTAGGAAACTGAGGCTAGTAGAGGTTAACTAAAGAGTCTCAGGATATAGAAGATTCAGAGAAAACCAAACTAGAATTCAGAGCTCAATCCTTTTGTAAGAAGCCAATATTCAAACGAGTGCAAAATTTAACAGCCAATTTCACACACACTTTGGGATTGGGAAAGGAAAAGAATACCAGTGAATACCAAGTCTGAATAAGGCTCTAATAATGCTTTTGGCATCTCCCCTGTTCCACTGGAGAGCCATTATGTAACGGGAAACTTTGTGCAAGCATAATTTGATACTAATAACAATAGCTACAATTTACTGAGAACTTTCTTTAGGCCAGGCATCGTTCTAAGCACTTAATATAAATTAATTCACTTGACACTCACAACAATGCTGTGAAGTAGGTGCTATTGTTGTCTTCATTTTATAGATGAAGATACTGAGGCATAGAGAGGTTATATAACATGCCTGAGGTCACACAGCAGTCAAAATCAGGGCCAGGCTTGGTACTCAGACAGTCTGACTGCAGAGTTTGTGATCTTAACCATTATGTTCTCCTGTGAGTTATATAAATAACATTGCATCTTTGGGCAAGATCTGAAAACTCTACTAAATCTGTTCCTTTCGCATTCATAACCCAAGTCTCTAGATTAGAAATTTTTGCATTCAGAGATTCATGTGCCATGTAACCAAGCCTCATCCATGCCTCAAAAAAGACACTGAGGCCGGGCGCGGTGGCTCACACCTGTAATCCCAGCACTTTGGGAGGCCGAGGTGGGCGGATCACGAGGTCAGGAGATCGAGACCATCCCGGCTAAAACGGTGAAACCTTGTCTCTACTAAAAATACAAAAAATTAGCCGGGCGTGGTGGCGGGCGCCTGTAGTCCCAGCTACTTGGGAGGCTGAGGCAGGAGAATGGCGTGAACCCGGGAGGCGGAGCTTGCAGTGAGCCGAGATCCCGCCACTGCACTCCAGCCTGGTCGACAGAGCGAGACTCCGTCTCAAAAAAAAAAAAAAAAAAAAAAAAAAAGACACTGAGCTGCAAAGATGGAGCCCTCTGTCTCTGTATTCTTATGGTCTAACCAAATACTTGGCATAAAACACATGCCCATTATGCATTTGGTAAATGGATGAAACAGGTACTGGCCAGCTTGCACCACCAACAACACTCATTTATAAAGGAAGAACCCTAATTCTGCACACAGCATAGTGAATTGTAAGAATTGTAATTAGCTGTCTAAACATCTGTCTCTCCCACTAGGCCCACAGGCTCTATGAGCACAGGGACTGTGCTTTATTTTTCTTTATATCCCAAATGAAAGTCAACATGCCTGGGGCATAGCAGTACTCAGTAATTTTTTGGTGAATAGGTAAATTCAGTTTATAGAACCTCATATCTATATGCAGAGAAAGCTGAATTCAGTGCCACCAGTTATCAAATGAGTGTTGCTTGGATTGCCAGGACTCTACTGTGGTCTCATTCTGACTGTAGGAAGGGATTTATTGGGTCAAGTCAGCCAATGCCCATTGAAATGACAAAAGGCATCATTTTCTGAGCACTGAGCAATGCATGTGGCATAGGAGGGGAGGGGGTGACAAAAGCTGCTGAGGTGGGGACTATGTACTGGGAGGAGAGGGAAGTTTAGATTTCAGTGAAATTACCAAGTGCTAGTCATAGGCACATCTCTGCCCTGGGCAAAGGTATGCAACTCAGAATGTTCCCTGAATGTGCTGAGAAATGCCAAAAATTAAAGTTGGAAAGAAATAGTGCATCCATCCGTAGAAGGCCATTAAGGCAGATGTGGTAGGTGATCAGGAGCCTTGGTTAAGAGGGGGAGTAATGAAGGGAAGCAGCAGAATTTCAGGAAAAGGATACAGGTTCTTATTGAATGAGAAGAGATTAAAGTAGGGACCCTTGTGTATAAAGGTCTGGAATAGAACAGAATCTTTTTTACTGGTGGACTATCTGGCAGCATGGCTAGATAAAAGGAAGACAGTTTTGAACAAAGAAGGGCCTTCTCAGTGCCACAAATCACACCTTCCTACTAGTAATGCCAACCCTAATATACAACCTGAGATCTTAAAAACAGCTTTGCCTATTTCTCATAAACACAGCAGGGCTCCCTGAACCACCAATGATTCTCATTGTTTCTTGTTCAGTTTCCTGGGGGAATTCCAGTTTAGCCTCTTCCCACAAGTCTCACAGCTATGAAATTAGATATGGATTATCCTAAAGGTATTCCTAAAAGTATTGGTATTCTGAGAAAAGTGGTGCAATGGTCAAATAAGATTGGGAATCAGAGTGTCCCTGAAAAGAGCTCTGGATAGGGAATCAGGAAACCAGTGCTCTAGTCCTGACATAGTTTGCCTGTGTCCCCACCCAAATCTCATCTCAAATTGTAATCCCCATAATCCCCACGTACTGAGGGTGGGATCTGGTGGGAGGTGATTGGATCATGGGGGCGCCTTCCCCCATGCTGTTCTCGATATGGAGTGAGTTCTTATGAGATCTGATGGTTTTATAAGGGGCTTGTCCCCCTTTGCTCATTCACTCTTTCTCACCTGCCACCATGTAAGACATGCCTTTGCTTCTCTCTCACCTTTTGCCATGATTGTAAGTTTCCTGAGGCCTCCCCAGCCACGTGGAACTGTGAGCCAATTAAACTTCTTTTCTTTATAAATTACCCAGTCTTAGGTACGTCTTCACAGCAGTGTGAAAACGGACTAATACAAGTCCCTGGCTTGCAACTTCTTTGCCTTATGACATTGAAAAGTCACTTTATCTCTTTTAATTCTAAGTGTTTTGAAATCTGAAATGCATAAACATCAATCTCTAATCAAATAAAATAGTGTGTTTGAATCCTTTGGAAATATATAATGGAGTAAAACCACATAAAGAATGTAGTGAGGCCAGGCAAAGTGGCTCGTGACTGTAATCCCAGCACTTTGGGAGGTCGAGGCAGGCAGATCACTTGAGGTCAGGAGTTCGATACCAGCTTGGCCAATATGGTGAAACCCCATCTCTACTAAAAATACAAAAATTAGCCAGGCGTGTAGGCTGGTGCCTGTAATCCCAGCTACTTGGGAGGCTGAGGCAGGAGAATTGCTTGAACCTGGGCAGCAGAGCTTGCAGTGAGCCAAGATGGCGCCACTGCACTCCAGCCTGGATGACAGAGTAAGACTCCATCTCAAACAAATAAAAATAGAATGTAATAAGAATTTGTTATTAAACTTCAAATGCTTATCCATTGCTATGGATCAAATTTGTCCCCACCCCCAAATTCATATGTTAAAGTCCTAGCTCACTGTGACTGTATTTGCAGATAGGGCTTTTAGGAAGTTAATTAGGAGGTTAAATAAAGTCATAAGGGAGAAGTCCTAACCTGATGGGGTGGTAGCCTTAGAAGGAGAGAGAGAAGTCTAGCTATGTTTACACATGTGCACATGCGCGCATGCTCATGTGCGCGTACCCCCGCCCCCCCCCCAACACACACACACACACACACACACACACCAGGGAAACGCTGGGTGAGCACACAGTGAGAAAGTGAATGTCTGGAAGCCAGGAATAGAGTGTTCACCAGACCCTGACCATGCTGGCACCCTGATCTTGGACTTCCAGCCTCTGGCACTGTGAGAAAATAAATTTCTGTTCTTTAAGCCACCCAGTCTATGGCATTTTGTTATGGTAGCCTGAACAGGCTAAGACATTCATATATGTTAATATTATTATTCATGCTTCTATTTATATTTTTATACTTCATATGAGGCATTCAGAAAGAAAAGCTGGCATAAACATGAGACAGAACCCACTCTTGTCAGAAAAATCCTCTGTGGAAGCAAAACTGGATTTTTGAGACTCGGGAAGATAAAACACCTAGAAGTTTTTTTTTAAAAAAACAAGGCCCTCTGTGACACAGGTGACCTTGTACAGAACTCAGTGCAGGATTTCTAAGATGCAAAATGAGGCTTGAAAGAAGGCAAGTGATGTCAGGAAGAAACAAAAATGTCAGGCTATGGAGTTTAGTGAACAATTTTTTTATGTAAGGGCCAGTTCAAGAAAAATATACTTTATATTGTATATATGATAAGCATTATATTTTTTCACTCAAAGTGCAAATGACTCTATTAAACTCACATCAAAAAGTTATATTCCTATACCTGAGATTTTTCTTTTACTGTGTAGGGAATTAAAAGTAAGAATATTAGTCACCCCATTTAACTCAGGCTAGGAGCTCTGGAATCATGAAGAGGTGGCTTAAAATGATAGCTTGCATTTTCCTTTTCTTCATTCTCCCTTAAAATTTTAGGTTAACTTCATCTCCAGCAATCTATAATAGCACAAGGCATCTACGGTTTTCATGGCCTTTATCGCTGGTAAAGATTCTGGGGAAGGCTTTTAACTTCTCTGTGGGTAGCTGACTCCATAGCTTAAGAGGAGGCATGAGATATTGCTTTGGAGGTCATTACCCACCTCCTCCCACCCTCTTTCTTAATCCATGATATTAACTCATTGGTTCATTCACTGATTCACTTTTTCAGCCAATATTCACTTGTACTAGTGCCACGGAATTTCGTGGAGCCTACAGAATAGAGAAGAAGACAGACAATAAACAGTGAGTTATATAATTCATTTTGTTTAAATACATTTATGATAATGGCTAGAAAAGAATTATCAAGTACTCTGAGAGTGTAAAATAGGGTATCCTAATTTAGCCCAGGATGGATCAGGAAAGTATTTTCTGACAACTTGGTATTATAGCTGGAATCTGAGAAGGTGGTAAGAAGGGAAGGACAAGGAAGAAGGACATGCCTGGGAAAGGGCCCGTACGTATGTGGGAAGGGACAAGGAGAATGTGGGGAGCCAGAAAAGACCAACATGATCAGAGTATAGAAAACAATGGGGTGCTCAGCACAGGAAAAGAGGGGTACAGGAGGCAGAGACCAGGTAACTTAAAATCTTGCAAGCTTTGGTGAGAAAGGTACACTTTTTAAAAGCAAAGGAACACCACTGAGTGGTTTTAAGCTGGGAATACAATGGCCATGTGGTCACATATCTCAGCTTCCTGTAGCATCTCCTGTCATCCCTGGGCTTTGCTCTGCAAAGCAACACAATCCTGGTTAGAGGAAAATGGAAAGTGCTGTCTGGTATTTGATGATGTCATGCACTCGCCTGGACAATTAGTGGGTTTTCTTTTTGTCCTTTTCTGAACACAGTTAAATATGTAAAGGCAGCACACTGGACAGCTATCAACTCTGAGCAGAAAAGAGTAATTAGTTAATGGCGGTGAAGTGTTTTGTGGATGGAAAGTTAAATGGGAAATATTATTAAAATGACCATGCATAGGCAGTGGCAGTTGATGAAACCTCAGGGCAAGCTTTCCCTCTGGGGTGTTTTCCCACATCAGGGCAGCTGGTCCTGCTGCCATAGATAAGCACAGACCATTCTAGGGGGAAGAGAAAATCTACAGCGTGAGCAAGGCTTCATTTGCTTCACTTTAATCTCAGATAAATGTTGTCCCATGGAGAACAGTCAGAGTGGGCAGTCATTTCAGTTTAATACAAAGTCATCAGACATTGGGTAACTGATCTGCCTTCCTAATGTAGTCATCTCCTAGGGAGCAGGGGGTACCAGCAAATTCTGCAGCCACCACCAACTGTGTGAACTTAGGCAAGTGGCCTTAACTAATTTTAATTAATTGGCCTTAATTAATTAAGCCAAGCCTTAGATTGCTCAAAAACAGATTTGTCTATTTATTTATTCGTGTAGCTGTTCATGCAAGTGTTCATTAAATAATTTGAAAACCACTTGCTGAACGCCAGACTAGACCTGGAGACATAATGGTAAGCAAACCCGGATTCCTCAAGAGAGAAAGATACACAAATAGTGGGTTAAGGATACTGAATTGGTAACAGCAGTAAAATAAAATAAAATAGTTACAGACTCAAAGGAAGTTTCAAAAATAATACAGAGAAATTGGTGTACCCTTTCCTCAGCATCTCCCAATGGGAATATCTTACATAACTATGGTGAAATATCAAAGCCAGGACACTGATGTTAGTACCATCTACAGAACTTGCTCAGACTGTACCAGTTTTTACATACTTGCCTGGATATGTGTGTGTGCTTCTGTATTGTTTTGTCACATGTATAGGTTTGTGTAACCACAACCAAAATCAAGATAAAAAATCATTCCATCACCACAAAGGAACTTTCTTATACTCTTTAGAATAATATATCTTTTAAAAAATATACGTGCATATACGTGAAACAGATGTTAATGACACTCAGGAGAAAAATTAAAGTTTTTGCCCTCAAGGAGTTCACAATTATTTGAGTAATTGGGTACTTTTTAACTTTGAATTATTATATTGGAATGTCAATAATAAAGTTGACATTCCTGGGCCTCAGCTGAGGCCACGACGAGAAAGAAGAGAGCTAGTGTTTTGAAGACCTACTGTGTCCTAGGCACCTTGTTAGGAACTTTACCCTGTTAACTCATGTTCATCTGACAGATCTCTTCCACCTCTGTGGTTCTGCCCATTGCTGAACCCGTGAACTGGCTCGGCCAGTTCTTAGTGTGGGATAGTTTCTTCTCTAGGCAATCAGGTTCTTAGAGAAGGTCATGAAAAAGTCAGAGAGTAGGGATGGAGCACTGGATTCATTAGCCAGAGGAGCAAGTTCCTGGTCTCACTCCTATGTACCACTAGATCATAAATTCCTTCCTGGCAGGGACCATTCCATAGACATATTTATATCCTCAATGACCAATAAACACAGTGTCTGCCATTTGAGGGATACCCAGTTTAGGTTTGCTGCTCTCTCTTACCCTGGCTTACCTCTCTTACCCTCAGCTAGAGCAGTGGAGTCAGTCCTTCACATTGAGACGAAGATAGAGGATCATATGAGATGGGGTGATATAGGAATGAACTTTGCTATCAATCTGCTTTTTTCCAGACACAGCAAAGAGCCTGTTACATTACCTCATTGAATTTTACATGAAGCCTTAATGCATATATTATTATTCCTATTTTATTGATAGTGACTCAGAGAGGTTAAGTAAATTGCCAAAACCTATGTATCTACTGAGCAGTTTAGCCTTATTTGAGCTCAGATCTCTGGCAGCACAGTCCTGCTCTTCTACAGGGAGGCAATTCCAGAAGAAGAACACTTCCTGCCCAGCACCAGCTTATTGTCCAATGCCTAAAACTCTACCCCTGTCACTCAATTCCTTTTGGTTCACGCTATGAAAAAGCACAGTGAGACTCAATGCACTTTGTCTTTATCCATCATTTATACCCCAGTGGGAAATAAGTTATAAGCTTCTTTCCTAAAAACAGCTGGAGAGCAGGTATGAAAAGTGGAAAATAACTGAAGGATAGATCAAAGAGGAGCAACCAGGATACCAAAGACAAATTCTGACTGTGTCAGAGGGTGGCCACTCTATAAAATCAGTTCAGGAAGGACTGACACAGAAGTACTGATTCCTCTCACATAGGTCTAATCTAGCTTTGAAGGTTCATCATGAATCATTCAGCGATAAATTGTCCTTTAACCTGGAACTTTTATGCACAATTGGGTATGGTAAATTGATTGCAAAAATGGCTCTACTTCTCCACTCCTTCTTGAATTTGTGCCCCTTATATGTAATTTTTTTTTCTTTGATGGCGTCTTGCTCTGTCACCAAGGCCGGAGTGCAATGGCACGATCTTAGCTCACTGCATCCTCGGCCTCCCAGGTTCAAAAGATTCTTCTGCCTCAGCCTCCCAAGTAGCTGGGACTACAGGCATGAACAACCACGCCTGGCTAATTTTTGTATTTTTAGTAGAGACAGGGTTTCGCCATATTGGCCAGGCTGGTCTCCAACTCCTGACTTCAAGTGATTCGCCCGCCTCAGCCTCCCAAAGTGCTGGGATTATAGGCGTGAGACACTGCACCTGGCCTATATGTGATTTTGAAGCTCTTCCTACAACCTTGAACCTAGGTTGCCCTTGTGGTTTGCTTCAGCTGACAGAATGCAGGGAAAGTGAAGCCCTATCAGGTCCAAGCCTAGGCCTCAACAGGCCTTGGATGCTCTTAGAGCCCGACCTCACTATGTGAACAATCCTACATTAGTTTGCTGGAGGATGAGAGGCCATATGAAACAAAGCCAAAGTATCTCGGCCAAGGCCATCATAGACATCCAGGCCCCAGCTGATCTGACAGCTGACCACAAACACATGAGTGAGCCTAGATGAGGTCAGCTAGACCTGACCCAGATTAGCAACAGCACCTCACCAACCCATAGATGCATGAGCAAAATTTAGTGTTTATTAATATATGCTACTGAGGTTTGTGGTTGTTTTTATACAGCATTATTGTGGCAATGGATAACGGATATAGCAAGAATCTTAATCCCTTCCCTATCTTGGGAATTTCTTTTTCTCTGCCTAGCTACAATGGATCTAGAGCTTTTTCTGAGTTATGCTAGATTTCTGCTTTGTGAGAGCAAGCAGCACCCTGTAGTAGAAAGACAGTGATGTGTTTTGCTCCTGTGTACAATACAGCCCACAAATCTCTTGCAGGCTGCTCTCTGGCAAGGCTGGAGGCAGGCTGCTAGCATCATCCTTCAGCATGAAAGAAGTTAAATTGAACACTAGCTCCTGGGCCCAACCACTTCCCATCCAATCCCCAGCATGAGTAAGAGCTGACTAGGGAATTTCGGGCACTAGGTTTCCAGTTTCACAGACCAGAGCCACAATATTTCCACACGCAGATATTTGTTACAAATATTTATAGGTGGGGGAGATAATCTCTCAGTGCAGCCTGAATTGTGATATTCTCTACCGTCAGTAGATGTCATGTAACTCCATAGTTTCTCTGACCCTGATGGATTTTTTTTGTAAGAATGTGCTTCAAACAGTATTGATCTTCCTAAATTCCTTTTCAAAGGCTGAAATGTTCTCCAACAGACAAGGAAAGAATGCATTATTATGATCTATTAACAAGCATTTCACCAATTAATTCTTATTTATACTTTATGGCTAAATCTAGCAAATCAACTAGCCCTGTGTACCCTAGTAACTGATTCAAAACACAAAGCCATCAATAACTTCGATGACTACTTGCTTTCATTACCCATTCTTACAATAATACAATAAAAAGCTTTCATTTCTAGGCAAGCCACAAATACAACTCAACAACTCAATACTGCCATTGCTGCATATCAGCTGACTCAAGCTCGTCCTTAACCAATCAATATAAAGACTGAGCTCTCTTCCTCCAGTGGAAAACAGAAGCCAAGGACCCAGAATCAGCAAATCAGTCTGGGCTTGGATAAACCTAAGAAGGGTTATTTGTATGCTGTCTCTTAAATGAATTAGCATTTCCCCTACTCAAAGTCTGCCTACTTAAGGGCTCAAATTGCTTCACATAAGCTATTCTTAACAAAAAATGCAGGTTAATGCAATAATATTCTGGGGCTTGTAGGCACCTATAAAAAGTAGATAAATTATGGAAATCTAGATCCAGCTGACATTTTACATCAAACTACACACATTGTATATACTCAAAAGCTTCTAGAACTGAGTACCCCTCCATTCACTGTCTGCATTCTTATTTTTTAGAAACAGTAGTTGCAATAAGCCAACTTTAACAATTAAACTAAAAAAAATTATTTCAGTAGAGTTATATCTACTGAACTGGTTAGGTTCTGATTAGGTTAGGTTCAGATTGAGAAAACAGCTATTTCGCATCTCCCATTTTCTACTGCATTCAGAGAATGTATTCACTGAGTTGACGTAGGACAAAAGAGCTCACTCCATTTAAATGGTTAATTTTTTTTCTTTCTGAGTGCATATCATTTAATTGGCAATTGCTAAAACATACACAGTGAAACACCATTGGTGCTGTAATTATTTCCCTCGCTAGGTCGTAAGCCCTTTAAGGTCAGGAACCAGGTCTTCATGTTTCATTGCTGTCTACACAGTGCCTAGAAGGGCAATGTCTGGTACATAATAGGCATGCAAAACATATTTGCTGAATAAATGCATAAACTAATGCATCAACAAACTAATTGACACACCAAAGACCACGGTCATAACACTTACTCTTCTCAGGCAGCATTTAAGGCTCTCCAAAATTATGGAAGCTTTTTCTGGACCACTCAGCCTATAGAGACCTATTTTGTTATAATAGAACTAGTGGCACCTTGCCCAGATCCCTTTATAAGGCTGGTGCGCTCATCCTCCAGCTTTAGTAAGTGTTAACTTCTAAGGGCACATGGCTGTACCTTTCTCTTGAAAATTGCCCTAGCTCCCAGGAGCTACCTCACCTGTGGATGTCTGGAAGGTTACATAACCCCTCCTTGTGGGTAGCCAATAGCCAATGACGTAATGATCCAAACATACGAAAGTCTGGACCCCTTGGCTCAAAGTGGAGCAATTCTGTGTTGTCAGTGACCAGAGCTCCCTGTGTGAACAGGAGTAGACTAGATTTCAGCTAATGTTGTCTTTGCTTAATTTCTTCCCCCATCATATCCTGCATCCTCACTTCTTTAAAGGTTTCTCCTGAGAGCACTTTCTTAATAAATTAATTGCACAGGAGTCCCCATCGTCAGCTCTGTATGGTAATGAAAGCCCCATCCCCAGAGACAGATGAATTATTGAGAGTCCCTGGCATGTGTAGCTGCACCTGAATTTTTCACCTAGAATGAAATGGGTCAGAATACAGGTGGAAGGGCATACACTGGCTTCTGTGCATTATCCCTGGACTTTGAGAAGTATTGAGGAAGTGGTAATTATAAGGACTATATAATTGCGTAGCTACTTTATGAAGAGAGAAAATGCAGACTTAGGTAGATTGATCACCAGTGTGACGCAAGGTGTGAATTTCAGAAAGCCTCCTTGATGCTGTTTAAAAAGACCTTCACCTTCTGTGGCTGGAGAGACAGTTATGCTGAAAATCAAGCCCACAGCATAATTGTAAGAGTTGGAAAACTTCAGGAGGGGATGCGATTCTCAGTTTTGATAAGACCCTTCGTGCAAAATCAGGGCATCAGTGGGAGAAAATTTAAGCCTGGGAGAGGATCTTGAGGGTATTGTCAGGGATAAAAAGCTGGAAAGGAATAATTTATGGATATGGCAACACCTTCCCTGACACAGGACTTTACGTCTTGGTAAGGGCCCAAGAACTGTACCTGATACCCTGCTGGGGTGGTTCTCAAAGACTGGAAAAAGTAATGGTCATGTTAAATGCAGTAGAGTTTCCAGAATTTTAGGCACAGAGTATGGAGAGAAGAATCAAAAGGCTCAGAGAAGTAAGCATGCAAAACTGGGTATGACCAGAATCCATCATCATCTGCCTTTGCTCCTTTAGAGGGCCGAAGGAACAACTTGTTTTTTCAGGGTTCTGGTGTTAGTGACAGCAGCATTGTTGAAAAGTTCATTTGTGTCTATCCTCTGCAAATCAGGACTGACAATGGGCAATGCTGTTATAAAACTGGCCTTTCTGCCAGCAATGTGGGTGATGATGGTCCAGAGTGGCAGAAGCCAGGTGGCATCACTCAATCACCAGGAAGAAGATGGGCACAACTACCTTACTGGCATCCAGGTTGAAATTGCTGCCACATGGCCTTAAACCATGGGGATTTATAGATATGGCTAATAGATAATGGTATTTTAAAGAGCAAAATAGATTGGCAACCAACAAAGGTATTCCTTAATGTAGATAATCAAAAGGAATCAAGGATGGAAAAAAGAATGCTGAGGTCAGCTGCCCCAGAGGAAATTCATGATCCTTTGCCTATTTTCTAGAGCTGAGCTGATTCTCAAATCTACAACCCATCAGTTGAAGGAGAAGAAGGATTCTATAACACCACAGCAAATACATGCAGCCCTTCCCCAGAATGCTTATAGCTGTTTCCTTGAGTAACAATATGCTGGGGAAGTGGAAATATCCAGATCTTTTGAGGGTTGTTGTGTACTGGTTTTAATACTGAACCTGGAGAACCAAAATGCCATCATGGCCTACATGGAAGATTAAAGTTTCATGGGGAACCAATAATGAGTAAACTCCTGGTTCAGGGTAATCTCAGTGTGTCTGACAGGAAGCCTAGAACTGAATGTTTGCTCAGTTCACAGATGTATCATTAGAATGGGCATGTTTAGAAGTAGGCAGAACCCTCTTGGCCAAGACAGTAATTAAAAAGCAATATCAAATTCCAGGGCAAAGGTACAGAGTGGCATGATCCTATGTGTTCAAGAAGTAGCATATACAGAGGTCCAGGAACCAAGGGATGAAGTAGAAATGGTCATGCTCTCCATCACTTTCAGAGACCTAGATGGGAATTTGTGCTTCTCATCTCTGTAACTTTAGGTTGTGTGGTTACAGAGTTTGTTGTTCCCAGAGATAACGTTTCCATCAGGGATTCACTAAGACTCCCACTAAACTTAAGACTATTGCTTCTGCCAGATCACTTTGGGCTCCTTGTATTAGTAGACCAACAGCAATAGAAAGGGGTTAACATGTGGACAAAGTTAACTGACTTGGATTATCATGAGGATATGGAGCTTCTGCTATAGAATAAGGACAGTGAAAAATATGTTTAGAACTCAGGAATTCACTAGAACTCAGGAATTCACCTTGGTACTCCTATCCTCGGTTTTAGTTGTACACAGGCAGGGACAGAAACCACTGCTTGATAAGGACCTGGGAGCCAGAGGCTTAAACTCCTCAAGGATGAAGTTCTGGGTGACCCTACCAGACAAACCATCTTGCCCAGCAGAGGTGCTAGCTTAGAGGAAAGGGGACTCAGAAGGGGTGGTGAAGGAGGGAGATGATGGATACCAATTATAGCCTTGGGATATAAGCTTCACCAATGCCCAGCATTAAATTTCCCCAGACATGTAATCAGTTAGAATCCTAGAGAAGCTTTGCATGAATGGGCTAAACATACTGTGAAAAGCAAGCAGATATGAGCAATGCAAGCAGGAGACTGGAGCAGATGATTGGGGCCCCATCCACATCCCCTTTACAGGGGCACTGCACCCATCTTCCAGACATAGTGAGTTTTGGCAACTAATAATTCCTAGCTTTATCCTTCTCTGGAGAATTGCCATTGGTCCATGGGAATCGCCTTGCACAGAAATGTCTGGGAATTATACACTCCATTTCAGACAGCAATCTACAGCGAATGACACACTGATGCCTCAAGGTGAGACAACCCTGTGGTACCATTCATGCCTCAGAACTCTACATGAGATCGGGATGTAGCTAGGCTTCCCTCCAAACCATATCTTTCCTTTACTTCTTCCTCTGCCTTACCTTGCTTCCAGTTCCCCACAGATTTCTTGGGGAGAACAGCTTCAATAACTCACTTGCACAAGAATCCCTATCTCAGGCTCAGCTTTCAAGGAACCTGACCACTCGTCAAGAACATACATTGCTCATTATTACCACTCATCAAGAACATCCACTGCTAAGACTTCCTTGACATTAGCCCTTCCCTCCTGTGCAAGATGAGTTAAATCTGTTCCAAGCAGGCTCCTTTTTCAGCCTGTTTCCCCCTATCTTAGCACTGACCCTTCTGCACTGAATGGAAGTCTTGTGTGAGTGTAAAGCTATCCCTGAATCTCAGATTCAATGCAACTCTAATTTTTCATATAAACAAGGGTATGAAATATTATGACTGATTAGCCTGTGACCAAATATTGTAAAATGTATGCATTTTAACCAAACTAGTGGTTTGGCCTCTTTCTGTCTCTCTCTCACACACACACACACCTACACACACACATACATAAAACCATGAGTTACCTGCTGATAGTGTTAAAGTGTGAATTGCCTCTTTTCACTCTCTTAGGTTAAGCTATTTTCTGTTTGTAAATATAACCTGGAGATCATCCTGCAGTGAGTTCCTGTATTCAAGGCAATGAAGCATGTCCTCAGAGCCATCAGATATTTTGGAACATCCTTGATTTCAGACCTTGTCTTGTAGAACAATGGCTATATTAGTTAGAGCAGGTTAACTACTGCAAATATTATCCCCATATCTCCATGGATTAGCATGATAACAGTTTGTTTCTCATTCACATCACAAGCAAATGAAGGATCTATTGTGCATGGTCTTCCATGGGCCAGTCTTTGATTCTATGGGCCAGTCCAGGAAGAGGCCATCCTCCCTTCTGCCCACACTATGGCACATGTCTCTACCTAAATGAGAAGGTTTTGGGAAATATCATTCAGTACAGTTTCTGGGAAGAAAGAGAGAAACAAGATATTGATGAGCACCAGCTCTCTCTCTCTCTCTCTGCCATTGTGAAATTTCCACTGAAGTGTTATGCTGTTTAGCACTTCCTAGGATATTCAAATAGATCCTTATGGGAAGAGCCTCTAATGAAATTGAATCTCCTTCTCTAAGATACACAACTGTATGCTCTTTAGCGTGGCAATGCCACTGGTAAATGCTGGTTCACCACCTCTTCCTGAGACAAATGGATCTCAGCAGTAGGAGTTTCTAACAAATACCACTTTAGAAACAATACTACAGGTTAACTTTTTAGGTCTCGAGTTTTTACAGTGCATTAGATTTTTTGTGCCACTGATTATAGTAGCTAAAGTATTGCTAAACACACTTGACAACTGCCAACACTTGAAAGTGCCCCTGCTATTCCTAATGCCTGTTTCAATGTAGCTTGATACAAAACTAGTTTCTGCTGCTTGGGGACAATCTAATTTAACTGAATTGTCATTTGTTTTTCTCCCACTTTCCCTTTACATGAACTTATCACAATCATGCCTGCCACCATGGAAAGTCAAGGCCAGAGCCCTCCATTTTGGCTCGGGAAATATCTTAAACAATGGATGTCTAGCCTCATCTTTCACTGGTTCCCCCCATCTGTTTCTCTTTGGTTTTATACGTTCTACCCATTTCATTGTGCCTCTATACTGGGATAGACAGCTCACTTGTAGGTTATCTACCCATCCCTGACTCTCCAGCCCTTTCATGTTGGAAGAATGGAAATTGTGCAAAAGTCTTAAGAATGTACTTAGTTTATTTGTTGAATGCTTAACACATGCCACAATACAATGATGAGCAAAATGCTCGTGGTCCTACCCACACAGAGTTTACAGCCTATGAAAAAAGAACTCCTTCTTCCCTCCCTCACAAAAAAGTAAGCACTTGAATAAAAACATTGCAAGTAGTGATAAAGACTATGAGAGAAACAAACGATGGAATATCATATGAGATGTTCCAACTGAGAGATTGGGAAAAGCATGGCATGTCTGAGAAACTAAGTGAAAGGAGTTGGAACATAATGTACAAGAGTAGAGGAGGAGCGGTTGATGTGCTTGGAGAGATAAATAGGGGTCATTTTTACCCTACCCATCACCACCTGGGATGGTGGACAATGGCTGATATCAGGCATGTACATGTTCTCACATACACACACACATTTAAGCATACAATTTTTCATCACCACCATGATACTTCTGGCTTCTTTCCATCAAGATCACTATAATAAATCCAGTACTTCAGGCAACATTCATTTCTGTAGAAATTCCCTAGCTATTCCTCAATGTTTAATACTCCAAAGCAAGCTATTCAGAGTTAGGTTATGCTCTGGGTTCACAAAACAAGCTGAGGCTATCACATTGTTGATTTGGCACCCTCTAGGATAAAGAATTGTACAGAGCTTTACCCATGGAGTACTCACATTGTAAGGCTGGCTTGTAGGGACAGCTCAAATACTCTATTAGCAGCCCATGGGTGTGGCACATAACTACCAGAGGTCCATCTAGCCTACCAGTGTCAGGACAGCTTTTCCAGTTCTCAACTTGAGTTCAATGCTGACCATAGAAAAGGGTGTTTTTCGTCTCAGTGGAACCTAGAGGAGAAGGTTCTTGCCTGAAAGACTGAGACCTTAGATGTTTCTCACTTGATAAAGTAGAAAACTGCCATGCTTCCTGTGGTGGATACCAGTACCCATGAGGTCAATCCCAGCAAACAAAGCATAGAGATGTACTCATGTTGGGTATCCCCACCCTGGTCCTAGCCTCCCTAATGTGGAAAGGCACAATTAGGCATATCCTGAAATAGATATCCATAATATCTATTCCTTATACCAAGGCCTTTACTACTATTTGCAAGAAATCTTTGGTATTTGCTTATTAGTTTGCTGTTGTCCCTCTTTGTATAGTCTTTGACATTGTTATTTCTCTGGAGACTGGCTTCTTTTAATAGACTGAAAAATACCAATTGACTGCCTCAGTTACTAACGTCAGAATTTTAACTCAGTGCTAAAGCTATCACAGTCTTCCCCTAATATGATCACTCTATGTGTTCTATCATTTCTCTTTACTGTGACATAAAGAAAGATATTTTTAACATGCTCTTGTGATATACAACCTCTAAGATGGGGCCCAGCAATCCCTGCCTCCTGATGTTTATGCCTTTGTGTGATCCTCTCCCCTTGAATGTTGGCTAAGCTTTTTGCCTCACTTATAAGAAGAAGAATATAACAGAAATAATGAAATGTCATCTCCAAGTTGATTCCAAAGGACTGTGGCTGCCATTTGGGTGCTTGCCTTCTGTCTCTTACTTATTTTAAGAAAAGCCAGATGTCAAGTTGTGAGCTGACTTTTGAGGAGGCTCAAGTGGCAACTGAGGGAGAACTCCCTCAGTCAACAACCAGTGAGGATTGAGGTTCTCAGTCTAACAACCCATGAGGAGCTGAATCCTTCCAAGAGTAAGCTTACAAGCAGATTATCTTCCAATTGAGCGTTTGGATGAAACCACAGCACTAGCCCACAGCTTCACTAAAATCTCATGAGCGACCTTGAGCCAGAGGCACACCCATTATTGCATTTCTGATCAATGAAGATTGACAATGAGATAATAATTGTTGAGTTTTTTATTTTAAAATAATTATAGATTCACAGGGAATTTCAGCAATAGTGCAGACGGGTCTCACATACACTTCACCCAGTTTCTCCCAATGGTTACACCTTACATAACCGTAGTAAAAAATCAAAACTATGAATAAAACCAGGTACCATATTTGTGTAGAGTTCCATGCCATTTTACCCAGTATATAGATTCATGAAAACACAGCAATCAAGACACAAAATTTTTCCATCACTACAAAGATCTTACTTGCACTACCCGTTTGTAGCCATATCCCTCCAGTATACCATCCCTCATTCTTGGTAATCACTAATCTCTTCTCCAGCTCCACAATTTTGTTATTTCAAGAATGTTATATGAATGGAATCATACAGCATATGACCTTTTGAGGTTGACTTTCTCATTCAGCATAGTACTCTTCATATCCATCTGTTTTTTGTTTTAAGCCATTAAGTTTTTGTAGTGATTTGTTACATGGCAATAGATAATTAATACACCACTCCTATGGGAAAAATTACTTTCTGATTAGAGTGTGAGCTGAAAATAGACTTACCACTGGGTACAGAAACATGAATGCTGACTGATTGCCTCTTATAAGTGTTCATCATATCATAGAAAAGAAATTTACAATGACCTTAAACTCATGTTCCTAGGGCTCATCTATTCACACAATGGATGAGTTAGAGAGGAATAAAATTGTGTACATATAAACCAACTTTTTTCAAAATATATTTCACCAAACAAAGTGCCATGAGAGGTATCTCTTTGGGCAACACTCCCGTACAGTTAAGCACAGAAAACAAAGTATAACACATTGGTGATCATGGATGGTCACTAGGTATGTAAGAATTACTTTAGTTTCTTGGGGGAAAATGCATATGCTTATATCCTTGAGATTCACACCAGGAGACTCTGATTCTGTAGTCTAAAGTGGGATGAGTTGAGTTGTTTTTTTTCCCAGTTTTAACAAGCTTTTGAGCTGATTCTGAGGTAAGTGTCTTAGGATCATATTTGTGAAAAATACCATTCTACAGCTTTTTTCCCTTTTATTTTGCCAGTCTCGGAACACTTCCTCATTTCCTTTGGTCTTTGATAGCTTAAATTACTATCTTAATATTGTTCATTGAATAGTAGGGAACAAACAGGAATAAGAATCACAGATAGGAAACATGACGCTAGATCTGCCATCTTCTACCTGTGCTACCTTAAGATAGTTCCTTAAGCTGCCTCAGCCTCAGTTACAGTCATCTCACACAGCTGGTGTGAGGCTTTCAAAATAGTGTTTAAATCATGCTGGTACGTGGTAGGAGCACTGTAAATCCTAGCTAGCTTTATAGTACTATTCCCCTCCTTCCTTTCATTTAATTATTTGGAAGCTGCTCCATTTAATGG
Organism: Homo sapiens; assembly: GCF_000001405.40. Lineage (NCBI taxonomy): Eukaryota > Metazoa > Chordata > Mammalia > Primates > Hominidae > Homo > Homo sapiens. Next base: position 117,602,700 of record NC_000008.11, read on the forward strand.
TTCTCCAGCAAACTTGTCTCTTTCTTTTTAGCTGCTGGTAGCCTCGTGCTTTGCCATTGTGTCTGGGATCTTGATAATCACAATGCATTTTGTCATTGCTTTTGCCACTGTTGTTCATGCAGCAGCTCCATGGCAGGACATTCCTCTGTATAAATCATTATTTATGGGCCAACTGCCAATAAAAATAACCACAGGAAATATCTAAACCCTGATTTTGTTTTCTAATACATTTTCCCCTTTGGAAAGGACACCATTATTAAGACATTTTTAAACAATTTCTGGAACCAGTTACCTCTTTACTAGAGTCTCTAGTTGGCAATGAAAGAACGAACATTAAATGCTTTCACAAAAGTGGCTGAGGGAAAAATAGGAATCGTCGTGTTAAGAAGAACAGTTATTTAATTATGAGCATTTTATGGTGCTGTTAAGGTATCAGAACCCCACAGCTTGCTTTACTAACGCTGCATTTCTAAACCTAGCTGGTGCTGGTTTCCTTCCATTTTCAACATTTCATTTCCTGGGCAATTTAAAAACAGCAGGCCAGTTTGGGGATAAACATTAAAATACAAATACTTCAGCTCTAGTGATTTTGCAAAGCAGCCACACAAAGCACTTGCGGTTTTAAGCATATTTTTAAAAACACACATTGCTTTGGGACCGCTGTGCCATAATATGTTACCCTGAATAGGTTGTTGATTCGTGGCAATGCATTTAATGTCAGTGCTTTTATTATTTAACATAAAATTTGGGCAACAAAACTGGCCCAGATTCAGAGGGAGGGAAAGCTGACAAGTTTCTATCTTGTTGATGTGCTATTTAGCAGAGAATCTGGGTTTGCAAAACACATTGACCTGCTGCTTCAGGGGTCTTCCAGGGGGCTTTCTTTTAGGACCAGCAGTGGCGAGTGCTGGTTTTTTAAAAATCATTATCATTGTGGTTATTACTTTTGCAAATACAGTTGTAGCCAAGTATACTAATACGCAGATCTCCTATAACGCTTGCAGTTTACTAAAGGTTTCCTCCTCATGGACTGGCTCTATTCTCACAACAGCTCTGTCAGGGTGAATGTTACCACTCCCACTATATAGATGTGGAAGCCGAGGCCCAGATGAGTTAAGTGATGCATGCAAAGCTCCTAATTGGCAGAAACAGAAGTTGAACTCAGGTGTTTGACCCAGTACCAGAACTCAGCTGATCTTATTTAGTCAACGTCTCTCCAAAATATCAGAATAATTACACATTTCAGGTAAACAATAGAACCATTTGTTAGGAACAAATCAGGCAGGTTAGCTATTTGGGAATGTTCCCTTTGTTTTAAATGTTCAAATGTGCATTTCCCCCACTGAACTCCTGTATACCCTTCAAAAGCCAGTTACTCCTACACATGTCTCTTCCCAGTTCTACCAGACGTCATCCTCTACTTACATCTTTCTAAAATAGTTGTAAAGTACTTCTGTGCTTGGCACTGTGCTAAGCATTGAGGCTTTAGCAGCAAGAAGTACAGACACTGTCTTGAGTATCAGGAAATTACAAGTGGGACAGGTATTAAACTCAAAATTGCAAACATGATTTTTAAATTACAGTGGTGATAAAGGCTACAAAAGATAAGAACATGGAGTTTTAAGGATGCACAGTCAGGATGCCTAAGCTAGATGGAGAGAGAGAAGAGAGGACAGAGAAGGTAGGGAGGGGACATAAAAGAATCAAGGGCAGGTTTCTCTAAGAAAACAATATGGCTCTTATTCTTCAGACTGCGACTAGTGGTTTATATGTTCTTTCCCCCATTATTCTATATAGGTCTTGATGACATGAGTCATATTTTGTCTATATTTCATTCATCTCTGAGCTTAGGGTAGGGGTTCAATGATATTTGTAGCTGTTTTGTTGTGCCCTACTGAGCCAGCAAGGCAACAACCCTCTTCCTAAACCCCAAGATAAAAGCTAGGTGATGCATAGTTTCCAGCTGATTGTTACCTGGTATTTTAGGGAGATTAAATCACACACAAGGGTTGCTTACTAGTATTTCCTCTATCACTGCCTCTATTACTGTTACTGTTAATAATCTTACATTTATATATTCCTGTATATGTGTTGAAATTATACATGTCCATCCATCATGTTCTTATAACAGGCCTCTATATATGTCATAATATTAAGCATTATGAACTAATATTAATGAGATTCATAATATCAATATTTAGAGCACTTACTTTGTGCTATGCCCTTTTCTAGGACCTTCATAAATATTTCCTAATTTAATCTTCACAGTATTCCAATAAGAGAGGAATTATTGTTTTACAGATGAGGAAACTGATAAAGCAAAAGGCTCCATAACTTGTTCATGGAACAAGTAAAAGGCGGCGGCACGATTTGAACTAGTAGTCTGCATCTGGAGCCTATGATCTTAGGCACTCTCCTTAAATACTTTGTATTTTTGAGACAGTCTCACCATGTTGACCAGGCTGGTCTCAAACTCCTGGCCTTAAGCAATCCTGTTGCCTCAGCCTTCCAAGGAGCTGAGATTACAAGCATGCCCCACCATGCTCAGCTACTCCAAAGTACATTTTTCCATGATTTGTCTAGTCTAGGACCCACCTAGTCCAATGGTCTTCCTCATTCAGTACTGGCTTGCTGCAGAATTTTAGTCTTTATCTAAAAAAAAAAGTCATTGGGTGGATGTACAACATGAATCAGCGCATCCAAATGACATAATTCACAGGGATATTCATCCATGAGGAGAAGATGGCATTGCCCTGAATTTGAGGATGAGGCAATACAATGCCTATATTCATCATGTTCCATCAGTTAACATTTGGATTGAATTGACCCATTAAGAGGGTGACTGACCTGTTGGCTATTTGATTTGATAGGTTTCATAGACAACAAGAAGGCTTCAGATGTAGCAACTGATCAGCCTGTCCCAGAGGATTCAAAACTATTATCATATAGTTGGAATCTTCAGCAATTCTTCATAAGCACAAACTGAAATAGTCATTTTCTTTTCAGTTCCATTGATTTTTTCCCCCTTTCTATCTGAGAAGCCCTATGCAGGCAGAACAGAATCTTTCAATCCAGCTTTACTGCTCCCTAGAGTGGTGCCTGTTTCCTAATGAACCAAGTTCATGGAGAGGGGAGGACCACACAGACTTTCAATGTCCCTCCTTTACACTTTTTTTCTCCCTAACTAGTTGTGTTAGATTTTTGTATTAGTCTGTTCTCATGCTGCTAATAAAGACATACCTGAGGCTGGGTAATTTATAAAGAAAAAGAGGTTTAATGGACTCACAATTTCACATGGCTGGGAAGTCTCACAATCACGGTGGAAGGTGAAGGAGTAGCAAACGCACTTCTTACATGACGGCTGGCAAGAATGCTTGTGCAGGGAAACTCCCATTTATAAAACCATCACATCTCGTGAGACTTATTCACTACCACGAGAACAGTATGGGGGAAACTGCCCCTGTGATTCAATGATCTCCACCTGGCCTTGCCCTTGACATGTGGGGAGTATTACAATTCAAGGTGAGATTTGGGTGTTGGTGGGGACAGCCAAACCATATCAATTTTCTGGGACAAGAAACATCAAGACAAATCTATGGTCCATTCATCTCCTTTGAGAGCCATCAGTGCTCTCTCCTTTTAATATCATTTCAACATTTATAGAACCCTTTCATTTTCACATTATACTCATGCACATAAAATTTATTTGCTGTCTTAGAATTTTGCTCTTTATGAAAATGTCCCTTGTTCAGGCTTTTTCTATGTGGGCTTTTCCTAGTTTCCTTTATTTCCTGCTACTCAGCCTATCATATTCAGAGCATCCTACTTCTCAAGCTATGAAGGCTGGAAAGTGCTTTGGCCTGGTGGTCAAGTTTGGAGTTCTAGTTTGGGTTCTCTTCTGAAGCCAATCATGTGATTACATCCTCTCTATAGTCCTCCTCTTTTTCCTTTGTAAAATTAGGTGTGGGGGTTGATGATTGGATCATTGTAAAGAACTGTGCCAGCTGTAATTTTTTTTTTGTTCCTATTTTTCTGATTTTTGTTAAGAGTTAAGTGCTAGAGTTACTTATGATCAGAGTAGATGGAGGGAGACCTGGAGATAAGTCAGCCAGGTATTTTTGTGTGTGACTTGACCAAATTGCATTAATGAGGAGAGAGGAAGAAATTGCCATTCCTAGCTCACAATGACAGCATCTGAGAAAACAAATCACCCTTCCCTCCTGGATTCCTTAAATGACAGAGCACACTGGTGGATAAGATAAACTGGAACTCAGCTTTTGCCATGACCACACTTGACCCAATTGCCATGTCTTATCCAAGTGACTGTATCTTATCCAAGTGACTCTTGACCAAACACAGGCAGAAGAAGAATTTTGTATGTGTCTGGATTTCAGTGGTTTTTTCTTCTTTATATTAATCACTTGTCAGTGGATTCATCCCCGAGCTCAGAGCTAGCACTGTACATAGGATAAGAAACTAAAAGGACTAGTTTATTTTATTTAGTATTTCTAAAACTTTAGATATCATTCTGCACAGCTATAACCCCTGTAGATTTGCAAGCCACCCTTCATGAACTTCCCAGAGAGTCCTGGTCTGTTAGCTCTGACAAGCTTCTTATTTCCTTCCATTTCTGACTCTCCAAAAGATCCATCCTGGAGCTCAGAAACAGGCAGCATATTAAAAATGGACACTAATGTCTGCACTTTCTGCTGCAACCATAGATGTCTATTACAGCAATTGGATCTGCTTGTTTAAACCCTTCCCAGTAATACGAACCAGGCTTTGGAGCTGACAGCCACAGCCCTTCAACAGCTACTCTATACCCCCAATTAATGTTCTTAACATGTCTTGAATTTTGAGTTGTTTGAGTTTTTAATTAAATATTGAAGAATTTTTGTGGCACAACATGACAGCCTATTGCCAAATCATTTACCTGATCATGTTACATTATATTTAAAGCACTTGCCCTAGTATGCAAAATCCTCTAAGACATGCAACCAACCAAAATCACTAGGGTTTTCCATAAATTAAATTTTAAGAAAAGATACTTATAATTTTGGTTAGCATTTCTCCTTCTAAAAGATTCCAGAGAAAAATCTTTCCTTCACAGAGTTATTAACATTCAACAGCTCAACATATTTTAGGAATTTCATTCTTTCATTCTTTTTTTTTTTAAAAAAAAAGATGAGGTCTCACTGTGTTGCCCAGGCTGGCTCCAACTCCTGTCCTCAAGGAATCTTCCCACTTCAGCTTCCCAAATAGCTGGGATTATGGGCCTGAGCTACCATGCTTAGCTGGAATTTCTTTCTTTATAAAAGCATTTATGAGGTATTGTGCATGCTTTAATATACTATCTTATTTAATCTTTATAAAAATTCTGTAGCATAATAATTTCTTACTTCCCTTGAAGAGATGAGAAAACTGAGGTCTAACTAGTAGAACAGCTTGTACAAAGTCACAGAAGGAGAAATTGGCAAAGCCAGGATTTAAACTGATTCCAGTTCAGAACCCTTTCTCAAACTCTAGCCCTTTGCTTCTGTCTATTAGACTCACTAACACCTTTTCCTTGTGGATTAAGGGAATGACTGATAACCTCACAAATTTTCTTTCAGACCTATGATCCTATGATATTAACTAATTCCTCCCTTCCTTCCTTCCTCCTTTCATTCCTCCCTCCCTCTCTTCCTTCCTTCCTCCCTCCCTCTCTTCCTTCCTTCTTTCCTTCCTTCCTCCTTCCCCCCTCCCTCCCTCTTCCCTCCCTCTCTTCTTTCCTTTTCTCCCTCCCTCCTTCCCTTCCCCCCTTCCTTCCTTCCTTCTTTCCTTGCTCCCTTCCACATTTACTGAACACCTATTATGTACTATAGGCCAAGCATACAAAAAAGATGCTGCAACCACCTCGGAGCATGTTATAACGCACTTTTCCAGTCCTAGGATAGTCTCTGGCCTTCATCTATGCATCCACTCATGCATTAACTGAGAAAATATTTATTGAACACATAGTAATGAATTATACTAAGCTTTAGGGATTCAGCAAATAATTCAGGCTCTGTCCTGGATCACATAGAACTTCTGCTCTGGTGTTTCTACCTGGTTCTCTCTTCATTTTCTCTTTTGCTTCCACATGCTTATTCATAAGGGCTTTGCTGAGTCAGGAGGGGTTGGCAGGCTCATGAATTCAGGGTGCATATTTTCAAGTAGGAATTGAGGTTATGAGATGTTCTATCAGCCAGTCATTTCCACTTATTTGATAGTCAATCATGGTACCAAAATATATTTTCATTTATCTTATTTCTTCTCCTCTTCGTTTTGTTTTTATTTAACCTTTTCTATGTGCAGTTCTCACCTCCCCCAATTTGTCTGTAAGCTCTTTGAGTCACTCTATGGTGACTACACAGAGTATAGGCTATAAAAATATTCACTGAATAAATTCCAAGTCCATTTCTCTGTCCCTTGTTGTTGCTATGTGTCTATAAACATGAGGTAGCAACTCTAAAGTCTTGTTATAACAGGCTAGCCTGTAACTATGAATAATACATATATCTCAAGCAAACTCCCCACCCTGGATAGCAGGCGCTGCCAGTGAATGATACTACCAGTGACTATAACTTCTTGAGGAATATAGCAAGTGCTCTCCTAAAAGTTATGCAACTCCCCAAAGTGGATTTCAGACTTTTCTTTCCTTCTCAATAACAACATTACAGAGCTGGGTGTGGAGGATGGTGTGGGAGGGACAATAAAACAAAAGTTGTCACATTTGTCTTAATCTGTACCTTGATTTCCTTATCTTGGATTTAAGCTTAACAATAAAAGACACTCCATCTGTACCTCTATCACGTGAAAGTGTTTTTATAAGCAATAAACATATTATTTATATTGTGACCAAAGTTTAAACCATATATTGTATTGCAGGCCAATTTAATTTTTGTTCTTTCATTGTCCATTTTGTGCTTTTACCTTACCAGGTTTGTGGCCCATTTTTTGGGTCAGTCCTCCCAGCTTTGATACTCATTTATGCCAAGATGTTTTTGCTTGATAATAGTTTAATTATCAACAATCTTCAGATACTAATAACATGTAAATACTGAGTATCATGACTTTTCCAAGTAAGGAAATATGGTAGAATAAAGAAACCTTGACACTATTCATCCTACAACATGTAGAAATGTGTCTGATCCACTAATCTTCCCCCAAGGCCAATATTGCTAGAAGATCAAATGTTGAAATGTTGCAGAACATTCATTTTATTGATGCTTGAAAGGGACACATATAAGAGTTAATAGTTTTTGCACTGTAATACCTATGACAGGTACAATTCTAAATGTCTTTCATGGGTTAAATCTTCACTGCAACCCTGTGAAGGGGACGATATTGTCCCCCTCGACACCTTTTTTTTTTTTTTTTTTTTTTTTGAGATGGAGTCTCACTCTTTCACCTAGGCTGGAGTGCAGTGATGCGATCTTGGCTCACTGCAGCCTCTGCCTCCCAGATTCAAGCGATTCTCCCGCCTCAGCCTCCAGAGTATCTGGGACCACAGGCATGCACCACTATGCCCAGCTAATTTTTGTGTTTTTAGTAGAGATGGGGTTTCACCATATTGGCCAGGCTAATCTCTAACTCCTGACCTCAAGTGATCCAAGCTGCCACTCCCGGCCTCCCAAAACGCTACGATTACAGGCACGAGCCACCGCGCCCGGCCTATCCCCAATATATAGAAGAGAAAATTGATAAAGGGCAGCCTATCCCCATTTTATAGAAGAAATTGATGAAGGGAGAAGCCAGGTAAACAAACTGTGCAATGGCACTCTAGTAGCAAGAAGAGAAAGGTTTGAACTCAGGCAGTCTGACCTCTGAGCCTACCCAGTTAGTCACCATGACACACTGAGAACCACTGCAGTAGTAGCAATAGAAGAGTGATTCAAAGTTTCAGAATACCTCATGGGAAAACAAAGATCCCTTACTGTGTAAACTCAAACTACCTAGCCAGTCACATTTTGTTTTGATTCCCACCCCCTCATCTCCATGTTTCATACCTTCTCATACTGTCTCATGCCTATTTTTTTGTGCACTGTGTGACCTCTGTGTGACTTGTGCTCTCACCTTTGCCTAAGGCTTATTCATTTTCTGAGTTAGCTTAAGGCTCATCTCCTGTAGGCAAATATGGATGCTTCCTTCGTATAAAAGAAAAACTTCAGCTGAATTAAATTTAAAGGAGTTTAATTGAGCAATAAACGATTTGCAAATTGGGCAGCCTTCTGAGCCAGAATAGGCTCAGAGACTTCAGCACAGCCACGTGGTGGAAGAAGATATATGGACAGAAAAAGGAAGGTGACATACAGAAAACAGAAATGAGGTACAGAAACAGCTGGATTGGTAACAGCTCAGCACTTGCCTTATTTGAACACGGTTCAAACAGTTGGCTACATTTGATTGGCCAAAACTGCGTGACTGGCACAAGTGTAGGCTACGGTCTGTTTACACCTCCACTTGTTATAGGTCACGAAGTACAGTAAAACCATTAGACTGAACTTAAATATATATGGAGGCAGCTTTAGGCTAAACTTGATTTAACACTTCTATGAGTTCCCATTGCCCAATACACATACCCACCGTGGTGCATTTATCTTCACATACTGTAATCATCTGTTTACCTCTTTGTTCAATAGACAGTCAGTTCTTGAGAGCTGGGATGAGCCTTTCCATCTCCATTTCACCATCATCTAGCATACTATCTGATGCCTGTAGAAAGATTCATATGAGCCTACCATCTGTGAGTGGAGCTGGGAGGAAACTGACTTTATATTAATGAAAACTACCCAGAGTCTGATTCACTTACAAATGTATTTCACTATTTGAAGCAGAATTCTTTTTCTAAAAAATTGTGGAAGGCATCAAACATTTCAGTTTTCTTTTGTGGTTTTCCAAATCACAAAACTACCTAGAAGGCATATTATATGTTTAAAAATTAAGAAATAAAATAAATCACTTTTTTTTTTGAGATGGAATCTTGCCCTGTCGCCAGGCTGGAGTGCAGTGGTGCCATCTTGGCTCACTGCAACCTCCGCCTTTCAGGTTCAAGCGATTCTCCTCCCTCAGCCACTGCAGTACCTGGGACTACAGGCATGTACATCACACCGGCTAATTTTTGTATTTTTAGAAGAGACGGGATTTGACCATGTTGGCCAGGCTGGTCTCGAACTCCTGACCTCAGGTGATCCACCCGCCTCCGCCTCCCAAAATGTTGGGATTACAGACATAAACCACCACACTCAGCCCCAAAACAAGATTTAGGATTGTGTGTTTCCTGTTTCCCTGGTTTCTTCACCTCTTCTGCTTCTTAAAGGCGGTCTTTGTCACTAGAATATTGTGATGCAGCCTCAGGAAAATAAGAAGAGAGGGGTAGATCCAGAAACAGAAGACAGAAGGAAGGACTGAGCCAAAACAACTAAATCAATCTACACGATGAAGAGCAAAGCAACAGGGAGAAGGCCAGAGAAAAGAAAATAAGCAACCTGGACTGGAATAGAGAAAGTGAAGGGTAACCATGTGAAGGATTCTGGATGAAACAGTTATAAGAGGAAACTGGGGGGTGTACTGGCAGCTATAAGAAATAAGACAGGACATGGATATTCTTTTATTTTTATGAGAGATGTGAGCAAAAACATTTTAGAAATTATTTGTGGCTAATCAACTGTAATTCTTTCTTTCTTTCTTTCTTTTTTTTTGAGATGGAATCTCGCTCTGTCATCCAGGCTGGAGTGCAATGGTGCTATCTAGGGTCACTGCAACCTCCCAACCTCTGCCTCCCAGGTTCAAGCAATTGTCCTGCCTCAGCCTCCCCAGTAGCTGGGATTACTGGTGCCCGCCACCATGCCCGGCTAATTTTTTTTTTGTATTTTTACTAGAGATGGGGTTTCACCATGTTGACCAGGCTGGTCTCAAACTCCTGACTTCAAGTGATCCACCTGCTTGGGCCTCCCAAATTGTTTGGATTACAGGCGTGAGCCACTGCACCTGGACAACTGCAATTCTGTAAATATGACTCCTTTAAGAAACAGAGCCAGGATACCTAAGGCTATATGTACCATTTTATTCCAGAATTTTGGCCATAGCTACATGCGTATTTTACAAAAATGCTCAAAAGATATGTCAAAAATTTTTCAGTTTTTAATTTCACTCAAGGGCAGTGTCCAGTAGGAGTGAGATGAATTTATACTTTATCAACTTACTCTAGTAATGTTTTCTTTTTCCTTATAGAGGGCACTCCAGAGGCTGACTCTCTGTTCTGTCCTTCAACCTAGCTTTGCCTAAGGCTAGAGACATCCTTGATTCAGAGAGATTTGTGCCATTTACTATGGAGCAGTATTTCAAAAAGTTTCCAGGTCCTGAATCCCTTTGAGAATCCAATGGAAAGTATGGACATGCTTCAAAAAAATAAATGCACTGTATTAGCCCATTTTCACACTGCTGATAAAGACATACCTGAGACTGGACAATTTACAAAAGAAAGGAGTTCAATTGGCCTCGCAGTTCCACGTGGATGGGGAGGCCTCACAATCATGGTGGAAGGCAAGGAGGAGCAAGTCACATCTTACATGGAGGCAGCGGTAGAAAGAGAGCTTGTGCAAAGAAACTCCTGTTTTTAAAACCATCAGATATTGTGAGACTCATTCACTATCATGAGAACAGCACTGGAAAGACCTGCCCCCATAATGAATCCCACCAGGATCCTTCCACGACATGTGGGAATTGTGGGAGTTACAATTCGAGATAAGGTTTGGGTGGGGACACAGCCAAGCCATATCATGCAAATAAGAAAATACACACAAAATTTTGCTTACACTTTGAAGAGACTCAGGAATTCCTGAAGTCTTTCTGTGAGCCTTCCAGGCATCCACAGACCCACATTACCAATCCCTACTGTCCCTAGATGGGCTCATTTGCATATCAAGCTCCGCCATGTTAGAACACTTCATCTTACTTCTCATCTCAAATAAGCAACATTTCTGGCTAAATTTTCTCTGGGAAAAGATGGAGTTTTGCTTAACCCTAATGTGATTCTGGTGTCTAGAAATCTCAAATCTGATCCTTTCACCTGTGACTAGAGACCACAGAATCACTCAGCATGTTAACAAAGACAAATGTTGGTCTTTATCATTTCCAAGATAATTTAAAGTCACTGTCCTGCATGGGACATTGTTTAATAATTGATATGCAGTTCTGAGTGGCAGGTTTTTGATGAACAGTTGAGGTCTTTGGGTTAGAACGGTCACCCATGAAGGAAGAGGTCGGAGATAACAAAAGCCCGCAAGGGTACTCCTGCTGCTATACTGGGTACCATCTGTAATTGATGAGTGGTTTTCAAAGCCATCCCCAGCTAAAGCATTTTGCAGTAATCCACTCAGACAATACTTACTTGCTGCCAATAAATCCCGTAATTCAGGCTGTCCACCTGAATCACTCCTCAAGGAGTGTGAGTAAAGGCTTCTTCCTCCTCTCTACTTCCTCCCTCTCAATCATCTCTCTCTCAGGAGCAGGCCAGCACTACTGAAGGCAGTTAAATTCATCTCAGATCTCACTGTCAAATGAAATGTTAAAATTCCCTCAACCTCTCAGAAGAAACTTTTGACAATCAAGTAATATAACAATTCCAACCAGATGTCAAATACTTTTAGAATACAATTTTTCATATCTCGCTTTTTTCCTCCAATCATTTTTATGGCAAACATTAATAAAAATAAAATACTATGTTCTTAAGAATTATGACACAGATGCTTTTTCCTTGCTGAAGTATGAGCCTTCCTTTTTCAATGAGATACCAAGGGCAAAAAAAAAAAAAAGTATTCTTAATGTTAACCACAAACAGCATTTATACTTCTGGGCCAGAGTAGGACCTCAATGTTATATAATTGTATTTACATTATATAACAAAATAAGATTTGAATAAAAAACAAAAGTTTGTGAGTCCCTGCTATGCACTAGGTACTGTACCAGAGCTGAGGGCCAGGTTTTCTTTCTGAAAAATACGAGTTGAAAATCTTTTGAAACAAAAAATGTCAACCTCATATAGAATAATGGTTTTTACAAAAATAAATACAAGAGGAAAAAACCTTTAAAAGTGTGGGAGAAAACAAAACAAGATATCAATGTCCAGAATAAGGGATATTCTGAATAAAATTAATCCAATTGAAAACAAAGCGTTCCCATTTTTCATGTAATGTCAGAAGTGGTTAAACCTCATCAGGAATAATTTCTTCCATATTAACCCCACTATGAGTATATGTAAGAGTAAGATCCAACATCTCTAAATACTTTATTCCTCTCAGATTGAGGGAAATGCATTTTCCTTCACTTCTACCTTCAACAGAGCAAGGCCCAGAGTATTATGACATCCTAAGGGAGAGAACTGCAAACACTATTCTGTAACGAACATTTGTCATTCTTGTGTCATTCTTGCCATTCATGTGTCATTCTTGCATAATAGCTGAAACCCATTCCTCCTTGGAGAATCCCTCCCTTTGTGGGCAAAGCACAATTTGTGTGTCCCTGTGGAGACTGAAAATGTCTGATACTCATTTTACTAGCCTTCCCTTGCACCTAGAGATAGCCCCACAACTTGGGCTCTATCAATCTGATTTCTGCACCTGGACCTTTAATTTAATGTGAATCTAAAAAGCAGAGGTACTAGAGATAAGTCTATGGCATGGGTGGTGGTTATAAAAAGATGAATCATCCAGAGCAGCTGTGCTGGTGGTGGTATAAAGTGTGGAGTGCCAGCTACAGCAGCAGGGTAAGCTGCAATGTGTGGCACACCATAGTGGTGGCAGTATTGTCCACGGGGTTCAGCTCTGGGGTGTGAATTGGACCATGGTTTCCTGTTCTGAAATCTTTCAGCCAGGATCTCTTGCAATCTAGTCTGCTCTTAAGCTGTTCACTAAGTATCCTCCTCATTGTCTTTAGAGGTGTATTAAAGGTGTATTAAAGCAAGTTTTTGCCTCACTGCAATCTTACTTTTCATCTTCTTGTATCACTAAACATTTTTTTAAATTTGGACATAAGTTAAACTTATACAAAAGTTGCAAGACTAATTCAAAGAATTCCTGGATATCGCTTTGGCCAGATTTCTAATATTAATATTTTTCTACATTGACCTCCTCCTCGTCCTCCTCTTTCTTCCCTCTCCCCCTCCTTCTCCCTCTCCTCTCTCACCCCCTTTCTCTCTGTGTAGTTTTTCTAAACTGTTTAATAGTAAATTGTAGACATGATGCTTTTTCCCTAAAATGGCATTGTGTTTTTACTAAAAAATAATTATCTTACATAATCACAGCCTACTTTTCAAAATCAGATTACATACAACACTATGATCTGATCTGCAGACCTTATTCTGAATTTGCCAATTGTCCCAATAATGTCTTGTCTAGCAAAAGAAAATTCAAAATCATTCTGGAACTAGTTTAGTACATTTGAAATAAATGTATATCTTGTTTAAATCAGCCAGAGTTGTTTTCTGTTTCTTGTGACAGATAACTAAAATTGATTTTAAAAAAATGGAAGCAGGGATGAAGTTCTGCAAGTAACACATTTTGAAATGTCTAATTACCTATATGGAAAAAGTAGGGACAAAGGGGAGAGAGGACCTCAGTGTGCTGGGCTGACATGTTGTTAAACGATTGTGTGCTGAAGCCTTGAGACCATTTACATCCTAAAGAAGCTGCCCTATGAATGAAAATTGTAGGAATTGTTCAGAAGGTTGACAAATGCCAGCAATTTCTTCTGGTCATCAGTAGCCTCCTATAAGAAAGAGACCTAAGGAAAACATGGCCCTTCTTCTTTCTCTAGAATCATGTCTGAACATGATGCCTGGGGCTCTAATATTCATTTTGCAACTAGAGGGAGAAGACTAAAGGCAAGGACAAGCCTCTGAGGAAGGGATGGCGTAGATGTGGAAACAATGGGCACTTTGGAATACGGCCGAGCAATCCTACCTCCGGACTTTGAGCATTCTGCGATACAATTTCTTATTATTCAAGCCAGTTTCTGTCACTGTTTCCTATTACACAGAGCCGAAAACACCCTAAAGATAAACATACTCAGTTAAATGACTCCAGCTCTGTGTTGACACTTTGTTTGATGTGTTAGATGTTCTCATAAATATAAAACTAGAGGAGGTGTCATTATCCTCTATTATATCATACAGCTAGATTGCTAGATCTTCCAAACATGGTATTTCTTTTTTTAAAGCATCAGAGAGGATGGAATAAAGTTTTAAAACCACCAAAGATCTATAAAATAACACTGGTGAAAACAATATGAAAACGCCTCCTAAAAATGAGCTTCTTTGTGTTCTTGCATAACAGATAAAAATTTCAACTTTTATTTATTTATTTACTTATTGTTTGTTTGTTTATTTTAGATTCAGGATCTTGTTCTGTTTCCCAGGCTAGAATGCAGTGGGACAACCATGGCTTGCTGCAACCTCGAACTCCTCAGCTCAAACAATCCAACAATATTGTGATGGTTAATACTGACTGTCAACTTGATTGGATTGAAGGATACAAAGTATTGATCCTGGGTGTGTCTGTGAGACTGTTGTCAAAGGAGATTAAAATTTGAGTAAGTGGGCTGGGAAAGGCAGACCCACCCTTAATGGTAGGCACCACCTAATCACCTGCCATAGAATCTAGAATAAAAAGCTGGCAGAAAAATGTGAAACGAGAGACTGGCCTAGCCTCCTAGCCTACATCTTTCTCCCGTGCTGGATTCTTCCTGCCCTTGAAGACCAGACTCCAAGTTCTTCAGTTTTGGTACTCGGGCTGGCTCTCCTTGCTCCTCAGCCTGCAGATAGCCTATAGTGGGGCTTGTGGTCATATGAGTTAATACTTAATAAACTCATATATATATATATATATATATATATATATATATGTAAAACTTAATAAACTCATATATATATAAAACTTAAACATATATATATATTCCATTAGTTCTGTCCCTCTAGAGAACCCTAATACAAATATTTATTAAGGAGCTAATAAGTACTAAGTTGTTAGTGCTAAGTAGTCCTTTGTATGAATTAATGTATTAGTCTATACAGTATGCTATGCAACAGTTATTAGTTCCATTTTATAGATGAGGAAACTGAGGATTAGAGAGATAAACCAACTTTACCAATTTCACAGAGATCATAAATAATGCAGTCAAGATTCGGGATTCAATAATGCAATCTGCTACTTTTTTTTCGATAATTAGGCCAAAGTGATAACTCTCCTCGAGGGAAAATTAAATTAAAGGTTGCATTTAAACTGAAAAATAGGTATGTGTGTTATACGGGTATAATTTCCAAACCCTTATGGATGCCTTTGAAGAGATGGAGGTGTTAGTTTGAAGGAAGGGGATTGATATATTTCCATCATCAATGACCCCCTACCCTACTCCAGAGCAGCCACAGCCACCCAACTCCCTCCACAGATAAAGAAGTGGCTGGCACAGAGGCACCATAGCAGAATTGTAATGTTTTCAGAGGACTCGTCATGTTTAACAAAGGACCCTCACAGAGCAGCTAGGGCTAACGGCTTCATTTCCTGGAAAATGAATCTGAGATACTTGCTCAGTTATATCCCTGACCCACTCTCTTGTGCTTCAGAGGGAAAGATAGGCTTGTGTGCTGCCCCAAGGTGGGGAAATTCCTGCTTATTTTTACAGCGGTCATGACCCATTTCAGCTGTGCAAGGATTTCTATCTTCACTATATCTGCTCACTGGCAGCCTGAAACTTCAGTTTCAAAGACAGGCCTGGATCATTCTTCACCAGAGAAACACAGAAGTATGTTTCTATCACTGATGCTCCATCTTTAAAACATCACTGATCTGAGTTTCACACATCCTGTCTCTGAAAGAGACAAGATATAGGGTGTTTGCTAGAGGGCACAGGGGCAATAGCAGGGTTTTGTTTATAGATTGAGTATTTAACTTCTATTCTGCAGCAATAATATGTAGATATTATCTCTCCAACATAGGTCTAAACAATTAACTATGTTTAGGGCCAAAACACTAGGAATAACCCTTATTTTCTCACTTTTCTTCACATCTGTCATCCAATCTATCTGCAAATCTTGCCTACTCATTTTCTAGGATTGCTTGATAGTGATCCATTTCCATAGTTAGCCAATCATCATCTGGGAAAAAAATAATAAAAGCTACCATTTGTGATCTACTTACCTTCTGCCAGACACTGAGCTACCACTTTGTATGCATTACATTAATGAATCCCCACAACAAACCTGTCATCTGATATTGTCATCTTCACATAACAAATGAGGAAACCAAGGCTCTGAGTGGTTAAGTAATCTTCCTACATCTCCACAGCTAGTGAGTGGTGGTACTCTAATATCAGTAATGCCAATGTTGAAAGGTAGATCCAAGACCCTCCAGATCTGTCAAAATGCCATTTTATCCACTTCCTAAAATAGCAGACTGAAAAAGAAAAAAAAATAGAAACAATTATTGTTCTGTAATTAACCTCCTTTCCAGTAGAATCAAATGCTAAGGAGAGGGGCATGGTATTGTGGGTGTTTGGGAGAAATATAAAGCAGAAATGGGATAGAGCATTAGTCAGTTTTCAGCATATGGCTTTTCTTCTTGCAAAAATATCTCCATTCGGCGTTCACAACACTACTCACACCTGATTTTCTTCTAACCTGAAACTTGTGCCTTCTTGGACTCCATTTCTGGTTCCTCCGCCTCTGCTAACCCTTAACTCTGTCCTCCACCCTCTTTTCTCTCCAAATTCCTTCTCTAGGTGATCTCATCCTCTTCTATGGCTTAAAATAACATTTTTGTACCGATGACTCATAAATCTCTATCTCCAGCTCTTACCACTCCCCTGGGCTCTAGATTTATATACCCAACTGCCTACTTGACATCACCTCTGAGCTGTCTAATAGACATCTCTAATTTAGTATTTCCAAAATAAAATTCTTGATTTACCCACAGCCATCTTCCCCATCTCTCAGTTGCTGGTATCACCACCGATCAAGTTTCTTGGGCCAAAACACTAGCAATAACCCTTATTTTCTCACTGTTCTTCACATCTGTCATCTAATCTATCTGCAAATCTTGTCTACTCTTATTTCCAAAATACATTCAAGATCCCACCACTTATCACCATCTCTATTGCTACAACCCCAATCGAAATGACTAATTTCTCACAGCTGGGCTGCAATGGGCTGCTTCCACTCTTCCCCTGCCAGAATTCATTCTCCATGCAGTAGCCAGCCAGAGTGATCTTTTTAAAGAGTAAAACAGATCAAATTGATCCATTGCTTAAAAGCTTTCAATGGTTCCACTGGGTTTCGAGTAAAACAGAAACTTCCCAACATGACCAGCAAAACTGTACACAATGCACTCCTTGCCAGCCTCTCAGACATGACCACATACTTCTCTCCTTACCATTCTCCCAACTCCCTGGCCTTCTTTCTATCCTTCCAATACACTGAGCTCCTTCACGTCTCTGGCCTTTTTCACCAGCCGTTCCTTCTGCATAGACTGCTCTTTCCTCAGATCTTCTATGATTGCCTCTTCCCCCCCTGTGAGTCTCAGCTCAAATGTCCCCACCTTAGAATGGTTTTACTGGCCATTCCAGCAAAAACATTTTCTTCCATTCTCTCCTCCAATTTTCACTATATACCATTACCCAGTTTTATTATTGTAAAAACACATTATATGAAAACTGTTGTTGTTTTTGATTTTTAATTGAGACAGTCTTGCTCTGTCATCCAGGATGGAGTGCAGTGGCGCAATCTCAGCTCACTGCAACCTCCACCTCTCAGGTTCAAGTGATTCCCATGCCTCAGCTTTCCTAGTAGCTGAACAGGTATGCGCCATCATGCCCGGCTAATTTTTGTATTTTTACTAGAGACTGGGTTCCGCCATGTTGCCTACACTGGCCTCAAACTCCTGGCCTCAAGTAATCCGCCTGCCTCGGCTTCCCCAAGTCCTGGGATTACAGGTATAAACCACTGCACCCGGCCCAAAAAGCATTTCTTCATGTTCATCATTTGTCATCTTTCTCTGCCCCCCTAGAAAATGAGATGCAGAAAGACAACCCTATCCAAAAGAAAGTCTTGTACTTTGGGAGGCTGAGGTGGGCAGATCACGAGGTCAGGAGTTCAAGACTATCCTGGCTAACACAGTGAAACCCCATCTCTACTAAAAATACAAAAAATTAGCTGGGCGTGGTGGCATGCATCTGTAGTCCCAGCTTCTCAGGAGGCTGAGGCAGGAGAATCGCTTAAACCTGGGAGGCAGAGGTTGCAGTGAGCCGAGATCCTGCCACTGCCCTCCAGCCTGGGCGTCAGAGCAAAACTCTGTTTTGCTCAAAAAAAAAAAAAAGTCTCCTGGTCAATGAAAGCTGAGCTCTATGGTACCGAAAGGGAGATCAAGATTCTTCAAAGATTAAGTGAATTATCCCACAATAGTATCCACTCATGATCAAAGAATTCATTAAAAGTCATCAAGAAGGAGTCAGGCTGGGTTCAGTGACTCACATCTGAAATCCCAGCACTTTGGGAGGCCAAGGTAAGAGGATTGCTTCAGGCCAGGAATTCAAGACCAGCCTGGGCAACTTGGTGAGACCCCATCTTTACAAAAATTAGAAAATTAGCTAGGCATGGTGGTGTGTGCCTGTAATCCTAGCTACTTGGGAGGCTGAGTCTGAAGAGTTGCTTTAACCCAGGAGTTCCAGTCTCAGTCACCCATTATTGTACCACTGCACTCCAGCCTAGGTTACAGAGCAAGACTCTATCTCCAAAAATAAAAAGAAAACAAAAAGAAGAAACATTCAGATTAAAACACTGGTTTCTGGAATCCATTGACCCACGGAATATGTTCTAAGTTAGAAAGTACAGATATTCTAGTCATTTAGGTGGACTTTCAATTTTAAATAAACAAATCAGCACTTTTTTCTGTAATCTCTTAGAAGTTTGAATGTGTATTCCAGTTGCCTGGGACAAAATCATTTAATAACAATCAAGTTTCAGGGGTCTACAAAACTGAAAACTAGATTTCTCTTATTCTGGTCAATTTTTTAAAGCATCTTTTTAAAAAAAAAAATTGGAGTAATACATCAAAAACAAAGTCTGTGGCATTGGCTCAGTGATCAGGTGGCAGGCAGCAACGAATCTTCAGTTGCAGCTGGAATGACAGCAATCTATGTTATGCACAAATGAGCTATTTTGTAAAATTGTCACCTGTGAAAACTTAAAAGGAAGGTAATGTCCTCTGTGAACTTATAGCTATAGGCAAAATGATTGAAAAATAGAACTTCTAGCAAGTGTCAATCACTGTTGGCTTCATTTGACAAAATACTACTATAAAACAATGAGCTAAAAACGAATTAACAAGCAAGCAAGTATGAAAGATAACAGAGATGGTCAAGAAAATTTGAAGACTTGGAGAATTGGACAAGGCAATTGTTTCTTATCACTAATTAGAGACAGACTGATAAGAACACAGTCTTGCATCAAGGAATAAATCAAGGATATGGTTTCCACACAAGTTTTTAACCTTTGAATGGGTTAACATAACAACCCAGTTAGTATTTCATATGGACAGAATGACTCAATTTTTTTTTAAGACTGAAGCTGCGGCTCTTCTACTGAAGCTTAGCTGACTTAAGATATCTACAGTTCAGAGAAAACACAGAGAAGCATGTATCAAAAAAGTTGTGTATGGGGCTGTTGGCACAAGAAATTGACCATAATCAACTATAAAAAGAAGCTGATTACTTTTTTGAGAAACTTGTACAGCCAAAGAAATAATGAACCTTCTAAAACTTTTGTGTAAAGACAAAAACATTAACATGGTTAAGTACGTGAACTTCTTAGAGCAAGTATCAGACTAAGAAAGCTTCTCATCCTTGAAGGAGTGTACATTCTATAACACACTCTGCAGACATAGCCAAGGCAACAATAGAAAAGGAAGAACCTCCAAAGAACAAAATTAAGGGCCATGGACTGGAGAACCCCTTCCCAGGCGTCAAATCAGAACATAATTAAGAGCTTTCCTCATCCCAGGGAATGGGGACTGGCAGTAAAATATCAGAATTTATACAAACCAGCCTTGGCAATATTATAGACACCTTGCCCCATTCTGCTATTTTGTACTAAGTGTCAGGGGAAAGAGATAATCTTTTTTGTTTTTGTTTTTTTTCAGTTGATTTTATAACCAAAAGGAGCCACACCCAGACCTGATAAAGAGACCACTTGGTTACCACCCAGAAACTATAGACATAAGAGTTTTATGCCATAAAACTGGATACGTTTATTCTGTAAGATGGGATAAGACTTTGGGGTTGTTTCCATAGGGACACACTGAGTGAGCTGAATACTGATGACCATAAGTGGTATCCTTAGTACTGCTCACAAAATATTTCTAATTCTCTCATACTCAATTACATAGAGGATTATAATGTCTTGCTCTCTTTTGCATGGATGGGACATGTGTCTGGATCTGACCAATGAGTTTGAATAGAAGCAACATTTTACTTCCAGGTTAGAGCCATGAATTCCCAGTGTGAAACCTTCCAGGGCTCCTTTCTATATGACATTGTGAACACCATTTATTTCAATGCTATCTTCAGCCTGGCATCCTGAGTGACTGATGAGCAAAGCTTCCCTGCTGATTCACAATAGCCATATAGCACATGTATTGTTGTTTTAAGTCACTAAAATTTCAGAGTTTTTGTTCTTTGAGACTGTGCCTGAGTCTCTGGTAAAGTTCCTTCTTTGACAACCTTTGAAAAATTTTTTATTTTATCATTTTACAACAATGGATTAATACTCTGTGCACTGTTTTACAGCCTACTCATAAAAATAGTCACATGTATCTTTCTGTATCCTTTATATATTTTTATGCAATGTCAGCATTCATGGCTGCCTAATAATCCATAATAGAGATGTTATATAATTTTTACTCAATCCCACATTGATAAAACTAAATGAGATATTTCAAGCATTTAGTATTATAAATAATAATATAATGTGTATTCCGACAGCTAAATTTTAACAGTAGATTCATGATGACTTCCAGTTCTTAGGATTTGTGCATCAAAGCATATGCAAAATTTTAAAGATTTTGACATTTATTCATTTATTCAGGTTTTCTTCTAGGCATTAGGGATAGTAATGAATAAGATGTACAAAGCCTTCACAGAGCATATTTCCAAGTTGTTTTCAGAGTCTGCTGATGTCCTCTAATACACCCTACTACCAAAAAAGTGAGTGCCCACGTTCCCACACTGTTGGCCACGTTGCTTATGAGCATGTAAAAATTGTCTCTCTTGTTAGCCATAACATCATCTGTCCAGAATGTCTTACCTATATTTGAAGATGACAAGAGTGGTAGTAACCCCACAACCACAGGCCAACCAAAAGATGTTTGTTTATTCTCAGAAGAGTGCACAACACAAACTACAATGAGCAGTCAACCTTCTCTATCAACTTGGGAAAAGGGGCAAATCCTGCATGACTATTGTCTACCTTGTAGCATTTCTTCCATTATACACGTTGTTTGCATCTCCTTTTCTCAATAGACTATCAGGTCCTTGAAAAAGAACAAGGAAGAATGCTTAAAGAGGTGTTAAGGCAGTCAGTTACTCAAGCCAAGCTGCAGGAGATAGGGGATGAATCACAACCCTGCTTACACCTTGCAGCTTCACTATGTCAGTTGCAACAAACAGTGAGTGCCTGTGCTCGCCTCTGCTCACATCATCTCCCTCCACCAACAGGCAAGTTAATTATGCAAATAAAGGCAGCAACTGTTGTGCAGTTGAAAGAGCCTGGTCGCAGAAACCAGTAATCTTTTGCAGAAAAATGGAGTTAGAGAAACAGCTGTAATTTGGCACCGTTTATGTAGATGTAAGTTTCCTACTTACATTATAAGAAAAAACAAAATAAATGAAAGTAGATGTCTATAGATTCTTTTTTCACACTAATTCCACATGCACAGCAATGGTGATGTGGAGAACAGAATTTCATACCCCAAATTCAAGGAACTTAAAATTCAAACTCAAAACAACTATTCACTGAAATTTCACTGTAAGTTTGTATGACGAAGTGTTAAGGATGATTTTTTTTAAGCCTCTCAAGGGAGGATTTGGGGAAGAGCCTAAAAGGATTATGATTTTGATATTTTATAAGGATATTATTATTTTTCAATAAGATATAAAATATTTACTGTCAGTGATGGTGTGCTGAGTGATTTGTAGATATTACAGTGACAACATAGCATTTAAGCATGTACTTCATCCTACATAAGCAATAATTTAAGCTATATATCAAAACCTTAAAAAAATCCAAACCCCAGGGCAATTGAAATTGGCTATCTCTGAAAGTAAGTGTGTGTATATCCTTAATATTATTAGTTCTCTGTGGGTTTTCTCCAAATATTCCCACTTAGATTTTTCCTACCAAACTTGTAAATTTTAGTCAAACACCGTGAAGTGGTGTGCAATATAGAGATGGAAAAGGAAATCTGATAGACTTACTGCCCTATTTAATTTGCCAGAATGATTTTCGTTTCTTTTGAGTTTCTTTCTGGGTCCTTGAGGAATGTTTTGTCTTTCTCTAGAGTGGGAGTGCAATGTATAAATCTTCCAAAAGCTTGGCTTACACTTCGTCTCTTACTCAGAGAAAAAATTTTCCAGCAGGCATTCAGCTTTCTTACATCAACTGCTCTCACCTCACTGACCCAACCTAGTTCCTCCACCTCTTCCACAGAGGCTCTCTGTGCAACTCAGGGCCATCTTCACTATTTTTGTTGATCTTTTTTTAACCTGATTGTATCTTTTTTTCTGTATCTCTAATGTCTGCTTAGTTCTGTTGCCCTGCATTTATTTATTTTGTTTGCCACAACTAAAATGTCTTCTTTCCAGCATATACGACCTCACGCTCTGTATTTCCTTAAAGTACAGCTCCAGGCTCACCTCTGCCCTTAAACCTTCCTTGAATTCTCTTGCTCAATGGCGAATATTCTTGGATGTCCCACAGATCAGGCATGCAGGATGATCCCACACTTGCTTACATAATAACTTGGGATTACTTATTTTCCAACTTTTTAGGCAGACAAACATATCTGACTTACCCAATAAATATAGTAGAAAACTTATTGGACTAGGAATTAGAGCCCTGTGGCCCACCACATAAATTTTTAAATATTACCTTAAGCAAAGTACCTAACAACTGTGTCTTTGTCTTGAAAAGAGAACATAGAATTACAATAACATCATTTTTTAAACTACCTTCAGTTTTAACGTTATGTGAATCTTCAAGAGTAAAGATTATCTTTTGTTTCCCTTGTGTCTTTCACAACATCTACCACAGAGCTGGACAAATAGTAATTTAATAAATGTAATTTAACAAATTTAATAAGTAACTGTCGGGAAATGGATAGACGGTGGATGGGTTGGTGATCGCTCACTCTGTGATCTTATCAACTTTATAATCCTTCGTTTCTTTGAACCAGCCTAAAGCAAAATCACCAGATACTTAATTGTTCTCTTTCTATATTGATCACATATGAATATTACTTTTTTCCTTTTCTTGTTTGCTTCCCAGATTGACTTCAATAAAGGAAAACACTCTGCCTCGCATGGTTTCTTCAGAAAAGCCCTGTGGAATCTACCTGTTGAAATAAGCACGTCTAGCTGCTTCTACAACTTTAATTACTAAAAAAAGAAAAGATCCAATGCAACACTGAGAAATGTTATATATTTTTTAAAATGACTGCTTCTTATGAGAAAAGATAATGTTGCATAACCAAGACCTGATATTCAATTCTCATCTATGGTAACTCTGGCTGTTTCAATTATGTGAAATCATGTTCATCAACAATTTGACAGAGAAAAGCAAAAGAAAATTATTTCATGTCTTCTAACAGCTGCAGATTTGTGAGCAGAGAGCAAATGACAGGAGTATATTTGGATCAAAATGTGAAGATGTGCTTAATTCTATTCCAACACTCATTCTCAGCCCCATTTTTAACATATAAGAATTCATTCTCATGTACACCAACCAGATCCAGACTTCCATGGGATTTACTACCATGAGGGACGGTGGAGTTTGTTATGACATAAACCCTTACTCCAAATATCCAACCTACAAGATAAGTTTCCTAATTCATACAACACTCTATCCTGTTTCAGGCACAATTAAAATATCTTTCTTTATTCCAAAATCAAGATATTCCATGGTGATGAGAATGAGAACCACCCATTCTGGCTTGGATGGTCTCCATTTTAAATGTTGCGTAGGAAGATTATCTAAGTATAGACCTACTTGACAGGTTGTACTTCAATTTTTAATTTCGATCCCATGGTCACCATAGCTGTGGGTCATAAACTAATTTTAGTGATGATCTTGGCAATATCCTTCTCAATTTATAATTACTCAATAATCATATATCAATTAGAAATGTACTCAGTCAGCCAATATTGCAAATATTTACTGGGTGCTTATTAGGTGTCAGGTTCTGTGACATGATTTGAAGACACAATGAAAAACAAAATACAATATCAACCCTCTAGAAAAGAGGTCAACTAACTTTTCTGCAAACGGCCAAGTAGTAAATCTTTTAGGCTTGTGGACCATATTGTTTCTATCACAGCTATTCAACTGTGCCATTGTAACGGGAAAGCAGCCATAGGAATATAAACAAATGTGCCTGGTTGTGTTCCAATAAAACTTTATTTCAAAAAGCAGGTGGCAGGACTAGATGTGGCCCATCCATCATAGTTTTCCAATTCCTGCTGTAATTGCCTAGGGTCTAAAGCAGTACCATCTAATAAGAATATAATGCAAGGCACAAATATGAGCCATGGATATACTTTTAAACTTTCAGTTAGACACACTTTGAAAAGTAAAAAGCAATAAGTGGGGTTAATTTTAATAATATGTTTTATTTGACTGGGTATATCCCAAATATTATCATGACAACACGTAAACAAGTACTTAAAAATTACTAAGCAACATACTAGGTTTTTGAAATCTGATGTTTGTTTTACATGTACAGCACTGTTCAATTCGTCTCAGTCACATTTCAAGTGCTCAGTAGCCACCACAGTGGTTAGTGGCCACCATGTTACACAGCTCAGGTCTAAACAGATGCATAATTGGTAGGGATAAGCATGAAGTATTTAGAGTGAACATGAAGGAGGAAAAGCCAACCTTATATCCATGGTGGTTATGGCTGGTGATCAGGGAGAGTTTTTATAGAAAAGAAATCCAGCATGAAGAACAGGAATTCCCTAGTTGAGGATAGAAAGAAAGACGATTTTGAACAGAGAGGAAATATGCATAAAAACCTCAAGAGGGAGAAAGGTGCAGCTTCTTAAAACAATTTAAAGCAGCTCCATATGTATATGTATAAAGTCAGGGTGGGTGGTGTGGACCCTGAGCTAAGGGAGTGGCATTGGGAATGGAGGGAAGTGACTTAGATGTGAGAGATATTAATGAGACAGAATAGACACAGCTTGGAGATGGATTGGACATAGATCAGATGAGGAAGAAGGAAGCAGCAAGGATGAGGTGGAGGGTTTTAGCTTGCACAGAATGCAAAGATGAAGCTATCATTTGTTGAGATGGGACATGCAGAAGCAGGAGTAGAGTTGGGGAAAGGTGAAGAGTTCAGCCTGTGAGGCCTCAGGGAGATGGGCACAAAGATAACAAAAGACGTGCAAAAGCCACATCCATGTGCAGAACATGCCTTCATGCTCAGGAAGGCCTTTTACGGCAAGAGCTGCCCTCATGCTGTGAGCCAAAGTCTCTCTCCACACTCCCTCCAACCTAAATTTTTATCTAGTAGCTCTGCCACCACATGAAGGGCTAAAATCCTGATTCTGTTGGCCTAGACTGCTTGTTCTTTCCCTTCTGTTTTATGTACTTAGCTCCTGCTCATTTTCAGGTCTCAGTTTAAATGCCACTTCTCAGGGAGACTTCTCAGATACCCCAGATGATCCCCTTGCCACATAAATTCATGTATCTTTCCTCGGTGACAGTTTTCACACTTGTAATTTCACAAGCATTTGTGTAATTATTTGATTATTGACTTTCTGTCTTGAAAATAAAGTTTAGTAAGCAAGAACTGTGTTTATTCTTGCTTGACACTGTGATACTACCCTCTGCCATTTACCTAGCACATCATGGATGTTCAATAAATATTTGTGGAATTAATTAACATAATATTAAAAGTCACTGTTGAGATTCAAACTTATCTGGAAAAGACTGTGAACCTTAGCATGAATCAATACAATGGATTCCAATATTCATCCACAAATACAATCTGGCAAGACGTATTACTTCTCTTTATTTTTCTATCATTGAATCTATTTTTATTTTTAATTCTTCATTTACAGCTAAGGTGGCAAAAAATTAATCTCAGTCATTTTATGTTTCCTGACATTACTGGAGGCATTCCCAGTCCAGGAATCCTTTTCTACTGAATACAGAAATTAGATCCCTAATTTCTCATAAGTTTTTTCTATAATTGGGGTTACGCCCAGAGTCTTCACCCTTTCTTTGAGGGGATGGGCTTTTAAAAACCACAGCCAAAATGATTGATTTCTCCCCCAGTTTTCTGCCATATAATAGCCATTTCCTTAGGTAATGAATGTACAAAACTTTAGCTGCATGACTGGAAGTAGAGGGTGGAAGAGAGGGATAAAAGATAAATTTTGGAGAAAAAAATTGGTCAATAACTTTAAAAAGCTGTTGTCCTATCACATTCATCTACCTAAAACATAAGAGGTATTGCTTCTCACCCTTTTGGCTAAGATCAAGTGTGAAAAATAAGGGGTCATAAATGATTTTGCATGAACAGATTTAGCATCACAGAAATTTTAACTGCAACAAGACAGATGAGGAAGAACAAACAATATTTTCCAGGTAAGGTCTATCCCTGTGGAATGTAGCACAATCTGGGATAGAGTAAGCTCTCAGCTCATAGTTCCTGAATTGAAGAGCATCCTAAATTTCTCCTCTGTAATTACTCATTAAGTGCCTGTTAAATTGTCATCTCCATCTCTGGATCATAAGTTCCATGAAGGGATGAACTTTGAATCAGGGACCTTGTGTCATGCTGCCAGCACCTACTATAATGCCTGTCACAAAATAAGTGCTGGACAAGTATTTATTAAATAAATAAATGTATTAAACAGGAAAAAGGAAGATGAGAATGTACAGAGCCAAAATTCCTCTTTCTTCAAATCCCAGCTCAAATTTTAAGCCTTCATCTTCTTAGAAGCTCCCCTTAGAAGTTTTTGCTCACACCTCTGACCTCCCCCAAATGCTTTGTTTAGTCTTCTTAGAGTATTTATTAGGAAACAGTATACACAATGGTAAGGATACAAACCCAGGAACCAGAATTTGTTTGAATACTAGC
Source organism: Homo sapiens (assembly GCF_000001405.40). Classification (NCBI taxonomy): domain Eukaryota; kingdom Metazoa; phylum Chordata; class Mammalia; order Primates; family Hominidae; genus Homo; species Homo sapiens. Next base: position 117,630,128 of record NC_000008.11, read on the forward strand.
TCCCGCTGTTTGTAAGCTGCATTATCTTGAGCAAATTACTTAAGGTCCCTGAGCTCTGCTTTCTTATCCACAAAATTGAGAAAATTATATGATCAATTTTATTAGGCTTGTTGTAAGGATTAAACTACATAATAAATGAAAAACATTTAGTCCAATATCCAACACATAGTAAGCACTCAACAATTATCTATTACATGTATCACTCTCCACTTTGGCAATGATAGTTTTAAAACTGCTGCGTTTATTGAACATTTACTATATTCCTAGTACTATGGAAAGCCCAGAATATGTTTTCTTAAATAATATGGGTTTATATGAGTTTTCACAATGCAGCCATAGTTGATTCTATGGGTTATTATTTTACCTATCAGCCATTATGAAACTGAGACTGAAAGGGATTACATAAACTGTCTGAGTTCTCATAAGTAGTAATTAGATTTACTGTCATTTGAGCACAGCTGATATTGCAGGAGCCCCACACACTGTCTCCATAGATGTACACATCTTATGTCTTGTACTGAATTGTAAATTCCATTGCAGGCAAGGATTTGATCTGATTTATCTTTGTATCCCCTGATGTATCTAGCTTAATACCTTATATGCCAATGATGAGTAAATATTTATTAAGTGATTGTATACAAAGTGAAGGGACCTCAAAGTCAAACTTTATCAATGTCACAATTCTGTCCTAGCATTAACTCTGCAGAAGTTGTTCACATGCATTTTGAGTAGAGGGAATCCTTTCTAGCAGCACCCATACTAACAGTCACATTCTAAAGGGCAGTGCTGCCCCAACAAAAATGGCATGTAAATAGGTCCTTTGTGCCACCACGTCTATCTGCACATTGGCTGGGCTCATCCAATACTTAGTACCCTAGAAAGTTGGTATTTATACTATGGCAGCAGCATGGACTGTACATATTTGAAATTTTAAAAATTGTTTATGATGGATGCAGTGATCTTCCTCAGAAAATACTAATAGCAACCATTGTTCAGAATAAAGAATCAAGAACTTGAGCATCAGACACAAAACAGGAGCAGCTAGGAAGTGAATTGCCAGCTCCAGAGAGGAAAGGACTTAACTGGTAAAGAGTATAAGAGTTCACAGTAAAATAGAGCTACCATTCAACCCAGCAATCTCATTATTGGGTATATACCCAAACGAATATAAATCTTTCTACCATAAAGACTCATGCACATGTATGTTCATTGCAGCCCTGTTCACAGTAGCAAAGACAAGGAATCAACCTACATGCCTATCAATGGTGGACTGAATAAAGGAAATCTGGTACATATAAACCATGGAATGCAGCCACAAAAAAAAAAAAAAAAAAAAAAAGGAATGTAATCATATCCTCTTCAGCAACATAGATGGTGCTGGAGGTCATTATCCTAAGGGAATTAATGCAGAAACAGAAAACCAAGTATTGCATGTTCTGACTTACACATGGGAGATAAACATTGAGTACACAAGGGAGGGAACGACAGACTCTGGGGCCTACTTGAGGGTGGAGGGTAGGAGGAGGGTGAGGATTTAAAAATTACCTATCGAGTACTATGCTTATTACCTGGGTGACAAAATTATCTGTACACCAAAACCCCAAGACGCAATTTACCCTTGAAACAAACCTGCTCACGTACTCCTTGAACTAAAATAAAAGTTGGAAAGAAAACACATAAAAATAATAAAAATTTTACAAAGAGTTCACAGGATTCCAAAACTGCTAGAGCAGCAGTTCTTTAAGTTTGGTCCATGGACCATCAGCACTGGCATCACCTGGGAACTCAACAAGCAATGTAAACTCTCAGGCCCCACCCAGATTTTTGAAATAAGAAACTTTAATATGAGACCCAACAAACTGTTACAAGAAGCCCTCAGGATGATTCTGATGAATACTCAAGTTTGAGAACCACTGAGTAGAGCATAGATCTTCACAATGTATAACTTCATTCTCCAGATATGAATTCTGAGACACATAATTTTTTCATGACCACACAGCTAGTTAGTAACGACCAGAATAGGTACCTCCTGGTTCAGAGTAAGGAGGGCTGGGAAAGGTAAAGGCAGATGTAAGGAAACTTTATGTTCCTGGAGCCTAAGTCTCATTTTTAAAATATAGATTGTGAGAACGGCTGTTATTTCTGGATGAAGGCTGCAGGGACAGGCTCTGAAGACCACTGGATTAATGGTTGGAAGTGCTAGAGTAAAAAGAGTTAAACCAGTGTTCTTTACTGAAAAACATTTAATATGAGGATATGGAATATTAATCTTCTGGAGGATAACAGGGTAAATAGCATTTAAAAATTTTTTTTTGACCATAAACTGTGTTAGGTTATAAAAACAGAAAAAGTGAAATGCCCCAGAAGCTGGCCAGGTTGCCATGTGACCACCATACACTTCCGTTTCTGGTTCTTAATTTCAGAAGTTTCTTTCTAAAGCAGCATTCAGGGAAAAAAAATGGGAAATGCTGGCCTACATTTATGTCAAAATAGTAAGTAATTTTTGTTTTATAACTGATTTATGTTTTAATTTTCAATCAATCAGTCAGAATCACATGTGCTTACCTTGTAGTTCACAGGGTCCTAAAGGGTTCCTGGTTCCCAAGGTTCTATAAGCTCCCTGAAATTATAAGCAACATTTTGAGTATGTGTAAATGTGGTATTTTTCTGGGGGATTTCCAGAGATTTTTCATTAAATTTTCTAAGGGACCTATGGCTTATGCAATCACTAGATTTGTTAGCTCCCTGAAAATGCAGCTAGTGACATCTGGGTTTTCCCTTTATTAACTTAGAGTCTCACAATTTTTCACTTAATTCTACTACAGAATTCTCCTGATTGCTCATGTTACTTCCATTCCAGTCTTTCTTGGGTCTGTACTCTAATTTTCTTAAATTTCTAATCTATTACATTCATTTCTAAAAACCTTTAATGGCTCCACTGTTGACTGCCAATTCAAGTACAAATGCTGTAGACCTCCCACAATAAGGCTCTTATTATCTTGTCTTTCTCTCATTCTTGTGTATCCTACAGCCAAATAGACAACTTTCTCCAAAGATATACTTACCCATACTACCTCTATATTTGGACTGCCTAGGTCTATTTCCTTCTTCAACATTCTTTACATGCTTCTAAAAAGCCTTCTCTTCCATGAAGTCTTCTTGATTCCCCAAATATTTATTATGATTTTCACCTTCCATCATGAACCCAAAGTAAATATGTGCCAATCTCTTATGAAACTAATCCTACTTGGAATTCATATAATCATTATTGATGTGCTTACTACCCATCCTGTGCCAGGGCACAGGAACTGTTATTCCCCTTGTTTTAAATTTGTCATTGGGTCCTTTCACTGGATCACCCCATTCAAGGCTTTCACCAAAAAAGTAGTATTGGCCCCTATCATGTTTTAATCTGAAATGCTCAGATTTTGATTTTTAAAAAGATTTGTTTTCTAGTTCAGAAACCGAACCACAGACAGCGGCTTCTATGCAAGCTCGTCTTATTTCTAAGATGAAAGAATACTATTAAGGCAGATCAATAAAACAACAAAGATTTCCCCTTTCTCTTTGTTCTTTTGCTCCTTGTGTTGAAGAACCCTCAAATACATTTTCAGAACTCAGGAGTCAAAAATAATCATTTTTGTTTTTAATGGATCAATTGACCTCTAGTAGTCATCATTTCCTATTCCTACTTTTTTTCCTCTTCAGTTGAAATGCCTAACCTGGAGAAAGATGTCCCCTACCTCAACCCAAGGCCCTAAGCAGTCTGCTTCAGTCTGACATATGGACAAAAATCACAGTGAAGATGAAGTAGGAACAGAGTAGTAGGTAGCCACGACCATGGAAGCAGCAGAGTTCGGAGCCAGCTCTATCTGTGTGTGTTAGGACGGTGGGGAGCTCCAAGGCTAAAATCTTCTGATGGTCTAGGATCCTCTTTTATTCATTGCCATCATGAAAGAGAGTTTTAAATGAACCCATTGGCTCTGGATCTATTGACACAAACAAAATGTTTCTTGAAATAAAACTTAGGCACAGAACTTCGAGTTTCCACATTGAGAAAAATCCTACCATAGCCATCAATTTATATACTTATAAAAGATAATCGGGGCTCACTCCCCTTTTCCTAGCTCTCATTTCTCTCATTGGATAATGACTGATACCAACTGGCAGAGACTGATTGGCACACACAAACAGAATGATGGCTGAGTCAACACAAGCGCTTACCTACCACCCCTCCATGTGTTTACGCTTAAGCATCTCAATTAACTGTTCATGTTCAGTATATTTTCTTTATTCCTGGCAAACTCAGCTATGTATAAGTGAAAAGAGCAATCTACCAAAAATAACCTAAGTGGGTCCTAATCTCCTCTCAACATTTTCTGTCTGACTTTGGGCAAGTCTTCTTTCTACCTGTTGGCCTTGGTTACTCTCTATAAAACAGGAATAATGTCTTGCTTTTCTCATTAAGTCTTGTGTCTGCTCTAAGTTATGTGGATGCTACAATTCAATAAATGTTAAATGATGCTAACAGTTTGCCTCATATCCTTCAAAAGTACCTTGAATGCTTAGGATGAATCCAATAAATAAACTAACATAAATTCGATATCTAGGAGAACTGCTTAATGAAAGAGTAACTGAAGTATTGCCAAGTTAATTATTACCAATCAGGGTGGGTGTGAGAGATGATTTGCTTTTTTCAACTTCAATTTGAGAGATTGATTTTATGGTTTCTCAGGTCTCCTTCACTGTTGAAATCCTACAAAACAAATGGAGAATCGATAAAAGAAAAGTGTGCTATGGCTTAAGCCTGAGTTCCTGTTCCCTCCATCTTTCCAGTTTTTCCGAAATCAGTGTTGCTATCATGGTTCTGTTTTGATTAAAAATCTAGATACGCACACACAGTTTTTTAAAAATAATTCAAATATGTGTGGGCAATGATATTCTGCTATGGTCTTTTCCAAGTGCTGTGCACTATCCCAGAACATTGGGAAATTCTACATTCAAATATTAAAACAGAAGACCTGCATGAAATGTGCATTTACTTTTATTTGAGCTTATCTATTTAATAAGGCATTTGGTCTAGAACCTCTTTCTGTTACCATGCTTGAAATTTAACTAACTTGCTTCTTAAGAATGACCATAAAGGGTATGATATTGCAAAAAATCACATTTTATGATAATTTTATAATAATATAGAAAATATGGTCTGTACCACACAATGGCAGGCTCAGTGACAGACAGTCAGTCTTCATTTATCCAGGATGATTGGGAAATGAGGTGTCTCTGCTGTGATTTGTCCTGATAACTGAGGCTTATTCCCTTTGCATGCCAAAAGGTTTTATTTAAACTAATTTCAGTAGAAAGATTTCTCAAATGTGTCACAGTGTCCAGCCTAATTAAATATATACTGAAGCTATTAACCTGTTGTTAATGAGAAACTCAGCACATGGCTATCAGCCATCATACAGGGCCACATCATGGTCAGAGGGGAGCCTGAGAGGGGAAACCTCGCTTGTTCCTTTGCTCAGCACCCCCAACTTGTTCTGCTTTCTGAGTCGTGTCTGTAATAGGCTTTCTATTCCCTTTCTCACTATTAGTGGCCTTTTTTTTTAATCAGTTTTCAATACTCTCACTCCAAGCAATTTTTCATTCTTTTAAATTCCTGTTTTTAATTTGTAGAAAGCCCAATAATAAAGCCCTGTTAGGACTAGATAGTAAACAAGAATCATTCCAATTGGGGTACAACTAGGAGTCAGTGAGGATCAATGAGGGTTCGTGTGCAGACAAGTAGATGTTCCAGCTGCCTGGTTTTCTACCGGGACCCAGAGAGTGAGGTTACTGAGAGCCTTCCATCCGAGCAGCAAGTACTCTTATTATTTTTCTTTGTATTTTTATCTCATTATTTCACTCTGATAGCTTATATTACCTATGTTATATATAAAGTCCTTACCTACATTATATATAAAGTCCTTGAGGGCAGGAAACATATTTTATTGTTCATCTGTTTTGCCACACTACCTAAAATAGTGCTGAGTACATTTAAAAAAAAAAAAAAAAAAAAAAAGGCCGGGCACGCTGGCTCATGCTTGTAATCCCAGCATTTTGGGAGGCCGAGGGGCGTGGATCACTTGAGGACAGGAGTTAAAGACCAGCCTGGCCAACATGGTGAAACCCCGTCTCTACTAAAAATACAAAACAATTAGCCAGGCGTGATGGCAGGCGCCTGTAATCCCAGCTACTCAAGAGGCTGAGGCAGGAGAATCGCTCAAACCCAAAAGGTGGAGGTTGCAGTGAGCTGAGATCATGCCATTGCAGTCCAGCCTGGGCAACGAGTGAAACTCTGTCTCAAAAAAAAAGAAAAAAAAAAAAAAAAAGAATGCTTATGTAATTTGGCTATGCTATGCTTTCCCCCAGAACCTTAGAGAAATCCACATTGAAACGTTAATTCAATATGATACCTATTTCTGTCATTTGGCATTATTTGTGCCATACTTTTCTTCCAATAGCGTTGACTGACTTGCCCTAGACTTTGCTGTAAATAAATATAAAGATTTCTTGTTTAATTTGTGGTACTGTAATTGGAAACTAGTCTCCCCCTCAGCTATTCTCTTTTTTTGATTAGCAATCCTTGCATAGAGAATCTCCAGCTCTACCCTAAAGCCCAACTATAGTCCTTATTTTTCATACCTTGAAGGCCCAGTAACTCATCAATATTTCTTAAGCTGTGCCTAACTTAAACTTTTTGGCCTATCAAAGGATCTTTCTTTTTTAGGATCTGTCTCTCTCTCTTTTTTTTTTTAATGATGAGTAGAAAATGGCCCTCAGACCAGATGGATTCACAGCCAAATTCTACCAGAGGTACAATGAGGAGCTGGTACCATTCCTTCTGAAACTATTCCAATCAATAGAAAAAGAGGGAATCCTCTCTAACTCATTTTATGAGGCCAGCATCATCCTGATACTAAAGCTGGGCAGAGACACAACCAAAAAAGAGAATTTTAGACCAATATCCTTGATGAACATTGATGCAAAAATCCTCAATAAAATACTGGCAAACCGAATCCAGCAGCACATCAAAAAGCTTATCTACCATGATCAAGTGGGCTTCATCCCTGGGATGCAAGGCTGGTTCAACATACACAAATCAATAAATGTAATGCAGCATATAAACAGAACCAAAGACAAAAACCACGTGATTATTTCAATAGATGCAGAAAATGCCTTTGACAAAATTCAACAACCCTTCATGCTAAAAACTCTCAATAAATTAGGTACTGATGGGACGTATCTCAAAATAATAAGAGCTATCTGTGACAAACTCACAGCCAATATCATACTGAATGGGCAAAAACTGGAAGCATTCCCTTTGAAAACTGGCACAAGACAGGGATGCCCCCTCTCACCACTCCTAGTCAACATAGTGTTGGAAGTTCTGGCCAGGGCAATCAGGCAGGAGAAGGAAATAAAGGGTATTCAATTAGGAAAAGAGGAAGACAAATTGTCCCTGTTTGCAGATGACATGATTGTGTATATCTAGAAAACCCCATCGTCTCAGCCCAAAATCTCCTTAAGGTGATAAGCAACTTCAGCTTTGGGTATTTATAATACCCAAAGGATTATAAATCATGCTGTTATAAAGACACATGCACACATATGTTTATCGTGGCACTATTCACAATAGCAAAGACTTGGAACCAACTCAAATGTCCAACAACAATAGACTGGATTAAGAAAATGTGGCACATATACACCAAGGAATACTATGCAGCCATAAAAAATGATGAGTCTCAGGATACCAAATCAAGGTACAAAAATCACAAGCATTCTTATACACCAAAAACAAACAGAGAGCCAAATCATGAGTGAACTCCCATTCACAATTGCTTCAAAGAGAATAAAATACCTAGGAATCCAACTTACAAGGGATGTGAAGGACCTCTTCAAGGAGAACTACAAACCACTGCTCAACAAAATAAAAGAGGATACAAACAAATGGAAGAACATTCCATGCTCATGGGTAGGAAGAATCAATATCGTGAAAATGGCCATACTGCCCAAGGTAATTTATAGATTCAATGCCATCCCCATCAAGCTACAAATGACTTTCTTCACAGAATTGGAAAAAACTACTTTATAGTTCATATGGAACCAAAAAAGAGCCCGCATTGCCAAGTCAATCCTAAGCCAAAAGAACAAAGCTGAAGGCATCACAATACCTGACTTCAAACTATACTACAAGTCTACAGTAACCAAAACAGCCTGGTACTGGTACCAAAACAGAGATATAGACCAATGGAACAGAACAGAGCCCTCAGAAATAATGCCACATAGCTACAACTATCTGATCTTTGACAAACCTGACAAAAACAAGAAATGGGGAAAGGATTCCCTATTGAATAAATGGTGCTGGGAAAACTGGCTAGCCATATGAAGAAAGCTGAAACTGGATCCCTTCCTTACACCTTATACAAAAATTAATTCAAGATGGATTAAAGACTTACATGTTAGACCTAAAACCATAAAAACCCTAGAAGAAAACCTAGGCAATACCATTCAGGATATAGGCATGGGCAAAGACTTCATGTCTAAAACACCAAAAGTAATGGCGACAAAAGCCAAAATTGACAAACGGGATCTAATTAAACAAAAGAGCTTCTGTAAAGCAAAAGAAACCACCATCAGCGTGAAAAGGCAACCTACAGAATGGAAGAATTTTTTCAACCTACTCATCTGACAAAGGGCTAATATCCAGAATCTACAGCGAACTCCAACAAATTTACAAGAAAAAAACAAACGACCCCATCAATAAGTGGGCGAAGGATATGAACAGACACTTCTCAAAAGAAGACATTTATGCAGCCAAAAGACACATGAAAAGATGCTCACCATCACTGGCCATCAGAGAAATGCAAATCAAAACCACAATGAGATACCATCTCACACCAGTTAGAATGGCGATCATTAAAAAGTCAGGAAATAACAGGTGCTGGAGAGGATGTGGAGAAATAGGAACACTTTTACACTGTTGGTGGGACTGTAAACTAGTTCAACCATTGTGGAAGTCAGTGTGGTGATTCCTCAGGCATCTAGAACTAGAAATACCATTTGACCCAGCCATCCCATTCCTGGGTATATACCCAAAGGATTATAAATCATGCTGCTATAAAGACACATGCACACATATGTTTATTGCGGCACTATTCACAATAGCAAAGACTTGGAACCAACCCAAATGTCCAACAATGATAGACTGGATTAAGAAAATGTGGCACATATACACCATGGAATACTATGCAGCCATAAAAAATGATGAGTTCATGTCCTTTGTAGGGACATGGATGAAACTGGAAACCATCATTCTCAGCAAACTATCGCAAGGACAAAAAACCAAACACCGCATGTTCTCACTCATAGGTGGGAATTGTACAATGAGAACACGTGGACACAGGAAGGGGAACATGACATACAGGGGACTGTTGTGGGGTGGGGGGAGGGGGGAGGGATAGCATTAGGAGATATAGCTAATGCTAAATGATGAGTTAATGGGTGCAGCACACCAACATGGCACATGTATACATATGTAACAAACCTGCACGTTGTGCACATGTACCCTAAAATTTAAAGTACAATAATAATAAAATTTAAAAAAAAATGGTCCTCAGAAACAAAAGCAAAGACACCTTGAATATCTGGCCCATTTATATATTTATTCTGAATTTTTTATGTAATACCGTATGTTATTTCAATTCTTCTCATCCTGCACGTCACTACAGGAAATCATCTTTCCTTATGGCGTCAACTTTCTGAGCATCACCTTCTTGATTTGCCCAGAATGTGAAAGTGCATGCGCTGTCTTCCACGCAGCAAACATTTCTTGCTTCTGTCTGTAATGTTTTGGTTGCTTTTGAAGTCATTCTCTAAACCTGTAATGTGTGCAGGTCACTTGTCTGTAGACACTTGGAAAGTGGGGTCACTGATCTAAAGACAATATGCTAATACCAAGCTCTGCTTTATACATAGTACCTGTAACCAAATCCTCTTGAAAATCCATGATACCTTAAGTTTTATTTCAAGAAACATTTTGTTTGTGTCAGTAGATCCAGAGCCAACGGGTTTATTTAAAAACTCTCTTTTATGATGGCAGTGAATAAAAGGGGATCCTAGACCATCAGAGGATTTTAGCCTCGGAACTCCCCACCCTCCTGGCAGTGGTAAGGTCTATTCATTTTCTGATCTTATTGCAATCATTCACTGGATATCTCCTTTGACATGACCTTCTTTTCTCAAAGCTAACTCTTTAAAACCCCTTCTCATTTACTTGTGAGAAAAAAGGTATGAAAGTCACCTTTGTGCTTATGGCAAACATTCATTTTTCTTCACGATGCTCTTGAAAATCCAGAATGACCACAGCTTATCCTGATCCTTCAGCTGTACACTCCATAAGCACAATGTAGGATTCATACAATATAGTCCCATAGGTGGCTAAATAGATTTTACAGTAAAATATGTGTGCTGAGGAGTGAATAAAACAAACACATTTACTGTATGTACATCTTAGCGGGCAATAATAAAATACTCATGTACTCACCAAAAACTTGAGACATTCAGCATTACAACCCCGTAGCAGGCTGTGTACCCCTCCCCACTTGTCACCCTTTCTCTTTCCCTAGAGGTAACCACAGTCCTGAATCTTGTCTCTGTCTCTCCTTCTCTTTTGCTGTCTCCCTCTCCCTCTCTCTGTCTCTCAATCTCTCTTTCTCTCATAGTTTATCACCTTTATATGGTTTCCTAAATAATATTTCATTTGGTACTTGCCTTTTGTATTTATGCAAGTGAAATTCTATATGTAATTTTTTGTGATAGGCTTATCACATTCCATATTGCAAGATTCATCTATGTTGAAGAAAATAGCTGTAGCTTGCTTGCTTGCTTTTTCTTTCTCTTTTTCTTTTCTTTCTTTCTCTTTCTTTTCTTTCTTTCTTTCTCTTTCCTTCTTTCTCTCTCTCTTTCTCTCTTTTTTTTTTTTTTGAGATGCAGTCTCATTCTGTTACCCAGGCTGGAGTACAATGGTGTGATCTTAGCTCACTGCAACCTCCACCTCCCAGGCTCAAGCAATCCTCCTGCCTCAGCCTCCCAAGTAGTTGGGACTATAGGCACACACCACCATGCCTAGCTAATTTTCATATTTTTGTAGAGACTGGGTTTCGCCATGTTGCCCAGGTTAATCTTGAACTCCTGGGCTCAAGCAATCCTCCCACCTCTGCCTCCCGAAGTGCTGGGATAACAGGCTTGAGCCACTACACCAAGACAATAGCTATATTTCATTCTTTTTAACTATGGTATAGTATTCTAGTCTATGAACATACCACAACTTAGGAGTCTATTAAACTGTTGGTAGACAATTTGAATAGTTTCCTGTTTTCTGCTATTATGAACAATGCTGCTTGGACAATCTTGAATTTTCTGGTGTACACATGCTAGAATTCCTCAAGGGCATATATCTGGGAGCGTAGGTATGATTGTAGGGAATTTTCATCCACATCTCTACTCTATTTAGACACACTGCTTTCCAGTTCTACTAGTTTATACTCTTGTCCGCAAGAGATGACTATTCCTATTGCCCATATCCTCACTACACTTGATATTAATCACCTTTTAATTTTTTAATAAACTGGTAGGCATGAAATGATATCCTATTGAGATTTAATTTAGCATTTCCCTGCTTAACAATAAGGTTGAGCATCTTGTCTTATGTTTATGGTAATTCGTATTTCCTCCTCTGTAAGATGTATGTTTAAGTTTTTTGTTCTTAGTTTCATTGTGGTGTTCATCTTTTCGAACACAAATCTTTACTCATTGACATGGACCGCAAATCACTTATTTCAGTATGTCTTTCTCTTCATTGTCTGTAAGGTGTTTTTATTCTATAAATGAAAGCTTTAAATTGTAATGTACATACATTTTATCAACAATTTCCTTTGGACTTTGTAATTTGCTTAAGAAACTATTTTACTTCAAATTCATATGACTATTCCAAATATTCTTAGAAGTTTTGAAATACTGCCTTTTACATTTACATCTTTCATCCGCTTGGAATTGTAGTTTATAGTTTGTAATACAAAACTGTTTTTTTTTTATTTTTCATTTGTATAATCAATAGTCCAAGCACCATTTATAAAATAGTTGATTCTTTCCTCACTGATCTAAAATGGCTGAACTGACATAAATTAAGTTTCATGTATGCTGTGGGCCTGTTTCTGAGGTCCCTGTTTAGTTGAATTGACACTGATTAAATCCCTGTAGCAATAACACCTTGTTATAATTACAATAGCTTTAAACTAAAATTAAATCTGGTAGAACAAGTCCCTTTCCTTATATGAAAACATTGTTCTTCAGAAATGTTTGAACTAACTTTTGATTAGGTATTTAATTTGAGATGTTTCCTCCTTTTAATATAGGTGTTCAGAGCTATAAATTTCCCCTTAAGCATTTCTTATGCAAGATGAACACTTTAGATTCGAAGACAAAAATAGGTTGAAAGTAAAATATTGGGGAAAGATATACCATTCCAACAGTAATCAAAAAAGAAGTGAAGTAACTATATTTATATAAGACAAAATAGATTTCAAGACAAAAATTATTACTATAGACAAAGATATTTTATAATGATGAAAGGGCCAATCCACCAAGAAGATAAAACAATTATAAACCCATATGCACTTAACAGAAGGGCCCAAGAAAACATGAAGCAAAATTGACAGAATTGAAGGGAGAAATACATTAATTCAATACTCTAATCTCAATAATGGATAGAACAACTAGACAGAAGATCAACAGGAAATAGAAGACTTGAGCAACAGTATAAACAAACTGGGCCTTGCAGCAGCTGCAGAACACTCCATGAAACAACAGAATACACGTCCATCTCAAGTGCACATTGAACCTTCCCCAGGATGGAACGTAGGTTAGGCCATAAAAGACGTCTCAGTAAATTTAAAAGGACTAAAATAGTACAAGTATGTTCCTAGACCATAATGGGAAAAAAATCAGTAACACAAGGAAATTTAGGAAGTAGGAAATTCACAGATAGTGGAAATTAAACACACAATATTAAATAACCAGTGGGCCAAAAAAGAACTCACAAAGAAAATTTAAAAATACATAAGAGTTTTTTAAAAAGTGCTATGGCAACGTAAGTTTCACATGCAAAAGAATGAAGTTGGTTCCCTATGTCATATTATGTACAAAAATTAACTCAAAATCGATAAAATATCTAAATATAAAGGCTGAGATTATAAAACTCTTAGAAGAAAACATAGGTGTAAAATCTTCATGACTTTGGATTAGGCAATGGTTCTTAAATATGACACCAAAAGCACAAGCAATAAAATAAAAAAATAAGTACATTGGACTTCATTACAATTAAAACTTTTGTGCTGCAAATGAATACAGTAAAAAAGAAACCTAAAGAATAGGATAGCTTATTTGTAAATCATATATCTTGTTCAGCTCTCATATCCAGAATATGTAAAGAATTCTTATAATTCAATAACAAAAACACAAATAACACAATTTAAAAAATGGGCAAAAGATTTGAACAGACATTTCTACAAATATATATATATATGCAAATGGACCAATAAGCACATGAAATGGTGTTGAACGTCGATTGTCCTTAGAGAAATGCAAAGCTACAGTGAGATACTACTTCACACTCACAAGCCTGGCTATAATAAAAAAAGACAGGAAAAATAACCACAGGCGGTGTTGAAGATGTGAAGAAACTGGGACCCTCATACATTGTTCGGGGGGAATGTAAAATGATGCAACTGCTTTGGAAAACAGTTCAGCAGTTTCTAAAAAAGTTAAACATAAAATTACCTTTAAGATTCAGCAATTCTACTCCTAGATATACACCCAAGACAACTGGGTATATATAAACTTATATTTCCTTTATGCCCACATACACCCTTAGATATATGTAGATATAAATATATGCCTAAACAAAATCTTGTATATGGATGTTGCTAAAAGCATTATTCATGGTAGCTAAAAAATAGAAACAATCCAAATATCCATCAGCTGAAGAATAAAGAAAATGTGGTATATTTATATGATAAAATATTATTTGAACGTAAAAAAGAATGAAGGACTGATACATACAATAATATGGATGAAGCTTGAAGACATTATACTAAGTAACGAAATTGGTCCCAAAAGGCCACATATTGTGTGATTCCATTTGTACGAAATGAGAAATTTCTATGGATCTTTTATGTTTCCTTGAAAATTATATGTATTCTACAACTGTTGGATACAGTGTCCTATAAATGTCTATCAGGTTCCATTCAAATCTTCTACAGTTTTACTAAGTTTTTAATGTGCTTGATCTACCAATGAAAGACAAATGTTTAGATCTCCCATTTTGATAGTGAAATTGTCACTTTCTCCTTGTAGTCCTATTAATTTTCATTGTATATGCTTGAGGCTATTGGGTCCATACAAGTTTAGAATTATTACATCTTCCTAGAAAATAGAATATTTTATCATTATTTAATCAGCATCTTTATCTCTAGTAATATTTCTTTCCTTAAAATATATTTTGCCAGATATTAATATAATTACATCAACTAGCTGTAATTATATATATTTTCAACTAACATTGTAAGCTTATTAAAGGATTCCTTTACATTCAATGTGAAATAATTGATTACCTTAATAAGAACAATTTGGAGGATTTTAAATTTTATAAAGTGCCTTTTCATGTGGCCTTTTGCTTTTTCACTAAGGTATTTCATTCAAAAGCATCTGATGTTGCTGTCAGTTTCTCAAAACATCTGACAGTTGTAAGTTGCTAACCAACATACAATCATGTCCATGTCATGAGTTATGTCAAATGATACCAAAATATGCTGACTTAATTACCAACACACAAAGAACCTTCTTAATTAATCAGCTGATATGATGGACAATTACACTGTTTTAGAAGTTAGAATTACATAGTCATAAAACTAGGTTTAAATATTTTCTCTGCTCTGTAATATATAAAATGGGCTTTGACATGACATTAAAGTAAGTCTTTTTTTAAACCAATGCTTGCTCTGGATTATATTTACTCTGCAAAATATAAACCTTCTTTATCAATAACTTCAATCCATCAATTTATCTCACTACTTTTCTTTTCATTGCCTGCTCTCGTTGACCTGTATTTTCTCTGCAATTTCAAGGACAGTGCCATAACAACAGCAATAATACCTTTCATCTCATATAGTTCTTTGAAGTGTAAAAAGCATTTGTAGGCATATTAGTAGGTGCTCAATAACTAGTTGTTGAACTGAATTATCCTGCTTCTTCATGATTACCAAATAGGAATTTAACAATGACATAATCAAGAATGTTCTTTGTGTGGCGCTGAATGTCCTGGAAGCTGAGTGTGTTCCCAATCTCTATGACTGTGTCTCCAGCCTTATGCACTTAAAATGTCTACTGCAATTTCCTTCATTATTATGTACTAAGAATGCAGCCAAGAAAGACTGCTCACCTCTATGAAGTATACCTAAGCCAAGGATGTTAAATTCCATCCTTACCATCAAATATAGATTTTCTATGAAAAGGTCAATCCATTTTTAAAAGCTGAATGGATAACTGGAAAGTAATTTACAGCTGATTAATATTTAGGGACCAAAAAATCCAGTACAAGAATATTTCCCAGATTTATTGAACTTTGATTATGACTTGATTGAATTTTCATTTTTTTCATTCACTCAGTTCTTACCTTTTTTTGGTTCTGAACTAGTCAGTGGAATGTCACTGGCCATGTTGAGCTTCGTAATTCTGCTACCTTTATTGAATTAATCTATTTCTATGGCAAGACTGCCAGCTTGAGATAGTCTTTTGCCTGCTGAGCCATTTGCAGTGATGGATGACACAAGGAATAGTAACACTTTCCAATTTGGCATCTTTTAGGCATTAACTGGGTCTTTTATTACACATCCTTTCAGTCTTACTCTTATTTTTCTTTGAATTCATTGACTTCTAGACAAGAAAATGACACATTTCCTTAAGGAATCCCCTTTAGCTAGCAGTTGATGTCATTTTAAAAAGAACTTTTTAGAAAAGACAGAAGTGACTCTTAAAACTTAATGTTCTTCCTTTGGAAATAAGGTGAAAATTTTGTTAAAATAGGTGAACAAGTATTTGTTTACCTAATAATAGAATATATTGTATAGAGAGAACCACCTGAAGCTTGAAATTGGTATTTTATGAAAATTAAGAGAGAGTAATATTTAATAATTTACAACATTTGTAGTAACTTTATGTGTAAGCAATGAGTATTGCTGTTTGAATGATATTTTCACTTCTCTCCTTCCATATGCAGGACAGATTTATAGTTCCTGACCCCCTTATGGTTGAGTGGGGTTATTCAGCTAGTTCCACCTACTGAATTGTCTGATTATGAGTGTGTCATTTCTGAGCTGCGTCATGCAATGTGAGATCCTCAAGGGTTCTCTTTTCCCTCTGGCTGGCAACTGACAATGTTTGAGACAATGACTATCTTGTCAGTCAGTCTGATTCACCAAGTCACTACTTCAAGGAATCCACCTCTGCTGATTTGCAATGGACGGGTAGCATGCCAAGAAACAATCCTTTGTTACCTAAACTACTGGGATTTGGGGTTTATTTGTTACTGCAGCATAAACTAGTTTTATACTTTATTTTAAAGATACTATGGAATTTGCATTAGCCCACGATAGTGTCTAGTTAAATTTAGAGATGAACCATCCGTGACAGGCTCTTAAAGATTTCTAACTTTATAAGGTTGTTAATAAATTCTTTAAGTTTGAGGTTGTTAATAAGGACTACCATATTTTCTCACTAATTCTGCCTAGCATTGCTGAACAGTCATATACCAAACGTTCCGGATGTAAGTAAACCATGAACATTTTGAACTTTTGAGAAGCAATGCAGCCAGATTTGTTAAATCATGAATTTAGGAACATCAGTTTTATTTCTGACTGCATTTTTATTAACACTTCTGTAACTGCTTGAAGCCTTGGTTTTCTCATCTGTGAAATGAAAATGATAATATTTCCATGTGATGGTTATGGAAAAAACACCAGTGAGAACACCATAACCCTCTTATAAAAAAGGAGTAAGTGTTTGTTCCAGTGCTGGGCCTCGAGGAAGTGCTCAGTAAATCCTGCCTCTCCTCCTGTTTTGAAGGGATAATGACACAAATTCAAACCTCTTACCAACATTATAGGGAAGCTACTCCACACACCACCCACTTTTTTTCTCTTTTCTGTTCTAACTGATTCTTTCTGGTTCTGCTTTATTTTTCATAAGAAAAATCAGCCTGAGTCACAAACTATGGCGTTTGTGCCACCAAGTCATAGGTAAGAGGAGCACGGTGATAATGACAGCAGCCCTGTCTCATGTGTTGTGTGCCTGGTCTTTGCTGTAGGCACTTTCCACAAGTTTTTCTCCTTACAACAGCCCAGTAAGGTGGACATTTTTCTGCTCATTTTGCAAATGAGAAGATTAACAGTAGATATTTGGATAAGGTTATGTATCTGTTAATTGATGCTATCAGAATTTGATCCAAGATGTCTGAAGATTGTGCTCTTCACCACCAAATAGGGGAAGCATATACCCAGGTTTGCCTGCAGCAGTCTCTATGTATGACTAGTATCCTGGCATTCCATCTGGTTTACCATTTGTCTTAGATTTTTCATCTTTACAAATGTATTATTATTAATAGTTGCATTAAAACATGCCAGGTGATACAGTTTGGCTGTGTCCCCACCCAAATCTCATCTTGAATTCCCATGTATTGTGGGAGGGACCCAATGGGAGGTAATTGAATCACAGGGACAGGTCTTTCCCATGCTGTTCTCGTGATAATGAGTAAGTCTCATGAGATCTGATGGTTCTATCGGTGGGAGTTTCCCTGCACAAGCTCTCTTTCTTTGCCTGCTGCCATCCATGTAAAACATGACTTTTGCCTTCTGCCATGATTATGAGGTTTCCCCAGCCACGTGGAACTGTAAGTCCATTAAACCTCTTTCTTTCGTAAATTGCCCAGTCTCTGGTATGTCTTTATCAGCAGCGTGAAAACAGACTAATACACCAGATTTCTAGGCTTCCACTTCACTGCCAGCCTCTGCCATGGTTTCACCTAGTCTCAGTGCAAAATGCACAGGCCATAAACAGAGTTCTTAATTTAACATGTGGTCATATTTGAAAAACAACCAAAGATCACCTTTCTTTCTTCTCCTGACCCTTTCTGGAGGCAATGTAACTAGTACCTTTTTAAAGGAAATGAAGAGACTTTGTACCCTAGGGTCTGGGAAGAAGCTACATCCTTCTAGTCTGTGGTGGTAATGGTGGCAGAAGTGTCCAACAGGCCTACCCCTATCAATCAAATGGAGCTGGCATGCAGGTGGTAGCATGGCCTGTGCTACAGCCTACAAGATGCATGAAACATCAAACCAGGCTGCAAAGTCAGGAAAGCTTGGAAATGGTAGATTCGGTATATATAAAACATGTGGGAATAAAAACTGAGAGTTCTTTCACAGAGCATATAGAGAATACTTCCTAGTACAGTGGTTTTTGTCATTTATTATATACTATAAATCAATAACTTTTTATTTATGTTATTATTTGGTAGCTTTTTAAAAACTTTATAACTCTTTTCAGGAGCAATAAATTCTAAGGGGAGGGGAAGCACATGTTTAATAAAATTTTAAGTACAGAATTTCTATTTTGTAAGAAAATTGACAAATATGTAACTTACACAAAATGTTTGCTGGCATTTGACATCTAACTTGGGGACTGTAATGATATTAATTATCATTTGAAAAGGCACAAGTCTACTAAAGAAACATCAGCATCCATTTCAAAAGCTAGTAGTTACTTTGTGCAGGTTTTCTTGAAAGTAATGATTTACTGAAACTTATCACTAAACATATTAAAACACCAAAAGAGGAAAGAACAAATAAAAGGTTGAACCCTCAAGGGAGTGCTGTGTTTAATATTTAAATTTAGAATACTATAAATGCACTTTAGAGTATCTCAACTTGTGGTGTAATTTTTTTTGATGGAACTGCTATTTTTAATCAGGTGAACTTATATTCTGACTAGAAAGGAGTGAAAATAAGAATGCTTATGATTTTCCAGCATCTGAATTTAGAGAAACAGTCAAAGGAATCATAGATACAACTTAGTTGAAAAACTTTGATTAAAATATTTTTCAAAGAAAGATATGGAGGTAAAAAGAGAGTATGTGTGAAAAATATTTGAGCTACGTACACATTTTTATTTTTAAAATGGAATTAAATTTGAAACGATCAGCATATTTAATTTACTCATCCATGTACTATAATATTTTTAGTTAAGTAAGTATGCTCTTTTCAGATACTAAAGTACCTGGAAAACTAAAAAAAAAAAAAAATGCTACTACATGGTGGATATTTTCATTAGCCGTAAACTACTTAGAGTAAGACTGCAGGCAATTTTATGAAAGAAATTTTAATGACACTATGTTGAAAAAAATATCAGACAAATGGCATTAGAAACAAATATAGCAAAGAAATTGATTAACGTATGTGAAGTGTATCAAGACTATTATTGTTTATGTTATTTTTAATGTTTCAGATAATTGATGTAATAATCAAAGTGAAGATTTTTATTTTGCTTAAATGTAAATGCATATGCGTTATTTTCATTTTTAGGAAAAAATTATTTTTGAAAATGGTTTTTAACAGAACTAGTTTATAAATACAAATGTATTTTATAAAAACAATTGTATTCATTAACAAATGAATATTCCAAAAAGCATAATTTTAATTTTCAAGTGTGGCCTTGCAGTCTAACAATTATTTAGCTACTTGTCCCAAACGGGGAGTCTGTATGCACAGCCTGCAGGGTATGGTAAGTGACACTCTTTGTTTTCATCTCAGTTCCCTGGATATGGAAGGCCAGCTTCATCCAAGGCACCATGGTGAATTCTTTGGACAGTTGTTTTAAGTAAAAAATTGAACATAATTATTCTGCTGCCCCTCCTAATTTTAAAGGGAAGTGTCTTTCTTTTGGGTTCTTTTTGATTCACCAGCATCAAGGATTCCAGGACACAGCAGTCACCTGAGAGCTATGGCTGATAAATGTCTTCATTGCCTCAGAGAATTGTTCTGGGGCCGTGACGCTCTCCAGCATTGCCTGAATTCCAAACGGAACTACATGCCTTTGTGACTTTGAAGATTAATCTCTGTCACTCACAGCTCGTTGGCTTCCCTTGCTCATTTCTGCAATGTCTGCAGATGGTGTGGTGCTCTGTGCCAGAGTTATTTACCCACAAGTTCCTTCACACATAGCTCCCTCTTTGAGCCATTCCAGGGAGAGTTAAATACTGAACAATTACGCAACTCTTTTGTCAACCCGTGGGTCTTTCCAGCTCTGGTCCAAAAGAAAGTCTCTGCAGCAATACCTGCTATTCCTGGAGGCTGCTGCTGTCTCTCAACTGAATGCAGCAGAGACATTGCCTTCAAGAACCCTCTCACCACAAAAATAAACATTTTCAAAATATACACAAACAACACATTTTTCATTGGTAAACATTCCTTAACACACTTCCCAGAGTGCCTGCTGCTTCACTGCATTTTTCTCCCAGAACTCAAGTTGCAGAATTCATCATCCTCTAGCTTTTTATTAATTTACAAGTCAGCAAATATTTTGGCACTGAGTACCAAACCTTTGTCAGAAAGATGTAAGGTGGAAGGGAAAGATGGAAAAAGGAACAGGGAAAAATAGTAACTGTGGAGGTAAGTTCTTTATATTCGTTTTTTAATTTTTCCATAACCACTATGAGTAAGTATTTTTATTATCCTATTTTACATATGTAGGAGACTGAGACTCAAAGAGATTAAATAATTTACACAAAGTCACATCCCCAGTAATGACGGAACAGAGACTTGAATCCAGGCAGTTTACATTTAAAGCCTGCAATTATAACCCCTAAACTATATCTCTTCACACTGTAGAGAAAGTAGAAGCAGAAGAAAGAGGAGAAAAAAGAAAATATGGGGAAAGGGATGGGAAAGAGGTGAAGGCAAGTGGAAAGAAGAAAAGTGAAAGGTGGTGATCAGAGGAGTGAGGAGGAATAAAGAAGAAAACACTGGTGAGAGGGAGGAAAAGAGAGCTGAGAGAGAGAGAGAAGATGGGAACAAGGAGAGGAAGAGGCAAAGGGGGAGAGAGAGGGGACAGAGGGAGAGACAGAGAGGAGAGAGAGAGAAAAAAAGAGAGAAGGGGCCGGGAGAGGAGCATATGCAGTGAGTAATAATCCCAAGACTTTCTATGGTTCATATCTTGGGTAATCTGTGCCTTGATAAATCTGAAATAAGTATAACAATTTTTTAAAAGCCATCATCTTTTTAACGACTTTATTTATTTATTTATTTATTTTTGTACTTTAAGAGTCATTACCATTGATTCACTAGAGGAAACTTCAAGTATTAGAAGGACACTGGCTTTCAAATCAGTAAGGTTCAATTTCCTCTTCTGGAAATTAGAAATAAATACTCACTGACCTCATATATCATTATAAATAAGTTCTGTCAGTAAAGCATTGGAAATTGCATATCAACTTCCTTTGCACTGAGTACCATCACTTTGGTCATGGACCTAAGGCACAGAAAGGGAGAATTGGGAAAAAGAATAAGAAGAAATGGTAATAACAAATAGCTGGCATTGAGCACTTGTTATGTGTCAAGGACTGTGTGTACTACCACTGTGCACTCGGGAAGTTTAAGTTCTCTTGCTCTCTCCTCTCAAATAAAAGCAAGCGCTGGCTAGTACTTCTAGACCTAGACTTCCTAAACCCCAGCCAAGAGGTAGAATATAAAGTAGCGGTTATGAGAATAGGCCCAGAGCATTACTGTGTTTAATTGCCGTTCCTCCATTGAGCTCATTATTCTCATGACCCCCTAGATGCATTCTCTGCTTTGTGCTGAACTCTATGAACTGCACCCCTTGGCTGCTTCCTCTTCCTAGATCGCTGTGAGACACAAGCTCTCCTCTCTCCTCACTTCCTCACAACTACCCAAGACAAGGTTGATTTGGGCAGGAAAGGACTTCCTTTCCTTAAAGCTATAGCTCCCATCGAGGGATTTCTCTCACACAGTTAGTTGTTGCTGTTTCAGTAACACTGTTTCTAGGGATGCTAAAGGATTCTAATTGTTGCTCATCTTTGGAGACTTTGGAACTATGTCTTGTTGGTTCCCTTAATCCTACCCTTGTCTCCATAAATAATCCTATCATTAAACTGTTTCAATTATCTTTTAAGAATTTGCCATCTGTTTCTATCACCACTCCTTCCGACACAGATGTGAACTGTCTGTGGGATCTTAGATAAGTTCCCTAGCATCGCCAGCCTCAGTTTCATCATCTATATACTGGGGGTGTTGTACTTCATGGGGAAGATCTGAAGAGTGAATAAAAGTGCCTGTGCTTTGTTGCTTAACTTCTTGCCAGGCACATACACAGTAGTAGTATTTACAACCTACTTAGAAAATATGAATGCATATAAGGTCAGACTTAAACGTGAATTACCCCCCATCCCCCACCACTACACACACAGATCTTTACCCCAGGAAGTTCTCCGTAGTATCCAAAATGCAAGTGATTATCTTCATATCATGGTCTCTGGTAGTTCCTGCCTTATTCTATTTCTAGTGGTTCTAGGATTTTCAGCATTTTCATGGAGCTTGTGAAACTCAGAAGATAAAACAGAAAGCCATGTAAGTATATGTGGGATCAGTCTACCTTCCTGGAAGACAGAAGACTGGCCCTTTATACAACTAGACAGAAGCTAATCTAAATCCTAGTGGGTTCTGCCAGAACCCAAGGATCCCCAAAACCATCCTTTTAATTCAAGGAATAAATCCCAACAGTATCCAATGGTCTGGTCCTCATAATTATCACATTTCTTAGACATATCAGATATAGGAACACCCCACTGCTCTACCATTGCTCTGTGTCTGGGGATTGCAAATAGGTTTCTTTTTAAGTGCCAACTTGGATCAATTGGCAGTGTTGCCTGAAGTGCTGGGTGGAGAAAAATTCTCAGGCCAAGTGCAGGCTCAGCAGTAAAAATAAGCATTGTGATTGATTAACAATGTCTGCTATGGACGCGGGGTGAGGGGGAGAACTCCCACACTTGCTGCATGTTTGCTGACCATGCATTATAATGTGAAGGGATTTTCTGGAAGAAAGTAGAATGGGGTGGTGGCATCCCAGTGACTTTCAGGCATCAGGCCTGAAAATATTCTTTTTGCACCCTTCTCTTGTAGAATCTATTTCAAATAAAAGGTAATGACTGAGATTACAGATACATTTTCTCATTTAGACCTTTCATTTTTATGCGCATTTGCATTCAGCAGTAAAATTATAACACATATTTGGTATCTGTTGTAAGCATCTGGGGATGGTTTATATTATAGAGATTCAAGAAGTAGAGCTCTCTACTGGACAGTGATTCAGTCAGATATGTTCAACATAGCTCACTGAGCTCATCTCATCAATGATATGTTCACGCAGCTAAAGGCAAATGTTTAAACATTTAGTTAATGCACCATATGTCTTAAATGTTTTAGTTCCATCTGACATTTTAAAAAATCCATTTTAGTGGAAACCCGCCAAGTAAATTTACTTCTCTGGAAGATGATTATTCCATTCATCTTAAATCCAATTCTCCTGGACCTCTCAAACACAATGAACTCTTAATTTGTAGGCTTCTAATCCAAAGACAGGACTGTCTTCATGTTCTGCCTCCTGAAGTGTGGGGAAATGCCTGATCAGGTGGTTCCATGTAATATAGTTTATGTCCTGAGGGCCACACAGCTAGGTGTAGGCAAAGGTGGCTCCAGAAAACTAATTATCAACTCTGGGGGCTCAGCAGGGTGGTAAGTGAAAGGCAAAATGGAGGACTATGAAAATAAAAGGAACAAAGTCAGAGAAACATGAGAATCAGAGTAGGAAAAACAAGAACAAAAGACAAAGGCAAATAATGAACATTTACAACAGGATGTGGTTATAACTCTTATGTTTCAAGTCACACACTCCTAGCAATTAAAAACAATACAGAGGGTAAAAATAATAACCATAGAACTGTGAGGCTTAGGCATAGTGGTTAGAAACACAAACCTTGATATCAAATAAATTAAAGTCTCAAATCTTGGCTCTACCAATTACTAGCTGTGACCTTAGGCAAATTATTTCATCTCTCTGAGCCTACTTTCCTCACAGGGTTGATTAAAATATTAAACTTGTATAGTGGGTGAGTATAAAACTCAGATTTGCAAAAAAAGGTAACTTAATTTTTAATAAGTAAATTCAATTTCATGTGTAAACTCCTAGTCTGCCCATAGCTTAAAATATATTTTATCACATTGCAGTATACTCAATTTGTATTCAGTGATTTTTATAAAGCCACTTAAAGTATCATTCTATCAGTCTTTATCCCGTTCCAATCTTAGACATTTTTGGGTAAGAATTAATCATTTCTAAGGCTTCCCCTACTGCGCCTCACCATCTACCTGATGGTAAGTCGGTAGAGAGGAGAGGAATGTCATATAATGTCCTAGCCTCTAACCCTTGCTGGTCTTCAGTTGAGAGAACTCATTCTGCTTGGCCTTTGGCCACCAGCCTTTGTCCTTTTTCATCTCTTCTGGTGAAGTTACTCTCACCAAGCCCTGGACATCTTGAGTTGGCATCCATTCAAATCAAGCAGGTCCCACTTGACCTTTGTGATGGTTTGCTGCGACTCCTAGCTAATGCCTCTGGTCTAAAGGTCCTTGCCTTTAGCTTTGTTGTCCTGATCTCAGACCTCTTGCTGTCCATCAGTCCTCTCTATAATTCTGTGAACTTTGATTTTCAGAATCCAGGATTTTGATGAGGTATATTATTTGAACTCGAAAAGCTGAGCTTTACAAATTAAGAGGCAAGGGGTTTTATTTAGCATGAGTCTTGATGTGTGGAAGAGTGAGAATTGGACTGAAGGGCAGTTTTTGTCCCTAGGGCTAGAATGGAAGATCAGCAGATGGAGCCTAAGATGGGGAGAAGCAAAATTGAGATGCAGAAAAGTGAACTTATTTTCCCATCCCCTTCCAGTTAATGTTGGGGGTTGGTGGGGGCTGGATCTAGACACTGATAGTTAGGGTCAGGGAATATCAAAACTAGGTGCTTATTCCTTGCCTCCCCAGAGCTCATGCCTTTCAGAGATGACTTGAATCTCCATGGCAGCAAGGCCAACATGGTGTAGATGCTGGAATAGAAATGAATGAGGAACGTGCCAGATGGAAGGACTTGAGAGAGCATTCTCCCACCCCCTGCCCTCCACTCAGCCTTTATCCCATTCCCTGTGATCTGTGGGGAATTTGAAGTTTCCAGGAGCCTAGAAATGGAACAGGAGATACAGCCAGCCCCAAAGAATCAGCAGCTCCAGGGATAGCAAAGGTGAGACTCAAGTCCACCATAGAGAAATCACCAGGCCTTAAATGAGATGTGCAAACAAGTGACCCTGCTGTAGACACATTAGCAAGGGCTACAGCATGAGCCCTTTCCGAGGAGAAGGCCAGAGGGACCTCAGGCCCCAACACCTCAAGAAGCAGATATTCCTCTGCTCCCAGGGCCTGTCTGGGGAAGAGAGGGGAATTAACAATCCATACAGCCCTCCATTTTAAGCCAGAAAGCTGAGAACACTTTAATTGTTAAGAACAAATATTTTCCCCATCAGTAGGGTGGGAGAGCACGAGGTAAAGTCAGAGAAAATAATTGACCGACTTACGGAAAATAAAGGAAGACTAGGGGAGGAGTTAGTTCTTATATTTGTTTTTACTGTGTGTACTAGCCTGCTCAGGCTGCCGTAACAGAATACCACAGACTTTTCCAAGGTGGCTTAGAAAACAGAATTTTATCTTCTCACAGTTATAGAGGCTCAAAATTCCAGATCAAAATGCTGTCAGGATTGGTTTCTGATGAGGCCTTTCTCCTTGGTTTGGAGATGGCGCCTTCTGTTTGTGTCCTCATGTGGCTTCTCTCTATGTGCACAGAGAGACAGAGAGAGCTCTGGTGTCCCTTCCTCATCTCATAAGGACACCTGTCCTCTCAGATTAGAGCCCTACCCTTATGACCCCACTGAATTCCAAATACAGTCACATGGAGGGTTAGGGCTATAATATATACATTATGGAGGGAAAAATTTCTAGCCATAACAGTGTATGAACTTAACTTGAAACAAAAATTTTTTGTCTATATTATGCACGTAAACACCTTAGTCCAGCACTTGGACTTAATAAGTGCTTAACAAGAGGGAAATGTAACAATAATACTGTTATAATAATAAAATTAGCTAATTTGTAATATGTGCCAGGCATTTTTATGTGCTTTGTGTGTACTACTGCATTGACTCTAACAACAATTTATAAGAGATATACTATTACTCTCTGCCTTTACTCCTCTCGGTTCTCCTCGAAAAATAATCTCCCACCCCATACCCAAAGCTTGGCCTTATAGTTTTGATAATCCAAAACTGTGTGTCTTTCTTGGGACAGTAGCTTAATTGGAAACTATGAGGATTTGGCTTTCTTCCTCTTCATTTCCTCTGGCTTAGTAAGGTGATACCTTCAGTCACTTCTGACACCAAGAAATGTCAGTCATGCTTCTGGTACTCACTGAAGGCACAATAACAACTGCTTGGACCAATGAAGGCCTTGCCACTGATTCCACCATCACTGAGGATACAGAGCAACAAGGTCACTGAGACAACCATGTTCCTGTCACCACCAATGTTACTGTAGCTATGCCAATCCTGCTGCTTGTCCAAGCCATGCCATCCTGTTAGCACCCAAGCCAATGACCCTTCAGATCATACCACTGCTGGGAGTTCATTCATTGTGCTCTGCCCGTAAATATCCATCCCTTCTAAACTTCTGCATCTTTCCTACCCTTGGATCTCCCCATCCTCAATGTTTATGCTGATATTTCTGAATCTTATGATGAATATAGCTTGGGCTCCACATAAAGAAAACAAATGGAGACCCATAAAATACAAGAATAAGAACAACATCCAAAACGGATTAGGCAAGGACTAAGGTTGGAGGTGCAAAGCATAAAATAAAAAACAATTTTGGATTAAGGGATATGTTGTAGATGAAATCACCCACCACCGTGAATGTTTTTCTTGAAACTTAATCCCAATGTACATCATCTCTTTTGTGTTCAGTGGGTAATACCTCTAGAGATTTTTCCTGCCATTCTCACAAAATTTTTCAGGAAAAATATACCTTAAATATTAAGTAAAAGTAATCCTATGCACAGATTCCACTACCTTTATTTTTTAGCTTTATTTGATATAAAGCTGCCATTTTTCTCTGAACACACCAAAGCCCTGAGTTTAGGGAGAGAAATAAATCTGCAGTTCATCTTCCCGAAATGTTATTTTGGAGCAACTCCATTAGATGCTTCCTAGATAAAGCAATCAACCTGGAGAGGATTGAGGGGCCCATACACTAAAAAGTGATATATAATTATTACCATACCTATTAAGTGAATAAACCAGCCAGAGCCCAATTACATCGTTGCAACATACAATGAAATATCTCTTAAACAATTCTTCAATGAAGAAATAAACCTGTCACGGAAGAAAAATGTGCTGTACATCAAGGCTATGTATTGAGGAAGTAATGTTGCTGTCAGGGTCGCGCTGGCTGTAACTCAATGTGCAATTAAAGGAAATTAGAAGCAATCCTCATTACATACATTTTACACTTTGTTTACTGTGCTACAAATTCTGTAGTGGAACCACTGACTTGTAGCAACAATAGCTCATTTAATGGAAAATGAGAATGTTTAACAAAGGATATTTGATGGCTGAGGAGCAGAATACACCAATTTACATTTCTTGCCATGTGTCCCTTCTTTAAAACCACATCTTTGGATAGAGCTGGGCATAATGTAGCCACAACCAAAGCCAATATGACATATCTGAAATTCTGCTTGATAAGAGAAAAAAAAAAAACATTAAACAGGAAAGAAAAGTGTATTGTATTAGTCCATTTTTACACTGCTATAAAGAACTACCTGAGACTGGGTAATTTATAAAGAAAAGAGGATGAATTGACTTACAGTTCTGCATGGCTGGGGAGGCCTCCAGGGAAACTTATAATCATGGCAGAAGTCAAAGGGAAAGCAAGGCACGTCTTACATGGTAGCAGGATAGAGAGAGCGAGGAGGGAAGTGCCACACACTTTCAAACAACCAGATTTCCTGAGAACTCACTGACTATCAGCAGAACAGCAAGGGGGAAGTCCACCCCCATGATTCAGTCACCTAACACCAGGCCTCTCTCCTGATGTGAGAATTACAATTCGAGATGAGATTTGGGTAGGAACACAGAGCCAAACCATATTATGTATCGATGATTTTTAGCTCAAAGAATACATTTTCAATCAATCATTTTACAAAGAATCGGAAAGAGAGGAGGGAACAAAAGGGTCTGAGACAGCAACCTTGGGCTGAAACTCATTAAGAAGAAAATGCTGGTCTATAAAGATTACCTTTGAAAGCTCCCCAGTCCCCTCAGAAAATATTTGTTGAAAAATTGCTAAATCTTAAATTCTGACATATTCAGTCTGAAAACTCCACATTTGCCTGTAACCATTATTTCTACAAACTTCCGTCATTCATTTGCAGGCAATGCTAAAAGGTGGAACTTTGAAAGGATGAATTGCAGAGCAACAGCGTGGTAATCAGATGGCCTCCCTGATGGGAACCTTGGCTTGGGGGAAGGAGTGGAAATTGGCCACATAGAGTCACTAGCTGGTAAGCATTTTAGCCTGGCTCTTGGGTACTGGGTCACTTTGTGGACCTCCAACAGAAAGTGAGTGTTGTATTTTACAAATTAGAAATTATTCATGGCTTCTTTTAAACTCATTTTGACTTTGGAGGGGAGTTCAGATGTGTGGCAGTAGCGACAGTATTGGCAGCAGAGAAATGGGACCACATGGGCTTTGGAGAGCCTCTTACAAGAAGTAAGATCCAGGAATATTGTTGCATGAAGGCTCTGCCTCTGAATCATTTGAGTTCTTTTCCTCCTTGGAGCTTTTATAATCCCTGACATCTTGACCACGAACTCTCCCCAAATGAAACAGGCATTTGCATATTTGATGCTAATTATCTATGTAATCAGAGTACAGTTAACATTAGTTTAAGAAAAATTAAGAATGGCCCAATGACATTGGAACATCTTTTGCTCATTCGCTGTAGAATCTTTCCAAAAAAGGGTGCCTGGAGTCTGAAGTTTGGCAGATGTTTATTGTTGGGAGGGTCGTCAGGAGGACAGGAAAAGCTGCAGAGAAAGAGTAAAATGCCTAAATCGTTTGCCAGGATGCTTAAGGAGGGCAGGTTCTGCTTCTGAGCAATTAGAGGCATCCGCTGAAGTCAGAACTCTGGCAAGCTGGAAAGGAGGAGCTATTTAAAATTTTGCTTCTCTTCCACAGGGAGAAAAGAGACTGTCGCATCCTTAACCCATCCCAGATGTCACAAAAATATTTATAAAGTAATAATTTTAAAATTGTGTGTTCTCAGACTTCTCTTATGCTCCTTTTCTAAAAGTGGTTTTGCATTGCTGGAAAACATTTTCTGTTGGTACTTCCATGTCTAATCCTAAATGGGTCTTTGATTCATTGAACACTATAGGGAAAAGTTGGTGCCTAAGGTTGCTGAAAGGACTAAGTTGATGAAGGTTTCAGGGATTTGGTTTCAAACTTACTTATGCTTTTTGGGGGAAAGGATTTAGTAAACATTGTCTGCAAATATAATTCTGAAGTTTTTTTCCTGTAGTCCCTCATGGTGGTTGTGGCATAGACCCAAGACCTGTGAGAGGAAAAACTCACTCATTTACCCATTCAATGCCATGCATTTGTTCATTTATTCAACAAGTGATTATAAATGATTGGTGAGCATCTACTACGAATGCAGCACAGGCTGTAGTTGGTAGAGAATTGGCCAAACCTGTAGAAGGCTTACAGCCTCCTAGCTGGTATTATTACCATATAGTCATATTATATCTATTTTAGGAGGATTGCCTAAAATGAAGTAAAAAATTCTTAGGTTTACTACCACCTGCATTGTCAAATCAAAACACAAAGATTGCCCAAGCTGATAAAACACATAATCAAAGCTGAGTTTATTGCTTGCCAAGCAAGAGAGAGCCAATTCACTCAAAAGTCAGTGCAGCCAATTACTCTGAATTAAAACCAGAAGGGCAAGAAAATTGGGTAAAAACGGAGTTTTAGGCAAATAAGGCTGAATCCAGAAAGGTATCATTTGCATGGTTAAGGAGAGGGTAGTGAGGTTTCCTTGAGATTGAGCATTCTCTATGTATAAAAGCTCAGGCGTGGTTTGCAGGCAGATTAGGAATGGGCTCACAGTGCTCTAGTGGGTTCAGGATCACAGAGCAAGCAAATTCATATGTATATTCTCAAAGTTTGGTATAACTTTTCTTTAACAGGGTCATATTTTTGCCTTAACTGTATCTTACCTTGACCTATCTGAAGTTTCTGGGAAATGTTCCTAGCTCTTGCTGTTAGACACACGCACATGTCCGGGCAGAGTTGGAGGCCATTTTTCAGAGTCCGTTTTAATTGCTATGGTCTAAATGTTTGTGTCCCCTCAGAGTTTATATGTTGAAATCCTAAACCCCAAGGTGATGGCATTAGGAAGTGAGGCCTTTAGGAATCTCCACCACAATGAATGAGTGGGGTTAGTGCCCTTATCAAAGAGACCTCAGAGAACTGGCTAGCATCTTCTACCATATGAGGACACAGCTAGAAGGTGCCATCTGTGAACTGGAAAGCTACCCTCACCAAACACCAAATCAGCTAGCACCTTGATCTTGGACTTCCCATCCTCCAGAACTATGAGAAATAATTTTTTTGTTTATAAAATACCCAGTTTATGGTACTTTGTCATAGCAGGCTGAACATATTAAAACACCAATTTTTCTTCCAGAGTGAGAATTCTTTTCACATCTTTCTGTAAAATGCTTATCTGCTCTTCAGTGGTTATGTAAGGCTCCATTTAAACTCTAACAACTCATTGTCAGAGATCTTCCTTATAATGAACTGATACCATATTTCCTTAATAAGCCATTAGAACAACTGGAATATACTTTTTTGTGCTGTGCTTTCTGCCAAGAGCTTTAGGTGCATTTAATCATCACAATAACCAAGCACTATAGGTCTTATTATTATCCCCATTTCAAATAATAATGATAACTGGCATTTATTGAGGCCTTACTATGTGCCAAATACTTTATGGGTTGAATCACACTTTGTTCTCACATGGATACTAGCTTTATCCAAGGAGAGTATCAAGTTTTTTTTCTATTTATATTACCTTTGTTGACCTCTTTGCCTTTAGCAACACATGAAGCTTCATTTTTAAGGGAATATGTTTTTAGGAACGACTGGTTTCCATCCCTAGATTACAACTACTAACTCAGAGACCATTATCTTAAAAGTACTATTTGATACTCTATACCTTACACAAATATCTTTACCTTATACTTTCCCTTAACTAACATAACTGCAAGGCAAAAACCAATTCCACTGCTACTCCATGAAAAGTCCCACCGTTCCTTCCTAAGATGTTTAATCTGAACATCCCTGTTTCCTATTTTCAATCCAATCCTTACATGACTATCAAATTCTAGATTCATCTTTTCCTTATTTACAAAATAATTGCTTCTAGTGCTGGGTACAGTGACTCATGCCTGTAATTCCAGCATTTTGGGAGGCTGGGGTGACAGGATTGTTTGAGGCCAGGAGTTTGAGACTAGCCTGGGCAACATAATGAGATGCTGCCTCTAAAAATAATAATAATTAATTATCCAGGCATGGTGGTGCATGCCTGTAGTCCTATCTTCTCAGGAGGCTGAGGCACGAAGATCACCCGAGCCCAGGAATTTGAGGTTGCAATGAGCTATGATCATGTCATTGCACACCAGTCTAGGCAAAAGAGTGAGACCTTGTCTCTAATCATGATAATAATAACAGCTTCTGATTTTTTGAGGATGCTACCATTGACACTACAATTTTTCCAGGGAAAATATTTTTAAACACATGTATGTACATGGTAAATAAATTAAATACCAGCATCATTAAATACCCTGCAAGAGGAAATAAATCTAATTAAGTTATTTTTGCTGTTTCTCACAGTTCTGGAGGCTGTGAAGTCCAAGATCAAAGTGCTGGAAGATTTGTTGTCTGGTGCCCATTCCTCATAGACAGTGCCTTCTAGCTGTATCCTCACATGGTAAAGAGCTAACTAGCTAGCTCTCTGAGGTCTCTTTTATAAGGGCACCAATCCCAATCATGAGGGTGAAGCCTCCCAAAGGCCTCATGTCCTCATACCATCACTTTGGGGGTTAAGATTTCAACATATGAATTTTGAGGGGATACAAACATTCTGACCATAGCAATCACCTCCAAAGATGTAAGTGAATAAACCTCCAGATAATTTCAGCCTTCATCTTTCATGTCACTCCAAGTCTTCAGGTCTTCCCAAGTAAGGGGCCAGACATCATGGAGCAATGACCAGCCACTCCTGCTTTGTCCTGCCTTAATTCCTGATCCACAGAATCCAAAAGAAAAATAAAATGGTCATCTTTTTCCATTAAGTTCTGAAGTGCTTTGCATTACTCTATTACTGTAGCTCAATAATAGTAGCTAGGACAGGAATTACTCCTTCTGCGGGGATAGATGTTGCTTTGCCATATCATCATTCATGGTTACTGCTCCCATCCTAGAAAATCATCCCTACCCAGAGCCATTGGAGAAGCAAATAAAGGCAGGCATCATAGTAACCCCTGGAATAAGAGGCTTACCCAGGTTGTAACACCGAGAGCAAACCTAATTTGAGGGTAGGGAAAGGATGAATGGATGGGCTCACAGCCAATCCTTGACGCCACTCCTTGCCTCCTTCCCTCTCTGTTCCACTGCCTTGAATTCACACTACTTTTCTTAACACCTTATTAAGGGAATCCAAATAATTATCTTTTTAACATGTTTCATTTTTAAAAAAGTTTTAAACATTTCCCTTTTGTAGAATATGCTTCTACCTGGAAGTACAGCACCTTGGTGGCCCTCTCAAGGATGCTCTAAAAGCCTCTTCCAGTGGACAGAAGTGAGGAAAGTCACAGATTCAGCTGCCTGCTCTGTTCCCACTCCTATGGAGAACACATGGCTGAGAGTAGGTGCTCAGTAAATATTTGCTGACTGGATGAATGGTCAAGGCATTCCTTTGTTTGCACTGATGTTCTCTTTCTGGCTCTTCTGAAAAGCACAGAGAAAAGAGAAAGACTGGAGAGGTCAATGCATTCACCAAGCCACAGTCTGGAGAACGCTCTTGTCTTTTGGTGTCATCTATGCTTCCAGAGAAGACTTTGGTGTCGGAGGCTGAGCTGTCGGGGCAGGGATCTGGTTAGTGCTAAGCTGTCTTCTGGGAGAGCCCTTTCTGCTCTGTCACAGCTGGAGTGCAGCTGCTGGCCAGAGAGCTGATTTCCTGACAGCACTGGGATTTGGAAATCCCTGCATTTCGCATACGTACCCGCCAGCTGGTCTTATCCAACCCTTTCCCCTTTGGAAGGAAGCAGTTTGACTTCTGGTAGAAACCTGCAGA
The DNA here is from genome assembly GCF_000001405.40 of Homo sapiens. NCBI lineage: Eukaryota > Metazoa > Chordata > Mammalia > Primates > Hominidae > Homo > Homo sapiens. The sequence continues at coordinate 117,663,863 of NC_000008.11, forward strand.
CTTGACAAAGACAAGAGCTTGTTGTATGGTTTTAGCATATACATTCCTTGGAGGACTCTTTGAGTTATGTTTACATAGAGGTCCTTGACTGCTAGACAGAACGAATCACTTGTAACTCAGTATGCTAAACAGTCTTGAAACCTTTCTCTCTCTCATCACCACTATTGGCATGAAAGTCTCTGATTAGAAAGCAGTATTCCTTCCGTACTATTCCTATCACTATAAAAACAGCCATAGTCCCTGCCCTTTAAGTATTGCACAGTATGCACTTAATAAGTTCCTCATGTTGATTGACAATCTTTCATGGACACAGCAGAAAAGGATAGAAGATTTTAATCAATACCTTTAATTTTTTCATTGAGAAACTACATGAGTTATAAATGAAGATGTGATGGTTCCCTGAGAGGTGGAAGAAATGGAAATATTGACAATACCATGTTAACTGTGGTATTGTTTTCAGTGAGAAGAGGATGATACCATTTGTCTTGATTTGTGTACAACAAGGACTAGTGGTTTTTTGTGACTGACCTCAAAGTAGAGTGACCAACCATCCCAATTTGCTCAGAACGGTCCTCATGTAAGCATTGAAAGTCCCACATCCCAAGTAACCCCTGAGTCCCAGATAAATCAAGACACTCAGTCACCCTATACATCAGGAAACTTCCCTGGCAAAAATAGGTCCCCCACCAGCCTGTTAATCAAAAAATCTTCTAAAATTTATTCACTTTGCTTTTAAAGGCAAAAATTTCTAAAAGAAGGGACATTAAAATCTAAGCACAGATACTTATCAAATCAGCACACTTTATTCATTGATTCAACAAATATTTATTGAGCACCTATTTACACAGGATGAAGTACTAAGGATGTGAACATAAATAAGCCACAGTGCCAGACCTTAAAGCATTTACAGTCTAGTGGGCAAGAAAAGCAAATAAATGGGCATTAACAGTGGAGCATGATAGTTCCATACATTTGTGATAGACACAATCACTCTGGAGCAATACAGAAGGGCAGCTATCTGGCCTTGGGGAACAGGTGTCTGGATGAGGTGACATCTGAGACCTGGGTTAACCAGAAATTAATGAGGCGAAAGGCAGGGTCAGGGAAGAGATATTCCCTGGAGAGGGAAGAGTAGGGACAACAGACTCAAGGGAAAAAGAGATCATTGTTTTGCCATCATAGGAATCACAAGTTAATAGGACAAAGGAAACACTGGTTTTCTTGGCTTGGGGTACAACAGAAACCAGTGTGGGGGCTAATGGAAAACTCCCCGCCTTCACCATCTGAAGGTACACTGAAAATCAACTAATCAAAGGCAGATTCGTAGAAGAAATAGAATACAAATTTATTAGCGTACATGGGGGAGAATCACAGAGTGACTGCCCCACCAAAGAATGGGGTTATATACTTTTATTCTAGGGGGCGAGAAACATGGGAAGTGTGGATAATTTTAGGGGGATAGTAAATGATTTTTAAGGGAATTCAATGGCTTAAAGAACATACAATGTCCTGGAACAAAGTTGTTCGACCCACAGAGCAGATAATGGCTGTGGCAAAAAAATTTGTTCAGGTATGTTGATAGACAGTCTTTCTTCCTGTGAAGTGAGTTCATTTAATGGAAACGCCAAGAGACCAAAAGTAATTGTTCAAAATTTCTTCTTTGAGGGTTCTGGACTTTTATCTAGGAACTTCAGATAACAATTTTATCCTTTGTTTTGGGAGAGACAGAAGACTGAGGGGCAGGGTGGCGGGGGTGGAGGCCCAAAATACCTAGAGACTTCATTTCAGCAGGTCAAAGCACGACATTTTGGGGTATCGATTTCTGAGCCCCAATACCATTTTGCATAGGATCAGACTTTTTGATTACTTTTTAAATTGTAAATATGTTGGCTGGGCACAGCAGCTTACACCTGTAATCCCAGCACTCTGGGGGGCCAAGATAGGAGGGTCACTTGAGCCCAGGAGTTTGAGACCAGCCTGGACAACATAGCAAGACCCCATCTCTACAAAAACTAAAAAAAATTAGCCTGGTATGGTGGCTTGCACCTATAGTCCCAGCTACTTGGAAAGCTGAGGGAGGAAGTTGTCCTGAGCCAAGGAGATCAGGGCTGCAATGAGCTACGATTGTGCCACTCCACTGTAGCTTGGGCAACAGAGCAAGATGCCATTTCAATCAATCAGTCAATAATTTCAACACTCCATGAATATGATTCCTGGTTTTTCCTGGAGGAAAAGTCAATATTGGCCTTGAGAGAGAGAGACTATTTGCCACCCAGCATTCAAATTTCTCAGTTTTTGTCTTTGTTCTGTTGACTCAGGAAGGTAAACTGAGGCAGCAACTCATCATTACCACCTCGCCTCATTCTCCTCCTACTTCCTCAGCATTTGGGAACAGTCTCTGGAGTTAAGTCTTGGGTTATGTCTCTACAGAATGAATAAAGAACTCTTCTGTGTTTTGTTTATCAGAGCCTTGGCATTGCTTATAGATTTTTGTTTCTACTAGGACTCACAGTACTTTACAGGTATAATAATAAAATAAAAATCAATCATCAAAATTAGAACAAATATTCAAGCTAGCAAACACTAAAATGAGACTTTTCTTAGTATTTTATTCTTAAAAGTAACACATTGTTATGAAAAATTTAAACAGTAAAGAAAATTAATTAAATACCAAGTCTGTCTACTCTCTATCCCTCCTGCACCCAACCACTCCCCAAAATTCCATTTGTTGACAGTTTACTATATATCTTTCTATAATTTTTTTTTTTTTTTTTTGAGACAGAGTCTTGCTCTGTCACCTAGGCTGGAGTGCAGTGGCACAATCTCGGCTCACTGCAACCTCTGCCTCCCAGGTTCACGCCATTCTCCTGCCTCAGCCTCCCAAGTAGCTGGGACTACAGGCACCTGCCACCATGCCTGGCTAATTTTTTGTATTTTTAGTAGAGACAGGGTTTCATCATGTTAGCCAGGATGGTCTCGATCTCCTGACCTTGGGATCTGCCCGCCTTGGCCTCCCAAAGTGCTGGGATTACAGGCATGAGCCACCACGCCTGGCCTATTCAGTTTTCTATATATCTTTTCAGATATTTTCTATACAAATACAAGCAAAGATGGATGGATGGATAAACAGTTTTTTTAATGCCAACCATATTGATAATGTTGTCATGGAATTTGCATTTTTCAGTTAACATCCTCCTGACATTTTCTGTAAATTAGACCTATCAGTCAGGTTTTCCTACAGTAATGTTATGCAATAAACAACCTTAAAATCTCAGTGCCTCACAATAAGTATTTATTTATTGCTTATGTCACATGAGAGTTGCAGTGCATCTGTTGTTCTGTGGGTTTGGTTTAGCTGGGCTCATATGGCTCTGCCCTGGTAAGTTCTGCCCAACTCATTTTTCTCATTTTGGAATCTAAGCTGACAAAGTAGCCACTGTGTGACATTATGCCCATGTGATAGAGGGCTGGAACAAAGGGCCTCAGCCAAGGTAGGCAATATTTTATTTTATTTTATTTTATTTTATTTTATTTTTTTTATTTATTTTATTTTATTTTATTTTATTTTATTTTATTTTATTTTATTTTATTTTATTTTATTTTATTTTATTTTATTTTTTTGAGACAGGGTCTCACCCTATTGTTTAGGCTGGAGTGCAAGGGCACAATCTTGACTGACTGCAACCTCTGCCTCCTAGGCTCAAATGATCCTCCCACCTCAGCCTCCCGAGTAGCTGGGACCACAGGCATGTGCAACCATGCCCAGCTAATTTTTGTATTTTTTTGTAGAGACAAGCTTTTTCCATGTTGCCCAGGCTGGTCTCAAAGTCCTGGTCTCAAGAAATCTTCCTACCTCAGCCTCCCAAAGTGCTGGAGTTACAGGCATGAGCCACTGTGCCGGGTGGCAGTCAAATTTTAGAATGTGGCAAATATCACACCCATTCTTATCCCATGGTCAAGGCATTTTATATGGCCAAGAATGAAGTCAATGGGGGCAGGGAAGCATGGCAAGGATGGGAAGTAATTAAATAATTGTAAAGAAACAATATCAGCCAGGTGGAGTGGCTCATGCCTGTAATCCTAGCATTTTGTGGGGCTGAGGCAGGAGGTTCGCTTGGGCCCGGGAGTTTGAGTCCAGCCTGGGAAACACAGTAAGCCCTCATCTCTACTAAAAATAAAAAATTAGGCAGGTGTAATAGCATGCATTTGTGGTCCCAGCTACTCAGGAGGCTGAGGCAGGAGGAGCACTTCAGTGTGGGAAGTTGAGGCTGCAGTGAGCTGTGATTGATTGTGCCACTTCATTCCAGCCTGGGCAAGAGGGCAAGACCCTGTCTCAAAACAAACAAACAAATAAACAAACAAAAACAAGAAACGATGTCTCCTACTACATTTGTACCTATGCCCCATTCTTCTGAATGTCTGCATAGTATTTTATTAAGAGACATATCAATCGTATTATTTATTTTTGCAATCAATGCTGCAATAGACATCCTTAGAACTTTAAGGATATCCTTAAATACTTGTGGAAACACATTTGTAGAAGTAGAATTACTTGAACTAATGGTTTATGAATTTAATTTTTTAAATATTCCTAAATTGCTCTCCAAAAGTATGATATCCCTTAATTCTTTCCCAAGATATATGAGATACATGTCCACAAACCCTCTCCAGACTTTGTATTATCAAACTTTTAATTCAAAAGGTAAAACATTAATGTTTTTAATGGCATTTGTTTTGTTAATGATGCAGTATTTTTAAGTGTCCTAAATTTGGAGATAATTCTATCACAGTCCCAGAATTTGGATTCACCCAGATCTCTTGGAAAATATCTTAACTACATTAACACCAACCCAACATACTCACCACCCACACTATGTTTCTCTGTACCTTTGGTTTTATTCTGGAGAAAAGCAGAGCTAATCAGCTTGCTCTATGATATGGTTTGGCTCTGTGTCCCCACCCAAATCTCATCTCAAATTGTGACTTCTCCCTTGCTGTTCTAGTGATATAATTCTCAAGAGATCTGGTTGTTTTGTACATGTGTCGCCCTTCCCCTTCGTTCTGTCTTTCTCTCCTGCTGCCATATAAGACGTCCCTTGCTTCCCTTTCACCTTCTGCCATCATTGTAAGTTTCCTGAGGTCTCCCCAGCCATGCAGAACTGTGAGTCAATTAAACCTCTTTCTAAATTAGCCAGTCTCAGGTAGTATCTTTAAAGCAGCATGAGAATGGACTAAAACATCTCTAAAACAGAGACATTATGAAAGGTTTTCAACTGGAGAACCAAGTCCTATAACTTGGTCGTTGCTATGTTTAGTGCCTTGATGAGAAAGACTGTGAAACTGAGGACAGGCTCAGCAGGGAAGAGGGATGTGATCCATTCTTGATGTGTGTGGTGAACTCAGGAAAGGCGGCAGCATCATGTATAGTATCTATTTACCTTCCCCACCCTTGAAGCTGCTAGAACTCTATCAGCATTTTCATCTTTCTTTGTACCATTTGGTCTGTCCCAAATCACAGAAGATAAATATTGAGCAAGCAGATGAGCAGAAAAACAACTTGGGCTCTTTCCCATGCCTCTACTACCTGTCTGTATCACATGAAGCTTTTTGAAAAAGGTCACAGAAAATGATTTTGAAAAGAGGCCCAGTAAATATTTTGGTAATGTTTTGGTGTGGGCTTTGTTTGGCCTTTTTGTCTTTGCTGAACTCCGTGGCTTGGGCTTTTAAGATACTTTTACCGTCAGAGTAATATTATTTTGATAACCCACTTCCTCGTGATGTTTGAAAGATGGTTAATTATTGTAGGGGGTGTAAATACAGTGTCAAAGTAAATCATTACAGGATTCTTTGGTCAGGCTCAAGGTTAAAGGCAACCACATTTCCCAACAACAGAGCAACATAATCATTCCTTTTCCCACAGATAACTACAGTCTTCCTGTCAGCCTACAGGAATCCCATCCCCTTTCCTCCAGTGTAACCGGACTCCCTGCCACAGAGAAACAACACTCTCCTCTTCAGCTTTGCCACAGGGTAATCAGTCATTGGTACACCAGCTTGATCCCCAAATGCTGCAGTAACCACAGAAACCACACAGAATGTGGACTGACCACGTGGTTGTGGACATAGTCATCATTTTTAACACAGAGAGATGAAGTCACTCCATCTTTTCTCTGATGCAGTAAAACATTAAAATACAACATTGGAAACAAATGCTTTTCCAATGTAGAAATGTATGCTGTAAAGCCAAGGCTCCATTCTACATCCCTGAGTAAGGGAAGGAAAGACCAATGAGACAAATTCCTGAGAGCCCGTTAAAAATTGGTGTAACCCATTCTCAGAGAAGATAATGGGGAGGTGACACTAAGGGGGTACAGAAGATTGTCATCTGCAGAAAAATCAGGCATGTTTTCCCAGAAGAGAGAAAGATTGAACTACCTCAATTGCAAAAATGTGGGAACCCCAAAGAAAGAGATACAGCAAATTCAAAAGCATTAAGAAATAATAAAGAAAAGAAAATCTTGGCTTTAAAGTGGCAATTTTTTTTTTCTAGTGACTGAACAGTAATCTTCTAAGGAGAATAGTGAGAGCCCCTCCCCAATAGAGTTTTAAGCTTTCACTGTGAAAAGGCTATTCTTGGCTCAGCAACCCAGCTGATTTATTCTCACCTTGAGGCAGTTCTGTAACCTTGCCTTCTACCTCAGCTTCCCAGTCAGCCAAGTGGGACTTCCGACTTGCAATCTGCTTCATTTGCTAGGATGTCATGAAGATTAATTAACAACATTAATATACTAAATGTTCTTTGGGATGGGCAGAGAGAAAGTGTAATTATGACCATTATTGCTCTGGGTTACTAGGCAGAGTATTGAGATGGTTGCAGGGACTGTGCTTGGAAGTAGAAAAACAGGCCAAACGGTGATCTTTGCATGGTTTCAAATGCCCCTGGCCTGAAAGTACTTCCTCTATATTCTTGCCCAGGGACTTAAAATGTTCACAATTATGCTAATATAGCGGAAAGTGCGTTGGACTTGGAGTCAGAAAGCTTGTATCCCATGCTGTCTTTGCCACTTACTGGCTGTGTGATCTTGTACAAACTACTTAATTGTTCCAAGTCTCAGTTTCTTCATCTGTGAAAAATGCATAAGGATACCACCAATGTCTATATGCCTTACAGTGTTCCTGAAAAATCTAAATGAAATGTGAATATTTCTAAAAATTGGACTGACTATACAAAGATAAAATATTATTATCTCCTAGAAAAAAAATGCTGTAACCATTATAGGCTATTTTATCCCCTACTACAAGTTAGTTTATGAGACACAATCCACCAACATAAGTACATCTAAGACAGACAATTTTTGGCTCTAGAGAAAGATCAGAAAGGGTAATATGGTTGTAAAACTGAGGACCTCAGTTAGCCAGGCATCTATGTGGGGTGCTTGGGTGTCAGTGAGAAGTCAGGGAGACATCAAATAGGAGCTGAACCTTTTGTTGTTTCCTGATGTGAGGCCTCCCTACAGGGAATGGAGGGCAAACTTGTAATGACTTACAATCTTTGTATCTTAAAATGTTAGTCCTGGAAAGGAATTAGAGATCATTCTAGTTCAATTCTTTCATTTTACAAAATAGAAAACTAAGCCTCCACCTTACCTTGAAAATTCCCTTCTTCCTGATGCTTAGACCAGGATTATTTCCATTGCACACCATCTCCAATATGCAACTAGTTATTAAGGTCTGTGGGTGCACTTGCATTGAATTATTACTCATACCCACATCTTCCTGACCTGGGTCCAAACCCCCAACATTATAAGTTTGGACTAGTACAACAATCTCATAGTCTATCTTCCTCTATTTTTTTTCTGACCCCTAATCTTCTCTAAACACTGATCCCAGATTAGCCTTCTAAAAGTGTCCACTGAATAATGCCTTATTTGCTCAAAAACCCATTAATGGCTGCTGTGTACAGAAGAGTGGTAGCAATACCTGCCTGCCTTATCTGAGTTATGGTATATTCTCTGTTCCTAAGGGGATGACACTGTATGCCATCATCCCTAGTGTTCCAGTTCTAGAAAGGGATTGACAAAAATGATAAATGCACCACTTTCCTGGGTTTGCTGTTCATCTTAAAAAGAAATCCAATTACAGTTTGCAATTGCATTTTGGTAAAACATAATGAGCTCTCCTTGGAGTTGCCTTATTCAGATCAAATTACTTCTTGGTAATTTAAAGTACATTACATCTCCCAGATACCTCTCAATACACCCACAGTGTTTGAGGCCTTGTGTAACTATTGCACAAACACTGGCCAGTCAACTCTAGATGAGTTCATAACCAAAGGATTATTACATGTTTACCCACATACAAGTCACTCTTCATTTCCCTCATGCAGGGAGGTCAAAGGTCATGTAACTCTGCCAGAGCAAGTTACTTCTCAGGGACTGAAAATGAGAGTTAAGGAGAGCTTTCTTCTAAAAACATTACTGCAGAGAGGTCTAAATGTGTGTGTATGAATGATCAACATTATCAGTCAATGAACTTTCTCGGTCAGTTACTCTCATGTATTGACATAAATGACACTGAGCCATCTGATGACTAATAAAAATGACAAACCCTGAAACATTGACCAAAACTCACAAGAATGACATTTCCTAAAGCATTTCCATTTATAGAAAAAGTTAGAAAAAAGCAAAGAGGAAAAAAAAGTATATGATGAGAAGCTGTAACAGTAAGAGAAAAGAAGTAGACCTGAAACTTTATAAAATGGCACATTGTCCCCTGATTTCTCCAAGAAAGTTCAATATGTAAAATGTCAACAGATCTGGGTATCACTAAAATTTTCTCCACTAATTTCTACAGGCCAGAAAGGTCATCTAAGACTTTAAAAGTGCAGAATGATGTAAGTTTTCGGGAGTATTATTCAGCCAAGAGTCTCATCAAGATAGCTCCCCCCCACTCCCCATGCAATGAGAACAATAGCCCTCAAGAGCTTTTACTCTTGACATTTGCACCTTTATTTACAAGATGGTATGTCATTTGGGCTTTATAAACTTTACATTTATCTTCTTTTTGTTTGTTTTTTCATTTTTCTCTTTATACACACTATATCAATGTATATATTTAGAATTGTTTTTCTTTTTCTTTTATTATTATACCTTAAGTTCTGGGATACATGTGCAGAACGTGCAGGTTTGTTACATACGTATACATGTGCCATGGTGGTTTCCTGCACCTATCAACCCGTCATTTACATTAGGTATCTCTGCTAATGCAATCCCTCCCCTAGCCTCCCACCCCCTTACAGGCCCCAGTGTGTGATGTTCCCCTCCCTGTGTCCATGTGTCCTCATTGTTCAACTCCCACTTATGAGTGAGAACATGCAGTATTTGGTTTTCTGTTCCTGTGTTACTTTGCTGAGATTGATGGTTTCCAGCTTCATCCATTTCCCTGCAAAAGACATGAACTCATCATTTTTTGAGGCTGCATAGTATTCCATGGTGTATATGTGCCACATTTTCTTTATCCAGTCTATCATCGATGGGCGTTTGGGTTGTGGAATTTAATTAAACTAAAGAGCTTCTGCACAGCAAAATAAACTACCATCAGAGTGAACAGGCAACCTACAGAATGGGAAAAAAAATTTTGCAATCTATCCATCTGACAAAAGTCTAATATCCAGAGTCTACAAGGAACTTAAATGAATTTACAAGAAAAAAACAACCCCATCAAAAAGTGGGCAAAGGATATGAACAGACACTTCTCAAAATAAGACATCATGTGGCCAACAAACATATGAAAAAAAGCTTATCATCACTGGTCATTAGAGAAATGCAAGTCAAAACCACAATGAGATACCATCTCATGCCAGTTAGAATGGTGATCATTAAAAATCAGGAAACAACAGATGCTGGAGAGGATGTGGAGAAATAGGAATGCTTTTACAGTGTTGGTGGGAGAGTAAATTAGTTCAACCATCGTGGAAGACAGTGTGGCAATTCCTCAAGGATCTAGAACCAGAAATACCATATGACCCAGCAATCCCATTACTGGGTATATACCCAAGAGATTATAAATCATTCTACTATAAAGACATAGGCACATGTATTTTTATTTCAGCACTATTCACAATATAAGTTTTTATTAAGAAAAAAAACAGAGCCTCTCTGTAAAATTAATCCTTGGTTCTGACATTAGCTACCTGTATATTCTTTTTTTTTTTTTTAAGAATATTTCTTTCTTTTTTTTTAGGTTTTGTGAGGGTCTTTTTTTTTTTTTAACTTCCATAGATTATTGCAGAACAGATGGTGTTTGGTTACATAAGCAAGTCCTTTAGTGGTGATTTGTGAGATTTTGGTGCACCCATCACCTGAGCAGTATACACTGCACCCTATTTGTAGTCTTCTATCCCTCACATTTATCTTCTGATGACTATCTCTATCTCTGCTAGTTTTAAGAAGAAGCCTAGGGGCTGGGCACGGTGGCTCATACCTGTAATCCCAGCACTTTGGGAGGCCGAGGCAGGCGGATCACCTGAGGTCAAGAGTTCGAGACTAGTCTGGCCAACATGGTGAAACCCCCTCTCTACTAAAACTACAAAACTTAGCCAGGTGTGGTGGCAAGTGCCTGTAATCCCAGCTACTTGGGAGGCTGAAGCAGGACAATGCATTGCTTGAACCCAGGAGGCAGAGGTTGCAGTGAGCTGAGATCATGCCACTGCACTCCAGCCTGGGCAAGAGAGCAAGAGTCTGTCTAAAAAAAAAAAAAAATTAGGCTGGTGTGGTGGTGGATGCCCATAATCCCAACTACTCAAAAGGCTGGGGCAGGAGAATTGCTTGAACCTGGGAGGCAGAGGTTGCAGTGAGCCGAGATCATGCCACTGCACTCCAGCCTGGGTGACAGAGCAAGACTCCATCTCCAAAAAAAAAAAAAAAAAAAAAATTAAAAAAAAAGAAGGAGTCTAGGGTGTGAAGGATCTTTGCACAACAGAGTCAACTTCCCTTGTACTGCTCGAATCACATATATACCATTTCTGATAGATAATCCCCAAATGATGCTTTAACATTTCCAATGATTGGCAACATCCATTGTTAGCAGCCTTTTGGGCAGAAGATCAATTTGATTCCAAATTAAATTTGTGCTCTTTTCTGTCTACAGAAAAGAAAGCAAACAATAAGTTAGCAATACTGTAAGTTGGAGAGTCGCAATTAGGTGACTCCTAGAAACAGAAAAATAAATTGCCTTCTATGACTCAGAATGCAAAATAGAAACTACAGGTCAGAACACATGTATATAGAGAAACTTGATGGAGACAGGATGGTTTCTAGGCCAAAAGAAGGTTGCAGGAACCTATCTGAATGTATAATTGTAGTTTTTAGATTATGTCAGTCTTGGGATTGGGGGTAAAGAAAGAGATACATAAGTTGGTACATAAGTCATTCAATTATGAAAACAAGCAAAAAAAGGAAGTCACCAGGGCCAACATTGTCAGTGCCCAGCCAAACACCGTCTAGGGAGAAGAGGGCCTTTGCTATTAGAGCATTTTAATCTATAGGGCAATATAATTCCAGTGGAGATGGATAAAGACTGGATTTTCGATGGCTCTCTGATTCAATTAATTTATGATAAAATAGAAGGCTAAAGTTAACATACCTTGATGATATAAAATATCTGTATTATCTTGTTCCCTCTGCCAGGATCATCAGTTAGACCCATCTCTATCTCCTTTTTGACTGGCTCATGATGTTTTCCCTCTCAGATCTCAGATGTGAAGTCATTTCCTCCCTGGAAGTCTTTTCCAATATACCTAATCCAGATTTGTTGATTCTCCTATATATTTGCATTGCATTCTGCACTTCCTTTATCCTATCCCTCCTTATCTAGTATATCATTATCTGCTTTTAGGTAGTTAAGTATCTCCTTAAGATTCCTAATATCAGGGCCTACGTATTACAGAAGTCTGGTCCATATTTGTATCTCTCAATTTTATAATTTGCATGACAAACAACTTGATTCTTTCCAATTCTATTTGCAAGCTTTACAAAGTTTCTTGGGGAAAAGAAGAGGTGGGATGGGCATTTGAAGTTGTGAGTTAATCTGATCATTAAAATTATGAATATAAAAAAATTATTTTAGCAACTTTCAAAGGTTCTGTTGAAGACTTAACTGCTTTTGCTGCGTATACAACCTGTTAGAAAAGAAAATGAATGAAAGAACTGAAAAACGCTCTCCCAAATTACCCTATAAGAAAGGATGATAAATTTTAAAATGAGATGGTAGAAAGAATGCAATCAGAAAGCAATCAAGCAGGTTCCACTGGTAAGGAATAGAGAAACGAATGGTAAGAATTAGAAGACGAGAAGGTAACGCTGGAGGAAAGATGGGTAGAGAAAGCACAGCAGAGTGCCTTCTGGCAAAGAAATGTCAAACCTTCTGATGACATAGGACCATTTTATGCTGACTGCTAATAATTTAAAAGATCATACTTTAGGAAGGAATGATGCTAGTTCCTCAAAAAGGAAGAAACTCATCAAGGTAGTTTGTAAAGTCTAATGGGCTCAGACCTGGCCGGGCAACTGGGTGGGTTTGTGGTCTTGAAACATACATCCAGGATGTGGCAAAGAGTCTGACAAGACTCAGCAAGCCCACAAATTGCTACTCACTTTTGATGATTAACTGTGGAAAAATGACAAAGTTGGGGGAAAAAACTGAAATGTGTCTCTCAAAATTCCATGGTTTTGGTTAGAAATCAAAAGATGAGCAACGCCTTTATCCCTCTTTATCCCTTCTTCCAGTTATTTTTGAGACTGAAGAAAGAAAAGAAGACTTCAAAGTTTAAGCTACACAGGACAAAGACAGTGCCCACTGTGCTCATCACCATAAGCCCAGAGCCTAGTATGGAACCTGGAAAACAAGTACTTCTCTGATTGAATGACTGCAGACAGTGAATAAATGGCTACATAGATTATATAAAAGACGATGAGTTTGTTTACTGGTTTAACTATGGTTTAAGTTTTTAAAGTAGAAAGGCAGAATACAAATGGGGTAAAAACTGCAACTCCAGATTTCAGTGAGGACAGAGTTTAAAGAGTACCTCATTCGTTTAATAAGTTTTAATCAATAATACAAAGAGAATTGCATTCTGGCATACTAAAGAAACTCACAGGTATAATCTCAGCATGATTGCTAACATTCAAGGAATTATGAAAAATGAAAGAGGCTTCAAAAGTATAGAGATAGGAAAATATTACTGAGAATATTAGAAGTGGGGAAGGTAAGTTGGATATTAGAAATGACAAATAGATAAGTTTGATGTTCATCTATACCAAATTAACAATTAGTTGTTTTCTGAACATCTAGAAAAGATGATGGTGATTATGAGGAGCCATCAGTAAAGACCCCCCAAACAATTCTAAAATTAGCTTGAAAGTATATGTGTAGCATTATTAATGAATATTCTTAAAATAGCTATGAAGAGAAATTAGACTTATGAGATCTGTTTTAAAACTTTTTAAAGCAGTAATAATGGAACCCATATGGTAATATTTCAAAATTAAGAAACTCAATCCAGGGAACAGGATAATTTAACATGTGATTTAAAAGATACTGCTATAAAAAATGGAAGTAGGAAATACCATATGATATATGGGGTTAAGATAATAGTAACAAGAGAAAATAACATAGATATGTTTCAGTAAATTCCAAGAATCTTAAGTGTTTTAATTAGTCAAATAAATCCAGAAGACACAGATTAAACATTTATACCATTAAGAAGAGATGATCACTTTGGAGAGTTTGAGTAATCAAATATACATTTTATATAATAAATATTTATTAAGCAACTACTCTGTAGCAGGTACTATTCTAGGTATTAGAGAATTACTGGTGAACAGGATATCCAGGGTCCATGCTGCCAAGAAGCCTATATTCTAGAAGGAAAAGACAGGCAATACTAGGTAAATGGATTAGGAAAGAAAATAATTCTAGAGAGTGATCACATATTAGAGAAGCCATTATAAAATGTACATAAAATAAAAAAGAAATATAACCAAATAAGAAAATATGTGCATCAAAAACGACAGAAAAGAACAATTCCTTAATAACCTCAGAACACATACCTATATTTTTAGAAATTACCCTTAGGATTCCAATAACTAAGTGATCATGTCTCAAACAAACAAAATTTACACAAGAGAAAATACAAATAGGAAACAAATGTCTGGGAAAATGTTCCAACTAACATGTAATCAAGAAATGCAAATTTAAGCAACTTTTTAACATCTGCTAAGTTTAAAAAAAAAGTTTGAAAAAATAAAAACCAGACTTACAGGAAGAATGACAACATAAACGTAGTCTCTGCTCCCCTCCAGGAAAACGGCTGAAATTACCAAAGTGGAGGGAGATGGGGTGGGGGTAGGACATCAGCCGTGAACCAGGAATGGTGCCAACCACATGTCAAGCACAAAGTGAGGAATTTCTACCAGTTTCAATACCAACTGTAAAAAAGAATAACAACCTTTCCTCAATGGCAGTTGCAAGAAAGGAGAGAAGGAAACTATGGTGAAATTCATCAGCAGGTCACAAGCAGATGACAGACGGCCATATGTGGAGTCCTTCTCCCTATGCTTGGAGACAATCCACAGCTCTGGTGTCAAAGAGAAGAGAAAGCAACGAGCCACTCCTAGCCATTTTTCACATATGTGGCAACTTACTAGTGGAGGTAGTCAGTTGAATATGGGCTGGTGTGGGGTGTGGGGTGTGGGGTGGAATTTCTGTAAGGTCTAGGCATCCTGTTGGAGAGATGAGGATTGATCAAATATAAATAACAGAAGGAAAGGCAGGTGTTTGGGAGAATACACTTCTAGCCACATCATTCAGGAAACCCATAGGCCAAAGACTTTTTCTCATAAATGAATTACTTCTAGCAGTGTTTCTTTGCCCTAAGCCTGAGGCTCAATACAGGTCTGGAAAGACCTTCCCCAAGTGACTGGATACACCTCCAGCTCAGTGAGGCCACCCCTTCTGCAGAAGTTTCAACAGAGAAAAATTATGCCAAGTACCCAGGTTTTCAATGCCCATGGCTCAAGAAGCATTTCTATCATTTTTTAGGTTTGAATGAAGACATATTTGCTCATATGATGTTGCCTCATCCATCCCTCCACTTACTTTCTATGGGGAGGAGCCCAGTGGTACCCAAATAACTAGAGAAGAAAGATTACCTATTTGCATTATTTAGGAACAAATAGCAAGCCTGAATAGAACTTCTCACAGAGATAAATAAGGAGAAAACACCAGTATGGATCTAAAAAGACATCACAGAGTAAGGGGGGACTATTTAAGCATGCAGCATCTAGAATCAGAATCCCAGCTCTACCATTTACTAGCCATGCAACTTTAGGCAAGATAATTAACCTTTCTATGCCTCATTTATAAAATAAGGGTCATCATCACAAAGATTAAATCAGTATGTAAAATACTTTCCCAAATATCCACATGGTAAATGTTAGGTATTGCTATCATTGTCCCTATTTTATTATGTCTAAGCAAAAAAAATGCAATTAATAAAGACAATAAACTTTGGATACATCATTAATGCTTTTTTTAATCAAATATTTCTGGCTAGTCTTCCAGACAGATGTACTTTCTGTCTCCTTTAAGTTAGGCAGGATGGTGTAACTTGTTTTGATCATTAAAATGGGAATTAAAGTCATAGTTTAACTTCTGGGAGCTAAATCACCTGAGTTCAGGAGTTCAAGACCAGCCTGACCAACATGGTGAAACTCCATCTCTACTAAAAATACAAAAATTAGAATTAGCCCAGCATGGTGGCACACACCTGTGGTTCCAGCTACTCAGGAGGCTGAGGCAGGAGAATTGCTTGAACCCAGGAGGCGGAGGTTGTAGTGAGCCAAGATCGCACCATTGCACTCCAGCCTGGGCAATAAGAGTGAAGCTTCGTCTCCAAAACAAACAAACAAACAAACAAAAAGTTGGTGTGTGAATTCATCAAGTGATTTCTTTCTCAATCATAGCAACCTTCTACATGGTGGCAGCCCCATCAGCTTGTATGCTGAAGTGAAGATAACTTGAAGCAGAGCCCCAATCAATAGCTAAAGCATGAGTGAGGAAAAAAAGCTTTATTATACTAAGCCACTAAGAAGTCAAGGTTATTTATTACTGCAGCACACTGTAGCCTATACTGACTGATACAGAAGTAAAAGGTAAAAAAGAAAATGTTTTCAAAAACTTACTTCCAGAAAACAGTAGAGTGTTTTGGACAATAATTGCTGTATAGACCTAGAGACAGTAATGATAAAATAGGCAGATGAAGCAACAGCTGAAACATGACAAGTCGAGATATCCAAATGAGATTAACGGTGAGGCAGCAAAGTCAAAGAAAAAACGATTGGGAAATAATTGTGGCAAAAGCTTGGGCAAAACTAAAGGATCATGTATCATCATGTTGAAGTTAGGCCCTACCTCACAGTTTAGAAAGAATCACAGAGCTTTTATAGCCCAAGGATTGCTACAAAAATGTTCATTGAAGTGTTTCTTAGAGTAATTAAAAAAAAAACTGAAGGAAATCTAACAACTAAGAGTAGAGAATTTGTTCAATAAACCTGTGCAAATCTTTGTACCTTTATAACATCACTGTCCAATAGATCTTTCCACACTAATGGAAATGTTCTATGTCTGTGTTGTATTATGCAATACAGTAGCCACTAATCACATGTGGTTATTGAACATTTGAAATGTGGCTGGCATGACTGAAGAAACTGAATTTTTAAGGTATTTGATTTAATTTTAATTTAATTTAAATAGCCACATTGGCTGGTAGCTTCCAAATTGGACAATCCATATTTTTTTTCTTCAATTTTTGTTTTAAGTTCTGGGGATACATGTGCAGGATGCACAGGTTTGTTACATAGGTAAACATGTGCCATGGTGGTTTGCTGCATAGGTCAACCCACGACGTAAGTATTAAGTCCAGCAACCATTAGCTATTCTTCCTGATGCTCTCCCTCTCCCACATCCTTCTGACAGGCCCCACTGTGTTTTGTTATCCCCAAAGTGTCCATGTGTTCTCATCATTCTGCTCCCACTTATAAGTGAAAACATGCGGTGTTTGGTTTTCTGTTCCTGTGTTGGTTTGCAGAGGATAACAGAACAGCCCATATTTGAAACGATGGCATAGATCTGTATTTGTTAGCAATAAAAATGTTCATAATTTATTGATAAGATATTTTAGAGAGCAGTTAAAATTAACTTATTTGTGTGTGTGCATGAGTGTATTTGTGCAAATACATACTAACTGAGGACTCCACACCAAAATGTCATCATTGGGTACTGGATAATGGCAGTATGGATGATTTTTCTTTCTTCTTTAAATCTTTTTGGACTGTCTATGGTTTTCAAATAAGATTGCAGTACTCTTATATACAGAAAAGTAAAACTGTTTTTCTTTCTTTTTTTCTTTTTGAGACAGAGCATCCCTCTATCGCCCAGACTGGAGTGGAAGGGTATGATCATAGCTCACTGCAGCCTCAAACTCCTGGGTTCAAGTCATCCTCCTGCCTCAGCCTCCCAAATAGCTGGGACTACTACAGGCACATGACACCATGTCTGGCTAATTTTTTTTTACTTTTTATTTTTTGTCTTCCTATGTAGCCCAGGCTGGTCTCAAACTCCTGAGCTCAAGTGATCCTCTCATCTTGGCCTCCCAAAGCATTGGGATTACAGGCATAAGAAACTGAGCCCACCCCCCATTTTCATTTAAAAAAATAAAATTATTGAAAGCTAATGCTTGTAATGCTGCAGGAAAACTGTTGATGTTATTACAAATTGATATAATTATTTTGAAAAATGTTAAATAGATTTCCACCTCAAAAATGTATTTTAAGATAACTCTCAAAAGAAGGAAGAAAGATTTACTCAAAAATCCTGTCCCTAGGGAATAATTATTTCAATTATTTTGCAACAGATTAATTACAACTCTCTTAAAATGTGTCTGCAGATTATAACAGAAAGTGAAAAGGGAATCATGTTAAAAGCTGATTTAAGACAGTGGAAAGTTATCTGTTTTTATTTTCCTTTAATATTTTAATACTACTCTCAATAAATCTCAATAAATCTCTGTACAAGGGCCAGTACATCAGAAGAATAAGCAGCGCTAACCACTAAAACGTAATTCCCTGGTTCTCAGTGACTCAACACAGTTGAGGTTTAGCAGTTGTTTACATCATATTCTGATGCAGTGAAGCCGATGCCCTGGACAGCCATCTTCTGAATGGTAACTGTTTTCATCCCTTGGCCTCCACAGTCATCATGAAAGAGAGGAGAGAGCATGGAAGATTGTGCAGGGAGTTTGATGACCAGGTCTCAAAGTGGCTTCCATCACATCTGTTTACATTCCATAGACCGGCATCTAGTCACATAGCCCAGACTAAACTGCAAGGAATGTTGCAAAACATAATCCTTCTCTATGCCCAAGAAGAAGAATGGTGTCTGGGAGCATTCTAGCCAGTCTCTGCAAAACTTACATCAAACCAAATTCATTTGCTTTCTTAATAAGTTTATTAAGCAGGTTGATGGATGCTGCTATTGGAGGGCCCAATATTATATTTTGGAATTAAAAAAAATACAAATGGCCAACAGGTATGTGAAAGTATGTTCAACATCACTAATCACCAGGGGAACCCAAATCAAACCACTATGAGATATTATCTCATACTTGTTAGGATGGCCACTATATAAAAATAAAAGATAACAAGTACTGTCAAGGATGTGGGGAAATTGGAACCCTTGCACACTGTTGGTGGGAATGTAAAATGGGGCAGCCATTATGGAACACAGTATGGAATTTCTTCAAAAAATTAAAAATAGAACAATCATACGATCCAGCAATTCTACTTCTGCATATTTGTCTAAAGGAATTGAAATCAGGATCTCAAAGAGATATCTGCACTCCCATGTCCATGGCAACATTACTCACAATAGCCAAGATGTGGAAACAACGTAATTGTTTATCAAACAGATTAACAGATAAAGAAAATGTGACATGATATCCATACATATTATTCAGCCTTAGAAAAAGGCAATCCTGTCATTTGTGCAATACAGATGAAACTTATGGGCATTATGTTAAGTGAAAAAGGCTAGTCATGAAACAACAAATACTATGTGATTCCACTTACATGAAGTACCTAAAATAGTAAGACTTATAGAAGGACAAAATAGAATAGTGGTTTCCAGGGTCTTCAAGAAGAGGGAAATGGGGAATTGCTCAACAGGTATAAAGTTTCAGTTACGTAAGGTGAATAAGTTCTAAAGATCTGCTGTATAACATTGTGCTTATAGTTGACAATATTGTACTGTATACTTCAAAATTGTTGTGTTCTTACCACAATAAAATTTTTAAAAATCCCTTCATATCACTCTTATTCAGCATCATACTGCAAGTCCTAGCTAGTGCAATGAGACACTAAAAACCACAGATAATCAAAAGCATAACACAATAATGACATAAGCTTATACCACTCAGAATCAACCATTCTTAACATTTTGTCGTATAACATTTTTGCTATAATATCATATTGCATTGTATATATCACTCTGCACATTGCTTTTGTCATCAATGTGTTTTAAGAGCCAGTGTTCCTACTTAGCATTCCAGTTCATTTCTTTTACTTACAGCAATATAGTTCATTTTATAAGTATACTATATGTATCTATTTACCTGTTACTTTATATCGTGGTTATTCCCATTTTTCTCTATAACCATTCTGCAAGGAACATCCTTCAGCATGTCTTTTTATGCAGATGTGAAATGACACATGCCTAGAAGGGAAATTGCAAGATCAAAAACACTCATTTTTTTGAACATTATAAACATGTATAACTTGTAGACATGAATGAAAATATAAAACACATGTATATCAAATTTGTAGATGACACAAACTCAGAAGGGAGAGATGTTATGATAAATGACAAAAATCAGTGTTCAAACTTTTCATAAGTGAGAATACTGGGCCATAACTAAGAAGATGGAATTTAAGAAAGATAAAGATAAAATCTTGCATTTAGTTGAAAGAATTAAATGCCCATTGCAAAAAGGCCGCGTTATTACTTGACAGCAATTTATTTGAAAAATGTCTGGGATGTTAGTTGGCCTCTTCTTTGCTGTGAGCTAACAGTGTGACACTATTTAGACCCAAAAAAATGTAGAAAGACAGTCCCAGATTTATGATAGTTCCACTTAACTATTTTTCAACTTTATGATGGTGCAAAAGCAAGACACATTCAGGGGAAACCATACTTTGAGTACCCATAGAATCACGGTTTTTCCTTTCCAGTCAAATATTCAATAAGTTACATAAGATATCCAACACGTTATTAAAAATAGGCTTTGTGTTAGATGATTTTGCCCAGCTGTATGCTAATTTAAGTGTTCTGAGAATGTTAAGTTAGGCTAGGCTAAGCCAAGATGTTTGGTAGGTTAGGCGTATTAAATACATTTTCTGCTTACAACACTTTCAACTTACAATGGGTTTATCAGGACATAACCCCTCCATAAGTTGAGAAGCATCGTATTTATACAGCTATATTCATAGAAGAAAGTTTTGGAGGGTCTCAACGTTAACCTTAATTTTATTCTACCAAGTCATAACTCTATAGTGTTCAAATAAAACCAACTTATATTAACATAAGGAAAAAGAGAAAGCAGTCGTTTCACATACTACACTGCAGAGAGGATGGGTTTGGAGTAAGGCTAGAAGTAAAACCAGAGCTCCAAACGCTGCTGCAACTCATCCCTTTTACTGCCTCCCATCAATGTATCTCTCTGCCTACTGTATGTATTCTCTGAGCTACCAACCACATGAAGCTGGCTATGGCCTAAAGAAGATCTAGATCGGGGGGTCCAATCTTTTGGCTTCTCTAGGCCACACTGGAAGAAGAATTGTTTTGGGCCACACATAAAATACACTAACACTAATGATAGCTGATGAGCTAAAAATAAAGAAAAAAATCACAAAAATATCTCATAATATTTTAAGAAAGTTTACAAATTTGTGTTAGGCCACATTCAAAGCTGTCCTGGTCTGTGGGTTGGACAAGCTTGACCTAGATGATCCTCATCTGCAGCTTCAATTCATGAACTCCCAGGAGGGGTCTCTGCTTGGCCCAGCACAGGTCTTTTGTCAACTCCTTTGACAAATCAGGATGGCAGCCAACTTCAGAATCAATGGTTGGAACAGGAGAGGTACAACCTATAGATAGCCTTAGGAAGATTGTAGTTGACCAGGAAGCCCAATTTGTATCTTCCAAAGTTATTGTCCTTCATCTTGGAGTCACTGGGTATGTAGTTATCTGCAGACATGCTTAAACACTTAACTTCCTTTGCTTAGAAACCTCTCCTGATTCTGTTACTCTTAGGCTGTGTGGTCAACATCACATAAACAGTGAGCCCTCGATATTTAACAGACAAATAAACCCAAATACATATTTTATTCACTATGTGATTTTTTTTTCCTCCTGGGTTTTATATTTTTAAGATTCATAAAAATAAAATAGTTACTTATGTATCATGGCAGGTATCAAGAAATGTACTCCCATCAGCTGAATGGGGCCCTTGTAATAATTGCAGCAGATATAATCAGTATGCCTGCCTAAACTGTGAGTCTGGATCATTACCAAACTTGATAGTTACTGAGCTCTGACTGTGTGCAACACTATAGGTGTGGATCTACACTAGAGGATTTAAAACCTCACAGAGCCAACCAAACTGCAAACAACTGGGGAAGATGGATCACATGCAGAGGAAAGACTTAATCAGCTGAAGTTTCTGAGTAGTAGTCCCTGATTATCATCACATCTTAAGAGGGGGCCGCAATAGAATCCAGACAAGAAAAGGATATTCAGAATAAGTGAGATTTCCAATAAGACATAAAGGAGAAAAAGCAATTTGGCTAAAAAGAGAAAGAGACCTAGGATACAGATTCCCATTTGGAGTATTTTGCTGCACACTTTATATCAGGGGTCTAAACCCAGACTCAGAGGCAGAATCGTATGGAAAACCGACAAGATCAGGATCTTGGGTCCTAACTTGAAAAATTCTTATCCAATTCATCTGAGTGGAGTTTTGTGATTTATACTTTTAATAATAATTGTAGCTGATAATCTATAGCACTTACTACATGGCAGACCCTTCATTTAAGTGTTTTATATGTAATATTAACTCTCTAAGTCCTCATTTTAGCCAATGTATTAGGAACTGTTATTATCATCCTTAATGATGTGAAAACTGAAACCCAGAGAAGCAAAGTAACTTGACTAAGGCCATGCAGTGTTGGGATTTGAACCCATGTAGTTGGGCTTCAGAATCTGCTAATCACTTTGTTCTGCAGATTCTCAAAAAATAAAATAAAATAATGACTATGAAACTTGCAGGCAATTGTGATGAATTCAGTGTTGAAACCACTGCATTCTAACACATTCAAAAATTATTATGTACTGAGCACTGCTTCAGGATAGAGGCTCTATTATTCAAAGCCTGGCATATAGTAGATACAGAATATTGTTGGATATATTCCAAACAGAAGGAGTCCTTAGAAGCAAGATTTTGTATAGGGAAATCTGTTGGGCCTGCCTGCTACCGCAGAAAGGAAGTGGGGCAAACTGAGTGACTCATATCATGTTTTCTGTCCCCATTATAAGAAAGTGCCAAGAATCAGAATAAGAGACGCATCATTCTGACCCTACCTTTAAAGCTCTGCCCAGCCCCTTAAATCTGTGCCGCTTATGCCCACACACTACCTTAATTATTTGGAGAAACAAGACTTTCAACTTTTCTCTTTCAGCTCATCCTTTTCTTCAGTTCCATCCTTTTTTTTTTTTAAAGTGGTGTGATCATGGCTTACTGCAATCTCAGCCTCCTGAGTTCAAGTGATTCTCCTGCCTCAGCCTCCCAAGTAGCTGGGATTACAGGCACATGCCACCACACCCAGTTAATTTTATATTTTTAGTAGAGATGGGGTTTCACCATGTTGATCAGACTGGTCTCCAACTCCTGACCTCAGGTGATCCACCCACCTCGGCCTCCCAAAGTGCTGTGATTACAGGTGTGAGCCACTGCACCCGGCCAGTTCCATCCTTTTTAGAAACACCATGGAATATTAAGAGGATGTGAAACTCCAAGCAGTTGATTTCTCTGCTTATTTAAAGTGAAGATAAATGGCTTGTACATGATAAATATTTTTGGATGGATGGATGGGAGAATTAAACAAAGAGAATTAAACAAAGAATTAAACATTGAATAGAAACCCAGTGGTAGATCACTGTCCATGTCTCCTATGGGTCTGTCAGGACTGGCTGTCTTACTGGTAACATGCAATACGGTGTTATAATTAAGTGCACTGTCTTTGGATTAGGTGGCTTAGGCTCAGTCCTCCTTCTACCACTTACTAGCTGTGTGATCTTGGGCAAGTGACTTGTCCTCTCTAAACTTCAGTGTATTGTCTTTAAAACTAGAAATAATAATAGCACTTAAACTAGGGGTAATAACAGCATCAACCCACAAAGGTGTTGTGAAATAATGTACCTGCTAAGTACAATGTTCAATGCATAAAAATGCCCAATTAATAGCAATTATTTCACAGGAAATAATATCAGGTTTGGTGGCTTGAAACTTGCCTTCCAATATCTTTTGGGGTAAAACTTGACAGGCATTTTTTTCTTCCAAAAGGCAAGACTTTGGGGAACATGAGAGGCAAATGGCAGATTTTATTTAGACTGGCAAGGAAGAAAGAAAGGGAGAGAGGGAGGAAATATAAAAAGATAACCTTTCCTCTTCTGAAAATCACACATCAATTTTTTTTTATACAAAATAGGGTCCTTCTCTATCATCCAGGCTGGAGTGCAGTGGCATGATCATAGCTCACTATAACGTCAAGCTCCTGGGCTCAAGTGATCCTCCTGCCTTGGCCTCCCAAAGTGCTGGAATTACAGGTGTGAGTCATCACACTGGGTCATAACATTTCTTTATATTCATGTGACTCCAAAGGTTTAGCTACCAGTGATGAAGTTATCCCAATTACAATTCTTAGACAGGAAAGGAAATGCAGTCAACTTCTGAGAAAATGGGTTGACTCTCTAGAAAGTCTGGAGGGTGTAAATGGCCCATGTTCTGAAGAGGGAACATTTCAAGCTTATGAGCTAGGCTCACCTCAACCAAAGAGCTCAGCTAATACAATATATCCTTAGAGCTTAGTTTGTTTCTGGACATTTGGATTATTTATTTATTTAAGTATTTATTTTAGTGCATCAGAATCAATGTAGTACATCAGAATCAATGTAGTACATCAGAATCAAAGAATTGAACTAAAATGAAAATCAAAGAATTTTAGTGCATCAGAATTAGTATAGCACTTTGAAGTTAGACAAACCTTAATTTGAATCCCAGCTCTAACATTTAATAGTTGCATGACCTTGGGCAAATTGTTGACAGCTGTACACTTCAGTGTGTTTGCGTGTAAAGGGGAGGTGATACTGTTACCTTTTACATCCACATGTTGGGATGATTAAACAAGGTCATATGTATAAAGCACTCTATTCAAGACCTGACATACAGTAAGCACTCTATAAATATTGGCTATACTTATGTCTCATTGATATTATTATTTTCATAATGTTTCTTGTCTACTTCCTTAATGAAGTGCGTAATACTCTTCTTGGGCATTAACACAGGCTCCACCTGGCCTGTAAGTGAAACAGGGAGAGCCCTAGGCTTTTGCTTTGTTTTGCACAGAGCCTGCACAGAGCCCACCCAAGTAAACAAAATCTCCTCTTCTTTCTCTCCATTTTAATTTTTCTTTTATTCCATGCCCTATGAATAGATTAGTTTCTTTCTCTCTCTTTGCCGAAATACCTTCAGGCCTCCTCTCCTCCCTTCAGGCAAAAGTCCTTAAAACCTCCACTTTCCCCCAGTAATATTTTTCTCCAACTAACTGGAAGTGGAGAAAGATTTTCCTCTTTGTCTAGCACTGATTTTTGACTTGTAATTCCATTTCAACAAAACCACTTGCACTAAAGCTTACACACAATGTAAATAATTCATTAGAAATATATATTTGCTTGATGCTTATATACTTGCAGTGCATCTGCAGAGTCTATTGTATCAGTCAAGGAAATAACAGGACTCCCAGTCACCAAGGTGAATGGAAAATTTTCCTCTTTAAATAGGTAAAAATTTAAGTTGCATGCAAATTAATCTTGGAAATACAGAATGCTAACATAGCAGGGGACTTTAAAATGTGTATATTCTAACACTCTCTATAAATGTGGAAAATAAGTCCCAGAGCATGGTAACATGGCCATAACAGGCCTTGTAGCATTCTGGAATTTAAAAGGCTAGGTGCATAGAAGGGAAAATAGATACGAATGGCAAAGGCAGGTACATAATGCCTAAAACCAGGATGTGGTGTAGCAGTTACCATCGTCATCATCATCATCATCACAATGACAATCAATGGTAATGGCTACAATTTGGGAATTATGATCTTGGCACTAAGCAGAGGTCTTTACATTTATCTAGAAAGATGACCATGGGTAACACTGCATAAGACTGACTGATTTAGACTTTGAGAATTTTGCCAGTTTTGGGTGGCTGTGAGATATCTTGTCTGACCATAGGGCTAGATCATACAGCTACAAGAGAAGGTGGGATTTCTTCAGAAGGGAATGGACATTGCCACTGTAGTTCATCCCAGGCATTTTTCAACCTGGAAAGGGAATAGCTACACTCCAGTTAGAGGTCCTAGGCCAAGGCAAAGGAGAATCTCCTGCCCCACTCTGGCACCGAGAACCAGTTTGGTTTCTACTCCAAGGATGGGTGATATCTGAATTCCTCCCTGTGTGGTGGGAACCTACCATGGGCTCCATAAGAGCAGGCTAGGAATAAGGTTCATTGAAGGATGCCAAATAAAAAATCTTGTGGCATGTATAAGTTGTCCTCTGTGGTGTTTTTCAGTTCCATGCCCCAGGACTTCAAGACACCGATCTGCAATTGTGCCAGAGGATGTTAGAGAGGCAACTATGCCCTTGCTTGGGAGAAAACCACATGAGCAGACCATGTCTTTTCACCCAAGGCCAGAGGAGAGGAAGCAGAAGACACATTTCCCGGTGCCTGATTATTCCTTCCTCCAGGGCTTACGGTTGTCATTTTGGGCCATCTCACATAGAAGAGGTACCCAAATGTTTGTCATCTCTCCCTGAAAGCGTGTCTAGTCCTCAAATAGAGGAAAGCCATCACTATCTCTCTGCCTTCTCCATCGAGACCAAAAAGGAAGATACAAGCTGGGAACTAGATTTGAATATTTCTTGATACTGGAGAGGGGCAGGGTGATGTGATCTCTGGTGAGTTTCCTCCTCAAGCAGGGGTGCGGGTAGCCTGGGTTTCCTGGGCCCAGATTTCAAACCTGTGTCAGCTGTAGCTGCACACAGAGTGCCCAGAGCTGTTGGGTGCAGCTTAGGTATGGCAGTATCAGTCATCTCCACACCTGCTGCAGAAAGTCTCAGGACAGCACTGTGAGTGGGGCTGGGGAATCCGGAGAAGAAAGTTCTATAAGCACAACACGGTTTACTTTACAGACAGCTTGCTACCACATAACGATTTGGGTACAACCCATGAAAGGAGCCCCGCGGGAGTAGAAGAGGGTATCTCCATGTCTCTCTAGGAGACGAACAAGCAATATCCACTGGAATCCAGAGGCTAAAAATTGTGATGTCCCAGGCCTAAGCTAGACAGAGCAGAGAATGGGCAGGACTTGCCCCTAAAGTATGGGCAGTTAAACAAGAGGAGGAAAGAAGAAAAAAAGAAAAGAAAGGAAACACTAGGCCCAAATTGATTTACCGGTGAATTCTACCAAATATTTAAAGAAGAATTTAAACCAACTCTACATTGCTTACCAACTCTTTCTATGAGGCCAGCATTATTCTGATAAAGCCAGACAAAGACATTTCAAAAAAAAAAAAAAAACTATAGGCCCATATTCCCCTTGAAAATAGATCCAAAAATTCTTAAAATATTTAGCAACAAAATGTTATGGTCCAACAGGGCTTTGATCCGAAGAAGTCCAGGAGAAAGAGACAATTCAGGAAAAGAGGCAGCAAAAGGAAATGTGGGAAACTTGGCCCAAAGAAGGTTTGAAGCAGACGATGGATGGCATTGCCTGGAAAAATTGCCTGAGTGTCTGATCCTAGGGGCCAGTGTTTCCCTAAAGGATTCCTACAGTTGAGTTCATTAAGATTCTTAGGTTGGGATACCTAGAAGAAAAAACTGAGACAAGGATTCCAGTGTGCATGATTTACAGAGGGATTGCTGTCCAGAAAAAACAGCTAAGGGAGTGAGGAAAGAATAAGGAAGAGGGAGAAACATGGCAAGGATGTGGACCCAGATAAAGTCAGCCCTTGACCTGACCCACAGGGTGCTCTGGAGTATAAATTGCATGACACAATTATCACACCTGGAGCATCACCTGCACCCTGCGTCAGTCAGTTATTGTATGCCTCTGGGGAGTAGGAGATGTCAGCTCCCAGTATCGCTGAGTGAGGCCGATCCCGTCAGCCTAGGGTAATGCTCTGCAGAAGTCTGCAGGTGGATGCTGTTGGCTGTGGCACTCACTGCACCATCATAGCAGTTGTAAAGGGGCTTGGAGTGTGGCACCAATAACATCTACTGCGGAGGACTTCATACAGCCACTCTCCTCCCCCTGGACAGTTGGAGCCTGAAATAGGCAATGATAGCGGAGGTAGTTAGATGAGGTACTCATGAACTATTTAGATGGTAGAATTGGGAGGACACGCAGCTAATTCCATATGGGAGGCAGTGAGGAGGGACAGTGTTTAGCTGATGGACATAAGAAGTATAAGATTATACTCATGCCCTGGGGAACTGGAGGAATGGTGGGGCCATTGTCAAAGGTAAGGAACATGAGGAAAGGAGCAGGACTTGGAAAGGAACATAAATTCAGTCTCCAGCATTTTCATTTTGAAAAGGGAATCAATGGCTTATGAATAGCATACCTGGAGCTCCATAGGGGTTTCAGGGACCAATTATATTAGGAAGATGAGGCCAGAGAGAGGGGAAAAAAGAAAACCAAATAGTCTAGTGCTGGCCCTCATCCCATCCTACACTGGAGCACTTCTGCTATCTTGGTTTGATTCCCACAAATGCAGACTTTGAGGCAAGGATTAAGACACATTGAAAGACGATCTCACGGGTTAGGTGTGGTGACTCATGCCTGTAATCCCAGCACTTTGGGAGGCCAAGGCAGGTGGATCACTTGAGGTCAGGAGTTTGAGACCAGCCTGGCCAACATGGTGAAACCCCATCTCCACTAAAAATACAAAAATTAGGTGGGTGTTGTGGCTGGTACCTGTAATCCTGGCTACTTGGGAGGCTGAGGCAGAAGAATCACTTGAGATCCAGGCTTCAGTGAGTCTATATTGTGCCACTGCACTCCAGCCTGTGCAATAGAGCAAGACTCTGTTTAAAAAAAAAAAAAAAAAAAGATGACCTCAGGAAGCATAGGTGAGGATAGTGAAAATGAAAGAAACAGCCACCAAGGGAATACTCATGAATAGATTATCTCTGAAGACCACAGGGGCATGATCTGTTGGAAACCCTCTGACCATCCATGTATCCCACATGTTTCCCACTGAGGGATAAGAAGCTATTTTGCTACCGTGAATGGAACCTCTTTGGTTGAGGGTGTAAGAAACCCCTCAATGCCATGCTAGCTTGAAGACCAGCTGAGAGCCTGTGTAGAGGCTGCAGAAGAAAACTAGTGTGTAGAGAAGCACTCACACCTCAGCGGGCCACATAACCTGGGGCAAGGGATCCATGGCTTCTGCTGCACCTGCTCCACTCTGTTTTTCCATATAGCAATTTCTGAATTTCCATATAAGATATGTTTTTTGCTTTGTTTTTCTTTTTTAAGAGAAAAATCTCCTGTCTAGAAAAACAGGTTGGTCAGTGTCCTAAAATCAAAAGTCCGCAGCAGAAGGCACTTTGAACAAGCAGTTATTGCCTCCTCTGGTCTCACCTCCAATTCTCCATGTAAAATTAATAGTGTACTCTGGGGACATCCCTTCCATTATCTAGTCTTGGTGAAAAGGGACAATGGTAGAAGCAGGGTAATCTCTGCCATATCGATTTTCTGTGTGAGCTTCTTTGTGCCTCCAGGGAGACACCACTGCTTTCAGTGCCTATTAGCAGTTGTGTCTTTTAACCTCCCGGTCAGGCTGGCAGTGTGAGTCCAACAAAGGCTCCGGCTCCAATTACTTCGCCAGTACATAGCCTGGCTGAACTGGAGCTTGCGGCTCCACATGCTGGAAATTGCACTTTCCACCAATACAGAGACAAGCAAAGAGGGGCATTCAACAAATCCCCAGCTACAGCTCAGCATGGCAGGGAGGCAGAAAGGACCTATATACCAATTAGCCAGGCAGCTATGGCCATCAATCATGGGTGACCTGGGCACCCAGCATGTATGTCCATCCTGGACCCCACCACCGAAATCACACTGAAAACTTGTATCCAGAGGAGGCTTGAGACAGCCAAAGCTACAGGTGGCAAAAGCTTTCATTCCAGAAAGCACTTCAATCCCACAACCTGGAGAGGAAGGCCCATACGACCAGCATAAAATTAAAAGTGTGCAGTACTTACAGGACATAATTCTATGCTTACATGCATTTCTCAGAAAATTTTGGCAAAGACTGCTACCTTCTGAGCAAAACTGGACATAGAAATGACAATAACACATATTGGGTATTTATCACCTTCTTAAGAGATGCATAGCCATTTTCCTGTGGCTGAGACAGAGGTCTCTTTTAATACTTAACATTTCCTTTAGGTTGGCCTAATGCCCAAAGGGAAGCTGTAATAATCTCCCACATGTGAGTTTGGTAAAAAATTTCACAATGACAATTTAATTCACTACTTACTGCAGTCCTTATTATGGTCTTTGTACAACAGGTAATATCCCTGTTAATTTGAGAATCACTGTTAACCTGAACCTTTCCCATTGTTTTCAAAGCTTTCTCTTAAGTGTCAGAAACACACCCAAATACACCCAAACACACCCAAACTTGTATTTTAGCCCTTCTATTGTGAATATTCATTAAGGGTGGTGTGACATAGTGCTTCAGAGCACAGCTCTGGAGCCAGCCTGCCTGAGTTTGATTCCTGCTCTGTCACTTATTGACCTGCAACATCAAGCAGTTTACTTAACCTCTCTGAGGCTCAGTTTTACCATCTGTTAGATGAAGACAATAGTGTCTACTGAATAGGGTTGTCCCAAGAGCACTTAGAACCATGCTTAGCACAAATGCTGAGGCTACATAATGCTCAGCTCTTCACTTCCTGCTTCTCTGGTCATGGGTGTTATTATAAAAGTGCCCTTCCAGGAGTTTGAGACCAGCCTGGACAACGTAGCAAGACCCCATCTCTAAAAAAAAAAAAAAAATGTATTAGCCCAGTGTGGTGGTGTGTGCTTGCAGTCCTGGCTGCTTAGGAGGCTGAGGCAGGGAGATTGTTTGAGCCCAGGAATGTGAAGCTGCAATGAGCTAAGATCATTCCAATGCACTCCACCCTGGACAACAGAGCAAGACCCTGTCTCTTAAATTTTGTTTTAAAGTGCCCTCGAATTTTGTTAAGACCTCAGAAGCTGCTCCATGAGTGGGTGGTGCAATGTTATTGGAGCATGGGGGTCAGTGAGGAGAGCTAAGATTTCTGGGAGGCCAACAGAAGGGTTAGAATGTGCTTCAAAATTTAGTTGGGCATGGTGGTGTGCACCTGTAGCTTCAGCTACTTAGGAGGCTGCAGTGGGAGGATCACTTTAATCGGGTATGGTGGTGCACTCCTGTAGTTTCAGCTACTTGGGACGCTGAGGTAGGATCAAGGGAGGATCACTTGAGCCTGGGAGCTTGAAGCTACAGTGAGCTATGAACATGCCACTGCACTCCAGTCTGGGTGAAACACTGAGACCCCGACTCTAAAAAATATAAGTTCATAACAGTACATAATAGAGGAGGCTCAAAACACATGCCAGTGATGAAAATGAACCCTCGCTTCTGAAGAGAGCACTGCAGTGTCAACAGGTGGCTGCAAAGGTGGTGAGCATGACCCTGGACCAGGGAGGTTAGGCAGGGTCCCAGCCCAGCTAAGACTTCTTTTTGGAAACCAACATGGGGTCTGACAAGCTGTCTCAGTAATGAGGCTCTGCACTTTTTTCATTCTCCCCTTGCCAGATGGAGGCACCCCCGTTTAGCCATGCTGCTCCCAGGCCCTGCTCTCTGAGAAGGACTTGGTCAAACACTGCATCTCTGGATCCTGAGAAGTCAGACCAGTTATTTCAGTGCCTGGACCCTTCCTCTTTTCTGACCCAGTATTTCCAAAAGCAAGTCCATTGTTCAGCCTTGAAAACAGCTGATTGTGAGAGGGAGCTTATCACAGCCCAGCAGACTAAGAAAACATTTTAGAGAAAGAACATTTGGAAGGTTCATTAAAATGCTGAAAAAAAGAGCCCCCATTTTGGGGTACCTTCAGGGCTTTCTAACCTTTTTGGCAAGTGAGTTGTTTTTTTGTAAATAATACCTTACATAGGGCCCAAGGTATAAAATCAAGTGCAGGGCTGCTCTGTTGAAGGGGGGTCTATAGATGCTTCCACCTCCAAGGAGCAGGCTTTGGAGGAAACAGTTCTAGTGCATGTAGGGACAAACAGAGGAAGCAGAGACTACCTTCCCAGGGGCCCTCTCTTGGATGCGTGCCCTGCATTTCTGCAGCCTCTCTTTCCCTTTTCTGATGCTTTCCTCTCATTCCATCTGAAAAGTCACTACAAGTGCTAGAAGCTAGGCCAGAGGATAAAGACCTTGAAGAAAACTGAGCCTGACACCTAATATGGGATTGAGGAATAGAATGGAAAGGGGGAAAATACAGTGGGGAGGTGAAAATAACATCCTTAGCTGAGAAATGACAGGATGAACATGTCAAGGCAGTCTCAACATTTTAAACGTTTTCCAAGAAGAGAGTAAGCAGTGGCTCTTGCTAAAGGAAGTAAACGCTGTCACGGCCAAGCTCTCTGCACAGGTGGTACACCTAGGAAGGCTGGTGCTTGAAATGCTCCTCCCTGAATGTACCAGATAGCCCCTGGTTACGGAAGATTGTGCCTCCATGCACCCTTCTCAAACTGGCTACCCCATCCTAATAGGCTACAAGATTCCTGGCAGGGACTGCAGATTCTACACTGGTTTGGAGTCCTGCTACTTTAGCCGGCCAGGTAAGGAGATGTTTCACTCTCCTGCCCTTATCATGAAGAAGCATGAGACCAAGGAAAATCTGCATATATGAAAACTGAGGAATCCAGAAAAGATACCACAGGATTCTTTCTGCATGGGGTAAAAAACCTCTCTGTCATTTACAGAAAGTCTCCCCTAAGAGAAGAGATAAAGGTCATTATCAGGACTGGATTTGAAAAACTCTGATGTCAGGTTATACTCAAACTACTTAAAGCAGAATCTCTGGGGGCAGTATCTAGGTACCAGTGCCAGTGCACTATCAAGCTGCAGAGTCACTGCTTTAGAAGTTGTTACGGAGGGAGGGAGGGAAGGGAGGGAGGGAGAGAGAGAGAAAGAAAGAGAGAGAGTCCAAAACTTGGAAAGAAGAAAGAGGACTGCATGTCTTCTTTAGTGTCATACTGTCACATCGTTTTCCAGGCCCACCCAAAGATTACTGAACTACCTAGAGGAATATACCTCTGTTTGACCTTTTCCTTTCTATTGATTAGAACTCAGATACTGTTCAAAGTTAACCTGTACATTTGTAGCCAGTACACATGCAAATGATTTCTGTCCAGTAATAAAGAAAGCCCCTAAGGTTGCAGTTATATCACCCTATAGGATATTATGCAGCTTTGTATCTTATCTAGAAGTCTATCTCTAATTTGGCAATGTTCATCTAACATTCTTCTTTTATTGTCTGTCAATACGTAGTTCCTTTATTTTTCTTTGAATTAGCTTTACCATATTTTGGTTCACTCATTGATAAACTGAATACATTTTGACATGAATTCATTTTGACATGAATTCATTATATTTTGCATAAAAGTTTTTTTTAACTTTTTGAAAATTTTACTTTGAAAGTAGGCAACCACTTTTATATTCTCCATCAATGAGCTTAACTTGCTCCAATGCCAGCACTCTGTAAAAAACTTATCCAACCAGCTCCACTGATGCTGGAAATTCACATATTGGTAACTCATTGCTGAGTTAACTCTGCCATGTCGTCATACCTTAGATGAGTGGTGAACCAGATCATCCAGCCAGTCACTCATCTCTGACTCTGTGGGAATAGAACCATGAAGGAGTACATTTTGAAGAAATAGCATGAGTTGAGTAAAGCACTAGCATGTATGTAGGATGGTGAGGAGAATAATCTAGGAAGGGTGAGAGCAAATATGACAGCCTCTGAGGATGGAGGGGGAGAAGCAGAATGCCCAACTCAAAATGAGGTGATAGACACAAAGAAAATTAACTGCCTTCTTCAAAATTTTGAACTGGGGTAAGCCTGCTCCTGTTACATAAAGATGAATGAATGAGGGAGTAAGAGAGGTTTAATCAGTTACAGGCTGGATCAAATAGGCTCTATTGGTCTCATCTTTCAAGCATGCCTTACCTATTGGAGCAGCATTACAGGTAGCTTCAGGAGTGACTGCCACCCAGTGTGTGTGCCACCACGTTCAGGGTCCAAAGCTGGACCTAATGATCATTGACCATGTCTTTTCCATTGACTATGACCTTGACAAAGTCATATGCAGGCTGGTTCAAAGGAATCACTGCATCTATTTGAAAATTCACTGGCTTCCCTGATCATCGTCCTACTTAATGACCATATGTTATAATTTACTGTGGAAAGTCACCCTACTTCCTTCTTTGCTATAGTCGGGAAACCATATTTCCTGTTACATTAGCTTCTAAGAGACTCGAGTGAGCAAGCAAATTACAGATCTGAAGACAGGGATGCATCCCATTCCCATCCCTGACATGGGTCACACACCAGGCTAAAGTCAGCATTTTTCAGATAGTTCATCAGCAATACTAGGAGACCTTTCCAGCAAGGTTACTATATCACTAAAGCAATCATGTGTGTGAGTGCCCCCAGCCAGATTGAGCTAATTCAATGTGAAGTAATCAGAGATAAGAAAAAGCCACTGGAGTTATAAAAGTATACACATCAGGTACTTTACCCAAGAGGAAGGGGAAGTTTACTGGGAGGTGAAGGGAGTGCTTCAAAATGATAAGAAAAGTGAACTAGAGAATAAAATGAAGATTTTATTAGAAGTTAAGACAGATAATAGAACAACTTTTTTTCTACTATAAAAGGAATAAGAGGCCAACTAAGGACTCATCAGGGTTTTGCCAAGATAGGAAGAGTGGTCGTTTGCCAGAGGAGTTGGACATTACAGAAAAAATGGAGGAATGTGTTTTTTCAGTGCTCACCAGGGAGGAAAATGCACTGTGTGCCAATGCAGAAGTACCTTCCTTAAAGAAGAAAATGCAATCATGAAAACCACTGGGGCAAAAACATCTCCAGGAGGAAGAAGCCTTGGAAGTCCATTTGGAAATACTCAAGCCAGGAATTTCCAGTGCTCCTGAAAAGAAGAGAAGCAACTTCGAGCACATGAGGCAAGGAGAACGACTTCCATCTCTTTAGAGTCCCAATTCTTAGAGGTCAGGGAATAGGCACTGTCCCTGAGAACAAACCTTCTCATAATAATGGTAGGGCCTCACTGGCAGAGCTGAATGTCAATGCTGGGTGTAAGTTTTCTCTCACTGCCAAGTTTCATCATTTCTCTCCCTATTACTTGCTCCTTATGGGAGTAGAGTTGGGTTGAACATTTGGTCTTAGACCAAGGGGAACTAGTCAGAAAGCTGGGAATAAAAGCTTTTGCCAAAAGCCCGTGTTCTCAACTTCCACACCCAGCTTGGCACCAAGCAGAAATTTCCTGTTTAGTCCGGCCCTATTAGGCCCCAGTACTCTATTTCAGTGATTGGTGCTGAGAAAACTCATTAGCCATTGGGAAAATATCATATTATATCTCTACCTCACACCATATAGAAAAATATTACAAGTAGATTTTTAACCATAAAAATATTGGAAGAAAATATGATCAAACATTGGAGACAATTCTTCTACCTATGGACTAAGTCTCAGCAAAAATGATGCAAAAAGTGATGCTGTAGATGCTGTATATGCCTGGTTCAGGCACCTAGGTTCTTTTTTTTCTCTTGGAAGCGTGATGTGCCAGTTTCCACAGTTACTGCCACAAAACCCTCTCTGGAGATCTGTCCTTTGGCAACTTATGCCTCCTGAGCTGGAAGTCTCTGTCAGCTCTTCTCCCTAGCCTCGTGAAGCTGAGGCTAGACTTAATCCAAACCCACATCCTTGCTTCTTCCTCTCTTTCATCCTAATTCTCTCACTTTACTCACAGTTTTCTTAAAACTGAATCCTAATTCCCTTATTTCACATACAGTTTTCAAGAAAAACTAATAAATCTCTTGGAGGGCAGATCATCTGAGCCCAGGAGTTTGAGACCAGCCTGGGCAACATGGCAAAACCTCATGTCTACAAAAAAAAATACAGAAAATTAGCCAAGCATGGTGATGCGCACCTGTAGTCTCAGCTACTTGGGAGGCTGAGATGGGAAAATCACCTGAACCTGGAAAGTCAAGGCTGCAGTGAGCCATGAGTGTGCCACTGCACTCCAGCCTGGATAACAGAGTGAGTCCTTGTCTCAAAACAAAACAAAACAAGCAAACAAACAGACATCTCTGCTTCAGTGTCTGTGTCTAGGAAACTCAACTCTTGATACCTGACTTAACTAAATAAAAATGTAAATAATTATTATGCAGAAATATAAATACATTTAAAAAGTTATGTCTCTATGTATGCATACATATGTGTATAAATCTATTTCGATGTCGTGGGCTGAATTATGTTCCCCAAAATTCATATGTTGAAGTCCTAGTCCCAGTACCTGGTTATGTGACTATATTTGGAGATAAGGCCTTTAAAAAGGTAATTAAATTCAAATAATGTCCTTTGTGTAGACCCTAATCCTATTTGAGTGGTTGCTATCCTTATAAGAAGGGGAAATTAGACACAGAGAGAGATATTAAGGCACCAGTTCACAGAGGGAAAAGCAATGGTCACAGTGAGAAGGGGACAATTTATATGCCAACAAGAGAGACTCCAGGAGAAACCAAACTTGCTGACGCACTGATCTTGGACTTCTAGCCTCCAGAACCGTAAGAAGATAAACTTCTGAGTTTAAAACACTCAGACTGGTCGCAGTGGCTCACGCCTATAATCCCAGCACTTTGGGAAGCCGAATGGGTGGATCACTTGAGGTCACAAGTTCCAGACCAGCCTGAACAACATGGTGAAACCCCGTCTCTACTAAAAACACAAAAATTAGCTAAGCATGGTGGTAGGCACCTCTAATGCCAGCTACTGTGGAGGTGGGAGAATCGCTTGAACCCAGGAGGCGAAGGTTGCAGTAAGCCGAGATGGTGCCACTGCAGTCCAGCCTGGGCAGCAGAATGAGACTCCATCTTAAAAAAATAAAAAATAAAATGCCCATTCTATGGAACTTTCTTTTTTTTTTTTTTTTTTTTTTTTTTTTTTTTTTTTTGAGACGGAGTCTCGCTCTGTCGCCCAGGCTGGAGTGCAGTGGCGGGATCTCGGCTCACTGCAAGCTCCGCCTCCCGGGTTCACGCCATTCTCCTGCCTCAGCCTCCCAAGTAGCTGGGACTACAGGCGCCCGCCACTACGCCCGGCTAATTTTTTTGTATTTTTAGTAGAGACGGGGTTTCACCGTTTTAGCCGGGATGGTCTCGATCTCTTGACCTCGTGATCCGCCCGCCTCGGCCTCCCAAAGTGCTGGGATTACAGGCGTGAGCCACCGCGCCCGGCCTATGGAACTTTCTTATGGCAGCCTGAGCAAACTAATACAATTCATATAGAGATATATAGTATCATTATCTCTCTCTCTGCCTCTTTCACACACACACACACACACACACATACAACATACACACACACACACAGACACATGTGACATTTCAAAACATCAAAATATACAAAGAGCACCCATAAATCTCAAAAAATAAAATAGAAAAAATGAACAAGTGACTCAACTAGACGATTCAAAGAAGAATAAATCAAATGCCAATAAATACCTGAGAAGATGTTCAGTTTCATCGTGTTCTCCTTTTAGGTGGCACCTGCTCTACCGGCCAAGCCCTATCTCCCTATCACTCCTTTGCATGTTATTGTCCAGTCCAGCTCTCCTGCATTAGCAAGCCCACAGCAAGTGCCTGGACAGTTCTGTGCACATGGTAGGCACTAAATAACTATTGATGACAATGTAATAGTGCTCCGAGGTACACAGAAAACCATTTTTAAGGTAATTCAAGAAGCTATCATAATGGTTTTGAAAAATCATAAAAGAGGAAGAACAACTAGCTCCAGTAAGAGAGAAAACTGTTCATCACAAGTAATGAAAGAAATGCAAATCAAAAGGCAATGGGGTTACTTTTTGCAAGTTTGCATAATATATATAACCAAAAGCTAGAAAGCTTTGCTACTTCGGGTGCAATAAAACATATTTTTGGTTTGCTGATGGCATTGTCAGTTGGCAAATACAATTTGGCAATGCACTCCTGGCCATGAACTTTAAGGAAAAAGTCAAAATATGAAAAACACCATGTGAAAGACAATGTCTACAATCATGCTGCTTATGATAACAAAAAATTAGAAATACCCCCAAATGTCCAATAATAAAGGAATCATCACAGAAATTTCAGGACATTCACTCAAGGGAGTAATAAGCAGACACCAAAAATGGCAACTACAAAGACCAAATACCAATATAAAAATTAACATAAACGCACAACTTAGGATATAAATTTACATATGGACGATCATTATAGCTATGCAAACACATGCAAGTAAAGAAAGACAAGGATGAATACAGGAAAACTTGTGTTGTTAGGACTTTTTTTCTTTTTCTCTCTATTTCAAACTTTCTCAATCTTTGCACTGTGCATTTCTTGAAAAGCTAAAGTCTTATTCAGGAAAACAAGACATTCATATGTACCTGGATAAATGAAGTAAAAACAATGCTGGCCATTTTTAAAAAGTAAATTGTAATGTCAGAATCCCAAAATAAAGACTTAGATATTAATAATAGCCACTGACACTTCCTGAAATCTTACTAAGTGCTAATAATGTGCTCGATGCATTTTATGAACTGTCTCACTTAGTCTTCCAATAAGCCAATGAGGGAGATATGATTATCTTTCCTGACTTAACTTTTGAGAAGATGAGTCCTAGAGAAGAGAAGTAACCCATCCAAGAGCACATAAGCTCTGCAGTTAGTAAACAGCTGTCACAAGGTGGCTAGCTGCCCCCAAAAGCATGCATGCTTCCTGTTCTACACTGCAGAATTGTTGCTGAGAAAGAGCTGCTGAGCCAGGGACATTTCCCAGGGCTGCTCACTCCCTCCCCCAACCCATCCTTTCTTTTGCATCCAGATGGAGCCACCTTCCTAGAAGGCAGACAGCACATCTTGTAGCCTGTCCTTAGCAGGGCACATGCTGCTCTAGGGAGGAGAATCAGGTCTATAAATCAGTCAGAAGTCTGAAACTAATATCAGCAACAGAAATAATTACCCTTTTTAAAAAAAGATTGTATTAAACCATGGCAATACTATTCTTCACCAATTCAACTGCCAGCATTGAAAATATGTTACTTCCGAGAATAGAAGAGAGTGCCAGGAAATGGGTAATTTCCTAACTTGCTGGTGGAGAGTAAGTTGATGATTCTAACTTTCTTTGGGACAATTTATTAATATGAATCAAGACTTCAAGAACTTTAGAATTCTGTAAGACTTTTGACCCAGGAGTTATTTTGGAAATGATCTTAATGAAATAATAAGTAATGTGAGTAAAGATATATAGCAATTGTATTGCTTCATCTCAGAAATTTGTATATTAGAGACTAGGAGAAACCATTTAAACATCTAGTTACAGGGAAGTAGAAAAATTATACTTTGGCTACACAATGAGTTACTATGCAGCTATTTTAAATTATGTTGCAAGAGAATATTTAATACCAGGGAATGATTATGATACATTATACAGTGTGATTCCATTCTTATTGCATTTGTAAAAGCACAGCTATATCAGGCATGAATTTGCTCTTTCTGTGCAGGTGCAAGAACTATCACATTTCTTTTTCTAATTCGAATGAAATCTGGCTTAGAACCCCCATCCTACATGGCTGAAAGAGCCTTATTAAAAACAGCTGGGCCTCCCTCTCCCCACACCACACCCTGTACACATACACATCTTCCTGTAGATCTTCTGACTATCCCAATGCTTCTTGTGGTACCAAGAAATAAAAATGTGCAGGTTTTCAGGCCATGGTTGTTGCCTCTGCTGCCATAATGCCTCAAAATATACCTGGTATTGACAAGGGCTGCAGTTCTGGAAGGAAGGTGGAAAGAGAAATGCCTTTCATAGTACTGGCCTTGTCACAGGCTTGACTACAGGAGGCTTCTGCCATTGTACTCAAAGTAGTGGGGTTGGTGTTCTGTCCTGGGAGAAGCACCATCAGAGGTTTTGCCACTGTTGGTGTGTGGGGAGGGGGTGCAGGTCTTAGAAGACCTGTGATCATTTTCTCTTCTCAACCTCCCCTGGATACTTCACCTCTTTTCTAGGACCACTTTATTTTATTTTATTTTATTTTTGAGACAGAGTCTTGTTCTGTTGCCCAGGCTGGAGTGCGGTGGCACAATCATGGCTCACTGCAACCTCTGCCTCCCGGGTTCAAGCAATTCTCCCTCCTCAGCCTCCAGAGTGGCTGGGATTACAGGCATGTGCTACCATGCCCGGCTAATTTTTGTATTTTTAGTAGAGACAGGGTTTCTCCATGTTGGCCAGGCTGGTCTCAAACTCCTGACCTCAGGTGATTGCACCTCGCCTTCCCAAAGTGCTGGGATTACAGGCATGAGCCACCGTGCCCGGCCCACTTTACCTTCCATATTTAAACTCCAGTTTATCTCTCTCCTCTTCTTGTAGGACAATTCTGCCTTAATTCTATGACTAACCTAATCTTCCAAACTAATGTTTTGCCTGATTATTTCTTTGATGACCCCAAGACCCAAATAAACTGTTAGTCTCCATCCTTTAAATCCAATCCATATACCTTTGCCCACTTATACTCAGAGGCACACACAAACCCACACACAGATGAGCTTAAACCTTAGAATTCAAAGGCATGAGTGGCTTTTGAATTTTTTTTTCCCAGAGGTATGTGCATGTGTTGAGAGAAGAGGATAGAAAAGAAAAGGGTGAAATGAGAGAAGTAGGGAAATTAATTATCATTTTATTCTCTCTCACTTAAGCAGTGAAAACAAGTCAACAAACCTGCCACATATGTGTGCATTATAAAGCCTTGAAGAAAGTGTTTTTCTTTGTGTGATGGGGTTATAGGAAAATTCTTATTTTCCTCTTTGTATTAATTATTATTTTCCAAATTTTCTACAAAAACTATTTATTCTACAATTTAAAAGAATGCAATTTCTTTCCATGTTAAGATATCAACTATTTTTTTTCTAATTCTTTTACCACCTTTTGTATTTCTAAAACAAAGAACAACTGAAAAGCAATGAGAAGTACTTTATTGAAGGACACAGACCATGACTGTAAAGGCATTTTGAAAAACAAATGAGAAAGAAAGTCCAAAAATGTTTCTTAAGTGGTAGCTCCACTGGAATCAGTGTGCAGCTTTCTAAGGTAATGAAGTAAATAGTAACATTGATTTTGGATGTAAATATTTGAATTGATTACTTTGCTTGTCTTGGTTTTAATCTTTTTCTCTCCCCCTAAAGAACTTCCACACATGATGCCACTATGGGGGTGTGTACCCACACTGACTAAAAGTACTTATACTTAAAGAATGTTTTGCTATTCCCAATCCAATATACAATCCCATTAGAAGGTAGGTTAATAGATAGCCCCAGTTCAAAAAAGAACTGCTATTACCCTCCATTTTTCCTCTCTCTGAATCAGAGATTCTCTTGACAACTATCAACAGCCCAACCATAAGATACGAATGGAGATGGTAATCATGCCACAAAAAAAGCCCAGCAGCCCCATGGGGGTGCCTGGAATGGTGAGATTCCCATGTTCCCTTCCAGGGCATTTTTCAATCTAGAAACATTCTATTTCAGCAATCTCTCCTTTCAGACCCTTTTCCATCTGAGCACCTATCCAGACATTAAAATTCGTATCTTCCTTTAAGAAATCTCCGTCACAAAGCCATCATCACCCTTGGCTCCAGCATAGATAAGTCTTACATGTGTGATCAGAAGTACCCTGGAGGGAGATAGGAGGTGGGGGAGAAACTAAAAGGGCATAAACAGAAAGTGTTCCTCAACATTTTCCCCCATTTTCACCTGATTCAGAAACACCTTGAGTTCATTACCAAATCCAGAAATTATTTAACACAGATGTACTTAAGGAGTTCTTGCCTTTTTGTCTGTTTCTCAAGTTGCCCTTCATCACCCTGAAGTCATGACCAGGTTTTTTAGCAGAAAAAGTCAACACCTGCAGCAGGCTTGGCCAAGGACTGAGCTCATCTCCTAGTCACTGGCTCCAGGTTCAGGTGCTGCTTCCTCCCACGCTTCTGCATGTCCTTGGTTTACAAAGCAGATCCTACTCACAGGGAGCTCAGGGAAGAACAGTTCCTTCATATTCAGCTCTTCCAAAGACAGTCTTTGGATAGGCGGCTGTAGCCAATATAGCACAGTATTCAAACCATCCTCTCCCAAATTCACATTGTTCTGCATCCCACCACTAATAGATTGTGGTGTTCCCAAGGGCTATGTTTTTAATTAACTCAATATTTATTGATTTCTATTGTATGGCAATCATTATACTTTTTTGTCTTTGTAATACCAGGTCTTGGTCATAAGAAGCATATAATAAGTGTTTGTTTTTCAATAAATGAATATTTCCTCACCTAGAAAGTGAGCTCTAAGAGGTCAGGAACTTGTGCCTGACACCTCCTGGGTGCTTAAAAATTCTTCGTTAAAATTAATTAATTAGTTAACTCGTGAGTAAATAAAATAATCAACCCATACCAAAAAACTTTGTAGCTGACAGTAGCAATAAGTAATACATCTGTACAATGAAAATATTTTGACTTTTGGAATTAGACCCAGATCCAAATTCTAGGTTTATCTATATGTCCCCATATATAGAAGGAAATCGTATTTATCTGATTGAATCATGAGGATTTAATGAGTTATTAAACATAAAATGCTTGGCATATTTAATGGATATAAAGTGCCTGGCTTTTCTAATGAGTCAAAGATGCTAGTTTCTCACCTTTATCTCCTGTTTCTGAATCTCAGTTCGTCATCCTTAAAATGACAATAATAATGGCTACTTCATCATGATGTTGTGAAGATTAAATTGCTGTGGAAAGTTCCTGAA
Organism: Homo sapiens; assembly: GCF_000001405.40. Lineage (NCBI taxonomy): Eukaryota > Metazoa > Chordata > Mammalia > Primates > Hominidae > Homo > Homo sapiens. Next base: position 117,706,472 of record NC_000008.11, read on the forward strand.
ACAGTGCTCAGCAAAAATCATCTCTATTTTTCTTACATTTCCCCTAATTTCATTATGTAGCTAATGTGTGAAGCTGGAAGAAAGAAGTGGATTAGCCATTCTTAAGAGTCTTGGGACATGTGTTTCTTAATCTTCAAGACTCCCTGGTCTTCAACCCTTCAACAGCTCCCTGGAAGAAGAGGTTGTAACCAAGACTGGTTGTGTCCTGAAATTGATGCCTCTCTTTTTCTCCAGTCTAGAAATCCCTGAGATTTAATACAAGGATTCTCAGAATAAAACTACATTCCCCAGCCCCTCTTGCTGTTAGCTGTGGTCATGTGACTGAGTTCCAGCTGACGGATTATGAACAGTAGTGATGAATGCACATCTAAGTCCTGCCTTTATAGGGGAGGAATGTGTGTCTTTCTCTTTCCCACTTCCTGTATCTGAAACGCAGACACAGTGGCTAATCATCTTAGACAATGTGGACAAGGGCACTGACCTCTGGAAAGCAGACAACAAGATAATAGTAGCTTAGTCCTTCCTGCTGCTATAACCAGGGTCTCAGGAATTTGACAGGAATTGGTGCAGGAATGTCTCAGTCTATTACTAAGTATTAGTAATACTCAATATTATTGCCACTATTACCCCAGACTATGTCATTCATAAACAATAAAAATGTATTTCTCATGGTTCTGGAGGCAGGGAAGTCCAATACCAAGGTGCAAACAGGTCCAGTATCTGGTGAAGGCCCTCTATTTGCTTCATGGGTGACATCTTCATCCTGTGTCCTCATGTGGTGAAAGAGTTAAGGGAAGCTCATTCCAGTCTCTTTTATAAAAGCACTAATCCTATTCATGAGGATGGAGCCCTCAAGACTTAATCATTTCCAAAAGTCCTGACCACTTAATACTATCACCTGGTGTATTGGGTTCTAACATATAAATTTTGGGGGTATACCAACATTCAGATCATAGAAGTAACCTAACTCCCCGAACCATGGAGAAATCATGTGAGCCCCTGAATGCTTATGTTCAGCTATCTGAGAGAGAAAGAAATGTTTCTCTTGCTTAAACTACAGATACTTGAGTCTTTGCTGTTTCAGATGAAACTAAATCTGATCTAATACAGAGGCATTAGGAGATCTTCGAATATCCAGGCATTGTTAATGACAAATCCTTACCTTAGGCACTTTTTAAGCCTCCCCCATAGGGATCCCAGCCACCAGGCAAGGCTAATCTGCTTGGTCGGCACTGCCTGCTCACCCTCTTACTGGCCCGCCTACCCAGAGATTTAAAGTTCCCACCTAGGCAACCAACCAGAATCCAATCTAGCCTTGAAAGCCCCTTCCAGAGCCAATCTTGTCAATGAAGCTTTCCCTGCTGAATGATAGCTCTCTGGGATCTCTCCCTTGTCTGAGCTCCATAGCAGCTGACTAGACCATCTGTTGTTTGGTTCCAACCCCATTCTGTTTTCTAGCCCATGGGTTTTCATCCCTATGCCCTTCCTCTTTATATTAACAAATTCATTAAGAATAAGATCCATGTTTTAGGCGTTTTTATCAGATGTTTGTATCTTTATCTGATTTTGGAAGTCATTTCTAACCATGAAGCATCATACTCTGTACTCTAGAAGTAAAGTGGACTTTAGAGATTGGTTTCTACATCTTCCTAAATTGTGATGTCTTCAAAGGCAAAAAAAAACTGTGTCACAATGAGCTCTGTGTCCACAGTAACTGATTCATGCATGTACCTCAGTCAATGCTTACAGATTGATAGATAGATGAATCTTAGCAGGCCCCCGTCATCTAGAATAATGTCTTGTCCTTAATGCCTACATGCCTCTATAAACTAATTACTTAATGTGGGTGTTGCCAAGGAAAGAAACTGTGAAAGGAAAATAAATTTTGGGTACCCCAAATCACTAAGCTAAAGGGAAAAGTCAAGCTGGGAATTGCTCTAGACTAACCTGCCTCCCATTCTATTCAGTCACCCCTCTGCTCACTGAGACAAATGCATATCTGATTTTCTCCTTTGGAGAGGCAAATCAGAAACTCAAAGGAACACAACCATTGGTCTCTTACCTACCTATGACATCCCGCCTTTGCTTCAAGTTGTCCCGCCTTTCCCAGAATGAACCAATGTTCATCTTACATATGTTGATTGATGTCTCATGTCTCCCTAAAATGTATAAAACCAAGCTGTGCTCTGACTGCCTTGGGCACATGTCATCAGTACCTCTTGAGGCTGTGTCATGGGCGTGCATCCTCAGTCCTGGCAAAATAAACTTTCTAAATTAACTGAGACCTGTCTCAGATATTTAGGGTTCATGAAGCTTTTTGATCTTTGGATTTGGAACTTACATTTCCTAAAACACTTTCGTTTGTAGGCAATAGAGGCTTGACAAACTGATTTAGGCAAAAAGTAATTTTAGTTTCATAGAACAGGAAAGTCAAATGAGTACCTTCAGGTAATACTGGATACGGACATTCAAAAAAAGTCAGCAGGGTTCTGTTTCTTTCTCTCTCCATATCTTAGACATGTCTCTCCATACTTCTTTTCTGTGATAGCTTCCAGTAGCCCAAGACTTAACATAGCAAACTCAGCAGCCCAACAAAAAACATGTTCCCTAATATTTGTATAAAACATGTATCAAGGAGTATTTTGATTGCTTTACCCAGCCTGGACATGTGTCTATCTTGAATCACTATGGCCAAGAATTTGGGGTACTTTACTAGACACATCTAGGTCACATGTTCACCTGTGAGACTAGAGGAGAGGGCCAGCTGGGTTAGCCCCATACAGGCTCCAGAATAGAGAAAGGTTATGTTCCAGAAGAAGAGGGACAAACCAACATATGTCCATCACTGTCCTGTAGCTGATACCTCCTTCTAGACTCAGTCAGCTCAAAGGTTTTGCCTGGGATCCACATGATTCTAGATTTCTTCTTGGCCTGGCGCAGTTGCTCACGCCTGTAATCCTAGCACTTTGGAAGGCCGAGGCAGACAGATTGCCTGAGGGCAGGAGTTCGAGACCGCCCTGGGCAACATGGTGAAACCCCCTCTCTACTAAAATACAAAAATTTAGCTGGGTGTGGTGACAGGCACCTGTAATCCCAGCTGCTCAGGAGGCTGAGGCAGGAGAATTGTTTGAACCCAGGAGGTGGAGGTTGCAGTGAGCCAAGATCACGCCACTGCACTTCAGCCAGGTCAACAGAGACTCCATTTCAAAATAAATAAATTAATTAATTAATTAAGTAGATTTCTTCCTACCATCTTCTTGCCACTGTTCTCGTCCTGCAGTCACTTCAGTACGTTCCTTCAGTGTCTCCCCTTGGCTCCACCCCTTCCTGCACTGCCAAAGTGTAATTGATAGTTTAGTAGGCAGAAAGAGAGTGGGCATCCCAGGATTGGGGAAGCTGATTTACCTTCTGACTAATTCAAACCTAGGGTCTGAGGTAACTGGAGCAAGTCCCTGGTGATGCCACACAAGAGAATTCTGCTTCTAGGCATTCCTTTCTGACAGGAAAGAAATTCATGCTGAGCTTATTAATTGGCTCCATCAGCCTGTCAAAAAAGCACTTGGTAGTTACTCTAATCAAGTCATTTGTTTTTTCTAGTTGAGATCAGTTATTCTCCAAAATCTTCAGAAGGCACTGGATTCCTCTAGCCGCTGAAAAGATGGGTTCCTTGAACAATACAAGTGTCTAAAAGTCTCTGTTTGCCAAATTTGCCAGCACTTGGTGAATGCAGTTTTTCTCCCAATAAGAGAAAAGCTTCTCAAGATTGTACACTGAGAGTTTCAAGAATAAATTCTAGATATAATAGAGCTCTAGAGCCACCTACCCCTTTCCAGACCCTTGCCTCCTCCTACCAAGCCACACCAGAGCTTCTCTGAAATCTCAACCCAAGCCAGAATTTGTGTGGAAGACTTCCTAAAGTACTTTGGCCTGCCTGAGCATTCGTGAGGTCAGTGTCTTCTTCTGCTTTTCTCTCTAGCACTTCCTAGGATATATTTAACACTCCCATGATCTCATTTATTAATAATGTGGACTTACAACTTTACAGTTTGCAAATAACCTTTTTCAAGCATTATTGTGGATAACTTTCCCAAAAGCAAGGAGAGATAAATAGAACTATTGTGCTCTAAGAGGAGAGAAAACTGAGATTCAAAGAGTATTATGTAATAGCTTAAGGTTACATGGCTAGTAAGTGGCAGAGCCAGGTCTCAAACTTATGTCCTCTCATTACAAATTCCTTAACTTTTTGTTCCGTAACACAGTCTCTAATTATATCCTGTTGGATGAGTTTGACTCCCAATAAGTCTGCTACCTTGAGGATACAAGGCAGATTTTTGTTTTGTTTGCCTCTGAGTTCTACCTGTAGAAAGCTAGCATAGCTCTGTGTGTGTGATTGGTATTCCAAAATAATTTGTTGACTGAGGGAATAAACCATTGGCCGCTGTGTTCCTGGTGAACTGAGTTGTCTTGGGAATTCAGCTTTGTAGGCAGGGTCTTACTGTCAACTCTAAGAAAGGGAGGCCATACCTTCATTAGCATCTGGAGGATGTGCAAAGTGAAGCCTTCCTGTGGTAGTGGTGAGAATTGATCATTCACACAACCATTCATTCAACCAATACTATTTTCTGTCTTCTATGTACCAGGCAGAGTGATAGGTGCTGACTATAAATTGATAGATAATATACAGACACACCCAACCCAGAAGAGCTTACACCTCTTTGAGGGTCTTGGACTCTAATAGGAGTCATCTAATGATGATGTCTTCATTGTTCTCACCTGTATTCATTTTCTACTGATGAGTAACACATGACCACGAATTTTGCAACCTAAAACAATACCAACTTGTTAACTCAGACTGTGAAGACTCACCTGGGTTATCTGCCAAAGTTCTCACAAAACCAAAATCAAAGGTCAGCCAGGTGGAGTTCTTATCTGAAGCTTCTGAGGAAGAATCTCCCTTGCAGCTCATTCTGGTAGCAGAGTCCAGTTCCTTGTGGTCGTAAGATTAAGGTCCCTGTTTTCTTGCTGGCTGCCAGTTGGGGTTTTCTCTCAGTTCCCGCAGGCTACCCTTAGGTCTTTTCCATGGGGCCACCTCCACCTTTAAGTCTCATACTTCCCCTTTTTCTACCAGCTGGAGAAAGCTCTGCTCTTAAAGGATTCATGTCATTAGGCCAGGACCACACAGATAGTCTCCCCTTCTTATAGTCAATCTCCCAATATAACATCACCTGCTCACCAAGGAGCACTCACAGGGGAGAAGATTTTACAAGGCATGGATCACTGGGGTCACCTTAGAATCTACCAGCACACCACCTCTGCCCAATTTCAGTCACTTAATCACTTCACATGGGCATTTGCCACAATCTAACAAGTGTGTTTTTCCCTGTCCTGTCTCATCCATATTTAATCAGAGGTCACAACACTATACCTTTGCATATGCCCGTCTCTCTTCCTGGAATGCTTTCCTTGATGCTTATCCTCCAACAAAATCCCCTTTAAACTTAATCCTCCTTAAGACTCAAAGGTTACACCCTCTGAGGGTCTTCTCAGCACCCAGCCACCCATCAGAGTTAAATAATCCCTTCCCTCTGTTTTTTATGAGACAATCCATCTCATCACACCAGAATCTAATCCAGACTATTATCGTCTTAAACACCAGACTGTGAGGTCTCTGACATCAGAGTTTGTGTTTCATTCATCTTTGGTTTCCCAGGGCCTCCCACGGATATTGGCACATAGTAAGTGCTCGGAAAGTGTTTGTCAAATTTGAATTGACCTGAACTTTCTATCCTCTGTTCTGCGGATTCATGATTGGAAGAGCAGCACAGATTTGAAGTCTAGTTTGGGGCATAAAGTAAAATATCTGCAATTTTTACCTCCCAGCATGGATTATTTGGTGTTCTGATTATTGAACCCTAATAAGCCATTATGAAACCACAACACCCCCACTTTCCATCCATGCAATCAACATGGGATTTCCTTACTACCCCATCCAAGTATAGACTCACCTATGACTCAGGCTTTGCTAATAAGAGGCACCGTGATTGATTCCAAGATGGACACCTGATGCAATTCAGCTGATGACATGCCTTTCATCCTCTTACACCCTTTGGGAAAGCAGTTTTCTCTTTCCGTCGGACTTGTGGAGCTGGTAAAATAAAGACTTGAAGCAACTAGTGGCTTTCTCTGCCACCCTCTAAAGGAAACCTCATAATGAACCAACACAGAAAAAATAATAGAACTAAGAGATGACAACAGAGAAACACTGAGTCCTGAAGACATCATGAGCCACTGGACTGAGCCACGCCTAAAGCTTGTCATCTTTTGAATTGGCCAGTAAATGAAATCTCTTCTTACTTACATTTCCACTGACACACTTTCCCGTTTATTAATTAGCGTTGGGTTTCTGTTACTTGCAACCAAAACCAAAACCCTGAAAAACACAAGACAGTAATCTCTAATTATGGGGAAAAAATCCAAAAATAACTAACCCCTTCTTACCTCATTAGTCTTCATGAAAACTGAACAAATGGGGTCATTGGAAATGCCACTGCTTCCAAGCTCTTCAATACTAACCTGCTCAATCCTTTTTACTTTGTGTTGGAATGCAAAGACCAAGGATTTGGGGACTGATACTGTAATGAGTAACAGAACAGAGAGTATTGTTCATTACTTTCAGAAGCAGCAACTTAAGTCTTGAAGCCAAGTTTTTCTAAGGGACCCCAGGTGTGCAATTTGCAAGCAAATGACAATCTACATGACTATTGATTGCTTTGACCAGCTAATTATGAGTCTGTAATTTCCTGGGCCCTAGGATTTCTCTCCTATTTCCTATATTGGAACTCCCCTTGGATCTCATTTGTTTGCCCCAAATGATCCCTAGAGAGGAACTTCTCCTCTCATCAGCCTTCCCCACGTCCTTCTCCATCCTGCTGGCCTCTCAATAACTGTGTCACCAGATTTCAAAGGGACTTTCAGCTTATTGCATAATCAGTTCTTCCTCTGAGACATCCCCCACCCCCATCATTACCTCAGGGTGTTGGAACTTTGCTGTAAGCTGCTCACAGATCATTAAAGATCCCAGCTGTTCCTGGTCCATAACAACCCCTTTCAACTGGGTCTCCTTCCAGGAACAGCTGCAAAAGCTCCAGAAAGGAAGGGAGGAGACACATTTAGCATGATAACAAATCAGTAGGGAGTGGCCAGTTTACCCAGAAAGGCTGTGATGCAGTTATATCCACCCAGCAACTCTCCCCACCCTCTAGGAGAGAGACAAATTCGTGCTGCCTCTGTGTGAAAACTCTTCATATCTAAAGGAATGAAATCAAGAATCACAACCCACCCCTGCTCCCTGGAGAGGAACCTGGACAAGGTTCTTGCTTTTTCCATCATCATTCACAAAAAGGCCTGTCAGTGGTTACAAGAAGATTATTATCTTGCATATACATACATATAACATATACTCACACCAAATTAACAACATGGAAGAAGGAGCTGTCATCTATCTCATGCAGGGCACTGTGCAAAGAGTTCAACATATGTTTGCAGGCTGGGCGTGGTGGCTCATACCTGTAATCCCAGCACTTTGTGAGGCCGAGGCTGGTGGATCACCTGAGGTCAAGGGTTCAAGACCAGCCTGGCCAACATGGCGAAACCATCTCTACAAAAAAATACAAAAATAGTAGCTGGGTGTGGTGGCACATGCCTGTAGTCCCAGCTACTCGGAAGACTGAGGCAGGAGGATCGCTTGAACTCCTGGGAGGCGGAGGTTGCAGTGAGTCAAGATCGCATCACTGCACTCCAGCCTGGACAACAGAGCGAGACTCTGTCTCAAAAACAAACAAACAAAAAAACCAGATATGTTTGCTTGTGAATCCTTCTTTAAAAACAAATCACTTATTGATAAGGAAATCAAGGCACAAGGAGATTGAATAACTTGCCCAAGTTTGCACAACTCAGAAGTAGTGGAGCTGGGATTTGAACTCAAGTCGATCTGACTCAAGCCTATGCTGTCAACTCTAATCCCATTCCAATATAAGACCCATTCAATTACCTAATTGGTACAGAGTCTGGGATTTAGTGGGCACCATTAAAGTTTCATTTAATGAATTTATTTTAATGAAGGCAAATTCGTGCCACCATTCTTCCGAAATGCACTTTACCCCAATCACTTTATCTACCTGGAAAACATTGAATGATTGTGCAAGATATATCTTAATTTTCATGTACAGTATACAAAGACTTTACAAGAAGCCCCTTTCCCTTGTTCAGTGGACAGTCTTAGTCATTCCCTCCACATTGTCTCTATTATTGCCTATGTGGCACAATTCTGTATGTATCAAAGACTTTAGTTGTCTGCCTACCCCATGAGAGCTAAGCAACATTGCCTTGAACTTTCTCCTTTCATGGCTTCAGGAAATGCTCCCTCAATATTTCTGCTAATTCCCAAGGGTTTTACATCTCCTCCTCTGTTCTATCTCTCAAGCTCCAGCTTCCTCTATTATTGCTTTTGTCTATCACTACACCACTTGGGAATAAAATTTAACACCTTTAATTTCTATTATACATCAATGTCAGTTTTTCATGCGCCTCGTAATTTGGAAGGGAGGGCAGCAAAAGGAGTCAAGTAGTCTAGCACTCCACTTTCTACCATCTTGTTTGCTCCTACCCTTACCCCTCTCTGCACTCCTCTTATAAGCAATATAATTCCTCAATTTCTTCACACAATGTATACAGAGCAATTTCCCCCCAAATTCTGGTACCAACTAACATCCAGGCCTTGGAAGGAAGGAACAGCAAGAGATGAGAGTAGAGTATAGGAAAAGGGGTGGGGACTCAAATCATACCAAAATCCCTCATGTATTTAATAATTATTTCTTGAGTATCCCCTATCTGTGAGCTAATTAGGACACAGAGATGAAGAAAAACAAGATGTCTATTGTTATGAAGGTTACATCCTAGTAGAAGGAACACAAAGCAAATGAATAAACACAGTCCTTTCCAACTGTGATGATGTGAAAGTAACCTGTGAGGTGGATGGTGACTAATTAAGGTAGAGTGGCCAGGCATGGCCTGACCTTAGAGGTGATATTTGAACTGAGAGTTGGAGAGGTGAAAAATCAGCCATGCCATGAACTTGAGACAAGGGTTATAAACTGAAAGAACTATAAGGGCAAAAACTCTGAGGCAGCAACAAGCTTTTGTGTGTTCTGGAAAAAAAAAAGTGAGAAAGTAGCCGTAAAATATGAAGACAGAGACAGATAGTGGCAGAACACATAAAAGGTTTTTTTCTTCACTCCAGCGGAAATCTATGGGATATTTTTGACATATGAGTGACCCGATCTAATCACCAAAACATTTTTTTTCAAACAAAATAAACACTTCTTCCTATTTATGCATGTATTTTCCTTACCAGACTATGAGTTCCTTGAAACAGACAGGCATTGGACAAGTTACCTCATATAAAATGATGAAATGACATAGACATAGCTTTATGTTTTGCATTCTTCTCATTTCATGTTTTACAAATGAAAAATGCTTGAACAAATGAATAAATTATTATTAAAAATACATGCTTAACATGCATTTCAATATTTAAATGTATATATAAAGCAAAGTTGACAGAAATAAAAGGAGAAGTAAACAAATCTGCAGTCATCATCTAAGGGTTAAAGAAAAGTCATGAGAAAAATTAAAAATTATTTAAACTGAATGGCAATGAGAATACTATATGTCAAAACTTGCGATATAAAGCAAAAACAATGCATATATTAGAAAAAAAGATTTAAAATTAATGTTCTAAACTTTCATTTTTAAGACACTAAGAAGTAAAATTAAATCTAAAGTAAGTAGAAAAAAGGAAATAATAATAAAAGTAGGTATCAGTGAGCTAGAAAACAGAAAAGCAATTAAAAAATCAACAAAGGCAAAAAAACACATGTTTTAAAAATATTAACAACTTGTTAAACCCCAAACAACACTGATGAAGAAAAAAAAGATAGAAGACATAATATCAAGGGAAAAAAAGCAGAGCCATTTTTGCAATTTCTATAGAAATTGTAAGGATAATGCAATAAATATATCCTACAAAATGCTCTTAGCCAGAACATGTAAATATGTAAAGAATTACTACAAATTAATAAAAAGAAAAACAAATAATCCAATTTTTTTCAAAAGTAAAAACATTAAAAGGTAATTCACATAAGAGAATACACAAATGTAAATTAACAAATAAATGTATTAGTCGTCAAGAAAATGCAAAGTAATGGCAAAAACTGCAATTACTTTTGCACCAACCTAATACTACCACACCTACATAAGGATAACTAAAATTTTAAAAACTAACAAAATTAAGTTTGGGTGAAGATAAAGAACAACCAGAATCTGCGGACACTGCTAGAGGAACCACAAATTAATACCCTTTTAACACTGTTTATTAGTATCTATTAAAGCAAACATATATGTCTCTATAACTCGTCAGTTCCAATCCTGTGTATACACCCCTCCAAAAGGTGTGCTTATTTCACAGCAGCTCTGTCATCATATCCCCTAACTAGAAATACCAAGAGCAGGATGGATGAATCTCACGGAGAGTATTAGACAAAAGAAACTAGACACAATCAGCTTCATGCTGTATGAATCCATGTCTATGAAATTCAAAATCACAAAACTAAACCATAGTGCTAGAGATGTCCTTCCAGGTGGTGTGTGTTGGTAGTAAGAGTCATGAACAAGCCTTCTGGGGCACTGGAAATGTTCTATGTCTTGATCTGCATGATAATCCCATAAGTGTGCATAGATGTAAGAGTTTATTGAATCCTATGCCTAAGATCTGTTTACTTCACTGTTTGTGAATTAGGCCTCAGTTAAAAGGTACAAAACAAAAGTTATGTATTATTTAAACATTCCTTAAACAAACAAAAACAAGTTATTCATTAAAGCAATAGTCACGCTGCATGCAGTGGCTCATGCCTTTAATCCCAACACTTTGGGAGGCCAAGGAGGGCAGATCGCTTGAGCCCAGGAGTTCAAGACCAGCCTGAGCAACATGGTGAAATCCCATCTCTACAAAACACGCAAAAATTAGCCAGGTGTGGTAGCATGCATCTGTAGTCCCAGCTACTTGGGAGACCAAGGCAGAAGAACTGCTTGAGCCATGGAGGTCGAGGCTGCACTGAGCCATGATCATGCCACTGCTCTCCAGCCTGGGCCACAGAGTGAGACCCTGTCTCAAAAAAAAAAAAAAAGTCATGTAATAATAATATAGCTGATTTCTCCCCACTGGCAACATGCTCCCCCAGCATAAAACTATGACCAACTCATAATTAGACTTTTACTTCTTGGAGCCTACTAGATGTTCAATATATAATTGTTGAGTTTACAGAATTATAGTAATGGAAGGGCATAAGTTTATCTGTTTCCCCTTTTAGAGAGCTCTCTCTAACTCATCTGATGGTGCAGTCCAGATGGTATATCTCTAGGAATTCATTGTTTCCACTATGTTGGGCCAATAAATTATGCCAGCTACCACATGGAGATGTTCAAGCTTCTGAAAGTACCAACCTCACATGAGCTTAGAAGCTGGCAGACACCTGGGAATGCTGAGATGTAACAGAATGTCCAATAATGTGAAGTGACGTCAGTGAATGCTTGGGAAGGTGCAAAACATAAATAGAATTCAAAACAGTAAGACAATAGTGTAGCAAAAGTGAGGTGACTTTAAGAACTTCAAAATGAGGTTAGTCTCTGAAGATAAAACTGCTAAAATCTATCCCTGAAATATGAGCCATTTATCAATGTTGACCAATCAGTTGTTAGAGTTTGGGGAAATGCTCAAATTTTAATCAAAATACTTAGGGAATAGCCTCGAGGAAGCACAGATGATACTAGTCTACCTAAAACTGCATACACACAGCATCAGCTTGGCACATTAACATGAGCTAACTTATCAGAGAAAAACAAATTGATTTTTGGTAATTTGGCCAGAGCTGACACTTCATCAACTGCATTGACTCTCGTTGGAAGGAAAGGATGTGCAAGCATGGCGGGGATGATGGGCATGCCCGGGGATGACGGGCAGGCCATCCTAAAGGGAAACAGTGTATCAGCATTTACCAGCCCTGTCTTGACTTTGGATCAGGAAGCAGAAGTATTCTGGTTAATAGAAAAAGTTGACTGTTGAGGGATAAGTGGAGTTTTCTGTATCATTCTTGCCTAGCTACAATCACTTTGGGTTAGAACTACCTCCCTTTGCTCTGATCCCTTTACTCAGAAATGTCCTGGGAAATGTAGAGAGGCCTTGTTTAATTTCCCATGGGAAGCCACATATGAGGAACGAATATGACCCTGAGCACCAAGGTCTGGCTGCTCATCATGGTTATTAAGTAACATTTGTTAGTTATTCTGAGCAGTCACTTACTGAGCTATATTACTCAGGATAGGCCGAAAGTGCTGTTTCAAAAACCCTGAATCTCAGTGGTTTAACCCAATAAAAGTTTAGTGTTTTCCCTCACTTACGGTCATGCATGAGTCTTGGGTGGGAATGGATGAGGAAGCCCTAATCCACACATTCAACGAGGAACCTAGGCCTCTCTTATCCTTGACACCATCGTCCCCCAGGTCCTCAGAGATCTCTTATTTCAATTGATAGATTAATAAAGAGAGAAAGAATTGCACATAGAAGGTTTGCTGGGCCAGTTTGAATGGACATAAAATGCGTATTCACATTCCAATGGTGGGAAGTGATTCACATGGTCGCATCTGACTGCAAGAGAAATTGAGAAATACTTTCTGAGTACTCAGAAAAGAGAGCATAGAAATTGTCATGCCCTAATAATCTCTGCCTGTTGTACTAAATGTTTTATATTAATTATATTATGTAATCCTTATCACATTCCTTAAACGGTGGTAGAATCAGAGTACTGTAATCTTACAGGAGAGGAAACAGAAGTATAGCTGGGATAAGTAACTCGCTGAAGAACAGGGAACTAATTGTATTTGAGCCAAAGCAAGGTTAGAACACATCTCTGGAGTTCCTGCTTTTAACCACTAAGATAAACTATATTTATTGTGGCAAATTAATATTAAAATATTAGCCTTCAGATTTATAAGTTTCAGGGCATTTACAAGACAGTGAGTTTGAACTGGAAGACTAGATTCTAGAATACGGTGACCCTCCAAGGCACTTCCTCCTCTGAGGCCATGATGAATGTCCAGCCAAGCCTGCAGTACATCCTGTCTGGACAAACTAAAACAAATAAGGATATGAGTTAAGAGTAAATGAGGACTTATCACCAAGCCAAGCTGAATTCTTCAAATCTTACATGAGTTGAACTTTTTAAATCCCTACCACAACTCAATGAAATAGGTACTATTATGAAGATATTGCAACACAGAGAGATTAAGAAACTTGCCCAGGACCACACACTCAGAAAGGCCCGGAGCCAGAGTTAGATCCAAGGCAACTTCAGTTCTAGAATACGTTCTCTGGGCCACTATGTTAAAGAAAAGTTCAACAAGGATGACATTAACTCTGTTGGTATACTGTTTTCATCCACGGTGATTCCCATAATCACCCACATAGAATGAAAACTTGATGTAACTCATGTATCATCTCCTCTTCCAAGGAGGACAGGGCACTTCTTCACACAAAAAGGTACACGGGAAGTATTTATGAAACTAAAATTATTTAAGTTGTATTAAATTGAAGGTTGTAACATGGTGCCCTTTTTCCTTTCATCTATATCCATCTATATCCATAAAATTAAAGATAGCTAAGTATTTTATATAAATTATCTCATTTAATCCTCATAAAACTCACCAAGGATATAATTTTACTTCCATTTAACAGGTCATAACACCAGGTTTTATCATAAAGAAACAAAGTCTGATAATATCTGACTTATATGTGAGAACAAACTTCCTAACACTTTTATAATGATTTCTGAACATCTCTCTAAATGATGAGAAATATCCTACTCTGGCATTCCAAGAATATAGGCGGTTGAAAATTCAGGACTTTGCTTTCACAATTCTATCTTTTTTACTTCCAGGGAAGTCATTTCCGTGAAGCACTGGTGTGAACAACAGTCACAAGTGGGAAGAGCAATGGAACAAGGAGGAGGAGGAATGAAATGGTCCTATAATTTTAGAAAGAGTGTGAAAAAAAGAAGTTAGACTTCTAGGTTCTATTTCTGGCTCTGCTTCTGTTTTCAAGCCAGCCAGCCATCTTTCTACCTTTTTCTCCATTAATTGCCAAAGGTGGAGAAGAATATAGACTGAGTATGAAGCACCTTGTCATGCTTGGATGAAAGATCCTGTATTATGACGAGCGCAAAACCAGAATTGATCATGTTGTGAAATCCACACTGTGTTGTAATATATTGGTTTCAAGCTTTTCAGGAATACTTTTGCTCTGAATTCATAAGGTTAGAGAAGGCAAAATTGCATTTTAAGATGGGAATGCCAAAGATGGATGTAGCCCATTGAAAACAGGCAATGGCTTTGAGCAAAGCTAGCCCCACAATAACTTGTAATGGTAGTGAAGTTTGTGATCCATCATATGATCTTTTCTTCCTGCCTTTTTTCTTCCTCATTAAATAACCCATTTCCCTAAGTACCAGTTTGTATATATTATCTTTATTATTATTTGTATATGTGTAAGGAGCACAAATGCAATTTTATTACATGGATATATTGTGTAGTGGTGAAGTCTTAGTTTTTAGTATATCCATCACCCAAATAATGTACATTGTAACCCATTAAGTAATTTTTTATCATCCACCCTCTACTCACCCCCCAACCCTTCTGAGTCTCCAATGTCTATCATTCCACACTCTATGTCCATTTGTACACATTATATAGCTCCCACTTATAAGTAAGACTATGTGGTACTTGTCTTTCTGTTTCTCAATTGTTTTACTTAAGATAATGGCCTCCAGTTCCCTCCATGTTTCTGCAAAAGACATGATTTCATTTTCTATGTCCAAATAGTATTCTATTGTGTATATATACCACATCCAATCATCCACTGATGGACACTTAGATTGATTCCATATCTTTGCTATTGTGAATAGTGCTGTAGTAAACGTATGACAACTGTAGGTATCTTTTTGACATAATGATTTCTCTTCATTTGGATATACACCTAGTAGTGAGATTGCAGGATAGAATGGTAATTCTATTTTTGGTTATTTGAGAAATCTCCATACTGTTTCCATAGAGGTTGTGCTAATTTACATTGCCAACAACAGTGTGTAAGTGTTCCCTTTTCTCCTCATCCTCCCCAACGTCTGTTATTCTTTGTCTTTTCAATAATAACCATTCTGACTGCTGTAAGATGATATCCCATTGTGGTTTTAATTTGCATTTATCTGATGATTAGTGATGTTGAGCATTTTTTCATATGCTTGTTGGCCATTTGTATGTCTTCTTTTAAAAAGTGTCTATTCATATTCTTTCCCACTTTTTAATGGGATTATTTGGGAATTTTTTGTTGAGTTGCTTGAGTTCTTTGTAAATTCTGGACATGGACCCCTATCAGATGCATAGTTTGGAAATATCTTTGCCCATTCTCTAGGTTATCCATTCACTCTGAGGATTATTTCTTTTGCTGTCCAGAAGCTTTTTAGTTCAATTAAGTCCCATTTGTCTATATTTGATTTTGTGGCATTTGCTTTTGAGGTCTTTGTCACTGAATTCTTTGCCTAGACTAATGTCCAGAAGAATTTTCTCTAGGTTTTCTCCTAGTATTTTTATAGTTTCAGGTCTTACGATTAAGTTTTTAATCTATCTTGAGTTGATTCTTGTATATGGTGAGTGACAGGTTATCCCTCTCAAGAATACTGCGTATTCGAGGAAAAAGAATTCCAAGAAAGAAACTGTGTGGACAGCATTGTGGCCCATTAACTATCCTTCCAGTTTGATATTCACATAAATATCCTCCTGTTGAGGGAGGATGGTAAAGGAGAAGTAGCGCTGAAGAATTCTGAGGTCCTTTTCAATATTGTGAAGTATTCTTTATCAATGAAGGACAGTTGTTGTTGCATTTAACTGATTAGGGCTTTCCCAATACCCATCCTAAATTACTAGCAATAGCCATTCTAAATTACTAGCAATAGCCATCCTAAATTGCATAGGTTGTGGTAGTTTTCATCCTGAGCACTGAAATTTCATGAGACATACTGCAAGTTTTTATGGAGAAGAGTGTGATCGTGGTGACATGCTTAGTGTGGGCGTGGGTCCATATGGTCTTGATCCAGCGATGTAGTTTTGACTATAGGCCATTTATTTGTCACAGAGTTCTAAGAATATCAGGTATCTCTTGAACTCCTCCTTCCTCCAACTTAAACAACTGGTCCAGGGCCATGTCAATACTGATGTCAATGTCAAGCGTAAATTACTTGTGATCTGTAAACAAATCTTTACAATGCCAAAGCAGTGTCCTTCAGAAGTAGGAAGGTATCTCTTTTTCAAAATCTCTGTCATATATTGTCCCATATTTTTCCCAAACAGGACTTTCTCCTCAGGTCTCACTGGTAGAAATGGGTTCTTCAACCTCTACCAGACCCCTTTCCATCAGACATCAGTATGAATTTGTTGGTTTGTGTTCAGATACTCTGATGTTCTCCTCATGTTCTTCAACCCTCTTCCCTCTCACAAAAGGAGGCACATCATTCTCTTCTTAGAAGAAGTCCTCTTAATCTGATGTAAAGCACCTCAGATAAATAGAAGGCTAAAGGCTATTGTCTCTACCACTTCATAGATAAGCCCAGGCATCCTGAATCTCTTTTACACTCACCTGAGACCTCCCTCCTTCATCCTATTCACAAAAGTACAGATGACAGGCTCATACGGCTCAGCATCACAATGTCTTCCCAATCCTGTTTCATTAATTTCTAAAGAATTACACTAAAATAACAATCTTCAAAAAGTGCCTATGTCTAAGAACCTCTTTTAAAGTAACTTAATGTTTCTTTCTCTCATGCAACAGGTCTCTACTTTTAAAACTTATGTATGTGGCCGGGTGCAGTGGCTCATGCCTGTAATCCCAGCACTTTGGGAGGCCGAGGCAGGTGAATCGCGAGGTCAGGAGTTCGAGACCAGCCTGGCCAATATGATGAAACCCCGTCTTTACTAAAAATACAAAAATTAGCCAGGCGTGGTGGCAGCGCCTGTAATCCCAGCTACTTGGGAAGCTGAGGCAGGAGAATCGCTTGAAACCAGAAGGTGGAGGTTGCAGTGATGAGCTGAGATCACGCTACTGCACTCCAGCCTGGGCAACGAGAGCAAAACTCCATCTCAGAAAAGCAAAAAACAAAACAAAACAAAACAAAGTATGTATGTGACTCTCTTAACAACTAAACCTCCTCTATTAGGAATCTTACTACTGTGTTACTTCATCTCAAATCTTTTAATAGTCTCCTGGTGACTTTGAGAAGTATCATGAAGAAAACCTCTCCATTTTCACTCCACTTTGAAACTGGTCATGTCTTGGGAACTGACTCATTCTACTAACCATATAGCAAAGAGAAAAAACATAGTTCTTAGTTTAAAACATGAGCAGTTGTGTCACACATCTTTGTGTTTTGGTAAATTCATCATTAGAGAGAGAAAAAAACATCAGTGGAGTTTAAACCCTTTGTCTTGTTAAGTCACAAAAAATTCGTGGGCTAAATAAACCATGCAGTGTCAAGTTCATGCTGTTTCTATAATCTCATTATTTCTGGTTCCTCAATAAAAGCAGGGTACCAGTTATTCTAATTTCAAAGTGCCTCCCTACACTCTCACACAGAAAACCTTGGTTAAGAAATAAAAAGCATGCTGTCATTCAGGCACACATGAGGAGGTTAGTCATTTTGGTTCATTATTTCTAAATAACACAACAAGCCCCTGAAATTTTTGTAGTCTTCAAATGGTCCTGCAAATCGATGTCGACCTTGCATGTTAGAATCATGATTGCCTGTTGTGTCTCTTTGATTATTTAGGGGAAAAAAAAGGTATTGAAATATATACTAATGGATTATTTAGGGAATTAGAGTGTAATGAACATGGGTTAACTTTAGTGCTTCAGAGCAGTATGAGAGCTACACGGTTACCAGCAAAGGATGGGAGCCTCCTGAAAGCTGGAATGCTGCAAATATATCTCATCACCTTCAAATCCTGACCACTCTTTTTTTCACATGTATTAATTTAACAAATATTATTGAGTATTTAAAGTGTGCCATATTCTGCCTACATCTAATGGCAACAACAATAAAAAATCGTGATCCTTCCTCCAAAGCTCAAAAGCTACTAGAGACACTGATCTATAAAGGGATCATAATACTCAAATAATATAAAGGATATAAAGAATGAGGATAGAAAGTGCAATGGGAAGTCACCATATTAATAGATTAAAGAAAAAATTCTTAGCATCCTCTTCATAGGTGGTAAGAAGTCATGTGATGGCATTCAATCTCCTGGCCACAAAAGAGAAACCTTATTTCTCCTCACGAAATACAAGAAAACAAGCAGAGGAGCTTGTTTTCTTCCAGTAAGGTGGGCATATAACAATGCATGCTTATCCCCTTGTTCAATCAGCTACTGGTTTACTCTCTTCCCAGGACAGAGGGAGTAGCAAAGCTAATTGGTTAATTGTCATTCACTGAGCCTTGTCAAGGTAACCTCTTGCTTCTTTAGACATTTGGGCTCCAAGGCAGAAATGGTTCTTCTTTCTTCTCTGCTTCTTGTTTCAGCATGGGAAACTTTTCCGAAGAAGACCTTCCCTAATCCCATGGGTTAAAATTGTCTGCTCAATGACATATAGTTCTATGAGCTATATCACAGAGGGTGTTTCAGGTCTTTTGAATTTGATCTTAAAAGCAATAGGAAATCATTGAAGAATATTAAGCAGGGAAGAGACATGATCAGTTCTGTGTTTTCAAAAGTTCACCATAGCTGCCACATACTGAATGGTTTGCTAAGAGAGCAGTTCAGAGGCCTCTGCTGGGCCTTTTACAGGAGCGATGGATGGAGAAACAAGGATAGATTCAGGATACAGTTTGGAGTTAGAACACACAGCTCTAAGTAATTGAAGAGTTGCAGAGGACAAGGGAAAGGAAACTGACAAGGATAATTTCCGAGTTTCTGTCTTGAGCAACTGCATGTATGGAGGTGTCCTTTTTTTGAGATGGGAAATTCTGCAGAAAGAGCGCATTCAGGAACCTGGAGGAGGATCAGGAACTCCCTTCTAGACAAGTTGAGATTTAGGAGATATATACAGAAGCTGCTAGCAGTCCAGTTGGATATTCGAGTCTATAGCACGCACACACACACACACACACACACAAACACACTCTCTCTCTCTCTCTGTCTCTCACGAGATGACTGAGATGAAAATATAAATTTCAAATTTGTCAACATACATAGATGATATTTAAAGCCCTGAGTGTGAGGTGATCCCCTAGGGAGAAGAAAAAAATGAAAGGGGAAAAGAAAGAGATTAAGAGAATGAGACATGGTTATGGCTATAATTAGCTACTGTTAACTGTCACTGGGAAGGACTTGTCTTTGAGTACACAAAGAATAATGGGCAGACTTACTTTCCATTAAGATGATAGGATGAAGGTGTCAGGAATGTTTTCTATGATTTTTTCCAGGCCACCCCAGTAGTTGGCATCTCCTCCCCTCTCCCAATCCCAAATTTCATCCTCAAAGGTACAACACTATGGGATATAAGAAGCCTTGTTAAGTGATAGTAGAGGAATACTCTTTTTGATGTGTGTTATTTACTTCTAGGTATTAAGTTTTCTCCCCCAAGAGTGCCATCCGCGAATTTGTAGTGTTTGTATTCTCACTAGCTCTGTTAGCCCTGTTAACCAAGTGAAATCTCCATGTGAGAAGCCAGAGGGTAGCTATCAAATCCTACCATTCAGACACTTTATGGAAATGAACTGAGTAGATTACAAAAGGAAGAGCCAAATGCCAAATACCATCCTCCCCACATCAGTCCCTAGGTTGACATTTAGGCAACAGCCTCTGAGTCTATGAGGTTTTCTGAGATTGTTCAGAAATCTAGCCAAGGTTACTAAAAACTTCAATTCAAGAGCCAGTGGGTCTTTGCCACTTACTTAGTGCTTCATGAATATGCACTTCAGCATGTACCCCTTCCTGTTCTTTTTTTTCTCTTTCCTTTTCTCTGTGATTTTTATACATGATGCCCAGCTCACTATGGGTCCAGCACAAGGAAAAGAGGTATCAAGTGTGAGAAGAATATGTGACAGCTGGTGCCATAGAGCCCCCATCAAGGGGGAAAAAAAAAAAAAAACAGAATAAGACCAATTTCAGTTTTTCCTACAGTGCTTGGAAAATATTAGCTCACTTGTAAGCCAAATTTGGGTGTACTCATAGAAAGCATTTCAAGGCACAGAATTGTTATTTAGCTAAATGTGCCAAGTCAATTCACTCAAGGTTACAGTATAACCATCCATTTCTTCTTTACTCTTTCCTTTTATGTTTAATGACCCCTCTCAAAACGGGAGATGGTAGAAAAATACACCCAACTTTTTGCTGTTCATGGTGCTAACACTCAGGGAATCTACTATGACAGTCGTCCTCAAATTTTAATAGGTGTAAGAATCACCTGGAGCATTTGTTAAGATAGTTTTATGCACCCCTTCTGATTCAGCAGGTCAGATGAACTTGCATTTCTAACATGTCTGCAGGTGATGCTGATGCTGCTGGCCCTACAACCATATTTTGAGAACCAATTTGTACTTGATCTCCCAGAGGTCCCAGTGGAAATGAGCCCCAGTTGCTCACGTAGTAACCTACTCAGTAACTCACTCTTTCTTCACTTCTTTCCCTTCCCCGCGTGATGTTCCTATTCCTCTAACCAGTGTTTTCTGGGATCATCTCCCTAATAAACTATTTTCACTCAAATCTCAGGCTCAGTGGCCATTTCTGAAATTAATTCAAACCAAGATAAAGACAGAGCCACAGGGCAAATAAGCAAAAAGGAAAGCAATGGGAAACGTCTCAGCAGGAGGCTGCCCACGCTGCTGTGCAGAGCACTGCTGCAGCCTCAGGGCTCCTGGAAGTTTCAGCGGTATGCTCTCTGCAAGCCTCACTCCAGACTCAGTCTCAGGCCAGAGCATTAGGTGGACTAAGCCTTGGACTAATGCTGCTTTTTTGGCTGCCTAAATGCCCAAGTTCAAAATATCGATATAATCTTGGATTTCTCACTCTCCATTTCCCTTTATCATCCAATTGATCATCACATGTTGCCACTTCAGCCTCTTTACTTCAAAGATGTTTCCTCATCCACATCCTCTATGTCCAGTTCAGGCCCTCCCTCATCCTTTTTCCCTTGGCAAACAAGAGTCAAGTGACTGATGTCTCTGTCCTTAGTCTGGTCTCTTTCTTTTTTGAGACAGATTCTCTCTCGCTCTGTCGCCCAGGCTGGAGTGCAGTGATGTGATCTTCACTAATTGCAACCTCTGCCTCCTGGGTTCAAGTGGTTCTCCTGTCTTGGCCTTCTGAGTAGCTGGGAATACAGGCGTGTGCCATCACTCCCAGCTAATTCTTGTATTTTTAGTAGAGACGGGATTTCACCGCGTTGGCCAGGCTGGTCTCAAACTCCTTACCTCAGGTGATCAGCCCACCTTGGCCTCCCAAAGTGCTGAGATTACAGGCATAAGCCACTGTTCCCGGCCCCCTCTTCTTTACATCCTTAATACTGATGCTAGTATAAACTTTCTAGAATGAAAATATGACCAGTCCCTGAAAACCTTCTGGTGGTTCCTTGGATAAAGGCCAAGATCAAAGAAGGCCATCTATAACCAAATCCCTGCTTAGTTCTCCAGTCTAATCTCTCATTTCTTCCAAGCATACACTGTACACTTAAGTCACATCAATTTACTTTCATGATCCTATACAGATGCTCTCTTTCACCTCCATGCTTCTGCTGACATGCCTGGAACTCACTTATTCAACAAATATTATACTGAACTCCAAATCTATGCCAGATACTGTTCTAGATGGTAGTTATATAGCTGGGAACAAACATGATAAAAATTCTGCCCTCAGGGAGCCTCCCTTCTCACATGGTGAGACAGACAATATACGAAATCAATAAGAAGAATGTCAGATAGTGACATGTGCCAAGGAGAAAGAAGATACAGTGCGATAGAACAAGAAGTTCAATTTTAAATGGGATGTGAAGGGAGCCCTCAATTAAAAAGAATACATTTGAGCAAAATCCTCCTGGAGAGAGGCAGTGAGTCTTGCAGATATCTGAGACAGGTTGTTTCAGCAGAGGGAACAGCAAGGCTGAAAACCCATCCTTGTTCTCCTTTTCCTGCCTGGATTCCCTTATCTAATTCATCCTCCAGGTTGGATCTCTCCTGCTACCTGGAGCCTTGCCTAACTCCCATTGTCCATTCTCAACTAAACATCCCACCTCTGTGCTCTGAGAACATCTGGCCATGTGCTTATTACAGCATTTAAAATATTGATGATAATAAATTGCAGTTAACATGTGTAACGTACTTACTGAAGGCCAGGTATTGTGTGGTTCACTTGGATGACCTGCTTTCAATACTCATGTCACTGTAAGAAGTTGTGTATTTATATTATCTCATTTTATTATCTCATCCCTGTCTGCTTTACAACAAGGAAGAAATTGACACACAGAGAAGTTAAGTAACTTGTTTAACATCACCAAGAATTCTAGACTGGGCTTTTGGATAACAGGGACAATGTAGCTCCCATATGTGTGCCCTTCACAATGGTCTAGCTCTCAAAAAGGATCACTAGCTCAATGCTTCAAAAAGACCTTAACATATTCATTTAGTAAAATGGAACTTCTCTCTGTATCTTACCAAATCATGATCACATGAATCTATACATGTTTGATGAGTATGTTTGTGATGTATAACTTAAAAGTGAAATTTATTTGGTGAGACTCTGGGGTCACCTCACAAAGAAAGACTGGCATCTTTCAGAGAAGCTGGTATGGAAATGAATGCAAAGCTGTTTGGCTGCAAATTGGGAGAGACCTGCTCTATGAATTAAGACTCCATAGACTGAGGGAAACAGTAATGGTTTCAATGAAAAGCTCCAAATGGAAAATCAGATGTTCAGAATCACAGATGTTGATGTATCATCAAGCCGCTTCTCACATGAGCACCTCCACATTGCTCTCCAGGTGAGTGGCAAGTCTCCGGGTGAGTAACTCCAGGGAGTTATTTATATAATTATGGTCAACAATTCTCCCAAGCAACTCCATGTGGGCTTGCAAGTGTCTAATATTTGTGAAGTTCTGCCAGCTAATCTTACCATTTCTCAGCTCCAGAATTGTACTACCTGTCTTTCTAGCCTAGTGTTTCCTAAGTGGCAATGATTTTGCCCTTTGGGGGATATTCAGCAATATCTGGAGATGTTTTTGGTTGTCACAACTGGTGGGGTCAGGTGCTACTGGCATCTAGTGGGTAGAGGCCAGGGATGCTGTTAAACATCTTACACTGTACAAGACAGTCTCCCGCAACTGAGTTATCCAGTCCAAAATGTCAACAGTGCCACAGACCTGTCTTGTTGCCTTTTATAATCCAAAGTAGCTCCCTTTGGTTCTCACCCAATGATGTGTCAAGAGTATAAGCACTGTCCTTGCTGTTGTTTACTGGGGAGAATTATTGTTGCATTACATACATTTCCTGAAGTTGAATTGGGATGAATCATTGGAGCAAAAATGATTCTCAGGTTGCTGCTTCAGCCTGGCATGCTCTTCATACCCTGTCCTTGGGGTGAACACTAATTCCCCTTGAAACTCAGAAGTGCCACTTCCAATATGAAGACTTCTCTAACACCCCACAGGGAGAAATAATCACCTTTTCCTTTGCACCCCAACCATATCCCGTACATAATTCCAGCAAAGAAACCATAATACTTCATTGTCATTATTGTTACAAGCCTGTCTCCTTTACCACATCCCCATTAGCCCTTCACTGGAGCTCAGAGACCATGTCTTACTATTTTTCATTTCCCATGCCCGTAGCACAGCACCTGGCCCTTAATAGACATTTAATGCACGTATTTGAAATGAATGCATTTTCAGGGAGAAATCTGGTTCTCGCAGTTGTTCTACATTCAGCTACTCTAATTTTTACCATAAATGTGACTTTCTTCTCCAGTTTCCAAATAGAATAAAAGCCAAGCAAACTACGTGGCCCATCCCTTTGCCCTCAGCCTCATGGCCCATATTACTAATGTTCAAGTTCAGAAGACATTTATCCAAAGCCCCAAAACAGCAATATGAAAGTCCTAGTGATGGTGGGAAAGGATGATAAAAATAGGCTGCTTAAAAATCAAGCACTTTTGCACAGAAAAAAAAGGAGAGGCAAACAGCCACTGGCACCTTCCTGTGAGTAACAGAAGTTTCTATTTTAAAAGAAAGGCAGTCAAATAACAAGCAACTTTATCACAATGCTGCTTTCCCAGATTTTTTGGCCAAGGCAACACATCAGCCTGGATCAGACTCTTGGCATTCCATGATGGACCCCGCTCCAATGATGATTCATAGCAGCCATGTGAGGAATGGAGACTTTCACACGAACTCGCCTCTTAAAAAAAAAAAAAAAAAAAAAAGCCAGCTATTGCTGATATCTCCAGATATCAGCCAGTAAATGCAGCTCTGTCAAGCCTGCATGTGGCACTCAACTTTCCTCGGTAAATGACAAGGTAAGTGATGAGGTGGCCAAAGGCCTGGCCTCTCAGTGGTTCCCCATCATTTTACTCTCAGGTAGCCAGGATGTTTCCTCTCTTGGTTCAGTGTTCAAGTATCCCAGAAGTTTCATGAACACAGTGGAAAAACAAATCTAATCCTTGTTTTCTTTCTTCACTCTTAAACTTTCTTTGGTTTTGAGTAATCTGTGTAGCTTTTGGATGGCTTTCACATTAGGAATTTAAAAAAAAAAAAAAGTTCCCCTTACATCATTTTGACTTCCAGGTATTAAATAGTTGAGATGTCTAAGTTTGTTTGTGTTTTCATTAAGTTAACGTTTCTATCACCGTCTGCTCCTGATAGGCTTCAAGAAAACAATGCTGACCATTTAAGAATAAAACAGCACAGTTCATTGGAAGGAAACAGAAGGGATGAATGCTCCTCGTAGCCTAAACCGAGTTGATTATCATTCTTGGGCACAATGTTGGCTTCAAGTTTTCCTGAAGCTAAGCCAGAAAAAAGAACAGATTGCAAGTGTGTGCATGTCAACACTGAGGAATTCGGATATTGAAAAGCGGGGAGGCAGGCCCCCACATCTCTTTCCTGAGAAAGGCTCAGGAGCAGGGGGAGCAGCCTCCTGTCCCTCCTAAGAGTGGGCGGTCCTGCCCTACACAAAGTCTGGCGAGAGGAGGAAGTCACTCTGGGACTTTCCCAATGATAATGGCAACATGTCGCTGGACTTCTGTCTAAATGACGTGCTCAAGGGCACAGATCCAAAAGAGAAGGTCTAGAACCCAAAATGAGAGCCTACTAGGCAGGACAAGCAGGGTGCTTTTTAGGTCTGTGATGCCTGACTTTTAAAAAGCAGTCCCACCATGGAATTTCTAAAATTCAGTTGATTCTTTCAAAATAGCGAAGCCAGGTTGGTCTCAAACTCCTGACCTCAAACCCTGTCTCTACTAAAAATACAAACAGTTAGCCGGGCATGGTGATGGGCAC
Source organism: Homo sapiens (assembly GCF_000001405.40). Taxonomy (NCBI): domain Eukaryota; kingdom Metazoa; phylum Chordata; class Mammalia; order Primates; family Hominidae; genus Homo; species Homo sapiens. The sequence continues at coordinate 117,732,165 of NC_000008.11, forward strand.
CATTGCACTGAGTGACAAGAGTGAAACTCTGTCTCAATAAATAAATAAATTAATTAATTTAATTAAATAGCAAAGCCCTAACAACCCAGTTGCTATTATAAGTATCTGCCACTTATTAAGCATTTTTCAGTCAATCCTCACAATAACACAATAAAAAAAGTAAGGACACTTATTAAGAGCTTCCAGGTAGCAAGCACGGTTCCATGCTCTTTATGTACTTACATACTTTAATGCATTAAACTCTTTCAACAACTCCATGGAGTATTTACTATGACCCCAGTCTTGCTGGTGAGGAAGTTGAGGCACAGAGTTATTTAATGGTGTCACCATCACAGGAGTCCTGACTGGGGGAGGTCCAGTATGAACCTAGATTTCTATCTCCTAGATCATGCCTTTATTTATTTTTAAATAACAGCTTTATTTTTATTTATTTATTTATTTATTTATTTATTTATTTATTTATTTAGAGATGGAGTCTTGCTCTGTCGCCAGGCTGGAGTGCAGTGGTGCCATCTCGGCTCACTGCAACCTCCACCTCCCGGATTCAAGCGATTCCCCTACCTCAGCCTCCTGAGTAGCTGGGACTACAGGCATGTCCCACCAGGCTCAGCTAATTTTTTGTATTTTAGTAGAGACGGAGTTTCACCATGTTGGCCAGGATGGTCTCGATCTCCTGACCTCGTGATCCGCCCACCTTGGCCTCTCAAAGTGCTGAGATTACAGGCGTGAGCCACCGCACCCTGCCAATAACAGCTTTATTGAGATATAATTCATATATGGTATAATTTATTCTTTTAAAGCATACAATTCAGTGATTTTTTAGTATATTCAGAGTTGTGCAGACATCACCATGATGAATTTTAGAGTATTTTCATCACCCCCAAAACAAACCCTCCACGCATTACTGATCTCTCCCATACTCCTTCGTTAGACCTTGGCAACCACTAATCTACTTTCTGTCTCTCCAGATTTGCCTCTTCTGGACATTTTCTCTAAATGGGGTCATATAATATGTGGTCTTTTATGACTGGCTTCTTTCACTTAGCATAATGTTTTCAAGGTTCACCCGTGTTGTAACATGTTTTAGTACTTCATTACTTTTTATTGCCAGATAGGTCACAGGTTTAACTGCTACACTGTGCTCCTCTGAGGCTGGTATTATTATTCTCATTTTACACACGAGAAAACTGAGGCTCCATGAAATAAAATAAATGACCTAAAGTCACACAGATAGCCAAAGGTGGATCTGGCATCTGCTGACCCCAAAGTCATGCCTCAAAACCCTGCCCTATTGCCTCCACAGCATGTCCTTCCTTAGAGAAGTTACCTGCACAAGGGAATTTAGTCTCACGTGTCCTGGTAACTTTCTTTTAACTTCCATGAAAGGTGATAAAGAAATGATTAAGAAAATGCACTTCAGAATTAAGCTCAGGACCAAGCTGTGTGACTTTAGACAGATCATTTAACCTTTCTACACCTCGATTTCCTCATTTGTAAGAGAAGAATAATGACATCCACATCTTAGAGTTCAAAGACACTGATTGTAAATAGTGTGGTCCAGTGCCAGGCACACAGTAAGGGCTCAGTAAATCCTAATTCAATCAATTAGAACACTGTTCTGGGGCGGGGGGTAGGCATTGAGGCAAGTCCAGGACAAAGAAGGAGGTTCAGCTGCGGAAAAAAGGAGGAAAAGAGAGAGAGCGATAAAATTACGTTGTATGAGAATGTTGTGGTTGTTTTCATGCCTGTGTCTCTAAGACAAATCAGCAACATGGAACATTTGCAAACACTTGATCCACACCAAGACGTCTGGAGAAGGCCCCAAGGGAGAGCTGCTCCGTTCTGCCCTCCCTTCAGGCCAGCTGGGGGTGCCTCACTTGTTTCCAATCCTAAATCATTTGTTGTCAAAGAATTCAAAAATTTTGAGTTGGGGGGTGGAGATTTCAGTTTTCATTCTCTGGGAAGCCAAAATAGGCTAAAACAGTAACCTCAACACAAGCATGCCAATTACATATTCAATCAAATTTATTTCTGCATTCCACTTCATGCAATTAGAGAAGATAAGTACTAGTTTCAGGATACACAGTAGGTTTCTGAGTTTTTAAATTAAATCATTTATAATTAATTGAAAATTGTCTTTCTCAAAAGCAATGCAAGCCTACTTTTGAGATCTTACTAGCAGGCCCTGTATCAATTTGGAAACTGCAGACATACAACAAGGGATATGGAAAAGACAACAACTAAAATAAGCTCTTTTTAAAACAGAAGAGAAAGAGGCAGGCTATTTAATGTTACAAGCTATAAAAGAGCAAGTTATTTCAATCACTAAATGAATTTAATTTTTGGTTTTTTGCCTGCAAATAAAGCCTTTTATTCACTTATTCAGGTAATGTGCACCTATTGGTAACATACCGATTCTGCTGCAGGTTTCAGAGAATTCATTCTTTGTCAATGAAATTTTTTAAAAAACAGTTGTTTATGCAGGGGGAACAGGAGGAGGTGAGCTGATTTGAGGACATTTTTCGATGGTTCCGTTCATGCTCAAGAAAACTGTACATGTTAGACCTAAATCATTGATCTACCTAGACCTGGACTCTGCACACTAATCTAAAATGTTTATATTTTGGAAAGCAGAGGGTGAGGGAAGAAGCACATTAGCAAAGGTTGCTTGGCACCATCCCGGGCTATTTAAAGATCATGTGTGCATTGATTCAAAGAATAATTTATAAGCATCTATTACAATAAAGACTAGAAGCTGGTGGCTGGAGAATTTTCACTGTAGTAAACCTTACTTTGGTGGCCACTAATAAACCATGCATGCCAGCACCCATGACTGGTGTCATCCCCTCCCACACCCCATCCAATGGATCTGGACTTGCCCATGGGACTGGCTTTGGCCAATGGGATATTAGCAAATATGATGTAAAGAGATGTTTGTCTTCTTGGAAAGCTTGTTTTAGGAACAAACACTCTTAAAACCTAGACTCCGTGCTGTGAGAAGCACAAATTAACCATAAGCGGGAGATTTGAGGCCCTCGCTGAGAGCCTCAGCTGAGTTCTCCACCAACGGCCAACATCAACTTGCCTTGCCTGCCATCTTGGAATAATATCCTCCAGCACCTATTGAGCCTCCCCTCATGGGTCATACTAGCCAATGCTACATTGAGAGAGATGAGCTGATCCTGCTAACTCCTGTTCAAATTTCAGAATAATGAATAGAAGAATAAACGTTGTTTTAAGCCATCATTTAGTTTTGCAGCTTTAGATAACCAAAATAGTGGTCTGACCATAGCACCAAGCACAGATGTGAAGTGAACTCTGCTCTTCCAGCCCAATATGCACCTTCCTGAATCACCAAGAGGAAGAGAGCCTGCCTCTGACCTACACTGAGAGTTTGAGAAGGCTGGCTTATGCCCTGATATTCCCAACAATATTCTCTTTAATATCAACAGCAAAAGTATCATTTATTCTGCTCTTTTTAAGTGCCAGAGACTGCCAAGAGCTATCAATGTACACATATGTAGCATATCATTTTGTCCATACACAGCCTGTGAGAAATGAAATATCTCTATAAGAAGGTTGAGGAAACTGAGACTTAACGAAGTTAAATAATTTGCCCAAGAGGTTCCAGGCGACGTTCCAGTAATAAAATTAAGATTCTAACTAGTCCTTTACTGCTAAAGCCAGCTTTCACCCGGGATATGCCTCCTTTACACTAGGAAGGCATTGCTGACCCACTTCCATAGCCTGAGTCTCACATTCTGTTACCAGCAGAGGGGTAACTACTAAGGGGATTCTACTAATCTTACAACACTCTCTAGCCTTTATCTTCCCAAGCATACATTTTTTTAGTAGTTGCCAAACATCAGGCAACTTCTGCCTTCTAGGAGGGGAAAAAAAGGAACCCATTCTTGGCAACATCCCACTCCTCATAGGTGTTCTCATCCCTGGTTCATCTCCAGCCACCAGCCACCCACCTCAGCTTCATTAAAGAGCTTGAATCACCAATGGGAAAACACCCACCCCTGGCCTGACCTGTCACAACCATACTCCTTGATGTTCTCTAGGGAAATATGCACACAGGGGACAGGGCCAGGAAAAGAAAGTGTTGTTACTGGTTGAATGCTGGACCCCAGATGTTTGTACATGCCAGTATTGTATAATCATAACTTTTATTTGCACTAGGCAACCAAAAAAAAAGTTTGTGTGACTTTCTTTACTGCAATATTTGCTTTATTGTGGCTGTCTGGAACCAAACCTGCAGTATCTCTGAGGTACGCCTGTATGTTTCAAATGTTAATAATAATAATTACAAAGGGACAAAAGAGGGAAGATGGGAAGAGGAGGAGAATGAAGATGGGTTTATGGGGGAGAAAGATAGGAGTTCTGAGGTTGAGATCTACTGTTAACACTCCTTGTCAATACAGCATGCCACCCACTAATAATAATTATTCATTTTTAAGTCTATTTGACCTGTTAAATAGTGAATTCATTGACAACAGGGATCCTGCCTTAGGTAAATTTGTAACTCCATCTTATACAGCACTGACATATACATTTTTAGGATGATGGAGACTGAATGAATATTTTTTCTTAATTTCTACAGTTTTCCTAGTTGCTGGCACCTTGGCCCTGTGTCCAAACTCCTTGTTCCACCGTTTCAGCTTCTGTGGGCCATAAATCATGATATGACAGGAAGACATTGAGAAAATTGTATTTGGCCAAGATGCAGAATCCCAAAGTCTTGAATTATGCCCTCCCACAGACTCCCTTTTCAAGGACCAAAGAAGATATACGCAGAGAAGAACAGTAAAAAACACACAGTTGTTACATGAGAATTTAGCATAGTGAACAAAGCTGGATGATGTGAAGGCCCTGCCCAGCCTAAAAGCAGACCTAAGCAGGCCTTGCTTCTTTTCCCTCTGGATTCATAGCCACGATGAGGGGAAATGAGTCCTTGGAGAATCCCACCAAGGTCAAGCAAGCCAGAGAGCATTTGCCCTTTTTAGCTGGTCTAGTGGGCAACTGCAGGGCATCCCTAGAGCAGAGTAACTATCAAGCAGGTGCAGCATGGAGCCTATTTCTGCACCTGTCATGAGGAAGAAAGAGAGAAGGAGAAAGAATGCTCCAAGAGATGACAAAGGACTCCAGAGAAACTGCTGCCACTTGGGACCCAGGGCGGATGCCCCTTACTTATTAGCAAAGATGTTCAAGCCTCTAGCATTGTGGCACAGTAAATGGCCTTGACCTTAATCCATTATCAGCATTTATCCTTGAGGATACAATTTGGAGCTTGGTGTAGAAGAGGAGCTTCCCTCAGAGGCCAGGATAGCTCTGAAGACATGGCGATTTGTTTTTCCTGGTACCTGCTATCTTACTTTGAGCTGTGGTACTTTTACCTTACTGTTTCTTGTTTTTCTACCACATCTTTGCATCTTTGCATTTTTGGTCCCATCTCTCTTGACCTTGAACTCAACGTACATGCCTTATCTCTCATGAGTTCTCTGTGTTCGGTCTTGGGAAAAGAGAACAGGAATTTTCTTCCAGTGAATTCTGGAATCTTCATTTGTCACCTTTCTCCTCACGTTTTCCTTGCTGGAAGCTGCACACACATACTCACACAACACGCATGCATCCCTTTGCCTTCTGTGGATAAATAAGATTTTGTGTCTCAGAGCACAATGCTCTCTTGGGCTCTACCTTTTGGTGATATTTTTGAAATCAATTTAAAGTACCCTTGATATCCCTTGAAAGTTTTGTAAGATTTAACCCCTTAGGGGAAGAGTCAGAGGGCCTCTCTTTACACCTTACATCCCTCACCCTTTCAATCCCTTGGGTAAGAAGAGACATCTGAAAGGTTGAGATGCAGTCTTTACTCTGAGAACCTCCCTCCAAAACTGCTTCAACTGCTGACAGCTCACAAGACAGAACGTTGAGTTAATACCCAATATTAAACAAAGTCAAAAATCAAATACATCAATCACCTAACTAAAAGCACATTTCAAAGGAAGACATAGCCAACTGGATGGCAATCCTGAGCAACACTTGCCTTGGCAGGTATCTGATGAAGACACTGCTCTGTCTTGCTTCCAAAGTCCTTCTAAGCAGGCAGCTTGGCAGGCCAGTCTTGGATGGAGAGGGATGCCTCCAGTTTCCGGAGCCAGAGCTGAGGAAGGAGAAAGTAGACCACCTGCAGGCAGTACAACACTACTTCATACTTCCCTAATGCCTCACTCACATTAGCACACTGATCTTGCCTATGACCTTCACTGAGCTAGATCAAGATCCCCATGCTGCAGTGGGAAAACAAATATCCATTGTCTACTGATACCCACTGGGTCACTTTTGCTTTTGAATTCTTGAAATCTGGATTCCCTCTCAGTGTCCTCTAGGTTACCAGTACACTTATCCCCTCCAAATCAGGGCATAGTTGCAACTAAGCAATTAAGAGAAGACTGGAGACCAGTGGGATTGGAAGGTAATGGTGTCACTGGAGTTTCTAGGCTTTTATCTATCCAGACCTCTCCAATGTCTTGTCATGCATCAATTCTCTCATCCGATCTTTTTGGGAATGCCCTCATCCTGGGTTACCAAGGAGCACCTGAAGCAGAGGATAAGTGAATGCCTTTCTCAAGGCACAGGGCAAGACATTGGTGGTCTTGATTTGCTCCATCAACCCCACCTCCCAGATTTATGTTTGAACTGTTTGATCCTGGTGCTCACATGCAGGAACAGGACACTGGAGTGTGAAACGACAAAATACACCTCTTTCCTAAAGCAAAGCAATCTATCTTGAGCACAAAGCTTGTCATGACACTAAAGCAAATCAGTGTAAACAAGGGCAGAGATGAGAACCATAATGAAGAGTTTGAGAAATTGTAAAGTGGTCCTGAAAGGAAGTGGTACCTCTTGAGAATAGTCCTATAAAGTGTATACCTGTCACTAAAAGATGCCCAAGACACTGACCTTAAGCCAATTACCATGTGTAGATCTGCTGTAACCAAAGAAGGTCACAGATATTCGATTCTGCAAAAAGCAGCTTTTAAAAATAAAAGTCAATTCTTGGCATGTGTTGCAATACTTCCCCTGTTCCAAACATAATACTGAAGCCACCCACAGGACCGCTGTCTTAGCCAAATACAGTAAGGAAACAAGCCTTCTCGGGAAAGGCCCACATGAATAGTATCCAAGGGCCAAGGTCAGGTATCAATGCAAACCGGCTGCAAAATCTCCTCTTCTAGCACCACTGGGCATACTGTAGCTGAGTAAGCCAGCGATACTCTGTCCAGCTTTCTCAAAGTGCTGCTCATAAAGACAATTCCATAGACTACAGGGACAGATGTCCGCTGGCACTCAGAACTTCAGACTCTGGGGAAGGCTCTGCCCAGTTTTTGCCTGTGAACTCAATCTCTATAAAACAGAGTTATGGCAATTGAGAAAAAGGCCTCTCATACAGTCTCCATGTAATCCAGAGTATCTGCTTTCTGAAATAATTTACTGATCTTTTCCCTATACAATTTTTTTTTTTGAGACAGGGTCTCACTCTGTTATCCAGGCTGGAGGGAGTTCAGTGGTGTGATCACGGCTCCCTGCAGCCTCAACCTTCCAGGACCAAGCAATCCTTCTACCTCTTTCCCCCAAGTAGCTAGGACCACAGGCATGCACCACCATCCCCAGTGAACTTTTTTATTTTTTGTAGGGAAGAGTTCTCCCTATGTTGTCCAGGCTCGTCTCAAACTCCTAGGCTTAAATGATCCTCCCACCTCGGCCTCCCAAAGTGCTTGGATTACAGGCGTGAGCCACAATGCCCAGCCCTATAATTCTCATTGTCATAGCTAGATCATTACATGCAGGAGGGCAGAGACGATCCAGCTCTAGAAGCAACTTTAAGCCATTAGGACTGACTGCTTCCCTCCAAACTTACCACACACTTGGGTTCAAAAAAACGGGACCATATTTCAATGTTTTGCATTATTCATGCCATAGTCCTGAACTATTCACTCTAATTCATCTCATTTCTTGTTTCCTGCACTATTTTTCCTGGCTTTTAACCTTCTAGTCTGTCTTCTGACGGATGATCTTTCCTTGCTTCTTGAATTGGGTCCTGAACCTGAGACCTTCTTCAGCAGTGGGTAAGAGAACTGGCTTTGAAGCCAGTTTTTCTTTCTTTTTTTCATATTATACTTTAAGTTCTAGGGTACATGTGCACAATGTGCAGGTTTGTTACATATGTACACATGTGCCATATTGGTGTAACTCATCATTTACATTAGGTGTATCTCCTAATGCTATCCCTCCCGCCTCCCCCACCCCACGACAGGCCCCAGTGTGTGATGTTCCCCTTCCTGTGTCCAAGTGTTCTCACTATTCAGTTCCCACCTATGAGTGAGAACATGTGGTGTTTGGTTTTTTGACTGGATTAAGAAAATGTGGCACATATACACCATGGAATACTATGTAGCCATAAAAAAGGATGAGTTCATGTCTTTGTAGGGACATGGATGAAGCTGGAAGCCAGTTTTTCTAAATTCAAATCCTGATGCTGTCATTTATTAACAGTATGATCCTGGACAAGTTATTTTAATTTTCTAAACTTTAATTTTCTTAACTGTAAAGTGGTGCTCATAATAGCACCTACCTCTTGGTCTGCAGTCCAGTGCTCCTGGCCGGGCGCGGTGGCTCATGCCTGTAATCCCAGCACTTTAGGAGGCGGAGGTGGGTGAATCCGCTGAGGTTAGGAGTTCGAGACCAGCCTGGCCAACATGGCAAAACCCCATCCCTACTAAAAATACCAAAAAAATAAAATAAAAATAAATAGCCATGCGTGGTAGTGCACATCTGTAGTCCCAGCTACTGGGGAGGCTGAGGTGGGAGAATCACTTGAACCCAGGAGGCGGAGGTTGCAGTGAGCCAAGATTGTGCCACTGCACTCTAGCCTGGGCAACAGAGCAAGACTCCCTCTCAATAATAACAATAATAATAACAATAATAGCACCTACCTCTTGGAATTCTTGAGAAGATAAAATGGTTTATATCCAAAACAATTAGAACAACAACCCAGCGCAGCTGAATTGCTCAATAAATGCTAGCAGTTGTGAGGCATTTTTCAGCCACCTCTACAGCCATGTGGACACTTTAGTCAGCCTGAGAGAATACCCAGTACAGGTCATCTCCCAGATATTTTATACCTGATAATCCATGCTAGGTTCACTCAAGCAAACAGAGAAGAAAGCATTTATTTCTCTTTGCTCTAACACAGAGGAAAGCATTATGATAAGAGCTAAGATTTTCTTATCCAGTGATTAATTTCTTATTGGATCCAGCTATTTAAATGGAGCTCCACAGAGAGTTAGTTAAATTAAACACAAAATTTCTTCTTTTTTTTTTTTTTGTCAAAGAAACACTTGCCTTGCTCTTCACTATATAGTAAAACTCACTAATAAACCACAACATGTCTTACATGTCTGTTCCTGATCTCCATACTTGAGTGGTCACCAAGAAAGTATTGTACATTCAATCCATAGCATTTAATTTCCATGGACCCTGCCTTTAACAGGTTATTATCTGGTTGTTAAGAGAAGACTAACACATAAGACATTATCAAAGAACAATAGAAGGTATATAATTAAGCACTGAGCCAAGTAAATGGTGCCGATTATAAATTCAGTAGTTCTGGAAAGGACACATCAGGTAATGGGTTATAGTAACTCACCTATTCACTCAACAAACACTTACTGAGTACCATCCAAGTGCCAGTTTCTGTGCTAGGCTCTGAACGTAGGTGGAGGACATTGGGATCTTTCTTCCCTGCAGTCTTCCATTCTTTCCTACGGCCCCCCATGGTATAACCATCATGCAGCTGGGTCATTCATTCTTCTGAGCCAAGCATGGTAAATTCATTCACCTTGTCAGTGATTGGTTCCTAAATGACCATTGATGTTGAGAAGAATTGGCTTGAAACTTCTGGGAAAGTTCCTCCTTGGTCTGAAGAAACTATCCCAGGAAGACATACACCTTTTCCCTTGGTTGATGCCAAGCATGGATGTGAAGTCCTTAACTACCACTTACATCTTGCCACCAGCTTGCAAATAGAGAAGCAAGGGCAAAAAAAAAAAAAAAAAAAAAAAAAAAAACTATAGAGAAACAGAGTCAGTGCCATTAGATTAAGTCAAGTTTTCATAGACCCCTACTTTTGGGCGTCCAGTAAAGGAATCCAGTACATTTCCTTATTCACATTAGCTTAAGTTTTGCGCTTTTTTTTTTTTGCCCCTGTTATTTGCAGTCATACATATTCTAACTTATAGAACACATGAAAAAGACAAATGAAATACAATCAGTTCTCAAGGTGCTCACAGGCTAGTGTTGACAAACATGTAATCCTGCAGCATTGTAATTTGTTAGTTAAGTACAAGAGAATAATGGTTCAGGAATAAAAGTATATCAAAGGAAGGAGGAGTTGGCAAGATCTAAGAGAGGTAGCTTTACCAACTTTAATTAGTCTTTGAAGGCAGTCAGTGAATAATGATAAAACAGTGAGTAATTGGCAATACCCCAGCTTATCACTGCAAAAATTGGCTTAATTCCTATTGCTTTGTCAATTTCAGTTGTTATTACTAATGTCTTAAGATAGGGAAAGGAGAATCTCTTCCTAGAATTATAAGCTAAAGAATATGTTCCTTTAGTTTGATTCCTGTTTCTGGATTCAGTCTGGAAGTTTCTGTTTGCAAGGCTTTTTTTTTCTTTTCTTTTTTTCTTTTGAGACAGAGTCTCTCTCTGTTGCCCAGGCTGGAGTGTAGTGGTGTGATCATGGTCACTGAAACCTCTGTCTTCTGAGCTCAAGCAATTCTCATGCCTCAGCTTCCCGAGTAGCTGGGATTATAGGTGCCTGCCACCACGTCCAGCTAATTTTTTGTATTTTTAGTAGAGACAGGGTTCCACCATGTTGCCCAGGCTGGTCTCAAACTCCTGACTTCAAGTGATCCGCCTGTCTCAAACTCTCAAATTTCTGGGATTACAGGCATGAGCCACCATACCCAGCCTAAAGGCTATTTTTTATCTCTAAAGATGAAACTGGCTTCAGAATTATAGAAAATCAGAACATTTTACCCAGTGTGCATAAGTTTTCGTAATTATGTGCATGTAAGGAAAAAAACATTTTTTCTGTTTGATATCATTAGATGGTTGAAATTACACTTTCATCTATCTTTCTCTACAGAAAGAGATTTTTTTCTGCCAGCTAAAAAAAATCCAGATATTCATTGACTAGACTTGTGATTATCTATTTTACATAAGACTTGGGCTTCATCGTATAACTTAACTGTAATATTGAAGATTTCCAAGTTAAATTTGGGAAACAATGTTAAAGCCTTGCTAAGATTGTGGTTAGGAGAAGCCGTAGTATAGAAGCTTTATTTAGTTGAGCTTCAAATGCTCAAATTAATTTCCAGCATTTTCCAATGTTTATAAATAAAATCATTGCTCATGGCAATGTTTCCGTGATGGGACTTTCTGAGGAAGTCTCTCAGGAGACCACTCAGGTCCCCAGAGTTGGTTAGCAGCTCCCTACATGCTGTCTGGTGTGCTAGGAAATAAATTTACAGATATTAAAAACCTAGATTTTAGAATCAGACTGACCTGGGTTCAAATCCTGGTTCTGTACCTTATTAGCTGTGTTATTTTGAGCAAGTTACTTAGTCTCCCTGTGTCATTGTGGTAAAATAAAAACAAGCTAAGATTATTTTGAGAATTAAATCAAATAATATAGTCAAGTTTCTTAAAAGAGTGTCTGACATTCATTGTCTTTGAACAAATTTATTGAACTAGAGACATAAGGCAGACAAAAGTAACCCCCATGAGGCTTCTGTAACAAATGCTCAACAAATAATATCCAAATAGCCATTATTATTTTTAATAAGATCTGTTTATTTCCTGGGACATAACCATTATCAAGTGCTCGGAGAGAAAAATCAAAGAATGATCATAGATTCCTCCATTGCCTCCTGCCTCCCAGCCCATATCCATTCTATCATGTCATGCTTTGAGAATGGGTCTTCTCCACTTCACCTGCTGCCATGCCAGTCCAGGACCGTTATGCAAATCATAGCCCTTTTTTTGAACTTCTTATGACCATCTTGGCCATCCATTCTTCTTACATCCATTCTGCACATACTGGTTGCTGATTTTTTTTTTTTACCATTAACATCATTGATTTTATTTGCCCCAAACCTTCAAATGACAAACCATTCCACGTGAAATTAATGTCAACTCTTCCCACGTTTCTTGAGCGGGGTGCTGCCTTACCTCTTCTTAACATCATGCACCCTGTATAGCACTATTTTCTAGACACCCTAGCCTTCCTGATGCTCCTTCAGCAAACCAAAAGCCGTTGCTCTCACTCTTCTCCCTCCTATATCTTCATAGAGCTGGCCCCTTATCATGATTTGAAAGTCAGCTCAAATGGACTTCCTTAGGTTGTTCTTCTGCAGCCGGTCTCAAAATAATACCCTATTTTGTCTTCTTCATAATATGAAATGAGTTTGTCTACTTATTTATCTTTCTACAACTTCTGTAGCTTTCTAGAATGTAAGATGCTATAAAGGCAAATACCTCATCTACCCTGTCAGCTGCTAGATCCCTTGTGCCTTAAAAGAGTACATGGCACATAGTAAGTACATAATGAATGTTTGTTGACTAGTATCATACTGAGACTCCAAATGCTGCTTCAGTTTATTAACAAGTTTCCCAAGTCATTTAACTTCCTACTTGGGGGAGTTTAGACCCTTAGAGTTATGAGTTCAAAGAACAGAGACCCAGGGAGGTGATGAGTCTTACAGAATTAGTTAGTGTTAGAGCCTAGACAAGATCCCTGGGGCTTCTAAGATCTAGATGAGCACCTTGCCATAATATTGGTTTGCTAGGCATGAGTCCTCTGACCCTCTAGATTGTCCAGAAGAAGGCAATGAAGTTTGAAATCATATCAATCACTTTCAATGGAATTAAGACCTGGACTGGGTGGAGGAGGAGAACTATGCTACTGAAACCAAATAAAGATGGTACAAGGGCAGAGAAGGCACTAGAGTACAGAATCCCACACACACACAAATTACTTCTTTATCACCATGAGTGGAAGGACCTCAGATTCGGAGCTACAAGTTGTCAACATTCAAAGCATGTATCGAACACTGTTCTGATTAATAGAATTATAGAATCTCAGCATGGAAAGATAACCCTTCTCACATGTTTTACACCATTTACAGTATGTCTGCCTAGAAGTCATCCACCTCACTTTAAGTATCTACAGTTAGGAAGAACTCACTGAATCCCAAGTAAGCTTATTCTGTCTTTCAACAGCTCTGATTATAAGAACATTTTTCATTAAACTGGGCTAAAAACCACTGTTGTATATTTTATTGATTCTAGTTTTGCCATGTTGGGTTATCTAAAGGCAGCTATCATGTCACCCCCGAGTTTTCCTTTGTCCAGGTTTTTCTAATACTTTTTCTATGGAATGATCTTTCATTGACAAAAGGTTTATTTTTGCTGGTCTTTCCCTCTCTACATGGTTGGATATATCAGCATTCCTCATGAAGTAGGTCTTCAGGTATAGGAAGAGCAGTTTAGAAGCCAGAACTTTCCTTGCACTGGAAATTATATTTATGTAATGTAACTAAAGTTATTAGTCTATATGAGTACTCGCAACCACCCCCAAGCCACCTCCAGCCCATTAAAAATAATCCAGCATTGACTTCTAGGTTCCCACTCCCTCCCAGTCCTACTAAGGAAGGATTTTTGCTTGCTGAGAGAGAAGCTAAGTTGACCTACATAATAAAGTGATAAAGGGGTTGTGGCCTGGTTATCAAGGAAGAGTTTTTTTGGAGCTCAAGTTTATAAGAAGGAAACACTAGAGCAACTGCGGGTATAAGGGAATTGGAGAGAAAAAGAAAAGGTGGCATTATGAAGCACCAAGGTGGCTTAGTAATGGAATTCTCTTAGATGTTCTCCAAGAAATTCAAGTAGAAATTTCTAGTTCCTTTTAACTGCCTTTAGTTGTTACACTATGTTCCCTTGAATGTGACACACCACTCTATGACAACAGTGGTCACTGAATTTATAAAGTTATGCACATTAAAAATTAATTCCATAGCAATGATAATGATTTATACGTACAATTATTTCACTGTACTAAGGAGTTGACATTTATTATCTCATTTAATTCTTAGAGCAAGCCTTTGAGATACATGCTATTATAATCCCCATTTTTTCAGATGAGGAGACTGTAAAACAGAGGTAAAAGAAATTGTTTACAGCTAAGCAATGGTATAGTTCTCAGACCCATGTCTGTCTAACTCTAAATCCCGTACATTATGCCTCATGGTAGTCCTTGAGCAGAATGGCCTCAGTGCTTGTCCAGAAAGAAAAAGATAAACAGCTAGAGGGATGAGCCTGGAATCCAGGAATTATCTGCTGCTCCAGGGAGACCATACTACCTAAAACCTGTCTCAAGGCTGACAGTCCAGCACTGAGATCATTGAGATCAGAAACAAAATCAAACTGATATTGAGGTTTCTGGAACATTCCTTAGAAAAAGATCCAAACTTTCAAAAACTTCAATCTTATTTTCCACAATATTGATGGCACAATTTTAGCCCATGGCTATTTTTTTCCTTCTTGAACACATCAATTCAGAAACTTTAAAGAACAAAATTGTGTTCACAAAAATGTAATTGATAAAACTAACTCTTTCCTAGCTGACTTTTTATGGCTTCAGCTAAAATTCAAGCTAAACTGAATTCCATAATGGACCATACTTCATAATAATTGTAGTCTATTTGTATGCAAATAGCTGAACGACATCTCTCAATTTCAGACTCTGGCTGTAAACTCACATCAGTTTTGGGTAGATTCTAATTATGAATCTGATATAATAGGTGTTGAATTAATGAGAATCTCTGACACCAGTTTTGAGAGTTAACACTCATTATTCACTATTTGAACCTTAAAAATGGAGTATCTTTATGATAGAATGTATTGGGTGGTACCATTATCTAGTAACTATTTGATCTGAAATGGTTATTTAATTTCTTCCAGACCACAGTGTTAGAAAAATGAGAATAATAATGATTCCATGATAGGATTATTGGATAATGAAAAAAGATAATGTATACAAAGTACTTAGGAAAATATTTGTGGATCAATAAATTACAGTTTTTTCTGCTCTCTGTTGCTAGATCAGCTGAAGGTCCCTCCAAGTGGCCAAAACTTAGTAACTCCTTCATAAGGCATTGCCTTGCTACAGATGTCCTCAAAAAGCTTCCCTCCGTGATGAGAGCCCAACTTTAATGTGAACACAGAGACAATCTTTAATAAGAACTGAGGAAGCAGGAATCAAACTCATAAGACAGGGCCAGGTAGACACATACATAAGGTCTGCTCAGGGTCAACAACTTGCCCACCTAGTATCACATAACACCCTCTGGCATTAATGATGCCCATCCTGCCTTGCATTTCTGAGGACAAGGGCCATAGAAGGAAGGCAACGTTCTTTCCAGGGGATGTTTATTTTTCCATTAATAAAGGGAAATTACTTTGTTGGTTGAGAGCCCAGATTTTAAAATTACTCCCATGGCTGTATCTAAAACCAATTAAATGTTTTAAAACTCAAATTTGTTTGGCATAATAGAGTTGAGGCTGTCAGATCTTGTGACATGGCCAGTCATAAAATGTTCCCTGGGAACCGAATGGGGCATACTGGGGGGAGTGGGAAGAGAGAAATCATAATCACTTATGTTCAGAGGGGCATAGCAAATGCCTGGGTCAAACCCAGCTTCTGAGAACAGGAAAAAATCCATCCAAATGGGTGGAAGATGGTTATCCTACTTGTTGGCAGTATAGTGTGATTAAAGGACACCAGGCTTTAGAATTGGACAAACAGATCTTGGCTCACATCCGGGCTCTGCCCTTTATTATCTGGGTGACATTGGGTAAGTTACTGACCTTGCCAAGCCTCAATTTCTTCAGTTGTGAAATGAGGATCATAATATTAATTTTTTTATGGTGGCTAGGATAATGTAAGTAAAACACTTGGCTCAATGCCTCATGGATTATAAGTGCTCAACAAATGCTAGATGTAGTTATTGTCATTTTATTGTTGTCGTTTGTGTGTTAGCAGCTATTATGTACTAGTTAATCCACCTATTTTGTCTCTTTTCTTTAGGATAAAACACCCTGTGATGTTACTATTAACATACCATTTTATAGAGGAGAAAACTGGCTCATATATCCAATACCACATAGTTAAGAGAAAGCAGAGCTGAAATTAGAACCTAGGTCTGGCTGATTTCAAAGCCCATGCTATCTCCGTTGCTTCCATCACTACTGTGGAAGTGAAAAGCTTCACTTGTAAGATGTGGGCTGTAATCTAAGAAAGGCTTTGATATGTGAAAGTAAGCAATAACAGGACATCCTGACAGGTGAGTATGTAGAATCCTGGGGGAAATTTATTCAGAGATCTGGACAAACAGGGCTGTGTTCAGGGATATCAGCAAAGTCGATCCCAAGGGTGGATTCAAGGGCTCAAGGTTACAAGGCCAGACTCAGAACAGAGCTGGCTCACACACCAGGGTAGGTGGCTCCAGGTTACCCAGAAGCCCGCTAGGGTTTTTAAAGCCCCTGTTGGCAGAGGGAAGAACTAGGTTCAGGGTATGGGGTGGCACCAGCTAATCTGCAAGTGGGTCTCAAGTAGATCCAGATGTGGGGAGGAACAGAGGAGAAGCAAGAAATCAGG
Organism: Homo sapiens; assembly: GCF_000001405.40. Classification (NCBI taxonomy): domain Eukaryota; kingdom Metazoa; phylum Chordata; class Mammalia; order Primates; family Hominidae; genus Homo; species Homo sapiens. Next base: position 117,748,948 of record NC_000008.11, read on the forward strand.
CAAGTCCTGACATCAGCAACAACTAGTCGATTGATGCTTTTTTTTTTTTTAGCTTTGCAACAGTTTCCCTGAAATTGTGCAGACAGTCTTAAACCTGTCAATTCTGGAGGCTCCTGATTTATATATGAACACTGCACTGTCATTCTCCAAGTGCAAAACTACAAAATGCAATGTTTCTTTCTCTTTATAGCTATCCATTCTTCCATGACCTTGAGTTTAATGACAGCTGCTTCTCTAGTTTTTCCAGTTATTAGGGACCTTCTCCATGAGCATTAGCAATTCTAGAAATTAGGTAACACTCCCTGGCCTATGACTTGCACCTGTGACCCATGACAGAGGCAGAATTCATCTATTGCAGAGTCAGCACATATGGAAAAATAGATGAAGTCACTGCCTTATCCATGTCCATGGCAGACATTATTAATCAATCACAGCACTCTTTGTAATTTGGCCTAGAAAATCTTCACAATTATGCTCCAAATCTAATCAATGGATTAGATTTAGCACATGATAAAACTTACTGACCAGTGAAGCCTAGTGGTTTACCTTTCAATAAATCACTGAATTAAAAATAAAGCTAATAATGGCAGTTTTAAATTGACTTTCTGGTTAATTGTACAAATAAATGCCTAAGTACATTGGAATCTGGACAGAATAAGAAAAGCAAAAACAAATTTTAAAAATCCTCATTATAGAAGAAGGAATAAGGAACTCTGAATTCTTTTATTAGCTATCTGACTTAATTCAGCTATGTGAGCTTCTACTATATGTCAAGCTGTATTCTAAGAACTTTACATGTTATCTCATTTAATACTCATAAAATATTAAATAGATATTTTCATTGATTTTTTTAAAAAATAAAGAATAGAATATTAAAGAGGCTAAATAACTCCATAAAGATCATGCAAGGTCATCAGAGATAGCAATGAGATTTAAATCCAGTCCACCTAATTTTGCAACCAGTGCCCTTAACCTCTACATTCTATACTGTCTAACCAGATATATAAAGGCCAAAAGAAAAAGAAAAAAGCTAAGTTGGCAAACAATGGGCATGCCCTAGATTCAGAATATTCTTAAGGTGATAGGAGTTGCTAAGACAGCAGCAGTTCTTTCAAGGCTTCACATCAGTCTGCCCCCTTGGGGACCAAAGAGAATCAGGAGCCATGGCAGTGCAGGACAATCATGCTCCACAATCCCAATGGATTGGGACATCGGAAAATTTCCCTTTGGGAAATTCTGTTCCAGCAGTTAACTAGGACATGAAATAAAGACTACGTGGGCACATGGCCCATGATTTTCTCTGCTCTATCAGGTTGACTGACTTAACAGAATCTCTCTTCTCTCTAGAGGCACATGCATAGCCCCAACAGATGCCCTTGCCATGCAAGGGAGGATGAACTATGACAGTCAATGTCAACCCATCAATTACAATGTAGGGATCAATCCTAAAGGTCTTGTCATTCCTGAAGTCTGTTGTAGCCACCACCTCTCATTTCCTTGGCTTATGAGTAGTTCCAAGGGAGACGGGAGCGCAGCTGGGAGCTGGAGGACCCCACTCCTGTTCAAATAGCAATTAAACCCCTCAAATCTTCTCTTGCAGAAAGAAAATTGTGGCCACTCTAGCATGAGCTTCCTCAACTTGTCTCCATCTCTGTTTTTCTCTATTATCACTTTTTTCTTCCTTTTTTGTGCTTTCAGAAGAGAAGCATCTCCGTATTGACCAATGCTGCTGCTGCTGCTTCTGGTGCTCTCTTCTGCAGTTTCCCTGGGACATTGCTCCATTGATTCTCTCCTCCCTATCTTAAAGAGAAGAGAGATAACCCAGGCAGTCAAAATTTTCCTATAGCCTGTAAAACATTCTTTCCTTTGAGCCTGCTACCCTGCTATTGCCTGATCTCTTTCTTTTCTCACTCTCCACCAACATTCTTGCAAAAGTAATGTGCACCCACCAGCCTCTACTTAATCACCACCACTCACTCTATTACCCCCAGAATAGCACATCTGTCACCACAACTCCAAGAGAAATGACTTCTTTTTGGTCAACCACATGGATATTTGTATCAGATTGTGCAGAGAAGACTTCCGTTTATAAATGAAAGAAACTAAGTCACCCTATTCAAGACTAAAGGGGGAAGGGAGTGTTTGTTTACTGCTTCACATGCCCAAACCTTGAAAAGGGCAGGAATGGACCTGGCCAGAGAACATCATCAGGATGCTCTGTGTGACTGCCCATCTGTCTCTCATTTCTATCGTTGTGTGCCAACAGGGAAATGGGGCCATAGACCATTCTGGTCTCACGTTTTTCATTGTGTTCCCCAGTTTGTTGGGAAAATCCAGAGAAAGGAATCAATTGGCCTGCCTTGATTTGTATAGCCACTTCTTGAACCATTTACTGTGGCCAGAGGAAAGCCATGGCAGTTGGATCAGCCTAGGTCCTGCGTCTACAAGGCTAGCTAGAAATGGGCAGCATTCTGGTATTAGAAGCAGCTGGGGAACCACATACATGCCTGCTGGGGAAATCATAAACTCTACAGCCACCATGATTTATGTCTACTAAACAGACTTATGTGTACAGTTGAGTATTGTGCAGAATAAAATAATAGATGGTGGAATGGTGGTCATCATCAAAATCACACAGTTATGAAGGCTGAGCAAAACTATTAAGATATATTTGCAATTCTAGCCAAACATGTATTTAAGATCTTATGTCAAGTAGACCTAATGCATCTATGGGATCTGAGCTCTTTGACCTGAAGGGACATCCAGTAGGGCCAGATGTCCCAAAATATGAGCTCCACCTGCCTGCTGCTTTTTTGCCTCTGGAAACCCCTTTTAGTTTCAAATTTTCACAATTCAAGTGCAAACCCCTATGAGAGGGCTCCTGTCATAGTTACAAATTAACAGCCCTGGAAAGAGTAGTTCACAGACAAATCTGAACAAAAAGACCCTGCAGCAACAGAACCAGAAAACTCCTGGGAATTTTGGGACAGTGGAAAAAGGAAGTGGAGCTGCAGGAGCAACAAGTCTTTCCCAGCTTGAATTTAGCAGACAGTAATATCATATGTCAGGAGAGTGCTCTGACATTTTCTAAACATTATTATCCCCCTCGAAAGAAGAAAACAGTGAGGCTGAGAAAGATTTGTTAAGGACTCGTCTTGTGTCAGGTGAACTAAATACTGCCCAGGATTTAGCTCAACCCCATTGTGCAGATGAGAAAACTAAAACTCCAAGAACCTGACCACATTTACACAGCTGCATAGTGGCAGGTTTGGAATTCTCACACAGATCTATTTACCTGGCTCCAAAAGACTGCAGATGGGGCAGTGAATAAATACGATAATTGGTTTCAGAAAGTAGGTTTTTTGACTTCCAAGTTAGTGCTCTTTCTGAGGAGTATACCACCTTTCTTATTTAAACCATAATGTTGAACAAAGCATTTCCACAAGAGCAATGTCCTTTTTTCTCTTTACATCTGCGAGGCAGGCAGGAGGTGGATGATTTTCCCTACTCAACAGCTAAAGGGACCAAGGCTCTGATGATAAACTTAGCCCAGTCAGGATGTCATTCTAAACCCAGCAGGGCTGGGAGCCCTGCAGGCACTTTGCTTTTGCTTTCTGTAATCACCTTCCCCCGAGTTCAGCCAATCCTGGAACCAGGGCCAGGCTGGCTGTGTTTGAGTGAGCTCATCTCTCCACGTTTTTTAGCTTCAATTCCTCATAACTGTTTTACATTCTGAGCCTTGCTCTTATTTTCAGTCTTTCATGAAGAAAAGTTGTTACATTAGAATTGAGTGACTGTCTGCCTCGTTCCTCATCTCGAATTGTATTTTTACATTATCAAGTAAATTAAAAGCCATACATTACAGAAACTCATTTAAAATTCTGTTTAGTGCATATTTGCAGAACTTTTGCTGATTCAATGAATGCCTCACTTACCAATCATGTGTAAATCAGCGTTTTGCTGTGGGGAATACTTTAGGGCCGGCTGAACTGACAGCATCCAGTTGGTACTTTCTCAAGTTTCAGGTTATCTCTAGCCCTCCACACCTGAGCCTGGGAATAAGGGGGAGCTGAGCCCAGGAAGGCAGTGTGACTTCTGGGGCATGTGCCCACGACTTCACACCTCAAGAAGAAGGGGGAGATGGCGCATTCTCGGTAGTGGCAGCATCTCTGGCAGAATCATCACTATTATAGTAACACTACCAATAGCCAAAACTGGCTTCCTGGGCACACTACCTGTGCAGTCATGAAAAGCACAGTGATGAAAGGGCCCCGTGCTTAGTTTAATTATCTGCTATTGCCAAATGAAATGCTTGATCATTTTTTAGCAAAAGTCTCTCATTTTCATTTTTGCAGTACACATCACACAGTCAATTTTGTTGACAGCTGTCACTTAGTGAAGATTTTTCTCTAAGTTAGACCTTGAGCTTCTCTTGCATCATCTAATTTAATACTTACAATATTCAGTTATTCAACAAATATTGAGCCACTCATTAGGTACCAAGCACTGTGCTAAGCCCCAGGGATGCTAGAATAAACAAGACAGGCGTGGTCTCTACCTTCATGGAACTTACATTCAAACAGTATAATCAAAAATAAATCAAAATTGTAATAACTGTTCTCAAGGAAAAAACAATAATAAAAGACCAAGGTAAATATATTAGAAAGGGTTCATTTAAAATAAAGTGACAAGGAAGGGCATTTCTGAGAGCCTAAGAGGTAACAATTCTTGTACCCATTTTACAGATAAAGAAACTGAATCTCAGATAGGTTAGGTGACTTAGCCAAAGTCATAGAGCCAGATAATGGCACTGGCAAGCTCTGAAATCAAGTCTTTCTGACCCAGGGGCCAGTGTGTTATAAAAAATCTTTTCAAACTTCAAATAATAGTAATCACTGGGGATTGTATTAAACTATAGATTCTGATTCTTGGATGGTGCTGATATTGCTGGGCCCAGAACCCCACTCTGAGTACAAGGCCCTAATCCCTGTGTTAGTGGACATGGTTGGGTGGCTGCAGACAGAACTCCAGGGCACTAAGCCCTGGAAAGGTGGTTCTTGCCATCAGAAGTGGTAGGGCTCAGTACCAGAGGGGCAGAGTGGGAACTCAAGGGCTGCAACTCCTGGAAGATTTCATGAATTTGCAAAAACCCTGGGGAAAAGAATGCAAAGATCATCCTAACAGTTCTGACCAAGAACTTTGAAGAGGGCTCACCTACAAGAGAAGGAGTTTTGCCCCCACTCTACAGATCCAAAAGCCTAGGTATATCACCTTGAGTGCTAAGAAATGTTTCTTTCTTATGTCCAACTACAATCTCTCTTATTGTATCTTAAGCTCATTTTCTTTTGCAAATTTCTTTAGGAAGAAAGAACACAAGCAGTTAGCATTTCCACATATTGAAGTTAGTTTCAAGTCATCTCTTATGTTTCTAAGTCCAAATCTAAATACCTCATTGCATTTTATTTTTGTCTTTATAGGAGTATGGGAGTCATTTTTTAAAATCTCTACAATAATCTTTTTTCTGATTCTTCTGCAGTTTTTATGAGCCAAATATGACATTATGAGATCTGACTAATTCATAGCAAAAATAACCACTTCCCAGCCCTCATAAAACACACTTCTTTTTTCCCCACAATGTATTAAACTTATGGTCAACTATGAATGCCAGGTCTCTTTCTACTGTTTATGTATATGTTGAGTCTCTGTTCTCTGTGTTTGTCTTTTTTGTTAAGTACTGAAACAATGGCAATTGACACAGTAGCTGGCGCGTAGTAGATGATTAATAAATATCAGTGAAATAAACGTATAAATAATCTTGAACTAGTTTTTGCTGAATTATAACCTGTTTTTAAAGTGTATTTCTGTGCTCAAATCATTAGGAACCTCCCTGAAGGGGGAAGTGACCTCACTTAGAGCAAAGACATGAGTGTAGAATTGCCTGGAGGCATCTAATAAATATTTTTCATGAGTGATGGTTGACCAAAGAAAGAGCAGAGTCTGTAATTTTCGAGATGATATAGAGAAAAGAAGGACTAAGAAAGACTATTGGACTGGGAATCAACCAGCAAAACTTCTAGCATTCGCCATACCCCAAATTAGCTGTGTGACCTTGAGGAATTCATTAGACTTCTCTGGGCTACAGGTATCCTAGCCAAGATACAATGGGTGGAATGAGATGATCGATCTCTAAGTTTCTCTTTAGCACTAACAATCTGTGGATCCATATGAACACTTGTATCAGGGTTTAGAAAATAGAAACCAGTTGCCAAAAGACAAAGATTTGTTTAGAAATGCAAGTTATCTGTCAGAGGATCCTTGGACAAAAACAGCTCTTGCTTTCTCCTTTGGAGTCATATTTTCCACCCTTGTGGCTTATTGCAATGGTCTTTAATGCATGCAGTTTTCTCTGTGACCCCTTTCAGTTTGTCATGCCTAGCTAGATTTGTGTGGTGCCTCATCACACCATTTGGCTCTGCGTCTGCCCGTGTTTGGTTGCAAAGTTCACAGTACTCCTCGTGGTGTGCTTGATTTGCCCTCGAAACTCCCATTGACTTTGTGTACTCATTGCCTGATCAGGCCCATTTAATCTGCACAACTATTCAACACAAAGATGGATAATTAAACATTCTATGGATTTCAGTCTCATTCTCCAAGATGTAAGGGGTTTCCTGGCAGTACTGTCTGCCTGAATCCCTTGGAGCTTCCTGAGAGCTCTCCCTTCATAACCTACAGATAAATCACTCTTCTTCCCCAGAAACACAGCCACTTTCTCTTTTCTAAGGGCATCTACTTCATTTGTACCTGGGCCATGGTTAGGATATTTCAGGTAATTTCAGCTCCAGGAGGGCAGCACTGCAATATCAGTTGGCCTCCATTTACCTCTGTTCCTTCCTGCCTGCCCTCTACTGAGGGCCTATTTTTGCCAGAAAATTTTGTTTTTGTTTGTTTCCAATCCAATACACAAGCTTCCCACAGGTACCTAATGTGCCATCTGCATTTTAGCAAATATTATCTCCTCATTCAGCCTGAATCAAGGGCTTTTCTCTTACATCTGGAATTTGTAGGTATGCTGTGTGCATTGGCAGAGCTAACCATGAGTGGAAACAAAACAGCATCTGTGAAATGGGATAATATAGGGACAGAGGCCAAGGAACTTTGAAGTAAGCAAAAGAGAAAACTCCAGCTGTGTTTAAGGGAAAGTTAATCAAAGCAACATGTGTTGTGTATTTTAGACCTACTATGTGCCTAGCAATGTGCTGAATGCTTTTAATTATGCCAACTACTCATCTCAATGTCTCCATATAGTATTAGTTTCAACTTAGAAGAAGTAAGGCTAGGAGAGAAAAAAATAACTTTCTCAAAGTCAAGCAACTAATAAGTGGGTTCAAATCTAGGCTTTCTTTTTTTTAATTTGTGTAACTGTATTGGGTAGAACTGTAATTTTGTTACATACATAGATTGTATAGTAGTGAAGTCAGTGCTTTTAGGGTATCCATCACTCAAATAACATACATCATCATTAAGTAATCTCTCATCATTCATCGCCCTCACATCCTCTCACCTTTCTGAATCTCTGTTGTCCATTCCACAGTCTATGTCCATGTAGACATATTATTTAGCTCTCATTTGTAAGTGAGCACATGCAGTAGTTGTTCTTCTGTGTCTGAGTGGTTTCCCTTAAGATAATGACCTTCAGTTCCATCCATGTCGCTGCACAAGACATGATTTTAATTTTCTATGGCTGAATAGTATTCCATTGTGCATATGTAACACATATTCTTTATCCAGTCTTTCATTTATGGGCACTTAGGCTGATTTTTGCTGTTGTCAATAGTGCTGTGATCAATTTATGGGTGCAGGTATCTTTTTTATATAATGATTTCTTTTCCTTTCAAACCTAGGACTTCTTAACTTTAAAATTTATGTTCTTTTCCTTTTTTATCAAACCGCTATGAGAGGGAAGAGTAAATGTGAGGACAAGTGCAGGAGAGGAGAGGGAGATACAGGAAAGGAAAGGATGTAGGTACATTCACAGCTGCCTCAAGTGGCACTCAGAGTGTGTCATCCATGCCAGTGATCTGTCATCAATACCAGAAACTACATACACTTTACAATTTGGTTCCAGCACAACAAAAGTCAATACATATAACTCTCTTCTGAATCTTTCATCATCAGGCTTCTTACTGGGGAATTCTCCAAGTGTGCACAAGTGTCCACATATCCCCATGACCTACTTTGTAGTTCATGTTTGGGGTGCAGGCCACCCATTCTTAGTTTCTAGCCTTTCCCACCCATGTATACGCACTGTGATCTCTGACTGTAAGCGAGCATGCTAAAAATGTAGTAGCCTACAACAACATCATCACTTTGTTATTACCTCTCATGGTTCTGAGGGATAACTGGGCTTAGCTGGATGGTTCTTGCTCAGGGTCTCTCATGTGGCTGCAACCAGACAGTGACCTATACTGAAGACATCTCGAAGGCTTCTTCATTTGCATGTGTGGTGGTTGGTTCTGTCATTTAATGGCTCATTTGTGTCCTCTCCATGTGACTGGAGCTTTCTCACAGCACAAGGCTGGGTTCTAAGAGAAGCAGCTTGACAGATCCTCTGGAAGCTGGGTCAACTTTTAGGCCTTGGATGTCTCACAGTATCACTTTGCCATACCCATAGCTCTGTCTAGATTCAAGGAGAGGGAACATAGACCTCACTTCTTGATGAAAGGAGCGTCACTGTCACATAGTAAGAGGAGTGTGTGCAATGGATCTTATGATGACCATCTTGGAAACTCTATTTTGCCAGAATCCTCCCATTTTATTTCTCTCCCATATGTGACATATACTCATCTTTTCTCCCAAGACCACCGTATCCCATACCATTACAGCATCATCTCAAAGTCAGGATCTCATGCACTAAGTAAGATATGCTGTGGGTGAAGCTCCTTGGATTCCTCTCCTTGACTACCGTTTCTGTATCTGAAGATGTATGAACTAAAGAGACAAGTTATCTGCCTCCTAAAGACATCACTTTTTAAACATTCACTCTGTATTGGGCCCTGAATCTGGCATTTAGATGAGTTACTTATCAACAGTCCTGAGAAGTAAGTAATATTATCCCTAATTCCAGGCATATCAAAGTAAGTACCCAAGAACTTGTAGCTACTGAGAGTCTTTAGCTCCCCAATGAGGCTAGATGAACACACATTATGCAAGACAAATTATAAATACCTTACCATGCAGTTAACTTATATTCAGTAGTATTCATTTATATTCAGTAGTAATTCTGAAAGTGTCCATAGACCACAAGGAGTCCCTGAAATATTTTCAGGAAACTCAAGAGGTTAAAATGGTTTTCATAATAATATTAAGACTTTACATGCCTTTTTCACTTGACATTTGCACTGATGGTGCAAAAGCATGAGAGTTAAAAGGAACCAGGCCTTCTCAAAGAAATAGCTGAGCCAGGGACTGGAGCAAAGTCAGTACAAAGATGAGCCAGCAACAATTTATTAGGCCAGAAAGTGAGAAAGTATTCAAGGAAAAAAAATAATGATTGGGACACATCACAGACATAGGATACAGCTTGGAAGGCTCCTCCTGGCCAGATCTGGGACAATTTTAGGACAAAAATAAGTAAGTTCTGGGAAATAATATAAACAATTGAAAAAAACACAAATTCATGAGTTTAGGCCAATAAAAGATAGCTAAATAGATGATAGAAAGATCATAGGAGAAGAACAGAGGGCTCTTGCTTACAGTAGAATGCTAAGGCTAATTGGCACACATGGAGGGGATGCTGAAACTGGAGAATCATCATTTTGCAATCTCCATAGTTGCAATCTCCAAAGATTGGATCAGGCAAGAACCATCATTGGATGCTAAATCTAGAAGAAGATTTTTATGAGAAGCTGAATTTGCATGGTCTTGAAGGATCTCACCACACACTACTTATTGTGGTAAAAGAGAAAAATAAAATAAATTTAAAATTAAAAGAGTGGAAAATTAAAGACTGGAAAACTCGAACCATGCCTTGAATAATGATAACAGTTAATGTTACTAATGAAAGGCATATGGTGATCGTGTGACTTCACATGTGGCTTCTGAGAAAGACACTCATGCAGTATTCTGGCATAGGATGCATAATGTGAACCTAATCACAATGCACCATCAGAAAAACACAAAATGAAGGATGCTCTGTTTTTTTCTTTTTATAAGTGGATACATGGAGGAAGGTGGCCTCTACTCTTAAAAAAGTGTCATAAAAAAAAGGTTGTGGAAATGTTTCAGATAAAAGGAGGCTGAAAAGACAAGAGAACTAAATGCAATACTACCTGATACTGGATCTTGTACCTGTAAATTATCACATTAGGTCAACAGACAATACTGGAATACAGACAATAAAAATGTTATCAATGTAACTTTATAAAGTTGATAACTCTACTGTGGTTATTGAAGAGAAAATTCCTCCTCTTAGCAAACAAATATTGAAATATTTAAGGGTAAATAGCCATGATGTATGTAACTTAACTTCATGATTCAGGGGAAGAAAAGAGGTGGGGAAAGAGGGTAAGTGATAAGGCAAATGGGGAAAAATTTTAAACTGGTAAATCAAAATAAAGAGTATCTGGGTGTTCCTTGAATTATTTTTATTTTTGAAAATTTTTAAGTTAAATATGTCTCCAAACAGAAAATTTAAAATAACAAAAGCAATGGTGGAGCAAAGCACTGGTGTTTTGAACAAATTGAGGCAGTGCCCCCAAATGGTAGTAGGTGTTGTGGTGTGTTCTTCACCACCACATACTCACAATTTAAAAAAGAAAGAAGAAAGAAAGAGAGAAAGAAAGAAAGAAAGAAAGGAAGGAAGGAAGGAAGGAAGGAAGGATGGAAGGAAGGAAGGAAGGAAGGAAGGAAGGAAAGAAAGAAAGAAAGAAAGAAAGAAAGAAAGAAAGAAAGAAAGAAAGGAAAGAAGAAAGAAAGGAAGGAAGGAGAAAGAAAGAAAGAAAGAAAGAAAAAGAAAGAAAGAAAGAAAGAAAGAAAGAAAGAAAGAAAGAAGAATCTGGTTTAATGTTTAAATGTTATGGATGAAATAATAAGAATTATTAACTTTATTGTGCTCTGTGCCCTGAGTACACGTCATTTTAATATTGGGAAGACTCAAATATTGGGAAATGGGAAGTATACATAAAGCACTCCTGCTGTGTGCTGAAGTGTGATGTTGTCTCAAGGAAACGCAGGAAGGTGTGCACGTGCTTGAGGGCTGAGCTGCAGTCGCTGCTTCTGTCCATGGAATTCCATTTTGAGTTGAAAGGACAATTGGCAGGCAAACTACAGTTATTCAGACAAATGATGGTTATCAAGCAGACACTCTCTCAAATATGAAGGAAATGAGCCTGTCACTTCAAGGAAAACAACTGACAAGATTTTTTGCTAATAATAAACTTTGAGGAGGTTTCATGTGATAATTAGAAAACTTAGTATCTGACACTATGACACTTGACAGCTTCCCAATATTTAAATATGTTTCTGATGAGACTGGTAGTGATATTAAGTACTATGATTTTGTATATTGTAAATGAAATGGGTCAATATTTGGAAGATCTGCATTACTCAGTGAACCAGTATTTTCTGAATGATCAACGCATGATGATACAAAATTGTGCCTGGGCAAGCCTCATTCAAAGTGTAAGAAATACTAATGGATTTTAATGTAACTGAGTATAAAAAGTTTATTAATAAGGTTTCACAGTTTTAAGAAACTACTACTTATTGAGTTTTGGTATAGTATCAAGAAAGAATCTCCATAATTATCTGAAAGGCTATTAAAATACTCCTTCCCTTTTCTACCACACATCTGTGTGAGGCAAGCTTTTTTTCGTATACTTTAACCAAAATAAAATATCACAGCAAAGTAAATCCAAAAGCAGATATGAGAATTTCTATGTTTTCTATTAAGCCAGACATTAAGAGATTTGCAAAAACAGAAAACAACTTTTGCTCTTCTCACTAATGTTTTTTATTTTGGAAAATACAGTAATTTTCGTTTTTAAAATATATCATTTATGTTCATATGAATGAGTATACTGTTGTTACTTATAGATGAATTAATAAATAAATATATTTAAAATGTTAATTTTTAATATCTAACATGGAATCTACAAAAAAAAAAGCTCTTTGGGATCCTCAATAATTAAGAGTATAAAGGGGTCCTGACATCATTTTGTGTTCTTAATGGAAAGGGTGGTAAACTCAGGTGCCTGTGCTCCTATTATGGCAGCTGAAGCCGTACTGGGATGCTGCCTCTACAGGTGCTTGCGTTAACCACACAGTACAGTCAAGGGCAGGCATGTGACCTAAGCTTGGCCAATTGGACTTTTTCTTCTGGCATTTTAGTTATTGAATGAAATGAAACTACAGTAGAAGATATAGTGTATGTTCATTCATTCTAGTTTTTGAGACCATATGGAGGTTCCTCGTTTCTCTCTGTTACAAGCCCAGTTTCTTCAGTTTTCCTGTCATTCTAGCAGGACAATACATCTCTCCACACTCATCACCCCCCGCATCTCCATATTTTAGCCACCATAGGATTCTGTTGCCTGCTACCAAAAAATCTTAATAATACATTAAATCTCTTACTTTACCCTGGAAATGACTTCTCCTTGAATTTCCTTCATGCTGCAATTCTGCTCTTTACCTTGAGTGTCTCATGTCCTGATTCGGAAAGCTTTTTGCTCCTGCCTGTGGGTGACACCCAAGAGTTATAGCCTACTCATTCTAGTCAATCCATTAATAGCTGGAATTCAGGCTTAAAACAACTCACATTGGTAAGAAACATGGCTTCTAAGACAATTTTTGTTTCTCATGAATAAATTTCACTTTGTCTAGAGGAGCCCAGGAAATTTCCTGTTTAGCCAATTAAAGCCCATTTTGTTTGTTTGTTTTTAAGTAGGTGAAGATATTTAGAGATCTAATAGGCCCTGTAGAAATAATTTATTATGTTTTTTTGTCGTGGTTATTGTTATATGATAAATGAAGAATCAAAGGGACCTCCTGGTGATAAAAATGCCAGATTTGGAATCAGAAAACCAGAATTACAGCTGTAACCTTTTTTAAAAAATGTATTTTCTGCTTATGTATATAGCTATACCTTTTTTTTTTTTTTTGAAATGGAGCCTGGCTCTGTTGCCCAGGCTGGACTGCAGTGGTACAATCTTGGCTCACTGCAAGCTCCGCCTCCCGGGTTCATGCCGTTCTCCTGCCTCAGCCTCCCGAGTAGCTGGGACTACGGGCTCCTGCCACCACGCCCAGCTATTTTTTTTTGTATTTTTAGTAGAGGCAGGGTTTCATTGTGTGTTAGCCAGGATGGTCTTGATCTCCTGACCTCATGATCTGCCCGCCTCAGCCTCCCAAGTATATAGCTATAACTTTTTAACTCACCTAAAGGTATGTCCTTGAGCAAGGACTAGATGATCTCATCAGGCCCTTCCAATTCTAGAGTTATGTAATTTAAAGTTCAGCAAAGCTTCACCAACTATCACTTCCTACTCTATCCCTCCCTAGACAAGAATTGACGCCTACCTTTCCTGAGCAGTGCTGTTGGCAGGTAATAGCACAGGCTCTGGATGCAAGTAGACAAGTGCCCAAACCTGGGCTAAGTGACCTCACCTCATCTGAAAAATGGGAATGATGATATTAAGGTATTGTTTTGTGGATTAATGAGGTAATGTGCATAACACATTTAGCACAAAGCCTGTAATAGAACAAATGCTTGGTGAAAGCAAGCCACAATGCTATTATAGCTATAGCTGAACACACTTTTCACAGATTATAGTCATCCCGCCACTAAATACATTTTGCAGACAGCTTGCTATTTCTTCTTCTGTAATTCTAAATGTGTTTTACCTACAACTCAGTAGGAGTTAGGCTAAATTTATCGCTTTGCATGGAATCAGCAAAAACTGTAATAGGGTATACTGTCAGTGAGTAATGGCATATATTTGTAAAGGATCAGTGTTTCCTGCAAAGGAGAGGAAGGATTCAGCACCCCATCTAGAAGAGCTCCTTTGCTGCTGAAATTGAATCTGTATGCTGCTCTTCAGTGTATTACTTTACTGTGAGGTGACTCAGGAGATAAGACAACAGAGCATTGTGGGCAAATAGATCACATTCAGAAGAAGCTGCCTCTTAGCACTTGTTTTTCTTGTGCCCTGCTATATCCCTTTTATGGCCTGAATTGTGTTTACCCAAAACTCATATGTTAAAGGTCTTTAGGATGATTCCCTAATCCAATATGATGTCCCTGGGAGAAGAAGAAATCTGGACACAGACGTACATGAGCAGAGGGAAGGCCATGTAAAAACACAGAAAAAAAGATGGTCATCAGAAGCCAAGGAGAGAGGCCTCAGAATAAACCAACCCTGCTGACACCTGGATTTTGGACTTCCACTCTCTAGAGCTGTGAGAAAATAAATTTCTGTTGTTTAAGCCACCCAGTCTGTGCTGTTTTTTATGGCAGCTTGGGCAAACTAATACAATCTCCAAGGCCTAAAAAAGTGTCTGGCACACAGTAGGTATTCAATAAATACTTGTTGGATGACTACAAGAAGAAATGGAGCAGTTGGCAGCTGACACCCAGTTTTAATGAAAGCAAGTCTCAGTTCACACAGTACAAAATAAGTCATTTACTGACAGGTGGCTGAAAACAGTCACACAAGCATGTCTGGAAACTCAGAGGACTCTGAGTTCTCTGTCCTTTTTGAAACTCAGAAGATGCTTTGGACAAAAGGTCAGTGGGGCAAAGGCAAAAATATGCCAGCAGCAGAATTTGCCTAACATCCATTGGACTGAGGACTAGGGCCATTTAGGAATCAAGAATTAAAAAAAAAAAAAAAAAAAAAAGAAGCAGCTGCTGCTTCTCACCTCTGAAGCAGAAGATGCAAATTATATAGCTATGTCACTGAGTCCTGGCTAACAGAGAAACCTCTCAACCTGTTTAGAAGAATCCACGGCCATTAGTGGAAATATTAGTACATCAGAGAGGTTAACTTTGATGATCCCCAAGCAGCACTTGTAAAATTCCATAGTTTACAAACTTCTCCATTCCTTTTCATTTTTCTCTGAGGTTATTGTGGTAAAGCAATCTGCTTAAGGTCTCAAATTAGTCAGTGGCTGTATCAATTAAGCTGATTTCAGAGACAAGTAACAATTCAACAGCTGTAAACAATTAGGAAATTTACTGATTCACATAACTGCAAGTCCAGGAGTGGTATGTAATTCAAGATTTTTTAATCTAGAAGCTCCATAGTGTGCTCCAGAGTTCAGATTCCCTCTGACATTCACAGTTTTAGTATTGCCCTAAAAACAGCTCCCTTAATGGTCATAGAATGGAGGCTTTTTCTTTCACACTCAGTAGATGAGATGGTTTGGCTGCATCCTCACCCAAATCTCATCTTGAATTGTAGCTCCCATAATTCCCATGTGTTGTGGGAGGGACCCAGTGGGAAATAATTGAATCATGGGGGTGGGTCTTTCACATGCTGTTCTCATGATAGTGAGTAAGTCTCATGAGATCTGACGGTTTTATAAAGGGGAGTTCCCCTGCACAGGCTCTCTTGCCTGCTGCCATGTAAGACGTGACTTTTCTTCTCCTTCACCCTCCACCATGATCGTGAGGCCTCTCTCCAGCCATGTGAAACTGTGAGTCCATTAAACCTCTTTCCTTTATAAATTACCCAGTCTCGGGTATGTCTTTATTAGCAGTGTGAGAATAGACTAATACAGTAGACAAAGAGAATCACTTAAAGAAGTTGTACCTGAAGGGTGAGCAAGAACTTTCTCAGAATCCCTCAGTCAGATCCCTTCTTATTTGTCAGTGGTCCAATTTGGATTCACATGTCCATCAAGGAACCAATCATTGCCAAAGCAGGGAGAAGATTGTCTTAAGTCAATCAGGCACACTCCTGAACAACAAAAAAAATATGGCTCCCTTAAGGAGGAAGGCAAAACATATGTGAGATAGGAAATCAGCATTGTCTACCATGGTGGTTCAACTGAAACATGAGCCAGGTCCTTCCTGTCTACCATGTCATTTCTTATCTGAAAAATCTTTACAACTTACAAGTAATTGACAAAATGGTTAATCACGTTGTTAAATAGCTGTTTTCCTCGCAAAAGGACAGTAAGTTTTCTTTAAATAGTGAAGTTCTTACTAGTAATTAAAAGAGGCTACAATATTGAAGGTTCTGATTTTCCTATGATTTCGATAATAAGTTACTAACATTAAGCCATGTCCTCCTGTGTGAAAATCATCCCCTCCCTCGTTCCAACTTTCAGGACATTAAATGTAACTGGGACTACTCCAGGAACACTAAAAGCCACTGCTTTATTACAAACGGTATTTTGCTGCTCATTAAAGTAGGTACATCACACTTAATGAAAGCTCAGTAAGTTATAAGCAAGCATTCTCAAGAGTAAGTCATCATGACTGCCAACCTGGTGCTTTCAGCTGTGGAGCATCCCCTAGGGACTAGGTGGAGAAGTGCCGGGGAAGCTGGAGCTCCTACCTACAGATGTCTTGGCACTGGAGGCTGCTTTCTTTGAGCCTAGCCTTCCAGGCAATTGATCCTGATCCTTTGGCTCAGAGAATCATTATCGTTTTTAGCTTTGCAGCAGGAGACCAATAGAGACAAATGAAGAAATTAGAACCATACTCAGGCTTCACCAAATCTTATGGCAGAGCCCAGAAAAGCCCACTGGGATTGCTCCATAGAGACACCACAGCACTTAAGCACTGACAGTATCAGGTTAGACTAGAAAGCGTGGGCTTCCACAGGGCAGAGGAAAATGGCCCAGGAAGAAGGGGTGAAGCCTCCCTCAAAGACAAAGCGTGCTATAAGGGATCCCAAATCCAATCAAGAACCTAAATCCCAACTCCATCCTCAATGCAGTTTCTCCCCCTCAATTCTTTTATTTTGTTAATGTCTTCATCATCTGTCAGATACTCAAGCTTGAAGCTTCACGGTTACATGTGACTTCTTCTCCCTTATCCCCCATTTCTGATCAGCTGTCAAGAGCTGTCAGTTCTATCTCCTTTACTCCTTTTCTTTCTGCCTCTTCCTCTCCATTCTATTTGCTGTCAGCCTAATTCAGACCCTCATTAACTCTTGTTGGATTATTAACATGGCTTCATCACTGGCCTATTCATCTCCTGCCCCTATGCTGTCCAACCACTCTATTAATTGCTGAATTGATTTTCTTTTTTTTTTTTTTTGAGATGGAGTCTCGCTCTGTCGCCCAGGCTGGAGTGCAGTGGTGCTAACTCGGCTCACTGCAAGCTCGCCTCCCGGGTTCATGCCATTCTCCTGCCTCAGCCTCCCGAGTAGCTGGGACTACAGGCGCTCGCCACCATGCCCCACTAATTTTTTGTATTTTTAGTAGAAACGGGGTTTCACTGTTTTAGCCTGGATGGTCTCGATCTCCTGACCTTGTGATCTGCCTGCCTCGGCCTCCCAAAGTGCAGGGATTACAAGGCATGAGCCACTGCGCCCGGCCCGCTGAATTGATTTTCATAAAGCACAGCTCCAATTCTGTCACTTCCCTGCTTACTGAAAAACTTTAAAAGTCCACTTTCCCTACAAAAACACATCACAATCCCTGTCTTAGATTTAAGAACTTTTGTGTTCTGATTTCCCCAGCCTTATCTTCTAACTCTCCCCTGAATATTCTCATTCTCACAAGACTTCTCAAAATTCCCCATATATACCCCACGTTTCCCTCTCTGATTCCTATCCAAGAGTTACTCTGTACCTGGAATCCCTCAAATCTCCATTTCCACCTACCATTTATCCTCTTAGATCCAGCTGTTATGTTATGGCCTTGGAGGACATATTCACCAGTTGTGATCTATCCATCTTCTGAAAATCCAGTAAGTATTACCTTTCTGCTGTTGCACAAACATCTCTATTTTTCAATTATAAACCATAGCTTTCCCACTGTATTCAACTCATTTTATCCATTAATTATACAAATATTTATTGAGTGGGGTATTATTACTGCTACAGGCACTAGAGACATCATAATGGATGTACAAAACAGACCAAAACCCCCACTATCTTAGAGCTTACATTTTATTAGAGGAGAAAACAATAAGATTAAGAAGAAAAATCTGTAATATATTAGGTAGTGGTGAGTACAATAGAGAAAAGAAAAATCTGAGAAAGGGAAAGGAAGTGTTAGCTCAAGGGGTTTGACATTTTAGATGCAGTGGTCAGGAAAGCACTCATTGAAAAGATGACTTGAAGTGAAATTCTGAAAGAAGTGAGAGAGCCAACCATGCAGATATCTTGAGGTAAGAGTACTCAAGGCAAGGGAAACAGAAAATGTGAAGGCTTTGGAGCAGAAGCTTGCCTGGTGTGCTCAAAGAACAGGAATGGGACCTGCATGGAATGAACATAACAGAGTGTCCCTGGATGTAAAGATTGTAATTAAAGACAATGATGGACATAGAGTAGAATATCCCCAAAAGCAGACATAAAATAGTATCTATTGAAATATTGAACATTTTAAATATATTTCTGTGCTTTTATGTTGATATGGTTTGGGTTTATGTCCCTGCCCATATCCCATTTCAAATTGTAATCCCCAATGTTGGACAAGAGGACTGGTGGGAGGTGATTGGATCATGGAGGACAAATTTCCCCCTTGCTGTTCTTGTGATAGTGGGTGCGTTCTCATAAGATCTGGTTGTTTAAAAGTGTGTAGCACCTCCCCCTTCTCTCTCTTCCTTCTGCTCCAGACATATAGGACATGCCTGCTTCCCTTGCACCTTCTGCCATGATTGTGAGTTTCCTGAGGCCTCCTCAGCCATGCTTCCTGTGCACACTGAGGAACCACAAGCCAATTAAACCTCTTTTCTTTATAAATTATGCAATCTCAGGTAGTTCTTTATATCAGTGCAAGAATGAACTAACACAGAAAAGTGGTACCAAGAGTAGGGTACCTGAAAATGTGGAAGAAACTTTGGAACTGGGTAATGGGCAGAGGTTGGAAGAGTGTGGAGGGCTCAGAAGAAGACAGGAGGATGAGGGAAGGTTTGGAACTTCCTGGAGACTTGTTAAATTGTTGTGGCCAAAATGCTGATAGCGATATGGACAATGAAGTCCAGGCTGATGAGGTCTCAGATGGAGGTGAGGAACTCATTGAGAACTAGAGCAAAGGTCACTTTTGTTAAGCATTAGCAAAGAGATTTCAGCCGTTATGCCCATGCCCTAGAGATCTGTGGAATTTTGAACTTGAGAGAGATGACTTAGGGTATCTGGTGGGAGAAATTTCTAAGCAGCAAAGTGTTCAAGACATGGCCTGGCTGCTTCTAACAGTGTATGCTTATATGTGTGAGAAAAGAGATGATCTAAAACTGGACTTATATTTAAATGGAAAGTAGAACATGAAAGTTTGGAAAATTTGCAGCCCAGCCATATGGTAGAATATTAAAAACCCATTTTCTGGCGAGGAATTCAAGCTGGCTGCAGAAATTTGCACAAGCAAAGAGGAGCCAAATGTTAATAGCCAAGATAATGGGGAAAATTCCTTGAAAATTACAAAGACCTTCACTGCAGGCCCTCCCATCACAGGCCTGGAGGCCTAGTAGGGAAGAATGGTTCTGTGGGCCAGGCCCTGCTGCCCTGCTGCCCTGCACAACCTAGGGACACTGATCCCTGCAACCCAGCCACTCCAGCTCCAGCCATAGATAAAAGGGCCTAAGATACACCTTAGGCCATTGCTCCAGATGGTGCTAGTTGTAAGCCTTGGTGGCTTCCACATGGTGTTTAGCCTGCAGGTGCACAGAGGGCAAGAGTTCAGGTTTGGGAGCCTCTGCCTAGATTTCAGAGGAATGTATGGAAATGCCTGGATGTCCAGGCAGAAGTCTGCTGCAGGGGTGGAGTCCTCATGAAGACCCTCTATTATGGCAGTGCAGAGGGGAAATGTGGGGTTGGAGCCCCCACATGGTGTCCCCACTGGGGCACTGCCTAGTAGAGCTTTGAGAAGAGGGCCACCATCCTCCAGACCCCAGAGTGGTATATCCACTGACAGCTTTGCACCATGGAAAAGTTTTAGGCACTCAATGCCAGCCCTTGAGGTCAGCCATGGGAGCTGAGCCCTGCAAAGCCACAATGGTGGAGCTGCACAAGACATTGGTAGGCCACCCCTTGCAACAGTGTGGCCTGGATGTGAGATATGGAGTCAAAGGAGATTATTTTGGAATTTTAAGATTTAATGGCTGCCCTGCTGGGTTTCAAACTTGTGTGGGGCCTGTAGCCCTTTTGTTTTGGCTGATTTCTCCCTTTCAGAATGGCAGTATTTAGCCAGTGCCTATACTCTCATTGTATCTTGAAAGTAATTAACTTGTTTTTTTTTTTTTATTTTACAGGCTCATTGGCAGAAGGGACTTGCCTTATCTGAGATTAGACTTTGGATTATGGACTTTTGAGTTAATGCTGAAATTAGTTAAAGGACATGAGATCTGGAAGGATACAGGGCAGAATGATATGATTTGGATTTGTGTCCCTCCCCAATCTCATGTCAAATTCTAATTCCCAGTGTTAGACAAGGGGCCTTGTGGGAGGTGATTGGATCATAGGGGTAGACCTCCCATTTGCAGTTCTCAGGATAGTGAGTGAGTTCTCATGAGATCTAGTTGTTTAAAAGTGCGTAGCACCTCCCCCTTCTTTCTCTTCCTCCTGCTCCAGAAACGTAGGATGTTCCTGCTTCCCCTTCAACTTCTGCCATGATTGTAAGTTTCCTGAAGCCTCGCCAGCCATGCTTCCTGTACAACTTGAGGAACTGTTAGCCAATTAAACCTCTGTTCTTTAGAAATTAGCCAGTCTCAGGTAGTTCTTTCTAACAATGCAAGAATGGACTAATACACATGGTTACAAACAGAGTCATTTTTTTTCTACTTAAGAATTCTCATTCCTTCTTTTCATGCAGGCTTACTAGAAATTGACTTTCACAGTGTTTGTTTGAAAATGTCTTTATTTCATCTTCACTTGTGAAAGATAATTTTTCAGGGTAAAGCATTCTATGTTGGCATCATTTTGCTTTCAGAAATGTAAATATTCTTTCCATTGTTTTTTGTCTTCTATGTTTCCTGTTTTCCTGTTCAGAAATCAACTATCTAATTAGAGCAAAGTTTATAGTTTGATCCTTTTGGGCTTGGTTGTTTTTCAAATTTTCTTTTCCTTGGTTTTCAGCAGGCTTATTTTGAAGCATCTCAATGTGCTTTTCTTGCATTTGTTTTGCTTGGAATTCATATGGATTTGTGTATGTATGGTTTGATATCATTAATCAATTTGGGGAAATTCTCAATGATTTTCTATTCATATATTGTTTGTCCATTTTTTTTCTTTTAAAACTATAAATCTACATATGTTTGGTACTTTTATTGCCTCATAAATTGTTTATGCCCACTCTTTCTTTCTTTCTCTTTCTTTCCTTCTTTCTCTTTCTTTCTTGCCTTCTTTTTCTTTTCTCTTTCTCTTTCTTTTCTTTTTCTTTCTCTCTCTCTCTTCCTTCCTTCATCTTTGCTTTCTTCCTTCCTTCTTTCTTTCCTTTCCTCTTTTCTCCTTCTTTCCTTTCTATCTTTTTTGTTTATTTCTCTCTATGCTTAATCTGGACTTTTCTACTTTAGATTTTCCAGTTTAGTAATAACCTCTTCAGCTATGTTCAATCTGTTACAGTTTCCATTTAATTCTTTGTTTTTTAAATAGATCTCAGATTTGGTGAAAGTTCCCATATTGTCATCTATTTCCTTTAACATATTAATCACAGTTACTTTAAAGCTTATGTCTGACTAACTCCAATTTTGTATCACCTGTAGTTTTGTTCCTATGATTTATTTTTCTCTTTGTCTTATTTTTGATAGAAATTATACTTTTTGATTGAATGCTGGATATTATATATGAAAAACTATAAGCACTTCCATTCATGTTATTTTCCTCCAGAGAAGATTCACTCAATCATATATGGCAGATAGCGAAAATAGGACATGTCTCCATTAACTATTGCTGCGTAACAACATTACCCAGAGTTAATTGCATTAAAAAAAAATCATAATCCCAGCACTTTGGGAGGCCGAGGCAGGAGGATCACTTGAACCCAGGAGTTCAAGACCAGCCTGGGCAATGTAGTGAAACCCCATCTCTACAAAACATGCAAATATTAGCTGGGAGTGGTGGCGTATGCCTGTAGTTCCAGCTACTTCGGGGGCTGAAGTGAGAGGATCACTTGAGTCCAGGCTGTCAAGGCTGCAGTGAGCCAAGATTGTGCCACTGCACTCCAGCCTGGGCAACAAGAGTGAAACTCTGTCTCAAAAACAAAACAAAACTAAGCACTTATCAAGCTTGTGATTCTGTGGGTTAGGAATTCAGGCAGGATCCAGCAGGGATACCTCAGCTCTGCTCCATGTTGTCTATAGTCACAGCTGGGGTGATTCAAATGGCTGAAGACAATTGGGACAACTTAAATAAAGCCCTATGTATGGAGCCTCTGTTTTTGTCCACATGGTGTCTCCTGTGGAGCTAGCTCCTTTACTCACATATTTATTCCCTGGGCTGGGATGGCTGGAACAGATGAGAGTTGGCTAGACTCACTTTCAACACATTGTGGTCTTAAGGTAGTATGACTTCTTCATGACAAGTGGCTTCCCACAGAGTGGGCATGTCAGTAGAGAACTTTCCAAAAGGCCTAAGTGAAAGCAGCAACGCTTCTTATAGTCTTAGTCTCAGAAATCACACAAGGTCACTTTCAGGGCATATTTATACATATGGCAGATTCGGGGAATGAACATCAAAAGAGGAAAAAACATAGTGAAGTAGATCATGTCATTCTAATTAACAAATTCAAGGTGGCATTTCAGACTTTGAAAGTTTAGGCAATTTCTGTTTGCCTCCAGTCCTAGAGTTAGCCCTTCAGGGGTCACGACTGAGTCCAAGGTACTTAGAACTTTTCTTCCTTTGTGGCTGTTAGATTACCATTTGTGTCTCCTTACTACTGGAAAGCTGATGAAACTCCTTTTGACTTTTATCCTATGACTTTTACTCAAAATCTAGGACATTTTCCCTTCTCTCCAAAATCTTCTTCCCAGAATCTTGATTTCTCAAGTCATGTCTGCTTTTGTTGTCACAAATCTAATTTTTATCTCTTCAGCATCATGAGATTCCCAAGGGCTCTGCTGGATTCTCTGTCTCTTGTGTCATTTCTCTGTTCAGCTTCTCAGCCACTCATCTAACAAAGCTTATCAATAGGCAAATACCCCATGGATAAATTAGGGGACAGAACATTGTGCTTGCCTCATTAAGTTCCCTTTTCCTCTCAATACGTGCCTCAAGTTCTGCATACCTTGAAAGCTTCCCCACTTATACAAACATATTTTTTGTGCCTTTCTAATTGTTCTTGACAGTAGGTTTGGTCTACTACAAGTGACACCACCATCATCAGAAGTAGAAGTCCATAGCCTTTTATTTGAATGATTTTCACTGGCTCACCACTCACAATAGCTCATGTACTGTTTCTGATTATCATATTCTCTAACTTTGTGACGTATTTTCACCATATGGAATCTTCTTGTTTTTTTTTACCCAGCTTTCATGGGGATGATGATATCCCTGATCCCCCAGGACCATAATGTCCCTTGTCCTTGATGCAGACACTGTCTATATTTCTTTTAGATTCCCCCAAATAAATACCCACTCAGAAGATATCTAGTCACAAGCCTTTGGTTAAACTAGAGCTAGACCTTTTTTTTTTTTTTTTTTTTTTTTCTGAGACAGAGTCTTGCTCTGTCGCCCAGGCTGGAGTGCAGTAGCTCAATCTCAGCTCACTGCAAACTCCATCTCCCGGACTGTTCAAGCAATTCCCTGCCTCAGCCTCCCCAGTAGCTTGGCACCACGCCCAGCTAATTTTTGTATTTTTAGTACAGACTAGGATTCCCCATCTTGGCCAGGATGATCTTGAACTTCTGACCTCGCAATCCACCCGCCTGGGATTACAGGCGTGAGCCACTGCTGGGATTACACGCATGAGCCACTGCGCCCGGCCAAGCTAGACTTTAATAGCTTACCCTAGTCTATACAGCAGAACCAGGGTATAAGCCACATCATGTCTTTCACATCCCACTTATGGTAGAATAATATACTGAAACATGTTCCAGACCTATTTACAAAGCTGTTGTGTGTTCTCATACTCTGATTCATAATGTATTACATGACTTTAAGGTTGCTGCTTTGCATACCCATTACCAAAATAGAAAAAATCTAACTTAATAATAATAAATCGGTTTTTAAAAAATACCATCTATACTCATTCCTTCTTCCCTCCAGAGTACAGTAATTTTTACAGCAGGCTGCTAAATATATCAAGGGATAAACCACCACTCATCTGGTGGTATAAAGAAGAAAGTGAATATTAAAAACAAAAATGGCAAAAAGGGCCTCAGCTTCCTGCTTCACCTGTTAGTTTTCTTTCCTGAGCACTGAGCTTGCCAAGATTGATGTCAGATGCAGCCTCAAACTCCCCTGCATTAACAGAAAGCATTAGGTTCTCAGGTGAGAAAGTTTTTCTTTAGTGACAACTCTTGCAGACAAATCCAGTTAATATGCCTGTGTGTGCATGTGCACATGCACACATATTCATGTATACTAACAGCTTGATAGATGAGAAATGGCTTTCTGATGATTTTTAAATCAATTTTTATAGTTTAAGGGCTTTTTTTCCAGAAGAGGAGAAAACTTTATTTAGGTAGTCAAGTGTTTGAACTTGCTGACAGGCACTTCGCAAATAATTTTTGAGTGAATAAATGAATGTGAATAATTGAATGACTAGTGGACTCTTGCATTCCTTCTTCAATAAAAACCAAAAGCAAAGCAAAGCAAAACACAACAAACAAACACAGAAATCCAGTTCTCCTAAGACTAGCACAAAAGGAGATCTGCTACTTGGGGAGCATGATAAGGTAGACTATCCATTTTAACTTTCTGCTCTAGATTTCTCACAGCACAGGAAAAACAAGGGCCTGTATGTTAAAAAGTTATTTTACTAAAGTTGGGGGATAACAAAAAGAAAAACAAAAGAAGCATGAGATCATCTATTCTGTTTGGCAAGACACAATGTTCTCTGTGTTCAAAAATTGAGTTCTTAAGAATCACAATAAAATGATACAGGAGCTGACAGATAAAATAGCCTGTATAAAAAAGAACCTAACAAAACTGACAGAACTGAAAAACACACTACAAGAATTTCACAATGCAATCACAGGTATTAACAGTAGAACAGACCAAGCTGAAGAAAGAATCTTGGAACTTGAAGACTGACTCTAAAATAAGGGAGTCAGAAAAAAATAAAGAAAAAAGAATGGAAAGGAATGAACAAAACTTCAAGAAATATGGGATTATATAAAAATGTCAAATCAACAAATCACTGGAATCCCTGAAAGGAACAGGGAAAAACCAAACAACCTGGAAAATATATTTCAGTATATCATCTGTGAAAACTTCCCCAACCTCACTGGAGTGGCCAACAGTCAAATTCAGGAAATCCAGAGAACCCCTGCAACATTCTATACAAGAAGATCATCCCCAAGACACAAATTCATCAGATTTTCCAAGGTCAAAATGAAAGAAAGGATGTTAAAGGTAACCAGAGAGAATGCACAGTGGTCACCTACAAACAGAATCCCATCAGGCTAAGAGCAGACCTCTCAGCAGGGACCCTACAAGCCAGAAGAGATGGGGGATCTATATTCAACATTCAAGAAAAAAAAATCTTTAACCAAGAATTTCATATCTAGCCAAACTAAGCTTCCTTAGCAAAGGTGGAATAAGATTCTTTTCAGATAAGCAAATGCTGGGGGAGTTCATTAACCCCACACCCACCTTACAAGAGATCTTGAAAGGAGCACTAAATATGGAAAGGAAAGATCATTAACAGCCAATACAAAAACACATTTAAGTATACAGAGCAGTGATACTATAAAGCAACCACACAGTAATAACCAGCTAACAACACAATGACAGTATAAAATTCTCACATATCAATGCTAACTTTGCAAATATGTTAAATGCCCCATTAAAAAGACATAAAGTGGCAAGCTGGATAAAGAAGCAAGATTGAATGGTATGCTGTCTTCAAGAGATCCATCTTACAAGCAATGACAGCCATAGGCTCAAAATAAATGGATGAAGGAAAATCTACCAAGCAAATGGAAATCAGAAAAAGCAAGGGTTGCAATCTTAATTTCAGACAAAACAGACTTTAAACCAACAAAGGTCAAAAAAGACAAGGCCATTACATAATGGAAAAGGTTCAATTCAATGAAAAGAACTAACTATCCTAAACATATATGCAACCACCAAGGAGCACACAGATTCATAAAGCAAGTTCTTAAAGACCTACAAAGAGACTTAGACTCCCACACAATAATAGTGAGAGAATTCAACCCTCCACTGACAGTATTAGACAATGTTAAGCAGATCATCAAGGCAGAAAATTAATAAAGATATTCTGGACCTGACATCAACATTGGATCAAATGTATCTGATAGATGTCTACCAAACTCTCCATGCCAAAACAACAAAATATACATTCTTCTCATCACCACATGGCACATACCCTAAAACTGACCACACAATCAAACATAAAACAATCCTCAGCAAATGCAAAAGAATTGAAATTATACTAAGCACACTCTCAGACTACAGCACAATGAAAATAGAAGTTAAGTCTTAAAAAAATCACTCAGAACCATGCAATTACATGGAAATTAAACAACCTGCTCCAGAATAACTTTTGGGTCGATAATGAAATTAAGGCAGAAATCAAGAAGTTCTTTGAAACTACCGAGAATAAAGATACAACATACCAAAATCTCCAGAACACAGTTAAGGCAGTGTTAAGAGGGAAATGTATAGCACTAAATGGCTCCATCAAAAAGTTAGAAAAAGCTCAAATTAATGACCTAATATCACGACTAAAAGAACTAGAGAAGCAAGATCAAACCAACTCCAAAGCTAGCAGAGCACAAGAAACCACCAAAATCCACGCTGAACTGAAGGAGATTGAGACACAAAAAACCATTCAAAAGATCAATGAATCCAGGATTTAATTTTTTGCAAAAAAAAAAAAAAAAAAAAGATAGGCCACTAGCTACACTAATAAAGAAGAAAAGAGGGAAGATCCAAGTAAACTCAGTTAGAAAAGGCCAAGAGCATGTTACCACTGACCCCACAGAAATACAAACAACCATCAGAGACAACTACAAACACCTCTATACACACAAACTATTAATAGAAAACCTAGAAGAGATAGATAAATTCCTGGACACGTACACCCTCCCAAAACTGAATCAGGGAGGAATTGGTTCCCTGAACAGGCCAATAATGAGCTCTGAAATTGAATCAATAATGAATATCTTACCAATCAAAAAGAGCCCAGAGTCAGAAGGATTCACAGCTGAATTCTACCAGATGTACAAAGAAAAGCTGTTATCATTCCTACTGAAACTCTTCCAAAAGAATTGAGGAAGAAGGACTCCTCCCCTACCCATTCTACGAGGCCAGCATCATCCTGATACCAAAACCTGGCAGAGACACAACAAAAAAATAAAACTTCAGGCCAATACAATATCCTTGATGAACACTGATGCAAAACTCCTCAAGAAAATCTTGTAAACCAAATCCAGCAGCACCTCAAAAAGCTAACCCATCACAATCAAGTAGGTTTTATTCCTGGGATGCAAGGTTGGTTCAACACACACATATCAATAAATGTGATTCATCACATAAACAGAACAAAAGACAAAAAACACATGATTATCTCAATAGATGCAGAAAAGTCTTTTGATAACATTCAACATCCCTTTATGTTAAAAACTCAATAGATTGGGTACTAAAGGAACATACCTCAAAATAATAAGAGCCATCTATGACAAATCCAGGCTGGGCACAGTGGCTCATGCCTGTAATCCCAACACTTCGGGAGGTCAAGGCAGGCAGATCACTTGAAGAGTTTGAGATCGGTATAGCCAACATGGTGAAACCCAATCTATACTGAAAATACAAAAATTAGCCAGGTGTGCCCTCTCCCTCTCCCTCTCCCTCTCCAGGTGTGCCCTCTCCCTTTCCCTCTCCCTCTCCCTCTCCCCTTTGCACGGTCTCCCTCTGATGCCAAGCCAAGGCTGGACTGCACTGCCGCCATCTCAGCTCACTGCAACCTCCCTGCCTGATTCTCCTGCCTCAGCCTGCCCAGTGCCTGGGACTGCAGGCGCGCGCCGCCACGCCTGACTGGTTTTTGTATTTTTTGGTGAAGACAGGGTTTCGCCGTGTTGGCCAGGCTGGTCTCCAGCTCCTGACCACGAGTGATCTGCCTCGGGCTCCCAAGGTGCTGGGACTGCAGACGGAGTCTCGCTCACTCAGTGCTCAATGTTGCCCAGGCTGGAGTGCAGTGGCGTGATCTCGGCTCGCTACAACCTCCACCTCCCAGCCGCCTGCCTTGGCCTCCCAAAGTGCCGAGATTGCAGCCTCTTCCCGGCCGTCATCCTGTCTAGGAAGTGATGAGCGTCTCTGCCCGGCTGCCCATCGTCTGGGATGTGGGGAGCGCCTCTGCCCCGCTGCCCCATCTGGGATGTGAGGAGCGCCTCTGCCCGGCCGCGACCCCGTCTGGGAACTGAGGAGTGCCTCTGCCCGGCGGCGACCCTGTCTGGGAACTGAGGAGTGTCTCTGCCCCGCCGCCACCCGGTCTGGGAGGTGAGGAGCGTCTCTGACCAGCCGCCCCGTCTGAGAAGTGAGGAGCCCCTCCGCCCGGCAGCCACCCAGTCTGAGAAGTGAGGAGCCCCTCTGCCCCGCAGCCGCCCGGCCTGGGAAGTGAGGAGCGTCTCCGCCCAGCAGCCGCCCCGTCCGGGAGGTGTACCCAACAGCTCATTGAGAACGGGCCATGATGACGATGGTGGTTTTGTCGAATAGAAAGGGGGGAAATGTGGGGAAAAGAAAGAGAGATCGGACTGTTACTGTGTCTGTGTGGAAAGAAGTAGACATAGGAGACTCCATTTTGTTCTGTACTAAGAAAAATTCTTTTGCCTTGGGATGCTGTTAATCTATAACCTTGCCCCCAACCCTGTGCTCTCTGAAACATGTGCTGTGTCCACTAAGGGTTAAATGGATTAAGGGCGGTGCAAGATGTGCTTTGTTAAACAGAGGCTTGAAGGCACCATGCTCGTTAAGAGTCATCACCACTCCCTAATCTCAAGTACCCAGGGACACAAACACTGCGGAAGGCGGCAGGGCCCTCTGCCTAGGAAAACCAGAGATCTTTGTTCACATGTTTATCTGCTGACCTTCCCTCCACTATCGTCCTATGACCCTGCCAAATCCCCCTCTCCGAGAAACACCCAAGAATGATCAATAAATACTAAAAAAAAAAAAAAAAAAAAAAAAAAATTTGCCAGGTGTGATGGTGCAACCCTGTAATCCCAGCTAGTCGGGAGGCTGAGGTAGGAGAATCACTTGAACCCAGGAGCTGGAGGTTGTGGTGAGCCATGCACTCCAGCTTGGGCGACAGAGTGAGACTACATCAAAAAAAAAAAAAAATTCTGAAAACAAACCCACAGCCAACATCATACTGAATGGGCAAAGGATGGAAGCATTCCCCTTGAAAACAAAAACAAGCACAAGACAAGGATGCCCTCTCTCACCACTCCTATTTAACACAGTATTGAAGTCCAGGCCAGAACAATCAGGCAAGATAAAGAAATAAAGAGTATTTAAATAGGATGAGGGGAAGTAAAACTATCCCTGTTTTCATACAACTTGATTCTATATGTAGAAAACCCCATAGCGTCAGCCGAAATGCCTGTTCAGCTAATAAAAAACTGCAGAGAAGTTTGAGGATATAAAATCATTGTACAGTGGCAGTTCCTCAGGGATCTAGAACTAGAAATACCATTTGACCCAGCCATCCCATTACTGGGTATATACCCAAAGGATTATAAATCATGCTGCTATAAAGACACATGCACACGTATGTTTATTGTGGCACTATTCACAATAGCAAAGACTTGGAACCAACCCAAATGTCCATCAATGATAGACTGGATTAAGAAAATGTGGCACATATACACCGTGGAATACTATGCAGCCATAAAAAATGGTGAGTTCATGTCCTTTGTAGGGACATGGATGAAGCTGGAAACCATCATTCTCAGCAAACTATCGCAAGGACAAAAAACCAAACACTGCATGTTCTCACTCATAGGTGGGAACTGAACAATGAGAACACATGGACACAGGAAGGGGAACATCACACACCGGGACCTGTTGTGGGGTGGGGGGAAGGGGGAGGGATAGGATTTGGAGATATACCTAATGTTAAATGACGAGTTAATGGGTGCAGCACACCAACATGGCACATGTATACATATGTAACTAACCTGCACGTTGTGCACATGTACCCTAAAACTTAAAGTATAATAAAAAAATTTAAAAAATAAAATCACTGTGCAAAAATCACTAGCATTTGGGTATACCAACAACAGCCAATCTCAGAGCCAAATCAGGAACGCAATCCCATTCACAATTGCCACAAAAAGAATAAAATACCTAGGAATGCAGGTAACTAGGGAGATGAAAGATTTCTATAAGGAGAACTACAAAACACTGTTCCAAGAAATCAGAGATGACACAAACAAATGGGAAAACATTCCATGCTCATGGATAGGAAGAATCAATAGCATTAAAATGACCATACTGCCCAAAGCAATTTACAGATTCCATGCTATTCCTATCAAACTACCAATGACATTCTTTACAGAACTTGAAGGAACTACTTAAAAATTCATATGAAACCAAAAAAGAGCCCAAATAGCCAAGGCAATCCTAAGCAAAAGGAATACCATGTTAACTGGCTTTAAACTATACTACAGGACTACAGTAACCAAAATCATGGTAGTTGTACAAAAACAGACACATAGACCAATGGAACAGAATAGAGAACGCAGAAATAATGCCACACACCTATAACCATCTGATCTTCAGCAAAGCTGACAAAGACAAGCAATGGGGAA
Source organism: Homo sapiens (assembly GCF_000001405.40). Classification (NCBI taxonomy): domain Eukaryota; kingdom Metazoa; phylum Chordata; class Mammalia; order Primates; family Hominidae; genus Homo; species Homo sapiens. Next base: position 117,780,047 of record NC_000008.11, read on the forward strand.
AGGACTCTGTAGTCAGTAGGTGGTGCTGGGATAACAAGCTAGTCATGTATAGAAGATTGAAACTAAAACTCTACTTTCCACCATATACAAAAATCAATTCAAGATGGACTAAAGACTTAAATTTTAAAATGCAAAACTATAAAAACCCTAGATGAAAACCTAGGAAATAGCATTCTGGACATTAGCCCTGAAAAGACTTCATGACGAAGACTCCAAAAGCACTCACAACAAAAGCAACAATTGAAAAAAGGGGTCTAATTAAACTAAAGTGCTTCTGCAGAGCAAAATAAACTATCAATATAGTAAACAACCTACAGAATGGGAGAAAATATTTGCAGATTTTATATCGGACAAAGGTCTAATATCTACCATCTATAAGGAATTTAACAAATTTTCCAGAAAAAAACAAACAACTCCATTAAAAAGTGGGCCAAGGGCCGGGGGCGGTGGCTCATGCCTATAATCCCAGCACTTTTGGGAGGCTGAGGTGGGCGGATCACCTGAGGTCAGGAGTTCGAGACTAGCCTGGCCAACATGGTGAAACCCCATCTCTACTAAAAATACAAAAATTAGCCAGGTGTGGCGGCAGGCACCTCTAATTCCAACTACTTGGGAGGCTGAGGCAGGAGAATCACTTGAACCTGGGGGGCGGAGTTTGCAATAAGCCAAGATCACACCACTTCACTCCAGCCTGAGCGAAAGAGTGAGATTCCAACTGAGAAAAAAAAAAAAAAAAGTGGGCGAAGTACATGAACAGACACTTTTCAGAAGAAAACATATGTATGGCCAACAAGCATATGAAAAAAAGCTCAATATCACTGATCATTAGAGAAGTGCAAATCAAACCACAGTGAGATACCATCTCACACTAATCAGAATTGCTATTATTAAAAAGTCAAAAAATAACAGATGCTGGTGAGGTTGTGGAAAAAAGGGAATGCTTATACACTGTTAGTGGGAGTTTAAATTAGTTTAAATTAGTGGGAGTTTAAAACCATTGTGGAAAGCAGTGTGGTGATTCCTTAAAGAGATAAAAACAGAATTACCATTTGAACCAGCAATCCTATTACTGGATATATACCCAAAATAATATAAATCATTTTACCATAAACTCACAAGCACGCATATGTTCACTGCATTACTATTCATAATAGCAAAGACATGGAATCAACTAAAAGCTTATCAATGACAGATTGGATAAAGAAAATGTCGTACATATACACCATGGAATATTATACTGCCTTAAAAAAAGAATGAGATCATATCTTTTGCAGGAACATGAATACAGCTTAAGGCCATTATCCTTAGCAAAGTAACACAGAAACAGAAAACAAAATACTGCATGTTCTCACTTATAAGTGGGAGCTAAATGATGAGAACACATGGACCCATAGATGGGAACACAGAAACTGGGGCCTACTTGAGGGTGAAGGGTGGGAGGAGGGAGAGGATAAGAAAAAATAACAATTGAGTACTAGACTTAGCACCTGCCTGACGAAATAATCTGTACAACAAACTCCTGTGGCATGAGTTTCTCTATATTACAAACCTGCACATAGTACCCCAAACCTAAAATAAAAGTTTTAAAAATTCAGTTCTATCAACACATAACCCTCTGAACAAAGTACTTCCAACTACCTACTCTGTTTCCATGTCTTAGAGGACATATTCAACCATCCCTATCTGAATGTGCCTTCCCAAGCCTTCGAAATTCTTCCAAGTTATTCAACAAACAATCATTGAGTACTAACTCTGGATCAGGCACTATCTAATCACTGGCACACAAAAATGACTAAAATACTATCCTTGCCCTCACATATCTCCCAATCTTGTGCCAGAAAGGCACCTAAACAGAAACCCCCACTATAATGTGGTATATGCTGTGAAAGAAATATGCACAGGATGCTACGGTAGAACAGGTAAAGGGTATCTGATCTAGTATACCCTGAGATGGCTGTGGGGAAAAATAGAACAGAAATTCCGGAGGAAGTATTGACTGAATTCACTCTTAAAGAATCAGTGAAAAATCACCTGGGGTAGGTTTGGGAAAGGAAGAGAATAGAATTCTAGGCAGTAGGGACAACATTAGCAAATGCATGAAGACTAAAAACAATAAAATATGTGCTGATAACCATAAGTAGTTCACTATTGCTGAAAAAGAAAGTGACACTTGGAAGAATAGCAAGAGGCATCAGGGTTGGGATTATGAGACCTAGAAAACCATGTAAAGGAGTTTGAACTCCATCTCCTAGGCAATGCAGAATCATTGAGTGCTTATAAGTAGCAGAGGGATGTGGTTAGACTTGTTATTTAGATAAACCATTCCCTATACTTTGTTTTCTATATGTACATTTGCTATGGTCTGAATGTTTGTGTCTCCCCAGATTTCATAGGTTGAAACTAATCCCCAATGTGAGAGGATTAAGAGGCAGGGTTTAAGGGAGGTGATTAGGTTATGAGGAGTCTGCTCTCATTAATGGCATTAGTGTCTTCATAAAAGAAGTTTGAAGAAGGCTTTTTGCCACTTCCACCATATGAGGACACATAGAAGGTGCCATCTATGAGGAAGCCCCCGACCCCGCCCAAACACCAAATCTGCTGGAGCCTTGATCTTAGACTTTCCAGCCCCCAGAACTGTGAGCAATAAATTTCTGTTGTTTATAAATTACCCAGTCTAAGGTACTTTGTTGGGGCAATTTGAATGGACTAATACAGCCTTCCTCTAAAAAAGTGGCCCATAGCTTTCATCAGATTCTAAAAGGTATCCATGACCCAAAAGGATCATGGACCTTGGCATGGAGAATAATTCTAAATATGACCATTTATCAGAAGTATCTGTTCATATGTTAAAATAGTCAGATGATAGGACATACCCCATGCCTATTGAATCAGACTTAGGATGTGGGCATAGAAATCTATATGTTTTTTAAAGCTCCTTTAGTGGTGCTGATAGGCATACAAATTCAGGAGCCATTGATCAGGACCAAGAGAGCTAGATTTCAACTCTTAACTGCCAAGGATTCATCCACATAGACTCTATCTCTTTTTGTTTACTTGCATTATCAATGACCTTTTCCCTCGAATGAGGTCTTAACTTCATGTGAGAATGTGTCCTTACTTTTGAAAACTACAGTAGGATAATCATTAAATTGCTGGATAAGGCAACCCCAATTTTCTTGCAGGAGCCATGGCCCACCTTTAGTAATTTAGTTGGGTGATTCCCTTAGATAATCTGTGATCCAGGCTAACTCAAAAAGGTAATTGGCTTTTGCATGGTTATTTAAGGAGCGGTTTTGTAGCATTCATGTAGGATGCATAAGGTATTCACCTAAATAACATGAAGACAGTTGTTTCCATAATTAAAGATTAAGTGATATATTGCAGAGTTGTTGCCTTTAAGCAGTTTGAGGCTTTATTTTTATAGAAACTACAAGATGATGGGCGAGGAAAAAAGGGGGCCTCAAAATAAAGTATTTAGACAATGTTATGCAAAAAATAGCTAAAGGAATTTGTTCCTGCCAATTTCTACAAGCTATAAATAAAGAGTTAGGGAGTGAAAAGGAATAAACCAACATGTAATGCTTCTGAGATATGCTTGGCTTAAAGATACTTTTTTCTTCAAAAAGGTTGGAAACAGATTGGCCATAGATATAATATTCAGTGAAAAATCTGAATGTTCTCTTTCTTACCTAAGGAAGGGGGTGGAATATCATACCCATTTGTTGGGAAAACTAGGTCAGATTATATCCATTCATAGATGCTCTAAGTCAGAGCTAGACCAAGGGTTTGGGATCATGAAGAATAACAAAACATATTAGTCACCCGATACAGATAATTTCCCATATCTGTCAAAAATGCAAAATGTCTATCACTCTTAGCCCTCTCCTCCCCTCCCATCTTCAGAAGCAGTTTTGCCTATCATGACCATCGTCTCTACGTGGTTAAATTGTATTATTGATAATGTCAACACACTGGTTGATCCTTTGACTCAAGGTGACTTGGTTTGGAAATGGGTTCATTTTCCCACTGAGAATCTTCAGGCCAATTAATTCAACCTTATTTGGAAACTACAGGTAATTAATTATTTTTTGTTAACCTTGAGCACTCCCACAAGATAGGATAGCAAAAAATAAAAGATTTGGTGGGATTTCACGTGCTATATTTAGTGGAAATGTCATATAAACTGGAGGATGAAATCTTCCTACAAAATCAAAATCCAATATATGGAAAGACTGCTAAGAAATAGGACTGTCTTACTTAGTAAGAGACAGGCCGTTTCTGCTGTAACTTTCTATGATTTTAAGCATTTAGGAAGGCATTCCTTACCCCAGTATTAGTAGAATCTAAGGAGTCCCTGGATAACCTTTAGGGAGTCCATGAAACTCTTTAATGATGTCATATTATGAAATGTCAAATATTGTGTGCATGTGCTTATGTGTATCCCTGGGCCAGAAGTCATAACTTTAACTGAATCTTAAAGAAGTGTGGGACCCAACAAGCTTGAAAACCAATTGCTCTAGCATTTCCACAGTAATGCAAAGCCTACTTTCGTAAGTCCTGAATGTCTCCCTATGGTATAGCCAATCTACTTTTAGGAAAGGTGCTGTGTTGTCTTCTTATTGGCTAATATTTGTTTTCAAAAATGCATTTCGTTTATTGTCTGTGAATTTGCATATTCATAACACATCTTAAATTGAAGTATAACATAGTAAAGTGCATAAAGAGAGGTTAAGTATACAATTCCTTGAGTTATGACAGTTATATGTACACTTGTAACCACCTCCCAAATCAAGATATAAAAGATTTAAATTACCCTAGGCACTTCTCTCATAATGCTTTAGTTATTTCTCACCTCCTTCCCAATGCAGAGACAACCACTGTTCTTATTATTATCATCACAAATTATTTTTGCCAATTTCAAAACTTCATAACAGTATTTTCTTAATGGCATCTTCTAATGAACTTTTCACTGAAAGAAACTTTTCATCAAAATTGTTTATTTTTATTTTTATTCCTTTATTTCATATTTTTTTTTATGATTACTTTTTGTTTGTCCTAAGAAATGTTTTCTTACTCCAAGGTCATAAAAATAGTCTCCAACCTTTTCTTAAATACCACTGCTTTTGATATGTTGATCTTGTATAGTAAGACCTTCATATATTCACTTATTTCTATTAGTTTTTTGTGGATTCTTTGGGGTTTCTAAATACTTCTAAGTAGAATTGAAATAGCTTTACTTCATCCTTTTCAATCTTTATGACTTTAATTTTTTATTATTGGTATTACTGCACTGGCTGGGATTCCAGTACAATGTTGAATAGAAATGGTGAGAGTGGACTTTGAACTGTTTCTGATCTTAGAGGGAAAGTACTCAATGATTCACCATTGATTATAATGTTAACTGTAGGGTTAACATGTTGAGAAAGTTAATCAGGTTGATAAAGTCCCCTTCTGTTTCTATTTTACTGAGACTATTTATAATAAACAGTGGTTGAATTTTGTTAATGCTTTTTCTGTATTTTTTGAAATGATCTTATTATTTTTCTCTTTGCTAAAAATGTGAGTAACCTTGAGTTGACTTTCTGTGTAAATCAACCTTGTGTCCCAGGAAAAAACTCCAATTGATCATGATGTGTTATCCTTTTTATACATTGCTGTATTCAATATGCTAATATATTTATTTTTTGTGTCTATTTCATGAGGGATATCAGTATGTAATTGTTTTTTCTTGTTATATCTTTGTTGGTTTTATTAATCAACATTATGCTAACTTCATACAATATATTGGAACATGCTCCCTCCTTTTATTTTCTGGAAGGGTTCATGTAACACTGAAATTATTTCATTTTTAAACATTTGATATAATTCATTAAAAATCCAATTGTTCCTTGATATTTTCTAAAGAAAAGGTCATTGTTACAAATTCAAAACCTTAATAAATATAAGGCCATTTATATTTTCTGTTTCTTTTTGTGTTGGTTTTGGTAAATTTGTATTTTTCAAAAAGTTTTTCACTTTAACTTGTTAAATTTATTGGTATTAATTTTTCATAATGTTCTCTTTTTGGTCTTTAAGAGTTAATTTAATTTAATGAGTGTACATTATTTTTTAAAATAAAAAAGAAAAACTTGAAAATGCAAATTAACAACCACATCCCCATTTGCCCCAATACGCTGTAGACCCCACCACAAACACAATACAGATGAGTGAATCAACAGTAACGTGCTCAGAGCTGGGGCATGTGACTGTTATGACCGAGTTCCATATTATTGTCTACACCTAATGCAATGGTGCAATAGAGATCCATGTGATGTGGCACTTCACCATGGAAGGTTTTGCAGATTGCTGAATCGAGACAGGCAGTGGAATATAATAGAAAGCACACTCGGAAATAGATTGGTTGATTCGTAGATTTACTAGTAATTATTATGTGACCAGGGACAATCTCTTAACTTCCTTATGCCTCGTGGTGCAGCAAAATATCACAAATCACCACTAATGAACTTACTGATATAACCAAACACCACTTGTTCCCCAAAAACCTATGGAAATAAAAATAAATAAATAAATAAATAAATAAACCAAAATACCTCCATATTGACCAGATAAGGAAACTGAGGCATAAGGAAGTTAAGAGGTTGTCTCTTTTTGGTCTTCTAATACCTTCTAATACCTGTATAGTGATGTTCTCTCTTTTGTTCCTCATATTGGTCATTTGTGTAATTAAGGTCTGCTAGAGATGAAATTTCTCAACTATTGTCTGTCTGAAAATATTCTTGCCATTCTTTTGAAGGATTTTTTTTTATTAGACTTTAAGTTCTAGGGTACATGTGCACAACGTGCAGGTTTGTTACATATGTATACATGTGCCATGTTGGTGTGCTGCACCCATTAACTCGTCATTTAGCATTAGATATATCTCCTAATGCTATCCCTCTCCCCTCCCCCCACCCCATGACAGGTCCCCGTGTGTGATGTTCCCTTTCCTGTGTCCAAGTGTTCTCATTGTTCAATTCCCACCTATGAGTGAGAACATGTGGTGTTTGGTTTTTTTGTCCCTGAGATAGTTTGCTGAGAATGATGGTTTCCAGCTTCATCCATGTTCCTACAAAGGACATGAACTCATCATTTTTTATAGCTGCATAGTATTCCATGGTGTATATGTGCCACATTTTCTTAATCCAGTCTATCATTGATGGACATTTGGGTTGGTTCCAAGTCTTTGCTATTGTGAATAGTGCTGCAATAAACATACATGTGTATATGTCTTTATAGCAGCATGATTTATAATCCTTTAGGTATATACCCAGTAATGGGATGGCTGGGTCAAATGGTATTTCTAGTTCTAGATCCTTGAGGAATTGCCACATTGTCTTCCACAATGGTTGAACTAGTTTACAGTCCCACCAACAGTGTAAAAGTGTTCCTATTTCTCCACATCCTCTCCAGCACCTGTTGTTTCCTGACTTTTTAATGATCGCCATTCTAAGTGGTGTGAGATGGTATCTCATTTTGGTTTTGATTTGCATTTCTCTGATGGCCAGTGATGATGAACATTTTTTCATGTGTCTGTTGGCTGCATAAATGTCTTCTTTTGAGAAGTGTCTCTTCATATCCTTTTTGAAGGATATTTTTAGAGGGCACTTTTTATCTTTGATTCTCAATAACTTGACTATTTTGTGCTCAGGTATATTTTTCTTCATATTTATCCTGTTTGGAATTGATTGAGTTTCTTGGATTTGTGAGTTAATCTAAAGATTACATCCATTTTTGAAAAGTTCTCAGCCATTGTGTCTTCAAATATTTTTTTCTCCCCTATTCACTCTAACCTCTTTTTTGGAGGACTCTAATTATTTAAAGTTAGACTGTTAGATATTATCCTTCTCTTGTGGAAGCTCTCTTTGTGTTTTAAATGATTTTTTCTTTTTACATTTCAGTTTGGATAATTTTTATTGATATGTCTTTAAGTTCACTGATTTTTTTTTTTTTTTTTTTTTTTTTTTGAGACAGAGTCTTGCTCTGTTGCCTGGGCTGTAGTGCAGTGGCACGATCCGGTTCACTGCAAGATCCGCCTCCTGGGTTCACATCATTCTCCTGCCTCAGCCTCCCAAGTAGCTGGGACTACAAGTGCCCGCCACCACGCCCAGTTAATTTTTTGTATTTTTAGTAGAGACAGGGTTTCACTGTGTTAGCCAGGATGGTCTTGATCTCCTGACCTCGTGATTCGCCCGCCTCAGCCTCCCGAAGTGCTTGGATTACAGACAAGTTCACTGATTCTTTAGTCTGCTACATTCAGTCTGTTGTTAAACCCATCAAACAAATTATTTCTGATATTTCTATAGAATTTCCATTTAGTTCTTTTCTATCTTTTCATGTTTCTGCTTAAACTCCTCAGCTTTTCAATAATGTTGTGCATTGTTCTCACTAGATTATTTAACATATTTATAACAATTATCTTAAAGTTATTTTCTGCTAATTCCAACAGTTGGGTTGTATGTGGATCTCCTCTATTAATTTTTTCCTCTTTATCATAGGTATATTTTTCTGTTTCTTTGTATGTCTTGTAATTTTGTATTATATACTAGAAATTGTGTATAAAAATGATAGTTATGACTGCAGTAATACTGTGCTCAGAAAATATCATGCTTCTTCTTCTGTTAGGCTGCTGGTGAGAGATCTCAATCTGATTTGTAGTTGAGCAGGGTCTGGGCTTCATTGCAGCTTTAGTTAGATTCTGTTCACCACTGGCTTCAAATATTTGAGGATGGGGTTGAGACTTTCCCTTCAGTGGGCTTTGGATCTCAGCACTACCACCACCAGACTCTAAAGGTCTCTATAGCTTACAGTTCAGCTTCCAGAATTCCAAGTACCATGAAAATGCTCTGTGCTTTATAGTTCAGCTGCCAGTTTTTTGGGGAACAGAGAAATTTCCTTTGCTTTTCATCTCTACCCCTAGGTCTCCTTACCTTGGGAGATCTATTTCTCCCCAGGCTGTTACACACTGCTCCCAGCCTTCAGCAAGACATTGCATTGCACTTGATGACAGCACCTCAGGGCATCTATCTCAGCAATCCTGCCCCTTCCCCAGCTTTCATTAAGTCACTACTTTGCATTTGATTAAGGTCCTGTGTACCTTCAAAATAGACTCTCTCAGCCCTCATGCCTTGCTCCCAGGCTTTAGGGAATTGCTGACTTATACTTGGTGAAGGTCCTGTGAACCTCAGGGTTATTTTTCTTAACTTCCTTGTCCTTGTCCTTAGCCTTTGATTGGCCAGTGCCATGTATTCGGCGGAAGTTCAATATACCTGGGTGGGGACATCTTTTCTGTGTGCTTCAGGGAAATCTTTCTCAACTTTCTTGCTCTTCCCCTGGTCTTTAGTAGGCCACCGCCTTGCACTGTTATGGTCCTCTGCATCTTGGAATGGAGGGGATCTTTCTCAGTGTTCTTGCCCTGTCCTCAGTCATTGGTGGGCCACTGCATTTTACCCAGTAAAGATCCAGTGTGCCTCAGGCGGATTTCTCTTGGACCTCCTATCCTGCCTCTAGCATTGAGTATCCTGCTACTTCCACTTGGGGAATGCCCCATGGGAAAAAATTGGCAGGTGGGTAAAGATCAATATTTGACTGGATTACCTTGGAATTTGAATTTCTCATGCCAACCCACTGATGGCCACTAAAAATTTGTTAGCAGTTTACTTGATTTCTCCTTACCCCACTCTATAACGGAGTAACACCCTAGAGTTACTAGGAATGAAAGCAGTCATAGGACACTTTTCTCCTAGGAATGCATTGTGTCTTCCTAAGATTTGGTTTATTTAAATTTCTTTGCATCTTCTGCTCTCTGCTAGGCTTTAAGTTGACCGCAATATTGCAGCCTATTGAACTTGTACTCATTGTACTCATTATAAGGATGAGAGTGCAACTCCTGTAACTTTCTACATCGTAACCAAAAATTTGGAAGTCAATTATTTCATGCCCAAAGTCTTCAGAGCCAGATCTTCTCTAACGACTTTGAAAATAATATGCTTTCTACTATCCTCCACATGCTTTCTCTGGCAAGTGCAATAGAATCAGATATGACCCACACTTCAGTGTTTTGCACTGAAACTTTTTCATTAGGGGGAAGGAAGATGAGATTCAAGAGAACTATTATTATTATTACTTAAATTTTTTCTGGGAGTACCTGCTGTTAGCCAAGCAGTCATCCTGAGCCCTATCAAACTGAACCTACTAAATCTTTGTGTTATGACAATGTCTTTCACACAGATTTAGACCCTCACTTTTCTATCTGCCACTTACTTCTGGTGGAAGGTGTCCATTAGGTCCCTTTGTAAGAAAAAGGTTTACTTCATACCCTTTTCAGCTAGTTAAATCCCTACTCATTTTTTAAGATGTCAGTTAAATGCATATCTTCCATGAAGTCAGCCCCAGCATATCTTACAGCCTTGCTACACTGCTAGTGTAATCATCACCATTTTCTATTGTGTACATAATGCTAGGGGAAATATGAGACCTCCTTCTTAAAACTGCCCACAGGGTGGGGCGTGGTGGCTCATGTCTGTAATCCCAGCACTTTGGGAGGCCAAGGCAGGCAGATCACCTGAGGTCAGGAGTTCAAGACTAGCCTGGACAACATGGCAAAATGCTGTCTCTACTAAAAACACAAAAATTAGTCGGGCGTGGTGGCGCATGCCTATAATCCCTGCTCCTCAGAAGGCTGAAGCAGGAGAATCACTTGAACCTGGGAAGCACAGGTTGCCGTGAGCTGAGATGGCACCACCATTGCACTCCAGCCTGGGCAACAAGAGTGAAACTCTGTCTCAAACAACAACAACAACAACAACAACAACAACAACAACAACAACAACAACAAAGTGCTCACAGATTATCTAGAATTGGGTTTCCGTGACCTGACAGGTTATTATCTCCCTTGGAGTAAGGATGAGGGGCTAGACTAGCATCTTCCAAATCATAGGTCCTATGAGGGTAAGAGAGGTGGGTTTCCCTAAGAGAAAACGGGCTGCTCTTGGCAGGAAAGGGCACTAGCTGCCAAGGGGGTGATATTTAAAATGCTTTAATTAAAACTTAGTTGATATGAATGTTACCAGAAGAAAAAGACAATTGAGAGGAATGCTTAATTTGTACGTGTTTCAACCTAAAAACAAGACACAAGCGACATGGTACCCAGGAAAAATTTTCCAACATCCAATAAGATGGCTAATACCAGTAAATTGGTCTCTGCAAGGAAATGATAGCCAACTTTTTTTCTTTCTTAACCACTGAGGACCCCTTGGTTAATTTCACTTCCCTGGACCCCAATTTATTTCAAACACTTTGGCTGCCAAACTGCAATTATCAAAAAAATATTAAACCACAGACTCTTAGCAATTATAGCTCAGCATTATTTTCCCTTCTTTTTAACTGCGTGGCAATTAACCTGGTGGCCAACCAAAAATAAATATACTAATTTCCTTATTTAAATTCTACATAGCTTTTTATTGGAGAAGTTTAGATTTTCTACTAGTAGACTTTATTTTTATTTTTTGAGACAGAGTCTCGCTCTGTCGCCCAGGCTGGAGTGCAGTGGCACGATCTCGGCTCACTGCAAGCTCCGCCTCCCAGGTTCACGCCATTCTCCTGCCTCAGCCTCCCGAGTAGCTGGGACTACAGGTGCCCGCCACCACGCCCAGCTAATTTTTTGTATTTTTAGTAGAGACGGGGTTTCACCGTGTTAGCCAGGATGGTCTGGATCTCCTGACCTCGTGATCCGCCCGCCTCCGCCTCCCAAAGTGCTGGGATTACAGGTGTGAGCCACCGTGCCCGGCTAGACTTTATAATATATTGAAATATATTGTGAATATGCAGTGAAGATCTTTAAAATAGTTACAACATTTGACCTGCCAATTTCATGTTTATTATTTGTCCTAAAACAGTGGTCAGGGATATGAACAAAGATTTATCTTGAGGAATATTTACCACTGCATTCATTACATTAAACTGTTGTTTAAATGTTTACCATACAATAGTAAGAAATTACAAAACACCTAAATTTCCAAGAGTAGAAGTTGAGTGAAAACAGTATGAAATATAGGAAATGGCCAGACAATGGAGCACTATGCAGCATTAACATTTGATTAGATAAGATGATTTAATGACATGGAAATATGTTCTCTATACATTAAGTTTAAAAAAAATGTTCTAAAATGACATCTTTGGGGAGCAGCCAAAATAGCCTCCAAGTCTCCTTCTTTATAGCTTAACATTTTTTTCTGCTCTAAGATGGGATGCTACGATCCTGTCTGATTAAAGACACATTTTAGGCCTGTTTTACCAGCATATTTGGTCAAGGAAACCAAGTTATTTGCAGTTTAGTTTGGAACAGAAATTCAAACTTGGCAAATAATTTGCATATTGACAGAAGCATGTTTTCTTTCTTTATAAAATGTATGTCACCAAGAAAGAAACAATAATTGGCACCTAAACTTCATTTCAGTACTGAGCTACCTCAATTACATTCCACTAAGTAGAATGAAAAACAGGCCATCCCTCAAAGGCAGACAAAAAAAAAAAATTGTGACTTAGCACAATTTCTGCTGATGGATTTCTGATTCCTGAATGTTATGACGATTTCATGTTAAGAGGCATTAAAACATGATTATAATTGAAAACAAGAGGGCCTGTGACACTAGAGGGACCACGGTTTAATTTGGATTAGTATTAAGGTCCTGAACATTAAACTAAGAATATTTCCTCTTCAACAGGTTAAAATAAACTATTTTGGCAAAATATTAACTATTACTAATGGGTAAAAACTACATATTGCTTGTACCAGGTGCTATTTTAAGAACTTTACATTTATTAACTCATTTAATCCTCAGGAGAACTCTATAAAGTATAGACTACTACTTACCTGAAAAAACTGAGGCACAGAGAGATCAGGTAATTTCAATGAGGTCACAAAACTGTGAAGACAAAGAGTCAAGATTCGATCCCAGGTGGTTGGGCTCCAAAGACTGTAATTTTAACCTGTAAACTTGGACAGTTTCATCTGCATGAGGCCAAAAGCTAATAAAAACCTTGAATCCACTCTAGTAGGTGAGTACCTCCACTGTATCCTCTAAAGCATGTTTCAGCCTAGAGGAGTACCCAACCTAGTCTAATTTCTCCCCCAATATTTTGAGTTCCTGCATACCACAGAGGCTGCACAAAGTCAGGGGAGGCTAACGTAGGATGACGCAGGCATCTACACATAACTTGTCATTTTCTCATCTCATGAGTGGACTCAGTGGAAATGCTCAGACCATAAATCAACACCATCTGTAATTGAGGTTTGCTCAAGGTATCTTTGCATGCTATAGCATTCATTGAAATATCTGTGAGGTAGGTTAGAACCAAATTTAACAGTTACTTCTCCAACTAGCCTTCTCATTTGTTCTCCAACTTGGGAATGATTCTATCATTAGACACACCCTGGGGCCAGATTTTACAAGTGGCACTATCATAACAGTGTGCCAGCTTAGGACCTGAGTTCACCACATTCCTTTCTGAGCCTACTCTGATGATTTGCCTTGGACTGGCCTTGTCCAAGCTCACCTTGACATCTGCCTTGTTCAGTGCTCAGTAGGCAGTTGTTGTTTAGAAAGTCTTTGTAAGTAACTATTTTAAAGTCACCATTTTACAGATGGACAAAGTGAAATACAGAACACAAAATGTGATTGATGTCATAAAGCAAATCAATGCTCCCAAATGCAATTTGCCATTCGCTCTCCTGTAAATATGTGAAATTGGTGACTTAATGTTCTTACTGTAAAAATGCCCAAAGAAAGAGAATAGAAGAAGAGTAACAGAGTTGGGGGAGAGCTACCACTGGAATGGAAGGAGCGAGGGAGGAAAATAGGAAAGGAGGAAGGAGTATTGCGAGAACATAAAACCTTACTACAGTGGCCCTGAATCATGGAGCTGCAACACACCTGGAGCACTTATAAATTCTTTTGAGAAATGCCAGTGTGACATACGCCTCGCAAGCCAGCAATTCATGAACTCGATGCAGTAGTTGAAACCAAAGGGGTAATGGCCACAGCTGTCAGGATCCAGATGCTCTGGGGCTCGGCCCTGCCACTTTGTCCCAGCATTCATGCGAAGGAATGCTGTGAACTGGGCATATCACCACTGTTCACCCTGGCCTGCTTCCAACAGCACCGGCTGCATCTGGCCTGGAAGATGGCCATGGCTGGCGGCCCTATGTTCCCCATAAGGTTGGGCACTGGGCTGCAGCCAGGCTGCGAGTGCTGGACCTACATCCAGCACACTCTCCGTCCAACCTCATCTGCCTGTCTACCCCAGAACCCCCAAGGAAGCTTGGCCTTTCCTGGCACACAGAATCCTCCTGAGAACTGGCGTCTTTCTGCAGTCAACAGAAAAGATGGAATGAAAACCACACAGATGAAAAGTCATGTCATTTATTAATAATTTCTTTTTTTTTTCTTCTATAAATTGGAAGGAAAAAGTCTTTGGTGACACTCTCTATAAAACAATCTATCTTGGATGGCGAAACCCAGACATAAAGTTACACAGGTCAGTGAAGTAAATCAATATCTATGGCTTTGTATTTTCTCACACGCGCTCTCTCACACATACTTGAGGGCTTAATTACGCTAAGTCATTAATACTCTATAACAAATGGGAAAAACACTTCAGAAAAGACCTGTGGTGACACTACAAAAACATTGGCAACATATTAGAAAACTCTGTCCCAAGTGTACATCGTATACAAAATAAGGTATACTTTTGTTTTTTGCGTTACAATTTGCCACCTAAAATAGTTCCAGTTTTTGATGTCTTTCTTTCTGCCCCTCAACATATCCTATACATATTGTTCTCTCAAAATAAGTACACAAGGTTCATTACATGGTAACCAGGTCATTTGCATAGCCCTAGTTTTAGTAATAGTTACAACCGAAAGGACAGGGATGTATTCCTGTAGGAGAAGAACAGAAAACTATTGCAGAAATCAAATGGCCTGAGGCCTAAAAGGCAAATCATTACAAAACCAGAGTGACTGAAAGGCTAGCCTGACTTGATTTTAAACAAGGGTGAGACTGTGCTATCCTGAGGGCTCAGCTTTCTCAAGGTTTGCCTTCTTCTCCTAGTTGCTGGGCCATGTTAAGTTCCAATTCTGGGTAGCTCACTGAGGTTCCTGATATAAAATGTATTGGAACTCTAGACCAGTGACAACTACAATCCCTACTAGGTAAAACTCATGGAGACAAAAGCCTTTGATTTTTGGAAAGGGCAAAAAGGGGAGAGATGGTTTTGAGGAGTCAAATCCATCATCACAATTATGGTGTAAATAACAGCTTTTTTATCCAGAGGTTCTGTACAGCATTATTGAACTGATGGGAGAGACCACTATCTTAGGGTACTTAATCCCCCAAGCTTTTTTTTTTTTTTAAAGAAAAAAAAAAGGGGGGCCAGGCGCAGTGGCTTACACCTGTAATCTCAGCACTTTGGGAGGCAGAGGCAGGTGGATCACCTGAGGTCAGGAGTTTGAGACCAGCCTGGCCAACATAGCAAAACCCTGTCTCTAATAAATATACAAAAATTAGCCCAGTGTGGTAGCACATGCCTGTAATCCCAACTACTAAGCAGGGTGAGGCAGGAGAATTGCTTGAACCGGGGAGGCGGAGGTTGCAGTGACTGAGCTGAGATCACACCAATGCATTCCAGCCTGGGTGACAGGGCAAGACTCTGTCTCAAAGAAAAAAAAAAGACTTGGTGTCAAAGGATAAACTAATCTCTTTATGCTGAAGTTCTTATACCAAGTGAGACAAGTTTAGCACAGTTTGATATTAATGCTTATTTGCTGAGAACTCAACTCAAAACAACTTTGTCCCTGTAAGCATGCCTGAGAAAATGAGGCTGATAGTGAAAGAAATTTCTTGGTTAAATCTGGCCAAGAATGACAAAACCAACTGAAAGGTTCTTGTCCATAGTCGCTGTAAAGGGGAACTAGGTAAATGAATTCAGCAACTGCGGTCCTGATGTACTGGCTGCATGTTGATTATATTCACAAGTAAGAGGCAGGAGCATTTTTATTTGAGAGTTCATGGCAATAACTGCTACTTTTAAATACTGGAGATCTCAAGAGACCCAAGGGAACACAAGACACTTCCAGGTCTGGGAAGTTTGCTTGGCTTTTGCATCCATAATTCAGCCTTGTCCAGCAAGAATCTCATTCAGATTCCAACCTAGTAAGGCTGTCTTCCCCCTGATCCTGCCCTTTAAACAGGTTTGTTCTTAAATCAAGTGCCCTGTTTTTTTTTTTTTTAATTAAAAAAAATAGTATATAGGCCTATTCACATTCATTCATCTCACCCCTGATTAAAGTTCAGTAACCTTTATGAAAGGCCACCAGCATAATACTCTTTCAAGTCACCAGGTATTTGAGAACCACCAAAATAAAGGCTAACATAGCCTACTGTAATGAAAACCAAAAGTCATTCTAAAAGGGAAATTGAAGGATGCAACCGGATTGATCCTTCTTTGAGCACCATTTGTCACAAGAAGAAATTAAACTGTAATGCACATAAGATTCCAGTAACAAGCTTTCCCTTTTTTTTTGAAGCATCTATCTGAAAGTGTGTTGATACGACCAGGTAGGCCCACCTAGCTATGCTATCTTTTGTGGTATGACTATCGTGATTATTTCATGGATTTTTCTCTACAGTCTCAATTTTGAGCCATTTTGCTAGCTTCAACAAAGGTGATATGTATTAATGTATTTGTAAGCTTTGATATTTATAACACTTTCATATAAATAAATACACAGCCAGCTTTTAAAAAATTACTTTTAAGATCCTGTGTCTTAATGTGGAGCTGGGAAAAGATGCTGTGTGGAAATCCATAAGTGGCTGAGTCCTCTTTGGAATTTCTGCAAGCAATTCATTACGTGGTTGGCACTGTACTCTCAGCCCTTGGCTTCTCTCCAATGCAGCACATGTTAGCCCACTTAGGGACCCCTAGTTATCATTAAAGTTGACCAGGAGATAATTCCTGACACCCTACAGAGATGGCTATGATTTGTCAACTTGTTGCAATGCAATACAACTCTTTCCTAACTGAATTAAAATTACATATTACTGTCGAGCTTCACTGATTTGTTAAGCATTGTTCTATTCCCAGCCTTATATTCCAAATGGGAGAAGAACACGCTAGCTCACATCCCAAAGAGATTTGCTCAGAGAATGACATAAAATGAAACTGTGGAGATTTAAAGTGGATGAAAGGTGTGTTATATCCTGTTCTTATTTATAATTACCATTTTTCTTCACATAACACATGTTGTTTGTGGAGGATATGTGTTGTGAGCTTGGTGACAGGTCAATCTGGCAAAGCAGGTCCTTGAATCCACTTGTGTGACTGACTGGTACAATTAGGGACATTGCTTTGCAAGCCAATATGACCACCTAAGTTTCAAGTTGGTTTTGGGGTCATTGAACAAAATATCGCATTTATTTTTTGGTAAAGGAGAAACAAGAATAATTTGCCAATCCTGAAAAAAATAATTTAAATACAAATTCACAAAGGCCAAATGAATAAAGATTAACTGCTAATCTTTTAACTTGCTGAGAAGTGCAGCTTAAATGACATGAAACCTGTAAGACCAAACATTTTATAGAAAAGACACAAGTGCAAGCACCATGGACCTAAGAATTATTTTTCAACAAATGCCTAAGAGATAATCACATCTACTTAGGGGAAAATGTCACATGTTTGAGAATGGACTATGGATGGGTCCAATTAGATGAGAGAGGTATTTAGGGAGCTGTTCTGAGTCATGAGGCTGAGGAGAAAATCCTCTCTTTAATTGAATTTCACTGTCTACGCACCTCTCAAAACACCATCTGGATATGTGGGCTCTACTCCTTGTTCTGCAGCTAGGTAGCCTGTTGAGTCACTTCTCTGGACTTCCACAAACACTTTCACTCCTGTTTACAGCACCATCCCCGTGCTATCATTACAAGCTCCTCTTCCTCTCCCAGATGTCTACAAAGAAAGGATGAGGTAAAGTCCAATGGACTTACGGTTTCCACTGACCTAAGATGGCCACTTGAAATTATCAGAACAAAATTCTCTGATGAACTTTTCTTCTAAAACAAAACTGAAAATAAATGGAAAAGAAATATGAAATGTATGAGAGTTTGAGGGAGGGACTCTAAAGTGCTTATTGTTTATTCAGCATAATACATGGTCAAACTCAATAATGTCTTTCTCTTCCCTGTTTTCTCTGGCCTCTTCCAAGTAGAAGAAAGCATTTAATATCAGAAGTCTCCATTTTTCATAACAGAGTTAGGGATATGTTTTTTTTTTCAGTTTATACTTGGAGTTTAACAATAATCATAAGCCCAAGATAGCATTTTCAGGGATAGAAATGTTCTTTTTAACAAGAAGCACAACTAAACTTTTCCACAGATTTAAAAATTAAAAGTAAATGAAACTATATTCACATTTGTTGTTGATTATTTTGTTTGCCAGATTCTTGCTCAAAACAATGTTTGACCAAAAATGGCATTAGGGTCCCAATGGCGAGACATCTCCTCAGTTACTTTGCAGCAATCCTCTTGTTCATTGGTGTGAATTTCTACCTTATTACCCCTTTTTCTTTCTCAAAAGAGAAACTCTGAAACTTGAGATTCTCACAAACATTAAAGAGTTCATCTTGTAAATAATCTGTTCTCCCCAATATACTCATTATTCCTTGGCTTCTAAACCAAAGCCTCTTCCCAGTGCTACGCAGACTTAGGTCAATGGTTGAATCTATAACCGTGCCCCCAACCCCTGCAAGTATTGGGTTACTGTTGTGGGTCTGTATTTCCATCTCACTAACATGCTGGTGGGTTATCTGGATAGTTCTTTGTGCAAACTGAACATTTCTTAATTATACTAGTGTTTTCTTGGTACTAATTCCCCCCACCCCCCCAATGAAAAACGATTATCATATATATCTATCTCAAACATAGAGATTTCAGTTAGAACTGCCTACCTGGAAGTCGTAATACTTTCTTTCATGCAGCGACATTTTAGAGATAAAAGTTCAAGTGGATTTGAAGATTCGAAGTGGAAAACAATTTGCACTGGCAAAGTTGAATAATGAAGTTACAACTTATGCTCAGTTATTTCTTGATAATGGGTAGAGTGACTTATTGTGTTTTCCACGAAGTTTGAGCTTTTGAAACTGCAGGGCACCCTACATGGCCATGACAATGATGTCTGTGGGAAAAGGAATAGCAGCTTTGAAATATTCACAACCAACACAATTTTGATTAAACAAAGAACTCTGGTTTTTAATAGTTTTGATCATTAAAAAAGTTTAAACCTGCATAGCAATCATTTCAAAAATAATTATTTAATGTTCCATAATTAAACTGTACACAACCTAGTCTTGGGACACAGAAGCCAGTGAGGTGAGTTTGGAGCAGTCTGGTGCAGTCCCAGGAGCCAGGAGTTGAGTTCTCATTGGCCTTTTTTTTTTTGTCATTCTGCTCATCTAAGTTTTTGGATAGTTGGCACAATCTGGCTCTGCTGATGAGTGGATCTGCACTGGGAAGAGAGAGCAGCTTGACCCCCATCCCTTCTTGCTTCCCCTCCCCCACTCAGCCGGATTCCTCAAAGTCGCTCAATGTCTCGGTATTTCTTCCTCAAAATAGAGACCTGGTCTTTAAAGAGGACGGGGTCGAGCCTCATCTGAGAGTGGATCAGCGGCATGTAGCCAAACCAGCTGGCAAACGTATTCATGCAGCTCTGTCGCTGGGCAAAGTGGTCAGGGTCAGCCCAACGGGAAGCCCGAGAAGTCTAGGGAGAAGGAGAGAAACAAGGATAATGATGAGAGAAGTGCAAGGTGAGATGGAAACATTGCAGAAAATGGAGTCAGGCAAATGAGCAAGCAGCAAAGCTTGGGGTCTGGCCCGGCCACCAAGTCTCACCATCTATGCACCTGCTGAAAATGCAATCGCTGATATTGGTTTTTCCCAAGGTATGCTACGTTCCTCAGTGTTAAAAACACAAAAACAAAGATTCATGTTGACTTTAATTCTCTAAAATTTATTGACTAATTCTCTGGTCAGTCCACGACTTAGCAACTGAAACTCGACTACTACAGTGACTCAATCTAAAACCTCTCTTTGCACTTGGGACCAAGTACTAAGATTAAAGATGTGTTTCTGCTTTCAAAGAGTTTTCTAAATCCTTCCTGTTTATGTAGTTGATTTAGAAATACCCACCAACTTTTAGAAGTCTATCTTTCTCTCTATCCATCACTTCCTTCCTTCTACTATCTCTTTACCTTTATAAGGGTCCTACTAAATCCTTTGTTAAAAATTCACATATATAGTTGAAGAAGAACAAAATAGTGCCTTTTACATGTCACTCAAGGCTAGTGTTACGCAGCATCTAAAACTCCGTTTTCTCTTCTGTAGCCTCCCCATTGACGTGACTCCATGAGGATGAGAAGGTGAGATTCAGTGGTATATAGAGCATGTTGCTGTATGACTAACTTTATACTAAAATCTCAAAATTCTGTTCTTCTCTTAACCCAAGAATTGTTGGCTTTCCTGCTTGACTAAAACCCCCAAAGGTTACTTTTTAAAGGGCAATCAGCCCTCCAAAGAATCACTGCTCACCCAGAATAAAGATTAACTCTCGACAAATAGAAAAGATGGCTACCATGTTTTTAGCTCTCTGTGTTGCCCCTAAAGTTGGTTAAATATTTTTAGATCATGCAAATGATTGGCATTGATTTAAAAAGAATGCCTTAATGACTGGAGTGCTGAAATTTAAATAGAATGACTAAGCACATTGTCTTTCAATCCCTGTTTTTATGAAACATGGAAAAGATGGGCTGCCCAATTATGGGGGAACCCCCACAAGCCCATTTATGTCAATAGGCAAGTCTTTAATGATGTATATGTATGCACGTGTGTTCTGTGTATTTGTTGTACTCACAGTTTTAGAAAAATACTTTCATGGGAAGATACATTTTAGTGTGAGAAGCAGTAAGAGTCACTTCAGAATCATAGTGTCAACATGCTCGAAAATAACATTGAAGATAAACACAAATGTCAAGTTACCTCTGAACAGCAGAATAACAAACAAAACACTATTTGTAAAGTGTTTTCATGGAGTTCATTTGAATCTCACCACAATCTGGTGAAGTATCTACCCAGGTAATAACATCCCCATTTTATAGCTGAGGAAGCAAGTTTAAGAAAGTTAGAGTTATTTGTTCAAGGCTAGAGAGGGGCAGAACTCAAGCTTCATTCTTCAGCCTTTATATGAGGGGAACTCTACTTGATAAATCAGAGAAAGATATCAAATGGAGCTGACTGGTTGAGTTCATATCAGAGTAGACAATCCCAAATGTAACTTGTTTTGACCCTAAATGGATATGAGTTTGTGGGCCATTTTTTTTTCTTTTTTTTAAAGGCAGAGTCTCACTCTGTCACGCAGGCTGGAGTGCGGTGGCATGATCTTGGCTCACTGCAACCTCCACCACATGGGTTCAAGTGATTCTTGTGTCTCAGCCTCCCAAGTATCTGGGATTACAGGTGCACACCACCATGCATGGCTAATTTTTGTATTTTTAGTAGAGATGGGGTTTTGCCATTTTGCCCAGGCTGGTCCTGAACTCCTGAGCTCAAGCAATCCACCTGCTCTGGCCTCCCAAAATGCTGGGATTATAGGCATGAGCCACTGTGCCCGGCCTGTGGGCCATTTTTGATTGGCCCACTCATTCCCAAAGGGTGCTGTACCCAGGCAAAATACTCATATATGCAACTAGAAATACTGTCTAGAGTTTACACTCATTCCTATTCAAAAAATTTTTTTTAAAGTTCAGTTGAATCATTCAGGTATCGTTTTGCTTCTAGATGTTAACATTTATTCTGAGTCAACCAACATCTATTAGAAAAGATGCCTTTCTTATGTAATAAAAGCCTAATCCTAGAGGATGATATCTATTTACTTTACCGGTCATACAAACATTCAATAAATTAATGTGTATGATGGAAAGAAGGGGGCAAATATAGTACCTGAATACACCTAGTTAGACCTAAGGTTAAATTTAGATTTTTTTGTTAAAGATGTATGAATTACTAGAAATACTGTTTGGTAGAATTAGGCTAATCTATGAAAATAGCACAAATCCACCCCCTAAGAGGCCTTGTATGACTAGAATTCCCCACTTAGTGAGTGTTCTGAAGAACTCTGAGTAAAAAAATATTTTTAAAATGTCATGTCCTTAAATGAGATAATATACAGTCATGCACCACATAATGACATTTCAATCAATGTTGGATCACATAGATGACTATTGTCCCATATACTGTAATACCATATTTTTATTGTACCTTTTCTGTATTTAGAAATGTTTAGATACACAAATATTTATCACTGTGTTACAACTGCCTACAGTATTCAGTACAGTGACATGCTATATATGTTATAGCCTAGGAGCAATAGGCTATAGTAGGCTGTACCATATAGGGCTGTGTAAGTACACTTGATAATGTTTGGATAATGACAAGATCACCAAATGATGCATTTCTCAGAATGTATCCTCATTCTTAAGAGATAAATAAAAAATATAAATAAAAATGTTTGGGCACATAATAGACAATACATCTTGCTTGAATTCGAATATTCTCTCAGCCTTAAAAATTTTTACAAATCCTCTTATCTGTTCTTTCTGTAATTAGAAGGAAACAGAATTTTCTGCCAGACTCTTTGCTAAGGACAGCTCTTTCATCATAACCAATACCTAGAACAGTGCCTGGTAACATGCTCACTAAGTACTAAATAACTTTTTATAAACTTTAAATTCTTTATAAACTTTAAATTTTTGCTTACTAAATTTAGTGAATGAAAAACTATCAGCTTAACATGAGGCCTAGCTAAGATTTCCTTTGCAAAAGCTAGATTTGTATATGTTTTCCAATGCCTGTGAGAACAAGGCACATGCAAAGCCCCTCAAAATTGAACTAATATAACCATGTTAAAGTATGTTCATTCAGATTAACCTCAATCCTGTTGGATGCTCCATGATTTAACGTGAGTGAATCTTAATGCTCTTTCTTAAGGTTTTTTGTTTCTTTTTTCTTTTTCTTTTTTTTTGAGACAGAGCCTTGTTCTGTCACCCAGCCTGAAGTGCAGTGGCATGATCTCAACCCACTGCAACCTCTGCCTTCCAGTTTCAAGCAATTCTCGTGCCTCAGCCACCCGAGTAAGCTGGGATTACAAGCGTGCACCACTATGACCAGCTAATTTTTTGTATTTTTAGTAGAGATGGGGTTTCGACATGTTGGCAAGGCTGGTCTCAAACTCCTGGCCTCAAGTGATCTGCCTGCCTCGGCCTCCCAAAATGCTGGGATTATCAGTATGAGCCACTGTGCCTGGCTAAGATTTTTGATTTCTTACATATAGTAGGGGCTCTGCTCAAGATGAATAAAGATAGATGAAATTCGGCATATCCAGGTGGACCTGATACCAAGATGGTGGGGTGTACAAGGACAAGCAGTGAAGTCCACAGACCCTGGGATTCAATTCCCAATTCTGTCTCTAACTTACTGGGCAACTTGTGGCAATATGCTTAAATTCACTAGGTCCTAGTTTTCTTACTTATAAAAAGAAAATGTTGGATTCTATTTCCTTGAAAATACCTTTAATACTAAAATTGTATAACTCAACACAATATTTTACTTCACTTTTATAAAAGCTTTCAAACATATTATTTCAACCCTGTAAGGTAGATTTCACCATTTCCATGTTAAAGATGAGCCAACTGAGTTTCAGAAGGTTACTGACTTGCCTGTATTTTAAATCCTGATTCTAGAACTGAAAATTAAATATTGTGATTCCTGTTATGTCACCAAGACACAATTCAACTCAACTGCAAGCACCAGAAAACTGTGTTAAAGAGAGTATGGTTTGCTAGACATTAAATAAGGTACCTACAATCAACTTTCATAAGTTATTTGTAGGGCTTTAATTCTGCTGAGGGCTGAATGTTTGTGCCCCCTAATATTTATATGTTGAAGCTTAATTCTTAATGTGATGATATTTGCAGGTGAGGTCTCTGTGGGATGATTAGGTCATGAGGGTGGAGTCCTCACAAATGGGAGCAGTGCTCTTATAAAAAGGACCCTAGAGAACTCTCTTGCCCTTCTTTCTGCCATGTGAAGACACAATGAGCAGAGGGCTATCTATGAATCAGGAAACAGTCTCTTGTCAGGCACCAAATCTGCTGGTGCCTTGATCTGGGACTCTCCAGCCTCTAGAACTATGAAAAATAAATGTCTGTTATTTAAGTCACCCAGTCAATGGTATTTTTGTCATAGCAGCCCAAATGGACTAAGACAAACTCTAAAGACATATCTTTCTCATGTCACCTTAAAGATTATAGGAGAGCTTTACATCCTTGGCATAAAGATACTCTTAACTTGTGTCTTCCTAATTATCCCTGCACCAATCATACACTCTTTTCTAGCTTTCAGATGTAGTTCATTCCTGGTTTCTCCTCATTATATGCTCCTGGGTGGAACAGCTAGAGGAACGTGAGTCCTCATTACCTGGGGCTGAACCACCAGTGAGTGAAGCAAGGGAAGAGGGCTCTTCTATACTTACCTGTCCCATCATTGTCTCCTTATACTGCTTCTTCTGGGTCACTTTGATTGGAGGCAATTTTGTCACAGCAGACACCAGGAAGTTCATGAGAATGTCCTCACAATTGGCCAATTGGTCCACCATGTTCTTCAGGCTGGCTGGCAGGTAATGGGAGTATAGGTAGTGATAATATCTGTAAAAATCAAAGATGGGTTTCACAGGGGGCCATTATCACATGATGACAAGTGGACTTCTGAGACAGAAAACACATACCCATTCTTTGAATCCCTAAACATGTCATGAATGGTAATGATAATGATGATGATGATGACGATAACTATCACTTCTATGGTACTTGTTATATACCAGATATTGTTCTAAAGTGTTTTACAAGAAATGCTTCATTTAGTCTTCATAAGGAGCCTACAAGGCAGGTTCTATTATTACTCCCATTTTACAGATGAGGAAACAAGGCACAGAGATACAGACATACAGACATTGCTTGTCCAGTCTAACTCTAACATCAGACAGGTGAGTTAGAAAGAAGAACTAAATAATTAGATGGCAAGATAAGTTATTTACACATGATCTATATATTATAAAGCTGCTTAACAATTTTAATCATTGGCTTAATCAGAACTGTATTTAATATTATCCCTTGACTCTGAGTCCAACAATAGACTGTTCTATATTTGTGCCCTATAAACCATATATATTTCAATCCTGTTAGAGCAAAATCTGAATTAATGGGGTGGTCAATCGTAACAGAAAACCCATAATTAATTTGAATTATTTCTCATCCTACTGTTTTTAAAATGTATTTATATACATATAGCATATATTTATAGGAAAAATCATTTGAGTGAATCAAATTCTTAGAGTGGTGGTGGCAGAAGCAATAGGAACAATGAACTTTCAAGAAGTGAAATCTTGAGACCAAGAATCAGTCAGCCTAAATGTTTATGCCTTGAGCATTTCCAAGCTATCCCTGAGATAGCAAAATTCCCTATTCTTTACTAAAAAGACTAAGGCAAGATTGGTGTGTTCACTAATGATAGAAGAGCAGGTATTTTGTTACTGGTTGAGTGGGGAATGTTAGCTATCTACCCTCACTAGTTTGGCAATCTTACTCCAGTCCCCTGGCTTTAAAGACCAAATATATGCAAACAACTGCCAAATTTGTATCTCCACCCCTGAGCTTTTTCCATATATCCTTTTGGATGTCTTAACATGTCCAAGACTGAACCTATATATTTTCCCTCATACTTGTTCCATCTGTAGTTTTCCTCATCTCTGTTGATCAGCCCTCTAATCTTCCAGTGTTTCAGGTCAAAAGACTTGGAGTCATCAAACTCTACATCCAGACTCTCTAGGCATCATGCTAAAGCATCTTCAAAATAATCTGATCACTACTTACCATGGCCACCATTCACTTCCTGGTCCCAGGATCCCACCATCTCTTGCCTAGATAATGTCAATCACTTCCTAATAGGGCTTCTGCTTCAACTCTGGGTCTGTTATAGCCTCTTCTCAACATAGAATCCACAGTGGATGCATAAAAGAAAAGCCGGATTTCTCCTCCCTGTTCAAACCCTGTCCTCCTCCCCTGTCACTTAGAGAAAAAGTCAAGTCTTCATGATGGACATCAAGGTCCTGCAGGATTTATCACTGTGTTAAAACTGCCTACAGTATTCGGTACAGTGACATGCTGTACATGTCACACCCTGTTCAAACCCTGCCCTCCTCCCATATCACTTAGAGAAAAAGTCAAGTCCTCATGATGGACATCAAGGTCGTGCATCCATGCCCCCTGACTTTTCTGACTTCCTGTCACCCATTCCACCCAGTCACAGTGGTCTCCTCGATGGTTCTCCAGTATTCTGCCTCAGGGCATTTATTCTCGCTGTTCTCCTGCCACAACACTCTTGGTGCACATGTCCTCTTGACTTCCTGTCCTTCAAGTCTCTGCTCAAATCTCACCTGTGCAATCAGAATCACCCTGGACACCCCCAATCTGCCCCATCTCCACCTTCAGCACCCTTGATCCTTTTCTACACTTTGTCTGTTATATCACTTATCTCCTTAATAAACTATGGAATTATTATGTAGACAGTCTTTCTTTGTTAGAATATAAGACCTGCATTGGCAAGGAATTTTTTCTGCTTTACTCAGTGATGAATCCCAAGCACCTAGAACAGTGCCCTTGGGTGCTGACTTAGGTATTTACTTTTGTTGTTGTTATTCTAAATATTCAGTTACCTAATATGCCCTGAGAGTATTTTCACACTTCAGACCAACTGAAAATGTTACTCTACCATAATTTCTGGAAATGAAACATGCCAAGAGGTTTCACTGGTTTCAAAAACACACATTTGACACATCAGCAAAACTTAAGCGGGGATACAGACTAATTTTCCTCAATGCTGTTAACAAGATTTGGCCTTAGTTCCTATTTATGCAGCAGCCAATATAAAAAGCTATGTAAAGTCTGTAAGAGACATGTCCAGATTCCTCACTTGTGGTAAATAGCAGCTCCTGTCAACACCATGGAGTAGTCGTTCGTCCACTTTGATGTGTATCCCCACCGCTCCTTAGAGTTATCCCAGAAGTGGCTGCGCGCGGGGTACCCCACAATCCTCTCAGGGAAGCTCTGCCACACTGTGAAGGCGAAATCCACCTGCAGGCAGAACACAAGCCAAACAAGCAATCAACAGTGTTAACAAATGTCAACAAAACATTACCTTCTCCCCACTAATTCATAATGCAAAATCCGGGGACTGTGGCGAAACATTAATTCTATGTATTCATCAGCAAATTAAACTGACTGCTTGACATTTTGCCCCATAATTATGCACATTTTAATGTTTTCTGTTAAAGAAACTTCAGAGTAGTATGGAAATGAAAGGAAGAAAAAAATTTGCTGATATGCCCTTTAAAAATCCAGTCTGTTCAAGCTAAAACATAAGTTGAAAAAGCTTCTTTTCCCCCTTCCTCAAAGGTGCACGTGCCTTGATTCACGTGAGACACAAACACATCTGTTTTATAAATGAGAAATTTCCCATGTATATCCAAAGAATGAATATACAACATATATCATACCCAGCATATATCAAAGCCAAAGTGCCTAAAATAAAAGCACCCTCTTAAGAGTAAGAGAAATAACTTTAAAAAAAAAACACCACAAGTTCTAACAGGAATACAGAGCAGGTATCATAAAGAAAACATAATTCAGGCTTCTTAGGTTTGAAGATGCACAGTTTAAGAGACACTAGAAGAAAGCATCAACAGTGAAAATCACTAAGAATAAGTGGGGACAAGAACAACTGAAGCCACAGAATTATTTTAAAGGAAATGCAGCTAAATGTCTCTCCGGTGCTTATAGTAGCCCAAAGCAGGTGCTTCTGAACCTGCTATAAACCAGCACTTATAGTTAGCAAGTGATCTGTTTTCAAATGCATAAACTCACTTCTGATTTCTATGATCATTTGATGAATGGTAAATCAAAATAATAAACAGAAAATAAAAATAACAAAAATAGTGACAGCAAACAATCATATAATGCTCATAATTGTGAAATGTTATAATACAACAGGTGCAGCTATAGGTGCTTATCCATTTTAACTCATTCCATCCTCACAATACCCCTGTAAGGCAGGGGCTTTTACATTCTTCAGTTTACAGAAAGGGAAACTAAGATATAAGTTCAAGTAATTTGCTGAGCTAATAAGTGGCAGAGCCAAGATTCAAACTCAGGCAGTCTGGTTTCAAATGTGCTACGTACTTTATCAAAACTTCTCTTTTGGCTCTGTTACTCCAGTGTTAAAAGCAATTTGTCTCTTATACACGCTATGATTCACCTCGTTATCTTTGCCGTATCTCTTCTGGATAAGCAATACAAATGGAAATTTCATCTGTTTCGCAAATATTTTGAGTCCTGGCACTGTGATGGTAGCTGGGGGACGGAGGGATGCTGCTAGGTCCAGGTCCTGCCCTCTCAGAGGTTCCAAAGCAGGACCTGTGATGGTTAATTGTATGTGTCAATGTGAGTATACCATGAAGTGCCCAGATTAAAGATGATTTCTGGGTGTGTCTGTGAGGGTGTTTCTGGATGAGACTAACATTGGAATCCACGGGTTCAGTAAAGCAGACTGCCCTCGCCAGTGCAGATGGGCAATATCCAGTCAGTTCAGGGCCTGAATACAAAACAAAGGTGAAGGAAGGAGGAATTCCTCCCCTTTTTCTTTTTGCCTGCCGGCTGAGCTGGGACATCGAACTTCTATTGCCCTTGGACTGGGATTTACATCATTGGCTCCCTGGTTCTCAGGCTGTAGGACTCTGTCTAGAATTACACCAGTAGCCTTCCTGGGTCTGTAGCCTGCAGACGGCAGATCATGGGATTTCTCAGCCCCCAGGATTATGTGAGCCAATTACTCATAATAAATCTCTCTCTCAGTGTATGTATGTATGTATGTATGTATGTGCATGTGTGTAGGTATATATATGTGTGTGTGTGTATAAATATATATATATATATATATATATATTATGTTCTATTGATTCTGTTTGCCTGAAAAATCCTAATACACTGCCCTATCTTAAGATAAGGAAGACTTAAAAATATGGCTTGTTCCCCAAAACTATAACATCCACACGGGGCCAGGCACAGTGTCTCACGCCTATAATCCCAGCACTTTGGGAGGCTGAGGTGGGCGGATCACTTGAGGTCAGGAGTTTGAGACCAGCTTGGCCAACACGGTGAAACCCTGTCTCTACTAAAAATATAGAAATTGGCTGGGCGTGGTGTTGCACGCCTGTAATTCCAGCTACTGGGGAGGCTGAGGCACGAGAATTGCTTGAACCCAGGAGGCGGAGGTTGCGGTGAGCCGAGATGGTGCCACTGCCCCCTATCGTGGGCGGCAGAGTGAGACTCCGTCAAAAAAAAAAAAAAAATCCAGAGCGGGGAAAAAACCCGGGTGGTGGAACCGACATTAAGAAAGCTTGGTAGGGAGCACGTTATCTCAAAGTTAAAAGGTAGCAGGGGATGGTGAGCATCTGCTAGAAAATTGAAATTAGGTTGTGATTACCTACACCTTTTCACTAGTGGTCAATACTAATGGAGACAACTGATGGGACAGTATATTATGCAGCCTGTTGTCAAAGGATCAGCCTGGCCGTCAGCACTCTTTGGGGTTTTCTATCATTCTTTGAAAAGGAAACACATGCACTAGCAACTACTACAGAACCCAATGGGGTGTTCTCATCGCATGAATTTCTTACTATCTTAAGGCTGTTTCAAGTCATTTCAAAGGAACTCAAAAGTAAATTCAGATAAAACTATGATTCTTGTGATAGCTCTAATTTCATGCAGATTATTAACACATCAAAGAAGGCAAAGGTCAGTTTAAGGCCCTTTCTCTCAAAAACCAACATCTGTTTTCTTTTGAGCAGCGTCTGCAGCAATCCAGATAAATGTAAATAACTATAAACCAACTATAATGCCCTTTATAGGATGCTGTTTAAAAATCCATCCTTAATGCTGCAGAGAGACATTTAAACAATCTGAGATCCTTAGAGAGGAAAAGAAAAGTGAACCAACATCTATTCACCTAAAAAAAGAGAAAAGAGAAATCCTTGCCCAGGACCATTTTAGGCAACACAACCACTCCACTGATCAGCAGGCAAAAGCAAACCAGACTGCCAGCCTCTTAGATTTACATATCATTTTCAACCCACGTTGACTTCTAATTACTTCACATACAACACATGTTCCTCCCAGCATGCATTGAGTGGTTGGAATTGCTATTCTTTGAAAAGAAATTCACCAGCATGAGGATGCATCACAGCAGTTGAAAGTTATTTCACCATAGGATAGGGAAAAACAATCCTAGAGTGAGACTAATTGCCTTGTGCCCAGGGAAAGATAGAGGATGAATCAATACTTCAGGTCATAGGATGATGATTAAGGTACATGCTGTAGTTGTCTTGACCATTTGTTGCACCATGGCGGTGTGCTGCTTTGCCTGTGTTTGCCCTCCAAAATCCACTATCCACTCTTCTTGTCCTGCCCTGTGCCCTCAGATAATGGACCCCTATGGACTGCATCACCTGGTTGGGTTAGGTCAATGGGAGTCACCGGCAGGAAAATCGAGGCAGGATAGAGAGAGAGGTCAGTGTATCTCTTCTCTGCTCCCTCTCTCCTTTGCCATTAGAGTTCTGGCAGTAGCCACGTCCTTCCATGATCATAGCACTTGTAGAGCAGCCTCTCCATCCTAGTGCCATCTCTCAGGGCCTTTGAAAGAAGGAGTTCCTTCTCTAACTCCTTCAGGCCAAAGGGAGGAGCTGCTTCCTGCTGTCATTACTCACCAGGTGCCTCATTCTCTCTTATGGGGTCTTTTAACCCCATCTACACCTCCCTAAGGAATCCAAAGTTCCTTCATTTGAATCATCTGATTTGAATTCAGTTTGTTGCCAGGACTCAGATGGATATAGCCTGGAACTGTGTAACTGAAGTACCTGGCATGGAGACCAGGACAAAGAAATCTCTCAATAAATACTTGTTGAATGAATGTGTTCCAGCTTCCCTTGCAGAAAGTGGCAGAAAAATGCAAGCCAGAGTGACCTGTACCCTGTATTCCATAGCTGTCTTTCCCTATGAATGTTAAGCTTATCAACATCCCTTCCTCCTGCCAACCTACACATGACACAATTGGCGGTGTGTCCACCTTTAATCCCCAAAGCATGCATCCCCCCACCCTGGCCCAACCACTCATTCAACAAGTATTTATAGAGCTTCGGCTGCATAGAAAGCATTTTAACAAGGTGAGGTCCAGGACATTTTGTCCTGGGATTATTTAGGTTGCCCTTTGACATAACATCTATGCAACTCTATCTGATGGCACCTTGAAAGCATCTATGGAATTTTTTTTTTTTTTTTGAGATGGAGTCTCGCTCTGTCACCCAGGCTGGAGTGCAATGGTACGATGTCCGCTCACTGTAACCTCTGCCTCTTAGGTTCAAGCGATTCTCCTGCCTCAGCTTCCCGAGTAGCTGAGAATACAGGCACCTGGACCACGCCTGGCTAATTTTTGTATTTTTAGTAGAGATAAGGTTTCACCATATTGGCCAGGCTGGTCTCGAACTCCTGACCTTGTGGTCTGCCCGCCTCAGCCTCCCAAAGTGCTGGGATTACAGGCGTGAGCCACCGCGTCAGGCCACATCTGTGGAATTTCAAGGAGACACTGAGTTCACCTAGGCCAACATTGAGTCTTGGCTCTGTGGGCAGCAGGCCATTAGAACTAGATTGGTGTCCAGGAAAATGCAGGTTACACTGATGTTTACATTAAAAGGAAAATGATTGTGAACAAAAAGGAAAAAAGACAGGGAGAGGGAGGGGAAAGGTGTAAGTAGTTACGTCTCCATGCTTTTTAGTAGTTGCCATTAATAATGTATTTCTCATATACTCCATTTTTATATAGCTGTCTTTGGTCCTCTGCATGGTTTAAAGGAAGGTTTCAGAGATCAATACTCATTCGAGTTGTAAAAATTGGTTTTCTACCATATCTATCTTTCCTCCTCTCTCTCTCCTCCACGCGCATTCTTTAGGCAATCTTATTTTTGGCACAACTACCTGAACATCTGAAATAGGAATCTCCATCACAACCTTGAAGTGAAACCGTTTGCTCTTGTATAGGTGAAAGAAAATGAGCTCTTTAAACCAAGACAGAAAAGCTGCCTTTAGAGCTCCACATAGAGTCTCCTAACTGAGGCAATAGGATACGTGGAGAGGAATGGGATTATCTCCTCCGGAAAGCATGGTTTCAACCTAATGCAGAACACGCACCCTCCCCCTTCCCCTCAGTTCTGCGCAACTGCTCACAACTGTGCTGTTTAAAAACAAAAAAGGAGGGCAGGCCTGGGAGGAGGGGTGAGGCCCAGTTATGCAAATGAGGAGCCAATTAGCAGAGACAACAAAGGGGAGATGCCCGCCTCAGAGTGCCAGGTGGCAGCAAGGTGCTAACAGGAATCGGGCTGATTAAAACCAGCGCTGTAGGAAGTTTTGAAAAATGTTTTCAACTTCTGCCAAGGCACGGCTAAAAGAAGCATTAGCATCGTGCAACATGAGGTGACTGCCTGAACAGCCCACCTGCTGCTCCTCAGGCATGGGTTCTTACCTCTGTTGTTGAAAGCACCGTGTCCTCGTCAAGGCTGAGCACGGCGTCTGTGATGATGTTGTCGTAGGGCAGAAAACGGCTGCTCATAACCTGGGAGGAAGTAGAAGTAGGCAGTGGGGAGGGAATGAGGGAAAGAGGTAACTTCAGAGTCTTGTTTTCAGGACAATTCTCCCATCCTCACCTGCATAAAGAATGCGCTACTATCATGTCACCCCTCAACACCGAAGGAATCTCATTTCCCATCAATGCAGATGTATTTGTTCAACAATTATTGGGCACCTACTGTGTAGCAGACATCTTGCTTGTCAAAGAGGGTACAAAGATAAATCAGACATGTTCCCTGTCTTTGAAGAGTTCATGGTCTGTAGAGGAGACCAAGAAGCAGATGACCAGTCTTTGCTTGATACAAAAAATGCCAGGAGACCACAGGATGGAGCAACTAGCTGTCTGGAAGAGCAGGTGAAGGCCTCATAGAAGTGACATTTAAGCAGGACCCTGATGGGCAGAAAGAATTCACCAGGTATAGATAGTAATGAAGTATTAAAGACAAGACTTGGCAGATGCAGAGGCACTGAGCAGAGAACCTGCATCCTGACACCCACTCTTCCCAACCGAAAGAGTGAATGGATGGAGAAGTGATTCCAAGTGTGGACACAAACCACGGGGAGAGCAGATCACTGTAGAAAGTGCTGCTTTTACAAATTACAAACATTTACAAATTAAAATATGTATTAGCACAGATTAGAAAAAATATATACACATATATTAGCAGCTACAGCAATCAAAGGTAATATTAAAGTTACAAATAACTTCATTAAAATGAGAAGTATACTGATTTAAAGAAATATATTAGGCCAGGCGTGGTGGCTCATGACTGTAATCCCAGCATTTTGGGAGGCTGAGGTGGGTGGATCACTTGAGGCCAGGAGTTCAAGACCAGCCTGACCAACATGGTGAAACCCTGACTCTACTAAAAATACAAAAATTAGCCAGGTGTGGTGGTGCATGCCTGTGGTCCTAGCTACTTGGGAGGCTGAGGCAGGAGAATCACTTGAACCCGGGAGGCAGAGGTTACAGTGAGCTGAGATGGTGCCACAGCACTCCAGCCTGGGTGACAGAGTGAGACTCTGTCTCAAAAACAAAAAAAGAGAAGAAGAAGAAGAAGAAAGAAGAAGGAGGAGAAGGAGGAGAAGGAGGAGGAGGAGAAGAAGGAGAAGGAGAAGGAGAAGGAGAAGAAGAAGAAAAAATATTAAATAATAGCACATATGATCCATGGATTTAGAAAAATTGTGAAGGTGGTGTATGCATAAAGTTTGGGCAGTTCTGGAATAAGGAAAGGTGGACTACGTGTGCACACACAGTGGTGTGTGTGTGTGTGTGTGTGTGTGTGTGGTGGGGGCTTTGGAGATTATGGCATCAGCTGGAAAAATTGAGGGTGGAGAGGTTACCCTGTGATAGTCACAACTTAAACCTTTGTGTTGAATGTACCATAGAGGAACTAACCATAAGAATGCTGACACCATAAGAATAACATTTTTTGAACATTTACTGTGTGCCAGGATATGTTGCAAGTCCTTCATATATATCATCGTGTTTCATCTTTATAACAACCCCATTTTACAGGGAGGGAAACTGAGATACACAGGTTAAGTATCTTGCCCAAAACGGACCCAGGATTTTCCCCCAGATGGTGTGACTCTATAGAGCACCTTGGCCACCGGGCTGTATCTGAATGGAAAGGACCTCAAAAGTGAATTTAGGAACACATATGCCAATCATATGCTCATCACCTTCTTCCAGAAGTTATAGTAAGGATGATGACATCCTCTCTGAATTCACACCTGCCATCAACTTTGAAGAGACAAAGGCCAGGGAAAGAAGCAACTTAACACTGCAGACAAAGGGAAAGAGGAAAAGGGAGGTACCTAGCCAGCTGCCAGAGCTGCAGTCTCCCCAAATCTGAGTACCCCTAGGAGCCAGCTCATCTGCAGGCCTCATCTCAAACTCGGTTTCTTTGCCGGCGAAGCTACCAGAGCACCTAGGACTTTAATGCATGGACAGTGGCCACTCTAACTCATCTCCAAGAGCTCAAGGGACATAGCTGTAGCACACATGGCTTCAGGGGTTGCTCCTACACATCTGTCAACTGGGTCAAGTTTTTTGTTGTTGTTGTTTTCTTTCTCAGGCTTTTGAAATAAAACACAAAGTGATCAGCAACCTCATAGACACAGTGCTCAGAATTCTCAGCCTGAAGCAATCCTCCTGATACTGTTTACATGTCCACTGACTAACGCAGAAACCATTAGCTGCCAGCTTAGCACTGCCCTGACCTTTCCCTTGTTAAGCCCACAGGGGAAAACTGCAAAGACAACGCCTATAAATTCAAAACAGAATTTTTCAGCCAAAGCAGCAAATATATTGCTTCTAAATTCATGGAGATAGAGATTTTAAAATGGAGAATGAGGAAGATGTAGGGCTTCTTCCTCATCATCTGCCCAACCACAGGTCTTAAAAGGATCTGTTTCCTTTTTTTCTGAACCTGTTTCATCAACAGAAGTAAAAAGCCCATAAGCCATCCATTTTCGAATTCTCATGCAGAAATGAGAGGCTTTTTTCAAACACATTGCCTCAGCGACCTTCTTAAATGGATTAGCATGAGAGAAACCAATGTATTTACAAAGTTAAACCTGAGTGAACTGGGTTTTCCTTGTTAGTTCATTTAAGAAAGGTTTAGCTACCATGTGAAAGCCCAACTCCTTTAAAACGAACAAACATGTTGGCCAGGTACAGTGGCTCCCGCCTGTAACCCCAGCACTTTGGGAGGCCTAGGCGGTGGATCACCTGAGTTTGGGAGTTCGAGACCAGCCTGACTAACATGGAGAAACCCCCTCTCTACTAAAAACACAAAATTAGCCAGGCTTGGTGGCGCATGCCTGTAGTTCCAGCTACTGAGGAGGCTGAGGCAGGAGAATCGCTTGAACCCAGGAGGCGGAGATTGCAGTGAGCCGATATCATGCCATTGCACTCCAGCCTGGACAGGCAACAAGAGCGAAACTCTGCCTCAAAAAAAAAAAAAAAATTAACAAACATGCCTAGGAAATGACCAAGACTCAAGAAGTTTACTGTCTTGTAGTGTGTGTGTGTGGGGTGGGGAGGGAGGTACATAAGAAATGTACACAAATAATTATATAAAACACAATAATAGTTAAGATTTATTGAGTATCCACAGTGCGCCCACACTTCTCAGTACATTTATTTATGTATCTCATATAATCTGATCTTTTTGGCTACCTTATTAGTTACATATTATGACTCTTTCCATTTATTGAAAGGGGGCATCGAGACACAGAGGATTAGCAACTTGCTTTAAGTCACACAAAAGTAATTTTGACTTTAGAGCCCATAATACAAATCATAAGATTATGATGCCTCCCAGAAGAGGAGCTAACATTTATTGAACCCTTGGTGCATGTATAATATGCATAGGACTAAGCACCTGATATGGAATGGTCTTATTTAACCCTCAAAATGGGCCCATGTCATAGCCCAGGTTTTCTAGAATACTGAGCCTGAAGCAAGACTTAAGTGCAAACGCTTCACTCTGAGGTGCAATCCCAGGGCACTGAGAGTCAGGGAAAAGACATAGGAAGAACCCAGCCCACTGGATTCAGTGCCCAAGGTGGAGGCAAGGACTGAACAAATGCCAGGGGCCTGAATATAGATGCAGCTGGGAGGATCTGAGGCATCTTGTAAGAGACATCTGATAAAGCCCACGAGAAAGGTACTATTATTATCACCACCATTTTATAAAGAAAGAAACGGGGAGTTTCTTTTCACTGAGAATGAAAATATAAAATCAATCAGTGAGTCAGAGCATGAAAATGCTATACTACCTAAAGAAATCAGAATGGCTCCCAGACAGACTGGATTGTGTCTGAATATCCTGACATATCCAAAGAAAGACATTATCCACCAGAAGCAGAGCTGGTCTCCTTGACCCATGGAAGCATACAAAACAAAGAATCCCAAAGTTCAACATTAACTGCCTGCCTCTGAGTACTGTTCATGGCTTCAGGCATTGGAATTGGAACACTGCCATTCCTATGATGGGCTATTCTATGGGGGGGATGGATATAAGGGCCTGCATGAAACTGTGCTTATGGTGAGATTGATTTGTGAGAGAGGCATGTGATTATTCCAACATCCACCTTTTCTCATTAAATGCTTACCAAGCAGCTCTCTAACAAACAGGTTGTTTGACTCCAGCCTTATGAGAGCCATGGCTATATTTGTCACATTCCCCACTGTGTTCCAAGCCTGTTACAAGGAGCTCAGCACACAGTAGGCACTCATAAATGGAACTGAATAGATAATGCACTGATCATCTTGTCCTTGTGACAGTTACAATTGCATTATGTCAAACCATATGAAATTGCCACTTTTGGTGAGTCGATGATGATATCAAATGGTTCAGCCTAATAAACTGATTTTGTCATTCTGGCGCAAAGGTGTGAGCCACTCTCTTATGACCTGACCCCTTGGGGACTGACAAGGAAAGTTTTTTAGATGGCACTGCTTCACCAATCTCAATTTCATTTAGTAGTGACTATTTCCTTCACAATGCGTAAGATCTATAAGTAACAAGCAGAAGCTAGAGAAAAAAGAGCTAGCTGCTCTTTAGTAGAAGAAATTTCAAGGAGGAGGTAGCATGCAAACGGGGGCTTAAAGAATATATGGGAATGTTGACAAGCAGAGATGATGAGTTGAGGGGTGGTCAAGACTTACAAATGGCAAAGTCAAAATTAGAGGTAGGAAGAGACACAGCGCAATTCAGCTAATTATAAATGATCAAATGTAGTAGGGGGCAGGGTCTGTAGGGGAAAGCAATGAGAGAAAAGATTGGAAGGCTGGCTAGGGCCAGGTTACACATGGCCTCAAATGTTAATTGGAAGCACTAGCAAATGGAGAAAAAGGCCGGGAGATGATCAGAAAGATAGTTCAGCTCTAGGCAAAGTGAACTGGAGAACAGAAGAGAGGCCGGCTATGTAGCACTCATGAGAATCTTTACAGGCAGATGCCAAACAAAATTAAGGTGAAAATGTCCTTTTTAAAGTGAATGGGAGAAAGAAACACCATTCTGATAGACATAGCTCATTCAGATTAATCAGCCAAGCAAACCATCACCACCACCATCAGCTTTATCTTCATCTTTGTCATTTACAGAAAGATAACTATTGCCAGCTCCTGACTTTATTTAATCCTAACAGCAACCCTACAAGGTATATATTATTGTTTCCACTTTGTAGATGAGGAAACTGAGGCTCATAGAGGTTAAGTATACACACAAGGTCACAAAGCTATAAAAGAGTTGGTATCAAGACCCAGATTTCCCTGATTTGAAAGCCTATTGTGGTCAAATCTGAGAATATTCTGAGAAAAGTACAGTTTTAGAAAAAATAATCCAGGAACAGGGAGAAGATATCTAGGGCCAAGACCCAAAGTGCCCCATGGAGAAACCAAGGCTCCACAGTGGTTCCACATATAGGTCCCCTTCGAGTCTTACCTTGCTCTCTCCTTCAATGACGACGACAGGCACAGCAGTGGCAGGCCAGCGGTGTTTGGCTGGTAGGGGCTTGTCACAATTCCATAGAACTATGATCTGAAAGGGATGGGGCTCATTAGATGGCTGGGGTAGGATGTATTTATGTATGCCTCCAACCCAAAGCCTCTTCTCAGAGACAGAAAGAGAAAGAGGAGCTGGAAATCTCAGCAAGACAAAACGGCAGACATCAAAACTGAGTTTTAAAGTGAGTCCATTCCCACACAACCTCAGAACATTATCACCCCAACAACTGGAGAGAGGACAGAAAGAGCAAACAAATAAACAAACAAACAAACAAACAAAACCAACTGTGTCCGGGAATAGGGGAAAGCTGCAGGAAAAAGAATTACGGTGGCTGGAGCTTAATAAAGTGGTTTCCTAAATTCTGATATCTTATGATGGTGTGTGAGATAACAACTCTGATCAAATTAAATAAAAATGTATACTGAGCATCTGAACATCTGCTCTGAACTTGCACTACACCAGGCAATGTGGGAGAAATAAAAAAATTCAAGCTAGAACTAAGATGAGCTCATGTTTTGCATGCTCTAGAATGGTTGCTGATTTTATGTGACTTTATAATTTCCAATAAAGGCATTTAGTTCAAAAATGCATACTTCCTTATTGAATTCTTTCCTTGTTTGTAAACCTTCTTGTATAAACTAATTCACAAATCAGAAAAACCACCGTTCAATATGGGAGGAACACTGATTTGGAAAATATTGTTACCATAGGCATAATCGTCTGCTCCCAATTTTATAATTAGTCATAGTTGCTATGAAAAGAAAAGTTGACACTTCATGACACCAACAAGTCTGCTTCTTCTATTGAAGCTTAGTTGTCTGGGTCCTCCCAGAGGCTTTTTGGATGTTACTTTATCATTTTGACATTTAAAAACAAAATCATGTGCTTGTATCTTCTTTAGAGACTATGTTGGTGTATGTATATATACTTTTTAACTCTATACCAGTGCTAAGGTCTCTCTGTAACCCATCCCTTCCCTGTGCAGATTTCACTTCCAAGAATTTCTAAGTGGATGAAAAGGGTGTAACGAGGCAGGATGAATGAAAGGGAGTAGCAGGGTATGATGTTAGAGAAGTCCCGGGGAGCCTGGGGAGCCCGGGGGATAACAGGTAAGGAGGGCGGAGTCTCTGGTCTGGAGCTGGAGCAGGCAGGGGCTTCTCTGTCAACTTCCCGCTCACCTGGGCACAGTACTGGGACTTGGCTGCAGCCACGAGAAGCTTCAACACTGGCTGGGACTGAGAGACCAGGGGGGTCACCGCATGGATGACTGCAGTGAATTTGGAGGGGGGCTTTAAACCTGA
This sequence comes from Homo sapiens, assembly GCF_000001405.40. Taxonomy (NCBI): domain Eukaryota; kingdom Metazoa; phylum Chordata; class Mammalia; order Primates; family Hominidae; genus Homo; species Homo sapiens. The sequence goes on from NC_000008.11 coordinate 117,819,799, forward strand.
AATAAAAAGGAGAGTAGAGCCTAATGAAGCGCTGGAAAGCAAGACTTAGAAAATTACTCCTCCTTGCTCCGCTGCCTCATGCTGGAGCAAATGTTCCCTCCTGGATGATTTCTCCTTTGCTTCTTATGTCCTGACAGGACAGAAACAAGATGAAAAGCTGCTGGTTAGCTACTGCCTGAGTCTAGAGACCTCAATAAATTCCAGATCAATGTCCACTTCTAGGTTCTTGCTTTGACATCCTTTGCCCCTCTTGGTGATGTTTCTGTGATGTCCCTTTGGCTTTTTAGGTACCCAGTGTCCAAATACACACAACACTCACCACCCTTCATGTGCTGTCTCTCCCATGGTATTTGCATGTGTCTGATTTTTAATTATGTAATGAAAGGGTTCTACCTGACTAATCGTATTTCAAATAACTAGCTAGTGGGAAAAAAGGTGAAAGGAAGAGCATCCAGGGCCTGACTGTCTAGGTCTGAATCCCAGATCTACCACTTACTGGTCGGGGGACCTTGGAAAGATTACTTAACCCTCTGTGTTTCCACAGCTGGGAAACAGACCTGATAGTAACAGTGCCAAATATGGGGTTATCTTGAAAATTCAGTAAGTTTGTCTGGGCACGGTGGCTCACACGTGTGATCCCAGCAATTTGGGAGGCTGAGGCGGGCAGATCACTTGAGACCAGCAGTTCAAGACCGGCCTGGCCAACATGGTGAAATTCCGTCACTACTAAAAATACAAAAATTAGCTGGGCATGGTGGCATTTGCCTGTAGTCCCAGTTATCGGGAGGCTGAAGCAGGAGAATTGCTTGAACTCTGAAGACAGAGGTTGCAGTGAGCCAAGATGGTGCCGATGGTGCCACTATACTCCAGCCTGGGCAACATAGCAAGACTCCGTCTTAGAAAAAAAAAAAAAACTTAATGCATACAAAGCACTTAGAACAGGACTTAACAAATGACAAGTACTCAATATATGTCAGCAGCTACCATTATCATCACCCTCACCAACATTATTATTTTGGAGAAGAAGCCTCCATATTCCCAGAATCTCTTCTTCGTGTAGCAGTGATATAGCTGAGAAAAAAAGTATGTGAGGCAGACTTTTGCCAGTTGTGAGCTCTGAAGCCCTAGGTTAAAAAGGATCATAGATATGCAAAACAACCACTGTCACCAAAGAGACAGAAGTGAGATGGCTTCCCCCCAAGGAGTTTTCCCATAAGAACTCACTAAGAAATTAGAGACAGGTTAAGAGCCTTTTAAAACTTCATTAGTTTAGACCCACTAATTTGGCACTTTAGTGGCTTAACTGCGAGCAACACAGTGCAGGGACATTCAAGTTACGCTTTGATACTGATGGGATAAAGGCTAGAATCAGACTATATGTGTATTACAGGATTATACAAAGGTTTTGTAGAGAAAATTATATCATCCAGCAGCACTTTAATTGTATGTTAGAAAGAAGTTAACCTTCCCAATATCTAGATACATATTCAAAGTTTTGCCGAGTAAGAAGAATAAGCGTGATTGAGGGATTGCCTTTTAAACAGGAACGACAAGTCATTGTCTTTAAATTTTCCTGCAATAGTTTAAGAAGCATCATTTATACACCTCTAATGTGCTAACTCCAAAGGAAGATCTAAATATTGTACAAGAAATATACAGAAATTCTTGTCAACCAGTGCCTTAATCTGACAATTTCTAAATTCTGTTACCCAAATGTCAACAATATACTGAATTAGAGATGGTTCCCATAACAGGTTTGGTTTGGATTAAAAGGTGCTTTGTCACTGGTTGATGCTTCAGGCCATGCATTTCTTTAGGTTTCATCTCATCAGTTTCAAACTAAACATGTACAACTTAAAAGGGTGAGGGTGTTACGGAGAACAACGGCACTGAATGGAAAATCTTGTCTTTTTGCTGTATCAGCTTGGAAGATGCTTTCCTGTCCTAGGCTTTCTCAAGTTTAGAACTGTAACTGATGGGAAATGTTCATGATGTTTCTAACATGAGAGCAACTGGGGGTCCAAATACATAAATGTCTAAGGCAATAACAGTAGCCGGTGGTAGAGATTTATCCCTCCGCCATTCCCTTTTCCCTACTGTGATTAGACTGAAAACCGCTTGAAAGCAGAGATTGTATCTTATTTGACTTTTTATTTCTAGTACCCAGCAATACATTAGCATAGCACATAGAAGGAGCATAATAAACCTTGGAAAAATGAATAAATTTGTGCTTGTCACACATTCTTAGTTATTTCTCCTTTCCTCTTATTCAGTTTTTCTTTGGTAAGGAATAGAGATATTGGGATTGTGAAAAAAAAAATTGGGGAGAGCTCTCCATTTTATATATGATGAGGCTTAAAATGATAGCTAACCCATTGCCATGTTCAAAATGATCCATAATTTGGGGAGCCTATTTCTCAAAAAGAAATAACTCTACTAAATATGAAGTAGAGCTGCACAGATAAGAAGTTTTTCTTTTTTTCCATTTTGCAATGCTCTGCTCTGTTTTTGAACTTGATATGTCACTTATAACAAGGCTCTAGAAAAAGCAATCTTCAATGCAGGGTGTTAGATGGACCCCATTAGAGTAGAAGAATAAAGGCCTTTAGTTCTGTATGACATCTTCAGGGTAAACAAGGGCAACTCCCTGGAGGAAATTCACTTACCTAAATTAGCATAGTAGTAAGGAAAATCTCCCAGATAAGATGAATACTGTGGTAGTACGAACAATCCTCCAGGATGTTTGTTCCATATTAAACTGTTACGTGATATGTGCTTGAATATTCTGTCCTGAATAATCTAGAAAATAAAACATAGCACACAGTGAGGATGAGATCCTGATGATATTTGGAAAGGATGATGCTCAATCCAAATTCGAAAGATGGTGGCAGTCAGAGTAGTGACTCTACCCTCCCTCCCACTTTAATTCTCCGGATAAAAATGTCTGCAAGACAGAGAGAGTAATGGAGCAATGAAAAAGAGTGAGAGAAACATATGAATTATAGCCAATCAAATTTCCTAATTAAACTTCAGTTAAACCATAAGTTCTATCTTGTCTTTGTATAATAATGAGTCCATGCTCATTCCAAAATAGACTGTGTGGAGCAGTTAGTCTTTCCCTGATGGTTAAACTTCTAAGAACTAAGATAGGTTCCAGGCCCCTATCAAGAAGATCTGTTCTCAGAGAACAAGAGAGGTCAATGTAGACCTGTAGATGCTAAACGGAAAGCATATTCAAGACATGACACATTCTAGAAGCTATTGAGGTTTTCAGCTGTTCCTTTAATTCAAGAGGTAGATGTGTATACTTGTCATATTTCATTTTCCTTTCAAAGTCAATTGGAGGACTTTGGGTGCTGGTTACTGAAGTTTTTCTATATTTCATCTTGAAAAGTAGTGAGTTAACAATTGCTTAAAACATCCTACATAATAGGACAAGAACCATGGCATATGAAGACTAATAATAGCCAAGCTAGTTCATTAGTTTCTTTGGACTTTGGGACCTTGCAGATCATTAAATTCTACATTTAGAGTCAAACATCCTCCCATCCCGAATCATTTGTCAGTTGAATGTGATTAGTCCACTTTATAGCTTTCTCTCTGTGACTTTCAAACTCTTACAATTATACCATCCACTCATTAGAATATGATTTGGCAAATAATTAACTTGGTACAGAATTTTATGTTTTCAGCAATTTTTTTTACATTAAAAAAAAAAAAGAAAAAAATCCTGCCGTAAGTTTTAAGACATTTAAGACCCAAATCACCATTTTCCAGGTCTCCATTTAATGCAATGTGATTTTAAGTACAGACTATTTTAAATGGAGTTTTATTATTTGCTAAGGTTATTAACACCCTCATCTCATTCCACATGGTGACTAGATAAGTAATAAAGTGGGCTACATTTATCTTTGCAAATCTTATGTTTATTTTCCTAATGACAGAGAAGGAAGCAAGGAGGAAATTCAAAAGAACTCAAATATCTTAGTTCAATGATTTCTGCATCTTATCTTTCACCCAGATCAAAACTGCTAATTTTATATGGCTGGATAGAGGTTTCTAATTTGGTGGAGACTTTAGGAACCTAGTGAAAATATTTATTTTTACTTTTTGTGGTACAACAGGGATATGTTAAAATGCTGTTGTCTTGGCATTAATTATGAGAAAATTGTCATAGTTGTGAAGGACTTTTTACATGGTTAGCAATTTCACTTTGTACAACATTTATTCCTGCTTTTTATTATTTGTACTTTCCAAACGTACTGTCTATTTATTTCCTTTTTATAGTTTCTCTTTAGATCCTCCTTTTTTTGTTTTTTTCTTTTCAAATTTATGTACCTTTTAGGATGTGGTCACTTAAATAAGTTTGGATATCAAGATAGAAAATAAATTGACAATAGACAGCATTATAAATCGAACCTACAGACAAATATCATGGAACTCACAGCTGTCACAAAATGGGTCATCATTCCCATCAGGTCTTTGGATGGTATGCTTGTCATTGTCATAGACTATCTTTTTGGTTCGGCATCACAACATTGTTATCTTTTAAAATTCAAAGATATGATAATAAGATATAGCACTCTTCTGAAATAACAACAAGCATTTTATACTGTCTTCCAACGGATCTTGACAGAAAGACATAGGACAGGTACGAAAGCAGTAGCAAATGTTGAATTTAACGTGGGTCAAGCAATTTGCCACCTTTGTGTATTATTTTCCTCATTTGTAATAAAACAATAAAATACCACATTAATTATAACAACGTCTCAGAATTTAAGAATAGCTGCCTAAGTTGTTATACTTAAGGCTTGATTTTTGCCTTTAAAAAGAAACTCACTCCTGTGTTCGTTTTCTAGGCATTGGTTTTTCCATTTATTACATAGTGGTAATAGTATAGATATTACATAATACAGCTATTTTTACATATTAATAGTATTCATGATTCATTATTCTTAATGACCAGTTTAGCAATTTTTTCCATGCAAAGCAATGAACATATTTACGAATAAAATTTTCCACATTTAGGATTGATTATTCTTCTTCTTCTTTTTCTTTTTTTGTTTTTGTTTTTGTTTTTGTTTTTGAGACAGGGTCTCATTCAGTTACGCAGGCTGGAGTGCAGTGGTGTGGTCATGGCTCTGTGCAGCCTCAAACTCCTGGGCTCAAAGGATACTCCCGCCTCAGCCTCCTGAGTAGCTGGGACCACAGGAGAGGGTCACCACACCCAGCTAATTTTTTATTTTTATTTTTTGTAGAGATAAGGTCTCATTATGTTGCTCAGGCTGGACTCAAACTCCTGAGCTCAAGCAATCCTTTCTCCCCGGCCTCCCAAAGTGTTGGGACTACAGGTGTGAGCCACCGCTCCAGACCAGAATTGATTCTGTAGGACCTTGTCAAAGGGTATAAATACTTTTAAGGCTATTCATTAGTATTGCCAAGTGTCTTTCTAAAAGGTTTATATCAACTTGCCTTCTAAAAGCATAAAGAAATATGGAATTCATTTCACCATATAGAAAGATCATTTTTTTCCCTCTGCAATTCTTCCTATCACTACCCTGGATAGCTCCCAGAATCTTTTCATGGCACTTAGTGCTTAGTCTTTATTGTGGTGGAAGAAGACATCACATTAGAGGTTGGATGCTTCTTTGGCTATAAACAAAATCAATACACACACACACATACACAAACAGATAATACAAGACTTTTTTTGTTATGGTCCTAGATGGCCCCCTCGATAAGGACAATATTTCTAATTGATGTGAATTCAAAGGGAAGAATGACAGGCTCCTTATTTTACTTTTATGTATCCTCTGTTTTCCAAATAATGGACAATTGGTTATAGGTTAAAGTCATTCTATGTAGCCCTTCATCTTTTAACCAGAGCACTGTAGCCTAAGATACACGATGCCACCATATGCCACCTCACTTGAAGCCAGATCAATTGTCTATTTCCATTACCCCATTGATTTTTAAATATCATTGTATGATAGCATCAGCAATACTATGGTTCGTATGTGCATGATTAGATAACTGAGGAGGAAAATGAAGCATACTTCATTAAAACTCCACTAACTATATACCTTCCTAGCTACCACTGGCTCTTTTCACATATTATCATAATCTCAGGCACTTTCTTTCACTCATCTTGATTATGACTAAGCTCCAATGATTCAATCCTTAGTGCAGGTTATTGTGCAATATTCTGACAAATAATGGAATCCATGAAGGAGCACTGTTTTTGCAGTGTTTTTTCATTGTCCTCATTGTTAGTTCTCAATTTTCACAAAAGTACTGAGCTCTACAGAGCCTAGTTTGATTAAATAGCTCCTTATTACCAAGATGCAGCATTAGAGAATTTCAATCAAACTGGAAAAACTAAAAGAATCCTAGACAGAGTTCTGTACAATGAAACGTACTAACAACCTGACCCTGGCATTGAAGAGAAAATGAGATGTCCTGTTTTCAACTGAGTCTAAGCACTCTACCTACAACTCTAGGGCTCATAATTGCTGAAGACCCCATAATCCCATTCCCATGGCTTAGAATATACCAAGCAAGGAGAAAGACCTAGAGTCTGAGTACAGAACATCCTTAGCCCAGGATCTTCAACTCTATGCTGTAACTGTGAGTAACTATGAATTATTCTCGTGCCTTAGTAGCTCCAGCAGTGACTAAATGAAGTATATTATCTAAGTTCTAAGCCAAGTTCACATCTTTGATACGTGATACTTAAATTGTTCTTATAAACACATTTGCTGTGTTATTTGTATCTGTGGATGGCATTTTCTTCTATTTCCCCTGATTTTTTGATTATGTTGAATTCTGGGGTAATCTGAGTTATGAAGTATTTTGGGAAACTGGGTAGTACCTGTCATGCAACTTGGTTGAGAGGTCAAACTGTTACAATCCAATCTTGGAACTATATAAAGAGATTTGACAGTTGCTATAAATTCGAATGAAGTGTATGGTTTTTAGTGTTTAAAAAAACCCCAAAACTGTGTTGCTAAAAAAAAATAATAATAATACATGGTTTAAATACAAAGGGAAAAGGCCTTTTCAGGTTCAGAGATGAAAACAGCTTGATCTTATTTTGATCCTATTCTGATGAATGTAAGACATTCAACTGTTACAATAGAAAAATTGAGAACTGCTAACTTAATAGGTGAGAGACCATATTCATGCAATAAACCATATGCAAAAGACATGTAATTAATGAGATACCATCTTTCATCTGGCAAATCAGCAAAGTGATAGATGTGTGTGTTTTAATTATGGATCTGTAAGACTGACAAGAGCACAGCAAAAGAGAGTCACGCCCAGACAGCTTGTGAGATTCTAGGTGGATATAATGTTTTTGGATAATAATTTGGCAAAATATATTATAAGCCTTAGAAATGCCTAGGCTCTTTGGCTCATTAAAATCACTTCAGGGATTCCATCCTAAAGAAATAGAGATGTAGTTTAAGATACATGTAGAAAGTCATTGCTTAGATAAAGATATAGTTATCTATAAAAAATAAAAAGAACATTAATAGTAAATAATGGCATATTGGTTTAAGTAAATAGAAGTTCACAATAGGATGCATAATAGAGTAAAAAAAATTAAAACACTGGAATGTGCTCTGGATGTATTAGAGGTAAACAACTAATAGGATAGAATTGAAAGGCCAGAAACAACCCAAAGATACATAAAAACGTCATGAGAAAACACTGAAGAAAGAAATGTATTGGGGCTGGGCATGGTGGCTCATGCCTGTAATCCCAGCACTTTGGGAGGCCGAGGCAGGCAGATCACTTGAGGTCAGGGGTTGGAGAGCAGCCTGGCCAACATGGTGAAACCCCATCTCCATGGCGCATGCTTGTAATCCTAGCTACTTGGGAGGCTGAGGCCTCAGAAATGCTTGAACCTGGGAGGTGGAGGTTGCATGAGCTGAGATGGTGCCACTGTACTCCAGCCTGGGGGACAGGGTGAGACTCTGTCTCAAAAAAAAAAAAAAAAAAAAAAAAAAAAAAATCTTAACATTTGGCATATTATTTGAAACGGACTTCAAATTCAAGGAATTTATCCTAAGGAAGTAATATTGAATCTGCACAATAATTTGACCTTGAGATGATTTACTGCAATGATGTACATAAAGGAAAAAAGCCAGAAACAACTGGAATCTACCCAAATTGGGGATTAATTTAATAATTAGATGATATCATAAATGGAATATCATATAGTCATTAAATGGAGAAAAAATGTAATAACATGAGAAAATATTAACATTATTAAGCAGAAAAACAGGTTACAATGCAAGTATATAAAGACTCCTTTTTAAAATTAAAAGTACAACAAATTTTAAATTTACATATAAAAATGAATATATATGTTTGTGGGGATATATATATCAATAGTGGTTTTACATGAATGAATTATTTTATATTTTATGCTTTAAGTGTTTTCTATTAGTTTCTAAAATGAATGTATACTTCTTTAATAATAACTCCTTTAATCCCACCAATTTGGGTAGTCGAGGCAGGAGGACTGCCTGAGCCAGGAGTTCAAGACCACTCTGGGCAACATAACGAGACCTTGTCTCCACAAAAAATGAAAAATTAGCCAGGCACAGTAGCTCGCGCCCATGGTCCCAGCTACTCAGAAGACTGAGGTGGGAGGATTGCTTAAGGTCATTCCAGCCTGGTGACAGAGTGAGATCCTGTCTAAAAAAAAAAAAGAAAGGCACTCTGCACTCCAAAAAGGGAGAAACAATAACATTCAACATTCTTTAAGAAGGGCCTAGGAAGGATCTTAGATGGAGGACAGGATTAAAAAAGCAAAGGGTAACTCTATTAGCTACTGTGAACAGAGGTAACAACTCAATTGATTTTAATTGAGGAGATTGCTTTTGGAGGGATAAAAGTTTGCTTGCAGGAAGGAAGCCCTTGGAAGTCATTATGATCCTGTCCCCTTCATGGGAATGGGCCTGGGTCTTAAACAGCCCCTTTTACCCAGTTCCAGGATGAAAAAAATACACACTATGCCTAAGAGAACACTGACCAGAGCTCGCCCTAGGGTGGGAGCAGGAGCCCAAGCTCAGCATGGGGTGGATAAATGCCCTGGTGTGCCTGGAGCATGACCAGCACTGGCTCTGATAGTCAGGATGGCAAGAAAACAGCGATGTGGACCAAGTAGGGTGACTTCAGTTTCTTGGTATTACTCAGATTTCTCAGTGTAGGTTCCATATTACATTAGCTTTTAGAGCAGTCATCACTCTTCCAGAGTGAATTCTCCAAAAGGAAGGCCACAATGCCCCCACCTCATTTTGGGACACCTCAGAATCACCTCAACGAAGATCTCTGCTCTCCTTTCTTCAAGCTTGTAATGCATGCGTGTGCAGTTTCCTGAATCTTTTCCTAGCTCTTTGTGCTACTTCGGTGTAGCCTCAGGCCAATGCTATCTGCTCTATTTCCAAAGGTTTTAATCATCTCCATGCTTCCTTTTTCTTTTTCCGTCCTGCCTTAAAAAAAAAGCAACTTGAGGACGGGCGCCCATCTGCCTAAAAGATTTTCTGCTTTCACAAATTTAACACTTTCTGTGCCACATGGGTATGATCCTGATTCTCCTCTTAACACAACTTTGCCACATTGACGCTGGTTGGCTGGCTTGCCTAAGTCTTGAGAATTCTGCTGTCCCGCAATGCCATTGGACTGTGGTGCCCAGAAAACTACTCATATTTTTGGAATGGTAGAGGATTTGCCCTTACTTGGCCATTATATATATTTTTCTTTTTTTTTTTTTTTTTTTTTGAGGTGGAGTTTTGCTCTTGTTGCCCAGGCTGGAGTATAATGGTGCAATCTCAGCTGACTGCAACCTCCACCTCCCAGGTTCAAGATATTCTCCTGCCTCAGCCTCCCGAGTAGCTGGGATTACAAGCGTGTGCCACCATGCCTGGCTAATTTTTTGTATTTTTAGTAGAGACGAGGTTTCACCATGTTGGCCAGGTCTTGAACTCCTGAACTCAGGTGATGCACCTGCCTCAGCTTCTCAAAGTGCTGAGATTACAGGAGTGAGCCGCTGTGCCAAGCCATTAAATATTTTTTTCTAAATGAACTCCAGAAATATGTCTTCGAAGGATGCCATTGAGTGTAAATGACAAGACAGTCATGACCCACATATCCCTGAAATGATGTAAGACAGAGTCAATCTCTGTGTCAATAAGTATAATTTCTCCCCATGTAGGTTTTCCTTTGTGGAGTTTGTCAGGAATGAGAGTATTTTCTTGGCCATGGCAAAGCAGGTAAAAGAGGTTAACCAATATATCCAAGTACAGGAATCTGGTTTTGCCCCACTGGACCAATCACACATCCCTAATAGCAAAACAGAAGGCTGAGAGAAGTGTATAAAGGACCATTATTCAAGCCCAAGAGCCAAGTGGTCTCACTTACCTCTAGTGTAGTTAATACAATCTTCTCAACTGAAGAAAAATAAGCCTCCCACAAGAATTGTGTCTGCTGTCTAAGTGCTAGGATTTTATCCTGATGAATAGACCTGATTGTAGAAGGAATCTGTAACACAAGGTGAACACATAGGAATTATAACTGTAAAACAAAGAGATGCACTTGATCAAAATAACCCAACTGGGTTAGGCTTTTATTCTTCATAGCATTTGGCTTCTAGCATATAGATCTACTAAAAATCATCAATTCCTAAGTTGAAATGACCTTAAGAAGTGTCAGCTGCAAAGAGCACTTACTGGGAATCCACCCCAATGGCCTTTGATGTATGAAAGTTACAGTTCACCTCTAAGATTCAGTAGCACCTTATCAGTTGCTTAGGTTAGTCTATAGTCACAATTGCTGTTTCCAGAAATCCTTGACCTTGCACATGAACAACCAAATTTTATAGAGGGGTAACTATAGGTCTTGGGGAAAGGCCAGAAGACTTTATCTCCCAAGCACTTCTATGATTGGTCACCCCAGGAACTATAAAATATCTATAAAAGGACTTTTTAGAGAATGTCTATGAGCCTTCCCATCCAATCTGAAGCTAGGGTCAGTCACTTTTATGTGCACATACCTTCTACCTCACCTTTGAGCCTTTCTGCTCCCTATATCTCTCTTTCTGCCTTCAGCCTTTACCCAAGTCTAACTGGATCTCTCAATTGTTCATATATGATTAGCCATCACTGCTCTCTTCCAGGGTATACAATTTTAAAGGAAGGACCTATATCTTGTTATCCTGCTACACATTTTCAGGTTAGCAGAGTGGATTTTATATAGTAGTTATTAAGAAATAGGAGGTGAATATAACCATCTGAAGCCACCACAGGGACGTCATTATTTTTAATGGTAGTATAACTGAATGGTCAGGCACAGGGGCACAGAAGTCAGAAAGATCAAGGAAGGAGTGTTGCCTCTAGCAGCATTTACTACCTGTGCTTTCTTGAATGAGTTAGCTGATTTCTCAAAGACTCCACTTCTTTACTTATAAAGTGGGGATAAAGTACTAAGGTTTTAATGATGATTATATAAGTGCTTAGCACAGTGCCTAAAACATGGAAAACTTAATTAATGTAACATCACTACTATTATCATTATTGGTATCAGGGTGATGCTATTAAAAGCTGGATCAATTGCTTAATGTTTGCAAGGGAACCTACTTGGGTCTGGAGCTCTGAAATGTACTTCCTGAGTCTGGTAAGTTTTCTGGGCTTGTTCCCTATTTTCACCTACAGTTCAAGGTCTATTTCATTTACGGAGTCTATAGTCTTTAGGGAAGATTCCTTGTGATTTGCAATTGCCCTTTTGTGCTCACCTCTTTCTGCATGCTTGCCTCCATAACATATGACTAATCCGACAGATATGGGAGTCTGAGCAAGAAGGAGAAATGCTCCGTTAGCTGCTTTAATAGGAAAGTCACCCATGGCATTTGACTAAGACTGTAACAGAGTTTCCATTGGAGGGGAAGGAAGTGGTAGCACATTTTTTAATTCAGCACTCCCCTTAGGAGGAGCAATAAAATAGCTTCACAGTAAGAACAGAAGGAAAAGCTCACTTGGTTTGACAATGTCCAAAACCAGATACTAAATCTGTGTCCCAAAGTGTATACCTGGATTTGCAACACTGAAAAAACAGAGGCAACATGTAAAGGAGAAATACTGGCAGGCAAACATTAGCCTGTAATCAGAGCCCAAGGTCAAATGGAAATAAAACATTCTTTGAGAAGGTAGACAAATCATTTATATCATAGAACCTTTATCAGTGCAAGGAAACTTATTTTTAGTTACTCACTGAGAAAGTTACCTAGATGGCCAAAGAAAGATTAGAAAAAAACTATCCTGTTCAATTTTCATAATCATACCCTCTTCTAAATGTCAAGAGGTAACTGCTAAGAGTTATATAGGTTGGCATCACTGTTTTATCGTAGCCACAAGGAAACAGTCTATTAGAAAAATGCCTAAGGCCGGGCGCGGTGGCTCAGCCTGTAATCCCAGCACTTTGGGAGGCCGAGGCAGGCGGATCACGAGTTCAGGAGTTCAAGACCGGCCTGGCCAATATGGTGAAACCCCATCTCTACTAAAAATACAAAAATTAGCTGGGCATGGTGGTGTGCACCTATAGGCCCAGCTACTCGGAAGGCTGAGGCAGAAGAATTGCTTGAACTGGGAGGCAGAAGTTGCAGTGAGCTGAGATTGCACCGCTGCACTCCAGCCTGGGTGACAGAGCAAGACTGTCTTAAAAAAAAAAAAGAAAAGAAAAGAAAAGAAAAATGCCTAAAGCTGTCATTGCTATATAGTCTCCAGAAAATTGAGTCTGCTGTGGTTATGAAAGGAGAAAAGGAATATCACAGACTCACCTACCAATGCTGTTCCCCTCTCTTAAATAACATGCATCTTCATCTTACTACATCAAGTGCAATGTATTCTACCGGCTTGTGATATGATACAAGTGTCTGACAGCACTCTGCAAAGTGCTCTGGAAGACAACTCCAATTGATTGAAAAGACAGAGTTCCAAGTTTTAATGGCACTTGGCTATTGGTTATTAATCTGCTTGTCCTGAGAGACAGGTATGGGAAAGTGATAAATTAATTCCAATTTGGCTGGATTGTTTTGGAAGTTGCCGAGCTCAATGAAGTCTTAATAAAAGGTCATGTATGGTAGCAAAACAAATGGAATGCACCAGAATAGATACAAGAAAGTCACATTAAGCTCTCTTGGTGACATGATGACAAGAATATATGCAAATAAAAACATCCCAGCTGTTCTAAAACAGGAAATAAAAAATTGTAACATAACAAAAAAACATTTCCCAGAGCAGACATTTGGGCTGGGTGCCAACTCTTTAAAACCATTGTTAATGATAGTACACAGTTGCTGCTCAATATGGAGGCAGCTGTGCAAAGACAGACTGAATATGAGAGGGGAAAAACACCAGCAAGTCTGGGTGGGTGGGGGTGACAAAAATCAAAATCTTTAGAGTCAAGCCAAAAAGTTGCTTCAGAAGGTGAAATGCCCATCAAGTTTGGTGAAATGGTAGAAACTGGACAAGTGGCTGGGCGCGCTGGCTCACGCCTGTAATCCCAGCACTTTGGGAGGCTGAGGCAGGTGGATCACGAGGTCAGGAGTTCAAGACCAGCCTGGCCAACATGGTGAAACACCATCTCTACTAAAAATACAAAAATTAGCTGAGTGTGGTGGCAGGCACTTGTAATCCCAGCTACTCGGGAGGCTGAGGCAGAAGAATCGCTTAAACCCGGGAGGTGGAGGTTGCAGTGAGCTGAGATCATGCCATGGCACTCCAGCTTGAGTGACAGAGCGAGACTCCATCTCAAAAAAAAAAAAGAAAGAAACTGCACAACCACAATTAAGTATCCTAAAATGCGCTCCATACCAAAGACAAACTTTCAATTTGTTCACATCAAATTCATGGGAGCATTGGTATATAAAAGGAAAATTATGGGTGGTGTTTTTTATTCCCTTTATTTCTCAAATTTCTTTTAATGATCATGTATTATTTTTAAAATAACATTTGAAAAAGGAAGAAAAAAGGCTACATGGACAAGCACAACATGCATCACTCTTGTTTGGCTTTTCATGAATAAATGATTTTAGCATACACTATCTCTGCATGGGGAAAACTCTTCCTCAGTGTTTCTGCAAGGACTTCTTTTCCTTAAGGAATCACAGTGGGAAATCATTGGCATAAAAGTGGCCCTTTCACAAAAACTCCAGACCCCTTTCTCAATGAACACCTAAGAAATTAAGTTGTATTCAGGGCAGAATAACTTATTCCCCCAAAAACAGATTCTGTCACATTCCTCCTTTGTTTCTGAGATAATAGGGACTATGGAGATCACAAACTGAGTGCCAGACAGAAGTAATGTTTCAGGAGCTGTGGTCACTTTAGTTTGCTTAACCCATGGGTCTCTCAGTTACAGTTAGTTCATTTGTTATTTTAGGGAAAGTGCTGTATTACTTCAGCAGTCAGCTAGCAGACTGGGCAGCAGCACAGAAGGAGAATCAACAACAGACTTAAGAGGCCAGGCGCGGTGGCTCACACCTGTAATTCCAGCACTTTGGGAGGCTGAGATGGGTGAATCACCTGAGGTTAGAAGTTCGAGAACAGCATGACCAACATGGTGAAATCCCATCTCTACTACAAATACAAAAATTAGCCAGGCGTGGTGGTGTGCACCTGTATTCCCAGCTCCTCGGGAGGCTGAGGCAGGAGAATCGCTTGAACCTGGGAGGCAGAGGTTGCAGTGAGCAGAGATCACACCACTGCACTCCAGCCTGGGCGACAGAGTGAGACTCCATCTCAAAAAACACAAACACACACACATACACACACACAGACTTAGAAACTCAATTTAATGAATATCCAAAAACTAAAAGGGCAAAGACATTAAAAAAAATTCTACAAATATTTGTGGTAATTCAAAGATAAAGTGTATGGTACAACAAAAGAAAAACATTAAAGTTCTAGAATTTTAGGAGAAAAGAGCACGGCAACTTGTGTTGATCCTAAAATATGAATATACAAAGGGCTTTAGAAATCCTTAGTAATTTAAAAAAAAATAATACATGATCATTCCTGCCCTCAGATTTTTCTGAGTATCGTATCCCCCTCCCTAGGCAGCTCTTGAGCAATTCAAACTTTTATTAGGGGCTGCTCATTTAAATATAAATCCTAAAGATAACACTCGCTCAGACACCCAGACTGGATCATTTGAGGAACGATAACACTAATTACAAGAACAAGCCCTAGAGACCTCTCTCTTTCTGAAAATTAATCTGAAGGCAAGTGCAGAAACAGAGGAAAAGAATATGAAACAGTAGGGTAGAATAAAAACTCTCTGGTAATATTTCTAAAAATTCTGGTTATTGAAAGGGGTGGAGATCCACTTCTTCTTGAAAATCAAAGCTCCCATTCTTTACCTGCAACTTCTTTTCAGAATATATTCTGGGGACCTGGGGAGATTTTGTTGGAAAGTGAACAATGTCATATTAAATGACTTCATATTCACCATGACACAGGTAATTTTCTCCTGATAAGATTTCTTTTATAGAGCTGACCTTTTGGATTCATCTTCTTTGAAAGTTTGGACGGGGGCAGCAATAATCTGCTGATGTGTTGAAGGCCACAGCCCCTTCCTTACCTGTAATAACAATCTCTCATCGCCTATGACGGCAGCTTGGTTCCAATTAATCACTTCAGAGAATGGCAACTCCCATCCATTGCTGAGCATCACAGGGACGCAGGCAGCCTGAGCAAAAAAGGGGACTTCGTGAATGTGAGGAAAGCGACAGCAGAAGCTGTTCCAATCAGAGGTGAAATCAGTACAAACTCAATGACTGGCATTTTTGACACTGCATGAATCCTGGACTGCCTAGGCCAGAAGGAAAGGAAGCTTTTATGAGTTATCAAGTCACACGAAGGTTGTACGTATCCAGACTAGATTTTAATATTTGCAAGTCTTGCCCTAGAATGCTAAAACCCCATTTCTATTCTAGTACATGGTTTGGCTGACCTTACTTCCATAGAGACGACTGGCCTTGCTGGAGAAGTTTTTATTGACGTAACAAAAGCTCGCACCAACAAAATCTGAGTATAGAACCAACCTTGAATATAAACAGTCTGGTCAACGTAACTCCCACAAGTCCACGTGCAAAGTGGTTTACCCCAATGTCATGAGCAACAAAGAGCAGAATGAAGCTCAGCATTCCTAGGCAGCAGTTCGTGGACTTAACCAGTATAGAGTGTTCACATTTCCCTTGCTCTGCAAACACCCAAACCAGAACTTTGTTCCTTTCAGTGTGGAGTGATCTAAACCACAGTCATACCAATTTATGGTCTGTGCCGGGAAATAAACAGCCAAGAAACACTAGGTTAATGACAAAATACTGATTCCAAATAACTCATAATCCAAATCAGAGAACAATTTTTCTTTATGCAGCATCCCAGGAGGCTACAAGAACATTAGTGATGGCATGCTATGCAGAACACACACAGAGAGCAACTTGGAAAAGACATTCCAGAGAAGGAAGCTCTTCTGTTGGAGGGCATGACAGAATGATTTGCAGTTAAGATGGCAGAGATAAGAAGTTATGAGGCACTGCAGCAAAAGCACAGATTTAGGCATGGTGCAGGGCAAGAGGAGGAAAGAACATAGTAGCAAAGGGTCAAGGAATGGAGGATGAGAGAGGTTGAGGGCATGCTTTCTCTCTGCAATCAAAGAAGGCTGGTTGCAACTTCCAGGTGGGAAATGTGGATGACTGTCTCAAGAGGACATTTCTGCAGAGTGAGGTTGATGAGCTGAGAAACTCCCACCACAAAGGCTCCAGGGCTGGAGCCAGGACCTCTGAACTGCAGAGCCTTGGAAGAGCTGGATCATCTGAGTAGTACCACCATGCTGGGGATCATTCTCAAAATTGAAAGGAACTGAGAGACAATGAAGATGCAGGCAGAAAAGACAATTTTGCTTTTAGAGAGTACCACGAATAAAGGGAAAGTGTAGGGCTGCTTTTTAGAGTCCAGCTAGGCTGCCTGGTAGGCCAAGCTGGCAATTAGATTTGCCTTCTGTTTCTAAACATGACCCAGAAGAATCCACCATTTAATTTCTTACATCTAAAATTACTGAGTAAATCCTCCCTCCACCCCTCACTTGTCAAAAATGTTTTAGATTTTCTTGAAAATATTTTCAGATCCTCAAGGGAAACCACACCTTCTCTTTAGCTATCCCAGGAGAGGTGATAATGTTAAACCCACTTAATCTGGCTTCGGTCCTCAGCCCTATTCTGGGAAGGCTCCAGGGCCTCTTACCTGCAAAGCCTCCAGGAATCTGAAGGACCCAAGCCTGCGACCACGAGGAACCAGACAGAAAGTGGCATTGTGCAGCATTTCCCGATAATCATACCTAGAAAGAGAAGAGGAGTAAACAGCAAATGAAGACTCATTGCGAATGTGGGGATATTGACCATAGGTGGGCGCCCATGTGCATGAATTTACGCAAAGCAACTCGGGAAAGCCACCAGCAGGCAGCTCTCACTTTTCCATTTTGAGGAAGGAGGTTGGGTTGCTGCATGAAGAGTAAACATGAATCATCATGTTGGACAAAGCAATTAGGATCCCTTTTGCAAGCAGTATATATAAAGACAAGTCTGATCGTTCTGGCAACAATTTGGTTTGCCCAGTCTTTGCTTCCAAAATCAGATTTTTAAGTCTTGATAAAATATGTTGCCCCATAGTCTTAAAAAGAAGAAGAGAAAATTACTGGTGCTTCTCCTTCTCCTTTAACAATACGGCATTCAGCAAAACTAAGACTGTTCTTGTTCCCCACCCCTTCAAAACCATGCTATTAAAAACTATTCAGAAAACCTCAATCACAGGCACAAAACAACATTTGTCTTCTCTTTCAAGATGGAGTTTCTACACTTAACCAAGAACGTTCAGTTACCCAGGAAAAATATTCCTGTTTAAGAATGGCTGACATAACTCACAGGAGAAAGAGGAGGTGAGAGAGAAGGATGCTAGCCTAAGAAAGGGAAAGAAAGAATAACGAGAAAAGAAAAGAAAAAAAAAAAACCTGAACTAGGAGGGGGTACAGGAAACTGGTCTACAGAAGAGATGAATTTATTTTACTCAAATACCATTTAATGATATTACATTGCTTTTGCTTTTCGAAAAAACATACAAAATATGAGTGTTACCTGTTTCTTTATGCCAGTGAAGTTTAAGAAAGATAAAAAGCATTTCATTTTGTTTAGGACTGTCACTTTTAAAGTGATTACCACAAACACATTCCTACACAGGCAGTTTCAAGTACATTATGAGTTTAAGAAAACTTGGGAAAGTAGAGATGGCTCATGTCCTGTAAAGGCCCCGATTCTTAGAGCCAAGATGAAATCACTCTCATTTTTCAAGAGCTTCCAATGCTGAGCAGACAGGTGTGACTTTGACAGTAGCATATGTCACCACCACTTTCTGACTCTAATAGTCTAATTTAATCATAGCCTAAAGGCACTGAATTCTTCCCTCTTCTTTTTGGGTATATTGGTATATACATTTATATTTTTAAAGTCCACATCTATTTTTATATTCTCATACAAACTAGGCATACGGGAGTAAGCCAATTTTCAATTATAAACCCGCCATTAAGAAGAGACATCATGCAAAGGACCATTTGCTTAAACAAGCGTGTACAACTAATTTGCACAAGAAAAGGTCACCGTGAATGGATTAAGATTATCTCCATTGAGAGTAAAAATTTTCTAAAACCCTTGCTGCATTAATTAAATTGCAAAATAGACTTCAAAGTAAAAAAGATTTTTAAGAAGGCTTGAATTTAGTTAAATATAAAAAAAAAATAAATTAGATGGTAGTGATTTCTTCATCCTCACCAAACACAGGAAAATGGTTGACAAATATCTTCAAGTTCAAATGTTGATAATGTTTTAATCTCTGCCTAATAGATGGAGCAGAGAGAAATATGCACACACACACACACTCACAAAAATATATGCATAAAGTTTAAGCTGATTTTTTTTTAATACAGAAAGGTCGAATATACTTCAGACTACAGCAAGGTTTAATAAGTACCCAGAATAGAAACCCCTGAGGGACTAGCACAGAAGGTCCCACATTCTCATCATTAGCCTACTAAAAATGTAAAATCCTATTAATGTTCTGCATTGTAACAAGTTTCAAAGTTCCTAGTTGCAGAATTTACTTTAGGGAATGTGTGGAGGAAGAGGAAGGGCAGAAAACTTATAGGAAAAATTCAAATGACAGTTATAGTGGGTTGCTTAAATGGTTACATAGAAGGACTATTTGCTGATATAGCAAGTAAGATTGACATGATCGAAGCTTGTATTCCTTCACATAATAGGTAATAGGAGCTGTGGGAAGAATACCCTTGCAGGAGTTAGGAAACCACTAGGTAGCTGTGAGACTTAAAAAACCCATGAATTTTCTATCTGTTTCCTCATCTGCAAAATGAACTACTTGGGCTAGATGACTATAGATTCAGTTTTAATACTTGATTACTCTTTATCTTATCATTTTTGGGTAAGAAAGAGGAATGTCCTTTGAGAATATCCCACTGCTTAGGTGTCCATACCATTATATGTATGTGTATATGTGCACAATTCCATACCCATATATGTGTGTATATGTATATACATACGTATCTGTTCATATGTATGCAGTGCATGTCTAACATATGTGTGTATTCACATAGAGGCTCATACAGAACATGTACACTCATACCTTAGAACAATGATTTTCATTCAGATTTCTATGCATGCTCAGCCTGTGAACCAGCCTCTCTATTCTACTCTCTGGACAGTCAATCTATGAATTACTAACATGTTCTACCTGAAGGAAGAATGATGCCCCACAAGTGGGCAGACAACTATTCTAGTTTGACCACGTGCTTGATCCTCTCCTACTCAGCCCATTGTGATGCTCTTTCACACTGCACATCAACCTCCTTGTAGATGCTTAAATCCACTCATTTATTCATTCATTCTTTCAAGAAATACTATGTTTCAGACACTGTCCCATTTCAACAGATAGAGTCCAGAGAAGGTCTTCTCTAGTTGCTGGAGCTACCAAAGAAGCACCTGACAATGAGAAAATGCTGATGAGATGAGAATTTAAGATATAAACATCTCCTGGGAGTATTTGCATTATAAGAGGAGATTATAGAAGGCCGACCTTTCAGAAGATACACAAAGAAGTCTGTGGCCACTCTCCCCAGCAAAACAGCAATTTAGTAACAATCATAAAAACATTTTAAGTCTCTGAGAATTGTCCTAAGGGGATAATGACAAATAGAGAAACAGTCACCCAAGAAAATCTACCAAATCTTGGCAAGAACCATGAGAGTCTGTGGCATCTGGTCCCTGACCTGTTCCATGACCAACCCCTACTAGCTCTGCCTTACAGGAGCTTTACTCTGGGGCAGTGCAGTCAGGAAGGCTGGGCTCTCCATCCCCCCAGGTCCCATCAAGAAAGTGAAAAAGAGCCTACAGAAAGAGAGAACCACCGGGCATGGTGGTTCACACCTGTAATCCCAGCACTTTGGGAGGCCCAGGCAGGCAGATCACCTGATGTCAGGAGATTGAAACCAGTCTGGCCAACATGGTGTAACCTCAACTCTACTAAAAATACAAAATTAGCTGGGCATGGTAGCACATGCCTGTAATCTCAGCTACTTGGGAGGCTGAGGAAGAAGAATCACTTGAAACTGGGAGGTGGAGGTTGCAGTGAGCCAAGATAGTGCCATTGTACTCCAGCCTGGGCAACAAGAGCGAAACTCTATCTCAAAAAGAAAAAAAAAAAAAAGAAAGAGAGAACGTATTTGCCAATCATATATGATAAGGGACTTTCATCTAGAATACATAAAGAACTCTTCTGACTCAACAATAAAAAGATAAATAATCAAACTTTAAAAGAGGCTAAGGATTTGAATAAACATTTTTCCAAAGAAGACACACAAAGTGCTGCTAAACACATGAAAATATATTCAACATCAATAGTCACTAGGGAAAAGCAAATCATAACTACAATGAATGAGATACCACTTTACACCCACTGGGATGGCTATAAGCAAAATGACAGATGAGAGCAAGTGCTGATGAGGATGTAAAGAGATTAGAACCCTTCATACATTTCTAGCAGGAAGGTAAAACGGTGCAGCCACTTCGAAAAATAGTTTGGCAGTTCCTTTTCAAACTAAAAATGGACTTACCATATGACCCAGTAATTGCACTCTTGGGCATGTATCCCAGAGAAATGGAAACTTATTTTCACGCAGAAACTTGTCCACAAATGTTCACAGCAGTTTGTCTGTAATAACCTTAAACTGGAAACTACCCAAATGTCCTTCAATGTGTGAATGATTCAACAAATTGTGGTACATCCATAGCCTACAATCCTTCTCAGCAATAAAGTGGGACAAACTATTGATACACACGACAACTTCAAGGAAATTATGCTGCATTAAAAAGTCACCCTCGAAAGTGTACATACTGTTGAATCCTTTCTATATGACATTCATGAAATCACATAGTTACAGGGATAAAGAACACTTAGAGGTTGCCATTGGTTGGGGGGAGGAGGAAAGACAGGGAGACTTGAGAGGTCAAATGGGGGGACACAGTGTTTTAAGATGGACTAATTCTCCCTCGTTTCTTATGTTTAGAAATGTGAATCACATAATCACACACTACTTAAAAGAAACATATGATATCCTAAGCAAGAAGGTAAGTAGGTGAGGGAGACAACTAACCCCAGATAATTTGCCACTCTAATAAATGGTTTTGCTACCCTTTTCAGATGGGCATTAAGTTCCCCACGTGTAGGTAAAGAAGGACAAAAGGTAGAAGAATTTTCACAAACGACTACAAAGAAAAATGCAATAAAAATGACATGACCTTGAATTTAACCTAGACACTAGTACCACTCTATGGCCATAATCATTTTATACTTAAAGTTGTATTGAACAATGTATGGGATGCACCCCATTTAAAATGGACTATGCAATAATGCACAATTGAAGTCCTGCCCCTCTGTAGGAAACACATTTTTGCTGGCAGCCATTCTGTGCAACTGGGAAAGATGGGGGAGTGTAGCATAGAGCAGGGGTTCTCAAAGTGTGTTCTTCCAATCAGTGGCAACATCTGCATCATCTGGGAACTTGGTAGAAATGCAAATTCTCAGCCTCACCCAAACCTGCTGAATCAGAAACTCTGGGGGAAGAGCCCAGAATTCTGTGTTTTAACAAGCCCTCTGGATAATTATGATGCACCCTAAATTTTCAGAACCACTGGCACCATAGTTAAGAGCTTAGTAATTAAAAGCTTAGTGGTTAGGCAGCTTCAGACACAGCAAAACCTGGGTTCGAATTCCAGCTTTTCAATTTATAAACTGAGTAATCTTGAGAAAGTTATTTAATTTGTTTAATCCTAGTTTCTTGGTTGGCAAAATGGGGATAATACTTATACTGTGAGGATTAAGTGATACATTTTAACCAAAGCACGAGCATATTATAAGCAAACCATAAAAGGTAGCTATTATCATTATGACTGAAGGAAGATAACAGAACATAATGGAAAACACAGCCAGCTTCAAGTTAGAAAATCTGGGCTAAGGAATTTGGGTTCTTGATCTACCACTTCCTGTGTAACCCCAGCAAATCATTCAACTTCTCCAAACCTCAAAGTTTTGAAGATCAAATGAAATCATGTACATTGAATATAAATGGCAAAGCACTATGCAATTGCAAGTTATTATGGTAAATTATATCAGAATAAGAGGGATATAAACATTTTTAAAACCCCTAGTAACAATTAAAAAGAATGAAAACTACACCAGTATCCCAAAGACAGAGCCAAGAGACAAATGTGGAACAGACCCTTTAAAGTAAAATGGAAACAGAAGCTGTGAATCACAACAGAACAGCAGCTTCTAATTGAAGGCTTTTGCCTTATTATCAAAAGCTACATAGACAAGGATGTTGCTGGTGCACTGTGCTCACAGGTCCTCCTGTGGCTCCCACAATCCCTCTGTAGCACGCATATTTGCCAAGTGAACCTGCTTTTTGCTAACCAAAGACGATAGGGAAGAAACAAGTGATCCAGCCTCTCATCTCTGTACTCACACAATTCTAGCCTCCCCATGATGTTGTCACAGTTTGTCTCAAGTATTTATTCATAAAGTAACTTAACATCTACAGCTGATCTACTCCCTCCAGTCCCCATCCTCATAAGTAATTAATCTTTCCTTATACACAAGTTTGAATAATATCCCTTAAGAAAAAAAGAAAGAAAGAAAATAAAAATAATTTATGACTGTTGTAGTTCTCTAAAGTGCATGGGGATGAGAGAAATGAAATTAACATCCTTTGAGCACCTCCTTGCGCCTTTTTCATTCATTCACCAAGCATTAGTTGAATGTCTACCATGTGTCAGGCACTCTTCAGGGAGCTCACTGTCCAGAATAAACAACATGTGTTATCAAATGATGATTAGTCAGCGAGAGGAGTGCTAGGATTGGACATGAGGTAGAGGTGGGTGTTATACAGAGAAGAGAAGCAATGGCCACATGTAGGCAGGGAGGCCTCCTGGAGGAAGTGAGACCCTGAGCTAAATCTTAAAGGATGTACAAGAAGCAACCAGGCACAGGGGTAAGAGGAGGTGATGGGAATTCCTGGGGGTAGAGATAGCATAGCAGGAACAAAGGCACCAAGGTGAGAGAAACCACCCAGTTTGGGGAGGGGAAGGTATGGGGGTGTGGGCTGCTGTTACTGGTGGGTTGCCACTAGGAAGGCTTTCTATGACATCTCCTAGAGCTCAGAGATGATCCCTTGCAGGTGACTGGGGTGTCACTGAAGGGCTTGAGCAGAAGAATGACATGGTACCAATGGTGTTCTCAGGACTTCATATAACCCAATTTCATAGAGAAGCAATTAAGTTTGGAGACCTCAAAAACCCTTCCAATGCAGGTCACAGCTAGGACCAACCAGCCTGTGTTCCAACTCCTGGATTTCTCATTCTAAATCCCATTTTCTTTCCATTACATCACATTGCCTCCTTGGTCAGCCCATACAACATGCAGTGTCTAAAACTGACATGTCTTATGAAGCCAGGTCCTAAGCAGTTCACCTAGTTTCAAGCATGGGCTATTCGTTGCCAATTTAAAAGGGCTGTTTCTCTCCCATTCAAAACTTCACCCCAGATCACTACCAGGAGCTCAGTTTAAGAAGGTACTCTGTCATCTATTTACTAACCATGTTGCCTTAGACCCTTCCTTGGCCTTTAAAGGTTTAACAGTTTAAAATTTCAATTACTATTATTATTATTATTATTATTATTATTATTTTGAGACAAGATCTTGCTCTGTCACCCAGGCTGCAGTGCAGTGGTGAGATCACAGTTCACTGCAGCCCCGACCTCCTGGGCTCAGGCAATCCTCCTGTCTCAGCCTCCTGAGTAGGTGGGACTACAGGCATGTACCACCATGTCAAGCTAATTTTTAAACTTTTTGTAGAGATGGGGTCTCACTTTGTTGCCCAGGCTGGTCTTGAACTCCTGGGCTCAAGTGATCCTCCTACCTCAGCCTCTCAAAGTGGTGGGATTACAGGAGTGAGCCACCATACCTGGCCTAAAATTTCAGTTATTTTTGAGAAAACTGAAGTTTACAGCATGCAGTCGTACGGAATTGCCCAAGGCAAAGATTTGAACTGAGAAACATATATAAGTGGGAACCAATCTTTTAGCTGGAAAATGGGTCCAACTGGCCACTGTTCCATCTCAATTAGGAGACTTGAAAACATAGAATATGGAAAAGTATAGGTCCCTGGTGTCTTTGAGAATTCTCTGGACTTAAGGAGCCACAGTTTCTCCATGACACCTACTCACACAGAGTCTCTGTGCACACAAATGAGCTGCTATAGTACAAATGAGCTATGCAAATGTGCAGTGCTAGGCTCTGGGACTGGCTGACCAGGTTGGCTGCAGCTTCAGGGATGCTTGGCGTCCCCAAGCAGGAAGGCACTCGCTATTTGGAGGTGGTACAATTCCTTACTCAAGACAGTTTTTTGCCTTGAGCATTGCCTGCTGTTAGAACTGCCACACCACTCCCCACCTCCCCAGTCATGCCAAGGATTAAGAATTTATTTCCTTGTGACGCTCCTCAGTCTGAGGCTGCTGATCCCAAGCTGTCCACCGCAGAGAGCAGTGCGTGGCTAAAACCAGGGCCAGGAATTTATATTCACCCTTTCACACTTCTTGGCTTTCCACAGAAGAGAGTCTCCTTTTCATGTCCTCTTAAAATCCATTTCAGCATAGGGAAGGGAGGCAGATAACATTTTGTGGGCTGGGGCTGAGGCATGAAACCCCTATGGGAGGCATTCACTCTCATATCCATGATCTCATGACAGCCTCACAACCACTGGGGACGTGGGGAAAGATACACCTGTCTTTCACAGGGATGAGGGAGTCAGAAGAGTCCTTGGACTCAAACATCTTGACTGAACACGCCAGGTCATAATCTCTTATCAACTCTAAACTCCACCCCCCATCCTTAGGTTAAATGTCTACTGACAGTTCAGAACCTTAAACTTAGCCCAAGTGGTAATTGCTACCTGTGTATATTAATGAACACAACATGTACCAGGTGTAGCTCATACTTCAAGAGGGGTAAAAGATGACCATCTGAATTCCTGCTCATTAAATAACAGCTCAATGGCTAATATATAAAAGTAAGTAAAAAAAAAAAATAAATAAAAGATAGCTATTAATAACAACTTTTTAAAAACTTTTTTTAAATTTTAATTTTTTATAGAGACGAGTCTTGCTATGTTGCCCAGGCTGGTCTTGAACTCCTGGCCTCAAGTGATCCTCCCACATCCTTCCCAGTCCCCAAAGTATTGAGATGACAGGCATGAGCCACCATGCCTGGCCAGATATAAATTATAATAACAACAATACCTCCACTTTTTAAGCATTTCCTGTGGGTGGGGCACTGAGCTGCACAATCTGTAATCTTTACTGTGCCTTATCTTTACCACCATCATGGAGAATAGGTGCTACTGACCCCAGTTTACAGATGATGAAGTAAAGTGTCACAGGTTTTGTTCGGTTTGTGCAAGGAGGATGGGATCCACGACCAGCTCTGTCATCTCTCAACCTACCTAGGAGGAAAGAGTAACGAGGTGCCAGCAAAGGTGAAAATAAGAGACATTTAATACATCGTGCCCATGACATTAATCTCAGGAAGCTTTCTGAAAGAGGAGAGGTTTTGCAGCACCAGCTTTTTCTTTTTTCCCCCCTTTGAGCAGAGTCTTCTTGCTCTGTTGCTCAGGCTGGAGTGCAGTGGCATGATCTCAGCTCACTAAAACCTCTGCCTCCTGGGTTCAAGTGATTCTTGTGCCTCAGACTCCCAAGTAGGTGGGACTACAGGTGTGTGCCACCATGCTCAGTTAATTTTTGTATTTTTAGTAGAGATGGGGTTTCATCATGTTGGTCAGGCTGGTCTTGAACTCCTGGCCTCAAGTGATACACCTGCCTCGGCCTCCCAAAGTGTTGGGATTATAGGCGTGAGCCATCGTGCCTGGCCAGCACCAGCTTTTATACACAGCAATACCCACTTCCAAAACTCTTCTCAGAGAAATGCAATTCCAAGACACATGGGCCTAAATTCTCTGGTTCAAAACAAAACGTTTTTGAAAATGCTAAATAAAGGGCTACCTGAGTACAGTGGCAGGGAGGGGGTGCAGGGGGAAAAGAGGGGATTAACAATAAAAGAGCCAGCAGCAACAGTGAACTCAGATGGATAAATGGGTCCAGAAGAGTCACACACAGGCCCAATGGTGATGGGGAAGCCTGAGGTCATTATCTTACCATTAACTACCTTTCGCCAGGCTCTAAGCCAATGGGACTGGTTAAGTGGAATGGAGCCAGGAAGTATGGACAGCAGCCCGAGAAGACCAGGATAGGGGTGGGCAGCGCAGTGTGTCTGTTCTAAGGGTGTCAGCTCCCCACCTAGGACAATCTGAGTCCCAGGAGGCTGGCTGTGGAGGGAGCACTTCTTCCCTACATGCCCCTCTTTCCTTCTTTTTCTTAACTTCCACTCCTGCTGCCTAGAGGAAGGCTTCCCTGATCCCTGGAGTTTGGGAACCCTGTGCTAACTCTCTATTGCTCACTCTGTATTAAGTTGCCCATTTTTCTCATTTCCTTCCCCTGGATTCCGGGACACAGGACCTTGGTCCTACTTTCTGTTGACCCAACAACTACCTTAAGGGCCGGCCTACTGTAACTACTCAAAAAAAGAGTTGTTAAATGAATGTAAGGTGCTCAGTGTCCACCAATTTGCATTAAAGTGTACAGGGGCTATGGAAGCAAGAAGATAACAAAGATAAGATGCAAGCCCTTCATTACAACAATGTCCACTTTAACAAACACATGCCCAACTCTTGATTTATGCTGGGTTCTTCCAAGAATGAGTTCATTCCTATGCTTACACCAAGCCCAATTTACTTGGGGAATGAAAAATCGTGTTATTTATTTAGTCTTCCTTTTGTACATTTTAAAATCCCTTCTCTGTTTTTATTTCTACAGGTCTGGCAGCTTGTTAAAAATGTCATTTTCTCCCTGCACGCTGATGAGGGTAGAAAATTTGTGTTTCACCAGCCCTGACAAATAGCATTATTTGTAAATCAAGTTAAATGCATGCACAGTGCGGTTCAAACTGAACCTTCTCCTGGCCTTCCTCCATGTCTGAACTGAAGAATAAAAAGCTGTAGAACCTCCTCATGGCTTCTGCAATGACAAACCCTGCACCAGTCCAAAAAGCAATGACTCCCTCCCTCTGCACAGAAAACTGAGCTCGAACCAATGTCTGACCACTTCCCTTCTTGATCCAAGATATCCTTTCCAGCAAGGCCAGCCTGGATCAGGCCTCGGATTAGGAGGATGTTTGGCATTCCTACTGTTCTCACCCCCAGGGCAGGCACTGTGCAGAGTCTGTCCCGTGACCTGCATTCTTGTCAGTGTTTAATCCTTTTGTCTGGCCCCTGCACTTAAGTGGTTATAAAATATCTTGAGAATCCAATGACAGTTTGTGGAATGTCAGCTGATGCCACCAACCTCACCTTCCCATTTTCTCTCCCACTGTTGCATCACTAGCCTCTGCCTTGTGACTTTGACAGTCAGGGCTGCCACCTCACTCCTGAGCCTTTGGTACCGAATACACAAACAAGACCTCAGAACTCTGTGTAGGCTGATATAGCACATTCACAAAAAATTCTAGAACACCCAACTTACTATGAACGCTGCATGAAGCTAGTTGTCTATGGAAAGTTTAATCTTTCCCGTCTGGGTATGTGAATGCATAAATGTAGAGATACATGGGTGTATCCATGGGACATAACATTTGGGTTATGGTTGAAGATTTGATGCCACATATTATTGATTTACAGGAATATCTTTGCATGAAGGTTGAGTCCTTAGGGATTAGAGAGGCCCACAAGTCTAGATTCTGCCATTTCCTTAGGCAGAAGTACAACAGTACCCTGGGGAAGATGGTCTGTGGAGCTGAATCACCTCTCCCTCCTCCTCCTCCAGCTGGCCATGCTTCCCACAGTTCCTTTGAGAAGCAGACAGAGCCAGCTAGCTCCCTGGCACTCTCATTCTGGAAAGAGGCTGTGGGACAGAAAGAAAATTTAAGCACTGGATTGAGGAGAGGTGGACCAGATGGCCCAAAGGATGCCTTCATGCCCTGATATTTACTCACTGGACAAAGGAGTATTGAGCAGGCCCTACATGTCAGGTAGCACTCTGAGCACTGGGACGCCATGAAGCAAGAGTACTCCAGGAGCTGCCCATTCATGGATTTTGCAATTCAGTGACAGCCAGAGTCTCCTCACACCCTTCTTCCTATACCTCCTTAATCCCATTCCTCCTTCAGCTCAAGCGTGCATGAACAGAGCAACAGAAACCATACTCTGGTTCTTACTAGTTTTAAACAGAATGAGTTCAATCGTATCTTCCTGCAGTCCATAGTCTATAGAGCAGCCAAAGACAACTTTCAAATGTCACCCCCCCAGTCTGAACACCCTCCAGTGGCTCCTCCTGGCACTTAGAATAATAATCATGCCCTACACCTTGGCCGACTGGGTCCCATGAGAACTGGCCTCTGCCCACATCTCTGACTGCCCCATCCTCAGTCACCATCTACAGCTACAAAGTCCGGCTCTCAATTTCTTGACAGAGAATGCTAACTTCTATCTCTTGCACTTGCACTTGCTGTGCCCTCTGCCTGGAATTCTTCTCCAGGATGTCTCTCAAGCTGCCTATAAGCATTCAAATAGCCCCTTCTCAGAGAGGCCAGCACAGACCAACCTGTGCTCCTGGCACTCTCTTTCTGTTGCCCTGTTTCATCTCCATCCTGGCATTTACCAAGGTCAGAATTCACACATGTATTTGTTTTACTGGCTTACCTTCTTTCTCCCCAAATGTAATGTATACTGCATGAGAGAAGGGAGTGTTCCTGTTCTTATTCACCACTGTGACCCCAGACCCTGTACTATGCCTGGCCCACAGTAATCTTTTAGGAAATATTTGTTGAACCTATGTCAGATTATTCAACACTCACCCCATTCCTCATGGGTTTATAAAGCCTAGGTCATAAAGTGTCTGAACTGCTGGCAATGTTTGCAGGGATAATTCATATGACAAGTTTCTAAAAGGATATAGAGAAGTTTTCTTTCATCTTTGTTTTATACGACGCTAGCTTTCTCTCTCTAGTTAATGGTATGATTCGTCAAGTTCTCCAAATGCCATCTGCTATGAAAGCAAGAGCCCAATAAAAATGTCTGCAGAAGAAATTTCTTAAAGAACATCTTTAGAGATGTTTATGTAAAGTGATACAATGAAACCCTGCACAAATTAATAACTAAAGCATTTATGAATATTAGAAAGGATGAGGCCAAAAATTTTCTTGGAACAGTTTTTGTACATATGAGGTAAAATGCAGAAGATGTCAAAGGCCTGGCATTGTTATGTTTCTTTTGCCTTTTCTTTGCGTCCCAAATTATTATGGCATATACCCAAAATCCATCTACTGCTTCAGAAGTATAGATCATTTTCCAAAAGAAGCATCTGGAATAGCTAATTTGTTACCAAAGCCGGTGATTAAACACACATGATACTGTGGGGCTGAATGGCTGGCCATGAGTCCCAGTTTTCCATTGTATTGGGTTTCAGCTATTAACCAATCAGTCTGTTTTTAGAGTATGAATTTGTAATGTAGATGGCTCAGAACTCTTGGCTACGGGGCCCTTAATGGGACAGCATTTCTGTCACATGGAATTCTTGTTGCTTGGTTTCCATTAAGGTATCTTGGCTTTTAAATAAACTGTCAAGTAAAACTTGGCATCAAAACACAAAGTGAGTAACTTCCTTTGTTGAGTCGTTGACAGCTCCGCTGTGTGTCAGATAGATAGCTGCTAAGAGTCAGCTCTAAAGGCGATTGCAGTCTCTTTGGAAGGATGCTGGTATCACAAACTGCCTTCCTCAGGATTAAGGCTAAGCAAAATTTAGGGATAATCTTTATGGAAAGTTAACCCAGCAACGGCCAGTCGACCATATCCCTCTCCACAAGTGTTGGTTTTGGAATTATAAAAGTTTTGGAGGTGTGAAAACATAATTGGAAAACTTTTTTTCCCTGCTTAAAGGGCTAATTGATTTCACAGGTGTTTAATTATCATTTGCTGTGAGATAATACCTTGTAGTGCCATAAAAAATGGATTTAATTTTCTAGTGCTTGCAAAACCATTTCCAAAGCCAAGTCAGAGCTAAAGCTAGATAACTATTCTATAAATCAAACACACTGCCTCCTTTCTTTGAAATTTTTAATACTTGGGGATAATGATATCTGACAACCTTGAAACTAACATGAAAAGGATTTTTCTGCCAAGTGCCAAAAGTCAACCATTGGAGCATTTCAGGCAGTTTGGTTCATTAACAGTGACTCAGGCAGCCTCAGGACCCTGCCTGCAGGCTTCCAAAACACCCCAAGGGTAGACCATTGGTGTGTGTCAGGACACAATATTATCTACCAAGACCAAATGGTCATATATCCAATAAGGTCTACAGAAAAACAGAAATAAAACCCAAACCACCCTTAGCACAAAAAACTGCCTGGAAACAACTGTAACTCTCTAAGCTCAAACTAAGAGTCCTGGAACTTAGAAAGTGGAGATGTTTCAACTTGATCAAGGGATACTTTCCTATCTTATGCTTAAGGCACAACACTTGTGCTTTCTGTAATAACAAGGGAGGGAATCATAAAATCAAACAAATGTTAACAGCTGGAAGGCACCACAAAGATCATCCAGTCCAAATATCCAGATGAAAAAAAGCAGCCAGGAGAGGTCAAGTAACTTACCCAAGATATCACCAGGGGCAGAACCAAGATAAAAAGAATAATTCTGAGTGAGCAGAGAAAGGAAAAGAAAGCTTGAAAATAGATTTAGAGTCCCATTCTCACCCAAAATCTAAAAATACAAGGAAGAATTTTTAAAAAGACAAAAAAAAAAAAAGTGAGGTTTCATTCTGTAAGAGGAGTGGCTATTTCTTCAACGGAGCCCAGTTTCCACAGAAGTGCTTAAGCTGCCTTAAATAACTACATGGGGGTTTTAGTTGGTGCCACGTTTCGGATTTTTTTTTTTCTCTCCAACTTCTATTCAGAAGCTGCTGAAATCCTACCATGTTCCATTAGATTAAGTGTGCTTAAATGATCTAAGAAAGCAGTGCAATTTAGCTGGACACACACACACACACACACACACACACACACACCATTATTTAATTTATTTAATGCATTTGTATGGAGGGTGCACATACCCTAAACCACTAAATGACAAAGATTTTTCAGGCAGTTCAGGTTGGCCTTCACAGTGCTGGATAAAATAATATACAGCAATATGCAGTATAATTGGTGCCATTCTTGGACACTGTGTTTGGGCCCTGGTAGTAAAAGCCTGGGCCAAAGTCATGTGGGCTGAAAGGGCAGGGGACAACATGGGCCCCAGTATAGTCTGAAAAGGGTTGGAATGGAAGGGCATCCATAGGGACTGGCTTGGGATTGCAATGAAACTCCTTCAATGAATAAAAATGGTGGTAATAACTCTAGCTAACATTTATTGAGAACTTATTACATGCCCAACTCTCTGCAAAGCACTTTATGTCCATTTGGCCATTTGCTCTTCCAAAAATCCTATGAAGTAAGTAGCATTATATCTCCCATTTTGTAGAAGAGGAAATTGAGGATTACACCTAATTTGTCTAAATTCACTTAATAAGCAGGTGGGTATAATTTGAACTGAGGCATTGTGACTTCAGGACCCAAGTTATTGTACACAATTGCACGTTGCCTCCTTTCCATAATGCTTTTTGGAGATGTCCCATTGGCTAGCTAAGTGAGCTCTGTCATGAGGGACACCATGAGAACCACTATGAAATGCAAGGGACTAATTTATGTCTTCTAACCAAAGATGTGCCTGACATGGGGAGAGAGCTTTTATGTGGCTCTGAATAAGAGATAACATCTTTCCCAGGGTCAGCCCCATCTCACACACTACTTCCAGGTTTTGGGGACTTGATAGAACAGGTGAGAAATAAATGCCTGTTCATTTGCTATATTTATCTCAGCCAGGACCACCAATGGAACATAGAAACTTCAAGGCCTCTTCCTAAGACTTTATATGACTCTTAGTTTCCCAATCCATCATGAGGCTTTGGTGCCAAGACCCACAACATGAATTTTAGTTCCCTAATAAGCTTGTGGAGTCTCTACTATGTGTGCAGGTCTTTAAGCCCATATGGACAAAATTGGGAAGAGACATAAAACAAATACTGCAGGAGACAATGAGATTCCATTCATTCATCCATCCATCCATTTACCAATAGCACTTATTACGTACCCACTAAGCACCAGGCATTCTATTGTCAGGATACAATGGTGGGCAAAATAAAAAATCCTGTTCCTTTACCATTCAGAATTATGGAATTCACTGTCTTGCGTAGGGAGACTGATAGTAAATAATTAATCATATAATAAAATCAACAGCTATAGTAGTTCCAAGGAGAGACTCATGGTTCTGTGAGAGCACACATGGTAGAGGAACTTGACCTAGTCAGGGGGTGGGGACGAAGCTGAAACCTAAGCGCTAAGTGTCCAGCAGGACTGGGGTTCAGAATGCAGTGCTTTGAGCAGTGCTGACAGTAGATGCAAAAGTCATCAAGAAATTTAAAGTACTTTTGGGAAAACGAAGTATGTGTACCATAATTAGTCATCTCAAAAAGTCAAAAATATTTTGCTGTGATGTAGACTAAATCCATCGGATGGTTTGCAAAACAAAGGTTAGGACTCCATGCTGCCTGGAAAAATGATTAAAGACTGGATGTCTGAGGCCGGGCATGGTGTCTCACGCCTGTGATCCCAGCACTTGGGGAGGCTGAGGAGGGCAGATCATTTGAGGTCAGGAGTTCAAGACTGGCCTGGCCAACATGGTGAAACCCCCTCTCTACTAAAAATATAAAAATTAGCCAGGTATGGTGGTGTGCACCTGTAATTCCAGCTACTCGGAAGGCTGAGGCAGGAGAATCACGTGTCTGGATGGATAAACACTTTCATTCAGTTAAACATGTTGATCATATCAGAGCATTCCAGATTCCACATACCTGCTAAGCAATAACTAAGGCAACGGACATTGACCCACGTTACAGATAGTAAAGCTGCATCAGAAAAGAGCCTTAACAACTTGATTAGAGTTAATGAAAGATACTTCAAGTTGTTCTAGTTCATCTTATCTGCTCTTCCCTGGAAACCTGGCAACTCACATTTTTAGCACTTATTTATAAGCCCCTTTCCTATTGCCGCAAAATTCTACAGGCTCTGTAGAAATGGGGCTGAGTCTCTAAATAATCACATTTTGATGGTAATTAAAAGCCAAATTCCCTAACTCCCTAAATGCTATGAGCAGTTTGAATGCCTGTGTTTTGTCCTAACATTGAGCATCTCTACGAAGAAGGAAAACCATGTTAGAAAATACTGAAATGACTTAATTGCAGAAAGAGGCAGCCTTATGATGAAGTAGCAGTGAGCTTCTGCTGGGATGGTACACTCAGGGGAGGAAGCTGCTCACAGGAAGAACGCCCAGGAGCGCTGGCCTCAGCCCTTCTTCAAGTACTCACTGCTATGAGGCCTGGGCCGAGGTCCTACAGGCCAGGAGAAGCCCTAAGATGACATCTTTCTGCTATGGTGACAAGTCCTTCCCATTGACTCTAATAGTTGTTAAGGTAAGAGAGGTAAAGAAGGGAATTTCAGTTATTAAGGCATTAGTTTGGATTGGAGCTGGGAACAAAGGAAAAGCCACAACTGGGCTTCATCCAGCAAAGACACTATTTTCATCCATCTGCCTCCTAGACTAATTTAGGGATTACAGGACCTACCCAGGGACCTCCGATGCAGCAAAGTAAGGATCATATTGTGAAGGTAGACCAGGCCAAACCATTGCCACCTCTAACTTTAAGGCTGCTAATCTCTTAGAAAAAAACTGGAAGAAAAAGTTGGAGAGGGCAGTAGGGGGAGAAAACACACACACACACATACACACACACACCATATATATATTTAAAGACCACCAAATACATTTTTCATCTTTAAATCAAAGTCCTGCATAGAAAAAGAAAGCTGCTGGTAAGTGTTAAAGGAAAGGCTTGTTGCCAATAATATAAAACATGTTTATAAAATAATACCTTAGCATGTAGAAATAACAATGATAATGATGATATAACAGCCACACTGTTGAGAGCACACTCATTCGCTGAACACTATGCTAATTACATACAGTATTGCGTCCTAAGTGTCACAATCTGTAACACTAATACTATGGTCCCATTTCACAGCTGCACACCAAGGCTGACAGAGATGTGATAATTTGCCCAGAGTTATATAGCCAGAGAAGCATAACTAGAACCTGAACATAGCCCTCTGAATCTGAAGTAGATGCTGCTGAACTTCACTTGCATTTTTTTTACCAGCAGTTTTGATGCCATATGGAGAAATAGGTATAAATGAAATCTTTCAAAGCAATGAGCACTGAAAAGATTTTGGTGCCCATTGCAATGAGTAATTCAAATAATGAACTACTAAACCTTAAAATGCAGAACTTATATGTATGCTATGCTGACATTAAAATGGCTTGTTTATAGGTTTTCTGATTGCTGCATTCTGGATAAGATAAAGCAGTCATATCCTCTCTCCCCACTGCTTTGATAGGATGCTAAGCACATGTAAAGTTGTCGGAAATCATCTCAAACCTAAAACACCAAACTAAGTGGCAGGTCTGCTCAGCTAGTTGTAAATATGGGCCTAGCTTCACTTTATTGCACTTTGCAGATCTTGAGTTTTTGTTTTTGTTTTTAACAAATTGAAGGTCTATGGCAACCCTAAGCAAGTCTATCGGCACCATTTTTCCAACAACGTGCTCAATTCCTGTCTCTATCACATTTTGGTAATTCTCATAATATTTCAAAACTTTTATTGTTATTGTATGTTAGGGTGATTTGTGATCAATGCTCTTTGATATGTTACTACTGTAATTGTTTTGGGATGTCACAAAACTCACCCATATTAAGATGGTGAACTTGAAAAATGTGTGTGTTCTGACTATGCTACCAACCAGCCATTTCCCCTCCCTCTCTCTTTGGGCCTCCTTGTTCCCTGAGACACAAAAATATTGAAATTAGGCCAATTAATAACCCTACAATGGCCTACAAGTGTGCAAGTGAAAGGAAGAGTCACACGTCTCTCACTTTATTTATTTATTTAGAGACGGAGTCTCACACTGTCACCCTGGCTGGAGGGCAATGGTGCGATCTCGGCTCACTGCAACCTCCGCCTCCCAGGTTCAAGCGATTCTCCTGCCTCAGCCTCCTGAGTAGTTGGGATTACAGGTGCTCACCACCATGCCTGGCTAATTTTTTGTATTTTTAGTAGAGACAGGGTTTCACTATGTTGGCCAGGCTGGTCTCAAACACCCGACCTCAGGTGATCCACCCGCCTCGGCCTCCCAAAGTGCTGGGATTACAGGCGTAAGCCACCATGCCCGGCCGCATCTCTCTTTAAATCCAAGGCTAGAGATGATTAAGCTTAGTGAAGAAGGAATGTTGAAAGGCATGACAGGTTGAAAGCTATGCCTCTCATGCCAAACAGCCAAGTCATGAATGCAAAGGAAAAGTTCTTGAAGGAAGTTAAAAGTGTTACTCCAGTGAACACATGAATGATAAGAGGGAGAAACAGCTTTATTGCTGATTTGGAAAAGTTTTAGTGGTCTGCCTAGAAGAGCAAACCATCCACAACATTCCCCTTAAGCCAAAGCAGAGTAAGGCTTTTTCTTTTTTTTTTTTTTTGTGGGGGGACGGAGTCTCGCTCTGTTGCCCAGGCTGGAGTGCAGTGGCGTGATCTCTGCTCACTGCAAGTTCCGCCTCCCGGGTTCATGCCATTCTCCTGCCTCAGCCTCCCGAGTAGCTGGGACTACAGGCGCCAGCCACCACGCCTGGCTAAATTTTTTTTTTTTTTTTTTTTTTTTTAGTAGAGACGGGTTTTCATCGTGTTAGCCAGGATGGTCTCGATCTCCTGACCTCATGATCCGCCCACCTCGGCCGCCCAAAGTGTTGGGATTACAGGCGTGAGCCACCGCGCCTGGCCAAGGCTTTTTCAATTTTATGATGACAGAGAGAAATGTGGAAGCTACAGAAGAAAAGTTTGAACCTAGCAGAGGTTGGCTCATGAGGCTTTAAAAAAGAAGCCATTTCCATATCATAATAGCGCAAGGTGAAGCAGCAAGTACTGATCTAGAAGCTGCAGCAAGTTATCCATAAGATCATTGATGAGGTGGCTTTACAAAACAACAGACATGCAACGTAAATGAAATAGCCTTAGATTGGAAGAAGATGCCTTCTATGACTTTCATAGCTAGGGAACAGAAATCAATGACTGGTGTAAAGGTTTGGAAGGACAGGCTGACTCTCTTTTAAGAGGCTAATGCAGCTGGTGACTTGAAGTTGAAGCCAATGCTCATTTACCACTCCAAAAATCCTAGGACCCTTAAGAATTAACTTAAAAGCTGTATATTTAGCTTTAAAGCTAAATCTACTCTGCCTGTGCTCTATAAATAGATGGAACAATAAAGCCTAGATGACAGCACATCTGTTTACAGCATGGTTAACTGAATATTTTAAGCCTACCGTTGAGACCTACGGCTTAGAAAGAAAAATTTCTTTTAAAATATTGCGTTCGTTGGCAAGTCACCTAGTTACCCAAGAGCTCTAATGGAGATGTGTAAGATTAATGTTGTTTTCATGCATGCTAACACAACACCCACTCTGCAGCCCATAGATCAAGAAGTAATTTTGGGGCCAGGCACAGTGGCTCATGCCTGTAATCCTGGCAATTTGAGAGGCCAAAGTGGGAGGAATGCTTGAGGCCAGGAGTTCAAGACCAACCTGGGCAACATAGCAAGACCTCATCTCTATAATCAAAAAATTCAGCCAGACTAGGCATGGTGGCTCACACCTATAATCCTATATCATCCTAGCACTTTGAAAGGCCATGGCAGGAGGATTGCTTGAGCCTAGGAGTTCGAGACCAGCTTGGGCAACACGGCAAGACTTCCCCCCGCCAAAAAAAAAAAAAAGTCCCAGATGGCAGCATGCCCCTGTAGTCCCAGATATTCAGGAAGCTGAGGCAGGAGGGTCACTTGAGACCAGGAGTTTGTGGTTACAGTGAGCTATGACAGCACCACTGCACTCCAGCTTGCCAGCTTGAGCAACAGAACAAAACTGACTCAAAAAAACAAAGTAATTTTAACTTTCAAGTATTGTTATTTTAAAAATACATTTTATAAGGCTATAGCTGACAGAGATGGTGATTCCTCTGATGGATCTGGGCAAAGTCAATTGAAAATCTTTTAGAAAGGATTCACCATTCTAGATGCCATAAAGAACATTCATAATTCATGGGAGAAGGTCAAAATATCAACATTAACAGGAGTTTGGAAGAAGCTGATTCCAACCTTCATAGATGACTTTGTGGAGTTCAAGACTTCAGAAGAAGTCACTGCAGATATGGTAGAACTAGCAAGAGATCTATAATTAGAAGTGCAGCCTGAAGATGTGACTGAATTGCAGCAATCTTATAAAACTTGAATGGATGAGGAATTGCTTCTTATGGATGAGCAAATAAAGTGGTTTCTTGAGATGGAATCTACTCCTGATGAAGATGCTTTGAACATTGTTGGAATGATAACAAAGGACTTAGAATATTACATAAACTTAGTTGACAAAGCAGTGGCAGGGGTTGAGAGGATTGACTCCAACTTTGAAAGAAGATCTACTGTAGGTAAAATGCTATCAAACAGCATTCTCTATGGAGAAAACGATTCTTTCATGAAGACTACAGAGAAGTCTCTCATGAAAGGAAGAGTCAATCGTTGCGGCAAACTCCACTGTTGTGTTATTTTAAGAAACTGTCAGCCAGGCACAGTGGCTCACGCCTGTAATCCCAGCACTTTGGGAGGCTGAGGCAGGCAGATCATTTGAGGTCAGGAGTTCAAGATCAGCCTGGCCAGCATGGTGAAACCCCATCTCTACTAAAAATACAAAAAAGAAAATTATCTGGGCATGGTGGCCTATGCCTGTAGTTCCAGCTACCTTGGAGGCTGAGGCAGGAGAATGGCTTGAACCTGGGAGGCGGAAGTTGCAGTGAGCTGAGATTGTGCCATTGCGCTCCAGCCTGGGTGACAGGGCAGGACTCCATCTCAAAAAAAAAAAGAAGAAAGAAAGAAAGAAAAGAAAGAAGGAAGGAAGGAAGGAAGGAAGGAAGGAAGGAAGGAAGGAAGGAAGGAAGGAAGGCAGGCAGGCAGGCAGGCAGGCAAGGCAAGGCAAGGCAAGGCAGGAAGGAAGGAAGGAAGGAAGGAAGGAAGGAAGGAAAGAAAGAAAGAAAGAAAGAAAGAAAGAAAGAAAGAAAGAAAGAAAGAAAGAAAGAAAGAAAGAAATTGCCACAGCTACCCTCACTTTCAGCAACCACCACTTGATCAGCCAGCAGCCATCAACAAGGCAAGACCCTTCACCAGCAAAATGATTATGGCTCACCAAAGGCTCAGATGATCACAAGTACTTTTTTAGCAGTAAAGTATTTTTAAATTAAGGTATATATATTGAGGTTTTTTTAGACATGTTATTGCATACCTAATAGACTACAATATAGTGTAAATATAACTTTTATATGTACTGGAAAACCAGAAAAAATCATGTGATTTGCTTTATTGTGCTCTTTGTTTTATTTTCGTGGTCTGGAACCAAACACACAATATCTCTGACGTGTGTCTTAGAACTTAGTGTTCAAAAACAGAGGCACAAAACCCAGCCACTAGTTCAAAACCTTCCCCTTGGGAGGCTAAGTGGAGACTGTAGAATAAAAATGAGGAAGAATAAGTCAGCAACTACACAATATATATGTATTTTTAAAAGAAGAAAACAATAATTGAGAGATGGTTTCATGATCTTCTCACTACTCCTGATTTGGAAATCTGGAAAGTGTGGTATGGGTATGAGGGGGATTCTTCTAGATGGATATGTTAGGTGAATCCTTGTAGGGTAGTGCAAGTTAAAGGTATAACACACCCAACTGAATGTACATTCATGGTGTATACACATATATTGCTTCTGGGTTTTTCTATCAAAAGCAAGAGCCAAAAGAAAAATACTCAACAATGAAATGTGTCCAGTAACCTTATTCTTCTGAGATATTACTGTCTATTTTGTTACTTTGGAAGCTTTTTGGTTTTACTGAACATATATTTTGATTATATGCATATGCATAGTATTTAACATCTTTTCAACATGAAAAGTGTCCATCAATGGATGATTGGATTAAATAAATGGTGGTATGTATGTATATACCATGGGATACTAACTCAGCCATGCACACACATAGAATGAAAATGAGGCTGGGCACAGTGGCTCACGCCTGTAATCCCAGCACTTTGGGAGGCCGAGGTGGGCAGATCACCTGAGGTCAGGAGTTCGGGAACAGCCTGGCCCACATGGTGCAACCCTGACTCTACTAAAAATACAAAAATTAGCCGGATATGGTGGTGGGCACCTGTAATCCCAGCTACCCGGGAGGCTGAGGCAGGAGAATTGCTTGGACCTGGGAGGCGGAGGTTGCAGTGAGCTGAGATCACGCTACTGCCCTCCAGCCTGGGTAACAGAGCAAGATTCTATCTCAAAAAAAAAAAAAAAAAAAAAAAATGAAAGAAAATGAAATCATGCCTTTTGTAGCAACATGGGTGGAACTGGAGGCCATTATTCTAAGTGAAATGACTCAGAAAGAGAAAGCCAAAAACTGCATGTTCTCACTCAGAAGTGGGAGCTCAACAATGGGTACACATGGACATACAGAGTGAAAGAACACATACTGGAGACTCCTCAAGGTGGGAGGGTGGAAGGGGGATGAGAGAAGAAGAAATCTACCTATTGGGTACAATGTCCACTATTCAGATGATGGGCAAACTGAAAGCCCAGCCTTCGCCACTATGCAGTATGTCCATGTCAGACAACTGCACTTGTGCCCCCTAAATCTATTTCAAATAATTGGTGATTCAGTATGTCCTTTGTAAAGGAAAGAGTATCTATTACATAGATAATCTTTGCCAGGGACTATCTGCGGTTGCAAATTGGAGAATCACAAGCAGTATCCTTCTGGCAGATATATTTGGTTTAGTCCCTGTTGAATCTAAACATTTTTCTTAAATTAATTGCCAACATTTTCAAATCATGAGATTTCATGCCAAAATCCGGATTTCAGGCATCTCATGAAAAATGGGAAGATTTGGCAGCACTGGACCTGCTGTACTCCCTCACGGCAAATTAGCAGAAGCTGAGCTGGCTTGATTCATTTATTACATCACTTACCTGGCCCCTGTAGGCATCTGAGTTAGTAACCCCTGGTCTACAGGTAAAGGGGCTAAAGGTCAGATACAACTCATCTCAGATGCTGGAAGCAGCTTTCTTAGTCGAAATAAGCAGCTGTCATTAGTCCAAATAGGGACGAACGATTTGACTTTAATATGAAATGTTTTATGTGGGCTATAAAATTATCCAAACTCGACACAGGACATTTTGAGCTTATTTCCAAATCATCTGGCCTTCATCTACCCACTGGAACTATTACTCTGCTGGGTCCTCATGGAAACATATCTTTCAGCCCTAACAATGAGACTACAGACATCTACGTCCCCAACACAACAGCTAAAAAGCAGTAGAATGTCAGAAAGGCTATCCACTTAGCCCTTGGCTGACAGGCCCCACTGAGCATCCTTTGCGAAGTCCATTTACTAGCTAATTCATAATTTACACAAGGCATTCAGACATAGCAGCTAAGATATAAAACATTTATCAACACAGGGACTAGTTTGTTATTTTAAAATAATTATGTTTAAGTAAGCCAATAAAGTCTATCTTCTCCAATTTACTTATTGAGCTTTATGAGGCAATTTAAGTCCCGATTTTGGGGGGTATGTATGAAAGGAGAGCATGGAAATGCCATTTGCTCCCTGAAGTTTTTATCTTTTTTTTTTTTTTTTTTTTTTTTGAGATAGAGTCTTGCTCTGTCACCCAGGCTGGAGGGCAGTGGCATGATCTTGGCTCACTGCAACCTCTGCCTCCCAGGTTCAAGTTTTTCTTGCACCTCAGCCTCCTGAGTAGCTGGGATTACAGATACGTGCCACCACACCCAGCTAATTTTTGTATTTTTTAGTAGAGATGGGGTTTTACCATGCTGGCCAGGCTGGCCTTGAACTCCTGACCTTAAGTGATCCACCCACCTCAGCCTCCCAGAGTGCTGAGATTAGAGATGTGAGCCACTGCACCCGGCCTTGAAGTTTTTGTCTTAAAAACCCAGATCCTCAAGAGAAGACCAAAAAATGGTTGTGGTGCTCATATCTCTGAGACATCTTGCAGAGAGGTAATCCCTAAATGATGCAAATCTGGTGAACATAATGCACACAGGGGACAAACCAAACGGTGAAAACTGATGTTAAACTATAAATTTTAAGCCACGGACATTAGTGTGAAACTTTACAGCTTCAAACTTTCAAAACCCACACAAAAGAATTTGTACGACACTGATGAAAATTTAGACACTAGAGATGCTCAATCATGCGCTCTGTAAGCAAATCACACTTCATGGTTAATTTTGTTGCCAGCAGGATAATAAAGTGTGATACAAACTCTAGCACAGTCTCAGCTGCTGTTAAAGAGTCTGAATGGACAGGGCATTACAATCATTAAGAATGCAGCCACGCAATTCAACCAGTAGATGGGGCACATCCACATGGCAAGCGTCCTCACTGAACCAGCCAGGTGGGAAAGAATAGGCCCTGCTTCCTGCTCTATAGCCCCCTACCAAAGAGTTACAGAGATAGCCAAATGCAGAAGGTGAGGCTGCACCTCATCTCTAAAAGAAGTATTTGATTATTTCCTTAACTTCTCTTTCATTCCTATGACAATGTAAATAAAACGGGTGGAGACTGGTGGGATTAGGAGGAATCAGGGTTGACCACCTCAGAAGGGAGAAATATATTGAATCCACTCTATAAAAGCACCTCCTTCAGTAGTCAGTGAGTCGCTTATTCTTACTGGGGACCAGTGTTTACTGAGTGCTCATTCCATCCAGGCACTGCTGGAATTGGATGTTAGATCTACAAAGGGGAATTAGACAGGAATGGGATGTGGTCCGTGGAGACTGTGGCTTACTGACACTGAAGTCCTGCAAATGCCAGTCACCTGTGGCTACAAATCATGACAGGGAACTAAACAGGTGGGCGTGAGAATGCTTATGGGTGGACAGTGGCATCTCAGTAAAGATGGGGTGCTCAGAAATGCCCTCTCTGAAGAAGTGACATTGAAACTGAGGGCTGAGGACAGAGGAGAAGCCAGCTCCCTAAAGGGAGCTGTGGGAAGAATAATTCGGGAAGTGGAAAGCATGTATGCAGAGCCCCAGGTTGCAACATTCTGGACACACTCAAGGAACAATGGAAACTAAGCCAGTCTGGGTGGGAGTGGTGGAGGTGTTGGCAGAGGAAGGAAGGGAAGTGATATGGTCAAAGGTATTTGACTAACAGGGCAGTGGGCGTTGTTAGCTTTGATGCATACTCATGTACTCCACAGAAAACACAAACACAAAATTATATGGTGCTTAATTTTCCAGATGCTATTTTAAACTTTTTACTTATATAACCTTCACTTATTTCTCACAATAACTCTAAAAGGCAAGTACTATTAGTATCATCCTCTTTTTACAGAGCAGAAAACAAGTACAGAGAGGTGAAGTGACTTGCCCCCAGACACACAGCTACTATGCACTAGAACCCAGACTGGAACGGTAGTGGTCTGATTCCAAAGTGCATGCTCTTCACTTCTATATTCTCAGAAGCACTGTTTTATTTCAAGGTGACTCTGTATATTTTGATATCACTATGCTAAGTCTAGGTTTTTTTTTTTTTTTGGCATGTTTGTTGTTTGTTTGTTGTTGTGACACTTTTGTATTGCTTTGCTGGCAGACGGCTGATGCGGGCCAAATAAGAAATCCACAATCTGGCACAGAGTACACGCCTAGACAGATTTATCATATGTCCTGATAATCAAGCACAATTGTGTACCCCAACCTTTGCCAGATGCCGGCTTCCTCATGAATCTGGGTTCTGTACATGGACTCCCCAAAGGACAGTAAATCAGCGCACTAGATATCTCTGCAAAGTTTCCAGCAGATGCTTGTCCTGTGCTTACCCTGCCCGGCTCCAGATGGCTCCACATCCTGCTCCTTCCTCTCGCGGGCACTTCAGATATGTCAGCAACGCAGGGTGAGGAAGAAGGTGGAAGGAGCAGAACTAACGTAGTTCTTTAAGAAGCCCCGCAGAGCCCAGAGGTATTTTATATATGCATATGAGGAGCTCTAAGCCCGGTCAGCATAAATCACTGCCAGCTTTTACTACCTGGACCCGATTTTCAAAAGGATGAAGTTGTTTACATGTTGCAGAAAAGGTTTCTGCTACCAGTTAACCTGTCACCTGCTACAATTCATTCCAATCTCTTCCATAGGCAACAGGTTGTATGGAATTTTCCTGCACTGACATATTAGCAAGACAATTCTATACCTACTCCGTCCTCTCAAAAGGGAGAGAACAACGCTGAGAAATAGGTCCCAGCAAAAAGATGTTAAGAAAAAATTCTTAAAGCGTATATTGCAAATCAACAACAAAAACACAAAAATCAGAAAAATTTTTAAAAAGACTTCATTCTTTCCCAGACTAAGGAACAGGTTTACACACTTTTCTTTCTCCCTAAATTAAAAGTATCCTTGACCTTATCCAGTGATTTACACACACAGCACTGTCACTAAGTTTTGCTTGCCTTTTTTGGGAACAGTCTAGACCAGGGTGTCCAATCTTTTGGCTTTCCTGGGCCAGGATGGAAGAAGAATTGTCTTGGGCCACACATAAAATACACTAACACTAATGATAGCTGATGAGCTTTAAAAAAAAATCGCGATCAGGAGCAGTGGCTCACGCCTGTAATCCCAGCACTTTGGGAGGCCGAGGCGGGCGGATCACGAGGTCAGGAGATCGAGACCATCCTGGCTAACACGGTGAAACCCCGTCTCTACTAAAAATACAAAAAATTAGCGGGGCATGGTGGGGTGTGCCTGCAGTCCCAGCTACTTGGGAGGCTGAGGCAGGA
Organism: Homo sapiens; assembly: GCF_000001405.40. Classification (NCBI taxonomy): domain Eukaryota; kingdom Metazoa; phylum Chordata; class Mammalia; order Primates; family Hominidae; genus Homo; species Homo sapiens. The sequence goes on from NC_000008.11 coordinate 117,864,659, forward strand.
GAATGGCGTGAACCCAGGAGGCGGAGCTTGCGGTGAGCGCAGATAGCGCCACTGCACTCCAGCCTGGGCGACAGAGCGAGACTCTGCCTCAAAAAAAAAAAAAAAATCGCAAAAAAAAAAAAAAATCTCATAATGCTTCAGGAAAGTTATGAATTTGTGTTGGGCCACATTCAAAGTTGTTCTGGTCTGCATGTGGCACAAGGGCTGTGGGATGGACAAGCTTGGTCTAGATAATCCCTACTTCCTTCCTCTTCTCCAAAGATACACAGATTTTTCAAAAAAGTAGAAGCTGTTTTTTTTTAAAAAAATAGAGTTCATAACACTAGTATTCATTTATTTGCATCAGAAATTAATTACCATGACAGAAACCCAAATGAACATCTCAGAGCCAGGTGTGTTTGAGATGAGCTGACTGACTCCATACAAACACTTGTTGATTTTGCTTGAATCCTCTGTAAATTTCACTTCCCACTTATTAGATTTTCACAGAGGCCAGAAGACCCAAATAAAATCTTCTTTACTTTTTTGAGACAGGGTCTTGCTTTGTCGCTCAGGCTGGTGTACAGTGGTGCAATTATGGCTCACTGCAGCCTTGACCTCCCGGTCTCAAGCAATCCTGGCACCTCAGCCTCCTGAGTAGCTGGGACTACAGGTCTGCACCACCAAATCTGCCTAATTTTTTAAAGGTTTTTTGAAGAGATGAGGTATCACTATGTTGCCCAGGCTGGTCTCCCTTACTTTTAACCAGTGGTAAAGAGGAGCCTATGAGGTCATCTTCCATTCAGTGGTATCTAGACTTTGTGATTATAGAGCGAGAAAAACATCCAGTGGACTTACTTAGAAATGACTTCCTTTTGTCTTATACTTACTGAGAGATTTATTTCCTTCATCCTTCTTGTAACCTGGGGGGCCTGGAGAATTTCACACTCATTGTTCCCTATCTTCCTCATTCTACAGACAAATGTAGTTATAGATAAGATTATTTATTTCTGACTGTCAAGACTCATAGCAAAACTTGCTTGTATTACAATATTCATCCTGTCTGGAGATGATGGCACTAATCGTATAAATCGTGTAAATAACCAGGTGTCTTCACAGACTGAAAGTCTAGAAATGCATCTAGGTTGACAAATATTTACACCGAGTTATATTGCTTTAATTTACCATCAGTTGAAGGGAGAAGGGGGTGAGCAATATCACATTAATAAAGGAAGAGGGTATTAGAGCTTATCATTTCATGGAGGCTTGTCTTTCTTGTGTATATTCTCAACATACAAGAAGTTAAGCCAGGAGCAGTGGCTCACACCTGTAATCTCAGTACTTTGGGAGGTCAAGGTGAGTAGATCACTTCAGGTCAGGAGTTTGAGACCAGCCTGGCCAACATGGTGAAACCCCATCTCTACTAAAACTACAAAAATTAGCTGGGCATGGTGGCACGTGCCTGTAATCCCAGCTACTCAGGAAGCTGAGGCAGGAGAATCGCTTGAACCCGGGAGGCAGAGGTTGCAGTGAGCTGAGATTGCGGCACTGCACTCCAGCCTGGGCGACACAGTGAGACTCAGTCTCAAACAAAGAAGTTAAACTATTAAAATCTGAAAAATACTAAAAATATTTTTAATTCAAAATATAATTTTCAATTAAGCAGAGACTTCACCTCAGAGATAACTGATAAAAACTGAGGCACAGAGAAGTTAAGTGGCTGACCAAGGTGACACAGCTGGTGAAGGACACAGCCAGGACTCTAACCAGCTCCACATCACAAACGTGCTGTAATGAGCTACTGGCTGCCCAGCCAGCCGACTGAACAGGTTGTTTATAAAATGGAGCAAATACTATCAATCCCACTTGCCCTTAGAAATGCCCAGAGAATTAACCAAGCTCAAGGACAGTGGGGATGGCACAGAACTGACTGTACAGGTGTAAAGTGTGATGATTTATGCAGGAACTAGCTATCAAAGTTACGGAAACCTAGAATTTTATCCATTGTTGGGTATCTCCCAGTAGTGCATGATTAGCCATTCTTGACGATGATTCTGTGAGCTGTTAGAAGTTTTTGTGTGTCTAAGTAGATCTGTCTGAAACTATTTTCAGGTTGTATGAATCTTTGTCTAGGAATTTGCTTCCCTGGCCTACCCAAAAAAAAAAAAAAAAAAAAAATGAAGTGCATTTTGTTCTGTTCACAGATAGCTTTCTTTCTTGCTACTCTTGGCCATAAGACCAACTCTAAAAACATTGGTGACCCTGAAAATGTCTCAAGGACATTCAGTTTACTTTCCTTGCCTCTAAGCCACTCCTTCTTTTAAAAAAGAAAGCTTGAGGAGGCTGGGTACAGTGGCTCACGCCTGTAATCCCAGCACTTTGGGAGGCCAAGGTGGGTGGATCGCGAGGTCAGGAGTTCAAGACCAGCCTGGCCAAAGTAGTGAAACCTCGTCTCTACTAAAAATACAAAAATTCGCTGGACATGATGGTGCGTGCCTGTAGTTCTAGCTACTTGGGAGGCTGAGGCAGAAGAACTGCTTGAACCCAGGAGGCAGAAGGTGCAGTGGGCCGAGATTGCACCACTGTACTCCAGCCTGGGCGACAGAGTGAGACTCCACCTCAGAAAAAAAAAAAAAGCTTGAGGAAATTTATAGCCCAGGAAAATGAGTGGGGAAGAGATGCTATTTAAATGTAAAATCACTCCTGCTAGAGGTAGTGGTGGGAGTGGGGAGAGATGAAAGAATGGGGTGGGTAGAAGAAAATGTCCGTCCATGGGCAATTCCATTTTTGGCTATTCCATGGAGACAAACCAATTAGTGTGGATTTTCAAGGTGGTTTGTGTGAACTGGCTACCTGCCCATTATGAATTGGACTGGGATTAACTAGCTCATTCCAAACACTCCACCAAACAGCAAATGGTCACAGGAAAATGATTTTTAGTCACCAACAACCTGGCTGGATTGGAAACTTGGAGATGAAAGCCTTGATAACCTCCTACCAATCTACAAAGAGACTGTGACTCCTTCAGATCTACCCACTTCTAAATACCTTTTTCTCCCTGCCCTCTTCATTCTTTGCTTTTATTCCTTAAAAAGCTCTTTTGCAGTTCGGAGGCTGTTTGTTTTTCTGAACATAAACATACCTATCAACCAACCAGCCTGGTAATGGTCAATGTGTATGAACACCACCATTTATGTGTTTCATCATATGAGCTTGCATGACTGCCTCATCTATAAGTTTAATTCAACCCCCGGTTCTAGAAACCAGTTTACTTCTAATAGAGAAGCCCTGAGAAACTTGGGCTCAATATTGAGGGCTTCAGCACACGACTAATGCCATAAGCACTTTTAATTATCTGTCTCAGCTTCTTACAGCTGGAATTTCCCTTGTTCCAGACACAAAGTCCTTAACTTTATATTCCAGGCTCAGGAACTTGGCTCCAGGGATCACCACCAGCCACCAGCATGTTCATTCATTCTTTTCTCCAAGCAAATGATCCCTACACCAGGGTTAACAACCTCATCAAGAGAGGCTAAGGCGATTTCAGCTGCAACCCTCTGTATGTGGCATCCCTGTGGCTTCCCACCTTAGATAATTGCTATCCTCCTTTCCCTCACCTATTCCCTTATGGGGAGCCACTCAGTCCCTTTGGCTTAGGTGGGACTGATCACCACTCCTAGGGTGCAGCATGTGATCTAAGTATAAGCCACAAGCACATCATCATATTTCCCAGGCCACAGTTTTTCAGGGATGGTGTTGGGAATCATTGAAGCCAATATGGCTGGTCAGCTTCTTTAATTTTAATTTAAAAATGTTTTGTTTGTTTGTTTTTGAGACAGGGTCTCATTCTGTCACCCAAGCCAGAGTGGAGTGGCACAATCATAGCTTACCACAGCCTCAACCTACCAGGCTCAAGAAATCCTCCCACCTCAGCCTCCTGAGTAGCTGGGACCTCAGTACATGCCACCATGCCTGGCTACTTTTTTATTTTTTGTAGAGACGAGGTCCCACTATGTTGCCCAGGATGGTCTTGAGGTCCTGGGCTCAAGCAATCCTCTCACCTCGGCCTCCCAAAGTGCTGGGATTAGAGGCATGAGACAAGTCAGTGCCGGTAGTATCTGCAGTAGAGGTAGGTAGAGGCTATATATATTCTTCCACACATCCTCACGACCAAGGGGTATGTTACTATGAAAATATGTCACGGAACAAATGTTGAAGTCCTGCCAAAATTCCAGCCCATAGAGCAGGGCCTGATACCCACTGCCAGGCCACATTAATGCTGATGTGGAGTAGCCAGCCCTCAACAGGCTGCCTCCTGGACTTCCTCCACTAACCTGGCCTGGGGCCCCCAGGACCTCCCCGGAGCCAAGTGCCTGCCAAAAATCTCACTTTTTGCACAACTCTATGTTCCCTGCTGTGTGTGTTCTGCCTGGCGGGCTGGACTTCCCGCCAGCGCCCACAGGCCCCCACCCAGTGTCTGCCCCACTTTGGCGGATGAGGCTTCTCTCCAGACCCATGTCCTCCAGTTTGCTCTGTGAACCCCAGTGAGCCTGCCCAAGCCTGCCTCCATATCCACCATGAGGAAGAATTTAATGAAAGAAAACCAATGTGCCAATCTCTAATACTGGAACAGAAGTTCCAATAGGTGGTGAAGCTCAATCTTGCCCATAAATAGTGATTTATTTGTTTGGCGCAGAGGATTGGAAGGACAAACTGTAAGCTCAGCTTCAACTCAGAGCTGGCTAAGGGGCTGGCAGACAGGTCAACTCTCTGAGTCCAGGATGCACAGGAATGTTCTGGTCTCAAGTGCATGATGAAGTCAATTACCAGAAGTTTTTTAAATCCTCCAAAGTATCTACCTCCTTGTCCTAAACTATGACTGGAAATTCAAATAAAACACACTTAGTAAATTTCCTTCTTTTTCTGGCAATACTGGCTTTTATTGAAGGATGATGTAGCAGGAACAAAGTTCATTCTCAATATAACTTATCACTTTATACTATCTACATCTTAATGTCAAACGCAATAATCTCTAGCATATAAATGCTATTCCTGATTTTAAAATAATCCTATTTCATTAAGCTACATTTTAATGGATTCTACTTGAAAAGGAAGGGTGGAGTTCAAATTCCTTAGCCATAAACATTCATTTTCCCTCATATTTATATTTACATACACACACACACTCACACATATATATCTCCTTGAAATAAGGTAATGTTAGGTGAGTAGTACTTTTAATAAATGTAGTTCCAAAAAATCAAATCAAATAGTCCTTTGGATCATGAATTACTTTGTAAGATTCAGAAAAATACTCATTTTTCTATGAGAGACAAAGGAAGAAAACAATGAGGTGATGTTGCTACCCCTGTTGCGAGAATCAATGTCCCCCAACCTTGAAGCACTATTGATTTCAAATGAAAATGTTGTTTCTGTAGTTTTAAGACTTTGCTCCTTACTTTAAAAAAAAAATTAGGAAAATGAAAAAACTTCATCTAAAGATGACCAAACTATTCAATTATTTCCGTGATGGCTCATTTCTCTTAACACATAAACAAAACTAAAACTGAAGGAATTAGATGTGATAATGACATATCTCTCAAATCTCATGGTAAAATTGGATGCTCAGTGGCATTAAAACACATCTCCCACCAATAACTTTCCTCTGTGATTGCCAAGGTGTAGGTCTCTCTTATTCAAACATCTGAGAATTGTTATGTCTGAGCATCTGCTCACATTCAACATTTGATGCTAGTCTGTTATTTGCTAGGGACTTTCCTAGGCACAGGGGATACAAAGGTGATCCTCTGAGCTAAAAATCAGTGTATCAACGGGCATTAAGTAGAAGGAGCAAGGAGGGGTCTGATGTTGATCTTGGGTGCACCATTTGTTTCCAAATTCTAGCAAGTTGTCCATCAGTCTGTACTATTTACCCTAGAGTGAATTGTGGACACATGGCTCATTCATAATCAGTCCTTAGCTCCATCCACATTTATTTTACTGTCATGCAACTTGCTCCAGAGTAGGAGGCCTCTTCCTACTCCAAGTGTTAGAAAATACAGATGAACTTTACCATTCCACAAAGGATAAAGGGATTGGGAGCCTGTTGAAAGCAGGGACAGTATCACTCTACTTGGTGTCCCGTATCCACATCAGGACTCAGTGGGTATACCATAAATGCTTTGTCACACACACACACACACACACACACAAAAGATTGAAGGAATAAAAAACATATTTTTTAATGATCCAATTTAAAACATCACCTTAGTATTATAAACAGCATTCAGGGGAATACCAACTGAGTTTCTATTCTGCAGAAGGGTAAAGCAATAGAGAGAAAAAAGGTTAAAAGAGCAAATCTCTAGCCGATGTAACTGGGAAAAAAATGTAAAAAGGGCTGATCTCTAACTCCAAGTCCTGAGCACAATCTTTGGCTGTTGTATAGAATTTTCCTATGCATTGCCTGCATCTTACAGAAGTATTTAAAAGCCTTCCCTAATCTGCCCTTGTTTAGTTTTAGCTGTATTCTCCCATGGTTTTCTGATATAATCAAGGAAAAAATCAACCCTAATAGTGTTTTCATTATTTTACAGTACAATTATTTTGAGAGCATGGAACCTTCTGAGCATGTTCCTATAACTTCAAGACAAAAATGCAGTACTGTTTCTTTCAACATAAATGCATGTACTGGAATACTCTGGCACCAACAATAGGATCAAATGATAGAACTCTTCGTTCAGAAAGCCTGTAAGAAGACTTTATCCTCATCCCCGTGAGGGGCTTTTGCACACATCTGTTTCAGCTCAGTCCCCTAGAGATATCTAAAATCTAATTAACCAATTAATTTGCAAATATATTCTAATGTATGCAAGGCAGATTTTCTTGGGTGTTAAATTATCTGACACTGAACCATATACAGTACACAAGAGCGGGACCTCACTGAAATACCACAAGTTACCCCAATGCAAGAACGGCTAGGTGGGCTCTGGTCCACAAGCACTTCTATTCCCTAATGAGAAAATGAGTTACCATGGTCAGGTTAGGTTGTGTGTGCTTCAGTAAGGTACTGCTAAATGCACTGGTGAGACAGAGGGGTCATCAGGCACTCTGAGGCTTGTCTTCTAAAACTGCTTCCACAGTATCCCCTAGGGTAGGGCTGGGGTGGGCACGGTTGCCTGGGGCCAAGGAATTGGAGAAAAAATAAGCCAGCTCAGTGGCTCATGGCTGTAATCCTAGCACCGTGGGAGGCTGAGGCAAGACGATCACTGGAGTCCAGGAGTTTGAGACCAGCCTAGGCAACATAGCGAGACCTTGTCTCTGCTAAAAATAAAAAAAATAATAATTAGCTGCATGGGGTGGCGTGTACCTGTAGTCCCAGCTACTTGGGAGGCTGAGGTGGAAGGATCTCTTGGGCTCAGTAGCTCAGTAGATAGAGGCTGCAGTGAGCTATATCACACCACTACACTGCAGCCTGGGCAACAGAGTGAGACCCTGTTTCAAAAGAAAGAAAAGGAAAAGGAAGGGAGGGAGGGAGGGAGGGAAAGAAAAAATAAGATGATGATACATATTTCACTTAGTCTGTTTTCCTAGGGTGGATGAAGGGAAGTTTAAGCTATGGGAAGAGTATGCTCTATCATACTGGGAATTACTAACTGCTATTAATTTGCATGCAGAACTCTGTTCTTCAAGAAAGCAGCCACAGCAGGTAACATTGTTTACTCAGACAATCAAGTTGTAATTTACTGAACTTGTGGATTAAAAAAAAAAAGGATGTTCTTAATTGCTACATTGCAACAATTTATCCAGCTCAATGACTGTATAGCTACAGATAAGAACTCAGAATAACACTATCAAATGTTAGGGGGATTACCTAATTTACAAAATGAAGAGTATCTCAATGCACAGTGTGTTGTTACCTAAAAATATGGAATGTGGATTTTAATATGTTTCTGATAATATGTTTGGATAGCTGCTAATTGTGCAGCATTAAAGCAAAGCTGATTTTGTTATTTATCTTTTATTCAAGACAAATTATTATTTTGATTATTCACAAAATGGAAAAGAAAGAAATGGCAATATTATACAATGTGTTTTGGTATCTTATTTCTATAATGTAAATTTTTCTACTATTCAATCACTTTCAAAGATCTCCAAACACATATTAAAGCGAATACTGAAGCAGAGAAAAAAAAAAAAAAAAGAAAGAAATGCATGTCCAGTTTAGGGTTGAGGAAGCCAAGATGGGATTTTTACATAATAAATAGATTCTAAATTTTCTTCAAGGGTTAGGGAGAAGTTAAAGAGAAAGAGTGTTAGTATTTGCTATGGTCTGAATGTGTGTCTCCCACAAATTTCATATGTTGAAATCCTAACCCAAATACCGATGGGATGATGATGTGGAGCTTTTGGGAAGTGATTAGGTCATGAGGGTGGAAATCTTTTTTATAAAAGAGACTGCAGAATGATTCTTCACCATCTCAGCCACATGAGAATACGATGACAAGCCCGCAGTCTGTAACCTGAAAGAGGGCCCTCACCAGAAGCTGACCATGTTGGCACCCTGGTCTCGGACTCTGAGTCTCCACAACTGTGAAAAATAAATTTCTATTGTTCATTAGCAGCCCAAATAGACTGAGTTCTTACAGTTAAAACGTGGATTGGTCAATTCATAATAGTTGCCTAAAAGGGTAATCTATATATGCAAACTTCTTTCTGACAACGAAACTACAATTTCCCATGAAGTTGAGAGGGGTTAAGAAAATGGAGAAAATTAGCAAGTATGGTTAAGACCAATGTTGTCCTGTGACTTTTTTTTTTTTTTTTTTTTTTTTTTGAGACAGGGTATTGCTCTGTCACCCAGGCTGGAGTGCAGTGATGTGATCTCGGCTCACTATAACCTCTGCCTCCCGGGTTCAAGTGATTCTTGTGCCTCAGCCTCCCGAATAGCTAGGATTACAGGTGCATGCCACCACGCCTGGCTAATTTTTGTATGTTTAGTAGAGACAGGGTTTTGCCATGTTGGCCAGTCTGGTCTTGAAATCCTGGCCTCATGTGATCTGCCCGCCTTGGACTCCCAAAGTGCTGGGATTACAGGCATGAGCCACCGCGCCCAGTCTCACTTTAAAGGAGAGAGTTAAAGTGACATCTAAAGATATGCATCCCAATAGGATTGGGGTGATTTTCAACATTCATATAAAAAATGAGTTTATCAACACTCAAAATAGATTTATTTGGTATTTCTAGTTTGTTTGTTTAAAATGCCAACAAAACATAACATACTATGGCTATCTTCCTCCATTTGAAAAGACAAGTAATGTGGTAAATATGCTACAAAGTGGCCTAGGAGAATTTCTTAGGTATCTCCTTTGACTAACATACTTTAATCCTTTTCACTCTTGTTAGCCTCAGCATTAGTGTAGGTGCAAAGCAGCTGGTGAGTAAATTTGGGTATAATGAGCCAGTCTAGTTCATTCTAACAATGAGAAATTCCTAATTTTAAATGGTCATTTCTTTTTTAAATAGAAATGAACAGAGAGGTACAAAAAGGCTTTGGTAGAGTATGTCATAATGCATAATTATGAATATATATTGTCAAGTTTGTATGACAATTTAGATCTTTAATGTTTTTTCCATTATATCTTTTTAAAGGGAACAATCCTGGCCGGACGTGGTAGCTACAATCCCAGCACTTTGGGAAGGCTGAGGCAGGCAGATCACCTGAGGTCAGGAGTTCAAGACCAGCCTGGCCAACATGGCGAAACCTAGTCTCTACTAAAAATACAAAAATTAGCTGGGTGTGTTAGCACATGCCTGTAATCCCAGCTACTTGGGAGGCTGAGGCAGAAGAACCGCTTGAACCTGGCAGGCGGAGGTTGCAGTGAGCTGAGATCGTGCCACTTCACTCCAGCCTAGGCAACAAAGTGAGACTCTGCCTCAAAAAAAAAAAAAAAAAAGAACAATCCTTTTCCTCAATTATCCTGGGTAATTTGATAGATGAGCTATCATATAATCCCCTCAATTGATCTACTCTGCTACTCATGTGCCCACAAAAATCTAGGCAGCATACTACTGACAATGTGAGCTTCAGAAAGTCTTTCATCCAAATGGATTCCAATACCAATGATAGAAGAAACTAGTAAATATATTCCTTTTCCATCTTCTTTAGTGTCAAAGCACAGATACAGGTGACTGCATCTTAAACACTGCCCAGTTTTCAGCACTGTTTCATTTCCTGAATTCCTTCTTCCTAACTGTCCATTAGCGGCTTTGACAATAGTGTTAGCCAGATAGTCTCCTTTCTACACATATAAGGTGCAAAAATAAAAGATTTTAAACTGCAGCTTGAAGGAACAAAGTATTGTTATGTTGGTCAGGTTTTCTATGGATTAGACGTTAAAAAACAGTGGCAATAGAAATATTGGTACTCTTCTCTGTGAGTTGATATGAAGGCTGGAAATCAGCCGCCTAAGATGATCATTTAAAGGTAGGGGATGGGGCCAGGCGCCGTGGCTCACGCCTGTAATCCCAGCACTTTGGGGGGCCAAGGCAGGCAGACCACTTGAGGTCAGGAGTTCGAGACCAGCCTGACCAACGTGCTGAAACCCCATCTCTGCTAAAAATATAAAAAAAAATTAGCCAGGCATGGTGGTGCGCACTTGTAATCCCAGATACTCGGGAGGCCGAGGCAGGAGAACCGCTTGAACCCGGGAGGTGGAGGTTGCAGTGAGCTGAGATCGTGCCACTGCACTCCAGCCTGGGTGATAGAGTGAAACTACCTCTCTAAATAAATAAATAAATAAATAAATAAATAAATAAATAAATAAATAAAATAATAAAGGTAGGGGATGGCAAAGGAAGAAGCCTTAGTATTTGCCCCTTCTAGCCTCTTGTTTCTAAAATAACAGGTGTAATTTCAGAGCCCCAACTGCTAATTCCACATGCAAAATTGTTTTAGGCAATCCTCCCAATGCATTCTAGAGACTTTTCAGGGTCATTTTTATTTGTTAGATTTCCACGGTATTCAAGTTTCTAAGTAAGCAAAAATTATCCGTTGCCAAGTACCATCTTTGGGGAGAGGAGTTGAGGGAAGAAGAAAAAAAGGACAGAGAAGAATATAAAGAAAAGCTGAAAAAACATAGATCAGGCCCCAAGATTCCAGGTTTCCAGATGAGCAAATGCCCATCTGGCCCTTCTCCCCATGCAAGCAGTGGGCAGTGACCGTGGGTGCTTACTGCAGTGGGTAGAACCAGTTTCTAAATTCAAACCCTCCAGGCAGGGAAGAGGGCAACTGGCTAGTGAAAAGAGAAATGCTGAAGACTGAAAGCTGAACTGAAGCTTTCCTTAGAACCTAAAGAACACAAATGAATTCATGCAACAAATATTCTGAGCACCTATCCATGCCAGAAACTATAAGAGATGCCCAATATGTAGAGATAAATAATATTCAGGCCTTGGCCTAGGGGCACTAAGAGTCTAATAGTCTAACCATTAATCAAACAGCAACAATAAAGGGTGATAAATACTCTATGTGGAAGTGTACTCAGAGTGTATCGGGGTATACTGGGACAGAGAAGCATCTAACTCACAAGGAATATATCCAGAGGAAATGACACTTGAAATGAATTTTAAATGACAGGACTTAAGAGACAGAGAAACAAGGAGTACTTGTGTCAAAAGAGAGAATGCAAAAGAGTATGCCATAATTTAGAACTTTGCAACAGAAAAGGCAGAAACACAGAGCAATTTATTTCAGAAACACCCAAATTTATTTTAAAACATACTAGACTCCAGACCCAGAGAGTAAGGATGGATGCTTATAAAACTGCTTTTTTAAAATGTTCCACATATGTGGTCCAATGGGAATTTTAAGAAATGCATTCCATTCCTTGTTGATAAAATAGAATTTGGGTTATTTACTATTTTGAAAAAAGAATTTTCTACCTGCTAGAGGTAAGGACGTAGGATAAAATAAATAACAATAATAATGATAATAAATGGGAGATGTGGGGCATGGCATAGCATCTATTTATAAAAGATCTTAACACTTTGTGTTTTCTCTCTCATTACTTTCCTATCAGGCAGGAAAGTAATGAAGACTGACACAAAATTAAACAATTACTAGTCACTAGTGATTGGAGATTCATTTGTTTACCATTCATTCTTCCACAGATATTTACGGAAGCGCGTATTAAGTCGGAGGCCATCTTTCTAAGGTATTAGAACTACAACAGTAAACAACAAAATTGTAAAGGAATGTCACAAGTAAGCTGAAATGCCATAGACATTTCAGCTACCAGGCTGTGGGAAAAAAGGATGACATTGAAATAAGAAAACGATATGGCCAGCCAGGAACCCGTTTTTCTAACAGAGAACCCCTGGATGTGCCTCAAAGCTAACTAAGGCTCTGGTCATGTCACAGAGGCGTGATTAAACCAGCCCTAATGACTGAGTACCTTGAAGACTCTGGATGTTAATGACAGAGTATCTTTTGCACGCTGCTTTCCTTTTAGTCAGTTCATCTTTACCCAGTGCAGACTTTAATGTTTGCAAAAACCGGAGGCCGGCGCAACTGAAATGGTCAGGCCTTCCCTAGCCTCATGAGAGAAGTCGCTGAATTAATGAGGAACCAGATGTAGGCTCTTCATAGTTGGAGCCGCCACCCCAAGAAAAGCTCCAGGGAGGGGAAGGGAAGTAAGCAATGGCCAACCCAATAGGAAACCTTCACAGGGAGTGGAGAGCATTTTCTGGCCAGATTCTGCAACACTGAGACTTGTTGTCTCCACTGTAGCACAACTACAGCCAAGCTGAGGTGAGAAAAAAATAATTAGGTCCCAAATCTGCATTAAAACATTTTTGCAGGGTTTTGTTCTTGAAGTGGAAAACTGTTCCCACAAGGTCTATTTTTAACCATTTTATTTTAAAGAGATCAGAAAGCCACTTCATGTTGAAATTTCTCAGTGGGGAATTTTACAGTAATGCTACTTAAATCCAACCTAACGATGACAAAGCAGAGGAAATGAGTGAATGGGCTAAGTCTGTGGAAATATAGCAGCCCCTCCCGCTTAAATCAATGTCATGGCTCAGAGAGGCTGTGAGTACAATATGGTGGTATATATGCTTCCTTTCTGACACAATTCAAAAGTCAAGCAGAATCCTGAATTTTAGGAAAGTACTAGTTCACAGTCAACTTTTTCTGTTAAACAACAAGTTTTAATGTTTTTTTCTCCCTAAAATTACGCAAAGACTACTAGTATTTCAAGTGATTAAAGACACCTTGGTTATAATAAACTGAGGCTATGCCCCTTGGTGATTTCACTTGTGGTGTCAATTTATTTAGAGAAATAAATATTCGGCTAGGTGCGGTGGCTCACACGTATAATCCCAGCACTTTGGGAGGCCGAGGTGGGCGGATCACTTGAGGTCAGGAGTTCCAGACCAGCCTGGCCAACATGGTGAAACCCCCATCTCTACTAAAAGTACAAAACTTAGCCAGGCGTGGTGGCAGGCACCTGTAGTCTCAGCTACTAGGATGGTTGATGCAAGAGAATCACTTGAGCCTGGGAGGTGGAGGTTATAGTGAATAGAGATCACACCATTGCACTCTAGCTTGGGCGACAGAGTGTGAGACTCCGTCTCTAAATAAATAAACAAATACATATTCAACCTACTATCCAGAGTCAGATTTTCTATTAGAGGCAGAAAAAGGAATGTGATTATCCTGAGTATACACTTCAGTAAAATAAAATCAAAGGAAAAACTCATTGAAAATAAATGACATAGCACATTTCATCGACCAAATATTTGGTGGTCATCTACTGTGTGCCAGGCACTTGAGATACACCATCAAGAACAAACCTCTGCCTTCATGGAGCCCTTATTTTATCATTAAACACACAAACCATGTTGTAGAAATTAGATGACCTGGCATAAGGTTGGCCAAGTTGTTTGTGATTCAGCTTAAAATCTCTCAAAGGGCTGAAGTGAGGAGCATTAAAGAAGGAGAAAGATTTCTAGAACAACCAATCTCTGCAGATAAGAATATCCAGTGCTGTAAATGCAACTACCTCAATGCCCTTTCTTATTCTCATCATCACCACAAGTCCAGGTTTAGAATCTTCCAGTGATTCCATTCTAGAACCTGAGAACTATAAACAGGCACAACAGTATGATGAGGATGTCATGCCAGTGGGCTGTGTTGCAGTAACAAATGACCCCATCACTTCAATGGCTTTCAACAACACATCCATTGAGGGTTGGCTGTGGGCTATGCTCCACTTCTTCATGGTGAGACCCACGCTGTAGAGCACCTGGCCTCTGAGACGTTACTGTTTTCATGGCAGAAGGAAACATGAGAATGGTGAAGCCATAAAATGGCGCTTAAAGCTTTTCCTCCTAGGTGGCACAGGTGACTTGAGCTCTCATTTCATTGGCCAAAGCAGATAATACAGCTAGATGTCAACAGCTCAAGAATATATCATCCTACAGGCAGCAACAGCAAACAAAACACTCAGTGATGAATAGGTTGTAGCATTTATCAGAATGCAGGTGACTACCAAAAAAGATGTGGAAAATATTTCTAACCCTTCCATTTTCCCAGACATGTGATTACTATTAAATTGTGAGTGAATCTTCTGAAGGGAAACTACTCCCTTTCATGTCATAATTTCTCCCCAGACCAGTAGCACACAGAACGTAAAGTGAAACAAAAACAGAGCCTGGAGAAGTTAGAGAAAACTAATTTTTCTTTCTATGGTTAGATGTCAAACAATTCATTTTCCCCCTCAATCATTCCTTTCCACATGAAAAAAAAAAAGGAACTCTATAATGTGGAAGACTACATTCTATATTTTATTTTGTAGCTAGTAAATTCTTCCTGAGATCCACATGGTACTTTATACAGGCAGGAGGAAGGAGACAGGTTATGGTGACACTAACCTCTTGAATTTTTGTTATGCATCAATTAGATGAAATTAGAATACAGGAAAGACATACCTTAGCAATTGCAATGGGCATCACTGGCCTTTGTTTCAAAAGAGTGACCAAGCAACTACAAGAACATGCACAATCTAGAGTTAAGGAGTATTTTATGCATTTTCCCCCCAAAACACAAAAGAGAACTAGAAATAGTTCAGATCAGTCTCTGGTCACTCCTAAAAAGATGTGGTCCTAAAACAGATTTGAGTTGGTATTATTTCAGCCACTTTGGAAACAGCCTACCACTTATGATTCAAAATCCATACACCATATAAGGTGTGCTTTGGATGAGTCTTTCAACTTTTCTACATGTTTAAACATTTATGTTAATTTATAAATAAAACATTAGGGGGAAATAATGAGTAAGCCTGGACCTTCAGTAAGCCTGAAAATAATGAGTTAGCCTTTGAACCCCAGGAGCAATAATTCTCTATGCATAATCATGAATGAAATTCCCTTACCATGTGGGAATTTTTGACAACCTCTATAACCTAAACAATAAATACCATTCTACAAGCAAGTTTGGTCCCAGGCATGTATTCGGCCATTCATCCAAAGAGCATTTTAAGTTACAACATGTGTGTAGAACTCTGCTTACCAGTTCTAGATTCATTTGCTTCAAGCAACATGCCAAGCTACCAAATCAACAAATGGTCAATTCACCAAAGACAGCGTGCTGAATGACCAATTTTCTAAATTCACCAGGTTTATGAACTTGTTCCTTTAAATTATTTATGGAGTTTGCAGTAGTTTGTATATAATGGGATGGAGTGTTCTTAAAATTGTTAGATTTCTGAAGTTCATGACAGGTTTTCCTACTGCCTTCATAGTATTAAAGGAATGGTCAATTCATCAAAAGCTAAAGATGATTTTGTTTTCTTATGAATGTTTAAGATCTAGAAAAACGTATTCCATAATTAGTAACCAATGAGTCACCAGAAAGTTTTAAAATATATATTGCTATGTTTTGCCTCTTTTTTCTTTTTTTTTTTTTTGAGACAGAGTGTTGCTCTGTCACCCAGATTGGAGTGCAGTGGCACAATCTCAGCTCACCGCAACCTCCGCCTCCCAGGTTCAAGCAATTCTCCTGCCTCAGCCTCCCGAGTAGGTGGGACTACAGGCGCCCGCCACCACGCCTGGCTAATTTTTGTATTTTTAGTAGAGATGGGGTTTCACCATATTGGTCAGGCTGGTCTTGAACTCCTGACCTCAGGCAATCCACCCACCTCGGCCTCCCAAAGTGCTGGGATTACAGGTGTGAGCCACCGTGCCCGGCCTGTTTTGACTCTTTTATGAACTCTTTTGTTTGTTGGGTTTATCGACCTATTAACCTTTTTAGGATTTTTTTACCTTATGCATCTTTTAACGCTTTTGCATTACTCTTGTTTTGGATTAGGTGTAGTATTTAAGAACATATCTTCCTTATACAATAAAGCCATCTAGTAGAAATCAAGTGCAGGTGACTGGAATGTATGCTCAACAAGGGCAAGTTATGGTCTAGTTCAGAGGTGGTAAACTATGGTTCATGCATTGCCTGTTTTCATAAATCAAGATTTTTTAAAAAACGCAGCTTGAACTTGTTTTATGTATTTCTGTGGCTGCTACTACAGAAAAAGAAAAAATGTCACCGTTTAATGGTTGCAATAGAAATGGTGAGGCCTACAAAGCCTAACATATTTACTATCTGGAACTTCAAAAAAAAGAATATTTGGGACTAGGGATCTAGTTTATTACAGTATCCACAGCTCCTGGAGCAATGCCTGACTCATTTAGGAGGGCTACATAAATACCAGTTGAATGAATGAATAAATGACTCCTGGTTTTTAACAAATGGCTACCCCGCATTCATCACTCATTTCAGTGCTTACTGTCTCACAACTCATGGGCTGGTGAGAGGTGTTGGTTCTTCCTAGTGACACAGAAATTAGGCAACTTGAGTCAAGGGGTAAAGCAAACCACCTCTGTGGTTCCAGGACTAAGGCCAATTGTAATGCAGATGATTGGTTTGCGGCAACGTAAAAACCAACTCACATTTCTGCAAAGACTATATTGGGAAACTCCAAACACAACTAAGCCGGCTGGTCTGCAAAAACTCAAGTCACTGTTTGTCCCTAAAAAGAAAAGAAAATGTAGGTTGGCCAATCCTTCTTCCCTCTTCTGAAGGTTGGCAGTGATTTTGTGGTCGAAGTGATGAGCTACCCTGAAAAGTCAGAAGGAAACCACAAAACCCACGCCCATTGCTCCTCCTAAGCTACAGCTGCTGCTGCACACAGCAGAAATATTTATATTCTGCCAGAGATCCCCCAGGACTATCCTGGATAGAGTAGCTTCTACAGACGTTATTCTGGTGGGAAATACTACGAAAAAGTCAAGTGCTGATCAATCTATTGGGAATTTTCTGCCATTTAACACCTGTTAAGGAACCTGTAACCAGACAAAACCAAGTGAGCTAGAATTTTATTGTTGTTTAATTTAATTTATTTATTTAGACAGGTTCTCACTCTGTCGCCCAGACTGGAGTGCAGTGGCATGATCTCAGCTCACTGCAGCTCCGCTTCCTGGGTTCAAGCAATTCTCCCACCTCAGCCTCCTGAGTAGTTGGGACTACAGGCATGCACCACCATACCCAGCTACTTTTTTGTCTTTTTTGGTAGAGAATGGGTTTTACCATGTTGGCCAGGCTGGTCTCGAACTCCTGACCTCAAGTGATCCGCCCGCCTTGGCCTCCCAAAGTGCTGGGATTACAGTCGTGAGCCATCACGTCCAGCTCGTTTAGTTAACTTTGAATGGCAAGTGGCAGGATGGTTGATTGGTTGGTTGAGAGGTGTCTAGCAGTCCTACTTTAATTTCCTCTTGCCTGTTAATGCCACTATGATTAAGGCTCCTTTCCTCCCCATCCCCATACTAATTCCTAATTCATCTCAGTAAAATTCCCCAGGGTAGAACAAGGACACAAATCATTACTATGAAGCTGTAGGGGTACCCTAAGTCAACTCATTTTCTCCAAAGCAGGAACACTAAATCAGTCCTTGGTGCCTATCACTTTTTTTTGGTATTCTGGGTATAAAAATATGATATGGCGGCCAGGCACAGTGGCTCATGCCTGTAATCCCAGCACTTTGGGAGGCTGAGGCAGGTGGATCACTTGAGGACAAGAGTCCGATACCATACTGGCCAACATGGTGAAACCCTGTCTCTACTAAAAATACAAAAATTAGCCAGGCATGATGGTGGGGGCCTGTAATCCCAGCTACTCGGGAGGCTGAGGCAGGAGAATCGCTTGAACTGGGGAGACAGAGATTGCAGCGAGCCAAGATCATGCCACTGCACTCCGGCCTGGGCGACAAAATGAGACTCTGTCTCAAAGAAAAAAAAAAAAAAAAGAAAGAAAAAAAATGATACGGCATCATACTTTTGTTCAAAGAGAATTTGTTGTCTGGGAGAAAGAAAGGCCTAAGCCCATGTAATATCAAGGTTGAAAAAAATGAAAAGAAATTATGTTCGAATACTAATGCATACTCAATATTCAGTGAGGGGTTCTAACCCAGCTAGCACACCCCAGAGGTATAAGTCTTGTCTGACATCACCAATAAATAAGAGGGTTCACTTATGTGATTTGAATTTTTCTTTTGAGTATCGGAACATTTAAAACTAGTCCTGGGCACCCAGCCTTTGAGGAGGAAAAAGTCAACTTTTAAGGTTCCATTTGTTTGACATCATCCCCTGGTCAACTTCTTGTAAAACTTCTTTGGCCGCTACACTGCAATTCTTGAGATTACAACTTATTTCTAAGTAATTTCAGGAACCATCCGACAAGGCTTATCCTTATTGCCCTGGATGGTGCTGCCAGGAAAAGCAATGATAAAAGCTCATCAAAATCATCACAGCTATGAAACAGCCACAGACAATTCCGAAAGGCTGGGACTAATCCTTGAGTCCACTCAGTCTCTCTCCTAAAGGCACATCTGTTGACAACTCTTTTCTTTCTGGCTTTCTAAGATCCCTCAATACCTTCATAGCAGGCAAACAGACAAACCCAAACTAGAGCTAATGTCAGCAAAGTCCACTAGCGAAGCAATCCTTGTAACGAAGTGCACCTGGAGAGCCCTTTGGAGTGGTAGGGAACTATGCAAGCAGCTTTGTGTGGCTGTCTTTTCAGAGACCACAGATCAGCTGGAGCTTAGACCAGGCAGCCGTCTAACAGCATTAGCAGGTAAACTGCAGTCCGACTTGAATGTACATTTTAAAAATTTGAATTACACAGTGTAGTTCCTCTGTAAGAAGACTTCAAAGTTTTCGTGCCAGAAAGGTGCAAAGTGACTTCTGCCTTCACATTTGTGAGCTTTTCACCCTCTCAACCAGCTTATGAGTGTCACTTGGGGATTTGGAGAGAGTCGGAGGGAGGAAGGAAATCTTTTCTCTTTGTGTCTTCAGAGAGACTCAGGAGATTCTGCTTATGTACATAGAGGTTAATAAGTGACTTTAATTGAAAAATGGCCATACACTTGAAACAAGATTTTGCTCTGAAAATTCCTTCTATCTGTTTAAGCATGAAAAGAAGAAAACTAAATATTATCATACCTTCCTCTCCTTTCTCCACGCCATTCCTTGGCATCTGCTACTCCATCCCAGACAGCAGGAAAACAAGAAAGAGTCTTCCATTCCCAAAAGCCCCCAAAGAAGAATGAAGGGGGAAAGGGATTGGCAAATATCCCTTTGGTGTCATTGCTTGGGAAAGAGTAGAAATCTGTGACAAGTCAAGCCTACCTTCAGGCTGTCCAGCTGTTAAAGTCTGCAGCCACTTGGAGGTGCTGGAGGTAAGTGAGCTTTTTCTTAGATGCAATCATTACTGCCAAATGTAGAAGGTGGGCAGTCGGCTTCATACCACCCAAGGATAAACAGCCACTGATTACAGTAAACACGCACAGCAAATGCACATCAAACACATCCTGCTTCAAATTACCGTTGTATCATTAGTGTGCAACAGTCTCTATACTTTTCTTAACAGCATGCTAGAAAAAAGCCCCCCGCCCCTCAAATTCTCTTCTATTCTGTTCATTGCACTGAAATGAAACTGTGTGAATCCCACTAACACTTAAATATTCACCTGCTGTGCTGCTTTATTAAACAAGCACTTAGGAGAGTGGTTTGTTGGGAAAGGGGTGGGTATAGCACCCAGCTACATGCTGCAGGATGAATGAAAAAGGAACTTGCCATCACATCCCGTCTTCTCTCCAGCTTTCTGTAGCAGCAACCTGGCTCAATTTCCCTTGATTAGCACAAAGATTTAGAATCACTTTTCAAAAAGTGCTAATCAGCTTTAGTTTCAATGGATCGAAATACAACATAAAAGTGGTTTTCTAGTTAATACAGGCCTGCTGATTTTTTCCCGTGAGTGCAGCATTAGAGATGAATCTAAAAACATAGCTACAAATAGGTGTTTATTTTGAAAACATCCAAAACATCCAGCTACCATACACTGTTGAAGGTGAGAAAATGGTGTCAAGGTACAGCCTACCTATCAATATACTCTTCAAGATAAATAATTACTTATATAATAACTTCCCTCTAATTCATTTCAGGACAGAAAGTATTAGGTACTAAAGAATAAAGCAAATAAATCAACACTCATCTTAATGCATTCCTTCCAAGTGCCATGTATACATGTGAAAGTAAATATTTTAAGTAAATATCAAAAGATGGGAACTTGCCTAGAGATTTACATGTAAATTTAACAGCAAAATCAAATTGTCATATTAAGCCAATGTTTCTTAATATCTAAAGTCTAAAGTTGTTCTGGCAATATTAACCGTACTGGCAGGGGAGGAGAAGGAAACCCTAAAATAGATTTTTTTTTCCCTGAAAATGGAAAGTAACAGACAAAAAAAAAAAAAAAAAAGAAAGAAAGAAATCTAGAATGTCATCTTTGAGACACAGTGATGAAGACACATGTCAGTGCCTCCTACAGGTACAAAATGGTAACATACCATTAGAGGAGGGGAAACTATTTCTTGGCTTAAAATGTGATACTGAAGTTCTTCAAGAGACTCCTACCAACTTGTTCCACCAAGACTTTTCTTCCTGTCCTGTCTCTGTATTTTTGATAGCCATTCACATATTCTGAGGAAATTTAGAGCTTCTCCCTAGTAGATATCCTATGAAAGAATTCATTAATCTTTTTCCTTCTCTCATATGTCACTATAATCCACATGTACACCTGGGGGCTTCCCAACTCCATTATCTCTGTAAAAGCCAGCATTTCTGTGGACTGCTCCAGTGGACATTGGCCCTTTGACCTTTAATCAAGGGCTGGCAGGAGATCCTAGAGTATGGTGGAATGAGCTTAGAATTTTGAGCCTATTGAACCTGGTTTCAAATACCAGTTAAAAGTTGCATGACTGTGTGCAAGCCAATTGTGTGACCTCTCCCTGAATCTCAGTTTTAAAATGTATACGATGGAACAAATAATAAACACTTCACGAATGAGATGAATATATTTACTAAATACCTGACATATAAAGATCAAAAAATAGCAAAAAATAGCAAAAATAGCAGTATATATAAAATTGTACCTTGTAAATGAGCTGGCTTCAGAATAAAGTTTTTGTTTGTTTGTTTTGTTTTTTGGTATTTCAGGAATTAAATCCTCTTTGATGTAGTACAAAATGGAAACCACCTTATACTGCACTGAATTCATTCTCATGGTGAATGCTATTCACTAGGGTTCCAGTGTTCTGTTAGTTTCTTTCCATTCCAGTGGGAGCTCTACTAGAAATACTACTACACAAGTGGCATGCCAGTCAATTTGATGACACAAATACTTGGTGCTACCTGCTATGTCCCCCAAATATAAATGAGCATGAATACTCCTACTTTCAAAGACAAAGCAGTTAGGTTGTTGACTTAGTAAATAGCTACTAAAACAAATTGCCACACTACTCAACTTATGTGACGGATGATTCTCCTGCAAGTTGGCTAAGCACCAAAATGTCAAATTCCAAAGAAAAGCTACACTTTAGAGATAAAAACTAGATATTTACCCAGTCATCAGCCACCACTGGGCAAAATCCTGCAGAAACTCCTAGATCTCTGCCATCTGCCTGTTCGTCTCATTCCATGTTCAAGGCAATTATGTCCATTCCCATTTGTCAATTTCAGAAGGGGTGGTTTCTACCTGCTATGAAGTGGTGCTTAAATGGGCAAAATTATTCAAGGGCTTCAATCTTCCTAGCTGGAAAACCCAAATAATATAGGACAGAGGTTAAAAGCTTAAGATTTAAAAAAAGAAAAAAAGCTTAGAATCTGAAGTCAGATGGCCAGAGTTTGAATCCCAGTTTTATGAGTTCCCAGCTAGGTGACTTTTGGCAGGATAACTGATCTTTCTGTACCTTAATATGCATCTATATAACAGGAATGAAATAAATCATAGTAGGCATGCCATTGACGATATAGCCTCTGTTTAACAGTTCAACCAAGAAAGCTTTCTTGTCATAAAATGGGATCACCTTTGTCTTTTATTTGTAATATATAACAAATATTGTTATGTTTATGTTCTAGACCATACCTTAATTTTCTAAGATATCTATTGGCCAATTATTTTTTTAGGTAGGTCTTTCAGAATAGTATTTACGTGACTCTGAGATATTTCCTTCTCCTTGACTAAGGCAGGAGAAATTTTCCAAAAATATTTTGTAAGGAGTTTGCATCAAGCAAAACATGTTTCCAGGAACATCTTCAACCCTTTTTTCTTTTGCCTTGAGACACAGTCTCACTTTGTCGCCAGGCTGGAGTGCAGTGGCACGATCTCATTTCACTGCAACCTCCGCCTCCCAGGTTCAAGCGATCCTCCTGCCTCGGCCTCCTGAGTAGCTGGGACTACAGGTGCGTGCCACCACGCCCAGATAATTTTTGTATTTTTAGTAGAGACAGGGTTTCACCATGTTGGCCAGGATGGTCTCGATCTCTTGACCTCGTGATCTGCCCAGCTTGGTCTCCCAAAGTGCTGGGATTACAGGTGTGAGCCAACATGCCCAGCCCCCTTTCTTACTCTTTCTATTCATTAGTTTCTCTCTTTCTCATTGCTTATCTGACCTCTCTTTTTGATCAAATATCCATAATTTAAAGGATTATTATCAAGAAACTGATAAAATACAATAAGACTATTATATTTAAATATAATGCCTCTTCTCGGGCCTGGCACGGTGACTCACGCCTGTAATCCCAGCACTTTGGGAGTCTGAGGCGGGCGTATCACCTGAGCTCGGGAGTTTGAGACCTGCCTGACCAACATGGAGAAACCCTGCCTCTACTAAAAATACAAAATTAGCCGGGTGTGGTGGTGCATGCCTGTAATCCCAGCTACTCGGGAGGCTGAGGCAGGATAATTGCTTGAACCCAGGTGGTGGAGGTTGCGGTAAGCTGAGATCACGCCATTGCACTCCAGCCTGGGCAACAAGATGAAACTCCATCTCAAAAATAATAATAATAATAATAATTAATAATAAATAAATAAATATAATGCCTCTTCTCAGACCACTAATTTTTAAGAACATAGTAAAAGCAAAAAGTCTGCAGACTTGCAGAACCCAGACAAACATGCAGTTCATAGAAATACACATGAAGTCATTTTCACAGAGGTTATCATTTTATGCTATAATGAACTGTGTCAAGATTATGGTGAAAATAAAAATGATAGATGATATAATAATAGATTAAATAAAACAATTACATTCATATAGATTCATGGTCCTTGTGGATGGAGACAGCATGAGTTTCAGATCTTCAAAATTGGTTGCTTAACAGCTTGGGAAATCGGCTGAATAAAGTAATATAATAGTTCTCATTCTGCAAAACCCCAAAGGCCATTGCCACATAGAGTCACACCACTATATATATATATATCCTAGAAAGGACAACATGGGTTAGTTAAGTGTTCTATAAATGGCCTAGAGAAAGCTGAATGCTTGCTGGACACCCAGGAACCTCACCATTTTCTGATCTCAGATTTTAGCTAAATGCCCTTAAAACATGGCATCTAAGGAAGCCAGAAGCTGATGTTTCTCTTTACGGTGGACTCTCTTGGGATTCCCTATTTCTCTGCTTATTCAAGATCTGTTCGAGTTCCACCTCCTCCCCATTTGCCTTCCATATCATCTCCAGCCCCTGCTATCATCCTTTGTCTGAATTCTGCTAATACATGTTGTCATTTAGCACTTACCTTCTGCTCCCTTAACTATTATAGTAAGTAATGCTGCCTATCTTCAAACCTCAGCCTGCCCATGCCTGTGCTCTTTCTGCTATTAATGTACTCAATCTTTCTCGCTGATGCAAAAACCTAATCTGATGATATTCCTACGGTCAACCAAGCACATTCCAAGCCCTGATGGTGGTTCACCAGGAGCTCCTGCAGCCACGTAAGAGGGTATAGAAAGTGTTATTTCCAAGGGAGAGGCCCTTCTCCATTCCTTTGCTATGAGATGGAATGCAGTTGTGATAGCTGGAGCTGGGGCAGCTATCTTGGACTCCAGCATGTAAGATATGTGTTTAAAATGGTGGAGCAACAAAGCAGAAGGAGCCTGGGTCCCTGATGATCACGGAGCCTCGTTACCAGGCCTGAGCTACCTAAATTCAGGTGAGTGAAAAATACACTTCTATTTTGTTTGAGCCACTATTTCCTTGAGTTTTCTGTCACTCCTAGCTATTTATCACCCTAATCCACACCGTAACTAATTCAAGTTTTTAAAATATACACCGTGAGTTAAAACACATTCAACAAATTTAGCTCAGGGACTCTCTGCTCTATAGCCTGTAACGGTGTTAGCATTTTTTTAATCTATAAGCACTAGACCATATTTTCCTTAAAAAGCTAGAGTTATTTCTCATGTGATTTCATATCCTAGGGGACTTGTACAGAGCCTGGATCAGGGGAGCCCAATAAATCTTTGATGACTATAGAAAGATATGTGTTTTACCTCCACAATGATATGCAAGTACCTAAAGGTCAGCAATTTTAGTCATCAGCATGGCTATACACAGAAAAAGTGCCTCATATACCTGTTTTGATATTGCTGGCAGATTAGATGTGTTCATCCTCCCTTTCTATCCTCAGAAAACAGTATCCAAAAATTACTTTGCATACAATGGCACTATATTATGGAAGGAAAGCAATGTGCCAAAGTTATAAAATCATCGTGAGATCTAACTACATAGGAAAATTCGAACAACATCTCCATTATTTCACTTTACAGCATAGAATAACCATGCGATTTAATTACTCTGCCAACTCTGAAAAACCTATAGCTGGGTTCTGGCACACAATGTACAGTTTTTATATGAAAAAAATGATAATTTCCCTGACAAAACCACTTAGAATAGCTTTCAGAAAACATATGATCAAAATGCATGAAAAATTTGTCCCCCCAAATTTACTATAAAATTGGCATTGTATCTTTTACATCAACATGCAATACATACTGTCTATGCTGGACAACAGAGTAAGAATAGTAACTTATTTCAGTGGTTTCTGTGCTGACTTACATACAGTAGAGATTCACTAAATATTTTTTAACATATACCAAAAGTTTGTATGATTCAAAAGTTATTTGAATAATATCAAAAGTTATTTGCAAGTGATAATATAAAGTTTGGATCAGTCAATAGTAGTGGTCCTCAACCAGGAGCAATTTTGCTTCCCAAGAAACCTTTGGCAACTTCTAGAGATATTTTCAGTTGTCACAACTGGGGAATGGGTGGGTGCTTCTGGTATCTAGTGGGTAGAGGCCAGGGATGCTGTTTAACATCCTACAATGCGCAGAAGAGCCCCCACAACAAAGAATTTTCTGGCCCAATATGTCAACAATGTCAAGGCTGAGAAACTCTGGTCTTACATTGGCTTGAAGCAATGCATATTAAACTCATAGTAGGCAGGGCAATGTTGACTTTCCAAATGACATAGCACCTTGAGAGTTCAATAAAGATGAAGAGAGTCTATAGTTGTTGACAATGACAGTATTCTTAGCTTCTTAGCATAGGGAAGCAAAGAATAAACTGGGTATTCCCAGGTTCGGGTCTCTTGATCATTCCATTAATAACAATAGTCCTTCATTTCCACCAGTGAAGGTGAAGGTGTGAGCAAGTTCAAGGTAGCAGGTCCTCCAAGATCTCATCCCATCTTGTAAGATCTAAAGATTCTATAAAAGCACTCAACTTTTCTTTTTAGAGATGTTTTTCGTTTCAGTGCAGCCGCTACTACAATAACTATCACCGTTAGCTTGAAAGAGAACCAGACATAATGGAGGGCAATTATTTTCTCCTCTTTTACCCACAGCTCTCCTTCCTCCTTCCTCCAAACTACTCCCAGTGCCATGCTATACACCCCCATCCTGTGACCAGGCCTGCAGGCCCTTCTGTTCCCACAGACTCTACCAAGTTTCTCAGGGGATTTATGGTGACTTATTTAAATGCAACTGATTTGCCCACAAGGGCCAACTCAAGGAAAATAATTTCCATCAGCCCCATCTTTCCTGA
The DNA here is from genome assembly GCF_000001405.40 of Homo sapiens. Classification (NCBI taxonomy): domain Eukaryota; kingdom Metazoa; phylum Chordata; class Mammalia; order Primates; family Hominidae; genus Homo; species Homo sapiens. The sequence goes on from NC_000008.11 coordinate 117,891,140, forward strand.
GCTTTGTACACAAGAACACCAAAAGGCCTTTCTTTCTTTGGAAAATAAGTTCCTTTTCCTAATTGGAGTCAGTTTTACTAATCAAGATTACAATGAGGCTTTACAAGCAACGTTGAAGAAGGGAGCATTTATGCAGGTCAGTAGGGGTTTTCCTAAACATTTTGATTACAACTTTAACTGCTCTAAAACACATGTAAAACTCCTATCATTAAATTTAAACAGCCTGATGATATGCCAAACAAGACTATGAGAATGGCAAATAAATTGCTGTAATCTGCCATACTGTCACTTACCCTGCTCTTGAGCAGCTGTAATTGACTAATAGGATAATAAGGTGGCAGTTTACAAATCTGAAAGCTATACTCCTTTGTTGAGAATGCCCTTGAGTGAAAAAAAAATGCTCTAAGTCAGGAAGACAGAGTGGGTGTGATCAAAATCATGGCCCTGGATTCAATATATGTAAATATGCTTTTCCTATGAACTCAAAAGAAGTCACTGAACACAGTTGTATGCAGGGGCAGCACCACTTGTCATTGCGTTTATTGAACCTTTTTATCCCTCCTCACATAAAAAATATTCAGAAGAGCTTTACCCACTCTAAGGACCAAGGTTAAAGGCAGCATCCTAAGCAGGAGTGAGGGCAAGAAAGGTTTTCTTTTTTCTTGCTTTTTTTTTTTTTTTTTTTGAGACGGAGGCTTGCTCTGTCGCCCAGGCTGGAGTGCAGTGGCACGATCTCGGCTCACTGCTACCTCTGCCTCCCGGGTTCAAGCGATTCTCCTGCTTCAGCCTCCTGAGTAGCTGGGATTACAGGCACAGGCTACCACACCCGGCTAATTTTTGTATTTTTAGTAGAGGCGGGGTTTCACCATGTTGGTCAGGCTGGTCTCAAACTCCTGACCTCGTGATCCACCCGCCTCGGCCTCCCAAAGTGCTGGGATTACAGGCGTGAGCCACCGTGCCCATTCAAGAAAGGTTTTCTTAGCACCAGTCCACTGATGGTAGAGGTTGGCTCCATCCTTCTTCTGACAGTGGTTTCTGTTTCCAGTTTACCTCCTGAGCATTGAACATGCAGAGAAAGATTCCAAACACCCCAGAACTACACAGGCCACTGCTAAGTGATGCTTAAGGACTTGTCAGCAAAGGCTCCAATGCATTCACCTAGGACAATGCCCAAAGTCAATGATCTCACAAGGATACATATGACATGAGGATTCTTGCCAGCAAAAGCCAGCTTGAATCTGGTAAGAAAACTGCTGCTACTACTTCTACTTCTACTATTGCTGCTGCTGCTGCTGCTGCTGTTTGGAGAATACTTGTCAACTGGGAGACTGCTGAGGAAGAAGAGGGTTGGGAGGTCGCATCAAACTACAGAACCCTGTATGTCACAGTGAGGAATATGGACATTACTGTGAGTGAGATGGAAAGCCACAGAGGATTTTGAGCAGAGGAGAGATATGAGCTGACTTATCCTTTAAAAGGATTCCCCTGGTGGCTGCTGTGTGGAGAAGAGTTTGTAGTTGGGCCAAGGTGGGAAATGGAAGCAGGGAAGAAGAGAGAGGCTATTGCCATGGTCCGGTGAGAGGTAACTGTGGCTTGCACCATAGAAGCAGCAGTGGAGGTGGTAAGAACTGGTTGAATGCTGGATATATCTTAGAGCTACAATGAACAGGATGTGCAGATGAGTTGGCTGTATATGAGAGAAAGAAAAGAGTCAAGGACAACGGCAAGGTTTTGGCCTGAGGAACTCAGAGAAAAGGCTCGCTTTTTACTAAGGGGGAAAACTGCAGAAGCAACATATTGGGGAGGGTGAAGAGACAGAAATCAAGAACTTGGTTTTGAATGTTATTCCAAAATATCAGCATGATCTTCTACATTTAAAATTGTGTTTACTGTTTCATTTCTAAACATTCCTGAGAGAGTAGCTGAAACATTACAGTACACATTATATATGAATGTATAGGTATATGTGCGTGTGCACAGAAGGCAAGAATGGATTGATGGATGAATAATCTTCCATTCATACTCTTCTTTTTCTTTCCTTGAACTTATTTCTTTCAGAACAGAAATATCCACGATATGCCATCATCTTCCTTTTCCAAGTGAACTCTCTGCTAAATAAATAACGAAAATATTCTAAGTACAATCAAGTAAAAGAAAAACATGAGCATTTTCCAATCTATCAACAGATGAGGCACAGAAAAGCCATTTGGACAGAAGCAAAGGTCTCCAAGAACAACAAAAGCCACACTGTTAATACCACAGGGTTGGATAAACCTGTTCCATGCCAAGGCCATATGGAAAGCTTACAGGGAGAATGGCACGAAGAAACAAAAGGCCTTTGGAAACCTCTGAGGATTGCTGGGTGAAAATGGAATTTGGGCAGTGAGGCAAGAAGGATCCAGGCTGACCTCCATAGGGCACAGTAACATCAATTCAAGATATTTGCACTCAAGCAGGCTGCTAAACCCCCGTGATGCTGAACACTTGAGCTTGTCCCAATCCCTGGTGCCTTCCGCCTTTCGCTGCAGCCTGGACTAACCACGCTTTGAGCAAGTGAAACGCTTGCCACTGTTGCTGTACTTCTGAGTCACTGAGATGAGACAGTGACCAGTAACAAGACTCCCTCCTTGATTAAATGAAATCAGGTTCCTCTAAGTCCTCAAGGTCTCGATCTTACAAGTCCATCCTTGCCAGACCCGTTATCACCTAGTTTTAGCAAAAATCTTGTTACATCACTTGAGAAAGAATCCCCACGCTGGTTATCTCACCAAATTCATCATCTCTCACCATTCCCCAGGTGAGATCTGATCACCCTGGCCTGCCTTCAGCACGACTCCTGTTAGGTCTGTTTAGCAAGAATCTTCCTTACTTCTGATGCTCCCTTTTAGGGGCTATCTACCCACTGACCCCTAACCCTGCCTTTTGGCTACATATCCCCACTTGTTCAAGTATGTTCAGAATTGGGCCCCTACTGCAATAGTTCCTGACTAAAATCTGTTTTTACTACTCTAATCACTCTCTGGTTTTGGTTTTTCTTTCTTTTCTTTTCTTTTCTCTTTTCTTTTACTTTTTTTGTTGTTGTTGAGATGAGGTCTCGCTATATTGTCCAGGCTGGTCTTGAACAACTGAGTTCAAGCAATCCTTCTGCCGCAGCCTCCTGAGTGGCTGAGATTACAGGTGTGTTTTTCTTTGACACCAGCAGAGTAAATACCCCTTGGAATATTTCCCTCCATGCTGGTCCTGTTGGTGTTGTGTATGAGGCTGGTGTTTGGGCAGCAAGGGAGTTGATTACAGCAGAAGGTTCCTAATCCCACCTCTACTTCACAACGCTGTTATAATGAACAGAATCAGTCCAAAGAGAAAACAATGAAAACGACAGTCTTACTTGTACCTATATTCCTAGTATCACTTGATCCCCCAACACCACCCCCATCAGCTCCCTGCCTTTAATTCCTCTTTAAGTAACCCGGGAGAGATACGTCCCTTTGGGGACTGAATTTAAAGTGACTATGAATTAGTTATGCCACATCCTTCCAACCACAACCAGGCCCTGTTTAAAAGCAGAGAATGGACAGTGTAAGTGCCTCTTCCCAAGACAGCCACCTCTGCCACTTGTAGTTAGAGAGGCTGCGACTGATCTGGACTGCGGCAAATTAAATGTGTTATAGGCAACACACTCTAAATAAGGCCGCCTCCCTTCTCGCAATGTCCAGTTTAGTCCTGGCACCTCATTTGAGGAGGTGAGGGACAGCAAGAGGAAATGACAGGAAGTGATAAAGGAGCTAAAAATAGATGTGGAAATGTGTAGATATGAGAGTTTCACTGAATATAAATAGGCTGATTAGATTAAGCATCAACTGGCAAATACAATGTCTATAAGCTTCTGGGTTTGCTGTATCAAATTGTCACAACCTCTGATGGGTGAACTAATAATCCACTGTCAATTCGATCATGATGTCATCTTAGATGACATGATCAAAATGGTCGTGAACCAGGGAAGGCTGTGAAGTTACAGTGAGTGATTTGATAACATCTGGCTTGCTTGGGCTCGGCTCTAATAGGGTCTCTGTGGGGTTTACCTCTGATTTGGTAAAAGCATTCTACAATCCAAAAATATCAAGCGTTGTCTACGGACATAAACCAGTCATGACCATAGGAGTTATAAACGGGTTTCAATGTTTTAGTTGACAAATGCTGCAATAACTGCTACACTTTATTGGGCACCTGTTCTGGCCAGGCATTAGGCTAGGACAGAAAGAATGAAGACAATTTGACAGGCATGGTCAATGCAATTATATTATAAAACATAGCAGGGCCAGCAGAGTCCACTCACAGCCAGAACCCTAAGTAGTTTCAAGCACTCAAAAATCAAACAGAAAACAACTTCACGCAAGACTGAAGGGAAGTCATTAAGACCCATCCAGGTCTGAGTGTTATACGAAAATGTTACTGTCGTTAATTACCTTCCAATAATAATGCCAATTACAGAAAATAATGAGAATGTTTACCCACCAAACTAATAGGGACTGGCATTTCAAAGTCTACCAGAATAACCTAGGCAACAAGAAATGTTCTGATTCTCCCATGTCTGGATGTTTTTGCTTTTTCTTCCTTTCCTGCTGACCCACTTCAAAGGTTTCATGCTGGAAACACTAATCATGTCCTCCTTTGCTGGAGTAAGTTACCCTCCTTTTTGCTCCCTGCCTAGTGCCTCCGTTCGCATCCAAAGTAACGCTCATTACCTGCAAACTCAAACTTCCAGCAGCCCACATGCAGATCCCAGCACACAGATATATCATTCCACATTGGCCTACCTGATTTACAGATCACATGGGTTTCTGAAATACAGATAAACGGGCACTTGGGGAAAGCAGTAATGTTGTAAAACGTAGAGAAGGTCATGCATGTATATTTTACCTGGAACCTCACAAGAATTGATAACATTTGTGGGATTTCATTTCTACCTACACAGAAAACACATATTCTAAGGGTTTAAACTTGAAAACTCACATTCAGGCACACATGCTTATGCCTGTCTATGGATGTGTGTGCATGTGTGCACATGCATGCACAAATCAAGAAGAGTTTCTATTTAAAGACAACTTGCACCAAAAAAATCCAGATTACTTTACAATGCAAATCATCATCTTTTGTATTTTATTACGAGCTTCCTTTAGTATATTAATTTCTAAGCATCTTTAACACAAATCATCATATACATACAACTCTCTCTTTCAGATTCAGAGAAGGAGTTAAAAATCAGCCAAAAAAGAAAGCAAAAAACAATGAAGATAAGGGAGGAGGGAGTGTATATGGAGCAAAAGGAGGAAGCCAGCTGGTTAGCTGGCCTTTTAAAAGGTATCAGGGAATTAGGCCCAAGGCCATTAATCCTACAGTTTTCACTCCTCTGCCAACTCTCACGGCTTACATTACCGAGCCATCATCCAGATTAAAAATGGGTTTCCATAAGGGTTTCTGCTTCCCCAGGAACCCTCCTCTCTACCCTCCCCACCTGCTGCCCCTTCACACAGCAGCAAAGTGAAATCCAAAAGAAAAATATTAAAATCAAACAAGGCTTTAGGGATTTGGGGAGGTGGATGGAGAACAGGTTCTTATCTAGGCTTTAGCACAATATTCCTTCTTCAAAGTCTTCTTAATTACATTGAGAGAAAGAACAAGCGACAAACAGAAGAGCTGCCTTCTAAATTCAGTGCCCCTCAATGAAGGGTTCAGGTTCACAGGTTCTAGCCCTAAGGGAGAATGATGATCTGTGCTCAGCTTCTTGCCACCCAGGGTCCCAGCCCCCCAGCCTCTGCCTCCATGTTTCCCTTCACCCCCACTTGCTCAGCTTCCTCCCTGCTCTAAGAAGTGCCCCTACTTGACAGCTATTCTGTCCATGGAATTTCCCTGCTGGGCACCTACATTTTATTTTTCAAGTGGAAAGAATGCAAGGTTAAGGACTGTGTTTCTAAGATCCCAAAGCTGCAGCCAGTTAAGAACTGAATAATTCAACCAGAACTAGTTGTTCTGTCCATACTAGCTGCATGTGGCTTTATCCCCTGTAACCTAGAGCTTGTAGAAATGAGAAAATTAAACCATATCCAGCAGGGCACAGAGCGTGCACATTGTCCTTCCGAGTAGATTCAAAAGGAGCTGGTAGTCATGCATCAGATGGTGTGGCAGTCTTACTGTTAAGGGACAAGCTAAGGGCTGACTGCTCTCCCCCACGAGTGGAAGTGCCAAAGTGGGTTTATCTTTACTGCAGGTCTCCTGTGTGCTGGAATCTGTGCTAGGCACTGTTCCTGCTTTATTTCAATGAACACTTGTAGCAATCTGAAAGGTCATATTGGCTAAGGACTTGAGCTCTGGATCTAAAGCAGGCCTTGTTTTCAATCTCAGATTCAGCACTTTCCAAGAGTGTCTTTGTAGCCCATTGCCGGGCTTCTTTTCTCTTTTTTTTTTTTTTTTTTTTTGAGACAGAGTCTCGCTCTGTCGACCAGGCTGGAGTCCAACGGCCCGATCTCGGTTCACTTCAACCTCTGCCTCCTGGGTTCAAGCAATTCTCCCGCCTCAGCCTTCCGAGTAGCTGGGATTACAGGCGCGTACAACCACGCCCAGCTAATTTTTGTATTTTTAGTAGAGATGAGGTTTCGAGGTTTCACCATGTTGCCCAGGCTGGTTTTGAACTCCTGGGCTCAAGCGATCTGCCCTCCTCAGCCTCCCAAAACGGTCGGATTATAGGCGTGAACCACCGCACCCAGCCGCCTGGAATTTTTAAGCCTCAAGTTTGTTCCACTTTGAATGCAAGAAGCCACCTCATAGGTAAGAATATTATTGAACATAAGGCATGGCACAAAATACTTTCTAAGTGATTATTGTCCTTGTTATACCCACTTTATAGATAAAAGATAAAGTCATTTGTCCAGAAGGCAAAGCCAGGAGTGGCTACTTAATTTTTCTTGACCCCAAAGTGTATACTCTTTCCATAACTTCCTGTTGTCTCCCATGGACCCACCTCAAAATCAGAGGTGTCACAGTGGTGGTTTAACAACCAAAGTTTCAAATTAGCCATATACATTCTGGGGGCTTCCAAGATCCCATACTGGGGTCTCCACCCTTATTTCCTTGCTCTCAGAAGTAATGTGTGATGAACCTGTTCTTTGGAGGAAGTACCTTCCTGTGGGCTGGCTGGCACACTGTCCCAGGCAAGGCCAGCCTGGGGATGTTCTAGATGTTCACTCTTTTTTCTAGTTTCAATCCTGCAAACTCAGTGGACAGAAGGAGCTAGGGACTTGAAAGCATGAAAGCATTGGATTAGAAAGAAAACTACAAATGCAGTCTGTGTAACAGAATCATGGTATTTTCATATTGAGAAGGCTCTTTTTGATTCAGCCATTGTTTAGTTAGACCTGTACAAGTTGAATTCGAACTTATTTTCCCACTGTTACTTTTCTAGGTTTGGTAAAATGTGTGAATGGCTGTGGATCCCATGAAGGTTTTTAAGTTAGAGCACAAAACGTCCTAAAAAGCACGTGACTGGCCTTGCCAGGCAGAGCAGGATGTAAGGAAAAAAAAACAGAAACTCAGGGAAATGCAAGCATAGATTCCAATTCTATTTGTTATCTTGCAGCAATGTATTTATGGTAGATGGTTTCCACATTACCTACTAAACCCAGACGGCAGGAAAAAAAAAAAAATGAATGAACACAGCTCTTCCAAGCTAAGAATATGACTCCAATCAGGTCAGTAAATAGTCAGGAAACTACGGTTTTATCAATTCCTGATTTGTTTTGATTCAAAACACTGACCCCCAAATGCTTCCTTTTTTTACCCTCTAAATCTGAAGCTGGTGAAAAATGAAGTGATTGATAATAAAGCTTTCACTACTTCCAAAAGAAAAAAATAAATGAAAGCAATTTGAATAAAGGGCCATTTACTCTCCTATTCTTTGAATACATTTATTCTATACTGATAAGCACACATTTACGCTAGAGAGAAGATGGTCTTCAGAATAAGCACTTACTAGGATTAAATTTACATTATCTGTCTAAATGCACACACATTTTAGACTGGCAGTAGTATATGTTGTGCTCACATTTTGCAAACACTGGAAAGGTGAGTTTTTAAAAATACAGTTTTACAACTCTAGAAGTTGGGAGAAATATAATTTCCTAATACTAGCTATAGGAGGAAAACAGAAAAGTGACCTATTTTAATGACAAAGCATTCATAATATATCTTCCCCGTACTTAAGAACCAGCTTCATCTCAGCCCATCACCAGAAAGGAGAGAAATCTCGTGTATAAATAATTAGGCAATCTCAAAATGAGTCTGCAGATGCTCTGAGATAAGCCTGCTGACAAAGTCACAATGACAGCTTGCTAACGTGTTCACAGGACATCAGCTTCTCTTAAAAGCTGCTTTCGGAACGATCAGCTGGGTTCCTACTGAGTTAAAACACAAGCATTCGGAGGCAGCTTGTGTTCAACAGCTACATAAATCTATTAATCCAACTAGAGGGGTGGGGGAAACTGAAGATTACATCTCAAAGGCCCTCAAGGCCTGTGTTTCAAGGAGTAGCAAGATAAATGCAACCAATATAAAATAAAGCTTATCAGTTGTTGGTGTTTTAGATGATGCTACCTTTCAGGGCTGGGGAGTCAGGAAAGTACATGTCTGAGAAAAATGACCATATGTGGCAACTTGAGCACTGTTTGCCACTGGGCATCAAAATATCTTACCGTGTGCTCATAAGAGTGGATCTAAACTCAAACTGTAGTTACATGAGCAAAAGAGCCCCCTGATGAGCTGGTGAAGTTCTCCGTTCAACTACAGCAAAATGGACTGAGCTCCCATCACATGCCAGGTGTTGGTCTAAGAGACGGATTTGCCGAGGTGACTACACGGAGGTCCCTGCCTTCCAGGGGCATGTGTCATGGTGGGAAATCCAATGAGAAAACAGTTCGCTTCCACACAATGTGGTGGGTACTTAAAGAGAAGTGTTCTGTGGGAGCCCAGAGCAGAAAAGTCCTGCCTAGAGGTCAGGAAAGATGACCAGAAATGACGCCTGAGCTGACTGATGGTCTGGAAGCACCCAGCGAAGAAGAGCAATGATGTTTGCTAAGGCAACGTCGGTACTGTTTCTCCCCAAAGGCATGGGATTTTATACACACCACCTGCTTTTCATATAGAAAACTCATGAGGAAGCTCCTCACATTGTTTTTAACAGCAAGTTCAAAACAATCTTATTATATGATTATTGTCTGCCAGAGAACACCTGGGCATGAATGCTTCCTGAGTTCATTCCAATTCATGACTAAGAACGGTGGGATACAGCACAGAGCCTTAGGGCTGATGCCATGAAATAAATTCATTGTTGGAGGCTGCTGACCACCCCAAGTCTAATTCTGGGGTAGGTCTCCATTCTACCCTGCAATCACTCCCCTCACTGACAAACGGGCTAAGCTGCTATATTTGCCAAGTTGCAGCTACCAAAGTAAGTAAATTCAATCCTTGGGCTTGGAGTCAGCAGAGGCATGGGGCCAGCCAGAGACCCAGCTTCCATAGCACAGGCTGCTGTTCCTAAGCCCTCTGCTCTCACAAGCCTGGGTGCCACACATTCAGCAATAGGAAATTTGATGGCTCCTGGGACTAAGGGTAAAAAAAGGCTGAAGAAAAGGGAAAATTAATTTTAGCAAACTAGTAGCTACCATTTATTGGTACTTCTTGATGCTAAGTGTTTTACATTCTTTTCCTCAAGTAATCTTGGCACATCTAGGGTTCAAGCACTAAGAGCATTCTCCAATTCCTACCAAGGCAGATACTTGGGTAAACCCTGTACAAAGTCTCAGTCTTACATGAAGCAGAGAGGACTCAGTAAAAAGTTCCAGTAAAGCCAGCTTTCTGGTCTGCAAGAAATGAGATCTAGAGTATCAAATCCATCGTTTTCCAGGGACCAGAGCACTCTTTAGAATACAGTCATGAGTCACTTAACAATGGGGTTACGTTCTAAGAAGTGCGGTATTAGGAGATTTTGCTGTTGAGTGAATATCATAGAGTGTACTCACGCAGACCTGGATGGTATAACCTTCTACACACCTAGAATATATGGTGTAGCCTGTATCTCCTAGACTACAAATCTGTATATCACATTACTATGGGCAGTTGTAACACCATGGTAAGTATTTGTGTATCAACACATATCTAAACATACAATAGGTACAGTAAAAATAGGATATAAAACATAAAAAATGGTACACCTCTGTGGGCCACTTAAAATGAATAGAGCTTGCAAGACTGGGCACTGCTCTGGGTGAGTGAGTGCTGAGTAAACGCAAAGGCCTAGGGCATGACTGTACACTGTTATAGACTTTATAAACACTGTACACTCAGGCTACACTACATTTATTTTAAATTTTTTTCTTTTTTCAATAATAACTTAGCTTACTGTAAGTTTTTTACCTTAGAAACTTTTTAACTTTTTGACTCTTTTGTAATAACACTTAGCTTAAAACACAAACATATTGTATATAGCTTTACAAAAATATTTTCTTTCCTTTTTCCTTTTTTTGTTTTGAGACAGGATGTCACTCTGTCTCCTAGGCTGGAGTGCAGTAGCACAGTAACAACTCACTGCAGCCTCGACCTCCCAGGCTCAGGTGATCCTCCTACCTCAGCCTCCCAGGGAGCTTGGACTACAGGTATGCACCACCACACCTGGCTAATTTTTTGCATTTTTGATACAGATTAGGTTTCGCCATGTTATTCAGGCTGGTCTCAAACTCCTGGGCTCAAGCAATCCACCTGCTTTGGCCTCTCAAAGTGCTGGGATTATAGGTGTGAGCCACTGCGCCCAGCCTATAAACTTTTTTCTATTTTTTTTTTTTTTACTTGTTCAACTTTTTTGTTAAAAGCCAAAACACAAACACACACATTAGCCTAGAGCCTACACAGGGTCAGAATCATCAGTATCTCTGTCTTCCATCTCCACATCTTGTCTCACTGGAAGGTCTCTAGGGACAATAACACGCATGGAGCTGTCATCTCCTATGACAACAATGCCTTCTTCTGAAATATCTCCTGAAGGACCTGTCTGAGGCTGTTTTACAGGTAACTTAAAAAAAAATAAGTAGAATGAGTGCACTCTAAAAATAACAATAAAAAAACTATAGTATAGTAAATACGTAAACCAGTAACATGGTCATTTATTGTCATTAGCAAGTACTATGTACTGTACATAATTGTATGTGCTATACTTTCATAAAACTGGCAATACAGTAGATTTGTTTATACCAGCATCACCACAAATGCGTGAGTAATGCATTGTGCCAAGACAGTATAACAGGTATGATGCCACTAGCTAATAGGAATTTCTCAGTTCCATTAAGATCTTATAAGCCCAGCATCTTCTATGACGTCATTGTTGACTTGGCCATGCATTGTTATAATTAGCTCACACCAGCACTTTTATGGCTTCCCAGGCAAACAAAATAAATGGCAAAACATATTAGGAAAACAATATAATGACCTGCTACAACCTCCAGTAACCCTGTGCAAAGAGGAAAGAGGATCCAAGGGTGAAAAACTAACATATTAGGCATCTTCTTCCATTCATTTTTTTCACTTTCTCCTCTATGCCTGCCAAGGAAAAACTCAGATTCTTGATTTAACACACATTATCTTCAAATAGAATCCTTATCGTTGTCAGACAATGAGAGGAATGTTGCAAATACATCCAACAATCTGGGTATAAGGAATTTCTTTCTTTAGCTCCTTAGATGTTCTTGATTTTCCCATCAAATCTCTAACCTTACAAAGAAAAGTTGTTTTCTTTTTATTCCACGGACAGGCATGATTCTGAGAATTCTGCGTGTTACTACCAAGCTCCACAACCTACACTGTCATAAATCATTCATTCACTCCATCTGTATTTATGAAGCTCTTAATATGGACACAACATTGTTTTTGTTTAGATCTGTGCCCAGCACAAGGGAAGCATGAGACCATGCATCTGGTCTTTCTGGTACTTCCTCATTTGAGGAGCATTTTATTATATCCAGCTATATTTGAAGGTTCAAACTAAGAAGACGAAATAGCAAGTTGCTAAGGTAAAACCCCCAATGCCTTTGAAGATTTTAAGGAAAAGAACAGGGAGAGAGGAGGAGTGTTACTTGACTCTAATGCCAGTTTAGCTCCATGGATTGCCCAGACATTTGCAGAACACAACTCTTTGGTGAGCCAAAACACCCAGGTAAATGAAGGGAGAAAAGAAAATACTCTCATTTTCCACTTAAAAACTCTATGTTTATTGTTAATGTATTAGAACATTGTATAAGTTTCCCAAAGTGGCAGATCACCCCTGAGTTAGAATCAACTCTTAAAATAAAACACACGTACATTTAAAGATTTATCATGGATTCAACTAAACATGAATTAATATGGCATTCCAGAAAGGAGTCAGACAGTATTAAAAATTATTTTCAGTCTCCAATGATTAAACTCCCATTTTCCTCCTTTTTCTTCAGTCTTGCTTGCCCAGAGAAATTAGTCCTACAACAACTTGCCACAGACAGTCTTTATCAAAATATCAAATTAAATGGCGCCTCTAATCAGGAATGTACGGACAGGCTCAATACCAACATGTTAGTGTTACTGGGTTTGAAAAAACATGAGAAATAACTAAAAATAATGAATCAGGCCTTCAGCCAAAAAATCCGAACTATAAAGGATGTTCTAATGGCAGAAGCTGGGAACAGTCAAATTCTTAGATGCACTTCTCTTGAACTTCATTTGTGCCAATTCTCAGAGAATTTGTAAAGTATTTCTTAGGAACACGCGTTACTCAAGAGACAGTAACTGACCTGAAGTTCTTAAAATTTGTTCTTTAATTAACTAGAACATAAAGAATGTGTCTTATCTTCAGGAACTTCTGGTTCTGCTAAGAAAATCAGTTGCAACAGCTTCAAGCTAACAGTGATACTAAACATGGCTGCAAAGACCAGCTCTTAAGGATAACTGGAAACGTGAGAATAACTTCTCAAATATGAAACTTTGTCCTATTTCCAGGACTACAATTATCTGGAATCCAATTTCTTTTTCTAAAAAAGAAAGGGAAATAAAAAGCAGTTCCTATAACAAACCTGATGTGCCTATGTCCTTCTTAGTTTAGTTTTATTTTTAAGCATGCAAACTTATGTTTAACAAAGAATGAAGGTAAACGCAGGCAGCTATGGTGTATTTTAAGGAAAAATGGATGAGTATAAGGAAGTCTACCATTTACTAGATTGTATATTACTTTAGGTAAGTCACTTTAAGGCATAAACATACCTATTGCTTTATGTGTAAAATGAGAATATTTGTGAAGATTGAAATGGGTATGTTCTTTAAAATATCATAGGAGCCGGTACTTTGTAGTTATATATGATAAATGCTAGGATGTGACTTAATATAGAATTAAATTGACACTCATGATTCATGTCACTCTTACATTTACCCTCTTATAACTCAAGTGATTCCCAGAAGAGGGGTACACCTCAGGGTACTACCTGCCCCCCAACACCAGGTGGCTTCATGAAAATTCTTGGGACTAAATTATATTATCAAGAAGTCCAAGAGAATGCTTTAGCTGGAAAAAGTGGGGTGGTGGGGAGAAGGTTGGGGAGAGGGAAGTAGGAGAGAGAGAGAAAGAAGGACAGAGAAATTGGAAAAAAAAAAGTGTGAAGAAAAAAAAAATTACCCTGTGGTTAGTTTCTACTCACTTTAAGAAAGTGAAGGATTTACTCTAGGAAGTGGTAACAAAGGGTGTGCTCACTTTGTGAAAACTGGTCAAGCTGGACATTTAAGATGTGTGAACTTTTTTTGGATATATATTATGCCTCAATTAAAAAAGCTGACTTTAAATGTGTCTTTCAAAAAAGAACTAAAAGAACATTCCATTTCTAGCTCTGAGCAAAGAAAAAAATTAAATCAAAAAGACCTATAAATATACCACTTGATCAAAGTGTACTTATAGGAACTCTGGTGAAAAGAAGCCAGAATTCCAAGTGGGAGAGACCTAGATTCAAATCTAGCTCTGTTGGCTGACCGTGGGCAAGCTGACATTCCTGAGCCTTGGTTTTTCTCTTCTGTATAATGGAGTAAAGAGTAACTTCCTTCAAGAGGCACGTAGGTACCAACAAGTATTATTCCCTTCCCCATTCCTACTCTGCTCTGAAAAATCATCAAGGTCAGAGTCCACACCAAGTCCTGTTGTTTTAATATGGTGCCTGGCACATGGGGGGCAGCTTGATAAAACTTTGTAGAAGGGGGAGGCGGAGGTTGCAGTGACCTGAAATCGTACCACTGCACTCCAGCCTGGTGACAGAGCGAGACTGTCTCAAAAAAACCAAAACAGGCCAGGCGTGGTGGCTCACGCCTGTAATCCCAGCACTTTGGGAGGCCGAGGCGGGTGGATCACGAGGTCAGGAGATCGAGATCATCCTGGCTAACACGGTGAAAGCCCGTCTGTACTAAAAACACAAAAAATTAGCCGGGCGTGGTGGCGGGCGCCTGCAGTCCCAGCTACTCGGGAGGCTGAGGCAGGACAATGGCGTGAACCCGGGAGGCGGAGCTTGCAGTGAGCCGAGATCGCGCCACTGCAGTCCAACCTGGGAGAAGAGCGAGACTCCGTCTCAAAAAAACAAAACAAAAAACACTTTGTGGAATGAAAGACCAGATTTTTACCTTCTAGGGACCTATAATCTCGAACGGAGTCAGAAGAAAAAGACCATGAAAAAAATCCATCACTTCCAAGCCCCTCCGCTTGCTGATGGCTCCCATTTCTCCCAATCACAAATAATCTCTCCCAACAGGCTGTGGTACTGAGATTTCTTTAAAAAGGCTACACTTCCTGCTATTTGCTTTTGCTTACATAAAACCAACTCTGCTTCCTCATTCTTTAGTATCCCTGATTTGCATGACTCTTGGCTTGGTATTCTATCCCTCGTATTTCTTACAGCAGTTGTTTGACCATTCCTCACCATTCAAGGTCTTATTTCACTTAACACTTTAACTTTGAACATGTGTTACTTTCACAGCATCTCTCACAAGGCAAATGCTCAAATTTAATTTTGATTGATTTAATTCTTGGAACACAAGTTCGGAACCCATCTAAATACTAGCTTATGTTAAGTCTCTACCCAACTAGTTTCATGTAAGGAGAATATACAAACCAGGAATAGCAATAATGATAATAAGACTGATGCCTGTGACAGACTAAAGTAATAGATTTATTTCCCATTCAATTTAGGAACCCTTAGAATTCTTCTAACACAGCAGTCCAGGAAGCCACTACCAATCAATCTAAGTTGCCATCAGTTGAAATCTATTAGTCATTCCCAGGAATAAATATCCTCCAGTATGACAGCTCTCCAACACCTTATGACCTCAGAAAATGTATCCCAAATCTGTCTTAACACATGCAATGTTTCCTACGAAATTCCTTAAAGCACAGAATTCATACCCTGTATCTTAAACTTCTAACACACAACTAGTATACTCAAAACCGAAAGATGATGTACATCATGAACACTTGAAAAATTCACGAATTAAAAATGTCTTACAGGGAAAGCAGTTGTCTCCTTGGGAAAGAATGGTGTATGGTTTACACCTATTTTAAGGAGAATGATGGTGGCATGAGCAGGTGTCAGATCTCAGAGCAGAAGGCAGAGGTCTTGTCATACAGGTCTTACTCCACCCCACAAACCCCATCCAATATTGCTTGACTAATTTGGAATGGCTATTACTCAACATTTGGAGAATCAGAATTCCAAGCAGAGAAAGCAAACAAGAAAAAAGGAACAGTTTGCTGTAGCATATCTCCCTCACCCCACGAAATTAAGATGGCCCAAACCATGGCTGACCATGCACATTCACTTACATACAGCCCTGACTTCTCTATAAAGGATGTAGCTTTCCTCAAGGTATCCCTTCTTCCTTTTCTCCATCCCCCAAACAATTCTCAGATCAAACAACAAAGCTGCCTCTGCAAAGTCTACTAATATCCTGATTATTCTCCAAACATAAAAAGGTGAAAATGAATTGTTAGTCTTTTAATAACGAATGCAATCAGTCCATCTAAGAGTTTAGCAATTTTCCCTAACAACATACTTCTCTCCACCCTCACCCTTACTTTTCTGAGCTTTCAAACACTGTGAAACATTTGCTCTAGGTACCTAGCATCAGAGCCTTGCACAAAGGGTTGGAGAGAACAATCGACAAAGCCTCTATCTGTTTCATCATGATGGTTCCCCTTACTAATAGGAAGTGTGCTTCCTGTCCATCCTTTGACTTTTGCTGTCAGTGGGAACCCTATTGCCTTAAAATAACATTCTGAATTCACCTGCTTACTGTTGAGCACGCTAACACTTTCAGTAGTGACACTTAAAAATGGAAAGTTCCATTAATTGTTAATAATGGAAAATGAGATACTCTGAATTAGGAATATGCTCTCACTTTGCTGTTTATTATAGCTATCAGTTCTGCCATATTATATATGAATTCATAAATTATGCTGTGAGATTTACTCTCATACCACATTGAACTTGGTAAGAATCTATTCTAGGTCTTCCTGATTAAATTCACATTTAAAAAAAAAATTAATGGGTAAGTATTTATCCACTATTAGGAAACTCTCACTTTTTGAAGCGATCTATAAAGTCTAGTAATCAGCCTGTGAGCAAGTTCAGGTATTTATAAGCCTATAAAATACACCTGCCACATGTGGGTTTTTACACTTGAACAGTAAGATGGCATTGGCTCTGCAATATTTTTGAAAAAGCCAAATACCTACCTCTTCATCACTTGTAAAATTAAAGGGCAATCGTAAACATCGGATACATTTCTATTTCTTAAATAGGATCTAAAGTTTAAAGAAACAGCTTTCTGGCTCATTTTAGCCAAACATTAAAGTTTCACTAATTTAGGTAACATTCATTTGGTATCCAAAAATGAGCATAAATACTGTGTGCTGGAAAAAAACTCTTTAAGCAAACAAATGCTATCAGTAATACAGGATTAAGGGGGATGATATATGTTCCCTCAAAAGAATTATTTCCCAAAACTGCATTTACAAAGAATAAATGAAACTTAAAACTATTCTGTATCTCTTACAAATCAGTCTCTTAAAAACTCATTTTACAATAGGGTCAGACAATGATAAAAACTTAGAACTGCTGGTCATGGTGTCTCATGCCTGTAATCACAGCACTTTGGGAGGCTGAGGCAGGAAGATCACCTGAGGTCAGGAGTTCAAGACCAGCCTGGGCAACATGGTGAAACCCCACCTCTACTAAAAATACAAAAATTAGCTAGGCATGGTGGTGTATGCCTGTAGTCCCAGCTACTCAGGAGGCTGAGGCAGGAGAATCACTTGAACTCGGGAGGCAGAGGTTGCAGTGAGCCAAGATCGTGTCACTGCACTCCAGCCCGGGCAACAGAGCGAGACACCATCTCAAAACAAAAACAAAAACAAAAAAAACCAACAAAAAACAAAAACAAAACACACACACACAAAACAACTTGGAACTAGCTGGGTAAAGAATATAGTGGCCTAAGGAAATCGTTATTAGCCCCAATTTATAAACAATTAAATTGATGACAGAAAGAGGAGCAGGTGGCTTCTTGCATTCAAAGTGGAACAAACTTGAGGCTTAAAAATTCCAGGCGGCTGGGTGCGGTGGTTCACGCCTATAATCCGACCGTTTTGGGAGGCTGAGGAGGGCAGATCGCTTGAGCCCAGGAGTTCAAAACCAGCCTGGGCAACATGGTGAAACCTCGAAACCTCATCTCTACTAAAAATACAAAAATTAGCTGGGCGTGGTTGTACGCGCCTGTAATCCCAGCTACTCGGAAGGCTGAGGCAGGAGAATTGCTTGAACCCAGGAGGCAGAGGTTGAAGTGAACCGAGATCGGGCCGTTGGACTCCAGCCTGGTCGACAGAGCGAGACTCTGTCTCAAAAAAAAAAGAGAAAAGCTGCTATAGATGAATAACTTGGTGTCATGGCTAAAAAAGAACAATAATTGCAACCTATTCTAAACTAAGAGTAAGACATTGAGAAATGCCAAATCAGGCCCTTCAGTTGCAATTGGAAATTTAAAACTATGTTTTTCATTTACAAGAAAGAAAATTCACTTCTAGCATGTTATCTTTATCATCATATTAGGCCATATTGTAGATGAGAACACTGGAGTTTAAAGAGATCAAATAGTATGTAATAAAAGGAGAACCAACATCTTTTAAAAACTGTAAATGTATGTGATCCTGTTTGTGGACCAGCAGAGATTATGCTAGTTTGATTTAGTGAACTGTGTGAATAATGAATAAATTCAAAAAATATGTATTTTTTTGTTCCCATGTTTTTTATATTTATTTCAAGTTTACAATACAAGCAGATTTAAGCTGAGCAAGGGTTCCTTGAGAAGGAGGGCCCGACATGGATCTGAAAGCTGGTGCTATTAATAGTTTGAAAAGAAACAAAATCATAGTTGGATGGTACATGCATTTGCCATCATTTATTGTCATCATTCATTGCCACCATTTCCCAGTTCATTTCCTGGAAATCCTGCTGCAGAAAAGGTTGTAAATTAATTTTTTTTTATTTTTATTTTTTAGATGGAGTCTCGCTCTGTCACCCAGATGGGAGTACAATGGTGCAATCTCAGCTCACTGCAACCTCCGCCTCCCAGGTTCAAGCGATTCTCCTGCCTCAGCCTCCCAAGTAGCTGGGATTACTGTTGTGCACTGCCATGCCCAGCTAATTTTTGTATTTTTAGTAGAGACGGGGTTTCACCGTGTTGGCCAAACTGGCCTTGAACTCCTGACTTCAAGTGGTCCACCCGTGCCGGCCTCCCAAAGCGTTGGGATTACAGGCATAAGCCACCGCACCAGCATTAATTCTTTTACAAGCTGTCCAGGATGGGCCCTAATACACTATCCCCATGATAAGCATAACTTGCATTCCATTTCCTCTAATAAGGGTGTCTCCACAGTGGATTAAATGCCTCAGCCAGATGCACAATAGACTAGTCATCATTTTCACAAGCTCCAGTTAAACCACACGAGTAAGGGCATAGGAGGTCAAAGGGGGCTGCTGATGATGAAGAAACCGGGCTGCCAGGAGGAAGGCAAATAAGAGCAAGAGTGTTTTCCACTAGTAGGTCACCTTACAGATACTGACATATCTGTCTCCTGGCTAGGCACTCCTTCCTCTCCACCACTCCAGGAAAGATGGTCCACCCGGTGTGGGATCCAACCACAGCTTACAGACACAACAAAAACTTCCTGTGAGAGCTTGAGACTGCCGAAAACACATCTAGTTTTGCTTTATTCTTGCTACTTGGAACTACAGCCTGGGAACAGATACACTGAATTACTGCGACAGCCAGAGAGAAAATCATGAAATAGGAGGAGGGAGGAAGAAGAGTCAACTGGGAAAAGGGAAAGGAAATTAAATGAACAGAGAATCAATTATATGTGAGCCTGTCTCTGCTTCATATGTTATACAATTTAAGCACCAAGTGTCATTGTCCTCATTTCACATATGAGTTGACGGAAGCTTAGAAAAGCCTAGCAACAGGACCAAATGCTTTGACTCTACTTTGCAAACTCTTTCCACATAATCATGGCAGGATCCGCATGATCCTGAACTGGAGAAACAATATAGTCAACTAATGCTCTGTATGTGTCTCAGAAATAGCTTTGCTGCTGGGTGCCACTGGTACATGCAATGTAACCACAGACAGGCCAATGAGGCCTAAATCTGTTAGATGTCAGGCTGCAGAGATGGATGATGCCAGAAGGATCAAGGTGAAGGGCGTGAACTCTAGAGTCGAGCTGTCCAAGGCTGATTTCTGACTGCAAGACTCACTGGCAAAGTGACCCTGACAATAACACGTGCTCTCCAACCTTCAGCATCCTCAGCTGTAAATGGACTAACAGCACTTGCCTCAGGTGCCAGTGGGTGTTTAGCCCAGTGCCTGGCACACGGCAAGTTCTTTAGTGTTATTAAGTTCTTTGATAATTAAATTTCCCCAGTTGTGTAATTAAGCCAATGGCAGGAAAAGATCATAAATACAGATAAGCTCCAAATAAACCTTGGCACAAGAAAAGGCCTCCTGTCTCCTGGTATGCTGTAGGGTGGCAGGAAGCATGTTACTCTAACCATCACAAAAAAGCAGAGGCTCTGATAAGTGATTACTCCAACCGCAATAACCCAAGAGATGAAACTCCCTCATTCTGAATGGCCAGTTCCGATTCCCTATCCAATGAGCAACTGAGTCTAAATCCCATCAATGAAGCCTACAAAAGGGACAAAAGTCAGCAACCAACATCACAGCCCACTCAAGCTCAGAGAGCTGCCCTGCTCACCAAGAGAAGGCAAGTCAAGAGCTAAGGGCAAATGGGGAACCCTTTGAGACTGGCCTCAGAAAGAAGGCCAACGGTGGACCTAAATTTCACATTTCTCAAACACTTATTCTGCGAGCTTGTAAAAAGCAGTCTCTTCAACACCTGGGTCTTCTGAGCTCAGCAAAAAGTGCCAGGTTCGAGGATACCCAGAATTCTCCCTCATCTTTCACTTTGAACTGAGCTGGCCTGCTGCAAATATTGTTTCAATATCACATCATGACACTTTATTCTAGTACTTAGCTTGATGCCTTCTGCAGAGCAAGCACTCAGTAAATATTTGTTGATTACACCAACAGAATTATTTTATTTTTAAAAAACACTGACACAATCTGCAATATGAATCTTCTTTCTCACGGGAGCTATGTTTAGTTATTTTTAGGATATCCCTGCAGAAATGCACAAAAAGAGGGAGAAAAGAAGAAAAAGAGGAAAAGGAAGAAGAGTAGAAGAGAGAGAGAGGATAAGAGAGCTAATTTTTAGGCACCTGAAGAAGAAGAAGAAAAAAAGACTATTGAAGACAAGGTGTTAGAAATGAGGCACGATGGCTCTGAGATCAAAAATGGCACCATATTGCAAGAGGGAGAGAGAGACCCAAATTAACATCCTTTCCTTGCAAATGGTTCTGTCCTATAGCAGAGTATACTAAAGAATACTGCTTAGAAGTCCTAACAGAGCTAGATCTTGCCATCATTAGAGATTGCCTCAACAATTTTCAAGCCCTGAGATTTACCCTTTACAATTTTCTATTTTAGGACCTAAGGGGCAGGTAGGAGAACTTTCACTTTTTACTTTATCCCTTTTCTTATTCCTTTATTTATTTATTACAATGGGTAGGTACCAATTTAGTATTTAAAAACTAATTATCTCCCTTCAGAACTAGAAGAGATCTTGAAAATAATTAATTTCAGTGGTCTTCTTTGTTGGAGAGAAAACCATGGGCTTACAAGAGATCAAGCTGAGTCTGGGATGCAGGCTTCCTAACTTGGGGGCCAGTGTTCATTCAGCTTCCTGGATCACATCAACAGTCTCAGAGCACTGGGTGGCAGAGGCCAAGGAGGAGCGACAAAGTGTGATGAGTTTATTCTGGCTAGAGTGGATCCTGATCCCCTAATAGTGAATCATCTACAATTTTACAACATGACCACCAGAAAGCATATACATATAATGTCCCAAAGTCAAGAGCAATCTGAAGAAAAATTTCTTCCCACAATTTATGAATTATTTCTCATAACAGTAGGGAGGCTATGCTGGAAACCATGAGCTAGGTTCCAGGTAATTGGTGCATAAGAACTAAATAAGACAAGGATAAATTTATGTGATAGAGCTAACAATGGGACAACTGAGCATTTCTTAAAATGTGGCCGCGCACAGTGGCTCATGCCTATAATCCCAGCACTTTGGGAGGCTGAGACAGGTGGATCACTGAAGGTCAGGAGTTCGAGACCAGCCTGGACAACATGTTAAAACCCTGTCTCTAATAAAAATACAAAAATTAGCTGGGTGGTCGCGTGTACCTGTAATTTCAGCTACTTGGAAGGCTGAGGCAGGAGAATCGCTTGAACCCGGGAGGTGGAGGTTGCAGTGAGCAAAGACTGCACCACTACCCCCAAGCCTGGGTGACAGAAAGAGACTCCATTTTTTTTAAAAGGTGTCAGACAGTCCAAGAGAACACAATGCATGCCAGGGTTCTGGTTCCCCTAGCTTCCCTGTCCCCTTCGCTAGAAATTAACATCAAACCACAGAAAATGCCTCAGTAACTACTTCTTCAGCTCATCTCCAGTCTAGGGGCCCCAGTATATAGTGGCAGTTCAGGGTATCTCCTTCTGTTTTTCAGACACTTCAACTGTTCCAAAGACCTGGGCAAAATCTCCCTTTTTTAAACCATGTGGAGAATCTTCTTTCCTATTGTCATTAGTTAAGTATAAAATCAAAAGCAGAGACTCTCTTTAACCAGTACAGCCTCTTTTCCAGAGAATGCCAAGGAGACGCTAACCCAGTTTGGTCCTGAGCTGGTTTCCATCTCCATGATTCATGCCATAAATGTCATCCTCAGCAAAGAGAGGATCTGGTGGCCTGCTACTCTCAGCTTCTTACTCTGGGAGGGAAGTAGGAAGTGGTAAGGATAATTCCTTGGATTTACTTCATCAATGACTCTATAATAAGTAATAAGGGTAGAACACATTACAATTCACAAAATAATTCCACAAACATTATCTCACTTGCTTTTAATAACAACATTGGAAGAATGAACAACTCATTCCAGTGAGGAATTTAAGACTCAGAGGTTAAATAAAGCTGAATATGGGAAAGATTAGGCAATTTGCCCACCTCAGGACTTGAACTTTGGTGGGCAGGCTTTAGCTCTAAAGTTCTTCTATACCAAAGCTGTGTCAACATTAAAGCTGGGACTGGACTTCCAATCTGAGGACCCAGAAGAGTCAGCATATCCTACTTAACTTCTAAGGGTAGGGTGGCGGGGTATGATTTCTTTATTTTGAACTATAATTTATATGGTGTCTCCTAGAAGTTTATGGCCCATACAGGTATCTTCCACTGTTGCGGGAAGTCAAGGACCCCGAACAGAGGGACCGGCTGGAGCCTCGGCAGAGGAACATAAATTGTGAAGATTTCATTTTAATATGGACATTTATCAGTTCCCAAATAATACTTTTATAATTTCTTACACTTGTCTTACTTTAATCTCTTAATCCTGTTATCTTCGTAAGCTGAGGATGTACGTCAGGACCACTGTGATAATTGTGTTAACGGTATAAATTGATTGTAAAACGTGTGTTTGAACAATATGAAATTAGTACACCTTGAAAAAGAACAGAATAACAGTGATTTTTAGGGAACAAGGGAAGACAACCATAAGGTCTGACTGCCTGCGGGGTTGGGCAAAAAGAGCCATATTTTTCTCTTTGCAGAGAGCCTATAAATGGACGTGCGAGTAGGAAAGATATCACTGAATTCTCTTCCTAGCAAGGAATATTAATATTAATGCCCTGGGAAAGGAATGCATTCCTAGGGGGAGGTCTATAAACGGCCGCTCTGGGAATGTCTATCTTATGCGGTTGAGATAAGAACTGAGATATGCCCTGGTCTCTGGCAGTACCCTCAGACTTACTAGGGTGGGGAAAAACTCTGCCCTGATAAATTTGTGGTCAGACCGGTTCTCTACTCTCGAACCCTGTTTTCTGTTGTTTAAGATGTTTATCAAGACAATACGTGCACCGCTGAACATAGACCCTTATCAGTAGTTCTGCTTTTACCCTTTGCCTTGTGCTCAGTAGTTCTGCTTTTGCCCTTTGTCCTGTTCCCTCAGAAGCATGTGATCTTTATTAGATCCTTATTAGTAGTTCTGCTTTTTGCCCTTTGAAGCATGTGATCTTTGTACCTACTCCCTGTTCTTACACCCTCTCCCCTTTTGAAACCCTTAATGAAAAACTTGCTGGTTTGAGGCTCAGGTGGGCATCACGGTCCTACCAATATGTGATGTCACCCCCAGCAGCCCAGCTGTAAAATTCCTCTCTTTGTACTCTTTCTCTTTATTTCTCAGCCGGCCAACACTTTTGGAAGATAGAAAGAATCTACATTGAAATATTGGGGGCGGGTTCCCCTGATATTCCACTAAGAAACTATTTCAATATGGTTTTATTATGCTGACTAATTATTACAAGTTGATCAGTCTTCTTCTGCTGATATTGTTTGAGTGGAATAATTCTGCATAGAATGTTCAAATTTTTGTTTTTTGCTTAATAGATATAACCATATATATATATATATATACCTGAATAGGCATTCATTTAGATCTCCCTCATTCTTCTAAAATCCTGCCTAATATTCTACCAAATGGATGTACCACAATGCTTTTAATCAATCTCCTACTGATAGAAATTTAAGTTATTTCAAATTTTTCATTCTTATAAAAAAATCAAAATATTTATTTCAACAACCAAATAACAAACAATATATCAAATCACTATTTGAGGTCAGGCACGGTGGCTTATGCCTGTAATCCCAGCACTTTGGGAGACCAAGGCAGACAGATCACCTGAGGTGAGGAGTTCGAGACCAGCCTAACCAACATGGCAAAACCCTGTCTCTGCTAAAAATACAGAAAGTTAGCCGGGCATGGTGGCGCATGCCTGTGGTCCCAGCTACTCAGGAGGCTGAGGCACGAGACTCTCTTAAACCCAAGAGGCGGAGGTTACAGTGAGCCAAGATCATGCCACTGCATTCCAGCGTGGGTGACAGAGCGAGACTCTGTCTCAAACAAAACAAAACAAAACAAAACAAAACAAAACAAAACAAAAGTCACTCTTTGTGATAAAGTCTGAAATATTCTGTTTTGGCTGAATGTAAAAACTTAAAACTATAAAGCAGAGGTGCTGTGGGCTCTGTCAAAGTCAGTTTTATCACAGGAAACCGTTGTCTTTTGTGGATTTCTTTGATAGAAACTGCTTTTTTTGGCATTTCACTTCTTTTATAGAAAAAATGCTATTCTGTTGGGACTGAATGATACTATATCTTGACACAGAAAAGTTATTTATACATAAATTACAGTAACTTTACCCATGTTAATGAAGCTGTCATCCTCTTGTGTGATTTACTGCAATCTTGTAATAGAAAAGTTTCATTTCCTTGACACCTGGGTGGTAATGGGACCGATAATTCCATGCTGCAAATGTTTCCTCCTCTCTTCTACCAGAGGTGTGTTAAAATCTAGAGTGCATTTTTAGGTCAGAGTAATTCTGATACCAGTCTCCAGGGCCCAGAGCACCAGCGCAGACACACACAGGTGTGCGCACCCACACAGTCACATCCATTATCCAGAAAACCCAGCAAGACCT
Organism: Homo sapiens; assembly: GCF_000001405.40. Taxonomy (NCBI): domain Eukaryota; kingdom Metazoa; phylum Chordata; class Mammalia; order Primates; family Hominidae; genus Homo; species Homo sapiens. The sequence continues at coordinate 117,916,436 of NC_000008.11, forward strand.
CCTCTTTCTTCAAGAGATTTATAGTTCTCAGGATATAGGCCTGTACTTGTTCTGCAACTGAGTTTGAGAATAGCAACATATACGTAATGAGAAAGAATAATAGAAGGCATTAAAAAATGACTGGGAATTAAAGTTGGAAAAGGCAGTTTAACAGAGAGTTCAGATTTCAGTTTAAAGTTTAACAATACTGTTTAAGGATGGGTGCAGTGACTCACACCTGTAATCCCAGCACTTTGGGACACCAAGGCAGGAGGATCACTTGAGGTGAGGAGTTTGAGACTAGTCTGGCCAACATGGTGAAACCCCGTCTCTACTAAAAATAGAAAAATTAGCTGGGTGTGGTGGCCTGTAATCCCAGCTACTCGGGAGACTGAGGCACGAGAATCACTTGAATCCAGAAGGCAGAGGTTGCCTTAAGCCAAGATAGCACCACTGCACTCCAGCCTGGGGGATAGAGTGAGACTCTGTCTCAAAAAGTAATAATAATAAAATAAAAAATAAAGTTTAACAATACCGTTTAAGAAAAAGCTACTTCAGAAGGTAATAGATAAGAAGAAACATATAGGTAATTGAAGACAGCCTATCACAATCAATTTTTCTCTCTAGATCTTACCAAAATTGTAATATCAGTAATAATACTGATAGAAAGAAAATTAAAGGAGATGAGAAAAAGGATTTTCATAAGCTACCACAATGTAAAGATCTTTTCATAAATAGCTTCTTACAACTACAGACTTTTTAAAAAACCTTCATCCTGGCTGGGCGCTGTGGCTCACACCTGTAATCTTGGCACTCTGGGAGGCCGAGGCGGGCGGATCATTTGAGGTCAGAAGTTAGAGACTAGCTTGGCGGACATGGCTTAATCCCGTCTCTACCAAAAATAGCCAGGCGTAGTGGTGCGTGCCTGTAATCCCAGCTACTTGGGAGGCTGAGGCAAGAGAATCACTTGAACCCAGGAGGTGGAGGTTGCAGTGAGCTGAGATTGTGCCACTGCACTCCAGCCTGGACGACAGAGTGAGACGCCATCTCAAAAAATAAAAATAAAAAACCTTCATCCTAACACATCCTAACACGTCTGCTCCTTTAATATTTTCATTGATAATATGCTTTCGTAAAATTCTCACCAGCATTTTTGAGGTGCAATATTCATTTAGCTAAGCGAATGGTTTCACCTCAAAGATGCAAAGTTCTGGCTGGACCTAGTATGATCAGCACACTCACACTTTCTGATGTGCGTATGGTACCACTGCCTTTTCTGTCTGTCAGTAGAATGGTCTCCACTGTAGAGAAGACAGAACAGCAGATGAAGGTGTGCCTGGACAAGCAACCACAGGTTCCATCCCAGAGGTAGCTGGTGGGTGGCGCTGTTAGTCCACAGGACCTATATTCCTTTTCTGCTTGTCACTCATTCAGGCACTGCTGACCACCACTCACTAACCTGGCATTCACTGAATGCCTAACATGTGCCTTGGGTGGTATGTGTTACGTTCCAGAAATACACAGACAACCAAAACTTGGTCAGCACACTGTTAGGCACCTGACAGCAAGGATCCTGACATAATGAACACTAATGTGGGGAGTCCTGTGCCTTTTCCAGGGATAAGCCTCCATTTAGCACAGCTATCTGCCAAATGACTTCCTTGCTGAGCTTCAAAGCCTCCCGTAATGCAGCTTTAAACAGCACGAGATGCTGTAACAAAAGAGACGTCACTACACTGAATGTGAAGTTGGTATTTCCTATTTCCCAGCAATGTTACTTCATAGGATTTCTATTACATTCAACTTTCTAGAATTTCACTGCATGTTCTTTCACTCAACAATAGTGAGCTTCTGCGCTGCACCCAACACAGTGCCAGGTCCTGTGAGTATCATTAGGAATATTATAGATTCTGCCCCAAAGGAGCTCCACAGATCACCTTTAGTTGGAAATAAGGCTCAATGTAGACAGTAACAACCATGCTGCACAGATATCATGAATGTGCTAGTCTCCCAAGATGGCCTCATCAATTCCTCCCTTCCCTGATTGCATTTGCTGCTTCTTCCTTCCAGAAGTAAGTCTATTTCCCCTCCTCTTGAATCTAGGCTGGCTTTGTGTTTTGCTCTGACCAGCAGAATGCTGCAGAGGTGACACTGTGTCTGTTTTAAGTGTGGCCCATAAGTGGCCTGAAACTTCTGCTTTTGCTCTTTAGGAATCTGCCTCTTGGGACCCAGCTGCCACACTGTAAGGAAGTCCAGAGCGGGCGTGAGAGGCTGCATGGAGGCGAACTGAGCGTCCCACTGAGCTACCAGCCGAATGCAGCCACAGGAGTGACCCCAGCAGATGCCACATGGAATGGAAAAACAACCAACCCAGTCAAGGCACTGGATCTCGAGGAACTATAAAAGTTGTTTTAAGGCACTATTTTGCAGATGTCTTATTACATATGAGAATATCCACTGACATGATGTGTTAGTCACACTGTTGGAGGAGAATATGAGAAATATCCATGGATCAGTTCCCCTAAGTGAACCCTCTAATATTCCTGAGGCAAAAAAAAAATCTACTGTTAGCAGAATTCAATACAGCTTACCTCTCCAAAAATCTACTGTTAGCAGAATTCAATACAGCTTACCTCTCCTGTGGAGACCTTTGTTTTAGCCTCACACATCCTTGGAGAAAAAAAGAATTCAACTTTACAGAAAAATAGCAAAATAGGAGAACTCTTCTTAACTTTCATGCTCATTAAAGTGAAAATTAATTAAGAAGACATCTGAGGTGTTTTTTTTTTTGGAGACAAGGTGTCATTTTGTCACCCAGGCTGGAGTGGTGGTGTGATCACATCCCACTGTAGCCTCGAACTCCTGGGCTCAAGTGATCCTCCCACCTCAGCCTCCAGAACAGCTGGCACTACAGGCATTACACCACCACACCAGGCTATTTTTGTTGTTGTTTTTGGTAGAGATGGGGTCTCCCTGTGTTGCCCAGGCTGGTCTCAAACTCCCAGGCTCAAGCAGTCCTCCCACCTTGACCTCCCAAAATGCAGGAATTACAGCCATGAGCCACCACGCTTGGCCAACATCTGAGTTAAAACTTTTTTTTTTTTTTTTGAGACAAGGTTTTGCTCAGTTGCTGAGGATGGAGTGCAGTGGTGCAAACACGGCTAACTGCAGCTTCAAACTCCTGGGCTCAAGCAATCATCCCGCCTCACCCTCCCAAGTAGCTAGGACCACAGGCACGTGCTACTATATTTGGCTAATTTTTAAAATTTCTGTAGAGATGGGATCTTGCCATGTTGTCCAAGCTGGTCTTAACTCCTGGGTTCAAGTGATCCTTCCACTTCAGCCTCCCAAAGTGCTGCAATTAAAGCCATGAGCTACCACACCTGACCAAGAGCTAACCATTAAATAAATATTCCTGGTTTAAATTCCAAATTATATGAAATGAATCAACTATATTTTATTTAGAAGGTCAGATAATACATTACAAACAGTGAATGTAGATTTTATGTATTTACTATGTGTTAAGAAGAATTTTAAATCCTGATTTCTTTTTCTCGGGTTTAACTGGAAGCAAGAGCACGCCACATCATGTTGATAGTTGATATGGTGGAGCTGATGAGAAGGAACAGGGGTTTGAGGTTAAAGAGAGAACAAAGAGAGAGGCAACAGAAATGGGAAAATTCAATTTTTATTTTATTTTATTTTTTTGAGACAGAGTCTCAATCTGTCACCCAGGCTGGAATGCAGTGACGCGATCTCGGCTCACTGCAACCTCCACCTCCCAGGTTCAGGCGATTCTCTTGCCTCAGCCTCCCGAGTAGCTGGGATTACAGGTATATGGCACCACACCAGCTGATTTTTGTATTTTTAGTAGAGACGGGGTTTCACCATATTGGCCAGGCTGGTCTCGAACTCCTGAACTCAGGTGATCCACCCGCCTCGGCCTCCAAGTGCTGGGATTACGGGCATGAGCCACCGCACCTGGCCCAATTTTTAAATTTTTTAACAGTATCTGTAGTGTGACTTCAACAGTAAAATCACTTACCAATAAGTAAAACATTCCTAAATCCCTCCTGTGTTCTTTCCCTGCATTATCTCCTAAGCACGGGCAACATTTTCATTTAACAAAGCAAACACCACAGAAAATAATCATCATGCAAACTCTCCTGGGAAGGAAGAGGGACTGCTGCTTTCTTACTAGTTATTGCAATCAGTGTTTACAGCATGCCTTTACACGACCAATACGCCTTACAGTCGCTCATTAGTTACTCTTTCCAAATTCCTGGAGAAGTGGGTCAGCATTATCATCTTCGGGATTACTTTAGGGAGGAGGAAGCTGACCATCCCTGTGAAGATAACTTAGCCACAATTGTGCTGGGTGGAAGTTGACCACCCCTGTGAAGATAACTTAGCCACAATCGTGCTGGGATAACAGGAGTGGCTGCTTCAGAACAGAGCCTTGGGTGCCACCAGTTTGCTCCTCCAACACATCATCAAGCAGGACTCCACCACCAGCATGGATTTACAAGACTCCCCTCGTCCCTCCCTAAACATACAGGATGTACATTTGGAACAAGTTTGTATCTTCAAATTTGTAAAATACACCATCACAGGTCATCCTTTAATGTTTTGCATCGAAAGGGTGGTTTTTATATTCCTTTCTCTGTTTCAAAAATGCATTACAGCTTACAAAGTAACATCCTGGTGAGGCTGCATTTCCTGAGAGTAATGACTAATAAAGGCTTTGGGCAAAGCCTCGCCTGCAACTCCTCTAGCCAGCATTATTAACAACAAGGGCACAGCTTTTCAAGAGGCCCCGCTACTTCCATCATAAATGCTAACAGGTGCTCCTTTTATCTGGGGATCCTCAAGCACCTTACAGATACTACTCATTAAGTCTCATGAGGCCTCTAGGAGACAGACCCAGTGAGACACATAAAAGGGAATCCTGTCACTCATCAAAGACAGAAAACAGCAACCAGCTCATATACTTGATAGAGCAACAACAATTTTACTGAAGGAAACATTAGAAACATTGCCTAGAAATCTCTAACCTAGATGCTTTCTTCTGAGTCTCATTCACTCATTGGCAAAATGAGAATAATAACACTAGTTCAGACAACTTCATGAGGTTAGAGAGTGCAGATCAAATGAAGGGGGCAGAGGGAAAGGGGCTGAGTAAACTCTGATGTCCATACAGATAAAAGGCATTATTTCCATGATCTAAATCAAACTGAGATTTGAGGCAGAAAATGCCATCTCTAAATCTTGTGCCTAATACAGGGAGTCTTTTTTCCAAACAGCTTGGGCATTATTTATACAAATGCAAATTCTATTTCTATGTCTATGATCACATTCCTATAGGGTATAGGAGAAGATGAAGGAAGAGAAAAGCAAAATGAGAGTCAAAGCACATAGACACAATTATCCTTGATTGTAATGTTTGCATATATTCAACATTCAAAACATTTTTTCATCTGCCTGGAAAACATTCATGATAGAAGAAATAGAACTGTACAGACTCTGCAATGGATTATGTCGCTTTATTCAGATTTGTTTTCTTTTTTTTTTTTTAACTCCAGTTACAAAAATTACAGCTTTAAAAGTTTCACTGAAATTCCCATAAAACTGCAGGAATTCAACTGCCAACTGGATTTGCTGCTGCAGGAGATAATCCACTTTGGTTCAGAGGTGGCCCCTTTTGCTTGAAAGGAAACCAGGACCTTCCTGAAACTGTCATGGGCTATCTAAACCACACCAGCCCTTAGAACTCACACTCCCAATTTCTAAATTCCCAAGTGTCTCCCTTCAAAAACGAGAAAGGGGGTACCTCCATGTATTTAAAGAGGTCGATTAATTTTATCTCCCGAGGTCTAAGTAAACAAACAAACAAACAAACAAAAACCCTGGCAATTTGCTTTAAAACATACAGAGTACTTTCCCAAGGAGTTGACAATGTGGTGAGAAACAATCAGAAGCCAGAACTCAAAAGAACAGAGGGGCAAGTTGTTGCGTTACTAGAGTAGGTTGGTAGCCAAGTTTTCGTTTCATTTAGAAACTTTATAAAGAAGTTTCCGTGAACATGAAAGTTATGACAGTCATCTGTCACAGTCAGTAACCGATCCACCTTTCTTAGGATTGAGGAATTCTCCATTGTGAGTGTCTGAGAGAGGCATGGTTTGTCTCTCATTATAGAAGGAGAACAAGAGAGAAGCTGGCTTCTCTCTTCCCTTGCCTTGTTAGGGATATAAATGGAAACTAAATTAGCCAATCAGATGCAGCATTTCAATGTCCAGCCAAAGCACTGCCCAACATCCAGTGTATCTCGGCTGTCTGGACAGGGCTCAGGCAGCAGCTCCAGCCCAGTCCTAACCATTATGTCTATACTGCGTACCGTCCAATATTCCTTAATAACTTCTTTTTCTGGTTGAGTTAACCAGTTTCCATTGCTTTCTGCAAAGAGCCCACACTGGACTAATCATGGGCTAAAGAGGCAACCCTTTCTAATGCTAGTACTGCCTGGATCCTGAGCAATTGTCCATGGGCAGTTCATTTTATAGATATAAGAAGCAGGAGGATGCAAGAGGAAAGTGATTTAGCAAAAGTCATTTAGCCCAAAATTTAAAACTGCCAGGCACGGTGGCTTGTGCCTGTAATCCCAGCACTTTGGGAGGCCGAGGTGGGTGGATCACTTGAGGTCAGGAGTTCGAGACCAGCCTCGCCAACATGGTGAAACCCCGTCTTTACTAAAAATACAAAAATTAGCTGGGCGTGGTGGTGGGTCCCTGTAATCCCCAGGTAGCTGGCTGAGGCAGGGAATCACTTGAACCTGGGAGGTGGAGGTTGCAGTGAGCTGAGATTGTACCACTGCACTCCAGCCTGGGCAACAGAGACTCTGTTTCAAAAACACAAAAAGAAGGAAGGAAAAAGGACAGTGAGCAGGGGGATGTGGGTGGCTCGAGGAGACTGGAGGAAGAAAAGGGCTTTGAATTCTCAGCATGTTTACTTGACTTAAAGAAGCGGCTGGGCACGGTGGCTCACACCTGTAATCCCAGCAATTTGGGAGGCCAAGGCGGGCAGATCACGAGGTCAGGAGATCGAGACCATCCTGGCTAACACGGTGAAACCCCATCTCTACTAAAAAAAAAAAAAATACAAAAAATTAGCCAGGCATGGTGGCGGTTGCCTGTAGTCCCAGCTACTCGGGAGGCTGAGGCAGGAGAATGGTGTGAACCCGGGAGGTGGAGCTGGCAGTAAGCCGAGATCGTGCCACTGCACTCCAGCTGGGGTGACAGGGCGAGACTCTGTCTCAAAAAAAAAAAAAAAGAAGCAACACGGAGTATAAAGATGACCCAACTTTCCACTCATCCCCAAAGCGTGACTGGAATAACACTCTCTGAATCAGCACTTGCTGCATGGAGCACCACATTGAGAACAATTCCAAAGCTGCATCTTGGCTCAGTGGGAATGAGTTCACCAATCAATTAGTGTTATGGGTCTAGTAAGAGTGAGAAGGAAAACACAGAGACATGTATTCACCATCGTTGATATACTGAGAATAACTCCCAGACTAAGAGTTAAAATAGGTGTGTTCTGGCCTTAGCTCTGTCTGGCTAGTAGACTCTTGGATTAGAGGAATTCGTATCACGTGGGAGCATGCTAGAACTGGAGAATTTCCTTAGATATACTGAATCACAATCTGCATTTTAAGAAAATAACTGGGTGATTCATATGGCCAACTCTAAAACTGCCTGATTTGGGAAAATTCCCTTCTCTGTCCCCACTGTACTAGGGAAATATTTACTGACTGCCCACCATATGTATGGTGCTGGGCCAGGACTATTAGAATATACAAGGAATTGATCAATCTGGTCTAGAGTTCACATACAATTAAGAGATTTACTTTATATGTCATCAGCTACCCTCCAGAGTAGTACTCAAGGGGTTTTATTTTTGGCTGCTATAAAAGCCAACGGGAACAATGCTAAATGAATGGGAATCCCTTTGGATTGCACTGCTAACAAAACCTAAAAGAAAATGATCTGTTTACACCTTTATGCTACATCTTTCCAAACCTTCTGAGTACAAAAGCAATCAGCAGTTGCCTGTAATTACTGTGTCATGTGGATACTACTGACCTCACATTGTTCTCCTTGGTTACATCATCGTGCGACTTCAGAGAAAAATAATTATCACTACAGGCCAAAACAGGTAAATAGGAAATTCAGAGGAACAGTGCTTTCTACACTACAGCAGACCTGGAGGGCAGAAAAGCAAGAGGAAGGAGACATCTGGTCCAGTATAGTTTGGAAAGGCATAAAACCTAACCAAGTTTTATAAAGATTAGGCAAACGAGCATCACTTTATTCCCCATATTGGAGTCTGCCAGTTCAAAAGGAATCTTATATTCTAGATGAGTTATTAGTAGTGTATATAGGCAAATGCCTCTTGAAATGTATACATGAATGATACAATTTTGATATGTAATGGGCTCCCTGTAGAATGCCCCAAACCCTGCAACCTATTTCTCTAACAACCTAAAATTCACAGGTATGTGTTCTGTTAAGTTTGGTTCTAAAATGACTTTTATTATAAATTTAGTGACATGTTTCCATGGAGAAAAAAAATTCCAAAACATAGAACTGTAATTTTTTAGGTAAAAAGAAACCACGATAATGCTATCCCAATCCCAATCCCGCAGATTCTAAAGTGGGTATCTTTAGGCTGGAAATGGGAATGCATTTGAAGTGCTTTCATAAATATGGTGTCACTGTCCCTCACCTGGATTATATTCTATGGCTTTCCTCATATGACAGGAAAAGGCTCTAAGATCTGTGACAACAGGAGCTGTGTCTCTCTTATTCATCTCTCTTTTCACAGCATTTAGTATGGTCTCTGGCACACACATAATTGTTGAAGAATGAGTGAATCAATGCAACCACCTCAAAAAAAAAAAACAAACCTTTACGGTTATTACAGGAGGAAATTTGGCAGCATATTTCAAAGATAAAGCAGAAGTACATGGAGAAAAGTATCTTGCTCTCAAAAAGCCTACAGAGAAAGAGTGCTATCACCTCACAGCACTTCTAAGCCTTTTGCAGTTATGGAAGCCATATGACCCCAGGTTTATGAGAACAGATCTGAAGTAGTTTTGACATAAAAACAAGAAATTGGCCAGGTGTGGTGGCTCACACCTGTAATCCTAGCACCTTGGGAAGCAAAGGTAGGGGGATCACTTGAGCCCAGGAATTCAAGACTAGCCTAAGTAACACAGGGATACCCTGTCTCTACAAAAAAAAAAAAAAAAAAGAAAGAAAGAAAAAAAAAAAGAAAATTAGCCATGTGTGGTGGCACACACCTGTAGTCCCAGCTACTCTGGAGGCTGAGGTGGGAGGATCACTTGAGCCCAGGAGGTTGAGGCTGCGGTGAACCAAGATTGTGCCACTGCACTCCAGTCTGGGCAACAGAGAGAGACCTTGTCTCAAAAACAAATGAACAAACAAAAAAACAAGAAATTGTTTTCATCCCTCATATCCTGCAATAGCCGTTTCGCATGTTATCTCTTTTGGCTTCTCAATTTTAAAGTTAAGGAAACCAAGACCCAAAGGGTTAAGCAATTTGCCTCTAGTCTAAAATCAAGTCCATAGAAGAGACCGCACTTGGCCTAAGATCTGCTAGCCGCTAGCATGGTGATGTGTATGCCCTGAGAAGAACTGTGATCTTCATAAAGAACATAAAGTCTATAATCAAAGTAAAATCCCAATGCAAGTGTCATGGGGAACTTTGATATTATTCTCTAGATCATTTGAGTCATAAACTTCTTTGCTTCTCTATCCTTCCTCTCCTCTTGTATTCAAAATATTTTAGACAGATGTATTGGCCCTGAAATGGATCTAAGCTGACCATTGCTTTACAGCCTATAATCCTAGGGATTAAAACTCGAGTGAGTTCCTTTTAAGACAGACCAGGTAAAACCCCAGAGAGGGCCTCTTCCATGTCCATCTAACTGATTGCTCTTCAGATAAATTTCTCCCACTTTTTAAAAAAGCCATTTTTTCTTTCAGGCTGAATCACTAATGCAGGGAGTCATGGCTAGAAGTGGGATGCAGCGGAGGTGCCCAAGAACTGAATCCACAAAAAGTCATTAATTGCCAAAATGACTGAGCAAATTCAAATGACCCAAATGCATTCGCTCGTAAGGGCAATTTGCTTCTAGGAAACTGGAAGGAGAGAGGGGTCACTGAAGCCGAAGCCACATAGCGGATGACAAACAGGATAAGGAAAAGCAAGAAGGCAGACAGTTCAACTCTGTCAGCATCAAAGATTCAGACCCAACAAAAACGCTTATATAAAAGGCTTTGCCTATAAACATGTTTATTTACCTTCTATTTGGATGGATTTCTAAATTTTCCTGGAGAGTCCAGGTTATTGAAAATAACTGCACTGCCAGTGTCTCTTGGTTTAAAGGTCTGCTAAAAATTCTACAAAAAAACTAGCAACAAAAGCCTTGAATGTCTCAACATATTTCATCCGTCTCATCTCAGAGGTTTCACCAACACCCAAATGTCCAGCTGTTTACATGTGCAATTTATGACTCCTTCAGTGTGTCGTCCTCTTTTGGGTTCTCTGCTGTGTGGGATAGGCACAGTAATAACTGTCCCCTACATAAGAAAACCATTTATTTAAAATATCACACAGGATAAAGGCAGAGTTACAAACACTGCAAGTCTGTCAATTCCACTCACTGATTTTTCTTGGCTCTCCCCAGCCGGCTATCATCTTTCATGAAGTGCCAACTAGCAACAAAAATACTGACTTGTGTTACATCAAAAAGGTTTTTTGGAAAAAAAAAGAAAAAAGGCAGAAACTCACTGTCTTAGTCTTTTTACACTGCATAGGCCTAGTTTTATTTCAGAGCATTTCATCCAATGGTCCATCTCTGTTCCCACAAACACCTTATTAAGTACTATTTTGGCTTCTTTAAGCTAGATTCCTCTGGGGGAAAAAAAAAAAATCACAATTTCTCCTTGTGATAAATGACTATTACATTCACTGCATTTAACAAACACATCATGTCAGTAGTCTAGCTGAGGGGAAAATCACAAATTAGGTAAGCTGTAGTCCTTATCTGAAGGGATTCAGACTCTCAAAAGAGAAGATGGGCACAGGGGTACTGTCACTTAAAATAATAATCTTAGTCATAACAGCAAAAATAATAACACATTGTGAGACAGTAACATACCACTCAATCTGCTTACAAAATAGAAAGATACTTCTGCCTTTAATCAGATCCATTTACAGGTAGGGCTGACTTTGTTTGCCTGTGACCCATACGGTGACACTAGAGCCCTGTCTTCTCAGAAGGGTGCCATGCTTCGTTTAATGCTCTGCTGTGTCTTGAAATCCTGAACAATTTTTGAACAAAAGGTCCACATTTTAATTTTGTGCTAGATCCTGTAAATTGGTAGTTGGTCCTGCTTGCAGGCTAAAACCTGCAAACCTTAATCTCACTGGCTTAGGAACACCTTCTTTTCATATTAGCTCCCATGGTTAAATGAGAAACCTTGGAGGCAGAATAGTGAATGTTATTTGTCCAGTACAGCCTCCAGTTGAGATGGCAACTTCCTCCTTATTGAACAGGCCTGCTGTGAATGATACTGTTGATCTTCACTGGATGGCATACCCTTTATCATACATATCTTAGACCTTTGGAGTTGATAGAGAACATCTAGGCCAATGGACTCATTTTGCAGGTGAAGAGCCAGGACATTTGGGTGACTCACCAGAGAATGAACAGTTAGTTCCTGACAAAGAGGGTAAAACCAAGGCCATTGCTCTTTCAACCACTAGAAATTCTATTTGAATGAGTGTGATGAACTAGGGTGGGAGTCTGTCTGCCCAGCCTATTACCTTAAGTAGGCACCTGTCCACAGTGCCTGGCATGTAACAAATATTTGGTTGAATGCAGGCATGTACATATGCACGAGCAAATACAAAAGGTAATAAAACAACAAATTATGTCCCACTAGGCACAGAATCTTAAACTTTTTAGTTACTAGTTTCCTTAACAAGCTTCAAACTTTCTTAAAATCTTCAATAGTTTTTATCTTTCAAGGAAAGAATGCTGTTCTGATAAAAATACTAAACAGAGAATGCAAAATAATTACGATGATGATAATCACAGCAATAACATTTACCTGGAACATAGCAATTGAAGGAGGCTGAGAGATCTTGCTTGCAACTGGTTCAGATATCACATCTAATAATTTCCACTGGATGTGATATCTGAAGCAATGACTGGAAAAGTGTATGTGCAAAGCCTGTGGGTTCTCTTGACATGTCAGTCAATATTAAAAAAAAAAAAGATGAAACCACTACACTACAGAGTAGGATTTTTTTACTTTTAGAGAAAAGTAAAATTAAAATCATTTCCTTACGGAGCAAGTACTTACGACACCGATGAAAAAGGGCATGAAAAAGCCAAGGACCTTGAGTTCTGTGCCCACTAAAACAAACAACCCAAAAGCCCACGGCCAAATAGAAAACAGAAATAATTGAGCCCAGGTTGATTAAATAGCTTCCCAGATAGTGGATCATTTGCATTAAGTCTGAATCCTTTCTCATCCTTAGTTTCTTCAATTGGGGTGATAATGAAGACACACATCTCCTAAGTTGCTGGAAAGAGCAAGTGAGTTCATACATGTACAGTGCATGGAAGAGTGCTATATATACAGTAAGTACTCAATAAGTATTTTCTGTCTATGGGCTAAGCCTGACCAAGCAGTGCCTGCAACACTGAGCTCAAGGAAGAAATACTCCAAGGAAGGTAAAGAAACGCACAGGTAGTAGAGAAACTAACATGAGCTCAAAAAAGATGAAAAGATGATCCACAGGCAGAAGGCTAAATCACAGGAAGTGTCAGCTCTGAGTGCTTCCCTCTTCCTCCTCACTCTGGCACAAATATGATACGAGCACTTCCTCCCTGCTCTTCAATGTGAAAGACATCAGAGACACAACAGAAAACAAAAGACATCATCCGTCCGTTGCCATGCTCACAGACTAGCCAGAAAGGCAGTTATTAGACATGGAGTAGGAACTTAATATTTTTGAATGAATGAACCAATGAAAATTAGTGCCCTCCTCCTCCAAAACCAAAGAATCATAAGCAGGCTCAATAGATTTTTCTAGTAAGTCATCATGACAGATTCCCCATTACTGCTTCTATTAGGGACATAGGGGATGAGACTGAAGGAGTATGCCAAAGGTGAAGATCTTCCCAGAAATTCCTAACTATAAAGCTTTCACAGCCGGATTAACATGCTTCTCTCAGCATGGATATCTATCCGTATATGGGTATGTATCTCAATATGGGCATCTATCTGTAATGTGTCTCATAGAAAAGTGTAAGAGCAGCCAGGCGTGGTGCCTCACACCTGTAATCGCAGCACTTTGGGAGGCCAAGGCAGGCGTATCACCTGAGGTAAGGAGTTTGAGACCACCCTGGCCAACACAGTGAAACCCCATCTCTACTAAAAACACAAAAATTAGCTGGGCATGGTGGCAGATGCCTGTAATCCCAGCTACTTGGGAGGCTGAGGCAGACTTGCTTGAACCTGGGAGGCGGAGGTTGCAGCAAGCCAAGATCGCACATTGCACTGCAGCCTGGGCAACAGAGAGAGACTCCATCTCAAAAAAAAAAAAATAAAGACAGAAGAGAAGAGGAAGAGTTTGCCAAATGGGTGATCTTGTCATTGATCAAGAAGTGCAAGACTACCTATCACTCATTGTCATCCCAACCAGTGGGACCAGTCAACATCTTTCTTGAGATATTCACACCTCAAGAGGAAGAAATGAAGTACCAAATGAAATGTGGGGAGCGGAAGGGTGGAGAATGACAAGTGTCAGCCATCATTTCTCCCCAGGCTATGAAGACAGGCTTAAGCAACTAAATGCAAATTAATTACTTTATTCATATATCAAAAAAAAAAATAGGACATTTACACACACAAGCAAGACTCAAAGACATAAAGACTTCTACAGTTGGAAGATTATAGACTTATCTCTAAATATCCACATCTGGTCAACCCCCATCCCCAAAAAAACCTTTTCTAAAAATGGATCAGTGCTAGAGTGATGTGGGAGAGGAGAAGAGAGTGTGATGGTGAAGTGTCCATCAAGTTTTAAATACATATTTCTATATTTATATAAGTAACATGACAAGTTGACAAAGTCCTTTCCAACAGGCAGACAGATTTGTCAGAGGTGTTTGAACCACAGTGACTCCATCTTGAGTAGGGGCTGGGTAAAATAAGGCAGAGACCTACTAGGAGGCTGCATTCCCGGAAGGTTAGTTGTGTTTAGTCATAGGGCGAGATAGGAGATCAGCAGGATACATGTCACAAAGACCTTGCTGATAAAACAGCATGCGGTAAAGATGCCAGCCAAATCCCACCAAAACCAAGATGGCAACAAAGGTGACCTCTAGTCATCCTCACTGCTCAATTATATGCTAATTGTATTGCATTAGCATGCTAAAAGACACTTCCACCAATGCCATGACAGTTTACAGATGCCATGGCAATGCCAAGACGTTATCTTATATGGCCTAAAAAGGGGAAGAATCCTCAGTTCCAGGAATTGCCCACCCATTTCCTGGAAAACTCATGAATAATCCACCCTTTGTTTAACACATAATCAAGAAATAACCATAAAAATAGGCAATCAACAGTCCTCGGGGCTGCCCTGCCTTTGGAAAGCCATTCTTTATTCCTTTACTTTCCTAATAAACTTGCTTTGACTTTATTCTATGGAGTCGCCCTGAATTCTTTCTCTCACAAGATCCAAGAACTCTCACTTGGCGTCTAGATGGAGGCCCCTTTCCAGACATGGATACATTTCCTGTATATACTCACACAGACATACATATGCCCTTCAAAGGAGGCATGCTTAGAAATAAAAATAAATAAATAAATAACTGATATATTAGCAATTGATAAATCTTTATAAATTATAAACTACAATGATATATATATTTTGTGTGGGGCGGGGGTGTGGGAGGTCTATGAGAGAGGGAGGGAAGGAGGAAGAGAAGGAGATGGAAAAGGGGGAGGTGGGAATAAGAGAGGGGGAAGCCAGACACCTAGGCGTGGTTATTGGCTACACATTGAGCTGGCTGTTTTACCAAGGTTATCAGTCTTTCAGAGATCAATAATAAAATGATATGAAGAGAACGAGGATACCTATTTTCAAAAATATGCTTCCAAAGATGTCTGTTGCCGGACATGCTGGCAGAGAATAGCTGCATGATGCAAAATTCCATTACTTTATCATATCCATCTATGTTTTAGGTATATTTCTTTACCAGGACATCATAGCCTTAAAAGTCACTCAAGGTTTCTATTGCAGCTAAGGTCAGAATCCTAAAGTTGTGCATTCACTCCCTCTGGGTCCTAGATTTTTGATCACTTGAAATGTTCTGTTTGCAAGTCGAAGCAGTGAGTCTCAAGCTTAAGTAATTATGGACCATATATGAAGAAGAAAATGCCCACGCGGAAAATAAGTCAAGTGAATGCATTTACTTTATTTTTATTGAAATGTAACTTATTATGCACAAATACAAATTTTTTAAAACAAAAGCAATTTAAATTATTTCAATTCGAAATTACGTAGTTTTACTAAAACTCAATTGTCCATATTGAATTTTGCAGTAGAAAAATAGAGTCTCAGGCCAAGTTATATATTTGAGGTTTTTGGGGGGGTGCTTTAACTTCTAAATGTTAGAGTGTCTATTTACATAAGCATGAAAACTATTGAACAGAAAAGTTATTAGGAACTTCAAAGCTTTGCTTGCAGGTTAAGGATAATCAGAATTCAACTTAACCAAATGCTGGCTGGGGAGCAATCCCTTCATACTGATTTTACAGATTTACCTGGTAAATCTGAAAAGATATTTTGTTCACAGAAGACTAGTTTTGAGGAATTAAAAACTGCATTAAATGGCATCTAAACCAATTACTGAGTCTGGGGGCAGGAAGGGAAATGCTATACCATACAACTGCTAAGACTACTTCTAACAAATGTAGGAGGCTGTTACGTAAAAATGGGAATCCCACTCAAAACATAAACATAGTACTGCCCGCTCACCAGGGTTCTTGGGTCTGCCCACACCTCACTGTCCCACACTCACTTCCCTCCACCCCTCTTTTTTCTATTCAAATACTGCAAAAATCTTTTGGATTTCCTGAGCCTTCGTTTTAGCACATGACAATTATAGGAACATACCTGCACAGAGTTAAGAAATCCATGGCTTTGCTTAGTGCTAGTTTCATCGAGATGACCCAGAAAATACTTTTATGACTGTTCTTAATTTGATTATAATCAAAATGAAAAATGTAAAGTAAAAAAGAGCTTGGATTTCCATCCAAGGATAGCCAAACTCCAGTCAGTGAAGCCTAGAGCTGGCTGCCAGGGCAGCACTCAGAGTGGCTGAGTAACCTATCCAAGGACACCCAGAGGGAATGCAAACTTAACGTGCTCCTAACATCTTCCCCGTGCTCACTCCATCCTAGCCATACTGGCCCCCTTCTGTTCCTTGAACAAAGCTCTCACCTGTCTCAGGGCCTTGATACTGGCTGCTCTCTCTCAGTGGTATGTTCTTCCCCAAACCTCCCAAGACTGGCTCTATGCTACACTCACTTTTCGCCTCCAAAGTCTCTCTTGAAGAGGTCTTCTGGTCTTTTAGAACCAGTCAGTTTCTAGCATTCATGGAACTATCTTAAATCTCTGCCATAGCTCTTATCACTCTCAGATGTTCTGCTGGGTATTTTTTTTTTTTTTTTTTTGGTTTATTTGAGATGGAGTCTTGCTCTGTCGCCCAGGCTGGAGTGCAGTGGCGCCATTTCAGCTCACTGCAACCTCCACCTCTCGGGTTCAAGCAATTCTCCTGTCTCAGCCTCCTGAGTAGCTGGATTACAGGCGCACACCATCACGCCCAGCTAATTTTTGTATTTTTAGTAGAAACGGGGTTTCACCATGTTAGGCAGGCTGTTCTCCAAATCGTGACCTCAAGGGATCCACCGGCCTTGGCCTCCCAAAATGTTGGGATTACAGGCACTCTCAGATGTTTTAATCTATGTCTGAAAGTGATGAGAGCTATGGCAGAGATTTGATTGGCAAGTTTATTTATTCACTGTCTACTAGAATATAAGCACCGTGAGTACTGGGACCTTCTTGGTCTCACTTACTGCTGCGTCCCATGCACCTAGGCAAGTCTGGCACATTATAAACCATCAATAAACATTTGTTTAATGAACAAATGAAGGAAGAAACAGGAGGCACGGGGCACAGAAAGATGATACAACTGCCCCTCTATTTAATCCAGTCCACTACCCTTACTCTGAATGCTTCACATCACATTGCTCGTCTTAATTGTTTTCAAACAAACAAGTCCAGACGCCTGCTCACAGGGGTCCCTAGTGGGCTCCTGCTGTCCAGCCTTGCTCCACGTGAAGATGCCCTCTTCACAGAGCAATGGATCCCCCTCTCCTGGTTCCAGCTCTAGGAGTCTCACCACAATCCCACCAGCAAAACCTCTATCTCCTGCCTCAAATTCTGGACACAGGATATCTCTCCCAACCACAGGAACACTCCTGTGCCTTCTACCTCAACACGCACTGCTTCAGCACAGTGTTTTGAAACCCTTTAGTCTGAGACACACCTGTAAATTTTCAGAACTTCCCCATTCCCCACCCCACAGATACAGTAAGAGCAGCACCAGGCTTGTCGGGTTTTGTTCTCCTCCATGTGTTTCCCAGCAGCACTTAGCAAAAAAAAGTATTAAATGAAAAAAAAAAATGGACTGTTTCTTGCTTTCAGGAACAGCATGGACGAAGGATCCAGGGAGGCAGAGGGATAGAATGGCCCATAGCTGGCTTTATAAGAGAAGGGGGAAGCAGGCGCAGTCCATGCGCCTCTGGTAGAGAGAGAGGGTTGAGTCTGGGGAGCCTGCCTGCATGTTGCAAGAGGCCCCCCAGGGCTTCCGAGCAGACCAGGACGTGGTTTCCCATTGATGTGCCCTGTGTAAGCTCCTCCAGAGGCAGTTCCCACTGGGGAAATTCCCTCCAAGGAGTTGTCACGCCCCCTTTCCCTTCCTTCTCATCTGGATAACCCTCTTTGCTTCCCTGTATCTCTTCAAAGGGCTCCTGCCTTTCAGCTTCTGGCTAGAGAATGAAATCTGAAATGCAGCCAGTTCACAGGAAGCCAGCCAGCTGGGTGCGCAAAGAACCCAGAACTGTTTCACACCTCAGGCTCCTTTCACAATGCAAATGGATACCTGACTCAGGCACTGCGGTACAGGACAGCAATGTGCACGCTTCTTTTATGTACGTATTTTTTTTAAGCACAGAATCTCTTCTTCCAAGAAAATGGTATGCAGAAACTCAGGATAGAAAACCAGTTAGGAGCAGAGGTTGGGAATCTCAAAGCCACTCCAGCCCTTTCGCCCTGAATTGATCCTACACATGCATCTATCCTAGAGAATCTTAGGAACTTAGCAGAACACAGCTTAAACAGTGTCATAAGAAAGAAAGCATGTGAGCTTTCTTATCAAGACAGACCTGGCTTGAAAATCCATTCTGTTACTTACTAAACTCTCTTGGCCTCAATGTCCTCCTTATCTCTAAAATGAGGACATATACATCTCCTAGGATTATGGTGAGAATTAAGTGATAACGGAGGTTAAAGAGGCCTACTACCCATCCTGGGCTCTCAAGAAACAACACAGCAGCTGTAGGGACAGGAGCTAATAGTGTCATGTCCATGGTTTGGTTTGTCATTTCTAAACACAGACACAGGCATTCCTCCACTTCCCAAACCCAAATCCAGAAAATCCTGGTTAGTTATCTATCACTTTTTTTTTTTTTTTTTTTGAGACAGGGTCTTGCTGTTGCCCAAGCTGGACTGCAGTGACATCATCATGATTCACTGCAGCCTCGACCTCCCAGGTTCACGGGATCCTCCTGCCTCAGCCTCCCAAGTGGTTGGGAGGTGTGCACCAACACGCCTGGTACACAGGTATGCACCAACATGCCAACAGCACCAACAGCTAATTCATTTTAAATTTACTTTATGTAGAGACAGGATCTCCCTATGTTGCCCAGGCTGGTCTCAAACTCCTAGGCTCCAACAATCCTATTGCCTCACTGCCTCAACCTCCCAAAGTGCTAGGATTACAGGTGTGAGCCACTGTGCCCAGCTTCCTATTACTCCTATAATCTTGTGGCATCCAAACTCAACTTTCTTAAATATTCCAATGCAAATATGTATTTCTGTAAAATTATTATTTTTATTTTAATTTTTGGAGCTCTGTAATAGTCTCAACACAGACAATCACAGGTACAGAGAGGACCTGGGTTGTCAATATACTGGAATATAAACACTAAGGGCAGGTATAATATTTAATGAAACCAAATTCTATAATATACTGCTATATTCAAAGCTCCCTGGTCCTGGTTTACAAAGAAGGAACACCAGGCAGAGGAGAACGAATGAAGTCGCTTTCATAAAATCTTGCCTTCATCTGTAGAAGGGTGTATGGTTGTTCCTCTTTCTATTCAGTCCATCAGCCCACAAAAAGCTCTGCATTTGGAAAACTGGACAAATTCCATATTCACTCAAGTAGAATGGCGATCTGACTTGGCAACATGTTTCCACTGAAATTTGTGCAAAGAAAACAAAAGGGAAGGACATTACATCCATATCCATGTTCTCCTCACCAACAAAACCCTTGAAGACTGGAATTTCCCTGCCTGTCTTCTGAGCAGATGAGGACCTGAGCCTATTCCAACAGCCTGTGGATCTATACTCCACATACCCCACTGTCACAGACTCCACTAGTCCACTGGAGATTTCTCCCATCCTATGCACTTTGTGAGTCAAATAAATTTCCATTGGTTAAGAAGTGTGAGTGCAGCTGCCATTTTTACTTGTTAACTTAAATATCACAATAAATGACCAAATTAGAGAAAACCAAGAGAATCAGAGAGAAGTCAACCTAGAACCCTGATATCACCAAATTGCTGATTAACTTACAAACAAAATACACCACCATCACCACTTGGGAACTGTCTATCTTCTCTATTTTTAGGAAGATAAGTTTTCCTTGTTTAAACTGTGTTGAGGGGCCAGGCCCGGAGGCTCACGCTTGTAATCCCAGCACTTTCGGATGCCAAGGTGGGCAGATCACCTGAGGGCAGGATTTTGAGACCAGCCTGGCCAACATAGTGAAACGCTGTCTCTACTAAAAATACAAAAATTAGCCAGGCGTGGTGGCACGCACCTGTAATCCCAGCTACTTGGGAGGCTGAGGCAGGAGAATCACTTGAAACCGGGAGGTGGAGGTTGCAGTGAGTTGAGATCATGCCACTGCACTCCAGCCTGGGCAACAGAGTGAGACTCCATCTCAAAAAATAAATAAATAAACAAACAAACAAATAAATAAATAAATAACTATGTTGAGTTGGAATGTCTTCTAGATGTGGCCCAGAGCATTCTGATTAACCCATTCAACACAGCACCTGCCACACAGGAGATGGAAAACACCATCACTGTACCTATTATGACTTCTTCCATCTCTACATCCCTTCGCTCCCTCCATTATTACTTCCCCTGCCCAATATCCCCTCAAAACACACCATTTAGCTCCTTCAAATACCTTTTTTAGATTTATGCTTGTTTGGCATATTTTCCCAGAGTGGCTGTATGTATTTAATATGATTAACAGCTTTAGTCATTAAACAGCATTTCTTTAAGAGGATTGCACGAGATTACCCTTAGGGTCTTGGGCTGAAATCATTGCACTTGTACACAACCAGTGTAGGTAATGGAAGTTCATCATAATGTAACAAGTTCACTCAGTACTTAATATAATCGAGGACACAATCCATAAAAATATTCTTCCTAAACTAATCAAATCATTAAAATGTCAGCTTCTACACAGACGCTCCATGGCACTCCTGCCCCTGGCCCAGATTCAATTCAAATGGAATTTTGCTGAATCGCCCTGATTTATGAAGTCTGTGTTTCTTCATCCTGCCCCCTCCCTGTTGCTTAACTCTGCTGCCTGAATATAGTTGTCCCAGCAAGAAAATAAACTGGCTGGAAGCCAGAAGCCATGACACAAAGCAAGCTCTTGTCAAACGGTTTCCTTATTAGCTGTTCACATACAATAAAGACTGTAAGGTTTTTCCCCTGTATGCAACGCGTTCAGAGCATTTTCCCATTTGTTGGAAAACTGAGATCAGGAAGAAAAATAACTCTTATGCACTACATGCCAGAGAGAGAGCACTGGATTCAGTGAGAGAGAAGGAGAAAAAGAGTGTGTGAATGTGTGTGTGTACACACATTGCAGCCCATGGTTTATTAACAGGGCCTAATTATGACAATTGCTTCCTGTGGGTCTGTAATCAGCCTGGTATTTCTCAAAGCACTCTATTGGAGCACTGCTCACTCTAGTCACAGATTGCCTGAATATTCTCCAAAACAAAACTGATAAAAATAAACAGCTCGTTTTGAGGGTATTCACTTCTGAAACTGCAGTACCAGACACCTCAATAGGAAATATCTCATTTGCCCCACACTATTCCAAACCCAATGCTTCACATTCGCACATTTCCTCTACAGAGATCCAGAACAGTTTCTAGACTGCAGTGCTATCCACTATGATAGCCCTTGTCTAGCCCCATGGGGTGACTTCCATTTAATTAAACAGACCAGGCACGGTGGCTCATGCCTGTAACCCAAGCACTTTGGGCGGCTGAAGCAGGAGGATTATTTGAGGTCAGGAGTTTGAAACCAGCCTGGCCAACATGGTAAAACTCTGTCTCCACTAAAAATACAAAAATTAGCTGGGCATGGTGGCGGGGACCTGTAATCCCAGCTACTCAGGAGGCTGAGGTGGGAGAATTGCTTGAGGCCAGGAGGTAAAGGTTGCGGTGAGCAGAGATCACACCATTGCACTCCAGCCTAAGTGACAAAGCGAGACTCCAACTCAAAAATAATAACAATAATAATAATAATAAACAAAATTTAAAATTCAGTTTCTTAGTCAAACTAGCCACACTTTGAGTGCTCCACAGTCCCATGTGGCTTATGGCTGGAACACTGGACAATAAAGATAGAGAATATTTCTGGCATCACAGAAAGTTCTCCTGGACAGCTCCATAATCTATAGCATAACACATCTTCAAATGAAAGGGTCAAAAAATAGCTGAGGATGAGCAGTTATTTTTCTTTACAATGGTAAAAAGGAGTGTGCCAATCTCTATAACTGTTAAAGGAGGCATACTCATAATTATTTTTATTTTTCAATAAGATAAATTTGGACCCAATGCCCACTGGCATTTTTATCATAAATAAGTGTTAACACATAAGCATAAAATAATCAAAGAAATTCAAGAAATATTTATTGAATAATCACTATTTGCAAAGCACTCCATCCTAGCACACATTCACTGCCTCAGCTCCCACGGAAACCCTTCGAGCATCCATCAGTACATCCCAGGCAGTCACGGCCATTTGCCATTCCCAAGTAAGTTATACAATCTCATGCCCCCTCCTTTTATTTTTCAAGCTGTTTTTTTTTCCCCCCAATGGAAGCCTCCCTTGCCTGTAAAAATTCAAAGCCCCACTCAAATGCCACCTATTCCATGGACTGTCCCCCAGCCCTGCAAGAACTAGCCCATCAATAATAGCATTCATAACAACAGCCAACATCTGTGAATGTGTGTCAATTTGTACTTTACACAGACAGTATCTTATTTAATCCTCACAGACAACCCTATGAAGCAGGTACCACTGTTGTTTCCATTTGAAGATGAAAAATAGTGACCAGGCACAGTGGCTCATGCCAGCACTTTGGGCGGACAAGGCAGGTGGGTCACCTGAGGTAAGGAGTTTGAGACCAGCCTGACCAACATGGCGAAACCCTGTCTCTACCAAAAATACAAAATTAGCAGGGTATGGTGGTGCGCGCCTGTAATCCCAGCCACTCGAGGGGCTGAAGCAAGAGAATCACTTGAACCCGGGAAGCAGAGGTTGCAGTAAGCCAAGATTGCACCACTGCACTCCAGCCTGGGCAACAAGAGTGAAACTCCATCTCTGAAAAAAAAAAAAAAAGAAAAAGAAAAAAGAATAATAGTGAAGGTGAGAAAATTAAATTACTTGCCTAAAGTCCCACAACTGATAACTAATGGAGCTGGAATTTGACTTCAAGGCCCTCTAACTTCAGATACCACATTCTTAACCAATGTC
The DNA here is from genome assembly GCF_000001405.40 of Homo sapiens. NCBI lineage: Eukaryota > Metazoa > Chordata > Mammalia > Primates > Hominidae > Homo > Homo sapiens. The sequence continues at coordinate 117,939,722 of NC_000008.11, forward strand.
CTGTGCACTTTCTTTCTTGTGGTGCATATCCTTTATTCCTTTCATTATTCTGAGTTGTGCATACATCTGTCTCAATCTCATCTCCTTCCCTTGTCAATTCCTTGAACGCAAAAACCACATCTTATTCACTTTTGCCCTCACCCAGCACACAATAAATAGAAAAGAAGAAACAGAAGATTGTTGAGAAAATGAATGAATGAATGAGTGCTTCTATTTGGCTATTGGATTGTGACTGTAACTTGCAGAATCTAGTTCTAGACCAAACTAGGACATGGTGGCCCTTTTCCATCCCCTGACATGATTCTTGGGTCCACCATGGATGTCCCAGTCTTCCTCTGAACAATTTTCACCATTACACCAATAAGTCATGGCATTCAATAGCACAGGCCAAGATTTACCAACTGTCAGATTCTGAGTGGCAGCCAGAATGTCATCCAAGAAGTAATACTTGTTTCAAGCCATCTACCCTAGGGCCCAGCCCATGTGGACAGCAGATGACAGCAGGCTACCTGCCCAGGCTGACTAGTGAGATGACATAGGCCGACTGGTGAGATGATGTAGACTGACATCCAGGGGAGCAGGTGGAAGAAAATGCTGGCACAGGGAACCTGTGGTATAATCTCAATGGCTATGGAATCCTGGGGTGGAAAGAGTGGCAAGCTGAGCTAGCATTCCTGGAAGAGCCCCCCGTATCTGGAAGGCTTGAAGAAACATTCCCACAGGGCTAAAAGCACTAGGCATCAAGGAAGGATGTTACAGCTCATTTCAATTCAAACGACCTTTACTAAATAGCTACACAGGGACAGCCCTGGGGTCTGGGGAGTAGCTATTTAAAGGTGAATTAAAACACGCTGCACCCTCAAGAAACTCATTAGTCTAGCAGGAAGCCAGACATTAAGCCAATCCACAGTGATACAAGGTGATCTTGATAAGGCCTAGAATGAGGCATAAGAAGACTCGGGAGATGGTAACATCATTAGTTCAGAATGAGAATTTCTGGTCTGGGAAAAACTTTACAAAATTGAAATCTGTCTGGGTCTTGAAGGATCAGTAGGAGTTTGACCTGTGGGTACAATGGAAGCTGCTGGCATCCTGCGTGTATTCCTTTTATTGGTCAGTGCAGTCACCCCTAGGCTGCTGGGATCTTGCAGGGGAAATGCCTGGGTAATTACCTACCCCCACCCAAAGGCAGCCTACAGCCAGTTAGTTACTGACTGATATGGGGGTCTCCATGGGGCCATACATGCCATTCATGCTACAGATTCCCCAGGGGTTAAGGCGGAGGTTGGACTTCAACTAGACCCACATCCTTCCCCAGCTTCCTGCCCTGCCCCATCCTGCTTCTCACATTCCTTTACTGGCTTCTACAAAGAAATAATTCTCTCAATAAGTCACTTGCATGAGAAACCCCGTCTCGGGACTCCTCTAGGGAACCCTACCTAAGTCAGAGGCAAGTGGGGGAGCAGCAACCAAAGTAGGGAGATTGTCATGTGCAGGCAATCCAGGCATGAATATCTGATGAATGCCGGCAGCTCTACCACGTATCATGGTAAGATGTTCAGATCTTTATTATGCAGGAAATACACAGCCACTGGACAGTTAGAGGAAGATAAGAAAATCAGAGTTCCTAAGCTGCAAAATTTTAAAGCAGGGACTTTGCTACTATAACATATGGAGGGGGGAATAGGCTAGGCCCATAGTTCAGAAAGCTGGTGGTCTGTGCAGCCTCCAGTAAGGCTGGATCTAGGGTAGTGAGAGTGGAACCTGGAAAAAGGGTAAATTCAACAGAGGCAGAAAAAGCAACACACTTTGCAAAGTAGTCAGGAAGGCAAACCCAGGCATTCGCCACACACAGCGCAGAAAGGGTTGATGGTGAGTGATCATTTTTTCAGCCCAAACCACATCCAGCCTTCTTAAGAGACCTGGCACAGAAGAGCTCTGTTCATATACATGGCACACCCTCATGTTAAATCTTTGGTTATTCCAGAATGGATCCTTCTAAAAGTTTCAAACACAAAACTCACTGTCACTTTTCTTCAAGTGACCACTCATTTTATAATGAAAACATGAGGTAGAAATCACAACTTCAAGCCTCCTGCCATCCAGTTTAAGACCTACAGGCAAAACGTACAAATGGCTGGGCAGCCTCACCCCTCTTGCTGTGTCACTCCACACTGTGAATGCCATGACTGTCACTGCCTGTGCTAATGCTACAATCCTAGTTCTACAAGTGGAATGCACAGTATCATCCTATTTTCAGATGGGACAACTGAGGATCAAAGTAAGTTGTTCAAGGAGTTATAGGTCTAATGGGCCCCAACACTGATGACCTTCCCATCACCTGCTGCTACCGTCTTAGCCTCAGTAATGTCCAACCTCATTAATTTTAACATGGAGGACCCATCCATATATTAAAATCCAATTCTTCTACTCTTTAAACTCAGCTCAAGCTTCATTCCTTCTATTAAGTCTGTAACCCAAATGAATCAGACCTTTTGCTGCATCCTCATTGTACCTGTGTGCACAGACCACAACTGCACCACCTATATACTACATACTTGAGGCATACATTTATCATCACTCCTCTGGGTTTCTTCCTTATGAGACTGTAATAATGTAGGGGAAAGGCAGACCTGGCCCCTGTCTTTATACCCCCAGAACCTAGCACAGAGGCTGGTAGGAGTAAATGATAAGAAAATTATACTCAAGGACGGGTGCGGTGGCTCATGCCTATAAACCTAGGACTTTGGGAGGCCGAGGTGGGCAGATCACCTGAGGTCGGGAGTTCCAGACCAGACTGACCAACATGGAGAAAGCCCATCTCTACTAAAAATACAAAATTAGCCAGGCATGGTGGTGCACGCCTGTAATCCCAGCTACTCGGGAGGCTGAGGCAGGAGAATCGCTTGAACCTGGGAGGTGGAGGTTGCGGTGAGCTGAGATCATGCCATTGCACTCCAGTCTGAGCAACAAGAGCGAAATTCGGTCTCCAAAAAACGAAAGAAAAAGAAAAAGAAGATTATACTCAAATATCCAACAAGTTCTGTTGAATGTTTTTTTAAACATTCATATGTAATGAAAATTACACTTGATATATACTAACGCTATGATCCTAATTCTACAAGTTGAATAAATTGGATGGCCCAGGGTCTACTCCCAGCCCTGACACGTAGCAGTCAAAGTGATCCTGGGGAAATACAGAGCTTCTTGGACCCATAGATTATTGGCACATGAAGCCATTGGGCTAGAAACTCTCAAACGTCTTTTTGAATACAAAGAATCTTGTTGCTACTCACATTTATAATAAAGCAAAATAGTCCATATCCAATTTTCCAGTAGCTCTTTGAAATGGATGTTTGTGAAAACATTCATGTAGAAGCCCTAAGAAGTTTAGCCAGAAAACCTAACTACTTTCTTCTTTAAAGAGTATTTGCTAAGGAAGCATTTATTTAGGCAATTTTAAAAAATGGTTTTAAGTCTTTAATGTAAACATTGCCTGATAATGGCAAGAGTAGGGGTAAACAGACACTACTACAAACTGCTAGTAAGAAAATAAATTGGGAGGTCTTTTGTGGAAGGCAATTTGACAATTTATCCTATGGAAATACCTGAGGAGGCTTGTAAAGAAATGCTATGATTATAATAGTCACAGCACCGATTGTAACAATGCATATTGCAACCAAATGACATACAATTATTTGATAAATTATAGTATATTTATGCAAAGGAATACTATATAGTCACATACAAAAAAAATGTGTTTATACAAGTATATTCAGTAGAATGGAAACTGCCTAGAGTAGACTGCTGGGTGAAAGAAGCACTTTAGGAGGCAGTGATGATATTCCTGCAAAAGAAAGTACATGTGAGTGTTTGCACGTACATGCCTGTGGTGTACATATCAGCATATGAGCACACAGATCACAATCACCAGGAATATCTGAGAGGTAAAATTATCAGTGATTTTAAATTTTGCCATTGATATTACATGTGTAATAATGTACGTGTGTATTTTGTTTCTAGCTTGCCATATGAAATAACCTTTAGATATTGGGGCAGGAAGTGCGTAGCTGGGATGTGATATTCCCACCTCCTTTAACAGTGTGCTGGTTACTTAGGCCTCATTCTTCTAGTGTCATTCCTGTTTTGGTTGCAGGGTCACCTATGCCAGGGCCCCAGCAGGTACTCCTGGCAAACCTCACCAAGCTGTATGGTTTCACCCTCCCACCCCCTCTGTATGCGCCATAGGCTGTTATCTGCTGTCTAGTTTCAACTACCTTTCTCAGAAACTCTCATTTCCGTATGAAAGACAGAAGGGAGATCAAAAGTGTGTGGCTGGTTTTATCTGTTGTCTCTCTCCTAATTCTACTTTTAACTACTGTAAAAGAAGTGGAATCTGGCAGGGCATGGTAGCTCATGCCTGTAATCCCAGCACTTTGGGAGGCCCAGACAGGCAGATCACTTGAAGTCAGGAGACCAGCCTGGCCAACAGGGCAAAACTCCGTCTCTACAAAAAAATACAAAAAAAACTAGCTGGGTGTGGTGGCGGGCACATGTAATTCCAGCTACTCAGGAAGCTGAGGCAGGAGAATCCCTGGAATCCGGGAGGCGGAGGTTGCAGTGAGCAAGATTGTGCCACTGTACTCCAGCCTGAGCAACAGAGCGTCTCCAAAAAAACAAATAAAAAAGTGAAATCGGAGTTAATGCCCCAAAGGCAGCATATATTGTCTCAGTGCTCCATTAATTTTAACTTAATTGTTCTGGTACTACTCTTTAGAGCTGTTTATTTAGTATTTGTTTCTGACTGATGAATGTGAAAAAGCGAACATTCTTATTAGATAACAGGTTTGCCCGGCTATGACCGTACTCTGCACAGAAGACTATGTAGGCATGACACATACACAATAGGTTTTAAGACAGAACAATTCCATTAAAATTGGAAAAACTCAAATATGGTTGAAATGCTTATTAAAGAAGAATACACATATTAAAAGAACAGGCAATTTTCATTACTGATGCTATTTCTAAGCCTATCCCCCAAATTCAAAGTACAGCAATTATTATTGACATTGTTATACCAACAATGAAAATAATATCACCATTTCTGAGAACCTCTATGGACCAGGTCTATGCTCAGTGCTAAAAAAATAGATCATCTCGGCCAGGCGCGGTGGCTCACGCCTGTAATCCCAGCACTTTGGGAGGCGGAGGCGGGCGGATCACGAGGTCAGGAGATCGAGACCATCCTGGCTAACACGGTGAAACCCCGTCTCTACTAAAAATACAAAAAATTAGCCGGGCGCGGTGGTGGGCGCCTGTAGTCCCAGCTACTCAGGAGGCTGAGGCAGGAGAACGGCGTGAACCCGGGAAGTGGAGTTTGCAGTGAGCCAAGATCGCGCCACTGCACTCCAGCCTGGGCAATAGAGCGAGACTCCGTCTCAAGAAAAAAATAAAATAAAAAAGATCATCTCACTTACAGTCCCCATTTTATTGATGAGGAAACTGAGGCCTAGAGAAGTTAAGAACATCACACAGCAAGTTGGTAAAGCTGGGTGTTGATGCCCATGCTTGTAACCCCTGTACATCACCCTTCCTCAATCAAATCATCAGGACCCCTCTCTGAGGTTCCATTTTAGCACTTAGAGACCCTGGTGATTTTTTAGTCTAGTTCTTTTCAAGCTGGACTCCACGGAGCTCTTGATGCCATTTGGGCAAAGGGGGGCAAGTTTAAGGATCAGGGGACTCCACTTTCCTCTTCCAGTTGAAGTGCTCTGTGGTTTTTATTTTATTTTATTTTTGAGATGGAGTCTCATTCTGTTGCCCAGGCTGGAGGGCAGTGGTGTGATCTCGGCTCACTGTAACCTCCGCCTCCCAGGTTCAAGCAATTCTCCATCCTCAGCCTCCGGAGTAGCTGAGATTATAGGCGCCCACCACCATACCCAGCTAATTTTTGTATTTTTTAGTAGAGATGGGGTTTCACCATGTTGGTGAGGCTGGTCTCAAACTCCTGACCTCAAATGATCTGTCCGTCTCAGCCTCCCAAAGTGCTAGGATTAGGTGTGAGCCACCACGCCTGGTCTGTGGTTATTTATTTCAGATGTTAGACTTGCCCATGAAATTCTACATCTACAGAATATTTGAAAAATATCAATGTACAAGATTACTGTATTATGTTTTGTTTTTGTTTTGTTTTGTTTGAGATGCGAGTTTTGCTCCTTTTGCCCAGGCTGGAGTGCAATGGCGCAATCTCAGCTCACTGCAACCTTCACCTCCTGGATTCAAGTGATTCTCCTGCCTCAGTCTCCTGAGCTGGGATTATAGGCGCGTGCCACCATGCCCGGCTAATTTTATATTTTTAGTAGAGACGGGATTTTGCCATGTTGGCCAGGCTGGTCTCGAACTTCTGACCTCAGGTAATCTGCCCGCCTCGGCATTCCAAAGTGCTGGGATTACAGGTGTGAGCTACCGCGCCTGGCCTAGATTACTGTATTATGGATGAGGAAACTGTAATCTAATATCAAAAGTATGACTGGGGTCTAGAGGGTCTTCATTTTAATCTGCATTTGCTAATGAGGCATATTTGACTGTGTCTAACTCAGTTTTCCCCTTGGCATAAAGACTTGAGTAATGGTTTTTTGTTTTTTACTTTATGTCAACGCTCTGAGGGAGGACGAATAAAAGGGACTGCAAAGCACTTAGTGCACAGTAAAGTCCTACATAAGCATTTGTGGCGCCTAATCCCAGCACTCTCCGGGGCCTGCTCCTGAAGCTGGTCACAGAGAAGGAAGGTACAGACAGACCAGGGCCTGCCAAGACACAACCAGGGCGCTGAGCAACCTACAGGAGCGGGCAGGCACGTAGCTTGGGCGAGCATGGAAAACAGACAAAAGCGTCATCCACAAATGGAGCCAATCCTATACACGAGGACCAGTCGTGGGCTCCTAGCTTGTTTCAGCAAACAGCAGGCATTGATCCAGGGCAGGGTGGGAGGGCCCACGGCCTCTGAATTATTAACTTCTCCTGTTCCCACGTGAACTTCACCATCAGTGCTTACACCACCACCTGGCACCGTTCGGAGGGATTTTCCACCTTCCTCTGGGGAAAGTGAAACTTATATGGAGGAATGAAACAGAATTGACTTCTGGCTTCTCTTTGAGAAGGCTTCCTTCTTCCACAATTGCTTCATCTTCATTTTACAGAGGAAAACGTGGATGGCTTTGAGGCCAGTTTTATGATATTTATGGGGCGGATTTTTGAGGAGTATATGGGTTACCCGAGCCAAGAATTATTATAAAGGAGCCTCCTAAGCCTGAGGCAGAGAGATCTGTTCTGTCTTGTTAAAAGGGACCACAATAAGTTATTAATTCCATTTAGGATTTGAGGCAGAGGAAAGGGCAGACATGATTACACACAGATGTGTGTAATCCACATAAACTAGGAAATAAGCCACTCTTGTGGGTAAATACACTTGATTCCCAGCTACAGACAGGTAAAATGTTCTGTCTCTCCAACTATGGCCAAACGATTTAGCAGTTTGTTCAGAGCTCAAACACATAAATTATATATACTTGACATTTATCCAAAGTCACTTTTTTCTTTCTTTCCTTTAATTTCTTTTGAGGTAATGTTTACATGAAAAATATACATCTGCATCCTATAATTTTTAGGCATCGACTACTGTGAATTAAACTTGATCAGCTCTATTTAAAGGGGGATGTTTATCGCTTAAGTGCTGGCACCACAAATTGTCCTGAAAAAGCACAAATCATCACTAAGTTCAGAAACTTTCCAAAAGTTGATGACACTTTCACCACAATCTCCTGAGGCTCACTTTAGGGTCCTTCACAATGCGGATAACTTGGGGTTCCTAGAAAGGATGGTCAAAAGTTGCCTAACTTGCAACAATGTGAGATTAACATCTTAATCATTAACTTAAATGGCATTCCTGACTATTCTGTGAAAAGCATTGCCTCAAGAACAAATGATGAATAGAAAGGAAGTGATAGCCTTAATTCTTAAAGAGCTCAAAGTCTAATGGGGGATACAAGATAAACAAAAGCAAGGACACAACCCTATTGGAAGCAAAAACACAGAGTGCAAGTAATTATATCTGAGTAATTAGCCTCAAGTAATACTGGGAAGGCAGGCATTATCTTAGCTTCACTTTGGAGGTCAGCCAAAATCCCTATTCATCCCTTCGTGGGCCTCTCATTTAAGGAGGACTTTTCCCAACTGCTATCAGAGAACAAATATTTGGAGGTGATTTTTCTGCCTCCAGTGATGAATGAGGAAATACCTGCTCCCCGTCTCTGTAATCAGTCCATCAACACTCTGAGATCTTGGGGAGGTGTATGTTTAATTTATATCCTACCTCTTTCCAAAAAAGATTTAAGGTAGCTTACAGTAAAGGCTCATATGCCTAGGGCAATGTAAAAAAAAATAAGAAATATCTAAATACATTATAGTAAGAAGAGATAGAGGAGGGTGCTCTGAAGTAGTAGCAGGTTGGTCTTGCAAGGAAGCACCAAGTTTGGTTGGAAGTATCTGGCATGCACAGCGAGGTGAGAGGCAGAAAGAAGTCATTCTGACTGCCCTTGCCAAAAAAAAAAAAAAAAAAAAAGGAGTAGTAACAATTTATGAGATGCTAACTTTACTTATCTTAAGTGACAGAGAACAAGGTCAACAAATGTTCACCCTGCTCAAGCAGCAGGTTGTATTCTTATATTTTAGGATCACGGACTCCATTCAGAATCTAAGAACGTTCTGGACCTATTTCCCCCATAAACTCATAACCATACAACTTTACACATAGTACCAGGGTTCCATGAACCTAGACTGAATACTTGCTGTGGGAGTTCTCTGTAAAGTTGAAATTTGTATAGGAAATCCTCAATACTCATTTTCACTGAATGCATAAAAGGTCACTAGTTGAAGCCAGACATCTCAAAGTAATCCTTTGAGTGTGGTTTCTTCCTCCTGCCATGTATAGCCAACAATGGCTTGTAGCCAAAAATGGGATCATTCCACTTGAAGGAACTTGACCAAAACCCTAGTAATTTGTCTTGGTCTTCATTTTTTCCCACTCTTTATCTTGGGATGTGCTTGCATTCTTATGCTGAGATATTTTTCCTGTTTATCTACTTATGTTTTGGGTTGTTGGTTTTTAATTCTTGGCTTTCACATATTCTGCATCTTAAATTCTCCTAATTTACTGTGTAATTAAAACACCCATGCACATTTGTTCTCAATTAATAGAGACAAATTATTCCCCAGTGGAAGACAACTCTATTCCAACTTGAAACTGGAAGGGCAGATAGGCCTGAATTTTAAATGTTGTCTAACGACTCTAATATTCTTTGTTGAGAGTATTTAAGAGATAGGTTAATGTATCCTTGGGAGACAAATATTCCAAAAATCTCATGCTAACCCTCAGAACCAGATGATTCTGCAAGTTCCCAATTTTGTAATCCTTATTAAGTATATTAGGAATTTGTTTATAAAATTATCCTCAGAAGGAAGATAAAATTAAGCTGGATAAAATAAAAGGCAGTTGAAACCAGTTAAATAGCCTTTAGTTTGAATACCAAATATTCATGTAAAATCGATGCATCCATCATAAGCCTACATACTTATGGCTTTAGAAATATTTGAGAGCATTAAAAAATAATAATGGACCAGAGAGAAAGTTGACATATTTATAATCCACAGGTAAGTCTAATATCAGTACCTAGTTTGTGTGTGTATATATACACACACATACACACATATACATATATATACATGTATATATGATATATAAATATAATATATATACGTATTATATATCATATTTGTGCAAACATTTGGAAGTTATTCATTTAAGCTTCATTGTGAATCATTTGCACAATTACAAAATAGATTGTAATTAGAGCTCAACTATTTCATACATAAGTAATAATATGATGGAAAATACTCAACAATATAAAACCTGGTAATAAAGAGACATCTTACTAATTAAGATTTCAAAGGGATATTTAGAAAACGAAAGAGAGAAAAAGAATCATTCTTGAGGATCTGCTAATCTGAGAAACTATCCTAAGTACTTTATTTAAAAGACTTCTTTTAAGCCCAATATCAGTCTTATTTGACAAATGACATTATGCCCATTTTTAAGACAAGATAACTGGGACTTAGGGAGGATTAGATGGCATCCAAACATTCTTCTAAAATTACTAACAAGGAGGCCAGATGTGGTGACTCACGCCTGTAATCCCAGCACTTTGGGAGGCTGAGGCGGGCAGATCGCTTGAGGTCAGGAGTCTGAGACCAGCCTGGCCGACATGGTAAAACCCTGACTCTACTAAATAAACAAACAAAAAAACAAAAACAAATTAGCTGGGCATGGTGGCGTGAGCCTGTAGTCCCAGCTGCTGGGGAGGCTGAGGCATGAGAATCGCTTGAACTTGGGAAGTGGAGGTTGCGGTGAGCTGAGATGGCACCCCTCGACTATAGCTTGGGTGACAGAGCAAGATCCCATCACAAACAAAATAAATAAAATAAAATAAAATCACTAACAAGGAAAGTTCTAGTAGTCTTGCCATAAAGTCAACAACACATCTTTGGAAAGGCCACAGACCTTTCGACCAGCAGCTATTTCAAGTAACTGATTCTCAGCTGGCTGGTTGTAACAGCCAAATGCGGATTTACACTGAGTACTTTGTTCAGGGTTCAACACATTTTACATCAGATAATGCCTGCTGTTCCCATTTTTCCTAGAAATGGGGTATGAGTACAATTCCTGTTTATGTAAACTCCTGCCACAATGAACCTTTACTTGGTCAAGATAGGATAACACGAGGGCTAAAGGAAAGAGGCCACAATAGGAGAAAAGCTATCTTCTGCCAATATCAGGGTCAAGTCCAAATTGTCCCTTTAGGGCTTACCCTGATAGAACCAGGGATAAACACATTGGGAGAAGAAATGAGTTTAAAAACAGGCACAGAAAGAGATTTTTAAAAATAGGTATATTGGACCATTAGAATAGATGGACTATGAAATGTACACAAAGATGTTATTCAAGTTCACCTTGATTGTTTTACTGGGTCCTAACCAGGAGCTTTCTGTAACTAGACTGGGCATATCACCCTATCATATGTTTAACAGGTGGACTGTACTGGCTTTCTACATTGTACTCCATGAAGAAACAAAAATTTTTTTTTTAAAAGTTGTAAGTTTCTATACTTATAACCAAAGAGGCAAATTATATTTTGGGGGGAGCCTTATTGATTTTTGGACCCCAAATAAGATAAGGATTAAATCAATGTCAGAAATAATAATATGAATACACATTAGTTAAAAAACCTAATTGTATTTGAGATCATTTCCTTATGGAAACCTTTTCTGAGAGCTAATCAATCCCTCTGTAAAAGGAGAAAGTGAGAGAAGAGGTAATGTTTTAGAGTGTTATCGTGACTGGTTATTTTAAGGGAAGAACAGAAATAACTTGGCAACCAGGAGTCAATAGGAATGGAAGTCTTTCTGAAATGATTTGTATATTTCCCTACCTAAATTGGCCTCTTTTACTCATCTATCTTTCACATGTTATACAAAGCCTGTTTATGAAAGTGAGAATATAGGTTCAGGGTCTCACAGCAAATGGGATAATGGCATAAGCAGACTCCTGTTTTTGTGATTTTCTCAAAAGACATTTCATATTTTGTAATTCAGTAACCACAGCACCAATTTCTGAGATGTAAACTTGATTCATGTATTCATTCATACATTCATACAAACTAGACCCTGGGAACACAAGGGAAGAATGAGTCATGGCTCTGCCTTCATGGAAGATACCTGCTGCCTATGGAAAAAGACAAATAACAAGAACCAAAGGAATTATGACTGTGATAGAGACATAGACAAATGACTATATACAAGCCACTCTTCTGGCTACTCTTGATTTAGAAATTATCCTCTTTATGTAGACCACTTCCTCTGCTGGTAGCACACTTAATAGATGACGTGGACTATGTCAGGTCTATAAGCTACAACCCATGGCCAAATCTGGCCTGCCACCTGTTTTGGTACAGCCTGCAAGCTAAGAATGATTTTTACACTTTTAAAGCATTAGGAAAAAAAAATCAACAGAAGAATAATATGTGAAATTCAAATTTCAGGTTCTTAAATAGTTGTATTGGAACACAGCCACACTCACTCATTTATGTAAGATCTATAGTTATTTTCAAGCTACCATGGCAGAATTGAAGAGTTGTGACAGAGACCATATGGCTCACAAGACCAAAAATATTAACTATTTTGCTGACCCTGGTTTAGATGGTTTGGACCTTATCTAACATAAGAGTAAATTAAACCAATGTCAGAAATTATTAGTATCAGAACACATAAAAACACAGCTCCTAGTGGCTTCCAAAAGAACTAATTCGGTAATTACCCTAGGAAAATCACCCAGCACACATCAGTCATAAAAATCCTGTTTTTAAATACACATCACCACATTCTGTCTTTATTAAATAGCATACACATTACTGGTATAGGTAATAAATTATGAAATACTACAATGTTATCTGAATACAAAGTTAGTGTCAAATTACTTTTAAAATATAGTTGGTTCATACTTGTTCAAAAACTATTCGGCAAACATTTACAGAGTAGTACTGCCTTCCAGGTAGCCTGCTAAACAGCAGAAAAAGGAAGATGAGAATGACAGTCATTTAAGGAATCTATGTTTAGAAGGAAAATATAATCAACCCTCAAAAAATATGGTGAGACACCAGGCGCAGTGTCTCACACCTGTAATCCCAGCACTTTGGGAGGCCAAGGTGGGCAGATCACTTGAGGTCAAGAGTACAGCTTGGCCAACATGATGAAATCCCGTCTCTACTAAAAACACAAAAATTAGCTGGGTGTAGTAGTTCATGCCTGTAATCCCAGTCACTTGGGAGGCTGAGGCACAAGAATCGCTTGAACCAGGAGGCGGAGGTTACAGTGAGCCAAGATCATGCCAATGCACTCCAGCCTGAGCAACACAGGGAGACTGAAAAAAAAAAAAGTGGATGAGAAGGCATTTCATAATAAAGCCTCAATATTCTTTTCCCCACTTTCAGTTTTGCATTGGCTTAAATGAGGTAAGCCATGGAAAATGGAAGATGGATTTGTGTAGACCAAAGAAGTTCATGAATTTTATAGTAAAATAAAGGTTATTCATCAATTGACATATTATAAGCCATATTTTGTAAATGACTGAATAGTAGAGTTAGAAAGCCAAATATTAAATAGCTTTCAATATTGCCAAGAATGTCTGTGTTTTAATTATCTTAATTAATTTGCCTTTCTTCTTTTCATTCACTTTCCCCACTGTGTCCAAATAACGATTCCCTCTTTTGTTGCTCCAGTCTTCCAGGGATTTGTAGACTGTCACCTTATTTTGAACTCTGATCCAGCTGGCTCCTCAGCTGTCACTTAGCCAACTATACCAATTATATAGAGATATATAGTTAGATAGATAGATATACATATATATACATATATCTGCTATAATCTTTCCCTATAAGACCATTCAGCTAGCATAACCATGCTAGACTGCCATTCACTGAATAAAACCTAGTGTTTTACATTGAATAGGGATACATCCTAAAGGCTGGGACCCCAGATTATAGGAGAAATGATCATTCTGCTCCCATGATTCTGCAAATGGTTTTTCTTAGCACTGTGAGCCCCAATGAAGCAAACAGCCTCATCAAGTACTCTCTCAGCTACTCTGCTTTCTCCACTCCACCTATCTCGTATCTAATCTGTGGGTCACATGTATGGTGACAGTGCCACCGTGGAAGACTCAAATGCTTATGACTCAATGTGCCAAACAACCAGCGCCAAATTACTGAGAGTGAATGATGCCTCTGCTCCCATTTCAGATTAGAGTGTGTTATGCAGCCATGTAGTTGGGTCATCCCTGCAACTGTTTTATCACCTCTCCCATTCTTTAACATTTCTTATAAAACCAATATATTATGATGCCTTCAATATTGTCATAATAATAATACATACAATGTATTAACAAATAAACTCTCCTGTAGTCCCAGCTACTCGGGAGGCTGAGGCAGGAGAATCACATGAACCCGGGTGGCGGAGGTTGCAGTGAGCCAAGATCGCACCACTGCACTCCAGCCTGGGGGACAGAGCAAGACTCCACCTCAACAACAACAGAAAAAATAAAAATAAAAATAAAAAAACTGTTATTTACCGAAAGATTATTATGTGCCTGGCACTGTCTTGCATGCTTTATATGTATTAACTCATCCGGTTCTCACAATAATCTTATTAAGTGCTATTATTATCTCCACCTTACAACTAAGGAAACAGGCTGCAGTAATCCATTTCTGGTCTTGTTCTTCCTTTCTAGAAGAATCTCTCCTGTGTATCTCCTCTCTTCCCAGGGGCTGTTTGCTTGACCCGCGACTAATGGAAGCCCAGCTCTGACTGCCCCTCAGGGGATGGCTCCTGACTGCCCTAGCTATCCAGGGTACTGCTATTCTGCCAGTGAATGATTTAAACAGAGAAGCAGAGAGGAAGTCCACTAACGGGTTCCAGGAAAGTCTCTTGCTCCTAAGAGGAGACCCAAGGAGGAGACTAGAAGTTGTCATACTCTGATGTGATGTCTACAGCTGTCTTGCCCCCATAAGATGTCCATTTGTGACCCAAACTGGCATGCTGAGATGGCAAAGTGAAGAAAGGTAAAGTGTCTAAAACTCTAGGGATATGACTGAGCCATGGACTGAGCCAACTCTGAAGCTCCCCTCCCACTCTATTCGTTGTTATTTAGATTATATATGTCCTTGCTAAATGATACAAACAATGAATACAACTGAGGTTCAAACCAGCCTATATTTGGAGTCTTATTTGTAATCCCACCTATACAAGGATATAATTCAAAACCCCATTACGGTTCTGCAAACACTCTGCATCTGTGAATTATTCAAAACAAATGCCCTACCAAGAGCATAACACCATCCAACTCATATGTGGGGGGGACCTGTTTCTCTACTGGCAATGCTCTGACACCAAACTTATGGGTTTCTTCCCCTCACACCAACAACAAGTTCTCCAACTTCCTGGAAACCTACTTGATATCTAATGATTGAATTCAATTCTGACAGTAATTACCCAGAGTTAATGCAGACACCACAGGTTAGGGGCTCAGAGCCACAAGATTATCCCTCACTTCAAATGCCAATCACAAGTCTGGGTCTCCTATACTTCTCACCAACTGCCTACAAGTCAGGGGATCTCATGACTCCCTCCTCAAGTTCAATCGTTTGCTAGAAGGGGTCACAGAACTCAAGAAAACAGCTTACTATTACTGATTTATTAAAAAGGACATAATGGATACACATGAACAGCCAGATGAAGAGGTACACTGTGTGATGTCCAGAAAAGTCCCAAACACAGAGGCTTCTATCCCCATGGAGTCGGGGTGCACCATCCTCCCGGCATGTGGATATGGTTATCAACCTGGAGGCTCTCCAAACCTCATAGTTTAGAAATTTTGAGGGGGTTTCATCACATAGGCATGATAGATAATTAAACAATTTCCAGCCCCTCTCTCCTCCCTGGAGAATAGGGGTAGGGTGGGTTAGAAGTTCCAAGCTTCTAATGACAGTTTAGTCTTTCTGATGACATCACCACTTTGAAGCTATCCAGGAACCCACTAAGAATCACCTCATTAGAACAAAAGGTTTATCACCCAGGAAATTCCAAGGGATTTGGGAATTCTGTGGAAGACATTCTTATCACCTCTATCACTCAGGAAATTACAAGGGTTTTAGCAGTTGGGTGTCAAGGGGCAGAGACCAAATTTTTGAGACAGAGTCTCACTCTGTTGCCCAGGCTGGAAAGCAGTGGTGTGATCTCAGCTCACTGCAACCTCCACCTCCCGGGTTCAAGCGATTCTCATGCCTCAACCTCCCGAGTAGCTGGGACTACGGGCAGGAGCCACCACGCCCAGCTAATCTTCGTATTTTTAGTTGAGAGGAGGTTTTCACCATGTTGGCCAGGCTGGTCTCTAACTCCTGGCCTGAAGCAATTTGCCTGCCTTAGCCTCCCCAAGTTCTGTGATTACAGGTGCAGGACAATGTGCCTGGCCCAAATATATATTTCTTATCATGTCACATTTACCAAGAGTGTACCACCATTCACCCCAGCCTGCCCTTATGGCAAGGATCCAGCTTGAGTGTACCCCAGGCATGACTGGTTCTTACATTACAATAAACAATACTCAAAAAGATGGAACATTAACATAATGAGAAAAGCAGCAGCAGATTTAAAAATCAAAATGATTTTAGAGTATTTGCTGTTTACAGATAATCTGAGCCTCTGCCATCTATTTTAAGCATTATTAATGAATGACAACAACACACACAGGAAAAGGAGTGAAAGTGATAACTACGGATTTTTTTTTAACAGCAAAAAAAAAAAAACAAGTCGGGGATCCCAGACGCTGAAACAGGAGGCCCTTGGCACGGGCCTGGCTCTGCCCAGAAGTAATCACTTCCACTCACTGGACCTCAGTTTCCTCACCTAGAAGATCAGAGGGGTTTATAAAAAGGATGTGAAACTTGAATTTCCTGACTACTGGTGGAAGACTCTGACTACCATTCTATGAGAATCTACCAAATGATTCCAAGGAAGTATTTCAACATAGAGGAAAAGGTTCCCTTTGCTTTCTCATCTTAAACTCTAAAAAAAAAAATTTTTGAGACAGTCTCACTCTGTCGCCCAGGCTGGAGTGGTATGATCTCGACTCATTGGAACCTCCACCTCTGGTGTTCAAGCAATTCTCCTGCCTCAGCCTCCCAAATAGCTGGGACTACAGGCACGCATCACCATACCTGGCTAATTTTTTTTTGTATTTTTAGTAGAGACAAGGTTTCACCACATGAGCCAGGCTCCTCTCAAACTCCTGACCTCAGGTGATCCGGCTGCCTTGACTTCCCAAACTGCTGAGATTACAGGCATGAGCCACTGCATCCAGCCTTAAAATTATAAATTAAATGGACATATATTCCAAGGAAATCCAAGCTAGGTTTCCTTAACCATGAGCATATATTCCTGATGGGGGAAGAGGAGAGAGAAAGAAGGAGGTTCTGGGAGTGCAAATACACCAGAGTGGGCACAAGATACCCGCCTCCGTGAAGGAGGCACTACCAGCTGGGGCCTGGAAAATGTTCTGCCCAATTCAATCCCGTGACCATGAAGTGGCAAGTTTGAAACATGTTGTTTCACTTTTCCCAGGCTGTAACAACAGAGTCATAATTTCCTTCTTAACTGGAACCATCTGATAGTTCCGGGGAAGCAGTTCATGGCACGTTCTCTTTGCTTTGTGTCTTGGCGACAGCACTGTGTTAAGAGTCACCAAGAGTTACACACACAACGAGGGGAAGAGCCTCAAAAGTGCAGAGAAACCACAGCAAATATTAAAAGCAGAAGATCTCATGTGTGTGTTTTAAGAGTTTTTTACATCACCCCCTTATTGCTGATATTTTTGGAAGACTGCTAAAACAAGATGAAAGCTGAGGATTGGTTAAATTCATTACTTTTGACTAAGTTGCAAACTATGCAACCAGCGAAACAGTGCTACTAAATTAATGCCTCTAAAGAGATGCTGGGGCCTCTAATAAGCATCCAATAACTCCCTGAATGGCAGTGAGTTCATAATGGCCCTTCCCCCTGGCCTCTCGGCCCGGAATAAACAGGCTGCAGGTCTTACGGAGGGAGCCCCAACGGGAGACAGACACTGAAACAGGAAGCCCTTGGCACGGGCCTGGCTCTGCCCAGAAGTAATCACTTTCACTCACTGGACCTCCGTTTCCTCACATAGAAGATCAGAGGGGTTTATAAAAAGGCAAACTCCTCAAGGTTCCCCCAAGTGCGTTTTTAAAACAGTAAAACCCTGCCTTGCTTACACACCCAGCACAATCATTTGAGATGTTTTCATGGGGCATTCAAACGTTTTGTACTTTAAGAAAAATTTTTAATGGAGGGTTTGGGCTGGAAGGAGTAAACAAAGTTTATTCTTTTCCTTCTCTGTGTCCAGTTCCCAAAGAAGATAAAAATGCTAATTCCAGCTCAAAGTTGAAAGCATATCTGTGCAGTTCAAGATACTTAACTATGTTTCAGTTGAAATGGACTTCCTTAAAGATACACTTGAGATAAAGTTATCACCAACAGATGTTGAGGTGATCTTATCTTAACCAACTCAAACAATCAGCTCATTCTTAAAACAGAGTTAATGAGACTGGTAAAGGTGGAACCTAATGGTTATTTTGGAAAAGGAGGGAAGAGAACAGTATTTAATGCCTTTAACAAACTGAATACCCACCTCAAGAGTTCCTGTTACCAAGTCTTTTTTTTTTTAATAAGTGCACTTTCTCTTCAAAGGTTTAGAAACTTATTTAAATGGAGACTAACATAAAGTAGGGAAGAATGCCTCAGGACTTTTCTCAAGCATAAATTTCTTTGTGAACAACATTCATCTCATAGGAAAGCATCCAGATGTTGAAGGTTCACAGGAGAAATAGAAACAGAATGTATGGATAGAGCCTAGAAAATGAAATCTATAGAGCTACATCATCACACTTCCCATATATGACCCTAAACCTTCTAAAATGACCTTGACTTCCCGAAAGAGCCAAACATGTGTCTTGTCTCACATTTGAATTAAATGTGTCACTTCTCCCCTCCAACACCAAAAACAATTGGATAATGAAGAAACATTGACACTGAATCCACATAGAAATGAAAACAAGACTAGGTCATCAAAATATTTATCTGAATCACATCTAAACTAAAAATAATCTTTCTATTTAAATCATTCTACTATAATTTGGTTGCTTAATTGCTTTCCAAATTAAAGCAATGATAATAGTGAACTAGAGTCTAAAAATTTAATATCAGAGAAACACAATAATCAAGTCTATTAAATATTTATTGAGCATTTACTATGTACCGAAAGGCACTAATTTTACTACCTGCACATAGAACTAGAGCATTCTTTTCAACTAGCCTA
Source organism: Homo sapiens (assembly GCF_000001405.40). Taxonomy (NCBI): domain Eukaryota; kingdom Metazoa; phylum Chordata; class Mammalia; order Primates; family Hominidae; genus Homo; species Homo sapiens. Next base: position 117,958,779 of record NC_000008.11, read on the forward strand.
AGCAAAAGTATGTAATTTACTAAAGTTAAATTATTCCATTGAAAACAGATTCAAGGCCTTTTTTTCTTTCCTAAATATGCCATTTCTCTCACAATTCTTGCACTTACCATCTCTGGCTCCCCTACTAAACATTCCCATTTTACTCCACATGCAAAATCTCCTTTCTGAGGCTACTGAGAACAAGCAATAGGTTGGGTTTTTCTGCACTGATCCTAGTTACTTCCCTTGACCAAACAGTCCAGGTTCTAACTGCAATCACTAAGGGGCCCTTGTTTGAACTCCTAGGAGGTCCAACTCCACACTTCCTCCAATTAGCATCACATTGGACCTGAGAAATTCCAACAGGTTGTGCACAAAGTGAAGGAAAGAGAAAATGGCTTAAGAATGGCTAGTGCCTGTGAAAGCTGCATGCCTTAGGGAAAGCTGGCCAAGGGACAGGCAGCTTTTCCCGCAGGAGACAGAACTCTCCTGCCTAGCACCCAAGGCCGGCCCTGATCAAGCTCTAGCCTAGCACACAAGGCCGGCCCTGATCAAGCTCTAGCCTGTTCCCCTGGCCTCACCTCTGTCCATCACTCGCTTCTGCTTCATGTTTCCCACAAACAACTCTGTTTCATTCTTCTGTGCCCTTGCTAGCTAGCACTATATTTGAAGGCCAGAAGCGTCTTCAAATTATAACCATGGGAAGCATACCACTAAGGAAGAGGACAATGTAACTGAGGCAGTTCTCGGCACAGTCCTTACCACTGTCATCATGATCACCTGCTTGAGGCAGATGCTGGATAAGCACTTCGCATTATCTTATTTAACCTCCTCAGTTCACAGATGAGGACACTGGAGATCACAGACAGTAAGGGAGATAATTATATTGGACACACGTTTGTGTGATTACACAGCCCAAGCTCATATTAAATGCATTGTAATATTTCTTCATAATACAGCTGCTCAAACCACAGTGAATCAGGCACTTGAGCCCGGTGTCAGCATCTAGGAACCCAAGTTAAGGAGGGTGGCTGCCTAAGTTCATAATCCACTTCTGCCTCTACTTTCTCTAAAAGATAGTAAAGTTACTTATCATTTCAAAGCTTCATTGTGACTTCACAGAGTTGTCATGAACGTTATATAGAACAACAGATTGGCACATAATAAATACCCAGGCCGGTCATGGTTGCTCACGCCTGTAATCCCAGCACTTTGGGAGGCCAAGGCAGGCAGATCATAAGGTCAGGAATTGAGACCAGCCTGACCAACATGGTGAAAACCCATCTTTTGTAAAAATACAAAAATTAGCCGGGTGTGGTGGCAGGCACCTGTAATCCCAGCTACTCACGAGGCTGAGGCAGGAGAATCGCTTGAACCTGGGAAGCAGAGGTTGCAGTGAGCCAAGATTGTGCCACTGCACTCCAGCCTGGGTGACAGAGCGAGACTCCATCTCAAAAATAAATACATAAATAAATAAATTAAATAAAATAGATACCCAATAAAATATACAAAGTTGTGAATTTGTCTTCAAATTTAGTGCAATTTGCACTTTTCATGGTAAAACTTGAAACTATTTTGTACATGTAATCTAAATGCAATCCTCCCCAACATTTTAACTCCACCTCAACTTTGCTTTCTTTGAAAGCTTATAAAAAGCTCCAACCTTAATGGACTCTTCCAGTTTTTATTTATCTAAGCCAAACACAAATAATTCACCACCACCATCACCCTGTCTTAGAGGAACTCAACTGAGATTGGATAGAGAAACAAATCAGGTAAGTGAATACAGCTTAGAAAACAGTTTCACTACTTTTGTACATAATTATAAGTACCTGGATCTGTGTAGTGAGGAACTTTCACCATGCATAATAAAGAGAAAAATGTTGTAATCAGTGCATAAAATTAAAATAGTTTAATTACAATTTGGTTCTAACAGAATCGACTGCCTAAGGTGGCCATCTTGAGGAAGTGATAAGAGCATCCTGGACACGGAGCCAACAAAGGATGTTTAAGCAGCAAAATTAGACATTTAATTTTGGAACTTCCTACTTATGAGAAGCCTGGGGCAATTTGTGTGAGTGTTAGTGCACTGAAGAGCTACAAGAAATCCTTTGTTTTTCAAATAATAGCGGGGAAAAACACGACAGCAATGAAATATGCCTGAGATGGTCTACACTACACACTTATCCTGGTGATTCTAGTATCAAAAAAAGAAGAACAAGGTGCAATACTCTGCGCAAGAGTCATAAACTCTTTTGTGGGAAGTAGAGGGTAAATGGGCAAATGGTCGTTTACTTTGGCATTGAGGAAACTCCAACTTTGACCAAATTTCAGGGCATTTTCTTAGCCAAAGCATTTCTTTCCCTCCTTCCCTCCTTCCCTCCTTCCTTCCTTCCCTCCCTTCTGTCTTTCTCTCTCTTTCTTTTTTTTTAACAGGCAAAGTCTTGCTATGTTGCCCAGTCTGAACTTGAACTCCTGGGCTCAAGGAGTGATCCTCCTGCCTCAGCCTCCAGAACAGCTGGGACTACAGGGTGCAGGTGACTGCACCCAGATTCCAATCATTTCTTGATTTGGAAGCAGATATGAGGAAGAAGCATAAAGATTGGGGGACAGGGGGATTCTGGCATATGGGCCTTAGGATAAAAAAAATAGTTTTCTTTGATATTGATCATTGGCTTGAATATGCTTTGCAATTAAGATTTATAGTGAATGTAAGCAAAACCAGCACCTAGAAATCTAAATGTACCAAAAGGAATATTAGGGGATAAGTTGACATTTTATGAGTCTATACTTCTGAATTCTCTAAAACAGCTTTTAAAATAAGCTATTCTAATTGGATGCAATTTGCAAGCATGAAACATACGTGCACTTATTTCAAGAATTCATATATAAAGTGAGATTCAGCTATATGCTGTTAAGGATAAATATTCTTGCAGCAAATAAGAATTGCTCTTGCACCCTAACGATGGATCTTTCTAAAGAGAACATTCAAGAGAAACTTCAGGTGCTTACAACATGCACACAGAACAAACTCTTAATGGCGGGCTGAGCTCCTGCTGCTGGCCTGAAAAACGGGGTCTAAACAACTCCTTTCATGGTCGCCTTGCATAGAACCACAGATCTCATAGTTGAAAGGAGTCTTGATCTGCCAGCTCTCTGCCTGAACTATGAACTCGCCACTTAGTGTCCTCCATAAGTGAGTGCTGAAAAATCTGTTTGGGTAAATGGTACCTCATGTATTAATTAAGAAGGGTCAGTGCAGGGGAAAAAATACCAGCAAGGCAATCAATTCCTTCTTTCCACTGCCTCAGATTTGTGCATTTAAACAATGCCACCTCAGTAGGCTCATTTGTCAGTTTAGGTCACTGATTTCTTCCTCAGTCACCAGGTACTAGGCAAAACTACCACTTCCTGGTAGAAGAATATGCTTCAGACTACCCAGTGGCTATAGTAAACAAACCATTATCTATTTGGAATACTCTTCTTTCTATGAATCTATGCTATGAAAAGCAGAAACTGCTTACGTTGCTTCTGTAAAGTGTGGCAAACCAAATTTAGCCAAGGGGGCCTGGTGCTGTGCCTCACACCTGTAATCCTAGCACTCTGGGAAGCTAAGGTGGAAGAATCCTAGCATTTTGAGGCCAGGGGTTTGAGACCAGCCTGGGCAACACAGCAAGACCTCATCTCCAAAAAAAAAAAAATTAGCCAAGAATGGCTGGGCACAGTGGCTCATACCTGTAATCCCAGCACTTTTGGAGGCCAAAGCCAGCAGTCACTTGAGGTCAGGAGTTCGAGACCAGCCTGGCCAACATGGTGAAACGCCCATCTCTACTAAAAATGCAAAAATTAGCTGGGCTTTGTGGTGCATGCCTGTAATCCCAGCTCCTTGGGAGGCTGAGGCAGGAGGATTGCTTGGGGCTGCGAGACAGAGGTTACAGTGAGCCCAGATCATGCCACTGCACTCCAGCCTAGGGAATGGGGAAAGACTCCATCCCCCCACACCCCCCACCCCCAAAAAAAAGAGAAAAAATGGTGGCACACACCTGTAGTCCCATCTAATCTAGAGGCTGAGGCAGGAGGATCCCTTGAGCCCAGGAGTTCAAGGCTGCAGTGGGCTGTAATTGCACTGCTGCACTCCAGCCTAGGTGACTGTAGGGTACACACCCCTGATAGCATTAATTTAAGCATACCCTTAGAATGACCCTCTAGGGCAGATGCACCTGAATGTGTGTTCCAAGGTAGGAAACTGGACATGACAAATCTGGAGAGTCTTTCCTTATCTATGAGGAACATCTGAGCTGCTCTCCCACCATCCCATCCCATCCCATCCAATAGTCTTGTTCCTTCCCTTCCTGTTCCCTGGAACACAGGCTGTATAGGGGATTGAGGTGTTGAGTTTCAGGTTAAATGAAGGTTACCAGTGGAGGTCGTTAGGGCAGGTGTTAAGTTAAATGCCATATAAAGTACATGATGTCTGCAGGCAGCTGTGGTTTTCCCGACCAGCTTGCTGCCACTGAGCCTGTGGTTACCTTGTCCAACTAGCTGCCACTGGACCATTTCTGTACATAAGGTGGTTCTCCTGTCCAGCCAGCCACCACTGGACTCTCTCTCCTGTATTAAGCCCTTAATAAAACTCCATGTCTTATTTGCTGGCTCTGAGTCTCTTCTTTGGCCTTTTGAACACGGCGCCTTCTCTATTCGAGTTTTGTTGTGGTGGTGGTGGTGGTTTTTCATTTTTTTATTTTATTTTTGAGACAGGGTCTCACTCAATCACCCAGGCTGGACTGCAGTGCCAGGATCTCAACTCACTGCAACCTCCACCTCCCGGGTTCAAGCGATTCTCTTGCCTCCGCCTCCTAAATAGCTGGGATTACAGGAAGACACCACACGCCTGGCTAATTTTTGTATTTTTAGTGGAGATGGGGTTTCACCATGTTGGCAAGGCTGGTCTCAAACTTCTGACCTCAGGTAATCTGCCCACCTCTGACTCCCAAAGTGCTTGAATTACAGGCATGAGCCACTGCACCCGGCCCCTATTGAGGTTAATTGGGGTTTGGCACAACAGCAAAAGAGTAACACCCTATCTCTAAAAATGCTCCTGCTAACTATTTTATTCCCAAGAGGATGATGTGTGTGTTTGTTTATGCAAAATATATGGAGATTTTATTACATGCAACCCACATCCCCTCCCAACCCTTTCATCATGAGGTTCATTTGATGAAAGTCACCATAATTTTGGCTAAATGGTTATGTTGATTAAAGTTAGTGAAAACTATAAAATATGCAGTATTAAGTAGAAACCACTGTGCATTGCCAAAGAAACTGCTTTGGGGAATTACAGTGCTTTGTATCATTTGTTTACTTATACACTTTACCTATTTCCCCTCCATCCTTTTAATTTACATTATCTTTAAAGATAACAATGTAAAGCTTCAGTCTAGACAACCCTCCCAGCTGATCTGAAATCTGGAATTAGTGGAATTCCAATGAAGTGCATATAATTCTTGTCTGCTAAGTTTTTATAAGGATCCCCTTAGGTCAACTCCACATTGGCTTCTAGAGTACTGCATGTACAGCAAATTCTGATTTGTCTTCCCTTCCTCCTCCCCTCAAGGTATGTGTGTAAGCATGATATTTGTTGGTGGTAGCAGTGAAGGAGTGGGGAGTGAGGATAGTGGACAGAGGTTAATTAAATCACCCAAATATGATTTGTAGAATATCTCCTCTTCTGGTTTAATTCTTCTTTCCAAGTACAACCACAGGAGTCAAAAGAGCACCTTAAAATTTTCCAACAACCTCCATTTGGGAGGAATGTGAATTTCACAGAAAGAGAAATTTTTGTGGGTTTTATGTCTGTGTGTGTGTGTGTTTGTTTGTTTGTTTGTTTGTTTGTTTGTTTTTTGTTTTTTGAGACAGGCCCAGGCGGCTGGAGTGTAGTGGCATGATCTCAGCTCACTGCAACCTCTGCCTCCTGGGTTCAAGTGATTCTCCTGTCTCAGCCTCCCGAGTAGCTAGGATTACAGGCGTGTGCCACCATGCCTGGCTAATTTTTGTATTTTTAGTAGAGACAGGGTTTCCCTATAGTGGCCAGGCTGGTGTTGAACTCCTGACCTCGGGTGATCTGCCCGCCTTGGCCTCCCAAAGTGCTATGATTACAGGCATGAGCCACCACGCTCAGCCAGAAATCTTTGTTTTACTCACTGTTATAAGTTCAGGTGCCTAGAAGGATGTCTCCTGACACACAGTAGGCATTCAATAAATATTTGTTGAAAAAATGAATACATAAAAATGAAAAAGTCAGAAATAAATGATTTAACTATAATTTACTCTCAATACCCTTCATGTTGGGCTTGAGATACGTAGTGTCTTGTTTTTTTGTTTGTTTTTTTAAGTTAATCATTGAAAGACACAACCAGCGTATCCTCTGGAACTTGAAAATAAAGATAAAACATAGTATAAATTATGTGTTGTTTTTCTTTAGTCCTAAGCACAGAGCAATTTTGTATTAGATTACAAAATGTCTGATGTCTGGGCATCAGTCAGCAGCAATAGAATATTAAAGATCAGATGGGCTGATTGCTACTGTTTAATTAATAACCTGGAGTGGAATCAGTGCCGCTAGTTGGAATATTCCCTTAGCATCAGGGCACTAAATATTTCCATTTAGTGTTTCAATGGATACACTAAAAACAAGGGGGAATTACCTTGAAAGACCACCAAGAGTAATGTTGGCATTTTGGGGTCAGAAGTCTCTGATTAAATAGTTTCAAGGTTTGCAGATAAATATTGTGCAATTCAGGAGATCATAAGCCAACTTTAGAACTTAAAGGATAGTTTTCTAATACATATGGAATAGAATATTTTTCTTCCTCTTTCAGTTATTTTGTAAGTTAGATAGAAACTGTGAAAACACTAGCACATTGTCAGCTATGTAACAGGCTCAATACATATTAATCAGTGAATCTCTTGAGCTTTTCTCTAATACCCAAAATGAAGCTACTTTCTTAGAATTAGAAAAAATAATGAGTTTTCTGCAACTAGTTACTTTTTAATCCTAATTATGTGCTAACTATTCACGTAGATAATTCTGATATGTGGAATAACTAAAAATCTTCCCCACCATGAACAAAGGGTAATGTCCAAATTTCCACTTGGAGGAATAACCAAGCAAAGTATTTCTTTTTCATCAAGGGCATGTCCATGGTAAAATAAATAAATAAACACATACATGCATATACACACACACACACACACATATATACACACGCACATATACATATATATACTCACAGAAATCACCTGTTTTGTTAGCCAAATAATCATGAAACGATTCAAAGTGTAATTATTTCCCAAAAGTAAAAATATAATAATCCAATATAGAGAAAAGTCTCCACATATTCTTCAAAGGACCACCATCACAGTTGTAACTTCATATCCTTGTCATGGCAGTTCCCCAAGGCAGCATCCCATTCCAAAACGAGGATTCTTTCACAAGGAATGAGATCTCTGTGTGTATTACGACAGGATTCCAAAGTTTAGAACTTTTCCCCCTTGCTATTCAGCCTGTTGACAGGATAATAACATCTAATTTAGCACAGCCATGTGACAGACATGTCCTCCTAAAGTGCTTTACATACAATGTCTCATTTCATCTTTTCAACAAGGTCTGTTATATTAATAATAACATCTCCATTTTGCTACTAAAGAAACTGGGAGGTCGGAAAGGTTAAGTAACATGGAGGAGGTCACACAGCTAGTTAGCATAGGGACCAGGTGTCAACTTTGGGGTTTCTTTGACTTTTAAAGCCAGGCTTTTGACTACTCTCATATACTAAGTCTGGCGTATCCCCTCTTTCCTTTCTTTCCCGAGGGATTTATTCTGTTCTGCATTTCATTAAATCTGAAACATACCAACTCTACCACAATCTACATGCAAACAAATAATTCTCCATTTTGATGAAGGGAAAGACTAAAAATAATTCTTTAAGACTGAGAACAATATCCACTGACAACTTTGATGATAAAATCTATTTTTATTTTCCCCCTTTTCGTTTTTCAGCCTAATGCAGTTCACTTTGTCCCTTAAACAAGGTGTTCCACTGCTATTGAGAAACCAATTTTCTCTCAATACTTTATTGCAACATTATCAAGAAACTAGCTACTTAAACAGCAGGTAACCTTCTATTTCATGCATAATTACCATGCACTATATTTTGATGTGATCCTAATGGCCCTAAGTACGTTTTAAACAAACCCTCAACCTGCCCAAATGAAAAACATTTTGCTTCCTCTGTTGCACTTGTGTGGCAATGATAATTAACACATCTTGGGAAATTCGGGCTACATCTGATTAAATCATAACACACCATAAAGGTCTTTACAAATAATCCTTTGAAGAATCCAGCTGAGAAAATCATGAAAAGAAGAATTATGAGAAAGGAAGCTCATTATAATTTTGTGCCTGGCACTTGAAGGTGAGCATTTTGAAATCAGTCAACTTACCCAGAATGCACCTGAATGTCTGAGGAAGGAGAGCTGTCTGTGTGACCAACTCTTCACTCACAAACTCCATACTTCTGTTCAGTTTCCAGTACCTTTATTATGTCTTTATTTTAGTCAATGACCAAGGTAATGCTGCTCTTTCCTCAGACCAAAAACTTAAAAAGCAGTCATTAAATATTTTTTAAATTTCCCTTCACAAGAGGAGGTATCTTCAGACTTCCATGCTTAAAAGTTCAGCACTTGAGAGAATGTGTTTATAAATGGAAACATAAAATATGGTTTGAACTAAACAAAACAAACTTTGGGGGAAAAAGGAAAACCAAACCCAGGAACTAAGCCTGCTTTATTAATTCCAAAGGCCCAAAGTCAAATGAGATGAGCACTTGGATAACAAGGGCAATCATCCCCTTTAATAATGGAACTATGGCTATTATTACGGTTGTTGCTAATAATGATTGCACTTGCCACTTATTGAGTGCTTACTCATGGATTCTGCTACAACAGTGCTGAGAGTTACTTTTAACTCACAGAACAGAAATCTAAAGGTGGAGAGGTAATGAAGCCACTTGCCCAAGATCACACAAGTGTGTAAGAACAAAGTGGCAGATACGTAAAACAAACGAGTCTAAAGATCTGATGTACATGAGGACTATAGTTAATAGTATTGTATTCCATATTTCTGCTAAATGAATAGATTTTAGCTGCTCTTGCCACACATACAAAAAAATGGGTAGCCATGCAAGATGATAGACATGTTAACTTGCTTCACTATCAACCATTTTACTATCTACATATACATGTATCTCTTAACATCATGTTGTATGCCTTAAATATAAACAATAAAATTTACTTTTTAAAATTTTTTTATTTGAGACAGGGTCTGTCACTCAGACTGGAATGCAGGGGCATGATCATAGCTGACTGTGGCCTCCATCTCGGGGGCCCAAGCGATCCTCCCACCCCAACCTCCCCAGTAGCTGTGACTACAGGCACACAACACCGTGCCCAGCTAATTATTTTGAAATTTTTAGTAGTTTTTTGAAATTTTAAAGGTCTCGTTGTGTTGCACAGGGTGGTCTTGAACTCCTGGGCTCAAGCAATCCTCCTTCCTTGGCCTCCTAAAGTTCTGGGATTATAGGTGTGAGTCACCATGCCTGGCCAAAATTTACTTTTTTCAAATGAGGCAATAAGTATCACAGCTGAGGTTCAAACTCAGGCCTGCCTTACCACAAAGTCTGTGCTCTAATTAAATACTACTTATTCTGCCTTATTTATTTATTTATTTATTTATTTATTTTTTTTTTTTTTTTTTTTTTTTTTTTTTTTTTGAGACGGAGTCTCACTCTGTCACCCAGGCTGGAGTGCAGTGGCTTGATCTCGGCTCACTGCAAGCTCCACCTCCCGGGTTCACGCCATTCTCCTGCCTCAGCCTCCCGAGTAGCTGGGACTATAGGCGCCCACCACGACGCCCGGCTAATTTTTTGTATTTTTAGTAGAGACGGGGTTTCACCAGGTTAGCCAGGATGGTCTCGATCTCCTGACCTTGTGATCCGCCCGCCTCGGCCTCCCAAAGTGCTGGGATTACAGGCGTGAGCCACTGTGCCCAGCCAATTCTGCCTTATTTAAAGCAGTAAATATTTGACTGTAAACTACCTATTGTATACAGCTCTGTCTCTTCCTGATGTCCAAACTGTTTATTAAGCAAAAATAAGTTCTATACCATGGTGGTATATAAAAGAAGGAAAATGCGAAAAGCAGACCCAGTCCAGAGGAGTTACCATCTTTATTGGGAAGATAAGACTTTTACGAATGAAATAATTAGGGAAAAAAACAAAGCGGCCACATTTATTACCAAAAGCCTCGGGGCAGGGTCCAAATCTTTTATGAGAAGCCCCATTATTTGGAATCCAAACTAAGTAAAAATGTGAACAACTGAGATTTGGTCCCTTCCTTGTCATCCCTGTACTGCCACCCAAGAAGATCCTTTTATACTATTTTAAGAGAAATTGAAAATAATAAACAAGTAGATTGTCCTCAGGAATTTAATATTTCTTAACGGAATTGAACAGAGTTTTCCAGGGCAATCTCTTCCACCATTCGTTTCCATAGTATTGTATAGCAAATGGTTGTTTAGCCCAACAAACTAAAAATGTCAACCACAGCCTTGAGACCCTCTAAATTCTATAAAGTGAAACGTCTCACTTTGAAATATGCACATTGATCCCAGAGACGCAAATTCTCTCACTTTTAAGGCTATTGTGAAACTAACTCCAGCTTCATCTTTATGGAGCTGTTTCAATGTATAATTTAAGAAATCACTTCCAAATACTGAAAAATCCGTGAAAATCCTGCATAAATTATGCATGTTTGCGAGTCCCCTCCCTCATGTTGTGACAGATCTGAGCTATGTGGTGGTGGCAGTGGTGTGTGTGTGTGCGCGCGCACGCGTGTATGTGCATGCACATGCACACATGGTGTGGTTGAGATGGAAACCTTTCTCGCAAGCTTATTGAATATTTCCACCTCCTACAGAGCACTCTGAAGAAATGCACTTTTTCAACATTCAGATGAATGTGAATCAGAACGGCAGTTCTCCCAGGACTCATCTTTTATATTGAACGTAGGGTCACTGACAGGATTGAAATGGATCCAAGTTACCTTGATTAGCTGATTTTTAAAAGATTAGAAGCAGCCAGCTATGGACCGGAGGAAGGAGAACTGATTCTAGTGTCTGCTCTACCACAAAAAAGCCATGAGAATTTTAACATGTTACTTCAACCCTCTAAACCACAGTTTCCTTTTGTGTAAAATGAGGGATAAACCAGATAGTCTTTAGGTGGAATTCATGAACTGCCAGCCTGCAGACGTATTTGTTTAGCTAAGCTTAACCCCAAGATCTTTTTTATACTGGAGCACTATAAAGAGGTTTTATGGCATGACTCTCAAATTTTAGTGCATGACAGACTCTCCCAGAGAACCTACACCTGGGCTGTACCCCCAGAACTTCTGACCTAATTGGTTTGAGGCAGGGCTCAGGAATCTACATTTTTTTTTTTTTTTTTGACACGGAGTCTCACTCTGTCACACAGGCTGGAGTGCAGTGGCGTGATCTCAGCTCACTGCAACTCCGCCTCCCAGGTTTAAGTGATTCTCCTGCCTCAGCCTCTTGATTAGTTGGGATTACAGGTGTGTACCACCATGCCTGGCTAATTTTTTTTGGTATTTTTAGTAGAGATGGGGTTTCATCATATTGGTCAGGCTGGTCTCAAACTCCTGACCTTGTGATCTGCCTGCCTCAGCCTCCCAAAATGCTGGGATTACAGGCGTGAGCCACCATGCCCGGCCAGGAATCTGAATTTTCAACAGGGGCTTTCAAGGGATTCCAAGGTACTTGGTCCATGGACCACACTTTGAGCATAGTGGGTTAGTTGAAATTCTTGGTGATCTAAGTGCTCACATCACAACTTAGCAGTTACAAACTTCATTGAGTGGAATCCAAAATCTGACTTAAATGAACCGGAATCACACACTAGAGGAGAGCACATGTGCTGGATGTATCCATGGAGTGCAGCAGTTCTAATGCTGCCACTTTCTGCCACTCACAAGCGGTGAATCCTGGGTAATCCGTTTTTCCATCTGGAAAAATAAGGGCAGCAGGATCATCTCACAGGATTCTCAAGAGGATGAGAAATCTCAGGGGGGTTACCTAGCATGATTCTTGGCACAGAGAAGATCCTCATGCCCTGTTATGTCTTCTCCTGGCCCCATTCCCTTCAGGGGCACTGCACTGCATGGAGCTGGCCTGCCCAAGAAGCACGAGGACACCAGGTGTGCACATAGCTTGCCTCTCGTGACCTCACCTGTGCAGGCTTGCCCTCAGCTTCCCGAAAGAGCAAAATGATCTTAATTTGTCCTGTTTGGGGAGGGAGTGGACTGCAACCACCTGCACTCATTTCAAAACAGACCACTCACTGTAGAAACTGAAAAGAAAACACATTTATTACTCCTCTCCCACAATACTACTTCACCTCCCCTGCCCTCAAAGCCTTAGTAAGTGGGCAAATTCCTAAAGTGGAAATTATATGATAAACTTTGGCCAAGCCATAAAACACAGCCGGGACTAAGGTCACAAAACAGTTACTGATGTATGTTCCCTGATCAAAGCCACTCCATGACACTCACTTTTAGGAGTCAAGGGGACTACAGAAACTTACAGGAAGAAAAAAAAGCAACTTTGAAGATAAATTAGAGAAGCAGTCTACTCATGGTCAAAAGACATTACTCTTTGAGCTTTATATATTAATGAAGATTAAATTCGAAGTTTATAAGCTCTTTGTGATTATTAATAATTCAATTACAAGGAGGTACAGAAGCCATTCAAATTAATATTGGCGATGAAGGGCTAAAGAATGCTCAGCACCCCTGCTCTCCACCAAAAAACCCACTCCATGAATTAATTGTGGTCACGTAAATTATAGATGCTTAATCATCATCTGGGTTGAACTCTTTGCAAATGGTATCCCCTTTCTTGACATTTTTCCAAAAGGAAATTTTTTAGTTATATGCCAATGCATTCAAGATCACCAAAAGTGCTGTTAATAACACAGAAGACCGGGTGCGGTGGCTCACGCCTGTAATCCCAGCACTTTGGGAGGCCAAGGTGGGTGGGTCACCTGAGGTCTGGAGTTCGAGACCAGCCTGACCAACATGGAGAAACCCTGTTTCTTCTAAAAATACAAAATTAGCCGAGCGTGGTGGCGCATGCCTCTAATCCCAGCTACTCAGGAGGCTAAGGCAAGAGAATCGCTTGAACCTGGGAGGCTGAGGTTGCGGTGAGCCGAGATTGTGCCATTGCAGTCCAGCCCGGGCAACAAGAGCAAAACTCCAACAAAAAAAAAAAAAAGAAAGAAAGAAAAAAAAGAAAAATGAAAAACAGAAAAATGAAATGGAATTGGGACCAGAATAGGCTTCAGGATTTCCAGAGTGCAGTCAAAGGATCCACTGTGTAGCATGCAAAATTTTATGACTTTTGCCTATGCATTTTTCAGGGCAATAAATATCGTGGAGGTATATTTACTGTTTTCTACTTGAAAAGCAAATTTGTGGCAAGGGTGCTGGGCACAAATAAAATTAGTTAAGTGATAGATAGACACAGGAAAGGTCAATTGCTAGACAACAGTATATGAAACCACTCTTGCTCAAATGGTAAAAGAGGTGAAGAGGTGTCAGGAGAGCAACTTCATTATCCTCTAAGTGCCTTTTTCCATCCCAGTGGGAAAAAAATGCAAACACTCACGCACACATACTATGGTGGCAAATGCAAAATCGAATACCAATTGCTTTCTTTTGATAGTTTTGATACGTGTATTAGTCTGTTCTCACACTGCTAATAAAGATGGGTAATTTACGAAGGGAAAGGGTTTAATTGACTCACAGTTCGGCGTAGCTGGGGAGGCCTCAGGAAACTTAAAATCATGGCGGAAAGGGAAGCAAACAGGTCCTTCTCACATGGTGGTGGTAAGAAGTGCAGAGTGAAGAGGGGCAAAAGCCCCTTATAAAACCATCAGATCTCATGAGAACTCACTCACTATCATGATAACAGCATGAAGGTAACTACCCCTATGATTCAATTACCTCCCACCAGATCCCTCCCATGACACATGGGGATTATGGGAACTAAAATTCAGATGAGATTTCGGTGGGGACACTGCCAAACCGTATCAATATGTTTCACTAGAAACCAAAGAAAGGCTCAGAAAACCAAGAACAGACACATGTTGACCTTACCTTAAGCCTGAATGATAATTTTCAAACACAAACCATGTAGTATTTTAGAACCATTGTAAAATATTTGATTCTGTGAGAAATTAAGTGCTGGTGTTTCTGTGTGGAAGTGAAATCTCTCTGGATACCCCTCCTTGATTCAATGTGGGCATCCTCATGAAACAATAAACTGATGGTAGCACGTGATACAAGACAAAATGACAGGAGAGTGGGAATTGCAGTAAGTCCCTCCTTTTCCACTGTAACTGCTAGTGGAAACCCTCTTGGTTTGAGGGCATTGGTTGATCCTCAGTGTGGTTCTAACCAGTGTTGTATGGGAATATATAATCTGTGTGAACAAACAGATGAAAACTCTGGCAAACTTCAGGATCTCCATCCCCAAAGGTATTGATGGCTATGTGCAAATTAACAGCTATACTAGTGCAAATTAAAAGCACACTAGTTTAACACAGGGCCTCTACATCTTTTTTAAAAAGTCACTTTGGGAGGCTGAAGTGGGAGGACTGCATGAGCCTAGGAGTTCAAGATCAGTCTGGGCAACATAATGAGTCCCTGACTCCAAAATAATTTAAACATTTCCTGGGCATGGTGGTGTCTGCCTGTAGTCCTAGCTACTCAGGAGACTGAGCATGGAAGATTGCTTGAGCCCAGTAGGTCAAGACTGCACTAAGCCGTAATCACGCCACTGCACTCCAGCCTGAGTGACAGAGCAAGACCCTATCTCAAAAGAAAAGAAGAGATGAAAGAAAAGAAAAGAGAAAGGAAAGGAAAGGAAAGGAAAGGAAAGGAAAGGAAAGGAAAGGAAAGGAAAGGAAAGGAAAGGAAAGGAAAGGAAAGGAAAGGAAGGAAAGGAAAGAAAAGGAAAGGAGGGAAGAAAGGCAGAAAGCAAGGAAGGAAGGAAGGAAGGAAGGAAGGAAGGAAGGAAGGAAGGAAGGAAGGAAGGAAATAAATGTCTTTTGGACCAGTGTAGACCAGCCCAGTGGTTTAGTGCCTTATCAGGAAAGTTTTAAGGTAAAAAGGTTATAATTCTTCTCATCCCCTCCCACCCAGGTGGGTCACAAAACTATTCTCATCTTCAAAAATAACTAGGTTTGATTAATTAAATATATGAAACATAACAGATAAGCTCTATACTGATCTTAGCAGATTATAGAAGAGCTTTCAGGTTATTATCGTTTAAAAGTCATAGTAGTGGATGAACTAAGAAGAGATCAATTCAAAATATACAACTGAAGGCAAAAGAATTAACTGATTGTTGTCTGAGCTGTCCCAGGTTTCCCGACTCTCTGGGATCCCCCTCCTGCCTTCCCAAGCCCTCTTCCCTGCTGTAGTATCTCCTCCATGCTTCCTCATCTGCTCCATGGCTTCACAAAGCTGCTTTACAGTGAGGTCAAAACAGGCTGACACCACAGATTCTCACCACCTGGAATTTTTGTTTGTCTGAGACAGGATCTTGCTCTGTTGCCCAGGCTAGGGTGCAGTGGTGAGATCACAGCTCACTGCAGCCTTGACCTCTCCAGCTCAATCAATCCTCCCATCTCAGCCTCCTAAGTAGCTGGGACCACAGCCCATGTCACCATGCCCAGCTAATTTTTGTATTTTTTATAGAGACAGGGTTTCATTGTGTTGCCCAGGCTGGTCTGGAACCCCTGGCCTCAAGTGATTCACCTGTCTTGGCCTCCCAAAGTATTGGGATTACAGGCATGAGCCACCACACCCAGCCCTCACTACCTGGATTTGGCTTTTGTTGCCACCTCTCAGATAACCCTTGTTTCCATGATCTATGAGCCAGTTTAACCAAACCCAGAGTTAATTATCATATCCTAAGACAACTAATGAAAAGCACTGGGCTTAGTATAAAGCACACCCACTCACTCCCCACCATCTCTTTCCCCTGGCTCCCACCATATAAAATGATCCAATTTTGACATAAAATTTCTAAAATAAAACCTTGGTTGAAAGCCAAGTCTTTGGGAACCTGTACTTTCACGTTAGGAGGTTACAGACTTATTCCAACGATAAGTGCTTTTTGCACACAAGTGGCCTTTTGGAATTGATTTCTGAGTTCTGGGACACACACAGGCTTTTGAATGTTCTCAATAGTGGTAAGCCTTAAACCTTCTGAAGACAGATTGTATTTCTTTGGAATGAGCCAAAAGTGTTTAGGAGACAAATCTGGTGAGCGTCCAGCTGGGAAATACCATTTGGGTCAAAGCTATAAAGTATCAAGAGTGATTTTCTGGTGTGGTTTGAAAATTAGCTCTAAAAGTCATTCCAAAAGAGGCATTCCAGAAATGTATATGGCAATAACACCATCAATGGAATAAAAAATGTTTTATCCCCTAAATTGACTACTAGATGGATAATGCTATTTCATGCCTCCATTCCTTTAAATATGCTATTTGGTCCCTTCCCCTACAGTGCAAAGCCCTCACCCTCACTCTATCTCCCCAAATATCTAATTTGTTTTCTTCCATCAAAATATATGTTTCTAGGAAGCCTTCTCTGAATCTCCAATCTGATTCTGATGCCCTCATTCATGCTCTCTCATCACCACCCCCCACTCCCTTCCTCCCCTCTAACATGCGGGGCAATGCTTGCTTAAAGGACATTGCAAACAATGGTTTTCATTTTCTGCCCCCACCACCAAACTGTCAGCTACTTGAAAATAATGGCTATATTTTACTTTACTTGACAGAGCAATGGCTTCATACAGTGCTTCAGAAATGCTTGTTGCTCAAATAAATCCATTTGAAAAATTAACCTCCTTGCTCTGTAGTTTTACCTCACATGATCTGACATACTTGTCATCTGCAGTTCAATGTCAACCCAGGAGTAATTTTACAAGAAAGATTGTGATAGTGTTGACCCTCGACGCTTATATTAGTTTTTCAACAATAATCTAAATGCTGGTAGAGAAAGAAGGCTAATACACAAAACAGTAACATGAGCTACGGAAGTGAGCCAGGACTTTAACAAGAAAACATAACTGAATTAGTCTTCAAAATGACATTGGTAACTTAAAGAAATCATTTATCTCAGAATAAAGAACTTAAGCAAATGTACACATGAGCTATTTAGGCCCATATTAGAGCTATTTCTCTATCAATGAAAAATACACCCAGAAAAGCTTACTATGAAGCACAATTCTCAGTATGTAAATCTATTATCTTGCATTAAAAATACCACACAAATAGCCTACCGCCCAGCAATTCCTTTGAGGCTATATAGCCAACAGAAATAAGTGTTTGTTTCCATCAAAATACATACATATGAGAATGTTCATAGAAACTTTATTCATAAATAGTCCCAAACTGGAGACACGCATAATGTTCACCCACAGTAGAACGTGTAAACACACTCTGGCATATTCATAAAACGAATACTGCTAGCAAGAGCAAAGAATAAGCCACAGATAACCACAACCTCATGGATCCTCACAGACATAATGGCAAGTTACAGAAGTTACAGACAAAAGACTGTATACAGTAGGGTTCCATGTGTATGAAATCAAAAAACATGCAAAAGAAATTACTGACTGAGAGAATGCATGAGGGGTATTATTGGGTGCTAGAAATATTCTATATTTTGAATGAACCTGGTGGTAATTACATGGGTATAGACATACACAAAAATTCATACGGTTGCACATTTAAGAGTTGGCATTTTATGTAAGCTTATACTTTAATGAAATTTTAAATAAATATGTTTAGATATCTCAGTCTCATAGAAGATTTAATCCTAAAATAGTAGCAGAGGGGCTTGGAGGTGAAGAAGTAGTTAATGAGCAATCCTGGTGGGGTTAGGGAGAGAGGGGTAGAGACCCTTTTGGATAAGCTGAGTAGCTATGCAAAAAAGATGATGTCAGGGCGTTGGTATCCCAAGTTTGACCCCTGAAAGGAGAGGGGCCCTGAATACTGAGGTTTTAATGTTTGCTTCCTGGGGCACAGTAGCAAAATCTTTGGAACTGATCATTCAGGGAATCAGTTACTACATAATATGTTAAGGCTTATATGAGGACACTTAATCCTGATTTTTTTTAAAAAGATGACCATATATCTGGCCGGGCATGATAGCTTGCACCTATAATCCCAGCACTTTGGGAGGCCGAGGTGGGTGGATCACCTGAGGTCAGGAGTTTGAGACCAGCCTGGCTAACATGGTGAAACCCTGTCTCTACTAAAAATAGAAAAATTAGCTGAGCGTGGTGGCGGATGCCTGTAATCCCAGCTACTTGGGAGGCTGAGGCAGGAGAATCGCTTGAACCCAGGACGCGGAGGCTACAGCGAGCCGTGATTGTGCCACTGCATACCAGCCTGGGCAATAGAGCAAGACTCTGTCTCAAAATAAAAAAAAAAAAAAAAGACCATATATCCAAGGGCCCACTCAGCAGAGACATCAGGTATATCACAAAGTAGGAAAATAAAGTGTTAGTAGGAAAAGAAGTTGTCAGATGTGAAATGAAGTTAGAATGAGTTAATGATTTTAGAGGTAAAGATGATGTGGGGCTCACAGTAGACCACAAGCAATTTTAAATATGTCAGCTGGATACAAAGAACATACATAAAAGGGGAGAATAATATAGACACTAGACAGGGCAAATTAATCCTTGCATGAAAGAAAATGCTGGGGTGTCCCTCAGTTGGGTTGTGGGGTCCTCCTAATCATTGCCTGGCCTGGCTATCTAATCCATGGAGGGTCAGATGAGACAGAGTGAGATCCACATAAATGTCTCCATACCCACTACCCATGACCAGTGGCCTGGTGGGTACATAATAAAGAATTTAAATTTAAGGACTAAACAGTGAAGTTAGCCACTAGGGTTTCTTTCTCCACCAAACTTAGAAAGTCCCTAAGGGGAGCTACGTATTGTCCAGAAATTTAACAAAAATGTAAATAAGGAAACACACAGTGCTAATGCAGGTTTCATTTCAAAGAAAAGAATTCCTGACCACAATAATTAAGAGTGAGGTTGTCTTAACTCAGGGTCTAAAATCTTTTGAAAAGTATCTATTTGAAAGAAGGCAATGGAATGCATGTCTTCTATCTGCTCTGTCCCCAGGATGTACAGGTGTCCCTTTGCTGATGAAAGGTGTAGGTGGCATGCAATAAATGGAAATGTCATATACCCTGCTTCCTGGGTAAGGTGGCCAGAATTAGTATACAGCAATAAAGGGTGCCCAGTGAAATGTGAATGTCTGGCAAACTTTTGCTCAGTTATTTCTGAACAACCACATTCTGGCTTTAACTAAAACCACATTGTTACGCTCATATTTTACACAAATATTTATTCCAAGTGGTTACAAAATAGAAACTGAGTAATAAGTTCATGACTTTCTCCCCATCCTCCATCTGCAGGCTTTCTTCAGCCAGTAAGCACATCATCTCTTTGGAATCCAGAGGTCACATTCAACTATGTAAAAGTACTTCTTATCTGAACTTTTCTCCCTAAAATTCATAACTTATCTAAATTAATGAAAAAAAAAAGACTGGGTCATATTTCTGTTTGAGGATTATGAGGTGGAGTAGGGAAGAGATGTCCTTCTCTGGATGACCTATATAGGAATAATAAACTAAAAATTCCCAGGAAAGCCCAGAAAGGTTTCTTTACAAATGTATCACAGCTGCGTGACTCACGCTTTTAGTTTTGACCTAATGGTACTTGTTTGAAAGCAGTGATTATCACCAGAACATAGACTCCACAAAGGCTAGCTTTGGTTTGGGGTATCCCCGTTCACTCTCAGAATAGTCCAGAAATAAAGTTAACAACTACCTGTGGCGACAGTGTGCTGTACCACACTGATAATGCCAACTCATGTTAAATTTTCCCTCTGACCTTGTAATGGAGGTAGGATGGGTATTGTTATTATGTTAAACATGAAGAAACAGAAGGCCAGAGCTGGAAACCAGCAGACCTCAGAGTGGACCCCTAGAAATGACTCCAAGTGACATGCCTGTCCCACCATCAGTTTCCAGGCCATGGCCCCAAGAAGAAGATGTTACTATGTTGAGTTAAAAAGCAAATGCTCGGCCAGGCACGGTGGCTCATGCCTGTAATCCTAGCACTTCAAGAGGCCGAGGCAGACAGATCATGAGGTCAGGAGTTTGAGACCAGCCTGGCCAATATGGTGAAATCCCATCTCTACTAAAAACACAAAAATTGGCCGGGCACTGGGGGGGTGCACCTGTAGTCCCAGCTACTCGGGAGGCTGAGGCAGAAGAATTGCTTGAACCCAGGAGGCAGAGGTTGCACTGAGCCGAGATTGCACCATTGCACTCCAGCCTCGGCGACAGAGCAAGACTCTGTCTCAAAAACAAACAAACAAACAAACAAACAAAAAAACAAAACAAAAAAAGATCCTTATCCATTACTTATGTCTGTCTTCATTACTGATTACAGGAGCATATTTTAATGATTGTTTGGCAGAGGGTGATCAAGTAGCAAAAGTTCTGGAACTCAGATACCTAACTCAAAACGAAACATCAAAAATGAAAAAAAAAAAATCTAGACAGTGGAGCAACCAGGAGTATCATGGTAGACAGTTACAAAAGAAAAGGGTAACACGAACATGAAAAAGTCAGTTCCCCTCCACATTTTAGTAACTAGACCGGGCAAAACACCATTTATCCTAGATGCGTAATCTCCACAACAAAATGTTCTACATTTTGGCCCCTAATCTCTACCCTTGAATGGGTAGAATGACTCTTCGTCTTTCCAAAGCACTGCAATAGAACAGAATGCCAGGGGAAATATCCATACAAGACAGCATTTATTTGGACCATTGTACCTTTAGTGAGTGACAGAGAAAAGCTAGAAAATAAATTACCACTTAAACAAATTGTTTTGTTCATATGTCTGCTCCCCCAATATTTCTCCCAGAGCACCATGGGTTACTGTAGGTGTTATCAATGATGAACTGGGACAGGAGTCATTAATGTGACCATGGACAAGGTAGCAAAGCTATAATGAAGAGATCTCCATGGTGTAATGACTGTGGTTTCCTGTCTAAGATAGCTAGAAGTGTGTTACTAATTCAGAGAGGGTCAGCACTCCACATCAACACCCAGAGGCTTCAAGATGCCCCACAGAGAATTCCACATTGCTGGATGCTGGCACTGACTAATCAAAGCATCTCACATGCCCATTCCCATTTTGCCTGAGTGATAATATGAGAAAAGAACAAAGGATAAGAGAGGAAAGAAATGACCTGAGAGTCATCCTCGTCCTTCCCCCTCTCTTTTCCCCTTTTGCACCCCTCAGGATGCAATCTATCCCCAACCCCAGCTGAGACTTCCTCCAAAATATTGCTCTAATCCATACCCATCTGCCATCGCCACTGTCACCTCCCAATTCAAATCAGCAGGAGCACCCATTTCACTTGGAAGGAGACCTCCAGTGATGGGGATCCTTTATCCAACATACACAATTAATCCCACTGCTAAAATCTTCCTTACAAACTACACTAACAGCCCTTCAGTTAGTTTCCTGTTTTTCAACGTTGGGCTCTCTTCCAACTTAATATATGGAAATCCCACTCGGAAAGTTTGCAGAAGAACAACTATTCTCATTACCATCTGGGTTCTGACCCAGTGGTCTGTACTTTAACCCAGATGGTCTTTTATGAGGGAAGGTTTGTTTGTTCGGGTGTTGGTGGTTTTTTTTTTTTTTTTTTTTTTTTTTTTTTTTTCCAGTGTGAGTTCTTCAGTGGAAACTTCGCTCTGGTTTTCCAACACTGTTTTCACAGCAGCTGGAGGGCAGAGGCTGCTGTCCTCTCTCTTGTAAACAAAAAGGCCAAGCCGCAGTCCCCGGCCACCAGGACAAACACACACTCCCGCTGCGAGGGCACCCCCATGCAGCGTGAGCACGGCAGGGCAGTGGTGGCGGAGGAAGCCGTTGTCTGCTTTCTTATTACTGCGCTGTCATTCATGCAGAAGTCAGCCCACAGATGCATCAGTGGCTTCCTTTCAAAAGGGCCATTTTCTTGAATTTATTGACTGTGCTTATAAGCTTCTTGTGTAAAGATGCTTTGCACAAGCTTCAAGAAAGAGAACTTATTTATACAAACCCATTTAAATACTGCCTCTGTAGAAAAATGTGTACGGACATCAAAATATTCAAAAACAACTATCTCTTTATATGAAGTCAGCAGCATGGGGGGTTTTAAATGCTTTATTTACTGTTTATATTTTTAAGATTATCAATGCCAACTCTACTAATTCAGAAAGTACAGTAATTCAGACAGTAGGAGGGCTGTAACTAATCTTTGCACTGCCTATGAACAAAGGATTGCTAAGCAAATTATAATGCATGAGTAAGGTTGTTCCAAGAATAGATAAATATTTGGCAAGAACTATTTTAGGTCTATTCTAGTACTTTGGAGCTACCCACTAATTTATAAATACTTGATCTACTAATTACAACACTTCTTATCTATTCATTTAACCAGGTCTCAAAGGGGCAAGGCAAGCAGCATGGAGCTTGATCCCATTGGTGATGTATGTTGGTCATTTGTTCTTGAAAAAGTACTTTCTGCTGGGCATGGTGGCTCATGGCTGTAATCCCATGGGAGATCCCTCCCTCTTTGGGAGGCCAAGGCAGGCAGATCACTTGAGGTCAGGAGTTCAAGACCAGCCTGGCCAACATGGCGAAACCCCAGTTCTACTAAAAAAAAAAAAATTAGCCAGGCTTGGTGGCAGGCAGGCAGGCACCTATAATCCCAGCTACTCAGAAGGCTGAGGCACGAGAATCACTTGAATCTGGGAGGCGGAGGTTGCGGTGGGCTGAGATCACACCACAGCACTTCAGCCTGGGTGTCAGAGCAAGACTGAAAAAAAAGGCAGGCAGAAAGAAAGAAAGGAGGGAGAGAAGGAGGGAGGGAGGGAAAAAGTACTTTCTTTCAGAAACTAAACTAAATTTCATTTTTTACAGTTTAGATTTTTTTTCCAGATTTTGTCAGAATGAGATTTCCCTCAATGATTAGTTTTCTATTGCTGCTGTAATAAATTCCCATAAACACAGCAACTTAAAACAACACCCATGTTTTAGCTCACAGTTCTGTAGGTCACAAGTCTGGGGACATAGTGTGGCTGCTTTCTCTGCTCAGTGTCTCACAAGGTGTCAGTCGGCCACGTCCTTGTCTAGAGCCCCAGGTCTTCTTAGGAGCACACGTTTGTGGCAGAATTCAGTTCCTTGCGGGTGTAAGACTGACATATCTGTTTCCTTCCTGCCCATCAGTCAGGGTCACTCACAGCTACCACAGGACACTTGCGTCCTTGCCTACGCTCCCTTCCCCCAATCGTCAAAGCCATCAAAGAAGATGCTTCCTCATGGACTGACTCTTTAGCTGGAAAAAAAGTGTCTAGCCCCTTTTAAGGGCTCACCAGATTATGGTAGTTCCACCTAAGATAATCTCCCTATTTTAAGGCCAACTATTTAGGGCTTTAATTATTATTACTTTTTTTTTTGAGACGGAGTCTTGCTGTGTCACCCAGGCTGGAGTGCAGTGGCACAATCTCGGCTCACTGCAGCCCCTGCCTCCTGGGTTCAAGTGATTCTCCTGCCTCAGCCTCCCGAGTACCTGAGATTACAGGGGTGCGCCACCACACCCAGTTAATTTTTTAAAAATATTTTTGGTGGAGACGGGGTTTCACCATGTTGGCCAGGTCTTGAACTCCTGACCTCAAGTGATCTGCTCAACTCAGCCTCCCAAAGTGCTGGGATTACAGGCGTGAGCCACCATGCCTGGCTAGGGCTTTAATTATATTTGCAAAAATATTTTCAGAGCAGCACCTACATTAATGTTAGTTTAGATAAACAGATGTAAATATACCATGATATGAAAATCTTAGGGACTATAGAGTTCTGCCTACCATTCCTTCCCATTATTCAAAATTAATATTTTTTACAAGATAAAAAACCAATTTAAATTTGTTCCCCAGCACCATTCTCCTGCTCTTGACTTAAATGTTGTTGACACTTCTTCAAGGCCAATAAATTAGTTTCATTTCATGGTTTCTCTCTCCCGAACAAGATTTTTAGTCTTCCTGAAGGCAACTAACAAGACCTGTCTTCCTTTTCTACATAAGTAACACCAGCCAGGGAAGGTTAGAAGAAGGAGTCATGAATAACAGCATAAACTATCAGAATAAAAACTATGAGACCAGGCATTGTGACTCACACCTGTAATTCCAACACTTTAGGAGGCTGAGGTGGGAGGATTGTTCGAGTCCAGGAGTTTGAGACCAGCCTGGGCAACGTGGTGAGATCCTGCCTTTATAAAAAATATTAAAGTTAGATGGGTGTGGTGGCATGTGTCTGTGGTCCCACCTACTCAAGAGGCTGAGGTGAGAAGATTGCTTGAGCCCAGGAGGTTGGCGCTACAGTGAGCAGTGTTCACACCACTGCACTCCAGCCTGGGAGACAGACAGATATCTTTTCTTAAATAATATTTTTAAAAAAAGAGAGAAAATCCAAATGGCAACATGGACGCTCAGTAGTAACAGCCCCAATGTCACAGGTATGTTCTAAACATCATCCAACACTTACAATACCCTCCCTGGCCTTCAACAACAACAACAAAATAGAGGCAATCCTACAAAGAAGATCTTACATTATCAGCACTAAAAAGTTAAACACCATTTTAATAGAATCTTTTAGGGGAATCTAATGAATTAATGTATATGTGTTTACTGCAAAGGGCTACACAAATAGATATGTCATTGTTTCTAGAGCTAACAATAATTTTTAAGCAGAGGCAGCGTTCTTAGGTATGATGACACATCCTACCTGGTCCTCCATACTCTGAATTTATCAACGTTGGCTGATTTTGTTTATTATCTCTCTGACTACCCTGTTTCTCCCTCCTATTGGAATCTTCAGAGAGTTGTAGTTGAGAAATGGAAAACTCACAAACCCACTATTTACGATGCAACAAATATTGACTGAGCCCCCACAATATGCAAGGCACTGTTCTGGGTGCTAAAGCTAGATAGATTAACAAGACAGAGAACTATCCTACTTTCAGGAAGCCCACATGCTACAGGGAAAGACAAATGACAACCCAGTGGCAATGTGGGCTAGAGATGTGGCAACTGGCCGAGCACAGTGGCTCACACCTGTCATCCCAGCACTTTGGGAGACTGAGGCAGGTGGATGACCTGAGGTCAGAAGCTCCAGACCAGCCTGGCGAATATGGCAAAACCCTGTCTTTACTAAAAATACAAAAATTAGCTGGGTGTGGTAGTGGGTGCCTATAATCCCAGCTACTTGGGAGGCTGAGGCAGGAGAATCGCTTGAACCTGGGGTGCAGGGTGAGGTGGAGGCTGAAGTGAGCCGCAATCATGCCACTGCACTCCAGCCTGGGTGATAGAGTGAAACTCCGTCTCAAAAACAAAACAAAACAAAACAAAAAAAAAAAACAAAGAAAAGAAAAGAAAAGAGATGTGGCAATTAAGGAACGCCTCCCTCATGACTGACTTTGAGCAAAAGGGGAAGATACCTTGGGAAGAGTGGTCCAGACAAAAGCCCTGAGGCCAGAGTGTTGGGAGAGGATGGGAAGGCAGCAGGAAACCTGGGGGGCTGAAGCGGGTTGAACAAGCATCTGGTGAACATGATGTGGATTTTTTCCTTGTGTAGACAGGAAGCCGAGTGCCATGATCTGACTGGACACACCAAAAAGCACATTCTGAAGGCCTGATGGAGAATAACTAGAGGAAGGAGTGGAGGGAGAGAGACTGGACAGGATTTGAAAGAGTCTCTGATTAGAAGTTGGCTGGGCAAATCTCTCCCGAACTCAAAATGAGGAGGAAACATTAACAGTTTCCACCACCTCAAAAATGATCAACAACCCGAAAAGCTTGGAACCAGGTGCAGACAGGCTACCAGACTTGTAACACAGTCAGGAACGCTACGGACGGGCAGGCATCTCACAGCTCTGACTCTCCAAGTGTAATCCTGAGGTAAGGTCTTTCAGATGGCTGCTTAAGAGGTCTTTCAGATGGCTGCTTAAGAGAAAGAGTTGCCCACCTGCCTGGCTCCCCAAGAATGATGAAGAAACTCTGTGGCGACTCTTTGAAACTTTTGAACACCGAACCGCTAACAAAGGAAGTAATAAAAAGAGCCCATACATACCAAACCAAATCTGAGGGATCTCTGAATAAATTTGGAACACTCACCAAGCCTGTGCTGCTCACTCATTCTGCCAGCTCTCAAAGGCACAAGCCACAGACCTCTTTCCACGACTTCCCTTTTGCTATGCACACATTTGCCCTTTGAGTTTGTTTGTTTTCCCTGATGATTTCAGAGAGAAAACCTCTAGCGGGCACCAATCCTGCCTGTTAATGCCTTGTAGTTCGGTCCCTAACAGAGAACTTCACAGCACTGAGCATAGACAGTAGAATATCTGCATATTGGGATCTCTGGAATGGGACCCCTGGAATGTAAAGAGTTCCTAGTGTGGCAAAATAGCCACAAGGAAAGGTGCATTACCACTGTGTCTACATGTTCAGGGTGCTCTAAGTAGAAGGAGATGCTGAGCCCAAGAGATGAAGAACTGGGAGGAAAAAAATGAAGAGATTACTAAAAGACACATATTAGAGAAACCTCAACAAAAAAGCTTAAAAAAAAAACTGTTCATTAGAGCTACTTATTCTTAGCTTTATAAACTGTACAAAGATGAAGCAATCGGAAGGGAGTAACTACATTGATTTCATTTGCTTCAGTTAAATCAAAATTTATGTGAACTTAAGATAATATCAATTGTTAGCTCTTTGGCTAATTTATCACTTTTATGGTTTAAACAAATCTGAAATGTTAAAGTGACTCACAAATCACTTTTCTATAGCATTGAATTAAGTTATCACTTTGTTTTCTCCCTGTGCACTGTTCTTCAACTTCAATAATATAATTTGATGCTGTATTCTTATTTCACTGATTTTGGACTGGAGATTTCTTGTTTTACATAAACCCTAGTGTATTCTTGACTTTTTTTTACTAAGGAAAGCGGTGACTCCTGAGTGTTAGGCAATTCCTTTAATAGAGTTACTAAAAATTTTATTACTGTATGTAACCCTAAGTATTCTGAGTGAAAATATAAAGAAACTTTCCAAGTGAAAATAAAAAGCACCTTGCTTAACTATTCTTTTCTTTTTTTTTTTTTTTTTTTTGAGACGAAGTCTCGCTCTGTCGCCCAGGCTGGAGTGCAGTGGTGTGATTTCAGCTCACTGCAACCTCTGCCTCCTGGGTTCAAGCGATTCTCCTGCCTCAGCCTCCCGAGTAGCTGGGATTACAGGCATGCACCACCACGCCTGGCTAAGTTTTTGTACTTTTAGCAGAGAGGGGTTTTGACATGTTGACCAACTGAGGAGTTGTTCTCAAACTCCTAATCTTGAGTGATCCACCCGCCTCAGGCTCCCAAAGTGCTGGGATTACAGGCGTGAGCCACCGCACCTGGAATTTTACTCTTCTTTTAATGAAGAATAAATTTAGGTCTAAAAAATAAGACCAAAGCCCATTAATCCAGACTATCTCTATGTGGCCACATCTCCCAGTAGGTGTATTCAATACCCAGCTTTCAATAAAGAGAGGAACTTCAAATTAACAATGAGATTTAAATTCTAGAGAAAGCTATACATTGGTGCTAGGCTCATTTTTTAAAAACATACCGGACCACTTCGTGGGTTCTTATTTAACAGCCTGTAAAATGCATCCCCATAGCATGGAAACATTTGCCAAGTGTTGATAGGACAGTCAGTCATAAATCTTAAGGTTGCCACAACCAAATAGAACCTGCTCATGTTGAGTATAAAACACCATCACATCTCAAAATGACTTTTCTTAATTAACAATTAGGCTTTGCATTTTCAATGTGATCACAACTCCAGTGAAATTAATGCAAACCAAACTAGTTTCAGAAATGCAAATTTGAGCCAGTGTAGGGCACAAGCAGCACTTTTTGGAAGATTCAGGACCTGAGATGCAAGGAGAAAATGTTGGTAGAAACCTCTTCCCACTCACCCTACTTGAATTCGTATTCTCCAAGGAACTTATGGTCGAAAATTTCTCTCCACCTTAAGCTATCTCTGAGGTTGTATCTTTAGCAAATTCCTTATGGGAGTTGGAAGCAAAGGAACATGAAATAAGAAAGTACTATGAACGGAATGATTGATTTTTATCTTCAAACCTGCTCGGGCTGGTCCTGTTTTGATGGCCAACTTTTCTCAGACACTAACCTGGAGTCACTAAAAAGAAAAAATTTCTTTCAGTGACCAGACACTGGGAAAACCCCAGATCCTCCAACTCCTTGCACAGCCTCCCAAGATGCAGATCAATGGCAAGGGTTGGGGAGAACTGGCATTCTACCTGCATTCTATCTGCGCAGGCACTGGCCAATTACTTGGAGAATGTTCCAGACACTGGCACAGGGCAGTGCAGGCACTTCGTGGCTCACAGCCTAGCACAGCAGGTAAAAGTTTACGAGAAGAGCATGGCTGCACAGCTCATTTACCAAAGTGAATGAAGGAGAAAAGTGCTTAAGTTTACTCAGGGTATCAAAATCAGAGTCAAATCTTAGGCTCTGATGTACGTTAAAGCTCAATTTTAAAATGCTCTATGTTTAAGTTGCTACCTCTTAACATAACAGGAAGCCATCCAGTAGTCAGTTTAAATTAAGAAGACTCATTCATGTAATATCACCACATAAGGGAGGCTGGGAGAGAGTAGGTGAAGGATACGGCTGGGGATGTGGGTTTAAATACTGGCTGTTGGTCAGGTGCTGTGGCTCATGCCTATAATCCTAGAACTTTGAGAGGCCTAGGCGGAAGGATCGCTTGGACCCAGGAGTTTGAGACCAGCCTGGGCAACATAGCAAAATCTCGTCTCTACAAAAAATACCAAAATTAGCTGAGCATGGTGGCAGGTGCCTGTAGTTCCAGCTACTCAGGAGACTGAAGTGGGAGGATCACCTGAGCCTGGAAAGTTGAGGCTGTGGTGAGCCGTAATGGTGCCATTGCACTCCAGCCTGAGCAACAGAGTGAGATCCTGTCACAAATAAATAAATACATACATACATATTGGCTCTTCAATCAACATTAGAGCAAATACTCTTTGCCTTAATTTTCCCACTGGCCAAACAAGGCTAATATTAGTTTCTCTTTCACACTGTTATTTTTGAGGAATAATTCGGTTATTGCATATAAA
Organism: Homo sapiens; assembly: GCF_000001405.40. Taxonomy (NCBI): domain Eukaryota; kingdom Metazoa; phylum Chordata; class Mammalia; order Primates; family Hominidae; genus Homo; species Homo sapiens. The sequence continues at coordinate 117,988,240 of NC_000008.11, forward strand.
ACACTGAGTAGCATCACATAATTAACCTCTAACAAATATTACTTGTTATTATTACTCCAAAAGGAAAATCAAATTTTCTAAATAAGAGATTCTCAAAATTTAGAGCACACAAGGCTCACTAAATTAGGGAGGTCATTACAAAGTGTAGATTCCTGGGCCCAGTCCAAGTGATTCTGAGTAGGTCTAGAGTAAGGCCCAGAGCCTGCAGTTTTAATAATTATCTCAGGTGATTCTGATGCAAAAGACGCTCAGACCACACTTTGAGAACCACTGCTGTAAAGGTAACCACAGCATCAGCAAAGACAGTGGTAGCTGCTAGGAACAGAGAGGGGTCAGGATCGGCCGGGCAGAGAGGAAAACAGTGCAGGCCTGAGCTTCCCACCTCCCTCCACCTCCAGCACCCTCCCAACCCCAATGTCAAGAGAGGCCTGCAAGGTGCAGCAGGAACCTCTTCCCATGCTGCCCCCAGGGAAGTCTACTCCAATGCGAAGAAGGGGATAGTAGAGGCAATGGACGCAACCGCTGCCTGGTAATGCCAAACACTGAGGTGGTCCCTGTGGACAGATGAGCACAGGCTCCTGCCGGTCCAACCCAGAATTGGACAAGTGGCCACACAGAGACAGTCTAGGGGGCTCTCCTCTAAAATCCAGTCTGAGGTGCTCATTCTTTTATAACTACTTAAATAACAACTAAAAATAAAAAATCTGACAGGTGCAGTGGCTGATGCCTGTCATCCCAGCTACTCAGGAAGCTGAGGCAGGAGGATCAATGGGGCCAGGAGTTTGAGACCAGCCTGGGCCACACAGCTAGACCCCTCCTCTCAAAAAAAAAAAAAAAAAAACTATTTTATTTTAACCACAACTCTGTGAAATATCTCCCTTTTTCAGAGGAAAACAAATGAAGGTTTTAAAGAGAAGTTAAGTAACATACCTAAGCCATAGCAGAGGCAAAACCTAGCAAGTCCCATTGGCTCTAGCTCTAAAATACAAAAGGAATTCCTCCCCCCACCCCCATCCCACTGCCTCACCTGGCTCCTGCGTCGGCTAAGCCACATTACTATGGTCTGGAGTACATCAAAAGCCAGCGAAGGGGTCTCCTTGCTTCCACTCCACTGCCCCTGCCCCCCACTATTTGTGTTTATTTCTGCTTCCATGTTTTTTGTCTGTCTGCCTCCACTCAATTACACGCTCCTTGAGAACAAAGACCCTTAAGTGTTCAGTTCATTCCTGTGGCCCCAGACCTCATAATGGAGCCTGCAGTACTCAATAGCTCTTTTAAACTGACCAACTCCAAAGTCCATTCTGTTTGCTAACTGTTCCTCTCATGGGGAAGAACAACTTGGGGAAAGCCCTGTTGAGCAATCCTTTGCAAACGGCCAAGTCATACTGGTATCTTAGGACAGTCACCCACTCAGCCACTCAAAAGAAAAAAGTTCAGAACAGGAAGTCAGTTTTCAGCATCAACATTTATACAAAAGAGATCCATCTGGGCGAGATGTTAGCTACTCACATTTGCTGTCCATGCCTAAGGACAACAGGTGCCATGCCCTGCCAGAAGAGCCCCACTGCTTTCTCACCTACACGGTCATGTGACAGCAACTATGCCAAAAAAACAAATGCACTTGCTTATGTGGAAAATGGGAAAAAGCAAATGATCCCTTAGAACCCAGACTGGAGGCGGGCACAGTGGCTCACGCCTATAATTCCAGCACTTTGAGAGGCCAAGAGTTTGATACCAGCCTGGCCAACATGGTGAAACACTGGGTCTACTAAAAATACAAAATATTAGCTGGGTGTGGTGGTATGAGCCTGTAATCCCAGCTACTCGGGAGGCTGAGGCACGAGAATCACTTGAGCCCAGGAGGCAGAGGCTGTTATGAGCAGAGATTGCACCACTGCACTCCAGCCTAGGCGACAGAGCGAGACTCCGCCTAAAAAAAAAGAGAAAAGAAGAAAAGAACCCAGACTGGGTCTCCCTCTCTTCCTATAGAGAAAGTTATCTCTTCCTGCCCTTGAAGACAGAAGCAATTAAGAAAAGGAGAGTAATTCTGTTTGTAGAACTGTCTATAGCAGACAAGGAAAAACTTTCATTTTAAACTAATTCCAGAGAACTGAGACAATCTGACAGCTGGGCACAGCATCTATAGAACCAGATTTCACAAAAAAAGTTGGAGAAGAAGGAAAAGCCAACTCAGCTGAAGCGATATCTCGACACATTCCAGCATCCTAGAAGATGAGTGCTTACACATATTCACCTGAACCTATGCCTTCCCTGACAGCAAAATGCTCAGGAACCACTTGTGCCTCTCCAGTGGCTGCTGCCATAATGCTAAGGCCGGCAAGCCTAAGAGTAAGACCCACAGATCCAGTGCTGGGGAATGCAGTTCCCACTTGCATAAACACTGCCCACAACCTGACTTCCTTGAAGTCTTGGGCATTGGCACATGCTTCCTCATCTTGCTTGCATTTGGCAGGATCTCTCTTTTTCATCTTTTGTTTTGTGGAAAGATGCAAACCCCAAGTAACTGCCCAGTTTGCATCGTTCTAGGCACCGTGCATGGAGGAAAAACTCTGGAAATCACTACAGAGGACCCTTACATGCAAACTGCAAAATTAAGGTGGCCTTCAAGTGTCAACAGGCTCTACAGGTGATGACAGAACTAATAATCACCACTGCTCCAACACAAGAGCCTATGCAGCCAGGTACTAGACTTGCACTCTTTCTAATCTTCGTACCAACCATGTGCAAATGGTGTTCATTATGCCTGTTTACAGATGAGAAAAACAAGGCACCAGGAGGCTTAACAGCCTTCCCAAGGTCCATACACGGAATGGAAGAAGGTTTCAAACTCAGTTCTCCAGACTTCGATGTCTTTTTTTTTTTTTTAGATGGACCCTCGCTCTGTCACCCAGACTAGATGGAGTACAGTGGCGCAATCTTGGCTCACTGCAACCTCCACATCCCAGGTTCAAGCAATTCTTGTGTCTCAGCCTCCCAAGTAGCTGGGACTACAGGTGCATGCCACCACGCCCAGCTAAATTTTATATTTGTGAAATGCCATATAAAGTGCATGATGTCTGCAAGCAGTTGTGGTTTTCCCGACCAGCTTGCTGCCACTGAGCCAGTGGTTACTTTGTCCGGCTCATTGCCACTGGACCATTTCTGTACATAAGGTGGTTCTCGTGTCCAGCCTACCACCACTGGACCCTCTCCCCTGAATTAAGCCCTTAATAAAATCCCATGTATCTTTTGCTGGTTCTGAGTCTCTTCTTTGGCCTTTTGAACTTGGCAACTACCCTACTGGAGTTATTTTCCTTTTTTTATTTTATTTTTATTTTTTGAGATGGAGTAAGACTCTGTCACCTAGGCTGGAGCGCAGTGGCATGATCTCAGCTCACTGCAACCTCCACCTCCCGGGCTCAAGTGATTCTCCGGCCTCAGCCTCCTGAGTAGTTGGGATTACAGGCACATACCACCACACCCAACTAATTTTTGTATTTTTAGTGGACACAGCGTTTCACCATGTTGGCCAGGCTGGTCTTGAACTCCTGACCTCAAGTGATCCACCCTCCTCGGCCTCCCAAAGTGCTGGGATTACTGGCATGAGCCACCACACCTAGCCTCCAAATATCTTTTTAAGACTCACTAAATCTTGAGTCTAATAAGGGAATGGGTCAGGCTTGTCATACAGCAGGGCACTGAGCAAGAAGTCTACTACCATCAGGGTCAAAAACCCAGCATGGCACCTCTGTGACACTCTCCACGTCCATATCAGAAGGCAATTGTAAGCACAGGCTTACATGTTATTCCTGACCAGAAAGAAAAGTTTGTGGCTGGCACACAACTTTTGGCAAAGACAAGTGTCTCACCTATAAAACATGTTGGCAGCTGCCCACAGGGGCTCCTCCTTTCTCTGGAGTTTTCATCTCCCTCCCTCACTTCACTTCATCTCAATGTGAACAGTGGCTAAGGTAAACATGGCTCAGGTCTCTTAGGAAGAAAAGTATTACATAAGTGCAAAGAAGAATTACTGCCCCAACTTCGGAAGCCTCCCAAACACATTATAAACTCTTCCTTATGCTATTGTAAATATTAAGGTTTGCATTAAACATTCAGGAGAGCAGCTCTGGGTATATAATTAGGGAGAGCAAATATTTGTTCAAATAAGCCTCAACGGGACCTCCTCCTTTCAACTAGCTAAAAAAAAAAAAAAAAAAAAAAAAATGTTCAAGCAGATGGATATAGGATACGAAGGCTTGGCCCAACATCTTCTCCTAGTCCTGATTACTCCACTCCTCAGAGACCCATGAATCTTCTTAACAAAGAAGAGTCTTCCAGGCCTCATACATTAGCCAGGCATTTTCTCCCAGGCCTTCCAAGCTTCCAGCTCCCTGCAGGGCCTCAGCTGACACTCTTCACAGGCACCTACTTTGCAAGGCCCTTGGTCTCCCGACAAGACAAGCAACACAAGCCAGATAACCACTCAAAGGGAGGCAGTGGAGATGGCTCTCATTCCCTGCCAGGAGGATCGCCATAACAAGGTGGCTGGAAGAACCTTCCGTGGCATGGGAACAGACAGCTGTAGACCCTGTATCTAAGTCTCTTCTTCCCGGAATTCTTATTCCACAGTGGTGACAGTGTCAAGCAGAAAAACACCACTTTTCACTACTTTACTGTCATCTTATAAATCTCAATATTTCAGCTTCACAGACAGCATCTTAGCTGATTTCACTTCATGTGCAAAAAACTCTTCCTTCCAACCAGAGGGACATATGAGTTCAGAACCCAAATTACATTCATTCTTTGAGAGGCAGATGTTTTCTGCAGATAACTTGTTGAACAATTTTTAAAAAGAAAGAGAGAGAAAAAGAAAGGGGAGGAGACATTTCTCCATTTTTACATTTCTTTCTTTTTCCTTCCTTTAGTAACTCATATGATTAAATGAACAGGGAGCTGTGATCTGCTCTATTTCATCTCCTGCTGGCTGATCAAGTTTTAAAAAAAAAGGAGAAATATGTATGCATTCATACTCACAGCTGCATGGGGATCAACAGATAAAAAAATTACTGATGGAGGAAACACTAGCATTTCTCCAACTATAAGAACTAAACTTGACACAAGTCTCTGGCCCGGCAGGATACAGCCAGGCCAGCCTGGATATTTATGTACTTGAAAAGTTAACTAAAAATGCAAACACAGTGAAGGATGAACAGAGTCAAACTATAAATGCAGATTTCAAATTCCACCAAAGTCCAGAAAAGGGATATGTTAATTGCCTATAATATGCCTTAAGTTTATCATCTATTGTAGCAGGAAGTCTCATTGCTTAAACCAACATTTCCCAAAGCATATTATTACACAGAACAACACCAGAAAGAGAAAAGGGGTTCTGTTCATATCAAATATGTTTGGCAGTGATACCACAGCCTCATCTGGAGACTCACAATCCATGAGTATAGTTAAGGCTGAGAAAATCTTCTGGAAGGAAACCCGTACAACTGTAATTAACCAGGCCTTCCCAAACACCTTTGATTAGGCTATGGAACCTACTAAAAATGTCCTGGTTATCTTGCGGAGAATACTTCAGGAAAATGAGTAAAGAAGCCAAAGTGACAGGTTTTATGGCCAGCCTAGTGGCCCTTGCTCAAGTCCCCATCCCAGCCCTTAGTTGGCCAATGGCATCCCCAATGGCCAATGGCTTCTTTTCCTAGATTGTTGTTAGAGGAAAGAGATGACTCAAATTAAGATACTGCTAAAAAGTTACAGAGCTAGCAAAGTTCTTACTCTTCTCTAAGCAAATACCATCTCTAAAAGCGGATGCTAGAACTGTGCTGCCCAATGACACAGCCACTAGCCACATATGGCTATTTAAATTTAAATTTAATTGAATTTTAAACAGCTCCCCATTTGCCCAAGCCACATTTCAAGTACTTAATATCTACATGTGGCTAATGCTTACCACGTACATTTAGAATACGTCATCATCATAAGAAGTTCTATTGGGAGGGCTACTCTAGAAAGACAAACACATCTCAGGTTTAAAAGTAAAGGCAGCAGATTTGGAAAATCTTCATTAAAAGGACTTGGATCAGCTGGGCACAGTTGCTCACACCTGTAATCCCAGCACTTTGGGAGGCTGAGCCAGATGGATCACTTGAGTCTAGGAGTTTGAGAACAGCCTGAGCAACATGGCAAAGCCCATCTCTATAAAAAATACAAAAATTAGCCAGTCATGGTGATACACGTCTGTAGTCCCAGCTACTAGGGAGAGTGAGGCAGGAGGATCACTTGAGCCTGGGAGGTTGAGACTGCAATGAGCCATGATCATGCCACTAGACCCCAGCCTGGGCAACAGAGCAAGATACTGTCTCCAAAAGAAAAGGACTCTAGATCAGGTTTCTGAAGTCCTATATTTAAAAGAAATGACCAAGCCAAATCCAGCTACATCCCTGGGGCAACAAGCTGTTTTAGTCAATCTAGATCCATGGAGCTAGCAAGTCTAATTTGCTAGAGAAAATGCTCCTTTTACAGTATCTTGTACATCTGGCAGTGACAGAAATATATCTAACTGTCGGATGCAATCAGATACAGCCAGAGCATTTTTCTACCAGTGTAATAAGAACACCCAGCAGACGGTCTGAATCCTAAATCTGAACACCACAGAACATCAGCTATTTGGACGTTAATTTGCAACTGAGTAAATTTAGTGCAGCATTAATAAATAGTCACAGGTCCAAAAAATGCTATATAGAAGATAGGGACAAATGGCCTAAGATCTGTGTCCAGAGTCACGAAGACAAACTGAGAGAGAGTGTTTTTGCCTAACTATGGGTTCTCACCATCAATTCTGCCCTTCCGCCCACTTAAAGATTTCACCCTCATTTTTTTAAGATCTTAAAAATAGATGGAGCTTTTATTCTGGTCAATCAGCAGAGTTAATGGTTTTCCACACCCCAGCACTTTTTGACATCAGATTCTAACCCACTCTAGCTCAGCAACCCAGCAGGGGCCAATCAATATTTGTTTTCAATGCAGACCATGTGTTCAGGCATCTTTGTTCCTCTCTGAGAGCCAGATCTTCTTTAGAAAAGCCAGCATGGTATGAGGATTCTCTAATCCAATCCAGGATTCCTGCTGATAGGCAACTTGTCTGTAATTCATCAATGATATCCCCTTGGGCTATGGATTTTTCTGGATTGGTGACCTGCTGGGTATGCGGCTGGTTTTCAATATGCATGGCGTGGGTGGGGACACACACTGAAAATGAAGGACGTGGTTGGCAGGGTAGCTGTACAGTGCTCTTTTCTGAACAAGCAATGTAGAGTTGAGGCATCCCCAGGAAAAGCTTACCATTTTGCCTCTCTGACTTTGTGTAGGCTTAACTTTTTGCCTAAATGACATCTCTTTCTCTCTCTCTGGCAAACTCCTTAGTTTACTGCAAATTTAAGATCCAGTTTTCATGTTGCTTCTTCAAAGATGCCCCTATGTGTCTAAGCTAATCATCCATTCTCTGCTTACCATGTATTATCATGGCATATACCATACAGCTTTGGAGATACCTATACATGCCTTCCCAACCACCTCCTTCACATTTTTATGAGCTTCATTATCATCAACTGCCATTCTCTAAGTAACCTGATGCCAAGTAACCAAGTAGGGATTCACTGTCTGCTGAATGAATAATAAATGAACGAATGGACTGGGTACCTGGAACAACTGTGGCAGATTATTTCCAGATATGATTATAGCAATATTTCTTGTCCTGGTGCTCTCCCAGAACCTTGCCACTTCTCATCAAGAAATGGGGTCTACTGCCCTTGCCTTTGAATCCAGACAGGATAAATATAATACAGTGGAAGCAAGATTGCTGGCTCCAAGGCTACTTCCCTTGGTTCCTTCTCTTAAGACGCTCGCCCTTGGAACCCAGCCACCATATGAGGAGGAACAGCCGACTACAGGAAGCGGCCACAGAAAGGTGTTCCAATGGAGAGAGCCCCAACTAAAGTCTACTGTCACCTAGCACCAACTGCTAGATATGGGTGAGCAAGCCTTCAGATCTGTGCTGTCCAATATGGTAGCCACTAGTGGGTATTTATATCTAAATTAATTAAATAAAAACTTCAATTCTATAATGGCACTAGTTACATTACAGTTGCCCTATGGCCATGTACGGCTAGTGGCTGCCATATTGGTCAGTACAGATATAGCATATTTTCATCACACAGAAAGTTCTACCAGACACAACGCTGCTTCAGATGATTTTAGCCACAGCCTTTGAGCTCTTCAGCAGAGACCCTATACATCGTGGAACAAAGACAAGTCATCTGTGCACCGTCCTATCTTAATGCTTGGCCCCAGAATCCATCAACTTAATAAATGGCTGTTTATGCCAGTAAATTTTGGAGTAATTTGTAATGCAGACTCGGTAACCAGAAAAATAATCTTTCATATTAGAATTGCTGAGATCCTTTGCAAAACTGCTATTCCTACATTTCTTAAAGCAGGATTGGAAAGGGGAAAGAGAAAAGTGACAGGCAGAGGACAAACAGAAATTGTTCAAATGGCTCATTGTAACACAATTGAACACTCAATCTCTGTCATTGAACATCTTAGCCCATTCTGGGCCAAGCAGCTAACATTTTTATAGGAGAAACAACTAAAATTTCCATCACTATCTCTTGTAGGTACAGGCCAGCAGAGCACTACTTTAATTCTGGAACACTTCTCTATAATGTTACCCAGCTCTCGCACACAATGAGAGATAAAGTGCAAGATGCCTTGAGTTCCTTCTCCATGTTACACCCACAATACCTTTAGCAGTAGCAGTCGTTAAACAGGGAATACCATTTGAGGGAAGTGGCACCCCTCTCAAAATCCTCAATTGCAATGAAGCTCATTAACTAGGGAAGAGGGAGAGTCTTCTTCTGCATGTCTGGACAATTTAAAGTGGAGATGCTCAAATTGAGGCATTGATTGGCCCTTCCCCGTATGGTATAGTTGTCATACTATATATATATATATATACACACTTTATATATATATACTTTATATATAATATACTTTATATATATATAATTTTTTTTAACAAATCGTCATAACACACCAAAAAGGGGTAATTTTCAATTTTCAGTCTGACCAACTTGGATATGTTGATGGATGTATATTTAGAGTTCTACTCCTACCTACTTTCAGAAAGAATTTATATTTATTTACAATAAGTACATAAGGTACAATAAACCCCCAAAATCATGAATATAGACCAGGGTTGAGAACCTCTGTCTCTAAGGGGCCAGATTTGGCTGGTGGTCCATAGTTTACTAATCTTGATATATACCTAGGGATAAGTGGTTAAAGCCACTAACTCAAACAGAAATTGCTTTGAGAAAGAGATCAAGAAAGATAAAAACAAACTGGCTAAACCAAAAAATACAATTTCCATTATTCAGTAGAGGTACAGAATAGTAAACAGCCTACTCTGTGCTTGGTCTGAAACATTAGCTCAGATGAGCTCATTCTGATGATATTTTATAAGTTAATAAGTACTCTGAACCCCCATGGTTTTAATACAAAGCTGTCTTTCATTGGGGCTCACCTCTGCTCCCCAAGGAACCCCCAAGATGCCTCATCCCCAGTGAATCACCCTGACTGAGCAGCCTTTCCTTCCCTGTAACATCCTTCATGGTTCAGTTTTATGCTTTTGCAAAGGATCTATCTTCTTTGAGAGAGGAAACCCACTGCCATTCCTGCATATGGAGAAATTCTGCATTTTATTTTACTTTTTTTTTTTTTTTTTGAGACGGAGTCTTGCTCTGTCACTAGGCTGGAGTGCAGTGGCTCGATCTTGGCTCACTGCAACCTCCGCCTCCTGAGTTCAAGCAATTCTCCTGCCTCAGCCTCCTGAGTAGCTGGGATTACAAGTGCCCACCAACATGCCCGGCTAATTTTTGTATTTTTAATAGAGACGGGATTTCACCATGTTGGTCAGGCTGCTCTTGAACTCCTGACCTCGTGATCCACCTGTCTCAGCCTCCCAAATTGCTGGGATTACAGGTGTGAGCCACCACACCCAGCCTATTTTACATTTTTAAAAGACAAGGTCTTACTCTGTTACCCAGGCTGGAGTACAGTGGCACAATCATAGCTCACTGCAGCCTCAAATTCCTGGGCTCAAGCGACTTTCCCACCTCAGGCTCCCGAGTACACTAAGACAACAGGTATGTGCCACCAAGTCTGGCTAATTTTAAAAATACTTTGTAAAGACAAGGTCTCCAACTCTTGACCTCAAGTGATGCTCCCTCCTCACCTCCCAAAGTGCTGGGATTACAGGCATGAACTATTGTGCCCAGCCTAAAATTCTGCATTTTTTAAGGAGGAATTTGCCTCTTTTGGTAGATTCATGCCTCTGTTGGCTGATCATGAGGATAAGAAAGCATACATATGAAGGTGTTCTGTGCCCATCACACAAATATAGAAGAGCTGAATACAGGCAAGGCTGCTGGGCACTTGTTACCGAGGGCTAACTTGTAAAACCCCCAAATGAGTCAGAATGAGTCCATTTTGGTAAAACTGAAAGAGAAAGATTACAGAAGTCAGCACTGCATTCCTACTTCAGCTCAATTACTCCCTAACTGAGTAACCTTCCCCAAATTAGTTAACCGTTCTTCACTTGTAAAAGCAAGGTAATACCACTAACACGCCAGAGTTCTGAGAAGGGAGGGAACATAAGTCATGTATAAACACAAAGCCAGGGATGGAGTAGGCCCGTGATCAATGTTAATTTACTTTCCTTCTTCCTTTCAGAAATTCCGGAATGAGAGGCTGGCACATAGAAAACTAGGAGTGCCATCATTTATAAAGTTGGTTGTTTTAATTTTTTAATTTAGTGCTTTATAGGATTATTTAGAAATAATGCAATGCCTTACTTTAGGGCTGAAAACAACCAGATTCTGCACAAAACATCTCTCACTGCCTAAACCAATAAAAATGTAATCAAATAATGGCCGACTAATATGTCAATATTTGATTTAGATTTTAAGAGGGGATGATTCTAGTTAAATTTATGAGACGCTCCACAACTTAACTCCTACACTCCAATCATTATAGAGACTAGAATTGCAGAAAGGGCAAATCTTCTAGAAAATGGTCCCAAGCCCTAACTCAGCCACATACTATTTATTACCTTTGTAGATGCACTCGATGTGATGAAGCAGTATGATCTGAAATATAGCTGTGTTTTAGTTTTAGATATTCTTTTGTACTCCTAGTACCATTCTGATCAGCTCCCACAGAAACATATCCTCTAATATGCTTAAAATTTCCACTAGAAGGCAAGTGGTCAGAAAAGCACATAAATTTTGAATTTTGTGGGGCTTACACAAATTTAATCCTCAATGCTATTTCAATGCAAGGAGCTAAAATGAAAGGACTATCTCACTGCAGGGGAGGCAGTGTTAGTTTTTAATCTGTAGGCCTTTCAGCCTGATTTGTATTGTTTTCTTCCTCCTGCCTCTCCTTCCTCACCTCTTCATTCAATAGTTCACAAAAAAAGTTCTTTTTACACCTAGAAAGAAAGAAAGATTCTTTAAAAACTTAGGAAAATCATTTTATTTTTCATAGTCAGAACATAAACCTCAGAGCTGAGCTCAGAACATCTCATAAAGCTAAAAGGAGATTTTTCACTACTTATTTCTGAGTGTATATATATATATATGTATGTGCGTGTATATATATATATGTGTGTGTGTATATATATATCTGTACTTTATACACACATACACACACACATACACACACACACAGTTTATTTTTTCCTGAATACCGCTCCTTTTGGATTCCTTATTCATCCAAGCCCATGCGAGGTAAACTGTTGCTTGCGTTTAATCAAATGTGATCCTGTTCCTCCTTTATCCAAAGCTAAGTTATACTTTTCAAAGAAAAGAAAGTAATAAATAGATCTGTGTGTATAAAAGACAGATGGAAGGGAGGGAAGGGCATCAGCATTAGGAAACATGAGCCAGTCCATCTCACCTAGACAAAACCTTTGCAGCAAACATGCAGATATCTACAGAGGTTTCAAAATGAACAATCCCTGACTACCTTGACAAAGGCTGAGTTTAGAAAAATGCATAGCATCATGGGCATGTCTCAAAGCCTTGCAGCCACCCCAAATAAGCTGAAATCCTGACAAACACAAGGGATGCCTAGAGTTGCAAGCCTTGGTTCCACTTTACACACCTCTCTGTGTAAACGAAAGTTGCCCGAGGTGATCTCTTGTCTTCCTGCCTAAGAGGCAATGTCTTAGCTGTAGCTAGGAACTGTTTAACTTCTTATTGGTCAATAACATGCCCCAGCAAGCAATAAATACGCCCTGACCTCGCAGCTGCCCTTTAGCACTGCACGCATCATTGATCCTGTGGGTCCTTGGGAAACAAGCCAATCTGAATAAAGCTAAGTGGAGGCCAAGTACCATTTCCCAATGTCTTCTTGCAATTCCCTAGTAGCTGTAACTAGAAATAGAGCACCTGGCAAATCATCACATCATGGATGTCAGAGTTAGATTATTATCTCCACGAGAGAAAGAAAAGAGCAAGAGAGACTGAGATTCTATCTACACAAAGAAAGTGATGTGATCCCTAATGTAGCAAAATCTCCCAGTCTTCACAATTAAAACTGGGGAGCCCAACATATGCTAGACGAGGAGAGCTGAAAAGATAGATTAAGAGAAAAATAATTCCCCATTGTCCTATACGCTTTCTTCATTCGATAATAAAAATGCACTTCATTCATAAAACACGTACAATAAAATATACGATCAACCCATTCCTGGGAGGTTCCTGACAGGTGAGTAACACAAAGATAGATGAGTATTATTAACTCTTCAGTACCAGTAGAATATCATCTTATTTGGTGATTTTCTCAATTCTCTACTGTACACTACCCTGTCATTTTTTGTTTGTTTTTGTTTTTTGAGACGGTCTCGCTCTGTCGCTCAGGCTGGAGTGTAATGAGGTGATCTTGGCTCATTGCAACTTCCACCTCCCAGGTTCAGGCAATTCTCGTGCCTCAGCCTCTCATGCAGCTGGTTACAGGCGTGTGCCACCAGGCCTGGCTAATTTTTGTATTTTTAGTAGAGACGGGGTTTCGCCATGTTAGCCAGGCTGGTCTTGGACTCCTGACCTCAAGTGATCTGCCTGCCTCAGCTTCCCAAAGTGCTGGGATTACAGGCATGAGTCACCGCGCCCGGCCTCCATCCATTTTTTTTTTTAATTGAACATGCAGTATCTACTGGTTTATTTTTAGGTAATGTACACACTCTGCTTTACTGACATAAAATGTATATTGTGAAATGTACAAAAATAAGAAGAATAAGATTAAGATACATTTTAAAATAATTTTTATCTTATTTATTAATTGTAAGAAAAAATGTAGTAAAACCAACATAATAGGTCATGCTTCGTTATTTTTCAACCCAGTCTATATTTTATAAACCAGTGATTCCAAGAACAGGTTTGAAATTCAGGATTTTTTTTCTCCCAAAACTTGGAATTAATGAGGGTTACAACTACGTAAGAAAGCTAACAAAGCTATGTGAATCCACATAGAAGTGCATTTGGGGCTACACTTAGAAAACCATGACCAAGCTTTTAAATCCCATTGGCCAATTTCATAAGAAAAGATTTTATTAAAATTTACTAATGCATCACAGCTATCTTAATGTCTATCAGTTGTTCTTGCAAACTTATCAAAAGAAATTAAACCAATGAATTCAAAAACTATTGAGACCCTTGTTGAAAGACTTTTTTAGACAAAGTAAAATAGTCATTTTTCAATGCTGTTTTAAGCTGAGAAGATAGGAAAGTTTTAATGGTGAATATATACCATTTTTAGCAACAAAAATCTAACAATGGAAATATTTCCAAATAAATTATTTTCAAAATAATTCTTCCTCAGCATAAACTCCATTTAAAAAAACATATATTTAATATATTAGTTGTTATCTTTACACTAAGAAGATTTAAGTTAAAAATGGTTTGTGGGAGGCTGAGACAGGAGAACCGCTTGAGCCTGGGAGGCAGAGGTTGCAGTGAGTCGAGATAGCACCATTGCACTCTAGCCTGGGCGACAGACGGCGACTCCGTCTCCAAAAAAAAAAAAAAAAAAAAAGGCTTGCCTGTTTCCTGATGTCTCTTTAATTTCCAACAAGCCCAAGCCATTAAGAAATGAGATTTACACTGTTGGTGGGAATGTAAACTATTACAATCACTATGGAAAACAGTGTGAATATTTTTCTTTTTTTTTTTTTTTTTTTTTGAGACAGAGTCTTGCTCTGTCACCCAGGTTGGAGCGCAGTGGTGCGATCTCAGCTCACTGCAAGCTCCACCTCCCAGATTCACCCCATTCTCCTGCCTGAGCCTCCTGAGTAGATGGGACTACAGGCACCCACCACCACGCCCCCCTAATTTTTTTGTATTTTTAGTAGAGACGGGGTTTCACCGTGTGAGCCAGGATGGTCTCGATTTCCTGAACTCGTGATCCACCCGCCTCAGCCTCCCAAAGTGCTGGGATTACAGGCGTGAGCCACTGCACCCGGCCTGGAGATTTCTAAAAGTAGGACTACTATTTGATCCAGCAATCCCACTCCTAGTATCTACCCAGAGGAAAAGAAGTCGTATGAAAAAGATATTTGCACACACATTTATAGATGCACAATTCCCAATTGCAAAAATATGGAACCAGCACAAACGCCCATCAGTCAACGAGTGGATAAAATGTTTTATATGTGTATATATATATATACACACACATATACACACCATGGAATACTAGTCAGCCATAACAAGAAATGAAATAATGGCATTCAAGGAACCTGGATGAAATTGGAGGACATTATTCTAAGTGAAGAAACTCAGGAATGGAAAACCAAACATCATATGTTCTCACTCATAAGTGGAAGCTAAGCTATGAGGTTGCAACGGCATAAGAATGAGAAAATGGACTTTGGGGACTCAGAGGAAAGAGTGGGAGAGGGATGAGGAATAAAAGACTACACATTGGGTATAGTTACACTGCTCGGATGACGGGTGCACTGAAATCTCAGAAATCACCACCAAAGAACTTACTCATGTAACCAAACACCACCTGTTCCCCAAAAACCTATTGAAATAAAAAAAAATTAAAAAAAAAGAAATTAGATTTTTCTAATTCCTGGCACCATTAGAACTTTCTGTATAATGTTTATGGGAATCTGGATTCTTTAAGTCAAGATCCAAAATCAAAGAAGGGAAATTTAAAAAATCAGTTTCCCTTAAAAGCCAACTAGATGTATAGCAAGCTCAGATTCTGCCAATTGTATTTCAAACTCAAAAAATATTCATAGGTTTTTTATTTAATTTCATTGCTATACAATTTTACTTGCCCCATAACTAGACATACCTGTTTTAGTTAAAATATGTACTTACTCTACTTTGATTTCAATTTAAATGTTGCTTAACATAAAACATAGCAACCCACTAGTTACTAAGTTTTCTTTTTAAGCCCAGAGAAAAGCAGAATTCATTTAAAATTGACCTCCAGCATGGTTAAATAATATATTTCATGTTCATATTTATTTACTTCAAACAAGGTATATTTTCATGGTTTTTGTACTTTTCTACACTTTTGCTTTTAGCACAATAAACAGAAAAACCATATTACCACATTCTAATATGTTTACAAATTTTTTCATGAAATTGTGAATCAAAACTTATTCAATAACTAGAGCCCTTTAAGAAACAGTTTGAAGAGATTCTGTGAAGCTTAAGCAATTAGGCTAGAAGTTCTTCAAAGAATAGAAATAGTTGGACACACAACCTCCCAAACAGCAGAGGCAGGAAAAAAAAAATTGTGGGGAAACCTACAATAATCGTCAAGTGAAACAAACTACATATTTTCCTTACTACTATTGTTTAAATTTTCTGTCCTCCTCAACTAGAATGTCAATTCCAAGAAGAGAGGGATTCACGTGGCCATGTGTGCATCCATGTTCATATGCATGGAGGTGTGCATGTGCACGTATGTGTGCAAATTGTGTATGCACGTGCATGTGGGTATATGCATATGTGTGTTTTACTGTTGCATCTCCAGGACCTGGCACATTTAGCTCCTCAATGAATATTTTGGAGCTAAATGAGTCTTTATTGAATGAATGGACAAATACAGGCAAGAAAAGAGGGTGGGCAGAATATAGAAAAACTGAAACTTTCTGGCTGAGGAGGAAGAAGCACTGATACACCAAACCTCTCAGCCACGAAAGGGAGGAAACCAAAGAGGGAGCACAGCGCAGATGTCCCACTAAACTCGGTGCCATTGATCAATCTTTCTATCACCTTTTCCACCACTTGAATGATTATTTTCAGTCCTTGTATCTGGGATTTCACTTCCTGAGTATTCCAGTCTCTTGAGCTTCCCTTACATCACAAACTCAGGAAATTCCTTTTGATTTAATCTCAAGCCAGTCACCCCATGCCTGGATGCAATTAGTCCACCCACATTCTCCATGTAATATGCAAACTGCGTTATTGGTCTCCAAATATGCTGATGATTCTAGGCAACAATATTGCCTTAGGAGTTAGGGTGAAGTATTTTGATTTACCGGATATGAGGCCAGAATTTTTCATTCACAATAATACTGAGAGCTGCAGCCACTTTCTAAGCACCTACTTGGCCACCACACTCCGTAGGACATTTAGTAAACATGGTCTATTTATTCTCCACCCTGATCCTGGAAAATGATGTTATCATCCCACTTTTACATGGGGG
This sequence comes from Homo sapiens, assembly GCF_000001405.40. NCBI lineage: Eukaryota > Metazoa > Chordata > Mammalia > Primates > Hominidae > Homo > Homo sapiens. Next base: position 118,005,037 of record NC_000008.11, read on the forward strand.
TGAGGGAGACAAAGTCCTGAGACAAAGTGATTTGCATGAGATCACAGAGCTGGAGAGTGGCAGTCAGGACTTGAGGTCCAAAGCTCTCTACCTAACTTTTGACAGCTGGGGTTTTTCATACAAGTTAAAGGGCCCAGCCTCAGAGACCATCACATGCTTAATGATGCTTCTCATGACTGACAGATATCCCAGACTTGCTTGCAGCTAGGCAGACTATTAGGGATTAGTCTAAACCCCTCATGTTATAGTGCTCAGCCCAAAGGGTACACATATACAACTTCCATGCCTAGGTTCCCACCAGTTTCTTAGCTCTAGTTACAAAGCTCGATTTGCTACAGCATAGCAACTGAGGAATAGGCACCTCAACAATGATTAAAAACAGCAAAACAAAACAGCAGCAGTAGCTAATACCTATGCACTATTTAGTATATGCCAGGCTCTTCCTAAGAATGTTTCACGTGCAATTAGCTGACTTTCACAGCAACTCTATCGGATATGAATTGTCTAATCTTTTCATTTAACAGAGGAGAAAACTGAGGCAACAAAGGGTTACATAAACTAATGATCTAAGGTCACACAAGCTGCTAAGTGATTGAGCCAGGATTTAAAACTGGCAGACTGGCTACAAGTCCAGCATTTCACCACTACGCAAAGTGTCTTTTATGATAATTGGCCCTCTCTGTACTTTTTCTTCTACGTCACATGTAGGTGAAGATTGCAAAATGATTGCAAACTCTGCAATGGGAAAAGGACCATCCAGGAAAATAACACACCCTATGTATGCTTCTTCATTTATTACAGAGTCTTCACTTTACAAATTTGGCCACCAATACACAGCCCTAATAAATATGCATCAAATATACTACGGCTTACAAGAAGTGTCCATCAAAGCAGCCATCTCTACTGTTATACAATAGGACAGCTCTAATACTATAAAACAGGACAATTCTTATTACTCTATAGGTAAGAATGCAGGTAAAATAATGTTAACATGAACTTGAGGTGTGGCCTTTATAAAGCTGTTAAATCCTCTCAGGTATACTCAGCTAGGTTGCCCATCTAAGTTTATAGGGTTCTGGAAAGCAATTCCTTATTCCTCTTAACATCTCTCCCACTTTGCAGCCCATGGTCCCAGACCAGTCAGTGCTTTGCAAGGAGTGAGTCTACTATAACTTATTCTCTGACTGACCGCAGGAACTTTCTTCCAGTTCTGAGACAACATCAACAATGGGGGTCCCTCCACCTTTCCTGCTTCTGTTTGGAGTCAAATATGTTAGAATCATTAATATCACTGCTGTAAAAAATGTCAGAATTATATGGATCTCTGAGGTTTTTGAGTACCACTAAAGGAGTATAGTGTTTGAGTCAAAAAACCTGAGACCAAATATGAGCTCTGCCCTTTTAGAACGTAACTTTCCTTTTTCAGAGCTGAACCAAGTTTCAACTTACTCATCTGTGAAATGCCTATAATACTCTACCTATCTCTAGGAATGCCTTGAAGGTCAAAAATCGTAACAATAATGGGGGACAACTGTGGTTCAGTGGAAAGAATATTAGAATAAAGTTAGATGATCTGAGTTCAAGTTTCACATTATCCTAACCCACTTCAGTGAACAACTGAGGCTGATTCCATCTAAACTGTCTGAATCTCATTTTTATCATCTGAAAAAATATTCACATTTTTAAAGAGTTGCTTTAGGAAGAAAAGAGACTAGGACCCACTTCTTCTCAAGCCAAGCCAGTGTCATTTAGACTACAACAGGTTGTAAGAGTGGCCTGAGGCAAAAAAGAGAACACTCTCTCCATGAAAGAGGCATCCTCTACCTAGCTCTGGAGGACCGTGGCCATGTAGAAATGCAAGCGTAGGGCTGCCAAATCTTCCATTTTCCTACCTAAGCACTGAATCCACATTTCTATGTGAAATCCTTCAGTTGTTAGAGTTGGCAATTAATTCAATTTTTTAAAAGCATTTGATGGCTGGCCGGGCGCGGTGGCTCACGCCTGTAATCCCAGCACTTTGGGAGGCCGAGACAGGCGGATCACGAGGTCAGGAGATCGAGACCATCTTGGCTAACACGGTGAAACCCCGTTTCTACTAAAAATACAAAAAATTAGCTGGGCGTGTTGGCGGGCGCCTGTAGTCCCAGCTACTCGGGAGGCTGAGGCAGGAGAACGGCGTGAACCCAGGAGGCGGAGCTTGCAGTGAGCTGAGATCGCGCCACTGCACTCCAACCTGGGGGACACAGCGAGACACCATCTCAAAAAAAAAACAAAAAAAGCATTTGATGGCCCTAGAGAACATGCCTACAGACAGGTTACATAAGAATATCTGCATCCTTTCTAAGGTAACAAGGAACAGTTACCACCATCCTAAGCAACCTAAGGGGATCTTGAATATTTTTGATAACTTGGTGAAAACTAGAGGCCTCCTTTCAAGGAAAATGCATCAGAACAAACAGTTAGTGCATGTGGGGCTTCATACCTAGGTGATATATTGACAGGTGCAGCAAAACCACCACGGCACACATTTACCTAGGTAACAAACCTGCGTGTTCCACACATGCATCCAGGAACTTAAAGTAAAATTAAATTAAATACAAAAGACGAAGAAGATAGGTCTAACATGATTCTAGAGCTTCAAGCCCAGGTAACTACAAGACTGTAGTTTCATTCGCATCACCAGATGAGAGAAATCTTGTTTGGGAAGATAAGAAAGGAACAGGGAGATGACACAGAGCTGGAAGAGAGAAAGAAAAAAATGAATAAACTAAAGTGTAATATGCTTCAGTTGTGTAAGGGGTTTGACAGAGGACAATTTTGCCCTATAATTTCTAGAACATTACCCAAGGGACTAATGATAGTGAGTATCTATGGTGGAGAGGGGCAGTGCTGGCAGAGGAGGCACGCAGGTGGAAGGGAGACTGTTTTCACTATATTTTGATACTTGTTTTAAACCATGTGAATTACTGTCTAGTCATGACGACCAAAACAAATTAACTAATAATAAAAATCTGATGCTCTCCCTCCCTTCACCTCCCAACCCCCGACAGGCCCAGGGATGTGTGACGTTCCCCTCCCTGTGTCCATGTGTTCTCATTGCTCAGCTCCCACTTGTGAGTGAGAACATGCAGTGTTTGGTTTGCTCTTACTGTGTTAGTTTGCTGAAGATGATGGCCACACTGTCTTCCACAATGGTTGAGCTAATTTATGCATATTATACTTTTTTTTGTTTTTTTATTTGAGACAGAGTTTTGCTCTTGTTGCCCAGGCTGGAGTGCAGTGAGGTGATCTTAGCTCCCTGCAACCTCCACCTCCCTGGTTCAAGCGATTCTCCTGCCTCAGCCTTCCAAGTAGCTGGGATTATAGACGCCCACCACCATGCCTGGCTAACTTTTTGTATTTTTAGTAAAGACAGGGTTTCAGCAGGTTGGCCAGGCTGGTCTCGAACTAGGTGATCCACCCGCCTCAGCCTCCAAAAGTGCTGGGATTACAGGCCTGAGCTACCATGCCCAGCCTGCATTTTATATACAGACTTACTTGTTTTCACTTCATGTATTATGGAGGGATTTCCACGCTATTATATGAAGATATTCAATACCATTTTTCTGTGGCTGCACAGTATCCTATGGTATTGGCAATAAAGCATTATGTATTTAATTAGACACACATTGATTACATTGTTTCTAATCTTTTCTTATTAAAACCACAGCTGCAATTAAAAAAAAATACACCTTTGGTTACATTTTACTTTCTTCCTGCTTAAATTGCCTTATCTGAAAATGAAGATACTATCAGTCCCACCTCACAGAGTTTTTTAAAGAATGAAATACATGAAAAATATGTAAAATTCTTAGTTCCAGAAACCAGGTAAATCCTCAGCAAGTGTTAGATGTGATTGCTATTATGAAATGGGTCATCTCTTATCTACGCAAGTATATCTGTAGAATGCATTCCAAGCAGTAGAACTGCCAGGAGATTTAAAAGGAAACGGGAAAGTAGGTATTAATGTGGAGGTCCCAGAAAATTGGGGGAAACCAACATGGGAAATGAAGCAGCCATTGGCTTACCAGGGACAGAGGTTGAAGGTGTCCCAGAAGCCACATCGCAATAGGGACTTGAGAAGTCTGTGAGTCCTATCTGGTGAAAGGGTCCCCTGAGCTACACTGGGAATGTGAGCACGCCTCCCAGACTAACATTCTCCTCTGTTGTTCTAATCAACCAGCAATGTGTCTAGGAAAGGCCAAATTCTTGGCAGCCAAACTACATTTCCCAGATTACTTCAGTCCTGGAAGAAACAACAAAAACTATGCCAGGTCACATGTCTCCATTTTCAGGACTGGAAAATGAGGGCATAGATTTGTGGCTCTAATCCACAGAGGGAAAGTTGAGAAAAGGACGTGGAGAAAGGGTGAGTCAAAGCAAGTGAATGACCAGACAGTGGCCAACATTTCCAGACTCCAAAAGGGCAAGCAATATTTGCATATACCAACACTGGGTCTGCAGCAGGGGGCCCCAACCCTTGGGCAGCAGACCGACCCTAGTCCGTGGCCTGTTAGGAACCGGGCTGCAAAGCAGGAAGCGAGTGACAGGCAAGCGAGGATTACCACCTGAGCTCTGCCTCCTGTCAGATCACTGGTGGCATTAGAATCTCATAGGAGAGTGAACCCTATTGTGAACTGTGCACGTGAGGGATCTGGGTTGCACGCTCCTTATGAGAGTCTAACTACTGCCTGATGATCTCAGGTGGAACAGTTTCATCCTGAAACCATCCCCACACCACCCTCCTGGTCCGTGAAAAAATTGTCTTCCACGAAACCGGTTCCTGGTGCCAAAAAGGTTGGGAACCGCTAGTCTATACTCACCTGGACCAAATGCGTATTTAGTGCAAAACAAGGAGGTCTTCAACTGCTGAGGGAATTGGGTTCTAAGAAGTGGCTAAGAGCTAACAGGTAGGCTAAAGAGCTAATAAAACCAAATCCCTGAGCTCAGATAAAAAGTAAGAATAACCTTTGTCCATCAGTGTCTTCATTTGCCTATTGCAAGATGGATGTTAGGACTTAGAGTTGGCAGGATATAAGTATATTTTCACACTTTGGGAGGCAGAGGCGGGCGGATCACGAGGTCAGGAGCTCGAGACCATCCTGGCTAACACAGTGAAACCCCATCTCTACTAAAAATACAAAAAATTAGCCGGGCGTGGTGGCGGGCACCTGTAGTCCCAGCTACTCGGGAGGCTGAGGCAGGAGAATGGAGTGATCCCGGGAGACGGAGCTTGCAGTGAGCTGAGATTGCGCCACTGCACTCCAGCCTGAGCGACAGAGGGAGACTCCGTCTCAAAAAAAAAAAAAAAAAAAAGTATATTTTCAAATTTTTTGGCCTACTTTCACCCCCCACCTCTATTTCACCTCTACCCAAATCTCATCAAAACAAGCAAAAAAGAGCACTTTGACCACTCACTGGGAAGAATTCCAACTGCAACAGTTTACAAAGAAAACCAACATAAATTTCACTTGAATGTGTTACGCTGACCTCCCAAAATCCATCTCAGCTAATTAAAAGAAGCTGCAGAGCAGTTCCTATGGATATTAGCATTCAGGTCCTTTAGGAGCATGTTTACGTGGCACATCACCTTGCTGGGAGGCTCCCAGTACCCTGGGCTGAAGGCATCAATTCTCACTGGCAACGGCACGGCCGCAAGAGTGTGATCGCAGGCTCTGTGGAACCTCATGAAATGTTTAAGGACTCTCTTGGCTCACATCTCACTCTTCCTCACTCTACCCCATCTCAGGCTTCACCTTCTCCCCTTGCTAGAAGCCACTTCCGTGGCAGACGCTCTGGGTGCCAAGGTTTACAGTAACACCCCAATGGGACAGCAAGATTAATGAAAGCTTTCTGTGGGTAATTCAACTCTGTTCAGTAATATGACACTGAGAGGACAACAGGAGCTTGCAGGAAAGAAGAGGGGTAAGGAAATGGGAGAGCCATCAAGATGTGCACATGAAAACCTGTTTGCAATGTGGGAAGGACTCATCTGGTCAGCTATGGCTATTTGTCAGCATAGCATAGCAGCCACTTCACCATGAGAAAGTGTTATATGCAAACGACACCTCCTCAAAGAGGCCCTCACAGACTACCACAGCCAAATCCTCTCATATCTCTTTTCCCTGCCTGACATTAAAAGTGTACTCCCTCTGCTGCTTTGTCTGTTACCGACTTCCCGGTCCAGAATGGAAGCTACAAAGAGGCAGGACTCGTGTCTGTCTCATAATACTCCATTCCCCAGCCACTTAAAGTGAGCCTGGAACGTAGTAGGCACCCACTAACCTTATGAACACCAGTGAATGACTAGCTGGAATTCTGCAATAGCTTTTAATTTTAAAATGTGCCTACAAAATCCATCAAAATCCATTTTCCATTACCATATTAGGGTATGAAGAGGGGAAAAAGTATCGAGTAAATACTGGATCTGAGTCACCATGCCTGGCATTTTATACATAATAGTCACTTAATTTCTAGGACTCTCTGAGGTCGGCATGACTAATGCTATTTCAGATTAGGAAAACTGAGGTTCACAGATACAAACACAACTCACCCAAAGTCGCATATGTGGAAAGTGATCATTTCTGGTTTGTCTGATCCAAAATTCCCTGCATCTGTCACTCCCCACCCTGATCGCTCTCTGGCTCCTAAGGCTTTCATTTGGTTTTCCCAAGATCGGGCTCCCCTGTGACATGTCTCCATGACAAGCCGTTAGTATTCACTCAGAGACAAATTCCAAACGCATCTTTGATCTCACTACTTCAAGGAATCCCTTTAGTCACTTAGAAATGGAAACAGTCTGTTTTTATAAATGGCTCAGGAAGGGAGGACAGTCATCGCAGGCAGAGTCCTACAGAGAGCGCGAGAGAACATGGGAAGCAGCCGACCACTGGTGCAAGGAAGGGGCTCCCAGCAGCAGCAGCAGGAGGAGCCCCAGGGACCAACTTGGGAGAGGTTTGTTCTCAGATCCAGTGCTCCCTTTCTTCACACAGCAAGAACTACCACCACGGACGTGTCTCCTTTCTTTAAAGTGCTTTGTTATCATTTACTAATAAAGGAAAACTCACAGACCCAGGCCTTCAAAAGCTCTCGCCAAAAGTAGGGAACCCTCAATGAAGCGCAGGCCAGATGCCAGTTTTCGGTGCAAAGCGATCCTGTGATCATCAAGAATTTAGAAGCCTTGCTGAAAGTTTCCACTGCACACAGAAGACCACACAGGACAGAGTTTCTTCCACGGGGCTAAGGCCTAATTCCCGAAGAAGCCACTGCGGCTTCCTAGTTTGGCACAGGTGTCAAAAGCCACTTTTGGATTGACCCTTTTTGTCCGGGAAGGTGAAGCTTCCTAAGGCTAGATGGAACAAGCTGCTGGTGCAGTGTCTGCCTCCCCAAGCCAAAGAGCAGATTTCCACAAGGCCACCCGACAAGGCAGTCTCTAGGACAGAGACCAGGCCCAGATAAAAGGCTTTAGCCTTGGCAGCACAGTGCACTAAGAACAGGCCTCCAGGGTGGAGACACCTGGCTGAAATTCCAGCTCTGCGTCTCACTGCTGTTTGACCTGGGGCTGTGCACATCACATCTCTATCAGTTTCCACATCTTTAAAATGGGGCTGATAAAAATAACTACCTCTCAGGGCAGCCTGCAACAATGATGCATGTAAATTGCCTGGCACATAATGGACATTCAATCTAACATTAACCAAAACATTATTATTTTTCTCACAAAAAAGACCCCAGGAGGTTCTGTTGTTCCATTTTCTAACTCACCCTTATTGCTCTGACTGTAATCATACCCAAAATAAAAGCCTTTTCCTAAATTTGTTGTAGCAGAATGGTGGCCTGATTCTTTCTATCGTTAGTAAGGCAACTAACTGGCTCTCACTCCTTCGTCTCTAAAATTAAGCAAATGAAAACATGCATAATGTGGGTGAAGAAAAGGTGAACTACTTCTATGTGTTCACTGATGTTTTTTTTTTCTTTGAGACAGAATCTCTCTCTGTTGCCCAGGCTGGAGTACAGTGGCACAATCACAGCTCACTGCACCTCAACATCCCAGGCTCAGGCGATCCTCCCACCTCATCCTCTCTAGTAGCTGGGATTACAAGCATGGGCCACCACACCTGGCTACTTTGTTGTTGTTGTTGTTGCTGTTGTTGAGACAGAGTCTCACTCTGTCACCAGGCTGGAGTGCAGTGGCGCAATCTTAGCTCACTGCAATCTTCATTTTCTAGGTTTGAGCAATTCTCCTGCCTCAGCCTCCCAAGTAGCTGAGATTACAGGAGCCCGTCACTGCGCCCAACTAATTTTTGTATTTTTAGTAGAGACGGGGTTTTACCATGTTGGCCAGGCTGGTCTCAAACTCCTGACCTCAGATGATCCACCCGCCTCGGCCTCCCAAAGTGCTAGGATTACAGGCATGAGCCACTGGGCCCCTTAGTACAGGGGCTAGAGTAGGTAAGCCATTCACTCTCTTCCCCAAGAGGACAGCAGAGACCCAAGAATGAGACAGAACAGAATGTGGCACATAGAAAGGATGGATGGACTTGGAGTCAGAAGTCAGAAAGTACGATCATACAATCTGAAAACCCACTACCCACATACAGGGTTGCTTGATTTTAGCAAATGAAAATACAGGATACCTGGTTAACCTTGTATGTCAGATAAACAACGAATTTTCTAGTATACTATGGTCCACTATTTTTAAATGTAAGTATGTTCAAATATTTCATGGGATATACTTATACTAGTCATTATTTATATGACAATCAAATTTAACTGGGCCTCCTACATTTTACCTGGCAACTCTTGTCATGTAAAGATCTTAAATCTACCTTGATGCAGTAAAAAGAATATGGATTTTGGAGTTAAGTTGAACTGCGATTGAATCCTGGCTCACTACAAGCTCAATGTGTAATCCTAGCTAGTTATCTGAACTGCCTGAATCTTGCTTTACATATCTGTAAATGGCAGTGATAACACCTCACAGGGCTGTGCTATAGGTTAAATAAAGATAATGATGATGGCGATAATAATTACTAATATTGACAGTTTCATTTATTAAGTGCTCAACAAATGTTAGCCTTCTTTGCTCTTTGAGCCTCAAAGATTTCCCATCTACAAAATGGGGTTAAAGATATTGGTAATAAAATTCAAATATGTTTTCTGATAAGAATAAGGATACTTCAGCCTTCCTCCCATGGATTTCTGGGAAAAAATCTCAAGAATTTATTTTCTTTGGGTCTGCAAAATATCCCCTTTATCCCACCCAAAAAGGTCATTTTTGGTCTGCCTGGTTGTGATAAATGTATTTTATGCAAAATAGTCTTGAATTTTCTCTCAGGAGTTCACATACTCTCCTTCTCATGTCCGTGCATCCCTTCAACCAGTTATTTCTTTAAAATGTGGTCTGAGAATGTCAGCATTAGAACCACCTGTAATGCCAAAGGACTTCCCTGAGCCCAGTTACAGAACAACCAAATTAGAATTTCTGGAGCTGGACCCAGAAAGCATCCTTCTTCTTTTTTCTTTTTAATTTATTTTAAATTTAAATAGAGATGGAGTCTTGCTATGTTGCCCAGGCTGGTCTTAAATGCCTGGGCTCAAGTGATCCCCTCGCCTCAGCCCCGAAAGTGCTGGGATTATAGGTAGGAGCCACCATGCCCAGCCAAGCATCCTTCCTAACAAACTCCTCGTGTGGTTCTTAAACCCGTTCAAGTTTGGGTACCATTACCCTAAAACCTCAACCCCAGGCCCAAGAGTTACACAAGCAGACTCACCTTCCCCAAAGTTAACATTAATATTCTGCAAGGGATGGGAACGGTGAATTCCAGAGTGATACAAGAATGGAATTTTCAAAGCTTTTATATGAGGAACAGATCAGCTCATCTAACACTCTGTTTTGGAGCATTTGTGTCAAATTGACATTCCAATTTAAAGACCATACATAAAACCCCATTCAATTATTTAGCACTGTACAGATTTTACATAACTCTTGAAGTTACTGACTCAATTCATTTTCCTTCGAACTGCAAGACAGATTAATCTAAAATGAATTAAGACAGGCAACCAGAAGTAATGTTGCCACTGCCAGTAAACAGTCTTTAAACTGCTGGATCAGTAAGCTGCTTACAGCCTTGCAAGCGCTGACGCCACATCTGCTCGGCAATTCATGTGCTCTCAAGCCAAGGATTTAGAATCCATGTTTGTCATGATCACAGAAACTCGAGAGAGGGGGTAATGTTTAACCCAAGCCTTTTCTTTTACCAATAGGTATCACTTCTTCCCCGCAAAATGAACATGAAGACCATGACTCGGTTACAAATATTTCAGGTTACATCAAAATGCATAAATGTATCCAAAATTCCACGATCTAAAGTTTCTAATAATTTGGAAAAAAAATTCTAAAATACCCTAAATTATTCCTGACATCAAATTGCTCAGAGTCCGGCAGAGAAGAAAAACAAAAAAACAATTATGAGAGATGCTAGAAAGCATGACAAGAGAGTTCCAGTGTCAAGAGGGACATCAAAGCCAGATGTTGGGGGAAGGAACACGGCAGAAGAGTTCCTAGAAAAGACGGCATCTAAACTAAGAAGGGGGTAATGCAGATGTTATGGGTGAACTGTGTCTCCCAAAAAGATATGCCAAATTCCTAAACCCCAGCACCTCAGCATATGACTTTATTTGAAAAAGCAGTTGTTGCAGCTGTCACCCCAGCCTGGAGTGGGGAGGGCCCTTAATCCAGTTGACTGCTGTCCTTATAAAAAAAGGAAAGAGACACAAAGAAGAGAATGCCATGTGAAGACAGAGAGAGATGCACAGACACAGAGGGAAGATGGCCAAGTGAAGGTGGCAGCAGGGACTGGAGTTAGGCTGTGCCACAAACCAAGGAATGCCTGGGGCTACCAGAAGCTACCAGAGGCAAGGAAGGAAACCTATAGGCTTCCAAGGGAGCAGGACTCTGCTAACACCTTGATTCTGGACTTCTAGACTTCGCATCTGTGAGAGAATAGATTTTTGTTGTTTAAAGCCACTCCAGGCGGGGCGTGGTGGCTCACGCCTATAATCCCAGCACTTTGGGAAGCCGAGGTGGGCAGATCACTAGAGGCCAGGAGTTTGAGACCAGCCTGGCCAACATGGAGAAACACCATCTCTACCAAAAATAAAAAAAATTAGCCAGGCATGGTGGTGCACACCTGTAATCCCAGCTACTTGGGTGGGAGAGGCATGAGAATCTCTTGAACCTGGGAGGCAGAGGTTGCAGTGAGCCAAGATCACGCCACCGTACTCCAGCCTGGGTGACTGAGAGAGACTCTGTCTCAAAAATAAATAAATGAATAAATAAAGCCACTCCGTTTGTGGTACTTTGTTACAGCAGCCTTGGGAAATGAATGCAGTAGGACGGGGCCAGAGGGCATGGGATCCTGACGTAGGAAAGCCACAGGACCAAGACCTGGAGGTAAAGGGGAAGGCCACCTTTGTTTCAAGGAACCACAAAGAATTTAGTCTGGTGGGAAGAGAGGAAGGCAGGCAGCACCTGGAAGACTTTGTCCCGGCTGCAGTAAAGGCCATCTTCTGCTCTGCATTATGCTCACCAAAAGGCTTAACTCTAAGGAGCTAACCCCAGTCTCTAGCAGAATGAACAAGAAGCATGAAACTGCTCCCAGTAAAAACTAACCTACAACTGAAAAGGCACTGTGAATGGAAACGTGTTCCCAAAATCATCAATACTCACTGCCGGCAGACAACAAGCCAAGCTTTCCATGCCATCACAAAATTCTGAGTCAGTGACTGGAACAGACACAAGCAGCCTCTGGAGTTCTGGTGACATTCGATTTCTTGATCTTGGTGCTGGTTATAGACGTGTTCACTTTGTGAAAAATTATCGAGTTGAATCTTTGTGATGCACGAACTTCTCTGTATGCATGGTACGTGTATAAAATTTCCAATGAACTTCCAATGAAAGAAGGAAGGAATATGTAACATTTAGCATCTTGTTCTCCCAGACGGACCGGTATAATCATTTATAAAGATAAGATGTCCATCATCTTGAACGGAAAATACTGCTATCCGTTAGTCTGCTTGAATCTGAATCTGATCACCATAGGATAAGTTTTTAAATCTCCAAGACATTACTAAGTAAAACCTACCTCATTCTCCTTATACATTATCCTCTCTTTTTAGGCTAATTAAAAAGCTTGTCTCAGCTGGCCTGGGTTAATAATAGAACACTATTTCTTATTTAAACAACAAATCTCACTTTTAAGAGGTTTTGTCTCTTGCAAAACCTCAGGTTTTATATGAAACAAAAGAGTTATTTGACGCATGTTTTTACCTGAGTTGCTAAAGTAAACAGTAACAAAGTCAGCACTGAGTCCTCAAGAAAGCTAAGTCTGATTCAGGGACTTATCTCCCCTCACCACTGTATCTCCCCTCCACCACTGTATCTCCCCTCACCACACTGGTATGCAGACACTCTTGCCATTGGTTTAGAAAGCAGATGATAAATATTTAAAATGGGTCCACAGTCCAATGAACAAAACAGATATCAGGTAGAAAATCTCCTAATTGGCAGATTACATTTTTAGTTATAACCCCAAAATGGCTTTTGCAAATTATCAAAGCAACTCAAATCTGCATAATCTTAATTTAAAGCAACATAATTCGAGACTGTGAGGAATCTAATTGCCAGCTAAACAACTGTTTCCAACCGTAATTGGCTTCCCACAACCCTGCACACGATCATGTACACACATGCTTAAACCACCTGATGTGGAAGGCATCTGGACCGAGCCCAGCACTGCCAAAAGAATCTTTGAAAAAATGCAACAAAAGGAATGAGCTCTTGCACAGAATTTTCCACACATTGGCTCAGAGCAATTTCGCTTTCCAGAATGATTCCCTTAACTGTCAAGAAGGGGATTATAGTGCTATTCATTGCACAAGCAATTTTTTCTTACAATTAATTTTCACCCTTCTCCAATGTATAGAACAGTGTGATATATACATATCCACTAAAGACAGATCTATAGGTGTATGTTACTAGTTGAGCTGTGTCCTCTGCAAAATTCATAAGTTGAAGACCCAGCCTCCAAGTACCTCCAAATATGTCCTTATTTGGAAATAGGGTCATTGCAGATGTAATTAGTTAAGTTAGAATGAGGTCATACCAGAGTAGGGTGGGTGCCTAAGCCAATATGAATGGTGTCCTTATAGGAAGGGGAAAAATTGGAAAAACACACACACATGTATGCACATACACACGGGAAAAAACAGGTGAAGATGAAAGCAGGGATCAGGATGATGTTTCTATAAAGCCAGAAACACCAAAGATTGCCAGAAAATCCCCAGAAGCTAGGCAAGAGATATGGAACAGACTCCCTCTAACAGCCCACGGAAGGAAAACAGCCCTGGCAACACCTTGATCTTGACTTCTGGCCTCCAGAACTGTGAGGTTTGGGTTATTTAATCCACCAAGTTTATAGACTTTGTTACAGCAGACCTAGGAAACTAATACAGTGTATAACAACAATCTTTAAGTAAAAATCTGTGTGTGCCACTCTGTCTTACTTGTATACGCACATACATTGAGAGTTATCTTCCAGGAAATAATAAATTTCGTTATTACTAAGCCCTTGGATGTTTGATTTACAACAGTTGTGGGTGCATGAGGTTAATCACAGGACTGGGGAAATTCTGACTCACAATCCCAAAAGGCTGAAGTTCCAAATTTTGTCACGCAACCCTGAATTCACTCCAGCTCTGGGAAACCTCAAATCCCAAAGAAAACACAACCTGGTTTTCTCTCTCTTTTTTCCAATACAGACATAGGTATAATTTAATAATAGTACCCTGCTTCCCAAATGCAATTAAAAATGGCCTTCATTACTCCTCTGAATGAGTGTGTTTTATAATGCTGCAATCTACGGTTCAATAAAAAAGCAACTACTGCACCTATCATGGCAAAGCTGTAAAAACTGATCAGTGTGCTTTTGGTAGCTCTAGAGGCAGAGGAAAAAAAGAAAAAAAAAAACTTAAAGGAACAGGCACAAAATAAGTTGGTACAATGTGAGTGCTTTAGAAATCCAGTTTTTCATTTCTGAAACCTTTGATTTCCCTAACTTTGATTCTTTTCCCCTTTCACTTAGGAAGCAGTAAGACATAGCAGTACGATTGAAAGAAAGAAAGAAAGAAAGAAAGAAAGAAAGAAAGAGGAAATGGGAGTAATTGAGATTCAAACTTTTATACAGAGAGAGGTAAGTCTTGAGCACATGTATCTCTAAATCGTCTTCTGTGCTGTTGTACTCAAAAAGTGTGTGTTTGTGGACAGAGAGAAAGACAGGCAGAGAGAGAGAATACGACTCAGAGCCATGCTTCTTAAAACAGGAAGAATCATTAAAATTAGCAACTCAGCACTAAACAGTGAGCAGAACCACAAGGTAAATGGTGGGTCCAGATTCTATCGCAGAAAAGAGTCATTTCCTGTGACTATTCATCGTACATCGTCTTGGACCAGAAAAGGAACCTTGAAGTCATCTCTAAGATCTTAGTGTCTTTCTTTTCCCACCATACCCAACAATGCTCACAGGGTGACCTGAACAGAATGAAGTTTTCTGTGTGTCACACACAATTTTAAGCACTCGCTATGTATTAAGTATTGTCAACATCCCCTTTTTATTGTTGGAGGAACTGAGACAAAACTTAAATAACTCTGACCAAAGTTACCCACTTGGTAAGTGGTGGTGGCAGATTCCAGACTCTGCCCTCTTAGCCACCAGGAACACTGCCTTTCAATAAATGGTGCTTGGTGAAATAACCAAGCAATAAACCCATTGCATGAGGAATGCTTCTTTCATAGTCTCATGTTTCAGAGCCCTGAGCAGTTCAATGTGCAAAAGATGCCCAGCAATGTTGCTCACCCCTGGTTATTTTGGGGTTGCTCAAAGTCTCTGCTCTTCTTCCATCTTTACTGATTTATTATTTTACTGGTCTTCCAATAACTTCAGAAGCAACTTGCATGTTTTTATAAAATAAGAGAACCTAAAATTTGTGTTTGGGGTTTTATTAGTCATTCTTATAAAAATGCTTGTCTGGAAAGGATTTTAATAAAACTTCATTTGGAAATTACTAGAGGATGCAATCGACCCATCTGGCCTCAGTTCCTACAGACACATAAAATGTAAACAGTTCACTCTAACACTACTAAAGAGTCTATTTACAAGTTTTCAGCCTTGCTAGAATTAGAAGGAACTACTAATTCTAGTAGTCTAGGGAAAAGACTCTGGTCTTTACATACCTTCACTTTCAGTGGTTGCACTACATTACGATCTTGTCCTATTATGTAAAATCATAACTATTTTAATTGTGTTATTTAAAACACGTTATAGATGCTATGATAATCCTCTATAAATCAATGTTTAGTGCATTATCTGATCAAAGACACAAATATTGAGCTTTTTCAAATATTCAGCTAACCAACATTTGACAAAGGGGCTGGTGCAGCTAATTCTTGCTGTCATAGTCTTCTTTGATTAAAACACAGAATATGCCCTTCAGCATTAAGCACTCTGAGGTTATTTCAGGACTGTGCCTGATCGAATAGTATTACATTATGGGTTAGCACGGATGAAGGAGAGGAGATCTCAGAGTCACAGAGTATGTGTGTTCTTCAGCCCTCACTCTGCTGTATCAGTGACCTTCCAGCAAGTCACTTAGCCTTCTTTGACCATAGCAACCTTGGCTATAAAACCAAGACAGTAATACCCACCCTCCTTCTAACTTTAATGGGTAGTTACACAGATCAAATAAAACAAAACACATAAAAAGTACTTCGCAAATTCTTCGGCATCACGTGGGGAAGATAGAGTTAAACCAAATCTACATTCTTTAATGTAGCTTAGCTTTTCAATGATAAACTGCTTTACATTTTACAGCTTCCAGTGTATTTTGTATGTAAGAACAATATTTATGAGTTCATTTCAAAGCTTTCTAATTTCAGTTAGAGTCAGTGGGAAGCTTACACATTAAAATTTCTCAATAAATCATTTATTGTGCAAATATGAACTCTTATTTAAAAAATTTTTAAAAGAGGGAGGCTTTAATTGGTAAGGACTGCCTAACTGTGCACTTTGAGTTGCTTCTATGAATACGCTTTTCATATGGCAGACAGTTGATCATGTATTACAAAGGTTTTTGTTCTGACCACTAATATGTCAGATCTGCAGGTATCTCTCCCCAAAGTCTTATGAAACTACTTCCAACATGAAAATTCTCTCTGGGTTAACTCATTGGGTAGCTAGGTTACAAGATATATGTTTTTAATCTCTCTTTTGGGCTAAACATTTGGCTAATAATTGTCAGGGAGGTTTTGACATTAGAAATTTATGACTCAAATAAAACTCTTCTGCAGAAGTTCAGGTACTGAGATATAAGCACTGTAAAATGAACACTTCTGGAAGACGGCCGATTTTAAAAACATAAAAATTGTCACCCTGGGTCAGAGTAGAAGTCCAGTTCCCACCAGACTTTATGTCTGACAGTGGCATCAAAACATATTCTGTACAACAGAATCGTTTCCCTGTGTGATGGTTCACTCAAGGGTTAGGGATATTGTCTGAATGTTTGAAACTTACCCTTGAGAAGCTATCATTGGGTTTTGCCTAAATTTTTCTTGAACACACATCCCTGACACCCCAGACTACACAGGTTCTTCGGGAAAATGAGTTCTATTTGCTTGTTATCCTCTGGGCAAAGACATTCCATTTCCCTTTATTTAAAGTGAAATTATCTCCTTCTAGCATAAAGAAGTGCCCTTTTGTTACAGTATTCTGGGATTTTGTGAGCAAGTCCGAATTCCACCTGACTATATCCTACATGACTCCCTTCATCCTCCAACTTTCAAATCCTAATCTTTTTGCTCTTTATCCAAATCTGCACTATCCTATTAATCATTTCTGTTGCCCTGATCAACCTATTTTGGTCAATGCGTAGAGAGAGAGCTGGGTCATACATAAGCATTTTCCTTCATTTCAGTAAGCCTTCCAACTCACAAAATTCCAGGTAAACCAACCATCAGTGAAACCTCAGTTGCAGCCTTTACATCAGGTACAAATTATATTACCTATGAGCAATAACCTATTTGGTATCTGTGAAGTTTATATATATGCATATATAACTGGGAAAGCAAGAAAAAAATTAATGCAGGGGGAGGCAATATATTAAAAAAAGATATACTTGGCCGGGCGCATATATATTCTTTTTTTTTTTTTTTTTTTTTTTTTTTTTGAGATGGAGTCTTGCTCTGTCACCCAGGCTGGAGTGCAGTGGCACGATCTCGGCTCACTGCAACCTCCACCTCCCAGGTTCAAGCGATTCTCCTGCCTCAGCCCCCTGAGTAGCTGGGATTATAGGCGCATGCCACCACGCCCAGCTAATTTTTGTATTTTTAGTAGAAACAGGGTTTCACCATGTTGGTCAGGCTGGTCTCGAACTCCTGACCTCAGGTGATCCACCTGCCTCGGACTCCCAAAGTGCTGGGATTACAGGCATGAGCCACCACGCCTGGCCCAAAAAAAAAAAAGATATATTATTAATTCCTCTTAGGATCAGCTTTGGACTCCCAAGGTTAACCCAACAATGTCTATAACTGTTGCTCATTATTTTAATAATTTTAAAGATTTATTATTTTTCTGGAATGCAACGAGACAGGTTAAAAGAAACAACCAATTACTTCTCATGACAAAAAGAAAGTATGTTCTATCATTTATGGAGGTAATGCCTGGGGAAGGCAGTAAAAATAAAATATTTGAACCCTGGAACATTCACAGTATAAGGCTTAGCACCCACGTATATTTTAATATGTGATAACTTTATCAAAAGTCAAAAGTCAAATTAATGAAGGGTAGGAAAATAGGAACAGGTGGTTAGAGGATTCATATCTGTAGCTTCTGTCTGGTGTCATAAACCAAGTCATAAACCATACTAAATTTCAAGGCAAGGTCCCAATATTTCCTGGAAAATAACCAATTGTAAGTATTCAAAATGTTTCATAAATGGGCAAAATAGTTTCATCACTTAGGATGAAATAGAATAAAGTTTACTTTTGTATTATCAGGAAAAAGGAAGTTTGCTGGGAATAAGGTAAACAAGGAGAAATTATTCACTTAAGACAGATTAAGCTATTTTCAATCACTTCAAATACAATAACATTACTAGGATATAAACAATGGGTTAATTATAAATAACTCAGGAATTGTTATTAAGAAAGACCATTCCTGACTATTGGCAATTAGCATGGTGTTAGCACATCTAAAACAATGGGTAATAGCAAATACTTCTTCCTGGCTTTGGCTAAGAAGAAAGCTGTCAGCAGAAGGGGAGCTTTAAAATAGGAATGGCTTCACTCTCTGAGCCATTTTAAGTGCAAGAAGTGGACCAATAGAAATATAAACTGACAGCCTTCCTAGCAGGCTCTCAGGCTACTAGGAAAATGTAGTCATCATAAACTAAACCCTCAGCCTTCAAAAATAAATGAGGACCACGTCCAGATGCAGAGCTGTACGTAGAAATTAATCTTTCTGTCCTTGCTCCAAACTCTATGTTTTCTTTTTTTAGACACAAAGATTAACACTAAAGAGGTAGATGAAGAAACTAAAAAGGGAAAAAGCAATAGTAAATTTGAAAGAAATAGCAGCTGCAACAGCAGGTAATACATATCCCCAGCAGCTTATTAGAAGCAAGACTTGAGCACAGATACAGAGCCGCTCATTAACGATAATGCCAGTTCCAGAATTAGCAATGCCATTTCTTCCTTTCTTCCTGCATATTTGTTCACCCTCACATTGTGGCTCCACACTGCATGTGAAGTTCCTACCTTGTGCCACATGCTGGGAATACAAAGATGTGGGACCCTAATCTTGCCTTCAGAGGACTGTAAGTCTAGAGTGGACATTGCTCACTTTCTCCTTCCCCCTATCTCCCATCCACCACTTATTATCTCCTGGATGCCCCATTAAGCCATGAAAATGTGGGAGAAATCTTAGAAGAAAAACAGGGACTACTTATGTTTCAAAAAATAAACCACGGTAGAAACAAAAGAGATCAAGGAAGGTGAGAAAATGTAAACCCTGTAAGCTAATACCCTTAATAACTGCCAAGATTTTCCTTGACGGTGCCTATGATCAGCCTTTCTAGAATAACTGACTTCTTAGAAAATGGTTAGAAACAACAAAAAGAAAATACCTAAGGTCTACAGAGAAAACATGTGTTTGGATACTAAAACACAACTGTTTTCCAAAAGGTAGCATTTCCTCCCTACCCAAAGGAAGTTTCTACATCATACATTCATTCATCCAGCCAGCCAGCCATTTGTTTTTCATTCATTCAACTATGATCTACGGAGATCCTATTATATTCCAGGTAATGCACAGACTCTAGGGATAAAACAGCTTTAAAAAAAAGAAAAAAAAAAACAGCTTCATTTCTGTCTTCTTGGAACTTGCAGTTCAGTAGAGGCAGAAAGATGCTATTTAAATAATCACACAAATATGGAACTTACAAACTGTGCTAAATGCCCTAAATGAACAGTCAAGAAACTACAGAATGTAACAGAGTGACAGCTAATATAAGAAACAAGGGAAGGCTTGTTTGAGGAATTAACAGAAGAACAGGAAGTGGGCCTAGAGGTCTGAGAAAGAGGAGAAAAGTGCTGGATGAGGCTGGAGAGTTGGAGGGAAATCAGATCACAGGAGGCATGATCCTTGTAGAGCATGATAAAATGGTCATCTTTCATCCAACTAGCAGCAGTGAGATATTAAATATTGATGTGTTTTAAACACTAGAGTGAAAGTTCAGAATTATGATTTCAAACTATATCTTGATATTCGCATGTCTGTGTTTATATGTGTGTTTCTATGTACGTGTATGTATGAATCCTTATCTATGCATGAAGTATATCTAGAAAGAGACAAAAGGCACTGCAGATAGTGGTTGCTTCTGAGGAAAGAAACTGAGAAAGGACAAGCTAGGAGAAGCAGGAATTCCCTGTCACTGTACTGGGGGTCAGAGTGGGAAGGGACAGGAGTCATTTGCTATAAGAAGTTTTCTCTGACCTAGAAAGAGACACAGGACTAAGGTAGGTAAAGAAACAAAAACAAAACTCTACAGATGAAGGAACCAGATCCACTCCTGGCTCACCGCTGTGGGCTTCACCATGAGGAGGAGAACTCCAAAGTACAGGAGCAGACTTCTAAGTTTTGACCTCAGCCAAAGACCTGGAGAGCCAACATTCCAGCCAAAGAATGTTGGCTCATGGAATAAAAACAAAAACAAAACAAACCGCACTAGGTCAAGATAACAAAATGAGAGAAGAGCTTGCTATTATTATCTATTCATGCCCCACCGGATATACCTTGAAAGACAGCTGAAGGGAAAGCTTAGAAACTTTCTCCAAAGGGCTACTTTCGAAAGCTTTTATCATCTGGACTAAAAAAGGCCCAAACAAGCAAAAGAAAAGCCCCAGTAAATGCAGGCACAAGACTGTAAAAGGAGAGTGAGGAGACTGACTTGCCAGGCCAGCAAGTAGCTGAGAGGCTAAATGATGGGGCTGTGAACCTCCGGCAAAGCGGTTTTAGGCACAGGAGAAAAAAATGTGATGAAGGAGTCTTGTTTCCTTTTTTTCTCTTCCATAATTTTTTTTTTCAAAAATACCACTTCAATCAAAGTTTTGACAATTATGAAACATGTCAGCTGATAGTGAGAATTCATCAAATGTGCCATAAATGACAAGAAATGAGAACCCGAATCCTGAAATTGGATGGGCTTCAAAAGTTTCTGACAATCACTGCCATAAATCATCCAGGCATATCAATCTCTGGCTGGAGGAGGGTTTGCAAGAGGTAAAAATGCAGACAAAGGCTCACGCAGAAAAGGACTGCCACACTCTGGATGGGAAAAGAGTGTACTCTATTGTGAGGGCTGTTTCTTCAGTTACAGAGGTTGGCGACCAGTTACCCAGCGGTCACCATAATGAAAACACACAGATGTTTCCACCTGTACAGCAAGAGACACAAGACGCAATGGCAAGACCTACAATCTTCTTAGGAACCACACGGCACCTACTGAGCCAGTCATCTAGCTCACAAATAATGACATCACTCCTCTGTCCACAATGTAAGGGCTGGCTAAGGTGAGGGCTAATGGGGAAAACAGCACACATTTATTTCATTAGATTCCCAAGATGAAAGGCTCAGGTTATTATTTTTTATTTATGCAAAGTTTGTGGCATGCTGTTGCTTGATAAAAAGGTAACAATCTCTGGGCTCTTTTTCCTTTCAATTTCTCTACTTCTTTTATCTTTTAATGCAATTAAACATAATGAACCTGCCTCTTGGTTATAGGTCAATATAAACTGTGAAATTCCTAAAAGGGCAACACAAACTTTTGAGATTTCGCCCTGAGATAGCAATCAATATATTCATCATCAACATCTGGGGTATGACCTACGCTAAGCCTCTGGAGAAAAAAAAAATCTCTTGAAGAGTAGTACTAAGTTGATTTTCATTTGGTTCCCAGTTCTGTCACAAATGCTGCTATAGTCAAATCAAGCCACTTGATGGTTTTTTGGTTCTTTTATCTTTGGGGGGAGGGAACAGCATTAGCTACTACAAACAACCATCAGTCACTGATTCACCGGACTGCCTGGGCCATGTCCAGCTCCTTCAACAATCCATTAGCCACACATTCTGGACAGTGCCTTTTCCAAGCAAAGATGGTCCATAAGATGGTCCATTTGGAAACACAAAACAGAGTCTTCTCAGGCATCAGATTGTCCAAGGTAATGACCCCATGCACAGCTATAGGAATCTGAGTTACCAAAAATGGTACTTCCAGCTGGGCTCAGTGGCATGTGCCTGTAGTCTCAGTTACTTTGGAGCCTGAGGCAGGAGGATTGCCTGAGCCTAGGAGTTTGAGCCCAGCCTGGGCAACACAGTGAGACCCCATCCCCAAAAAGAAAGGTAGTTCTAGCCCCAGAAAATGGGTCATAAACTGACTTTCTGTGATAATTTACTTTTTAGAGAAATTGCAAGCACTACTCAGGGTTAGTGTTTTGAAAGAAACTCAAGTACACAGAATAGTTTTACAATGATATATCTATTTGTATCATCAGAAAATTAAGAAAGGACAAACAGACTTCCAGGTTCCTGTTTATAGAGGGGTTTTCGAGTTTCCAAATCAGTTTCTTTCACACACACACACACACACACACACACACACACACACACACAATCGCATTTAATGCTATCAACAGCTTTACAAGAATAACTACATTCTACAAGGGTGGAAGAAACTGAGGCTCAATGAATTTAACAGATCTGGCTCAAGGGCATTCCCCTAAATGGCAGAGCCAGACTCTAGCTCAAGTCTTTGGACTATCTTCACACCTCCCTCTCTCTACAAGTGCTTGCTCTCAGTATCAGCTTACATAAAATGTGGGTCCAAAGAGCAAGCAGATTACTTTTTGACCACACAAGCTTGTGCTAAGCTGCAACTTTCTTGCACACCCTCTTAGCAATTGTCTAGAGAAACCATCTGCCCCAGCATCAGTCACTTCCCATGCCCCCATATCGACACATTATCAATCTCCAATTACTCTTACGTAGTCCAGAAAAAAATCTTCCAGTGCATTATGAGCACTAGAATTCCCACCAACGTAAATGACGCTAAACAACTGGCAAAATGGCAAAGGCTAAATTTGCAGCCGCTCCCCAGTTCCCTTCCTGGTTGCCTTGGGAATTATTACCTTTTATTAGTGCAATCTCAGAGTTTACAGTTATCAACAATATGCAATTATCAACACATATTAGTCATGCTGCTTGATGCTTGACCTTACTTTCCCATTAATAGAAGTACTGCAGTTACTAAATGAATTACAGTGGGAATTAATGGTTGCCAAAATGAGTTTTCACCTACAAGTAAAAGTTTTACAACTAATTATGCAGCTGTAATGGGAGAATAGGAGGCAGAGTTGTGGTCCCAGCCCCTAAAGGCCCTTGTGTTGAGGATAACAACTAAAGCAATGAAAACCTACAACACGGGACAGATGGCGAAAGTGCCCATGCCTGGACGTCTGCGGCAGCCGCTCTCTTCCCAGAGCTCCCAACACTCCACTGGTGGCCAAGGGCCATGTTGGGGAAAGGGCAAGGACGCATCTGGCCTCTAGGAAAAATAAATTCTTTCCAAAACATATTTCCAGGTTAATTGGAAAAACACCAGATACCTCTAGAAAATTGATGCATAAAAGAATTCTTGATAGAAATTCCAACATGTTCCATTCACCAGATGCTGTGTTTTTTATAGAATATAAGAATCTTCCTGTTTTATTTAGGTGGGTGTCTGATAGCCTGGTAGTTTCTAATTTTTCCAAATGAAATAAGATATACATATATAGATATACATATGACACTAGTGTATATAAATTATATACATATGACTAACATATATATTATATTTATATATGAGTAGTTGACAAATGAGTCAATTATAAAAAGGAAAAAATAAAATAAAAAAAAAGTAAGCCAGCCGGGCGTGGTGGCTCATGCCTGTAATCCCAGCACTTTGGGAGGCTGAGGCGGAAGGAGCACCTGATGTCAGGAGTTAGAGACCAGCCTGACCAACAACCCCGTCTCTACTAAAAATACAAAATTAGCCGGGTGTGGTGGTGCATGCCTATAATCCCAGCTACTCGGAAGGCTGAGGTAGGAGAATCGCTTGAACCTGGGAGGCAGAAGCTGCACTGAGCCAAGATCGCGCCATTGCACTCCAGCCTGAGCAACAAGAGCGAAATTCCATCTCAAAGAAAAAAAATAAATAAATTAGCCATAAAGCAATGAATAATACTGTAAGATATATTCACCATAAATATATATCAATATACATTAAAATCAAAATATATGATTGTCTAGTTAGGCAGTATGTTCTAGGCAATATACAAAGGACTACATGTACCTAGATTAGGAGTTTAAAATAAGACAGTTGTACAGAGATACATTTGTAGATTCAACATTGATGAATATAAAAAATAATGTGCCAGGCTCATGCTTGTAATCCCAGCACTTTGGGAGGCCGTGGCGGGAGGATCGCTTGAAGCCAGGAGTTCAAGACCAGCATGTGCAACATAGTAAGACCCAGTCTCTACAAAAAATAAAAATAGCCAGACATAGCGGTGTGCACCTGTAGTCCTAGCTAATTGGGAGGCTGAGGTGGGAGAATCACTTGAGCCCAGGAGTTCAAGGCTGCAATGAGGCACCATGCTACCGCACTCCAGCCTGGGTGACAGTGAGACCTCATCTCTTTATTAAATAAATTAATAAATAAAAAGTTACAAGTAATCCTCTTTTAAGGGCCATGGCATGCACAGATAATAAGTTATCTGAAATGTGAGGTCAGGTAGATCTGAGACTAAATTATAGCCCCCTTTGAGCTATGAGACCACCACAAAGTAACTAACTTCTCCAAGAGTCAATTTCCCCATCTCACAGGTCAGGGTCTTATAGTGCTAAAGTTCTGTGTTGTACTATGTGGCACAAAGTAAACACTTAACAAATCTTAGTGACTATTCATCTGCAGATGAACTTGATCTGAATGTGATAGGCCAATAATGTCAAAGTCTTGCCACCCATCCACTTTGCTCGTTTTACTTACTACTGACAAATGCCACTTTGTACTAGCTTCAGCTGCAAACTACAGCTCTCAGAGTGAGGGCATCCTACTTGCACATTCCTTATTGATTTTGAGCACAAATATTTTCCCACAAGTATTTGCTTTCCTCAAGGTTAAATTACAAGTTCAACCAAACTCTTGCAACACATTATTTGAACTTCACTAAACAGTTTTATGCCCCATACAATGTGGGTGGCCTAAATTCTGCACACTGCCAAAACTTGAGAATGATATTTATCCAGAAAATTCCCAGGGATATCTCTCATGAAGGTTGCAAAAGTATTTAGCTCTCACTCTGATAATGATTAGATTTAAAACCGTGCTTTTCTCTCTGAGGCTCTACAAACATCTCCCTCTTTCCACCACCCTCAAATAAAATAACCACAGAGTGGTTGAGAGAGGTGATTTTGTGAGAAGGGATTACTTCTAAACTATGTTTTCCCATACTTAGAAAAAAAAAAAAAGGCTAAGGATATAAAAGCCAGCCTGGGCAGGGCTGACACAAGAGGCTGAGAGAAGAGCAATGGGAAAAGAAACACTGAAGTGACAAATAAATAACAGTATTCTGAAAAGAAAAGTGCGTACACCATATAAATAGTAATTAAACCTCCTAGGAGCATGTATGCTTTTATCAGGAATAAACTCATCTAGATACCAGGTCTACAGTTTAGAAAGAGAAATTAGAGGGTTTTTTTTGTTTGTTTGTTTTTTAAATGGAGTTTCACTCTGTTGCCCAGGCTGGAGTCCAGTGGCACAATCTCAGCTCACTGCAACCACCACCTCCTGGGTTCAAGTGATTCTCCTGGCTTAGCCTCCCGAATAGCTGGGATTACAGGGATGTGCCACCACGCCCAGCTAATTTTTTTGTACTTAGTAGAGATGGGGTTTCACCATGTTGGTCAGGCTGGTCTCGAACTACTGACCTCAAATGATCTACCCGCCTCAGCCTCCCAAAGTGCTGGGATTACAGGCATGAACCACCGTGCCTGGCCAGTTAGAGGCTTCTTGAGGTCTTGGCTTCTGTTTCTAGAAAATGTAATTCCTCTTTCCTGCTTTTCCCCTTCCAAAGGAAAGAGGAGGAGGAGTGAAAACACTGAAGAAGAAACAAAAAGGGATACTTGGTTCACTTTCACTCTTACGTTTCTAAAGGTCCTTTTAAGGTGATCAAATTCTTCCCTTCCCCCTTCTGAAACATGCATCTAAGAAGGAGCATACAAATTCTTGAAGGCATGAGTATCAATGATGAAGCAGGTCCCATGTGTACCCTAGTTGAGAGCCTGGGAGTGGATGGTCTAGAAACAGCCTGTCCAGTCTAAACAAAGTACAGATGGGGTGTGGGGGGAACAGCTGCTCCTCGGCTCCAGCTAAGTGCCATTGAGTAAGAATCTGGGCCGGAGTTGCTGCAATTTCTGATTTTCCATTCAATAAAATATACAAATCCTAATATTTTGGCCGGCAAGGTGACTCACACCTGTAATCTCAGCACTTTAGGAGGCCGAGGTGGGCGGATCACCAGAGGTCAGGAGTTTGTTTGAGACCAGCCTGGCCAACACAGCGAAACCCCGTCTCTACTACAACTACAAAAATTAGCCAGGCGTGGTGGCCCGCACCTGTAATCCCAGCCACTAGGGAGGCTGAAGCAGGGGAATTGCTTGAACCTGCAAGGCGGAGGTTGCAGTGAGCTGAGATCGAGTCATTGTACTCTAGCTGGGGTGACAGAGTGAGGTTCCATCTCAAAAAAAAAAAAATTCAAATATTTTTTTCAAGGGAAAAATCTTACTTAAAGTCAGTGACTAATTTAAAGTTAAAAGGCTTTTGAGCCAATAAAACCCTCTGTGAGCAGCCAGGCTTTGACTTTTGAACTATAGTGTCTCCTTCCCCTTGAAGACACACATCTCTGTCCTATCCCCGAGAAGTAAACAAGGGCTTATTTTTCATCTCCCTCCATACCTGCCCCTTAAAGAGATAGTAAGGGTCCATTCAACCTGAGATTAAATTTCAACCTGACCTTTAACGCCTCCTTATGACTCAGTGGTGTACTGAAGATAACTGTTAAATTTTCAGGAATTTTACAAGCCAATGTCAGATTGACAGCTTTTAATTGGCTACGATGAGACTGTTTATATCACAGAAACTGGCAACACTGCAAATCAAGGCTGCTCCTCAACCCTAAAGCCAATTGTCAAGCATTTACCAGCAAACCACTGATTATATAATGTGCTATCTGAAGTGCCACACCCTTGCAGTGACTGGCTGAGCAATTGGGTTGAGAATAAAATAAAAATGCCAAGTCGTTAAGGTTGGTGCAAAAGTCATCGCGGTTTTGGCCATTACTCAATGGCCAAAACCGCGATGACTTTTGCACCGACCTAATAAATGCAATACTTGTATTAAATTAACTTGGGTTTCTTTTAATGCAGTGACCCTCAATCTGTAGTCCCCGGAGCAGAAACAGCAGGAGCAACTCCCGGGAACTTGTTAGAAATGCAAATTATCAGGTCCCCTCCTAGACGTGGTGAATCAGAAATTTTAGAGTGAGGTCCAGCAATCTGTGCTCCACAGAGTCCCCCAGGGGATTCCGAGGCATTTGAGAACCACTGTTTTAGAACAATAAAGATTTTTTTCAGGGTCTGTGCTAATTTTCATGACTCTCTAATATAATCTAGTGTCTTTAAAATACCATCAAAGCTTCACAGTGTCTTTCACAGAGGGTAACAACTTTTTTTTTTTTTTTTTTTGAGACAGAGTTTCGCTCTCGTTGCCCAGGCTGGAGTGCAATGGCAGGATCTCGGCTGACTGCATCCTCCGCCTCCCAGGTTCAGGCAATTCATCTGCCTCAGCCTCCTGAGTAGCTGGGATTACAGACATGTGCCACCACGCCCAGCTAATTTTGTATTTTTAGTAGGGACGAGGTTTCTCCACGTTGGTCAGGCTGGTCTCGAACTCCCGACCTCAGGTGATCTGCCCGCCTCAGCCTCCCAAAATGCTGGGATTACAGACGTGAGCCACTGCGCCTGGCCAACAATTTAAGTTTTAAGCTAAACTGAAATTTTTATCCCCAGGTATATAATTTTATAGATAACCAAGAATCAGGAATAAAATTTTCTCCCAGGTGAAAATTCTAGGTACATTCTTTTCACTTCAACCTCTTATGAAATGTACCACTTAAAAAAATGCAGCACAATTTCAGTTTACAGTGTATGACAACAAAGACTAGGAAAGGGGTTGCTGCCTATCTGGCTGTCAAGGGCTCTTCCACGGGTCAAGTAACTTCAGGTATTTATGCCCATTGCAATGCGCTAAATATGTGCCCACTCCCTGTTCTCTTATACTAGGCCAGTCTACATATTTGTAAAGCCTGTATGGCTGTTGTCACATTTGATGTTGAGACCCCTGCTTTCAGAAGGACTGTCCTAATCCTTTTGTTGTTTGTGAGTTAAGTACTGTATTTCTTTCCTGTTGTCCAACATGCAGAAGTCTTTTGTAACATAAATGTTAAAACGGTGTTGGTAATAATACCACACAATCTGTACCAAGGCTCAGGTCTCTGTGTCCAGAACATTACTAAAATGTACATACTGTGTTCAGATTTAAGCCAGACTCTTAACTTACTTAAGATTTAAGTCAGACTTAAGTCAGACTTCTAGGACTCTAAGTAACTATTCCTAAAGATTCAGTTTCTTATTCATTCATGCATTCATTCATTCGAGACAGGGTCTTACTCTGTTGCCCAAGCTGGAGTGCAGTGGCATGATCATAGTTCACTGTAGCCTTGACCTCCTGGGCTCAAGCAATCCACCCAACCCAGCCTCTCAATTAGCTGGAACTACAGGTGTGCACCACCACACCTGGCTAATTTTTTGGTTTTTGTAGAGACGAGGGGTCTCACTGTGTTGCCCTGATTGGTCTCCAACTCCTGGGCTCAAGCAATCCTTCTGCTTCGGCCTCTGAAAGTGCTGGGATTACAGGTGTGAGCCATCACACCCAGCAACAGTTTCTCATTTATTGAATGAAAAGTTTGGATATGATTATCTTCTAAGTCAACTCCAGTTTCTATCATTCTACATATCATGGATGTATTAGCAAAATCTGTTTGCAAAGTACAGGTAGTGGCTGCATTAACCATCACTATATAATTTTAATAACAAACTGTTAGAAAAGAGATGGCGAGAAGCTAAGGATTAATTTGGAATAGAAGGCAAACTAAGAATAAAAATAATACAAATAATAAGGCAGAAGCAGAGGAAAATTTAATCCAGGTAAGACTTATTAAACATCCATTATAAGCAAGACTCAGATTATTCAGATGGTAGCATATTGTATCCACAATGTATTGGGTTCCTCTTCTAAACAGTACATTTTTAAAGAGATGATTCTTCATTTTTAAAGAGGTGATTCTCTGTTAACTCTTGATACAGTTGCTGGAAGTGACCTACTTTAATTTTAAATCCCTTTGGAATCTTGCTGTGGGTGATTCTGAGGCAATCCCAGAAGGGTACCATCATTTTTTAAAGGAAGCTTTGTATCAGGTACATGTTTCCTTGGTTACCAAAATCACAAGCACATGTGTTATTTCAAACACTTCCTTCCAGCCACCTTAAGACAACGTTTCTGCAACCTGTACAGAATCTAATGTCTTCTCGAAGAGAAAACTGTTAAAGGCTGACAACATCTCTCAGAGCTCTGGAATGTGAGCTGCTTGTTTGAAGCAGCTTTTAGGCACAGAGAGCCCAGCAGCCCTGACAATGATGGAAAAGCACAATGCCACCGAGATCACACAGATATTAATGTGACAGTGCCTTGGCCTCACTTGCACATCTGAAGTCACAGAGCTTCTGATGACCTACAGCATCTTGGAGTGGAGTAGCACACGACAGAATTCTTGCTTCTACTTTCCTGATATGGTCTACAAGTCTAGGCTGCTGTGACATTCAAGATGACTACCAATTCAAAAGGGGGACGATGGCTAGGGACCACTCTGATTCTACCCTCACCACAGTCTTCAGAGGTAGCAGAAATAATTATACCAATGGCCCAAGCATGGCAGTCATGATGTTCCTACTTGTACACAGAGGGTTACACTCATCACTGGGAGAACAGAGATTCAGTTACCACCAGAAAAGCAGAATTGGAAACCAACCCCTATAGGTATTAGGAGCAAAAGGTGAGTTTTTAATTAAAAAGCTAAATTAGAAATTAAAAACTGCACCATATGCACTGGAAAATGTGGTTTCTGACAATATATTAAGCACCATGTTAAAACAGAGTGTTGCAAAAGGGTCTTAACAGAAACAGAGCAAGAGGATTTTTGGAAAAGAGAGAAAATGGAAAAGGAATAGACATTTTTTGAATATCAAGCCCGGGCAAGTTAGAACCATGCATCAGCTTTTCATCCATGGTGTAACTTAACCCTCAGGCTGTCCTACTCAATGTGGTTTGCTAGCCTCACTCGCACACAGGAAGCTTGGAATTTGGAGGCTCCAAGTCACTCTCCAGAGTCGGTGTGCGGTAGGCCTGCAATTCCAAACCAAGGTCTGAAGCCACCGGAAGCCACTGTGCTTTCCAAAACCACCCTCTTGGAATCTGCCACAAATCCAATTACTAATAAGAGTTATTTAAAGTCTTAAAAATAAAATTGCCTTTTTAAAAGTTCAGCATTTTAAAACTAGGATGCAATCCTTGTCATTTCTTTCTAATGTATAATAATTAAAGGAATAAATAGAAAAAAAAAGGTATTTCAAAAAAAACAGACTTTTCCCCGGAAGTCAGATGAATAATTTTACATGTAAGTTCTATAACTCAATTCAAACACACACACACACACACACCCCATCCAATGTCAAAACTGCAAAACTCATAATAGTCATAGTTTCCCAGTGGCACCTTTAAAAACATAGCCTCTTCGGAAACACGATTTTCGGAAACACAATTTCTTTCACCACATAGCTATGGAAATGACCACACTTGAAATCTAAACTGAACATTTTTCTTCAATCTGTAAGTATTCTGTATTTGGACTTCTTCCAAGTTAAAAAAAGGTTTACATGATAGCTCCTTTATGAGTTGTCTACTTTTCAACATGAGAAGTTAAATTTGATTAATTCATATGAGAACAGATTCTATAACCTCTTTGACCTGCAGAGATAATTTACTCATCTCTCTTCCACTACTGTAACCTAAGAATGAGCCCTTAGCTCATTAAGCTTCACAAACAAAAACACTTAGGCAGTAATGACCCATTTTACTATTCTGTTTCTTGCCTCCCTTTCTCTGTATCTCAGTCTTTTTTTTTTTTTTTCATGTATCTGTGGTTTCCAAATCTATATTCCTAAATTCCAACTCACTCCTAGATTCCACTTTTAAATTTCCAGCAGCCTTACAGACATCTTCACACAGATATCCCCCTGGGTACCTCAAAGTTGACATGTCCTTAACCATATGATCTTCCCACCGTATTCCTACATGCTTAATGACACCAGTATTCAGGCTGTTAGCCATTCCAGAAACCTCAGAGCCCCTTAGAATCCCCCTATCGCCTTCCCTTTACCACAGTCTGACCTGTTCTATAGTCTCCATATCTCTCAGTGGCCGCCCCTTTTCGGTCTCCTCCTAGGCCTTATTCAAAGCCCCACTGATCTCTTGCCTGGGATAGTAAATCGCATGATAACTTATCTATAGGACTGAGCTTCTCATTCCATCTTATCCACTGCTTTACAATAGTAATTCCAGTTTAGTCACAAACCCTTGAGGATAGTAATTTCAATTGAGTTGAGCAGAGTAGAATTATGGGAGAATTTCCCTTTGGGGGTCATTTATTCTAGTAATGTTTCCGTTTTTAATAGAAAATGTTACTTCTGTGATCATCAGTAAAGACAAAAAATGTACACATTTAGTAAGGTCACAGCACTGGGTCCATGATAGAGTAGAAACCTTTAGCCTTGAACAGGAGGCCCTTCATTGTGTGTCTCTTAACCACCTTCCAGGCTTTGTTCTTCCTACCCCCACCATCTACTGCCCTTTCTCCATTGTTCTTTTGAGCCTCTATGACCTTGCAAACTCTGCTCCCCATTCCTGGAATATCCTTTCAGGTGAACTTTATCTTATTCTCTTTTTCTTTTCTTCCCCAGTGTCCCAAATTTGCTTTGTCCTAAGAATCTCCAGGGTCTAGGGGCACGCAGCACACCAAATCCATCAGAATCTCTAGGGCAGAAATCTTAGAAACTGGATTTTGTTATCCAGGTATACTCAAGCAAGAGTAAGAAACACTGGCCTCAAAAACACTCGAGAGACAATGGGAAAGAAAATTTCAATTCCTATGTCCATGTTGTCTTAAACATCACATCTTCTAACTTTATGATCAATGCTTGTGATTCTCTTCAGAATGTTTTCCAGAATAATCTAAGTAAAATGTCTGTGGGAAACAAAACAGCTGCCACTGAACCTCAACATTTATCTGTATGCATTATGTCAAGGCGTGGGAGGGGGATGTACGTGTGCACAGAAATTCACACAAACACACAGGGTCACATGTATCTGAAAATGCCAATGTCTGCCCTCGAGTACCTTACAATTTGCAGGTAAAAAGATTCCTTTTTTTTTTTTTTTTGAGACACGGTCCTGCTCTGTCATTCAGGCTGGAGTGCAGTGGTGCAATCACAGCTCACTGCAGCCTTGGTCTCCCAAAGTTCTGGGATTACAGGTTTGAGCCACCACACCCAGCCAGAAGATTCTTTATAGCACTCCCCTCTTATGACAAACTGAGAAAGAGAAATTAATGTGTTTTCTCTTGCACACACACACACTTTGATGATGTGTCTGCTTCCAGGCAGCAGGAACATATACTATAGAGTATGCTTTATACAGTTTCACACATTAGGCAAAATCAAATATAAAGTTCTCCACTGAAAACCGAAAGACTCAAAATCTATTATCTTATTTATGATTAACTTGCTAAATATTTTGGGTGAGTTAGTTCCAGCCTTTTCACTTTCCTCCTGTAAAGTTTTTAATTCTAGATCTTTCTTTGTATCAACAAGAGTGTTTTTTGTTTTTTTTTTTTTTTTTTTTTGAGATGGAGTTTCACTCTTGTCGCCCAGACTGCAGTGCAATGGCATGATCTCGGCTCACTGCAACCTCCGCCTCCCGAGTTCAAGTGACTATCCTGCCTCAGCCTCCCAAGTAGCTGAGATTACAGGCATGCGCCACCATGCCCAGCTAATTTTTTTGTATTATTACCATCTTGGCCAGGGTAGTCTCGAACTCCTGACCACAGGTGATTCACCTGCCTCGGCTTCCCAAAGTGCTGGGATTATAGGCGTGAGCCACTGCACCCGGCCAAGATTTTTTAAAAAGTGAAAGTAAGTTCAAAATTAAGGATTTGAGTTCTGAGTTCCAAAATTATTTTGTTTTAAAGTGGGAAAGGGGGTAGATATCCTAATGGCATTTAAAACACAAAATATATGAAAAGGCAAAAACGTTGAACAGTGGGTAAATGACTAAAATAACAACTAACACTGGAGGTAAATTGGCTCCCTTAATGGATAAAATATAAATTCAATTGAAGTCAAAGGATATTTGCCTATTTGTGGAGCACGTCTTCTGTCCCAGTGACTGTGCAGAATCCCTGTAGAGTCCAATGACCTCCAAGCATCTGACTCTGGTTAAGCATGGTCCCCCAGACCTCCTCTCTGCTAGCTGACTAATGAAACCTAGGTGGCTTTAATTTTAATTTAAAAACAGCTCAGGTCAGCTGCACCTCCTACTGCCAAAGCTGTATCTGTTGAGGACCTGTGACTAGAACACCTGACTCTAATAACAGCACTTACCATTTACCAAGCACTTGGACCCTGTGTTTATCTTGTCTCCTTGTAACAACTCCGAAGGGCAGACGTTACTTCTCCCATTTGCTGAGAGAAAATCCAAGGAGAGAAGCTGAGCTCTGAAGTAATACTGTCTCACTTTAAGCCATAAACTCTTCATTAAACTACATCTAAAAGATCCTAATACACCTGGCCACTCACTGCCTGCACTGATTTCAGAAAAAGGTCTTTTGTACATGCACCATGGCCTGAACATGGCGTCTGTTCCTCTTTTCCTATAGATCCAACATCTCACAATGTCTGTTCCTCTTATCATATGGACTATTCATTTCTGGCATAGAACTTACTATGGTCTGAAACAATTTTTTGAATTTCCTATATTATTTGTCTACCTTATCCCACACAGACGCACTCCAACAAGAAGAATGTAGGTCCCCTCAGGGCAATAATTTCAAATTTCTAATTCACTCCACTGTATCCAGTCACCTGGGACACTCAGCATAATAAACATTTGTAAGGATGAATGAAGACCTCAACAGGTTTTGTGCCATCATCTAATTCTGAACAGTGGAAGTATACTTTTTACAAAGTGTATGTAGGCTCAGATAATGTATTTGCTGATTCTTTCTTTTATTCCAAGGTTAAACCTCTATTCTATTTCAACATTAATGCCAGGCACGGTGGCTCACGCCTGTAATCCCAGCACTTTGGGAGGCCAAGGCGGGCAGATCACCTGAGGTTGGGAGTTCAAGACCAGCCTGGCCAACATGGTGAAACCCCGTCTCTACTAAAAATACAAAAATTGGCTGGGCCTAAGGGTGCACGCCTGTAATCCCAGTTACTTGGGAGGCTGACTCGGAAGAATCGCTTGAACCCGGGAGGCGGAGGCTGCAGTGAGCCGAGATGGCGCCACTTCACTCCAGCCTGGACAAGAGAGAGACTCCGTCACAAAAAAAAAAAAAAAAAAAAAAAATAAGATCCAGAAGGTACAATGAAAAGACCACCGACTGGTACTATCAACATGCCAGAAGAGTGAAAATTTTTGAAGAAAATGCTGATGAATTATTTTTACTGATCACCCAAGCAGGCACCAATAATTCATGAATTCATAATTCATAAGACATGAATTATGAGTGAAGGTGAAAGGGTTTAAAAAATCCCTTCCAGTTGAACTGGTGGGATGAACTACTGACTGAGCAGGCCTGATGATTTCTTCCAGGAATAAATAAATAAACAAGTACATAAACAAAATAAAGCCACTACAGTAGAAAGGCAGAGAATAGCACTTCTCCTAAGTCCATGTAAGCATTTTGACTTTGAATTTTCATTCTGAAGTGTGGCTATGATTCAAAAATTCTGTGAAAGCGTAACAACCCAAAAAACATACAGTCCTGCAATGTTGAAATTGCTGTTTAATGAAGAAGCTTTCTGGCTCATAAAAATCTCAAATGAGAAGCAGAAAGGCCCAGTGTTTGACCTCTGGAACTTTCCTTCTCATTATGGTGAGAAACCTGATTTTGGTGTATTTTTTTTTTAACATTATTTTTAACAAACTGCTCTGTAGTTCAAAAAAGCCTGCTGGCCTAATTACCAGTCCGCAAACCACAGATTCATACTAACGCCTTTTGCAATTCTCTCTTCCTCTGTCTTTGTTTCTCAGAAATGGGAATCCCAAGTGTATTTAAAGTGATGAAAAGTTGTAAAAAACCAGGTAGCTATTTTGGTTACCTGGGAGATGGGGTGGGAAGAAATTTGAGGTATCTGTTTGGGTTCTTGATTATTTTGAACATGTTTCACACCTTCATTATCTCCTGTGCTTTGTCTATGTTTTTGCCTTGCTTCCATAAATTGGATAGCAAACCTACTGGGCCAGTGTCATCTTCAACTCTGTCAGTGGACATTTCCTTTGTGCTTCCTTCAAGAACACCCATGCTACAATTGCAACAAGGCAGACAACAGTGGGGTCCTTCTAGATCCAAAGACCACTGATATG
The DNA here is from genome assembly GCF_000001405.40 of Homo sapiens. Taxonomy (NCBI): domain Eukaryota; kingdom Metazoa; phylum Chordata; class Mammalia; order Primates; family Hominidae; genus Homo; species Homo sapiens. The sequence continues at coordinate 118,040,602 of NC_000008.11, forward strand.
TCTGTGGGACACCATCCAAAGGTCATCTCCTCCCTCAGCTAAGCTCCTGCAGCTTCTATTAAAACACTTACCACATTCTACCCCATTTCCAAAAGTTTTATCTCCTCCAGCAGGCAATAAGCTCCCTGGGCAGGGAACTTTCTTATTTCTCACCATTTGGTGCACAAGGTCTTAGAAAATGTTTGCGAATGAGATGAACTGCCCTTGTTTAATAAAAAGCAGCAATTGTTCACGTCAGTTCTGTCAGTTAAGCTACTAAATTTCCAACTCTAGGGTCAGTCTAGACTCAGGTCCAACCCAAGAGACAAGGTTCATGCCTGAACCACAAGCTCTCTAATCCGTCAGCTTCAGAGTCACATTACTGCAGGGGACCCAATTCTCATCAAATCAAGCTTTGCCAGTAGATGGAATTAGGAGAGGTTAATACACACATTGTTGCAAATGTACAAAATACAAAGCCACTTTTAAACATTACCTAATTTATTATAAAATTTTTATCCACAACAAAGTAGAGAATGACCAGAAGGATCTAGGTGGAACAGTCTACAACTTTAAAAAGGAGTCCTCAAGTCTGAAAAAGTCATTAAAAAGAAGTCCTCAAGTCTAAAACAGATAGGACGTTCTTTCTCTAACTAGGCATCAGAAAGCAGAGATGGTGCAGGGTAACGAGTCCAGACTTTGAAACCCTACAGTCTTCATCTCCAACTCCCATATACAACCAGTATGACTTGGTCAAATTACTCTGCATGTGATTAATCCATTTAAAATCCAGCACCTAGTAAGTGCCAGGCACCTTTTGAGGCATGGGGAATACAGCAGCAAACAAATGGATAAGGTGCCTGCCCCAAAACAATAGGAGTAGGGATAATAATAGTATCTTACCCATAGGATATTATAAGAAGTCTATACCGAGTATTACAGGTGAAGCCCTTAGCACAGTGTCTGGCCCATGCATCGTGTTCCTCAATAAATAGCTAATACTTAAAGCAGAGGTCAGTTTATATACAAGCTAGAGGAAATATAGATGTATTTTTAAACAAGAAAAAGAAAGAAAGAGAGAGAAAGAAGGAAGGAAGGAAGGAAGGAAGGAAGGAAGGAAGGAAGGAAGGAAGGAAGGAAAAAGAAAAGGGAGGTCAAGAGTTTGAGACCAGCCTGGCCAACATGGCGAAACCCTGTCTCTACTAAAAAATACAAAAATTAGCTCGGCGTGGTGGCACATGCCTGTAATCCCAGCTACTTGGGAGGCTGAGGCTGGGGAATCGCTTGAACCCAGGAGACAGAGGTTGCAGTGAGCTGAGATCACGCCACTGCATTCCAGCCTGGGTGACAGAGCGAGACTCTGCCTCAGAAAAAAAAAAAAAAAGAAAGAAAAGGAAGACTACATTGGCCAACATCACATCTGTCACCTCACTAAGCCCCGGGTTGGATGAGGAGCTCTGGCCAGCTGCATAAATGAGGACCCCCTCGTACCCCCATCTCCGCTCTTGCTCTGGTGTCTCCCCTGTTAAAGAAATTACTTTTTCCATTATGGCTGGGGAGCCCCATAAGGTCTTTGATACTTGGAGCACAAAGAAGGATTCTAAGAAATCTAACTGTGATTCCTGAATTAAAGAGGATCAAGAAGTCAACAACAAAGGAGCTCAATCAGAGGGCTTATAAGTCTTTCCCAAATCCACCTTGGTTTAGTTTTGTTTTTTGTTTTGTTTTGTTTTGATGGAGTCTTGCCCTGTTGCCCAGGCTACAGTGCAGTGGTGCCATCTCAGCTCACTGTAACCTCCGCCTCCTGATTTCAAGTGATTTTTCCTGCCTCTGCCTCCTGAGTAGCTGCGATTACAGGCACACGCTACCACACCTGGCTAGTTTTTGTATTTTTAGTAGAGATGGAGTTTCACCATGTTGGCCAGGCTGGTCTTGAACTCCTGACCTCAAGTGATCCACCCACCTCAGCCTCCCAAAGTGCTGGGATTACAGGCATGAGCCTCTGGGGGCACCTGGCCCCCACCTTGTTTTTTAATTCCAGTACTCCTTTGCCCTGCCATTCCTACAATTAGGCATGTTCTCCTGTGTTCTCTTTGTCCTGAAATACCTGGTATATTTCCATTCAACTTATATCTCCATTCATACTTAAAGACCAAGTTCGTACAACACCATGTCCAAAACCTTCCTGAACTCCAAGATGGACAGTTGCTCCTTCTCACCTCTGCCCACCTATACATTCAACACAGCCTCATCTGTTGAATCAGTCTCACTTGTTTTATGTTCATTCTGTCATTAGATTACCCTGCTTGTATGCCTAACACCAAATTAAGAGCAGAAGGCATAGCTCAATTATTATCTCACTCCCTTACAAAGAAACTTTTGAGCCCCAACTCTATGGCGCACTCTGTTTAATGTGCTAGCATATGGCAATGAACTCAGCAGTCTCAAATGCGTGCTCTATGGGACTTCCATCCTAGGGAGGAAATGTTCCTCTCCTCTTTCCACTACTGTTCTCACCAGATCAGCCTGCCCACCCACAACAAGAATTCCAGGCACACAGAGCAGTTGTGTGGGGCAGGTTTTCATGAATAAATAAATCCCCTTCACTTTTCAGTTCTTTGAAGTGTGAAGCAAAACCAAATGCCTGAAGCCATTACAGTCCACGTGGGCCATGGCCACGAAGTTCTACCCTGTATGCCACTGCCTTGGCGATTCAGTGCCCTATTTTTAAAACGAAGAGACACTTTATTCATCAAAATCCAAACTTGATACCTGCAGGGAATGGGACAGAATTATTTCCTAGGAAAGAGACCTACTCAGCCAAGAAAAACTACACTTCCAAAGTCCCTATCCAGAGTTTTCTCCACGAAGCTTCCACAGACTAATGCCATCACATGTGACTTTTTTTCTCACACTGAAGTATCTTGGCACATTTACACAGCCCACATCACATGAGCCCTCACTTATTTATATGCTGCCTTAGCATCATGTCCACTAAGGGTAACCTCATTAGAACAAAAGATAGTTGATCACCCAGGAAATTGCAAGGGATTTGGGAGCTCTGTGTAAGATATTCTCCTCCAACTCCAATGCAGACACAGTGATTATGGAAAACTCATTCTGCAGTCATAACACCTCACACAATGTGAACACACACCAGGCACTCAGTAAGTGCTTGTTATGTTTTATTTCTAGGAAAAGTTTTTACTCCTTACACCTCCACTACTGGGAGGAGGAGAGACCAAATCTATGCCAAAAAACAGGTAAAAGTCCAACTCACTTCCAGAAAGGGAATGAAACAAAATTTCCAAGAAATACCATCTACAGAATAATAACAATATTGGCCACGTGGAGCTTTCCATGATCTCATCAACTCTTTTTAAGTCTATTAAAAGTCAATATATACCTTATTTACATCAGCTCATTGTGTAGAGTTGTGATCTTAATTGGCCCTTCAAAAATTCTGCTTTGCCAGTGTCTCTTTCTTACCTTAAGATAATCGCAGTTAAACATCAGGGTTACGTATAACGCCGACTGAAATGGATTTTTTGTTCCCCTTTAGCTAACATTTTCTGTACCTTACTATGTTATAGCAACTATACAAAACTACTTTTGTGATCTCTTTCAGTGTCAAAATAACACCACAAACTTGTTCTTCTATGATCTCATTTTATAGTTGATAAAATGGAGAGTCAGAGAAGGTAAGTCACACAGTTAATGGTTGATCAAACCAGAACTGCTGCCCCCATGGCTCATATAGTGAACCAAGGGTCAGAAAACCTAGACCTGTGGGCCAAATCCAGCCTGAAATGTTTTTGGTCTTCTTTATGATTTTTTTTTTTTTGAGACGGAGTTTTACTCTTGTTGCCCAGGCTGGAGTGCAATGGCACGATCATAGCTCATTGCAACCGCCACCTCCCGGGTTCAAGCGATTCTCCTGCCTCAACCTCCTGAGTAGCTGGGATTACAGGAGTGCGCCATCATGCCTGGCTAATTTTGTATTTTTAGTAGAGACGAGGTTTCTCCATGTTGGCCAGGCTGGTCTCGAACTCCCAACCTCAGGTGATCTGCCTGCCTCGGTCTCCCAAAGTGCTGGGATTACAGGTGTGAGCCACCGTGCGCGGCTGATTTTATTTTTTATAGAGACAAGGTCTTACTCTATTACCCAGGCTGGTCGAAAACTCGTGGGCTCAAGCCGTTCTCCAGTCTCGGTCTCCCGAGTAGCTGGGACTACAGGCGCCCCACCGCATGCTTTTGTAAACAAAGTTTTATTGGAACATAGCTCATTTGTTTACATATTGTCTACAGCTGCTATCCTCTTACAAGCGTTGACTAGCTGTGACAGAGAATGTATGTGCAAAACCTAAAGCATTTACTATCTGGCGCTTCACAGAAAAAGTTTGCCAACCTCTAGTCGATACTATATAAGCAAAGATAAGACGTAAGTCTCAGCAACCTTCTAAAAGGCTCAACCATATCGTACACAAAGTACAGTGCTTTCAACAAAACAAAAGCTTTCTAATGACCTTAAAACTCTAGAGTAGGAACAGTCCTTGCCAGTCATCTACCTTCTGTTTCTGAATTCTGAGTCGAGCCCAGCGTTAGTAAATGTCTCATTACTCTAACTCCCACTTAGAAATAAATATACTCAGGATATTAGAAATATTTATTGCTCGCAGAACTGTCTGGTAATAAAGAAACTGCCCCATCACTCAAACAGCAATAGAAGATTTATCGATTTCCTATGCAAAGTATTCTACTTAGACCTAAACAAACTAGGGGAAGAAAGCACAAGTTCAACATAAAAGACAGATGGGATGGTAGCAGTGGTGTGAGCCTTTCTTCATTCACGCTCTCAAACCAGTAAAAGTTAGATATAGAGAGGTCCCTCATCCCCAAATGTGCAATCTGGGGCATGTGCGTATTAACAACATAGAATGTGGCACTGCATTGCTTGCAATGAAGGCTGCAATATAACTTTACCCAAAACCTAATTCATCATCCTTTTCCCTTTAACAATCAGCCTCTTCTATGTCATCCATCGTGAATGTTACCACCAAGACTAGAAGCTTCCATCACCACCCTCCTCCCACCTGCCACCACATATACATAATACGTATCTGAGTCCTCACACCAAATGCCTTCCTCTTTCTATTGCAGCTGCCTTCTTACTAGATAAGGGTCCCGGGCTCTCTGGATGGACTGGATGTCTTTTTTTTTTCTTTTCTTTTTTGAGACAGAGTCTCACTCCATCACCCAGGCTGGAGTGCAGTGGCATGATCTCAGCTCACTGCAACCTTCAACTCCCAGGTTGAAGCGATTCTCATGCCTCAGCCTCCTGAGTAGCTGAAATTAGAGGCACATATCACCACACACAGCTAATTTTTGTATTTTTAGTAGAGACAGGGTTTCACCATGTTGGCCAGGCTGGTCTCAAACTCCTGGCCTCAAGTGATCCGCCAGCCTCAGCCTCTTAAAGTGCTGGGATTGCAGGCATGAGCCACCGTGCCCAGCCTAGATGTCTTTTTTTTTTTTTCTTTTTGCCTAACTAGGGTCTTGGGGTATCAATGTCTCCCACTCCATTTCCTGCTCATCTTCCAGGACTGGGTCTAGTTTCCCATTCACACACCTCTGTGGCTCCTCCCTGGTTACCTAATTCTTGACTCTGTCAATTTAAGGAGCAGCAGATAAGGCTTAGTAACTTACTATTGATGTTTTGGATCCATGAGCATCAGCTAAGGCCTGCTGGAAAGCTTCAGGCAACGCACAGAGCACAGCAGCTCACCAGGACTGACCCTCACACTGGGCCCGGTGGTGTGCACTCCACCAGCACTAACTCGTCATGTCTCTCATCAAAAAATTTGGCATGTCCACTGTGCCAACAAAGTCCTGGAGACCAGGAGGGCTCAAGCACTGGCCAGAGTTCTGTGGGTAGGAAGCGGTGGGGCAGGAACTCAAACCAAGGCAGTGACTGCAGAGCTCACACTTCACACCACCTCACTCTGCCTCTGCTGCCTCTGAATTCCCTAATACTTTGTATTCCTCTGAAGTGACTTTTAGAAAATTAAACCTAGAATTACATTTATATACTTCCCTTCTAAAATTGAAAACTCCTGGAGGGTAGTGGTCTAGTTTTATTAATCTGTAAACCTCCCCAAATACCCAACCTGGTACCCAGCTGGAACTAAATGACGAACAAAGGGGTAGTCCCTCCTCCAGGAAGTATAATGGAAGAATGAAAAAGAAAAGATCGTGCAGAAAATCCATCAACAGAATACCCCTATGGGGTCTTTCTTTGTGGTCTGTTTATACCCCAACATATATTCACCAAGACTTCCTGAAAATAATTTTGAAGAAACAAAGACCATGAAAAATTAGCTGCCAGATTTGGAATGGTGTGTTTCTGTGGAGGAGGGGCAGGAACTAAAGGAATGGCCACATAGAGCGACCAGATTTCCTAAGGAGGGTAATTCATTTTACTCCAAAAATGGGGTAAAGCAGTGGTTCTCAGTCTGGCTGTGCATTAAAATCGCCTGGGGAAGTTTTAAAAATCGCCATGCCCAAGCCAACTAAATCCAACTCCAGGGGAGGGTCCAGGCAAGTGTGTTTTCTGAGGTAAGAAGAGCTGGAGTGAAGGAACCTGCATTGGAATTCTGACTCCACTAATTACTAATAACGTGACCTTGGGCAAGATACTCCCCTCCATGCATCCTTTTTCTTCAGCCCAGAACAATCCCTTACTAGCTATGTGACCTTGCAGCTCAGTTTCCTTTCGTGTAAAATGGAAATCATAATAGTACTTAACCCTCTTAGGTTTATTTTAAGCACTAAATAAGGATACATCAAAGTTCTTAGAACAGGGCCCAGGACATAGAGAGCACTCAATCAACGTTAGCTACTTTTATCATCAAAGGTACAGTGAGTTTACAATACTTGCCTCCCAAGCTAAGGACTAAATACAAAGTACTTGATATAAAAAGTACCTAATAAATGGTGCTCTCTTTTCCCATCCATACATCTCACTCACAATTATCTCTGAATATGTGATCGAACCTGAAGGCCTTCAGGATAGAGAAAACTAATTCCCCAACACTCACTTGGGGATGCCAGATAAAATACAGAGCATACTTAATACGAAAAAATATCTGCTATTTATCTGAAATTGAAATTTAACTGGATGCCCCATAGTTCTCTTTGCTAAATCTGGCAACCCTACATTCACCTGTCACCTACATTTAGGCTACAAGTAAAGTGGGAGGCAGAGTCTAGTCCATGGAGGCACCACAATCAATCAATCAATCAATTAATCAATCAATACCTAGCATGGTGATGCACACCTGTAATCTCAAGCTGGAGAATTGCTTGAATCCGGGAGGCAGAGGTTGCAGTGAGCAGAGATCATACCACTGCACTCTGGCCTGGACAACAGAACAAGAATTAATATTAAAAAAAAAAAAAATCAGTACCTGGGAACTCCCTAGGTTTGCTCCCTGGAAGCCATAAGACATCTTACTACAATTCATAAGCAGCTCTCCAGCCTTCCTACATAGGGCAAGTCAATGCATTGTTCAGATGAACAAAACACAGGAGGAAACTACTCAAAGGCAACAGAGGGCAAGAAGAGAGAAACCTTTCCTAAAGTGACCTCTCCATTTTGCAGTCACTTATCAAACACCTAAATCAAGTGAACAGGAAGATTTGAACAGAAACCTTTGCCTCCTGGTGGAACACACACTCCAACCATCCCACAAGGCAAAAGCCTGGCTATAAATTATTTAGCCCTATAAAAGATCAATACCAAAACCCAAAGCCATGTTATAGGCTTCAAAAGTCCTATGCCAGATAGGTCTCTAAGGTATCACCTGTTTATTTGTTGTTGTTGTTAATTTTATTTTAACCCTCCCTTTCCAAAAAAGCTAAGTTTATTTTACCCTTTCAAATCAATTTTTTTTCCCATTAGAAGAAAGGCAGAAATAACAGACCCATCAGAAAAACAACATTCCAGAAACCTATTTTAGAGGGTATTTACTTTGCATTCCCAGAGCAAGATCCCTGGAGAAATGTTAAGTTTTGAACTATGTCTACTATAATATTTGTATATGTGTAAAAAACTGAAGATTAAAAATATAGAAGTTAAGAAGCATTAAGAGCCAATGAGTCAGCCAGATCTATGAGTGGAATTAAATTAGCACTAGATTGTTCACTGATTATCACAAACAGTGAAAGCTCTCCTGCAAAGACATGTTTTCCAGTTCACTTGGTTAATCCCTTCTGAACAAGGATCCAAGGAATGAATATTATCTATCCAATGGCAAGCTACACAAATTAATCACACCCAAGCACCATGCTGACAGCCAAACACAATCTATAAAATTCCAGACTATCGTCATAAGCCAATAACAAGAACTAAAGCTCTGATACCCACTCCCCCCAGAAGAAATCCCAAATTGTAAAAGGTTTGAAATGACACTCCCACATCCATTTACAGCCAACTATTTCAGACTGGTTAGATCACATAAAAATATTTTTAAAAGAAAAAAAACAGGTAGAAGTTAATTTTTTCTTTATATATATTTCAATGGCTACAAAATAAGCTAATTTTTTAACAGCAAGAAAATTAAAAAGGCAAATGGGCATATCATTCATGGATTTGTGCAAAATTCACATTAAAACCCACACTGCAATAATAAGCACATAGCATCAGCATAATCTCCAGTTTACTTAGCTGTGCTACCACATATATTAGTAACCTAAATGTAACCTATAAGTGGGTTTGTTGATTTTTTTCTACAAACAGCAGAAACTAACTCATTTTCCTGAATAAGCAGCAGATTCAGACAGCAACCCACAGAACCCAGAATTTGTTGGCAAAGCTCCGACTTTGCAAGGTGGCTAATAACACATGGAAAAGAGACAGCACAAAGGGAAAGGGGGCCAGAAGGACAAGAAATGCCCCATTCATGGTGCCCTGCATCCCTGGCACGGTCTATTTGAATGCTGCTCTTATGAGGCTGCCAGCTTTGAAAGTAAAAAAGAGAAAAAAAATATGTGTAACTTAAGTCAGAAAGAAGGGAGTTCTCTGTTTGCTGTTCTTGCTAAGAGACTAAAGAAGACATTGCCAATAAACCTTCATCTTCACGCAGGGAAGCTTTTTCTTTCTTTCTGGCCAAGGGAAGATTCAGTTTAGAAAGCAACCACATCAGCTTAACAAGAAGTGTGTTAATGGGGGAAAAACCACAGTTCTGAAGCTGGCGAAGGCAGCCCCACGACCGCCAGGGCTCCCTCGCTGACTGTCTCGGAGGCACAGGCTGCACAGGGCTCAAAATGTCACCTGTGAACCCCTCCAGCAGAAGTCACTGCTCTGTGTTACTCTCATGGAGCAATTTCTCTGAAGTTCCCCCAAATGATGATTGCCTGGTGTGTCCTTCTTTTATTCAAGGTCAAGACCAATTCTATATACCCATTCACCTTAAGGTAAAATGACATTTCACAGGGCTAAACGCCACCAGTTTATGGAGGAAAAGACACTAAATAAAGGAAGGTAGAGAGAGAGAGACATGGGTTTTTGTCTCTCCGGCTATTGTCAGACTTGCAAAGGGTATTTTTCACTCCAGTTCTGTGTGAACAGAGGACCTGAGGTAAGGCAATGAACCCGAAATATTTGTAACCTGGAGAGGGAAAGATACCAGCACTGGCTGAATATCTGTGAGGTATTTGGCAGCATGCTATACATGTATAGATGCTTTACACTCATTATCTCATTTCGTCCTCACCCAAACCTTCTAAGGTGGAATAATAATGTGTAATAGTTGCAGCTCTGAGGAAACCAAGACATAACATGGACTCTGTACTGCCTGATTCTAAAGGCTGTGCTCTTTCTATTACTGATGATTATTCATTTTCGATCTGCCTCCCAGCAGGGGTCGGCAAACTTTTCTGTGTAGAGTCAGAGAGTAAACGTTTTGGGCTTTACAAGCCATATGGTCTCTCTTGCAAGTACTCAATTCTGCCATTGTAGCAGGAGAGTGGCCAGAGACAGGAAGTAAATGAATTGAGTGTGGCTGTATTCCAATAAAACTTTATTTATGAACACTGACATTTGATTTTCATATAATTTTCACATGTCATAAAGTACTATTCTTCTTTTGATTTTTTTAACCACTTAAAAATGTGAAAGCCATTCTTAGCCCACAGACTCTAATTTGCCACACCAGGTCTACACCATCCATAAATAATATCTTGATTAATCTTGGAGGGAACTAAAGAAGAAGAAAGATGATATTGCTCTAAGAATTAGAAGGTGGAGGGAGGTGTTCTGTGCTATTTAATGTATTTTAGATCCTTATTCCCATTTCATTATAGGACATAAGTTTTCTCCATCACACCTCACAGAAAGAATGGGAAAAAAAGAATCCCTGCTATTAACATCAGCAGAGAAGGTATAATCCATACACACAAATATAGTGATGTTTTGGCCAGGTGTAGTGGCTCACGTCTATAATCCCAGCACTTTGGGAAGCCGAGGTGGGTGGATCACTTGAGCCCAGGAGTTTGAGACCAGCCTGGCCAACATGGCAAAACTCCATCTCTACCAAAAATATAAAAAATTGACAGGGCACGGTGGCATGCCCCTGTAGTCCCAGCTAATCAGGAGGCTGAGAGGCGGGTGGATCACTGGAGCTCGGAGGTCGAGGCTGCAGTGAGCCATGATGGTACCACTGCACACCAGCCTGGGTGACAGAGCAAGATCCTATCTCAAAAAAACAAAACAAAAGGAATGTTTTGAGTAAATTCAGTTTACATATTAGCATATGATTTTGAAATTTATCCTTTTATTCTCGCTATAAAACATCCTATAAATTCAGTTTGCATCCTGTGCCTTTCAGTTAAACAAAAATTGAATAAAGCCAGTTTTAAAAAAGTCACAAAAGTTGAAGAAGAATTGATGGGCCAGGGAAAACACAAAGTAAAGAGAAAGTCCTGGCAACCCTGGCCAGGGATCAGTGAGACACAGGAACATCTTTCCAAGCTGTCAATGACAGGCTGATTTACTAATTTTAGAGTATGGAGGTACAGAGTTAACTTACCAACTAATCAATGTGTTTTCTCCCTTGACTGTTTCCAAACACGGAGTGCTGGTCAGTTGCTTCAGGTAAACCCAATCAGCTATAAACACTACGCTAACAATATCGTAAGATCAATCAAGCACTAAATTGCTCCTGAAAATATACTGTCTCTTCTGGCTTTATTTCCCCACCTGGCTGGACTACTGTTTTCTGCTGTGCATCTCCAGCATAAAGCATAACCTCATTTTGAAGTCAGGCGTGGCCTTGCTATTGGCCTTTGAAAGGGGGTTACCATACTGCACACTTCCTAAAAAGTAAAAGTCGGCAAGGGTGTGGAAGCATTTCTAAGTGTCAAAGACACCTTTGAGAGTAACAGATGAACTAGACTTAGAAGCTGGGAGTCTTTGCCCTCTTCATGCCCTTTTACGTTAAGGTCATCATGTCAACTAAACCTTAGCATTTTCCAATCTTTAATAAATGGGAAGGGGAGCTGAACGCAAACATGATTAAAACCACTTCCTAGAACTCAGAGGTGAAGGCACCACAAAACATTGGCTAGTAGGCAATATGATGGATTGTTATCTTTTGTCAATCAACTTGAAATGTTTAGGAAAGACTGTCAAAAAATTCTTAAAACATTTCCTCATAATATAGTTGGATTTTTAAAATCTTTGTACTCTTTATTTCAATGAATAGGCCTGAATGACAAAATATGGATAAACATTTTGTTTTTACTTCAGTGTCTGTTATTCTATTCTAGTTTTGTTTTATGGTTACTTGTATTTCTATCATTTTTCTCATTCCAGTCCTAACAGCAGTACATTTAACAAGAATGCCAAATGAACCTGAACTGCTGGAAGGATTTTACATACTTGTAAGACAACTGGGCTAATGTGGGCATCATAGTCACAGAATGATATGTGCAAGGCCATAGAAGAAGCTCCAAATCTAAGAGGTAAAAAAACAAACAAATGAAAAACTTTAAACCCCATTTAATAGCCACCTCTCCAAAAGAAGTACTAGTCCAAATGATTCTTGCTTTGTTCTGAAACATTTCCAGTGATGTTCCAAAGCAGCATAGGTTCATTAGATCAGGTGAGTAAGGAAAGTTAACAAGAAGCAAACGTTATTAAATAGCCTCTGTTTAGGATAGAGGAGGCCCATCTGTCTGCAGTGAAGGCAACACAAGAGCTTACAAATAATCTGCCTTCCCCAAGGTACATGGCTCCAGGACACCTCCTTTGTGTGCTTGGAATGTGAAGAATTTAGGAGACAATCCTAGACTGTTGCAGTGTTGGGGGATCCTTGTTTGAATTGGGGACACAATGCAGCCGGCTGCCACTCATGACCTTGATAAGCCAATGCATTCATCACTCTGCCAGTCTCCATGCTGGTCTCACCATCATCAGAGTGGTGGGGAGGAAATCCTAATTTGTTGAAGCCTGACACATCCCTAGTAGCATCTCCTAAGCAGCTTCTAAAATAATCTGTTGTAAAAGCAGCAGAATGCTTGGGTTGGAGAATGGTCACAAACTGGCTATGACACGAGGTCTCAAGTGTCACTGAAAAGTCCCATTGAAATGGAGGTCGGTTCTAAGCCCTTTTGTGGTCTGTGGTGGTCGTTCAGTGCCAAGAAGAGGGAGATGACCCTTCGGCCAATGTCCCTCTCAGGAGTTCCTTTACAGCACACCACGACTCCCTTCAGTAACATCCACTTCATGCCCTTGATATCCTTTTCTTCTGCTCTGTTCAAAAAGACTTCACTTTTACATTATAATCTGAAGATCTTTCAGTGGGCCCAGAGAAAAAGAATCAACTCAGGGACAAAGTACATTTTCCACATTGATCTTTCAATAGCCTCATGTCTGACTAATTTTTTAACGGGTCTTTTCAAAAGATGGGTCCTTTAAAAAACAACTCAAGAGAGCTAGAGACAGGAAGATCCCCTTTTCTTCAAAGTCTTTCCAATAAAGGAGGAGTAATGCTGTTTTCTTTAAGCAAATAATCGGTGGCCTCAGTTACAATTTAACTTACTGATTTAAGGTAGGTGCAATTATTGCCCCCATTTTACACATGAGGGAGCTGAAGTACAACAGGTTATTTGCCAAAGACCATACAGCTTATAAGTGGCCTTGCTGTCAATGCTCTGAACCATGTTACTTCTGCTACACCTCTATAATTAGAGCAGTTCATTCTATTATTTTAAATGAACTCCACTCCTTTCTCCCTTCCAACACTGAAATGAAAATCTCATCTTCACTGATGCTTAGTCTAATTACTAAAGCAGTGGTCTTCAGTGACCCCACCAAGGCACATCTGGCAGTCAGGAGATATTTTTGACTGTCATGTGTATGGGGGTGAAGAATGCTACCTACTGGCATCCAGTGGGTGGAGGCCAGGGATGCTGTTAAACATCCTATAATGTACAGGGCAAGTCTCCATGACACAGAGTCATCCAGACCACAATATCAATAATGCTGAACAGTCAGATAAGTATTTTCATGACACAGGTCTTCCTCCCTCCATTGCTCTTCTCATTTCTACCATTTTCACCATAGCAATGGTCTGTTGAGTATTTGTGCCCCAAACTAGCTAGGAAGCCATCTTTCCTAGTAAGTAGGATTTCTTGCCCTTCCCCTACCTGATCTCCCCTACTTCCTCAAGAAACCTAACAGATTTATGTAGTCCCATTTCTGCACTTTGAGTCAAACCATTCCACTTCATGTAACTCCTATACAGTCTTCCAAGCCTATTCCAAGTGAAGTTTTGCCTGAGAAGGCCAGTCCACAGCAACTACATCCTCCTCCTGGAATCTGAACTTCCAGTTTTGCAATTAAAGTGATGATAATAATCGCTGCCACTGCATTCCTACCATGTGCCCCACACTTTGGCCAAGCATTTGATACATATTATTGCTAATCCTTCAAACGACCCTAAAATAAAGATACTGCCATCTCCATTTTTCCCTAGGACTAAAGAGAAGCTAAGAGAAGGTAAAGGAGTTCAAAAGCTTTAACCCAAGGAGTGGGAAAACCAGGATTGAAACCCACATCAGACTAACTCCAGAGCCCAGCTCTTTCCAAATGGGTCCCACTACCAGGCACAGTTAAGCTCACATACATCTCTCATTCTCTCAAAGTACCTGGAAGAATTTCAATAAATACCTGTTGACTGACTGATCAAACAATAATAACCTCTCTGGGGTTCCGAGGCCGCTCTGAGAGTGAGCCTCTCATTGTACAATTTCTCTTTTATTACTCCCACACATTAATGGGTCATTCTCCTTGCCTTCCCTTACTGTATGTATATGTATATATATATATATAAATTTTTTAACAGCTTTATGGAGCTATAATTGATATGCGATAAATTGCACATTGGTAAACTGTATATTTTGATAAGTTTGACATGCATATGCACTCATGCATCCACTTCCAATATTAAGTTAATAAAATACCCATCACTCTTTAAAGTTTTTGCACTCTCTTTTCCTTACCATCCACTCCAACCATTGTACTGCAACCACTAATCTGTCTCCTGTCATTGTACATTAATTTGCATCTCCTAGAAGTCTGTATAAATGGCATCCTATAACCTATACATTCTTTCTTCTCTGGCTTCTTCACTCAGCATATTTTGGGATCATCCATGTCAGCATGTATCAATAGTTTGTTCTCTTTTATTGCTGAATATTATTCCACTGCATGGATATAGCACAGTCTACTCATCCATTCACCTCTGATGGGCATCTGCGTTGTTTCCAGTTTGTGGCTACTATAAATAAAGCTGCTGTGAACACGTGTAGACAAATCACCATTCTCTTTAAAATCCACCTCTATCTGAAGAAGAATTTTGCCAGATCATACAGCTGTATTAAATTTTGAACGGTTTTTCCAGTATAAAGAAATGGAGATGAGAAACAAAACCTCATTCTCTTTTTGAATGCATACCAGGGCATGGTTTTCCAGGACAGATGGCTGGTCTTGTCATTTGGACCCATCCCTTGATAATAACTAAGTCTAATTTCAGTTTCCTTATGTATAAAATCAATATAATAGAGCCTCCTTCATAGGGCTATTGGGAAGATTAAATGATTATTATTATTCTCGCAAAATCTTAATCTCAAACCAGTGTGTGGCGAGTGCTTAATAAATATGGGCTATGATTACTATTAATCTTAACATCTATTATGAAAAATGATTAACCCTCATTATGCCTTCAAACAGAAATTCCTATGATTTCTGCCAAATTTCTCTATTCAGATTTTACCTTAAGTGACCATTCTACCACTATGACATCATATAGCAAACAAATGATGGTCTAACACAGGGATGTCCAATCTTTTGGCTTCCCTGGGCCACACTGGAAGAAGAACTGTCTTGGGCTACACATAAAATACATTAACACTTGTGATAGCTGATGAGCTAGGAAAAAAAAAATCACAGAAAATATCATAATGTTTTTTAAAAGTTTACGAATTTGTGTTGGGTTGCATTCAAAGCCATTCTGTGCTGCAGGTGGCCCACAGGCCACAGGTTGGACAAACTTGGTCTAACACAATGCTTCTCAAACCTTTTTGAAACCCTGCCCCCTTTAGAAAAACAAAAATATATATACATCTTGAAAGAATTGACACATGGTGCCTAAAAACACACCAATATAACCTTTCCCCTGGGTCTAACAGGACAGCACTAGTGAGAACATGCTGCAGTCTTCTAACTAGCAGCTCCCTGTGAATCATCTGATTACTCATTCATCAGAGAGAAGGAAATGAATGGACTCAGTGAAACCCAACTAGTTTCCAGGAAGCCTGTGATAAACATCCCCCCTACCCCGGCTTACATTGCATCTTACCACTTACTACCTATCAGGCCCCTAAGATCTACCCCTTGTATTTTCACACATGCGGGCAAGTCTGAAAAGGGACCGTTTGAAAGAGAAGTACTTGGCCCTGGGTGAAGGAGAGAAAGGTCTGTAATTCAAGCCTGGGTGACCATCCATGAGGAAGGCTAGGAAGGAGCCTAGTGCTGGGGGGTCCTCTGGCCTAGACAGTAAGCTTCCCACAAAAAGATGGCAGGTGTGATAACTAGACATACACATTATCAGAAGAACGCTTTGACAAGGCAAATTGTCAAGGAGTTCTACCAGAGAAGAGAGCCTGGAAGAGAACTTTATGTATCTTTCCAACCACAGCTGGGAATGAAGGGCCTGGTGGGCTTGGAAAGCATAGCTTAAGAGCACAGGATGACGACTCAGTCAGACTTAGGAGAACAACTCCTCACAACCAACTATGCCATTACCAAAAAGCCATGGAGGTGTGACTTGGTTTCCTAAACACAGGCCCTGGGATACAGGACAGGAACGTCCTCCAGGATGCTCTTCCTTATGATGATCATAGGTGAACACAGACACGAAGGACAGGACTGCTCTCCTCCTCCACCCCAAATCACTGCCCTCTCTAAAAAGCCTTTCCTAACCCTCATCACATAATAGATGCTCAACAGTTATGTGCTGAATTGTGATTGGTTAATTCGTGAATGTTCAACTTCCATTCTTATGTTCTACACCTGGGCCATAACAAGTCTCCTAAGAGCCTTGAAAAGGCAGTCTTGGCCAGGCGCAATGGCTCACATCTGTAATCCCAACACTTTGGGAGGCCGAGGCAG
This sequence comes from Homo sapiens, assembly GCF_000001405.40. NCBI lineage: Eukaryota > Metazoa > Chordata > Mammalia > Primates > Hominidae > Homo > Homo sapiens. The sequence continues at coordinate 118,057,313 of NC_000008.11, forward strand.
GTGGATCACCTGAGGTCAGGATTTCAAGACTAGCCTGGTCAACATGGTGAAACCCCAACTCTACTAAAAATACAAAAAATTAGCCGGGTGTGATGGCTGATGCCATAATCCCAGCGACTCAGAGGGCTGAGGCAAGGGAATCACTTGAACCCAGGAGGGAGGCAAAGGTTGCAGTGAGCCAAGATCAGGCCATGGCACTCCAGCATGGGCAACAAGAGCGAAACTCCATCTTAATTTAAAAAAAAAGAAAAAGAAAAAGAAGAAAGAAAAGGCAGTCTTCCCACTAAGTAGCTAGGATTGTTAAGCACTCCAGTCAGTGCCTAACATATTGAGGGGTTCAAAAAATGTCTGGTCTCTTTAAAAAAAAAATCTAAAGTGAGGCTGGGCGTGGTGGCTCACGCCTGTAATCCCAGCACTTTGGGAGGCCGAGGCGGGAGGATCACCTGAGGTCAGAAGATCGAGACCATCATGGCCAACATGGTGAAACCCCATCTCTACTAAAAATAAAAAATTAGCCAGGCACGGTGGCAGGCGCCTGTAGTCCCAGCTACGTGGGAGGCTGAGGAGGAGAATCGCTTGAACCCAGGAGGCAGAGGTTGCAGTGAGCCAAGATTGCGCCACTGCACTCCAGCCTGGCAACAGAGTTAGACCCCATCTCAAAAGAAAAAAAAAAAAAAAAAGGAAAAGAAAAAAAAATCGAAAGTGATCTGCACCAGAGCAAACCACTGTCACTACCTGGGATGTTTAGTGGCTTCAGGAGTATATTCCCAAATGACAATGTATCTCCCAACACTTCCACATCAAATAACTTCCCCACTCACACACAGACAGACACAAATACACAACACACACAAATAACCTAAGGAGGGAAAATATTTTAGCAGCAGGAAAAACCTGTTTCTGTGCTCTAGGACTTCTGAATTAATTTTCTAAGGTTTGAAAGTAATATACTTTATATTGTTTAGTAGCCACACTACCAGCAAGAAGTAGAAGTAGCCAATACCTCAATAAAAAGTTGAAGTACCGCCTAAAAAGCAGCTCACACTTTGGCAAAGAGTGCAAAATTACAAGTATGTTTCCTTTTAATGCAAAGACTGAACTCTAATAACTCTGTAGTCAAGCAATAGGCAGACGAGTTAAGTATCAGGATTTCTTACTTATCCTAACACCTTCTCATAAAAAGAGAAACCAATTATTTCACTAAATGATTAAAAAGAGGCAGACATCTAAGACTGTTTGGAGTTCATTTTGTTAGAAAGCTTAGACATATCTTTCACAATTGAGAAGAACTAGAATTTTTTTTCAAAAGAGGATTACTAATCCACCTTATATAGAATACTTTTTCCATAAAATTTTCCACTCAAAAATGTTTCATATATATGTGCATAACATGATATAGATTAAATAGATTAGGTAAATATAATATAAACATATGGATGGATATGATAGGTATAGATCTACAGAAAAATATTAATAGATATAGATATACATAACTGATTAACGAATGAATGGACTGATTGATTGATTGGCAGACAGGCAGGCAGACAAAAAAGTAGAGGATTTACATGGACTGGACCCAAATTAAAATTGAGTTCAGCTTCCCTCAATCCAACCTCCAAAATTTCTCTTGTTCTCCCCTTCTGCTTCTCTGTATGATGGTCTTGAGTACCTCCCTTTTCTCCACCCCACCAGACCCAAATTTTCCAGGAAGAAAGATCAGATAAAATCATTAATCTAATGTGCATGTAAATTGCTGGTACTATGCTGGGAGGACCCTAAACAGAAATACACCTACTTTGGCCTGGCCAAGGCAGAGGTTCCAAATCCTGATATTTCAATACTGTGTTTCAGAGCAGGTACAAGCCTTTTAGGGCAACAGGGGAGAGTAGCCAGCGGCTCACGGCAGTATAGTCCTAAGGATGTTGTCCTTATTTGTAGAGTACACTGAATCATACAACTGTCAACTTGGTAAGCCAGGAACTCTCATTTAATGGAATACCCTTCCCGCTATGGTCCTGGGGTACGGCTAGCCATATGGGGAGCTTAATGAGACTTGGAAAGTGAACCTGAAAACAGGCCACCACTCTCATAAGGTTGATGGAAACACCATGATGGACAACGGCAGGTGCCCAATGGGGTCCAGCTTGTCTTTGCTTTCTTCTGCTCTGATCCCTGTTTCTTCCTAACAAGCGGCCCTGTTGAGCAGCAAGGGCTCCACCCAGCACCAGACACATGGCTGCAGACCACAGGGTTTGGAACTCCACAGACACAGAGGCAGCAGCAGCTTTTGGAATGTTTCATCCGTTCCCTGCTATGGTCCCTCATCAGCATCCTGCAGTTCTGACCTGCCCAACCCTACGCAAGAACTTCTGGTGAAACTTTCTCTAATCCTCTCACTTTCCTTCAAGACCTTTACTTCCGCCAGCTCCTCTACTATTTGAGGAAGGACCAATTTCTATAATAAATCCCTTAATCCCATAATACTCACCATGTTTGTGTTTCTTTGACTGACAGCTGGTTGATAAATAGGATAATACAGAGAAAAGACCTCAATGCATAGCCTCTGCGTATACTAGTGATCCATTTATGAAACAACTTGCAATTCCATGCAGGTGAACACAGGGATGCAAAAACTGTTCACCAAAGAACACATTTCTTTACTGCCACACATAGGACCCAAATACACACACTTAGAACCACACTGAACCTCTAAAAATCTTCTCCAAAAATACTACCATCATCACAAATCACTTGCTACCACAGAGCGCTCAATGAGTGCTAAGGTTTCAGTATTTCACAAGACAAATAAACAACTCTCAGGTAAAAATGAGTAAGTGACTTCTTTCTTATGCGTTATGTTCTTACCCCCCAAAAATAAAACAAATCTTTCCTAGATTCCCTTTAGTCAAGGACCAATAGATCCATTTATCAACACATCTTAAGCCAGTGGTCACAAATTGGGTTCTTGCAAGCTGATTCTGGCCCACAGACGTGTTTGATTTGGACCTCCGACTTTTTCGAATGTTTGAACTGATCCCAATTTTTGGAAATTGGGAGATTTTCCCTAAAATTCCACATTTCCAACTTCTGAAAGACTCGAAGGTCTAGTCCCCTGGCCCCACTTTCTTGCATGACAACCATCTCAGTTACCACTCTGCATTCCACTCATAACATCTACCTGGGCCCTGAAAATAACTAAGATGGCAACCACCAACTTGTACACTCTCAGGAAGCCAGTCCCCAGGGGCCTTAGAGGATCAAGGAGGTTCTCTTCATGTGACGTCTGCATTTCCTCAGCTGGTGACTTGCTGGTAAGGGCCATTTACATTTGGGGTTGCTTTTAATGCCCCCATTTTCCAGGTCATAATGTAGCACAGTTCTCCAGTTAAAGGAGAGATGATTAAGAAGAGGCACATACCTTAAGCAATTAGGGCTGTATCAACATGTCCAGGAACAAGCTGGAACACCACCTGGCTCAGCTGCTTCGTGTAAAAATCACATCACCAAAGCATTTGGAGCACAAGTATTATTCTTCACCAAGAAGAGCAATTTGAGGAAGACTTATCTGCCTTTTATTAGTAAAAAGACACTGCCTGGTATCACTTTCCCTTTCTTTACATCATGAGATGGTGAAACCAAAAACAGAAATGGTTGCACAATGGGTGTTCTCAAGTGAAAGGGATTTGCAGGCAAAATGCCTGAGACTGAAATGAGGAAGCATCACAGAGACAAAAAATTCCACAAAAAGTGTTTCTGCAAACTTTGACTGAGGCACTTGGGGTAAGTTAATTCCCTTCTCCCTGTACTGGTTTTCTCATCTAAAATCCATCCTTATTAGGGCACCATAGTGAAGTGAACTAAACACTGCACACAAAACACGTGGCTCAGTGGCTGGCACACCCATTCAATAAAGGCTGAAATTACTGTTATCATTTTATTATTATCAACAAAGACAGCTCATGCAAAATTAAAAACACATTCAACCAAAATAGGGAAGGTGATTCCCTTGGCAGCCACTTCAGTCACAGAGAGACATTTGTAAATCAAGAGTCTCCAAGTTGAGAGGTTGTATGTGTTATGATTTAGAGATTGTGTTTGGTTTGGTTCAAGTACAACCAGCAAACACATTCAATAGAAAATGTGCTCATAAAATTGTCTCTCTCTGTAGAATCACGGGATGGCTCGTTACATTCCTAAAACCATTTCATAACCCATTGATTCAACACCACAAGCTTTTTACAAAAATGTCCAAACATAAAAAGGTAAATTCTCCCATGATGGCCTCCACACATCTGGAGGTAAGTGGTAAAACTGGTGAGGTCCTGTGGTAATTTGAAAAGTACTTTGTTCAACTTGCACCTCATTATTCTGCAGCAAGTCATCTGAAAGGGGGCATGCTAAGCAAAATATGAATATGTTTAGTTGGTAAGCCAAATAACATTCCTAGATTTTAAAAGCAACAGGCTGACTTCTAGTAAAATGTTCAGTAAACAGTTATGCATCTTTGCAAAAGATTTGTAGATCAAAGAGTATTTGGATTCTGTGTCCCTTAAGAAAAATTAATAGCAAAGACACTATCTCCGTTTTACAGATTAAGAAGTGGAGCAACTGGATAAAATGACAAGATGCTTTGACTGAATCTCTTAAAAATTCAAAACTCCAAAGTATTACTATCTTGATAAGGAAAGAAATTCCACAGGAAACTTAGAGAGAGAAAATGGCTTGCAATGGTACAGCTTCATTAAAAAAAAACAAGAGACACCAACTGTCAGGTGACATTCACTCATTTCTAAAAATTAACTGAAGAAACGTGGACACGTGTTCCATGACTTCCAGCTTTCTGGTCATTATGGTTTCTGCCTCTCAGCAGTCCTTCCCCGTTGACACAAACTCCATGAAACAATCATCGGAACGTCTGCTAAACTACATGGACAGCTCACTGAGTTGCTCAAGAAATGTTTAGGTAGAGGCCAAGTAAGTTTCAATCTCCGGTTAGCCTAGAGGTCCAAAGATGAAAATGTTGTATCCTAGTGAAGGTGATGGGCTTGCAGACACAGACTTCCCAATGCTGTGCACTTCACGCTATATACAAAGACCACTCAAGGACTCAGGAAGCAGAGGAGAAACTAACCAGGCCAGCCTTACGTGGACACTATTCCAAGACTCCACAAAGTGAGAGGATTTGGTCTAAATACATGACTGAAAAGAGTATCACCAGCTTGTGAAAAGACCCCCGTCTTTTTCACAAGCCATTCAAAGTGGAAGGAATCATATGTTAACAGCCCAGAGATGCGAAATATTCACAAGGAACAGTAGTGGCAGTAAAGATGACCTGGGAAGAATAATTAGGGTCAGTTTAGAAAGAACTATGTCTCAAAGCCTGGGGTTTTGCCAGCAGGAAAAGGGACGGTCCAGAAAGCTTTTAAACAGGAAACTGGCCTAACTGGATCACTGTTTTAGACAGAGTTGTTCTATATGTGGACTGAACAAAGCAAGGAAACTGCATGCTAGACTAGTTGCCAAAAACAAGACTATATAATTTATTCTGTTTAATGTGTCTTTGCTACTCATCCTTCCCTTCATTTCCCTCAAACACCTCATAACTATGACTAGGTCACTATAAATTCCTAAACTCAAAATAATATGGATGCTCAGCTTTCTGGAACATTAAGGGTGCAAATCTGGAAAGAAGAAGGAGAAAATGTCTCATTTCTACCTGAAAGAAAACATTAAATACAAACTTTTTGACAGATGATGGTTTCTGGAGAATTTTTTTTTTTAACTTGAGTTACTTTTAAAACTTGTCATCACTGACAAGCACAAATTAGGTGGAAATTCATTTTTTAAAAAAATAGACAAAGTGGTAGAAATTAAGCAACTGGCAGTTATAGTAAAAAAAAAATTCAAGTTCTCTTTTAAAACAAAGAAGTGCATATCTGCTTAGTAACTATAGTGCTAATCAAGGCAATCACACATCATTCAAAGTTATCACAAACCCGTATTTTCCATTGCCATTCATCTAGGAGTTTCTGTATGAAAGGTACAGACTTTAACAAGGCTTGCAGTGTTCATTGAAAGCAGCTACTTATTTTTCCACCTCCCACAAAAGAAGATGAGGCATTTTCCTAAGCTTTGCTGAAGTGCCAACTGCGAGTCACACAATCACAGTCTGGACAGAGGTGAACCATGACAACTGATGGGACCACCTACTTCACAACATTCACTAACATACCTGCCACATGCATGCAGATGCTGTGCTCTTGTTAGTCTTGAAAATGAATTGCTTCAGTTCTCTGTGAGAATACTGAGGGGTCTGTTTAAGCATGACAAACTAAAAATCCTCTTACAAACACTGCTGCGATATTAGCTACCATCCTTGCTTCGGTTTACAACTAGACTCTCCTGTGAGATCACAGACAAATTCAGCAGACTGTTTTGCTGTAGGTTTTACTTTAAGTATTAACTTCTCAGATCTTACATTATTATTATTTCATGGAGACAAACATCATACACTTAGTAAGACCAGAGCTACACTTTATTTATTTACTTATTTATTTATTTATTTATTTATTGAGACGGAGTCTCGCTCTGTGGCCCAGGCTGGAATGCAGTGGTACAATCTCAGCTCACTGCAAATTCAACTTCCCTGGTTCAAGCGATTCTCCTGCCTCAGCCGCCCGAGTAGGTGGTATTATAGACATGTGCCACCATGCCCAGCTAATTTTTGTATTTTAGTAGAGATGGGGTTTCACTGTTGGCCAGGCTGGTCTCAAACTCCTGACCTTAGGTGATCCATCCGCCTCGGCCTCTGAAAGTACTGGGATTACAGGCGTGAGCCACCGCGTCAAGTCGCTACACACTTTTTTTCTTTTTCTTTTTTTTAATACTTTAAGTTCTAGGATACATGTGCAGAATGTGCAGGTTTGTTACATAGGTATACACATGCCATGGTGGTTTGCTGTGCTCATCAACCCATCATCTACATTAGGTATTTCTCCTAATGCCATCCCTCCCCTAGCTCCCACCCCTTGACAGGCCCCGGTGTATGATGTGCCCCTCCCTGTGTCCATGTGTTCTCACTATTCAGCTCCCACTTATGAGTGAGAACATGCAGTGTTTGGTTTTCTGTTCCTGTGTTAGTTTGATGAGAATGATGCTTTCCAGCTTTATCCATGTCCCTGCAAAGTACATGAACTCACCCTTTTTTATAGCTACATAGTATTCCATGGTATATATGTGCCACATTTTCTTTATCCAGTCTATCATTGATGGGCATCTGGGTTGGTTCCAAGTCTTTGCTATTGTGAATAGTGCTGCAATAAACATAAGTGTGCATGTGTCTTTATAGCGGAATAATTTATAATCCTTTGGGATTATACCCAGTAATGGGATTGCTGAGTCAAATGGTATTTTTGATTCTAGATCCTTGAAGAATCGCCACACTGTCTTCCACAATGGTTGAACTAATTTACACTCCCACCAACAGTGTAAAAGTGTTCGTATTTCTCTACATCTTCTTCAGCATCTGTTGTTTCCTGAATTTTTTTTTTTTTTTTTTTTTCTGAGATGGAGTCTGTCACCCAGGCTGGAGTTGCAGTGGGACAATCTCGGCTCACTGCAACCTCTGCCTCCCAGATTCAAGCGATTCTCCTGCCTCAGCCTCCTGAGTAGCCAGGATTACAGGTGCCCGCCACCACACCCAGCTAATTTTTGTATTTTTAGTAGAGATGGGGTTTCACTATGTTGGCCAGGCTAGTCTTGTACTCCTGACCTCAGGTGATCCACCCGCCTCAGCCTCCCAAAGTGCTGGGATTACAGGCATGAGTCACCGCCCCTGGCCTTTCCTGACTTTTTAGTGATCACCATTCTAACTGGTATGAGATGGTATCTCATTGTGGTTCTGCTGTGCATTTCTCTAATGACCCATGATGATAAGCTTTTTTTCATATGTTTGTTGGTCGCATAAATGTCTTCTTTCACACTTTTAAATATGCTTCTAGATGGAGTCTTTGAAAAGGCTCTCAATTTCCCAGGAACCAACAAACAGATAACATTTCAGAGACTCTGAAGTGGATACAAGGAAAGATCAGGTGAGGAACTAAACTGTGGCAAAACAAAACAAAACAACAACAAAAACCAGACCAGAAAAACCAGGAACACCATGATTTCACAAAGTTGCATCAAAAAAGTTGTCAATTTTCTTCTTTTTCGTCTGGTTGCAAATCAGAAATATTTAAAAGTTTTAATTCAGAGGCTTCCTTCACCAAATGAATCTAAGAATCTGGTATGTGTTGTAAAACTGCATATTGTGTTGGGCATTCAGGAAAAAAATTCTCTGTACATTTGAACTTACACTTTGGGAAATTGCTAAAGGTAGTTTTAGTCATTCACATTCCAAACCAAGCACGACCAAAAACAAGCTTTTAAAAGTTCAAGCATATTTGTGTATTGGGAAAAGTTAGGAATGTAATATTTAGTGGGTGGGCATTTTTAAATAATGTACTTGTCCCAAATCTTCCACTGCACAGCAGAGCTGCAGAAATGGGCTGGAGTCCTCACTCTGCCGCTAAGTATCTGCCTGACCTTGGACATGGGACTGAGGTCTCTCAGTTTCAGTTGCACATTTGAAGAGAAAGAGGAGGTGAGAAGAAACTGGACACAAAAAGTCTAAAGGCCATTCCAGTTCCAATAAGGTTACTGTCCAGTACTATCTTAAAAGTTCTCATTCAGCTATCACATCTGTTTGAAAATTAACTGTAGAGATATGAGTTAATCAACTATAGTTGGCCCTTGAACAACATAGGTTTGAACTGCTCATTCCCACCTACATGAGGATTTACTTCCACATCTGTCACCCGCAAGACAGCAAGACTAACCCCTCATCTTCCTCCTCCTCAGCCCTACTCAACATGAAGACAATGAGGAAGAAGCCCTTCATGATGATCCACTTGCACTTAATGAATAGTAAATATATTTTCTCTTCCTTATTATTTTCTTAATAACATTTTCTTTTCTCTAGCTTTATTTATTTATTTATTTATTTATTTATTTATTTATTTATTTATTAGACAGAGTCTCACTCTGTTGCCCAGAGCTGGAGTGCAGTGGCATGATCTCGGCTCAAGTAGCCTCCGCCTCCCGGTTCAAGCGATTCTCCTGCCTCAGCCTCCTGAGTAACTGGAATTACAGGTGCGCACCACCCACACCCAAAATAGTTTTTGTATTCTTAGTAGAGATGGGGTTTCACCATGTTGACCAGGCTGGTCTTGAACAACTGGCCTCAAGTGATCTGCCCGCCTCAGCCTCGTAAATTGCTGGGATTACACATGTGAACCACAGCGCCAGGCCCAGCTTGCTTTATTGTAAGAATACAGCATATAATATATAGAACAAACAAATATGTGTTAGTTGACCATTTATGTCATCAGCAATGCTTCCAGTGAACAACAGGCTATTCATTGTTACGTTTTCAGGGAGTCAAAAATTATACATGGTTTTTCAGCTTCACAGAGGGTCAGCACCCCCTAATCTACATTGTTCAAGGACCAACTGTACTTGTAGATAAAGCTAAGCTTTCTGGAAATAAAAGTTTTTTAAAAAATTAAAAGCTAATATTATAGATGTTTTGCTACCCAATATGTGCTTAACAAACGTCTGCTCATAAATGATGAAGTCAAATGGGGAATAGACAGCTGCCGTCTGTAAGTCTCTGGTAGATTGTTTGTAACATAGCCACAATTCTCTCCCTAAATGCACACTGTTGAACAATCCCCTCTCTCACTGACTCTAGGTTTAGCCAGGTAACTTGCTTTAACCAAAAGAATGTAGTAGAAATGACACTGGGAGACTCTCAAGTCTAAACTTCAAGAAGTCTGGCATTTTTGAATATTGTCATCTTGGGGCACTGGTGCCATACAAACACACCTGAGCTAACTGGCTGGAGACGTCTTCCTCCTGGAGTACCTATACCACCTCCAACACTGTGTCTGGCTCATAGCAAGTGTTCATTATACTGCGGTTCTTACTTATGCAGGCATAGCTTGGACTAGCTGAAGGAAGAATGTGGTGTGAAGTAACAAAGAAGAATGAGGGGAAGGAATACATGGGCTGGATGGAAGCAGGTGCTATAGCATTCACTGGATGACTGACTGCTTGAGAGAGCCACTATTCTGTTCCTTGTCTAATGAACTTTCCAGGATGGACATAGTACATAACAGAGCCTAGCTTTAAACTAGACTATACACACCATAGCTGAGGAAATCACACCAACGTGAAGCGGTTTCATCCTACATCAAAGCAGTGGTCAAGTCAATACTAATTGGAAGTTGCAAGAATTATCCTCTCTCAATTATTAAATTAACGATCCAGCAATCTTAACTCAGCAAGGATAAGACCAGTTACATGCTACTTGGTTTTTAGAAACTGCACATTAAATCAGAAACCTAATCTTAACATAGGCTACTTCTGCTAACTCTCTTTTAGCTTGGTGACATTTGTGTTGATTCATGATTCATAAGCCCCATGCTGTAAGCTTTGCAGGGCTGGATCAACAGAGTGATGGCTATTAAAGGGAAATAAATCATTTATTTTCCCACTGTGGAAGGTAAGCTTAAGTCACCATCTACAAGACATAGCCATGGTGGCACATTTTCAGAGCATTTGCAATATTAGTAACAAAACTGCAACTACAACTTTCTGATTACCTGAGAAGGGCCCCCACTATATATCTAGAGCTTTAGAAAAACACTTTCATTTAATCTTCATAACACCTTTCAATGGAAATGTTATTATTCTCATTTTTACTGCTAAGCAGGTTGGTTCGGCAAAGCTGTGTGGCCACAGAGCTTACAGTGCCAGAGCTGAGCCTGGAATGCAAGTCTGGCAAACTCCGAAGTTCAAGTTCTTAACCATTCTTCAAACAATGTGGTCAGCCTCTTCTTGGCACCTTGAAAGAAAACTCAAAAATGTAGACATGCTTTTAAAATCCTGTCTTACAGGGAGATCACACCAGTTTTTGTTTGTTTTAGGTTCCAAGGTACTTGTGCGGGATGCACAGGTTTGTTACATAGGTAAACATGTGCCATGGTGGTTTGCTGCACCTATCAACCCATCACCTAGGTATTAAGCCCAGCATGCATTAGCTCTTTTCCCTAATGTTCTCCCCACCCCGCTCTCCCCCGACAGGCCCCAGTGTGTGTGTGTTGTTCCCCTCCCTGTGTCCATGTGTTCTCATTGTTCAGCTCCCACTTGTAAGTGAGAACATGCACAGCAGTTTTTTTTAATCCCCATGTTAAATAGTGTGGCTAATGCAATACATTCAAGATAAATAGAAACCAGAAGTGAAAAACTTGCCTAACACCTAAACCTGGATATATATTTCCTATTTTTAGGCGGCAGAATATATTACAAAAAACACATTCCAAGTACACCTGCCTGATAGACAATAAACACTCAAAATAAATTTTAAAATAATCTTTAATGGTAAATATTTTTTATATTCAATAGACAAGAGACTTTCCTCAAATTTTTTAGAAGAGTTGTTTTCATTATTACTATTACCATTGCTGTTGTGTTACTGCTGTTATTTATTCAGTCCAAGCCTAAGCTGCAAGAAGCTTTAGAGCTTCCACTATTGCCCTTTTGGGACTCTAGTATCACGTGAACAAGCTAATCTGCTGGAGAGGCCTTTCCCCTGGAGTACCTACACCCCCTTCTAGCATAGTATCTGGTTCATAGCAAGGGTTCATTAAATGGCAGTTCTTATTTACACAAACATAGCTTGGACTAGCTGGAGGAAGCAAGTCATACGAAATAACAAGAAAGACTGAGAAGGGACATACTAGTGTATAAAGTAAACCACTTAGCTCTTTGCACTTGCCCATGACTTGTCTTGATCAGTATCCTGTAGCAGAGGTTAACTTCCCATGTGTAATACTTTACATAAAGAGAGGCAACAATCTGTCACTTTTAGCTTAAAATTTCTACAAACAGAATCAAAGAGTGGTCTCACTCTAGCAGTGTGAATCACTAATAGCACCCTCCCACAGTGCTCTTCAGCCCAGTACCCCGTCTATTCCTCTTGCTTATTCTGATTCCATTTCCTCCTCCCTGGGCTGGTGATCTCAACTCCTGCTAAGCACCCCCTCCCACTTACAAATCATGAAACTACAAACATTCTCTTATGAAGCAGATAAGAGAGCAAAAATTACACTTTGGCAAAGTGTAAGTGGTAGGTAGCATGTTTGGAAGGACTACAGATCTAGAGTTAGCGGAGATAGAAAAAGAGGTGTTACAGAAATCAAATGAACACCAGGAAATGGTATTTGAATGGCAAACTTCATCTTTGGAAATAACTTCACACCACAGGTTAAAGGATACTTGTAGCAACGTCGTAGGCATTGGCTTGGGTTTTTGTTTTTATTTCTTTTTTTTTTAATCTACTACTGGACATCATGGACAGTACAACCAAATGATTCATGCAAGGACCAGGGTGAAAATCTACCTGTAGTAACAATGTAATAATACAGTGATCTTTTCATAAAGATTAGCTATGATCCAGGCCACTGATCCAGGCCATAAGAATTTCAGTATCCACATATGTAAAAGGTTTTCTACAACAATCCTATGAACTAGTTAATATCCTCACATACACATTTTACTTCTGAGAATGAGGCTTTAAGCAGAAAAGGTGATTATTTTTATATTGAGAGCCATGTCGTCAACAGCAGATAGATCTGATTATGTCCAAGTTTAAAGTAAACATAAAAATATTTATAAACTTCAGCAAATTTGATTTATACAGTAATGTAACACCGATGGTGCGTTTTTACTACAAAAATGTATTTTTGAAAATTGTTATTTCACTTAACTTTTTTCTGATAGTCCCAAGATTCTTAAAGGACATCATAAATTTCTGTGTGTGTGTGTGTGTGTGTGTGTGTGTGTGTGTGTGTGTGTGTGTGTGCATATCATAAGTGAATGCATGCATACACATATCTACTTAGAGTAAACATACAGTTATTTAAAAAAAATCCTCCCAAAGTATGAAAGTTCCTTATCTCTGCTATGATTTGTTTCGATCCCCTCAAAATAACTAGTGTTTGGCATACAAATATTTTAAAGTTAATGTAAATTAAAATTACTTCTCTTTTAAAACTATCAGAAGGTGAGATAAATTGGATCTCACCCAAGTGTTTGAAAAATCAAAACTGAAAATAACTGATTTAGGGAAAATCGGAACTGATCTATAAAGAAAGCCATAATTTTTAAACTCCAGTATTAATACAAATGCAAATAATCTTTTAAACTTTAGGAGTTAAGACCAAACAAATTCTTTTATGACTTAATTAAGTGTGAATTAATGGGAATTGTATTTTATCATGTACAAATAATATATTAGAATCACAAGAATAGCAGACAGGAGCGGGAACCTTCTGGAAATCTCCCCTGACATAAATTAAGTTGAAATTACTTACTGCAAATGGAAGCTATGTGTAACTGTTCCCTCCATCCTGGCTAGAAAAGGGATCTCAAGAGGTATGAGCACTAAAAAGGGAAAAAAGACTACATAAAATAGCCAATCTAAATATAAAACCATATGAAATATTAAGGATGCGATTTGAATGTTCCTGAGGCCGTTTTAAAGCCTCCATTTGTGATCTGACCCTTTCAGAATAAATATTAATTTGTTTTGAAGTAGCTTTTATGAACAAAACAGCCTCTCATTTCTATCATGTAAGTGGGTGTAGTAAACATAGTTAAGCTGTGAAAGTGAGAATTTAAATAAATAAAAATAGGGTCAATAAAAAGCTACTTCAGTCCACAAATGATTCCGTCATTCAATTTCTGTAAATTGGTAGGTAGAGCATTTTGCAGTGTCTGTCAGCATTTCCATCCTTAGGACTGAATAAATAATTGAAGAATAAATAATTGTGCCAGTGCCTGGTCTCAGGGGCCATTTTTATAGATTGCCATCTAATGATAGTACCTCCTGCGTGACACTGTATTAATATGGGATAAAATTACATAGTTCTTTGTTTGCGCTGACACAGTGATGTTACAATGTCCTTTACTATTGTCTGGAATACAAGGCAGAGGTAATGGTGCAGTGAGTTTTTTACTGTTAAAATCTCCATGACGGAAAGAGACAGCTCTGTTTGTGTATTCCAAAGAAAGTAAGTTGGCAATGACGATTACCATCGCAAAAGTAGTAGGGGGGCAGGGGTGGGGGAGGAGTAAGGCTAAGAAAAGGATTGTTTTGATTACAAATGATGAGTAAGGCTAAAAATAGCTCAATTGGAAGATGATACCTCTTTAGCTTGCTACAGGAATTCTTCAGACCCCTCTCCTCTCCCATCCTTCTATCCACCCATTCTACAAATATCTCACAAGAAACGAATGCTGCACTTGGTACTGGAGTTTTAAGACTTATCAAGACAGAAACGTTCCTTTTCTGTCCAATTTCAACAGGTCTCTTTAGGTAGAGAATATGATAATGATATTGTTATTTTTAATAAACAACAGCTCCCACTCTTTGAGCTCCTATTGCATAAGAAGCACTTAAATCTTAAAACAGCATCCTGTCCCATTTTACAAAGGAGAAGCTCCAAAAGATGATGCACCTTGCCCAAGGTCCTAATTACACAGGTGAGTAGGTTAAAAGAAGCCAGGATGAAAATCTAGGTTCACTTCCCAGAATGCAACACTGCCTCTCCTAGTCTACCCTCACCACAGACCCACCAAATCAAAAAGAGGAAGGAATTTATCATTACTCACTTTGGGCAGGTATTAGACTCCCCGCCTTGGTTCCCTCATTTTGCAAAATGGAGAAAAGCATACCTATCTCAGAGGTACACGGTGAGCATGAAATTAGTTGATACCTGTAAAGCTCTTAGACCAGTTCCCTGACCTACAGTAGATACTTAGAAAATGTTTACTATTACCATGGCTTCAAAAAAGCAGGAAAGGACCAATGATACTGAGCATGCTTTAAGTACATATGGATGTATGAAACCATTCTGATTTAGGAAACTGATTTAGGACATTAGAAATGTTGTGAGAGCCATTTTCTCCATTCCATAGCACATAATCTGCTCTACATAATTTAGCATTTAATTATATACTGCCTTACATTGTTGCCTAATTGTCTGACCCAGCAAGACTCTAGCTTACCCTAAGGGGGGAGACCCTTTTTGCTTCTCTCGTTTCTCCCTAAGCCCCTGTGACCAGACCGTCAGTACTTTTGACTTAACATCAATTAATATTTGCAGTGGAAGTTTTACTTACAGAAAACATAATAGGATGAGATCGAAAGCAATGTGGAAATTGGTTGATTCTGGAGATAGATCTGGCTGCACATTTTTTCTGTTCATCCAACTTAATCATACCAACATCTTAGCTTGGCCGTGTCTTTTTTCTGTTCTTCCATCATACTAACATCTGTTCACAAGTGTGTTGGGATTTTAGCTAGGCATTTAACAAAATGTTTCAAGTCAGTTTCAAGGCATGATAAAGAAATCGAGAGAAAAACATTATTAGTGGGAACTCTTACCCAAAGGGACTTACTAATGGGTTACGGGAACCCAAGGCAGGTAGGTCTACAGAGATGAATTGAAGGGTTCTGACTTGCCAATATAGCCATCCAAGACACGAGGAGCACGATTACCAAATTTGAAAGAAGCCTGAAGTGGAGCAAGAATGACCTGATACTGGACTTCAGGGGCAGATGCCAATATTATCTCATCAGGCTGGAATTTGAAGCCAAATCTATTAAGAATTTCAGTATCGAAATATGTAAAAGTTGTAGTGAAGTCCACCAGAGGACAGAGGAAAATATATTCACTTAGTAGCCCATCTAGGAGTCTGTACAAATTTTTAGTTGATTAGAACTATGTTATACATTAGTGACATATGCTATACATTAGTGACATACGCTAACTAATTTTAGGTTACTCAAAGAGAAATGAAATGACACCTCCATCGGTGAAGCATGCTGTGGACGGCATTCATCAGAAATAGATGAGCTCTGGCAGGGTGCAGTGGCTCACCCCTGTAATCCCAGCACTTTGGGAGGCCAAGGTGGGCGGATCACTTGAGGCCAGGAGTTCAAGACCAGCCTGGCCAACATGGCAAAACCCCACCTCTACAAAAAATACAAAAATTAGCTGGGCATGATGGCACGTGCCTGTAATCCCAGGTACTCAGGAGTCTGAGGCACAAGAACTGCCTGAGCCTGGGACGCAGAGGTTGCGGTAGCTGAGATCATGCCACTGCACTCCAGCCTGGGCTACAGAGAGAGGAAAGGAAGAGAAGAGAAGAGAAAGAAGAGAAGAGAAGAGAAGAGAAGAGAAGAGAAGAGAAGAGAAGAGAAGAGAAGAGAAGAGAAGAGAAGAGAAGCCTCTTAAGAAGGATCCAGCACAAATAATTCCTTATGCAGAGAGGGAAGCATTCATGCCCATTCATTTCAGAAGAATGACTGTGTATCATATTAATAACATATAGCTATGACTTACTGAGCAATTACTAAAGCCAAATACTGTGTTAAGCATTTTATATGGATTTCCTTCTCTCATCTTTCCAACGGTCCCTTGGGACAGGCACACTCCAGCAGGTATGACTTCATTAGAGAAGGGAGGAGGGTTCGCCTGGAACCTTCCTTCTCAGTTAACACAAACTTTTCAGGCCCTCTCCCAGCCTCACCTTTCAGACGCTTCCACTCCCGCAGCACAAGAGCGGACAAAGAATTAAGGAAAAGGCAAAACCGGAATGGGGGTGGGGTGGGAGTGGGGGTGAGGGTGAGGTATGACAGAAATGGAGAAATTAGATAAATAACTGCGGGGACGGGGAGGGGGAGGGAAGAAGGATGGGAGATGATCTAAGCAACCAATAGGAAAATATGCATTTTTCTGAGATCACCACCACAAAAGTTCAGAGGTTGCTCCAGACACGGTAAATCTTTTCGTGTCTTCAGAAGTCATTTTCTGTCCCAGACATTCGCCCCTTTTCCTGTTGCAAAGAGAAAGGGGCCAGCGACCCGTGAAGAGCCAGGAATGCATCCGAGGGAGCTCCAGCTAAGTTGCAGGGAAGCTATTGTGCTCCCGTGAAGTTCAAAGGAAAGGACCGTCTGTCCGGGCTGCTGAGCTGTGGTGCAGGCAGAGGGCGCGGAGGCCCGGGCCAGGCAGAGCCCCACGCGTGTCCGGCCCCGCGCACCGCGGCCACCACCTTAGTTGCCTCGTAGGGGGCTACGAGAGAGAGAGAAGAGAGAAAAAAAAAAAAAGTCCCCACCAGACGGGTGAGAACATTGAATTGAGCGAGCCCGGGGCTTTGGGATCCGGCCAAGGGGTGAGGGGCGAGATATTTACATTTCTCCAGGCAAGAGAAAGGGAGAGCTGGGGGCTGGAGGGAAGGCTGGGAAAGAGTAAAAGAAAACAAACTGCTTTTTCCATTAAATATTCATGACAGCAGCTTTGCTAAGGCTAATGGAAAGCATATAAATCCCTTTACAACTCTGTTAAATGCAAAACGAGAAAAAAAAGATGGATGAGGGTCACAGCTTGCTCTGGGCAAATTGGAAGGAATATGAAAATCTGGACCACAGAAGGCTGGAAGCTCAGGGAGAGGAGAGCCGGCTGTGGGTTTTATTCAGACCCGTGCCAGTAGGTGTAGATACCAGTCTCATTCATTTCCCATCACTACAATAAAACACTAGTCAACAAGCGGGTTTTCAGTAACCCCACACTCCGAACAGGCATTTTTCCTCCTACAATTTTTTGTCTCAGATATAATGCCATGGTTACATCTGACAGATGTTACTGCTTTAAATCCTGCTTCAACACTGCTCTGATTTCCAGGAGCACCTGCAAAGGAATCTTTGGGCAAGTGCCCAAATTCCTGGGCCCAGAGAGACCAGGCTGTGCACAGTGTTGGAGTCTGACAAGGGACAGTATCTGGGAAGATCAAGTCTAGACTCACCCCAGGCCACTCTAGTTTTAGGCACCTTGACCGTGTTGTGTCTCCATTCCCGATACTGCAGCTGGACAAAAGGAAGAGAGGCTGATCTATGTGTTCCTCCTAAGGATACATAGCAGGAGGAGTGTCCTCTAAGGCACAGAAATGTTTGTAATGAGGGGACGCTGCACCCTACACAGTGTTTCTAACGACACAAGTTTCTCATTATTTAAACAATGAAAGAAGTTCCTTTGGAAGAAAGAGTTATTATTTGTACTGCAGTGGGTCATTGTTCTGGGTTTTGGTTTTTTTGTTTTATAGTTTATATATGGTATGTTAGGCCATTCTTGCGTTGCTATGAAGAAATACTGGAGACTGGGTAATTTATAAAGAAAAGAGGTTTAATTGGCCATGGTTCTGCAGGCTGTACAGGAAGCATGGCAGTGGCATCTGCTCGGGTTCTCCTGAGGCCTCAGGAAGCTTAAGTCAAGGCAGAAGGGGGAACAGGCATCTCACATGGCAAGAGAAGGAGCAAGAGAGAGTAGGGGAGAGGTTTCACACAGTTTGAAACAATGGGATCTCATGGGAAATCATTGTGTCCTGAGGACAGCACCAAGCCATGACGGATCAGTCCACATGACCCAAACACCTCCCACCGGACCCCACCTCCAACATTGGGGATTACATCTCAACATGAGATTTAAGGGGGACAAATATCCAAACTATATCATATGATAAAGAGAAAACAAATACATACATGGTTATGCTTTGGATAGGGAGTAGATTTATATATCCCCACTGAGATAATTCAGGGGAGAGGGAAGTATATTCCTAAAACAAAACATAAAGCAATATTCCAAAAGAACCTCCCAGAAAATTTGTAAGTTGCTTTATAAGAGTTATATGATCTCAAAGGCCACAAAACACAAAGTCAGCTGCTTTTACATGTACATGTAAGGTATCAACACCGATAAGGTTTTGAGAAAGAATTTCACTTTCCCCATTAGATCCCCATTCCAGTAGGAAAAGGGGATTGTGTCAACACTGGTGTTTAGAACATCCACTGTAATCATTTTGTACTTTCATTCTAGAGAATGTAGATATAATTGGCTGGTTTGGATGAATTTTAACAACAGCTGTAAACGTTAGTAAGTTTTCAATGGGTCCCTCCATCACTGTTACTCCCAAAGTCTTTGTGTATATTTCCACTATCACGCAGTAATTATTCCTTTCAGGAATATGTCTGTCTCAGCCCCTCTCCCCGTAGAACACCTCCTCAAAGGCCTTGAAGGCCAATGGCTGTGTTATTCACCCTCATGCCCAGAAGCAATGCAAGTATCTTATGAATTCCTCAGGAAACCCAATCCCTGCCACAAGTGCTCACACTGTCAGTGCTCACAATAGTAAGTGAGCTCCTATTACAAAGAAGGGTCTGCCGAGTGAATATTTGATGAAATTTTTAGGAGGTCGAGATGCCTTTGTTTCTTAAGTAAATCAATTACTTATTTTTTATCTTGTATTTCAGTTATAGAATTGACTGCAACTGGATGAAAATTATACAGTAATTTTTCTTTGATTTCATATAGATAGAAAATCAAGAATTATTAATGAGCAAATAAAAATAGAGTAATAATAAAATATTTCTTTTTTGTTGTTTTTTTGAAATGCTTGGAAAGCAATGTTACAATTTAAAACTAGAGGGAAAGGAAGGGGGTTGAAAATCAATCTCCAGACAGAATTTTCAATTAAAGAAACAACACACAGAAAAGTCCAAAAACAAGTTCATTTTTCTTCCAAAAAGTACATTTCAGAGTTTTTTTTCTTTTTAAAATAACATAAACAAATGATTCTACCAAGTCCAGAATTTCTAGGAGGCAAGACACAGTCCTTTCAAGGTAGTATGCTAGGAATGCCAAGAGCTCTGCTGCATATGAAAAAGGTCACCAATGAGCAAGGAGCTTCCAGCTCCAGGTATTCTCAAGCCTTCCAGGACCACCACCAGGCTTTCCACAGTCCCCTAGGCCTTCTTCCTTACTGAGGCATATGCAGCCAGGATTCAACTGAGACCAACCTGATCAAATTCCCACCAAAGGAGGACTCAATGTATATGGGAACCAAATAGAATAAAAACTGTATTTCCACAGTTATTGCACCATAGATAGCTCTCCATACACTTCTATAGCAAAAATACTAAGTCCTTACTGCTACAAGAGCCTATCCTGAAGGATCCTTAAAAGCAGCATTACCTTATTGCATTTATCATCAAAGCAGTAAACACAAGGCTTGGTACACTGGAAGTGCTCAATAACATTTGTGGAATGAAAGAACATGGCAAAAGAAATAAGGAAACCAAACAGAATTCGGCAGAAGATTTAGGTCTTAATTATTCTGAAAAGCAATAAAAACAGAATTAACCTAGGGACTCTAATAATAAATATCAAACAAAGTGACAATAAATTAACTTCACAATTAAAAAAATGTTTTTAAAGAGTTACCTTTTCTACCTAGTATTCCTGGCTAGGTCCACACTTTAACAAATATTCTTTATATTTTCATTAACAACACTTTCACATTCACTACAATTAAAATCAGTACTTACAGCCTATATTATAATTTCGATTGTGTTCTTTTTTAAAAAAAGAACATTTATGAATACCAAAATGCTTCTGTTATAATTTGAGTGCTCATTCTGTGTACTACTGGCAACAGACTATTCTTAGTAGTAATCATATTTTGTATTTCTTTATAGTTTTATTATTCAGGTGTACCTCCCTAGACACTATGATTTAGTCTTGGCCATTTTTTAAAACAAATTTTTTTTCTATTCTTTAAGTCACTTTGAATCTACATATTCCTTTTCCAACTCCTTTTTTACACAACTCACTATGTATCTGTTGAAGAAGAACAAGGGGCATTTGACCAGATTTTTCCTGTTTATTTTTATTTTATTTTATTTTTGAGATGAAGTCTCGCTCTGTCACCCAGGTTGGCGTGCAGTGGCACAATCTCCACTCACTGCAACCTCCACCTCCTAGGTTCAAGCAATTCTCATGTCTCTGCTTCCCGAGTAGCTGGGATCACAGGCACAGGCCACCATGCCCAGCTAATTTTTGTATTTTTAGTAGAAACGGGGTTTCACCATGTTACCCAGGCTGGTCTCGAACTCTGACCTCAATTGATACACCCACCTCAGCCTCCCAGAGTGTTGAGATTACAGGCATGAGCCACCATGCCCAGCCAACTTTTCCTTTTTAAATTTTACTAACAAGGCTTCCTAGGTCATGACCATTTTTTGGTGGGAAAAAAAAAAAAAAGCTTAGTCCCAAAGGTCATTCTGAAAGACATTTACATCATAAATACATACGTCATCTTTCCACAAATGAAGGGTAATTAAACAAGGGTAAACATGTAGCCTTTGGTTATGTTACATCACATACCACCATGTTGGGAAATTTTAAATTGCTCCTATTCATAAATAGGGAAATATGAGTCATAGATGTGTTTAGTTAAAAAAGATTAAGGAAAACCAAGAGTGAGACGTGCACATATGCAAAGAAAAAAAAAGTCTCAAGTGAAAGACAAATTGTTACAAAGATCAGACTTTTGAGAACACAAAGAACAGTCACACTGAATTCCATTCAAATATTAAGAACCTACCATGTGCAAAAAAAGTGCTGCAAAAACACGAGTTAAGATTTTAAGTTCCATTAAAAGAGAAGTTATGATAAAAGCACACACACTTAATGATTCCTGTTTTTGCTGTAAAAGTTCTTATATGCTATAAAAATGTTACTAAAAATACGTCCCTCATAGACAAGATTTTTCATGAGTAAAATGAACACAATTAGATATACTGACGAATCAGGAAAATAGTCATCAAAAACATTTTTTAATCAAAGTCAATTCTGCATAGGAAAAAATAATTTTAAGGGTACAAAAAGCAACATACTGAAATATTAAGGAAATTTGATCTCCTTATCTTTAAAAATAATCAACTATAGTTCAAACAAGCCGAGCAAATGGGAAGATACTAATTTTTCACCATGTCCACAAGTTGGAGGCTAATTTCCCTCTGTGCATGAAGAGTATTAATTACTCGAATAAAACCTTTTTGGTAAAGCTTAGAGTTCCTTTTGATGTCAAAAACACAGAAAGTTCAAAGGTTAGACAGCCACTCAACAGTATGACAGGCCTAAAACCTGAACAGGAAACTCATTTCTAAACTTACCCGTAAGGTATTGCAATCCTAAGGCCAGAGTGGCCAGGCATTGTTCAGCCGGCTGGTGTTTTTGTACTTTGCCTAAGGATTTATTCAGAGGGGTGACAATACCTGCCTCATCACCAAGGAGAAACATTCTTTTGGATACAAAGAATCCCAGCCATTTCTTCTAACACCGCCCCCACCCCCACCCCACCCACTAATTAGTTTCTCAACATTCTGGAAGGCCAAAGACCCTAGTCAAGTTGAATAGCCCCGGATTTAGCCCACATTATGTTCTATCTTGCACTTCACACCCCTCCCAAAATTAAAAAGAAAAGAAAAAACATGAACCACATTGGATGTAGTCAGGAGGAGGATGGCTGCAACAAGATTTACTTGGAAATAAGAAATAACTTCAATAGAAAGAAAGAAGTGGCTAATCATATAGAAAAGGTGTCATTTACAAAAGGTTACCAGAGGCATATAAACTCAGGGAAGCCAGATTTTGGCATACAGTGTGAGTCATTCCCTTATTCAATAAACATTCCCTAATGCCTCCAGGCACCCTGCTAGGCACTGGTTGAAAAGGCAAAAGTGGTCTCTGTTCCCAAAGAGTTCACAATGCAACAGGGATTTGAACTGGAAATATGAATATGAGTATCTGTTTGGTAGAGACCTCAGACAATCATCAAAGCAATAGAGAAAATGGTATGGAGGACGCCTCCACAAATTCAGATCATCTGTGTTTTCTGAGTTGTTCAGCTGATAAATGTGACTTGCCTTTTATCATCAACAAGAACTTCGTACCACCCTGAAATCTGATCAAATACTGTTTCCCTGAAATAGGAGATATCATCCATTTTTTAACCACTCAAACTTCTTCTCTTATCTATTAATTTCACCATTCTTTAGATTCAATATATCAAGTCTGGAAACTAATAGATGAATTAAGTAAATAACTGCCTTTTTTTTTTTACCTCCCATAAATTGGATCCAGTTATCAGCAAAACACTGAAGTTCCCTGAAGAAGTTCTGGTGGAGACTGAAACATTAGTTTTTAAAGGAGATTAGTTTTAATCAAATACTTAACCTTTTATATCACTTGTAGTTTAAATGGTATTCTGCAGGCGTTGGGCATAATCAAAATGAAATGCATTTTTCTCTGAAGGTAGTTCTTTTAAAACTCGGCCAATAATAATGCCTTTTAAAGTGCAAGGATTTTTGCCACCGAAAGAACCTGAGCAATGAACTTAAAACTACATTTTTAAGTATATAGATAAAAAGCATACCTCATCTATTATAATAGGTGGAGCAAGTGTTGGCCCTCCTTTACTAAATACAGAAGTCTCATACTATGAGAGGCACTTCAATGCAGTGGGAAGTCATAAAATGTGGTTCCCATTCTGGTTTCTTCACTAATTAACACATCATCTCTCCATGTCTCAGCTTCCTCATAACCCTACTCTTCAGCAGGCAGATAAGACCATTAACTCTTTTGGAGGGCTAGGGGGGAGGGTGGAGTCCTAAAATTCAATGGATAATAAAACTAGTTAATATTTAGGGAGCACTTATCTTATGCCAGGCACTGAGCAAAATGCTTTTCATTCAGTATCTCATTTAATTTTACAGAGCAGCACTAAAAAGACAGATACCAGAATCACCATTTTACCGATGAGGAAATGGGGGCTTAGACAATTAAATGACACGCAAAAGGATATCAAATACTCATAACCACTAACCTCAACCATTTCCCCAAGCCTTGAAGTTCTCACTAGGTCATGCAGGTAACCAGATTCCAACTGATTTTTAAAATACACTGTTTTCCAGAAAAAGAAACATTTTGCAGTATTTTTACATAAGATTGCTGAATGTCAATTCTGCATACTTTTGCAATAAGAAGGTTTCAATCAAACAATTTCTCTCTTTGTTTTAGCTCCAAGTAGATATACTATGCATAGATAACTGCTTCTAAAGTCAGAGCAGTGTTCTGGAATGCAGAACCAGATCATCTGCTAGGATGTACATTTTCATCCCCAATGTCTACAGAACAGGTATTTGGGGGTCTTACCTTTCATAAAGTGTTTTCATCACAGAAGCTGCCCCCAAAGAAGATGAGGAAGCAGATATCTAAATAACTGTACCTCTTCCTCAGTAGTCTTTCTGATCTTTGCCCATCTGCCTTTCATCCCTGCATATACTGAGTCCCAGGAGGAGATGGGGAAAAGGGGATTACAAAGAAATTGCCACTGTCATTTAATGAATTGATGCTGGCGTGCTTTTAATAGCCCCATTTAATTGTGCAGTCGTATTTTCTGCAGAAGCCCTCCTACCACTAATGTATTAACAGTCTCTTACCCTGCCCCGGGGAATTACAACTGCTCCATTTTCTCCTCTTTCAACCCAGTCTGTACATTATTTGCCTTCCTCTTAAAATTGTCACAAAAACCGAGAGCAAAACAAAAAATTGCAAGGTTTTAGCCAGATATAAGGTAAATATATGAAAATATGGCATTTAACTGCTGGGGGAAACAAGAGTCGGGGAGTTCTTGTAAAAGAGGAGTGTGATTAACAGTATAAAAACGATCAAGTCCTGCGGCCACAATCATGGGGACAAGAAATGTTAATTTCCCGTTATTTTAAAACCATAACATCATTGACTCCATTACAGAGAACTGATGGCAACATGTGACCTCAGACTAGGGGAAGGGGATGGATTTTCTCATCCTAAGATACTATGCCAGGCCAAAAATAACAAAATGCATTAAAAATAGCTGAAGTCTTAACTGAGGCCTGTTGTATCCAGGGATATATTTATTTCTAAACTTTCGCATCATGCACCATAACACAATGCAAAAAGAACAATTCTCATGTAAGTTTCACTATTGTCCTAAAAAGCATTGTTCTTCACATCTGAGAGGAAAAAAAGTTTCTAAAACTAGACATCATGAAAAGGCATCTTAAGATTACGGCTGGAAATCTTTTGATTTTATTATTTGGAAAATTCTAAATTTATTTTCCAATAAGATCTTTCTGTTCTTTCCCCATCATACTAATACGAATAAACCTCCCCCAAAATAAAACCATTATAAGGTGACAATAAGATTGAGTAATCCAAAACAAGGATATTTTAGCAGATGTCCAGTTTCTTTTAACAAGAAACAGATGGGCAAAATTTAAGTAAATGTGGGGTATCAATTTCTATACAACAAATGAGTTCCAAACTTACAGGTAATGCAACCCAAAACACCAGGCCAAGCTAACTATAATTATATAGTGAGCTGAACACGTTTTCTTTTAATTCCATTTCAAATGGTTTTCTCACACGTCTTTCCTACCCACATGCCCGGTGAAATCTCTGCTGGTCTTCTGGACTTCATTTTAATTTCCCTCACTCATTCTAAATTTCTTCTGAAATTGAAAATAGAGAAGAAAGAATTAAGTTTGGAGCGAGGGAAAGAAACCAGAAATTTCAGAACAGTAAGGCCAGCACTACTGATTACACTCTCTTCCAATCAGTTTCTCAATCTCTGTCACCAGGATACGCCCTGGAGTATGTACTTATAGCCCAAGACATTTTTACACCTCTTATAGTTGATTGACAAGACCAATTGACAGTTAAACTGGTGGGGCTTGCGAGATGGAGAAACAGACATATCTCCTCATTTTAAGCATACAATTTGATAAAATTCCATCTCAGGATATAATGATACTTTTAGCTAAACTCTGGTCTTGAGGAATTTAAGAACCAAATTTGAAGTTTAGACTTGTGAATGAGCCTAGGACACAAAAAGCACTTAATAAACGCATACTCAATGCCTGAGTGAATAATCTACAGAACAGTAATCTCCACAATTAAAGAACATTTATGGAAGACACTGTACTATTTAATACTCTCCATCGAGTCCCCATTGCTCCTATTATATCTGTTATGAATATATCTTCTTCTTATGTGGCTAATCACCCACCAGTCACCATAAGTGTTTAATGATTCAGGTTGTCAAGGCCAGCCTGGCCCTAATCCATATTCTGAATATAAAGAATTCAAGAACTAAACCCAGTATCATTAGGCAGACAGGTTCTCTGCCTATGCCCTAGGTGACACCTCAACACCTCTCTTCCTAATCTAGTTTAATAGGCTCCTAAGACGCCACACCCTTTCTGGTGTTCTTACTGCCCAGCACAGTCCCCAGGACATAGTAAGAAGCTCAATAGAAGTTTTCTAAACTCAAGAATCAAGCACTATTGACCAAGCTATTGGTCAATGGGTCTCAATAAGAAAAGAGGGAGGCGGGGCGCAGTAGCTCATGCCTGTAATCCCAGCATTTTGGGAGGCCAAGACGAGCAGATCACTTGGGGTCAGGAGTTCGAGACCAGCCTGGCCAACATGGTGAAACCCCATCTCTACCAAAAATATAAAAAATTAGCCAGGTGTGGTGGTGGACACCTGTAATCCCAGCTACTCCGAAGGCTGAGGCAGGAGAATTGCTTGAACCCGGGAGGCAGAGGCTGTAGTGAGCCAAGATCATGCCACTGCACACCAGCCTGGGTGATACCATCAACCAGTCTGGTAATGATTTATCTTTGACCTAGTAATCCCACTGGAGTGGATCCTGAGGAACTTATCTATTAGTTTGGAAGACAAATGAGGTAATATACAAACCACTGATCTAATCACCAAGCTCTCTCAGTCAAACTGAATGGGAGAGATTCAAGATCCTCAACTAGGACTTTTATAATAACCTAGACCAAGACTGTCTGGTGATCACAGAGTATACAGAGTTAAGATGCAAGGAACTCTCCCAAGCTAGAATAAATAGGACTTGCTAAAGTGACTATGTCCCAGATGCTACCTCCTGGGATCAACTGCAAGTCGTGTCATAGGAATTATCACAGAGCACAAAGTCTGTACTACCATAGTACTTGTCATAATGCATCTTGTTCATGCTTGGTTGTGTGCACATCCATCTCTTTCACTGGGCTGCAGGCTCAAAGACTGCAGGGATCAGATTTTCATGCAGCAATTCAACAACCAAGCAAGAAACCAAGCTGGGCATGTTATATAATTCAGTCGTTATTAAGCCTGCCTGACAGAGCATCAGGGTCACTTGTAAAACCTTCAAAACCCAAATGCCCAGAGCCCAGCTCCTCGAAATGCTGGGTCCACATATGTCAGTGTTTTGAAAAGTGCTTAAGTGACTCTGGGAGCACAGTCCAGGCTGAGACCTAGGGCATGGCATTAGGGAAGCGTTTGATTCCAGAGCCCAGTTCATGCGGTGTTCAAATCCTACTCCGCCCCTTATGCTTTGCACGACTCTGGGCAAGTCATTGAACTCAAGTCTTGGTCTCACTTTCCTCATCCGTATTAATAAAATGGAGACTGGCCTAATGTACTCAAAGAGCTTTTGCAAAAATTAGATGAAATAGTGCATGTTAAGTATACTGCCTTCTTTATCCACAGTAAGTACTTAATAGATGACAGATATTCGGGCTGGGGGCCTAAAGCCCAGTGCCTTACACAATCCATATTGTATTACAATAGATGTTTATGGAAGGAAATGGGATGAGCCTTTATGGCTAACAAGGTACAGATGTTTCGATTGTTAAGCATCATACACCATCAGGTACCACTCTTCATCCAAAGATGGTGTGACAAATTGACAAAGGGTTAGGAAAAAGTGTTTAGAGAGAGGTGGGTAAATTCAACTTGGCTATCAAATGTATATCATATAGAAACAAGGATGCTGAGGTTATTAAAATAACCTATTTGCTACAGCCTTGGTGTCTGTCCTCTCTCCCATGGGAACAATGGGAGGAAGGGTGAGCAGAAGAAAGAGTAACACCCTCCAGGTTGTGGTACTATTGTGTGTTGCCATTTTGTTATTAAAGCCATATACCATAGCTTAGGCGTGGGGGACAACAATAAGTGGCATCGGGCCAGCTTCATCAGAAGGTTAGTATTTCCTATAGATTTATGGTACCTAAAGGGTTGTTTTGTTTGTTTGTTATTGGGGCTGTTTTTGTTTTTTTTTTTTTTTTGGTTGATTGGTCATCTTACCAAAGAATATGGGAACATACTATATTCAGAGCCTACTGAAAGACAATGCCATTTTTACAGTAGAAGTCACTGGGGAAAAACAATTTGCTTAATAAACATTCACTTTACTGCAAACTTTAAGGGAATGCATCCATTACACAACTGGGAACAAGAGCCACATGTTCACATACACATATCTATCCTATGTTACTCGTGTGTGTGACGGAGGCAAAAAAAAAAAGCAGTGTTTTTACTGAAATAAAAATGTACCTGTTTTGTTGCAGAGCCTTGAAAAAGAAAAGCTTAATCCACTCTGCATTTTCACAAGCAACAAATTTTGTGTCACTGTGTATCCTCTGATAATCTATTTTAAAGGAACATTTCAAGCACCAGAAAAATAAAAGAAAAATATCCCTTAGATGAATCTGACTTGTAAATAAGGAAAGCTATTAAGTGCTTACTGTTTTTGGTCTCTCTATCATAAACACTATAAATAATCTCAGAATATACAGCTCATCTGGCCCTACTCAGCGAGGCCTCATTTTTTTAGTAAGGAAAAGCACACAATACTGGCTAATTTTCTGGTACCCAATCCTCATCTTTTAAAAATAAATAAATGAATAAAAAGGTGGGAAGAGGAACACTGTCAATCAGATAAAATAGAAAGTCTAGGAATATAAGCAAGTCTTGTGTATTGCCTATCACGTACATGGCTAGTTATATTTATTGACTGCCTAAAATTTGTGAAAGGCCACCTCCAAAATTTCTTGACATCACCAGTATTTTTATGGACTTGGGAGCCTCTTTAGGTAAACCATTTTAGGAGCAAGAGTACAGAAATAATCCATCCTGAAAATGCCTTCTAGTCTAAGCACCTGGCATAAAGCTATTGTGACCAGTGATTTCATATTATGGCCTTCCACACATAAAGGAAATGCTCTGAATCCTAAGGACTAATTGCACATCCACAGACTTCCTCTTTCAACAGAGCTTTTAATTGGGCACTTTAAGTTGCCAAGTACGTTCAAAAATGGTATTTCCAGTAAGCACGCAAAGTGATCTTGAATTGGAATATTCAGCTTCCCTTTGGATGAGGAACTGATGCACTTATTTTAAGCTGTTCATTCTCTAGTAGATGACAACATGAAGGGAGAAACCGAGAATCTTGGTCTATTTAATTCAGCTTGCATTCATAATAATATGAATGTTTCAGTATAATTTCAATGCAAAAAGATAATGTAAAAAGGGGTTAGAAATCTAAAATTAGAAACCACTACTCAAACAGGATATAAATATTAGATATGTGTACTTCTACTTCCTGTAAGCAATTAGTTTTGTAGTAGACAGAATGGGATAACTATTTAGGAGCTTAATTTTGTGTTAGACTAGGTTGTTTCTGAAACTTCCCTCCTCCAGTAAAACCCCGTGTTTTGATTCAAAAGAAAAGGGTAGATATCACCTACAAGACTCTGCAACATCACACAACCACATAAAACTGTCACCATGAAATACTGCGCTGCATGATTCTGTTACTGCTTCTTTTATTCTTGCAGCAATGGACACACAACTTCAGAGGATGAATTCGCCACTTCAAGGCTCGTGCCCAGCGCTGGATAGAAACAATGAAAACAGTCTTGGGAACAGGAGCCCCTAGGGATGTGGGTACTGCCATCCAATCTGACAGCAAATACACCTTTGAATTAATAATTTTCGTACTTCCCACACTCTGAATTTTTTTTCCTGAGATAAGAATATTCCTCTATTCCTAGAAAGGAGCCCAACCCTGAAATTGAATCCAATGCTACAAAACCATTGAATCGTTTCATCAGATATTCACATACTAAAACTAAAACTAAAACCTTAGCTTCAGATTGGAGGTACAGTTTTCAAAACAGCTATTAGACATTGTCAGGGATCTTTAACCAAGGATCAGAGCTCTACAAACCCTATAAAAACGTACGTAGAAGTTTGATGTGTACTTTTCTGGAAGGCGGTTTTAGAATCCACAGAGTGCTCTCTGACCTAAAAAAGTCAATAACCAACCATAAAGTTGTTTCTTTAATTATGCTGGGGAGAAAAAAATCATAAAGTTATGCCAGTTGAACAGAATATTGAAGGAAAACATTTTCCTTCAATCTAATGTGTTTACACAGAAAGAATTTAATGACAAACTTTTACTACAACAGAAAAAAAATTTTTTAATAAAAGATAAGTTTGATTCATGCATGTAATTGGGAAGCATTTGTTCTTATTGTTGTTACATATTAATGTACAAAGAGATTCTTTCTCCTATGAATGAACATAAAAACCTGGTAGAAACAAGCCCATTCTCAGGCTTATAAAACAAGCCTTTACAGATAATTATGTTTTATTACTCTTCATTTTATGGGGATTGTGTTATACAAAACAAATACCAGACGCCTATTTGTTTTATTCGTTTCAGGGCAAAAAAAAAAAAAAAAAAAAATCCTACAAGTGCCTCTGTGAAGAGAACTGCTTTTAATTAAACACAATGCACAAGGAGCACATAAAGTTAATACTGTTTGAAGCCAGCAGGTAGAGAGTAAATGCATTGAACAGCAACTGCTGAATCCCCCTTCTTCTCCCGGCTGCTGCACTGAAAACATTCCCAGGCTTATTACTTGGGAACTCAAATCAGCAAGGGATACTGGAACAAGGTCATTCATGGACTCATCTTGGGGAAACTAAAGCCAATGTCCATGGACATGTTAAACTTGGAAGTGAGAAAACAAAACAAAACAAAAATGTATTTTAAGGGCACCTGTATTAAACCAGACTGCACATTAACTCTTCTTTATGAAATCGGGTAGATCCCTTCTGAGCCATTTGGCTAAAGCTGTTAAGATGGAATGAACCAGGTTCATTTCTGCTACATCAAAAAATGCAACGAGATTTCTGGCACGGTTCAGACTTAATCTGCAGCCACCACAGAAGGACATGTCAAACAGTGGCTGCTATCTGATTAATATAGTAATGCTTAAAAAAAAAAAAAAGGTAGGGGAAGAAAGGGGGGAGACCTAAAGAAAAGAACAGTCAAACTAAAATTTGACAGTTTCTTCCTGACCCCAAAAAAATAAATCAGATCTGTTCAACTGTGGGTTCTAATCAGAAAGTGAAAATTCAACATGCAGCATTTTAGCCCCACAATGAGAAAAATGTGATGCCTTCTCTTTTTTTTTTTTTTCCTCTGCTTTTGTTTTCTTGTTTACTTTTGATCAAATCATGGTAAAACCCATTCACTGTCCTGGTCCTAGACTTAGATATTATCTGGCCAGTTATGAGCTGTACTCACTAGTGCCAAGAGAGAAAATAAACAGTTTGAAAGCACCGTGTGAAGTAATATGAAACAGCCTGAAATTGTATCTGGCAGCCCGCTTTCCACAAAGAATATCCATACACCTTTAACTAGTCACACTTACTTAAGGGGTCACACCCCACCTTCCGCTACTGGCATTTCTGAATCTCAGAGTAGTCTTGATTCAAGGAGAACGTGTGTTATTCTTTTACACGAGACTGATCATTTCTTGGCTAGTGTAATTCAGTCTTTTGAATAAATGGAAAAAATAAATTGTATGTTATTTTTATACAGAAAAAAAGGCCTTAATATCATAAGGTTTTTTTATAGCCCTCAAAACTGATTTTTAAATGGAGGTAGGCAACTGAGAAAATAAGCATTTAAATTAGTTTTCACCCCAAAGCCCCCCAAAATTTTGCTTACAAAATTAGGGTACTCCTCATTCTCAAAGAATTGGGGGTGAATATACAGAAAAAGACTATAATCAAGAGTGAAATGCCAAATTTTACACTCAGTTATAAACTAATCGAAGGAGCATTTTCACAGCAGACTCCCTTATAGCTGTAAAAACAGAATGAGGGAAAGATCTATATGGAGTGACATGGAATCGTGTTTGATATATGATTAATCTTCTTTTCTAATAAGAGAAATTACAAAAGAGTATATCTATGCCATGATCCTGTTTTCAAGAAGATAAACAGCATGTGCTTAGAATAAAATATATCCACTAAACTATTCAAGGTGGTTATGGGAAACAAATGATAGGGAACTTTCACTTTCTATAATGTCTGAACTCAACAATGCTACAGTATTACTTTTGCAATCTAGATTTTAAAAAATATGTCCTTTTTTAACACATTCGCCAGATTATTAAAAACCTTGGGTGTTCTCTATCTGAAAAGTGAAAGGTAAAATTGAGCTTCTGAGATGAAAACTCTTATGTGCTAGAAGGGTTTCACTTAAATGACAGTAGGAGGTTTTACATAGGATACGGGAGAGCCAGAGGACAGGAAGCATGTGTGGTGTGCGCGTGCATGAGTATGTCTGCCTGTGTGTGCAAGCACAAGCCTTCAGAGGAAAGAGGGAGGGTTACTGAAAAAAAGAGTAGCTAAAAGGAAGAAGCAGAGAGTAGGGTGAGGTGACTCAGACTGGAGGCAAGGCTTTTGTAAACAGCCACAATAAGTACCTCCGATGGTCCCTTGGTAACTGCTAGAGAGAACCTAGGAAAAAGAGGTGTATAAAATTCCATCCTTTTCAGTGGTGGTGAGAGGTGCCAGGTGCTATTCTGCAGAGAAGTGTCAACCAAAAACCTGTAAAAAAGAGCCAAGTAGGCCACAAGTGGTGGCTCATGCCTGTAACCCCAACACTTTGGGATGCCAAGGCAGGAATACCACTTAAGACCAGGAGTTTGAGACCAGCCCGGGCAACACAGGGAGATCCCATCTCTAAAAAAATAAAATAAAAAATTAGCAGGGTGTGGTGGCACACGTCCTGCTGGCACTCCAGAGGCCGAGGTGGGAGGATTGCTTGACCCTGGGAAGTCAAGGCTGCAGTGAGCCATGACAGTGCCACTGTCATCCAGCCTGGGCAACAGAGCAAGACCGTGTCTTGAAAAAAAAAGGCAAAATTGTCTAGGGATGAACCGTGGAAGCTGAAGCCACTCTGTAGAAAACCATGCATGTCCCTGGCCGGGTGCAGTGGCTCATGCCTGTAATCCCAGCACTTTGGGAGGCCGAGGCAGGCAGAACACCTAAGGTCAGGAGTTCAAGACCAGCCTGGCCAACATGATGAAACCCCATCTCTACTAAAAATACAAAAAATTAACTGCGCATGGTGGCGGGTGCCTGTAATCCCAGCTACTCGGGAAGCTGATGCAGGAGAATTGCTTGAGCCTGGGAGACAGAGGTTGCAGTGGGCCAAGATAGGGCCACTGCACTCTAGCCTGGGTGAGACAGTGAGATTCTGTCTCAAAAAAAAAAAAAAAAAAAAAAAAAAAAAAAGCATGTGCCTGATAGATGACACCACAGAATTATATCCTTGTGAATCCTGTATACACAGGTTTATACTAAGGGATCAGAGTCCAGGAAAGCTGTTTTGTACCACAGGTGGTTGGCTGAGCATGGCATGCTGGTGCCTCATTCATTTGCAGACAGTTAGCAAGGAGGCTCTGGTCCCAAGGGCACAGTCTGTCCCTTCCTTCAATGGGGCAGCTGAAACACCAAAGAAGTCAAGGAGGGGACATCTTCTATTAGGAAGTTGCTAGAGAGTTCCGCTACAATTCTCTTCAATGAGTTCACTATCTCTCAGCCTGCTCCCCAAAAGGAGACAGTTTCAAAGAACATAAACTGCACCCGGCCAAGAACCGAGGCCTATCTTAGACAATACGATGCAGCTCAAGTTCCATAAAGCAGGCTTGTAGGGATATTACAGTTATGACCAGGAACCTACTTGTAGCTAAAGTGACAATCAAAGGCATGAGTTATTTCAAAGGTGCAAATCATCATCCGATTTTGGTAAATCTCTAATTTCACTCCTACTATTTCGAACCTCAAGGAGGGTAAAATATATAGAGATATGGATATATACCTTCTAAACTTACTTTTTCTATTCAACAGTCTCTGTGTTATTACAAAAAAATAAATAAGTCGGCCGGGCGCGGTGGCTCACGCCTGTAATCCCAGCACTTTGGGAGGCCGAGGCGGGCGGATCACGAGGTCAGGAGATTGAGACCATCCTGGCTAACACAGTGAAACTCCGTCTCTACTAAAAATAAAAAGAAAAAAAAATTAGCCGGGCATGGTGGCGGGCACCTGTAGTCCCAGCTACTCGGGAGACTGAAGCAGGAGAATGATGTGAACCTGGGAAGCGGAGCTTGCAATGAGCCAAGATCGCACCATTGCACTCCAGCCTGGGCGACAGAGCGAGACTCCATCTCACAAAAATAAATAAATAAATAAATCTAACTCTCCCTCTCTCTCTCTATATATATATGTATCTTCTAAACTTACTTTTTCTATTCAACATTCTCTGTGTTATTACAAAAAAATTAAGTAAATCTAACAATTCAGATCCAAAAGTTTTTCTGCACTAAAAGGCCACCATGACCAAAAGCCACTCATTCAACAAGTATTTCTTGGAGACCCACTATAAACTCAGCACTGGGTTAAGTGCTGGGAAACAGATTAAAAACAAATATACACCATCCCTGTTCTCATGAACCTAATTGTTATTCAAGGTTATAACTAACACAAGACTTAATCTGAGCCCAAGTCGAGTATAAAGTGTGAAATATCCAAATAACTGTCATTAAAATATATTTGGAGGAAAATAATGCAGAGAAAACATTTATCAGGCACATTTTTCCACCATGAAAGGAAATGCTATATACTTTGATCACAATATTTTTTTGTCTGTCACCCTAGGTCTGTATTTGAAAAGGAGATATAGAAAACTAAAAGTCCAGAATATACCATATCTTACCTTCTATTTGGGATCTAGAATTTCTAGACTAAAGAGGAGGCTACAAAAAGTTAATCAAATATGATATTTACTAAGCACCTATCAAGCAACCTACCACCTTGGAGGTGGACTCTGGGATACAGAGGAGAATGAATCAGCTTTACCCCTGAAAGTACAGAAACCTAGACAGTTAAAAACCAAATAATTATAATGCAAGGTAGAATGAGTTAAGGTCCCAAATGGGATTCAAGGGCTACAGCCACTGACTTACTGCCCCTGTCTAAATTCCAGAATTTTCCAAGGCCCTGAAAGACATAAGGAGGACGATCCAAGCCTGAATGCCTGGACCCCTAAAATTATACAGGGCAAGAGAATACCGGGACTAGGGGGACTTTCGAAAGTCCCTCCGCACGTGTTGGAAATCAACTCTTAGATTACCATCTCACCTGCCGGTGTGGACAGAAAAACGTGTAATACAAGCACCTGATGATGAGGCTGGTGATAACCAGGGAATGCCCTAGGCTGAAGGGCAGGCCAAATCACTGCTGATTTATTCTCTGCTATCTGAAAAATCACTAGGCCATTTGTAAAACCCCCAAGGGGGACTAAAATGACAGGCTTCAAATGACAGTTCTTACACCATGTCCTGAATAGGAGCAAACTGAGAAAGCTCCCAGGCCACACCATGCCTGGGAGTTCCAAAAGTGAGTATCTTATACTTTCACAGACATGTCCCAAAAATCCAATTAATTCATCTCATCTAATTAAAGGAGTTCATTGGAAATGCAATATGGTATTTTTATCGTGCTGCTGCTTGAATCTCCAAGTCAGTGAACTAGAAGAAAGAAATTTTTATTTTGTGGAGAAGATACAAGAAAACTTTGGGAAAAGAAAGGAGAGGATACACTCCCCCCACCCCCCAAAAAAGCCCTTTATAAAACAGCCCCTTGATGCTTGGCAGAAAACAATATACACCACATGCTCCAGAAAAATTCCCAGCAAAAAAAAAAAAAAAAAAAAAAGATTTGAAATTTGAATACATGTTCCACATACAAATACAGGCCTATAATCATCATTGTGCATAACATACATACCCTGCTTCCTGTCTTGAGCCAAGCACTATCAAATTTGGGATCAGACATTCCATCTCACTTTACTTATACTTAGTGAACCATTTGCCAGAGTCTCTTTTTGAACAGTGGATGTTAGAGAACCCTCTGTATAATTCTGTAATGTATAAGAAGAATTTAATCCTGTTCTAACATGCTTTTTTTGGATATGGTGAAGTTTCAAGGAACACAGATGACCCAATGACAGCAAAGCCTGCTACAATGTGGAACTGGATAGGAATCAGATCACATCTGGATTTGGTGGCCAACACGGTATCACAGAAAGGCTCTTACAATGTGTTTATTCATAATTGCAGCTTTGTCTCCTGAGAAAAAGAATGAAAACTTAAGTTCCAATATGTCTGAATGCTCCCAGATCTTCAAATCACAGGCTAGAATTTCTTCTCTAAGTTTTACCTTGGCCCTGTTATAAGTTTATCCTCAAGGATAGGCATACACTGTTTAAACTTAACATGCAGAAACGGTGCAGAGGTCTGGGTCCTGCTGCTACTGATAATGCCATCCTCAAGAAGAAGCCATCAGTTGTTAGCAGCCCTTCAAATTGTTGAAAGTAGAAAGTCATTCACTGTTATCGCGCTTCCTGATTTGCTAAGTGCCCCTGCACGGTGGAATCACTTGCTTGGCTACCTGGATTGCTAGAAAAGAAAAATAGTTTTCCCTTCTCTATCTCGCACAGGTTTATCTCTGAAAGCTATCTCAGGTGACCGACCCCCAGCACATTTGCTACCCGTTTTAATGTTTTTTCAAGAGGCAGGAACAAGACCTCTGTGACTGCTCAGCTTCACAGAACTAGTGGGAAACATAATACTTTTGTAATAGGAGAACGAATTTTTTTAAAGACACAAAGTCATATTAATGATTTGTACTCTCGGTTGAACAACATCTGGGAAATAAAAATCTACTGTATTTTGGCAACAGTTCCAACAGGTGGTTGGAATTCTGGGCACTTGCCAAACCACCAGGAGCTTCTATATGACTGGCAAGCTAATGTACAATATTGCACACTACAATTATAATGAGCTGTAAACAGGTCAAATGAAAGAAATGAAATTAAAACCATGATAAACACATACAAACGGTAAGCCTGAAGTTACAGGCATCAAATGTAGTTTAATGGAACAGACAGAATAATAATGACAGTAACAATAGTTTCTTATTGAGTGTTTACTATGTTCCATGCACTATTCTAAGCATATTACATGTATTATTACTCATTTAATCCCTGTAACAGCAACCCTATGAAGTTGAAATTGTTATCTCCATTTTACAAGTGAAGAACGGAAACAGGGAAGCTGACCAAGGTCTCGTAGCTAGTGACAGAGTCACCATCTGAATTCAAACCAGAACCCTTATGTGTAACCTCTAAGCAATCCTCAGCTGGAAGTCAAGAGACGTGTGTTCCATTTCGGATTCGGTCACAACTACATGACCTTGGGCAAATTGCTCAACCTCCCTGGATCTCTACTTTTTGTCTACGCTACACAAGAGTTAAACTAGATTTTAGGATCACTTCCACAATCTTATTGCTCTTCTCTCCAGACAAAACTGTCTGATATCAAATATTTGGAGTCAGTTGAACACCATGCCCTCCTCCCTGAGCAAACATACAACACACATGCAGACATACATGTGCATGTACAGATGTGACAGCTTCAATCAGAGGTCTCTGTGTAGGAAAATCAGATGAGGAAAACTGAGGCCCAAAGAGGTTCAAACCTCACCAACACTCCCTATATTCTCACTTCATATTTTTCATCCAAGGGGGCTCATTTCTTAGCTTATTTTCATAGAAACCTAAGATTTGTTTTGACATCTAATCCTTTTGCCCTCTGTTATCCCTGCTTGAGTTACTCCTTAGATATAGCTAAGTCTAAACTAAGTGCAGGAAAACACTACTCCACCTTTTAACCGTACTAAGCATTGAGGTACTTAAATTTTAACTTATCATAAAATACTGTTCTTTTTTAAAAACATGTAACTCTATAATCTAAATACAAAAAATATTATACATTTCCACTCTGAATCAATAAAAGACTGACTGCCCTGCATTGACAGGTTTGCAACATTGCACTTGCATACTTAAAAATGCAGTTATCATAAAAAGTGTTGCTTAAAGGTAGCTTTTTCAATGCAGGTGTGAATTTTAAAGACACATGTAGCATATAAGAAATGGTGTTTTCAAGAAAAATTTACTCTCTGTCAGTAAAGCAAAAGCATCTCAGTATTAGATTCCCTCTGATTGAATTTTCAGATTGCTTCAGATATACAGACCTAGGAATAATTTTGGAAAATGGCCTTCCTAATCTTTTGTAAAAACATCATAAAACATAATTTCTACTTAATCAAGTGTCATATGATTGTCACCAAATCTGAATCAATTTTTAAGACCCACTAAGAAGTCAAGTCATTGCAATACAGGACACCCTCTATTTTACCTATGCACCTTGAGTACTTCTATGCAATATCCCACAGGATTCTACAAACTAAACAAACAAGCCACGATTTTAAATGGAGGAAATGGAGGCCAGCGGAAGGAACAATTGTACACCTTCCCTTTGCTTTTCCCCGCTTTGCCTTTTAATTAAATGATAAATCTCAATATGAATTCATTAGCAGCCTGATAGCTCAATTAAGCCCTGTGTTACTGCATTCTCTGGGGCAATGCTTCAATATCAGTTAGCAGAGTTTGAACGTAACCTGAGCAAAAAATGTGAGCCAAAAGTTTTATTCTATCAATCTTTTGGGAGAAAAACTACAATTAAAGGGGGGGAAGTTTCAATATCTACAGACTGTTAAATGATAAAAAGATCATAATGTTTTTTCCTGTACCAATAAATTATTTGGATT
The DNA here is from genome assembly GCF_000001405.40 of Homo sapiens. NCBI lineage: Eukaryota > Metazoa > Chordata > Mammalia > Primates > Hominidae > Homo > Homo sapiens. The sequence goes on from NC_000008.11 coordinate 118,096,246, forward strand.
TGTGTTATGCAGCAAAACCCTTTGGTTCATTTTAATTTGGCTTCAGTGATACTTATATCAAACACAATAGTAAAAATAGAAAAAGAAAGAAAAGAGGCCAGGTGCACTGGTTCACGCCTGTAATCCCAGCACTTTGGGACGCTGAGGCAGGCGGATCACGAGGTCGGGAGATCGAGACCATGCTGGCCAACATGGTGAAACCCCATCTGTACTAAAAATACAAAAATTAGCTGGATGTGGTGGTACTCAGGAGGCTGAGGCAGGAGAATCACTTGAACCAGGGAGTGGAAGGTTACAGTGAGCCGAGATCACGCCACTGCGGCCTGGCGACAGAGCAAGACTCCGTCAAGAAAGGAAGGAAGGAAGGAAGGAAGGAGGAAGGAAGGAAGGAAGGAAGGAAGGAAGGAAGGAAGGAAGGAAGGAAGGAAGGGAGGGAGGGAGGGAGGGAAGGAGGGAAGGAGGGAGGGAAGGAAAGGAAGGAAGAAAGGATACCTTGGGGAAAAAAAGGTTCATTGGGAGAAACTTCCCATTTGAACATGACAAGAAACTCTGGGTGAACCAGCAAATGAACACAATGAACTTGGAGTAGGAACAGGAATGCCTGAGCTACAAACCAAAGACAGTAACATTTAGAGACTCCATACTTTGAATATACCATATCAACAGTAGTAACATTCCCTTCGGTTAAATAAATGTAAATTTTTTTCATTTATGCAACAAACACTGAGTGCTTCCTGTGAGTCAGTCGGGCATGGTGCTGAGGCTCTGAAGGTATAATGGTACGAGAGCTCAATGTCATTTTCCCAAGGAGGCCTTTCTTTCCCTCCATATTTAAAGCTGCAAAATTCTTCCTCATCCCCACTCCTACTTTGCATCCAAACGACCTGGTGAGCTTTTTAAAAACCTGGAACTTCGGCCGGCTGGGTGCAGCGGCTCACGCCTGTAATCCCAGCATTCTGGGAGGCCAAAGCAGGCAGATCACTTGAGGTCAGGAGTTCAAGATCAGCCTGGCCAACATGTCAAAACCTCATCTTTACTAAAAATACAAAAAATTAGCCGGGCATGGTGGTACATATCTGTAATTCCAGCTACTCGGGAGGCTGAGGCAGGAGAATTGCTTGAACCTGGGAGGTAGGGGTTGCAGTGAGCCCAGATCGCCCCACTGCACTCCAGCCTGGGCAACAGAGCAAGACTCCTTCTCAAAAAAATAAAAATAAATGAATAAAAATAAATAAAATCTGGAACTTCATCCCTAATTGGCCTGGACTGGGGCCTGGCTTTTTCAGAAGCTCCCCAGGAGAGTCTACTGTACAGTTAAGGTTGAGACCCACTGCCTTAACCCACTTCCATACGTTGCTTTACTTCACAGCATCCAGCACCTTCTAATATATGACAAAATGTGTATGCCATGATCCTCAGCCTCCAGCCACTAGGCTATGAGCATCTAGAAGGCAGGTACGTGCACCTTCTTATTCACTGTTGAATCCCCAGTGCCTGCACACCGTAGGCACTCAATAAGTATCTGTTGAGTAAATCAATGAAAAACCAACATGAATCCTCCCCTCAGGTTCTGTGCAATCTACTGGAGAGAGACAAACAAACAGCTAACTGAATGGAAAACCACAGCTGGGTGTTAAATGTTCTATATGAGCACATACCAGGAGAATTTGGCCTTGTCTGAGGCATCAAGGAAGTGACTCTGGAAGAAGTCAGATGCAGCTGGGTGCTGGCTTTCCAGAAAGTGGAAAGGAGGTGTGTGGGGAAAGCGGGGAGAAGGAGGAGGAGTGTGGCTCTGCCCTGGGGCTGGGGATGAGAAGGCAGGCAGAGCTTGCCTGCCTTAGTAACATGTGAATTAACTATGAGACACCCCCAAGGCCCATTCAAGCAGGGTGGTGATCATATTTTCTATCAGTGGCACTGTGGATGATTTCTACCAATCCGTCAGGACACTGAAATGTGTGCAGGAAGTGTGCCTGCTACACGTCCAAGCTAGGCCCCCGCTAGGAGTGTGAAATGCCCAACATACCTGCCAGGACAACCATAGGACAAGAGACGAGATGTCCCTTGTTCCCTCCTGGGCCCCTCCCTTCTCCAAACCCTAACATCCATATGCCACGCCTTAGGCAGGCAGGGCCAGCCCTAGCCCTAGGCTAGCTACTCTCTTTACCTGAGCCCACAGCCCAAGTCATTCTAGATACTAGTCCATCAAGAATAGCTAACACAGTGGCCAGGTGCAGTGGCTCGCTCATACCTGTAATCCCAGCACTTTGGGAGGCCGAGGCGGACAGATCACGAGGTCAGGAGATCAAGACCGTCCTGGCTAACATGGTGAAACCCCGTCTCTACTAAAAAATACAAAAAAAATTAGTCGGGCATGGTGGCGGGTGCCTGTAGTCCCAGCTACTTGGGAGGCTGAGGCAGGAGAATGGCATGAACCCGGGAGGCGGAGCGTGCAGTGAGCCGAGTTCGCACCACTGCACCCCAGCCTGGACAATAGAGCAAGACTCTGTCTCAAAAAAAAAAAAAAAAAGAATAGCTAGCACTACAGGCCTACACCACAGGATCAGAAAACTTACCATTTCACCTAGGTTTAAACTGATATGCATCTTGAAAACCCAGAAATCAGAGTTAGCAACAAGTAGCAGAAATCAAATGCTAACCGAAAGGAGACCCTGTCTCTCTGGAGCCTTGGCGGAAATTGCTAAAGTTGGTAGACAAGTTTTCAAATGGAGATCTTACTCTTAAGACCATCAGTATATTTTATTAATCATACGGTTTTCAAAAAAGTTATAAAACACATTACTTCTTTTTCTACATTCTTAAACAAAGGACAGTGAACACAAATGATGTTTCAGAGCCAATACTGTACCATGTTATAGTTCATCAAATATCCACAGAAGCTGTGCTTGGTGACAGGCAGGGCAGTAGGTGTTGGACTTGGAAGCACATTCATTCCTGAGGAGGGTGTAGAACACATTCTTGGGCATTGGGCCAGCTGTTCTTCAATTGCCATGGTTCTTTACTTCTTCTGGGCATTACATTTTATAATTTCCTGGCCCACTTCCTTATATTTGGGTTACCAGCTGTCCTTTCTTCCCAGTACTATCTGCAAGAATCCCTCTTTCATTTTTAAATGTACTGCTTCTAATCTACTGCAGGCTGAGAAACCAGATTACCTAACAGGTTAGAATTGTCTAACGTAAGATTAAATAAATTCTAGGTTAGAAATCCAAGTGATACTCTAGAAATCAATCATACTATTGTTTGTGAGTGTGTGGTCTTTATGACATCAGTTCCAGCTGTTCAAAAGCAGTACGGTGCTGTGGTTAAGGACACAGGTTCAAAAGTCAGAGGGCCTCAGTTCATCTGCTATGTGTATGCTCTTAGGCAAACCACTTTTAAAGACTGTCTGCTTCAGTTTCTTCATCTGTAAAATGGAGATAAAATGGGTATCTTCCTGCTAGGTGGACATAAAGATTAAAGAAGATACTTCTCATTACCCTGCACATAGGATGTGCTTAGATATGAGTTGCTGTTGCTGTTATCCTCACATAGGATGCCCTCAGATATGAGTTGCTGTTGCTGTTATCCTCATCATCAACTGGGGTCAAATATGTGCATGCCAACAGGATATGGCTTCAACAGCGCCTGCCACAGCCAACTTCCCCTAACCACAGTCCTCTGTTGCAGGAAGCAACTTTGGGCTGTTTTCACAAGAGGATGACCACCAAGTAAATCAAGAGTGGCAACATGACAGGGCAGTCGTTTCACTGACCAGGTCACCACCATACCCAAGACGTGGCCTAATATGAATGGCTCTCCCCAGCAAGCAATGCTTACTGGAAAAGTCAATCCGACTGGTCTCCTCCAGGCCCTGGACGAGAGAATTCAGGAAAGACTGGCCAGTGGTTGGAAGACACACACAGGGCCAGAGATGCTAGCCAAGCAAGACATGAAGGCATAGAGCAGGAACAAAGGAGCCTGGCCCAGGTATTGTGGTGGGTCCTGAGAACTTACGAGAGCAGTTTCAGTTCAGTTTCTGCCCCATGTCCCCTCACAATAAATCCCAAAACTTAAGGTAGCCCAAATGATTTTCGGCTCTTTGCAACATAAGGGCCTGCTGAACCGGCCGAGGGAGGCTTCCCAGTAGCTGAGCTCCACTCACACACGGTGTCCCTCCAAATGTTACCCTCAACTGGCGAGGACTTAAAAGTCAATTGGAGGCGGGGTGCGGAGGCTCACACCTGTAATCCCAGCACTTTGGGAGGCCGAGGCAGGTGGATCACGAGGTCAGGAGATCGAGACCATCCTGGCTAACACGGTGAAACCCTGTCTATTCAAAATACAAAAATTAGCTGGGCATGGTGGCATGCACCTGTAGTCCCAGCTACTCAGGAGGCTGAGGCAGCAGAATCGCTTGAACCCAGGAGGCAGAGGTTGCAGTGAGCTGAGATCGCGCCACTGCACTCCAGCCTGGCGACAGAGCGAGACTCCATCTCAAAAAGAAAAAAAAAAAAGTCAACTGGAAAAGAGATCACCTGCATTAATAGAGCAGTCAACCTGGGAACCTGAAGGCCATGGAGTCAAGGAAGTATCTGACTGCCCCAGGGATCCCCCTCAACTGCTTCCACCCCTACCCCACACACATGCAAGCCCCAGCTTGAAGACCCCTGTAGGTCTTTACAGAAACAATGGCTGGACTTCCAGGGCACCTACCACAATTTCCTGAGGACTTAAGTATCAAAGTAGAGATAAGTTATTGCTGTGGCTTAGTTAGGAAGAGCTAAGTTTCGAAACTAAATGAACCTCTGTTGTTGATTAGGAAATAGCAGGAAGATGAGTTTAATAATACCACCACCCTGTAGAACACATTAATGTTTACAAGGTACAGTCTCACATACTCCACCTCATTTGACCTTCTTAACGACCCTATGAGACCAGTATTATGATCCCCATTTCCAGATGTGGAAACTGAGGCTGAGAAGTTAAAAACCTAGTCCAGGAACTTTGGGGGATCAGCTACTGTTATGGTGCAGGGCCACAGGCTCTCCCTTTTAAAGGGCTTCACAGAAGACAAAAGGGTACACAAAAAGAGGCTGTGTATCCTCACAAATTTCTCCTTTTCTGTCCATTTTTAAATCACTTAGAATAGTGCCTCCTTTACACTTAAAATCCCAGGCCTTACTTAGATGCCCAGAGGTCAAAGCGACCTGTCCAAATTTACCTCCTATGGTCCATGGAGTCAACAACCAAAGAGAAAACAGAAACAAATCCTTGATAAACTGCATACAATTAGCTAGAAGAGTAACATCTACCTAGGTAAGGCCTGCAGATTCTGAAATCCCAGGCAAGGTTATATGCACAGTGCTTGGAGTGAAGTCTAGGGATGTCTGCTCAGTAAGAGACCAGGGAGGATTTTGGCTGGAGAAAAACAAAACTTCAAAGAGAACAGAGCAGTGGAGCTTCAAAGGCCCCCTGGCAGGACCAATTAACACCTACAAATGTTTATCTAGGCAGTCATTTAATGATGGCTACTTCACTAAATGGGTGTTCACCTTAAAAACAGCTATAGCCCAGAATGGGATTGGAGTGGGGAGTTAGGGAGGACAGGACAGGAAGTTCTATATTGTGTTTTGAGAGAGAGACCCTAGTCAAGAAGAAAACACTCAACAAGGTGAAACCCATTACAGACTATTTCTAATGAGGAAAAAAAAAAAAAACAAGTTAAATATGTAAGAAGGCTGGGTGCTGTAGCTCACGCCTGTAATCCCAGTACTTTGGGAGGCTAAGGTGGGTAGATCACCTCAGATCAGGAATTCAAGACCCGCCTGGCCAATACAGCAAAACCCCATCTCTACTAAAAATACAAAAATTAGCCGGGTGTGGTGGTGGGTGCCTGTAATCCCATCTACTCGGGAGGCTGAAGCAGCAGAATCCCTTGAACCCAGGAAGCGAAGGTTGCAGTGAGCCGAGATCGCGCCACTGCACTCCAGCCTGGGTGACAGAGCAAGACTCTGTCTCAAAATAATAATAAACAAATAAAATATATGTAAGAAAATGTAAATGGTTAAACAAACTCTGGTCCAACCATGGGTTAGAAAAAAAAAAAAAATCACACCTTAAAAATCCTATTTTCCAAACAATTTACTAGAACAGAAAAATGCCCTTGGATAATGTTAGGAAAAAAAATAACATCCAAAAATACATTTAAAGTCTGACTTCAACTTTACAAAACTGACAGACTAGAATGGTAAGGTGAATGGGTAGGAGTTTGTTTTGTTTGCTGAAGTAGCCCCAGCTCCAATACATAAGTGTCTGGCACAAACAAGACACTTAAGAAAAATGTGTTGAATTCATTATTTACTCACCATTAATTAAATAATAATTAACCTATCTATCCAGGGTACTTGGATATGCAGAGACAGAGCCACATAAACATATAGGTATATATATGTGCTAGAATAGACTGACTACATCAAAGTTTACCAATAGTGGCTAACACTTATAATAGAATTAGGAAAGAAATTTAATTATGTATTCCAATCTTCTGTATTTTCCCAATCTTCCACAGAGGCTATGCATACTTTTTTTTTTCTTGCTTTCTTTCTTTCTTTGAAAGACAAGGTCGGCCGGGCTTGGTGGCTCATGCCTGTAATCTCAGCACTTTGGGAGGCCGAGGTGGGCGGATCACCGAAGGTCGGGAGTTCGAGACCAGCCTGACCACATGGAGAAACCCCGTCTCTACTAAAAATACAAAATTAGCCGAGTGTGGTGGCACATGCCTGTAATCCCAGCTACTCGGGAGGCTGAGGCAGGAGAATCGCTTGAATCCGGGAGGAGGAGGTTGCGGTAAGCCGAGATCGCCCTATTGCACTCCAGCCTGGGCAACAAGAGGGAAACTCTGTCTCAAAAAAAAAGAAAGATAAGGTCTTGCTCTATTGTCCAGGGTGGAGTGCAGTGGTGCCATCATCAGTCACTGCAGCCTCAATGTCCCAGACTCAAGCAATCCTCCCACCTCAGTCTCCCAAGTAGCTGGGACTACAGGTGTGCACCACCATGCCCAGCTAATTTTTTTATCTTTAGTAAAGATAAGATCTCACTGTGTTACCCAGGCTAGTATGATCTAGAACTCCTGGGCTCAAGCAATCCTCCCGCCTTAGCCTTCCAAAGTGCTGGGATTACAGGCATGAGCCACTGTGCTCAGCCTGTGTATAACGCTTATAATTTTTTAAGCACTGTTTTTCTTTTAAAGAGCCTTAGGTCCTGGAGGCATTGGGTGTGGTATGTTCCAGAAACAGAATATTCCCATAGGCCTTTCATTTCTATTCTATTGGATCACAGTGTCTACCTGGGGCAGCAGTCACTCTGATCCCCATCCACCTGCAGCGACATCTCCAGGGTTCACTTTCACTTACAATCACAGAGGGACACCCTGCAGGATGCTATCAGTAGGGGAAAGGTCACACAGACAGAATGCTAATCAGCTTCCTCACTTTTCTTAGAAGAACCCTAGGAGAGAATTACAAGCAGAATCTACATAGAAACAATTCCAATGCCCCTTGAACAGAAGAGTTGAAGGAGTTCAGTGCTTAAATGTCAGGTTTAGGAGCCACCTTTATGACATCTCTGAGCCAAACTTTTTCCTCGGGAAACATGTTCATAAAGTAAAGCAATGGAAAAAAGATCCATATACAAACACCTGACTCACGCTTCACGTATTAAAAGTTAATATGTAACAGGGAGAAACTCTGTTTGATTCTTTAAGATGGTAACATTTTGTAGAAGAGAATGGACTTTGGAATCTAAGTACCCAGGTAGGAACCCTGCCATTTTCTCACTAGATGTGACACTGAGCTTGTTACTTTACTGTCTCAGGGGCCTACATTCTAATCTGTAAAATGGGGATATAACCTAACTCACACTGTTGTTGAAAGGTTCTATGAACTAATAAAAGTAAATTCAAATAACAGGTACTCAGCAAATCTTCTAGTCTGGAGGGAATCCTGTTTATTACAGGAGCCTGGTCAAGGTGGAAGAGGTTTTAAATAAAAACAATTATAGGTTGAATATCTGTTATCTGAAATGAATGCTAGTTATCCCTTATCTAAAGAAAGTTAATTCCGCACAACCTGAAGCATGTACATGTTCCATGCAGGGGGCTGGCACACCTGTTCTGATGACATGGCCACTGCATACAACATTCACATTATGACCTCGAGAGAAAAAAAACGCACTATTTTCTTCTTCCAGAGTATGAAGGAAGCGCTAGGTAATTATTACATGGCAATAGCTACTTCTCAAACACCTTGTTCAGAAAATACCTTGTTTCAAATACACAATTTAGGCTGAGAAGGACTTGGCCTAAAATGCTTGAAATGCTTGAGACCAAAAGTGTTTCAAATTTTGGATTTTTTTAGATTTTGAGATATCTGCATTGTATACTTAGAGTTGGACATCCCTAATTCAAAAATCCGAAATCCAAAATGCTCATGTCAGTGGTCAAAAGTTTCAGATTTTGGAGCATTTTGGACCTTTGGATTAGGGAAGCTCAACCTGTAGTTATTAACCTCATGGAAACATAAGCTTCTGTGTTCATGTTTGAACATGAAACATGTCCAGAAGCCTGCAGAAGCCAATGACCACTTTGTCTCACCTGGTTCATTCTGAATATGCAGTGCTGCAAAGCGAATGCAGTGAGGTAGCAATGAATGTTCTTCTCTCCGTGAAAAGAACAGACAACTCGGGCCATAAAACCTGGGTTTTAGCCTCAATTCAGCCACTTACAGGCTGCGTAGCCTCAGGCAAGTCACCTTACCACCGTTTGCCTCCGTTTACACACCAGCAACATAGCCTGAGAAGACACCTTCAAGATGGTTGTGAGCAAAGCAGCCAGGCCCTACCAAGCACAACTTCTGCTGTGACATTGGCATATTAAAGGTCATTATTGGCAGGAGTTTCTAGCACTGTGTTCTGAGAAGGCAGATCCTCAAGCCTTCTGACAGAAAGAACTAACACCACCTGCAGGTGTAGCATCTCCCCTTTTGCCATCCAAAGTTGCTGTCAGAGTCAGGGTGACCAAAGGTGGCCTCCAATGGGCAGGACCTGCCCAAACCTTAGTAACAAGCCATTATTCGTAGAGTAAAATCCTGCAGGCCCCTAGCTTAGATCACAGACTCCACTGGAAACCCTCATTTGCTAGGCTGAATTCAGTAATAATACAAATGTCCCTGAAAGTAGCAAATAACACCCCAACATTTACTCAGGGATTCCTTGTGATTGAGGTTCTCAGGTGCTCTCCAGAAAGCAGGTTTAGAAAGAGGCGAGAAAGGAAGGAGAGAATCAGAATCTCGGTGTCAGAAGACAAACTTGCCAACTTCATAATTTTCCATAGGGCTGGCCCTACCTTATTTTTTAACTGTGCTAATTGGGTTTATGTTAGAAATGCTTTTGTGCTATTGTACAACTGTGGGGAGAAAGGTGCTAATATTTTACATTTAAAACCCGAGAATCTCAATTCCCACCTTTCATTTTGGAGAAGGAAAACATTCATCTAAGGTTCACTGCTGGATCATGAACTTGCTCAAGGTGTCTGTTAATACAGTTTGGGATAATGAGGAAAAAAAGAAAAAAGTATTTAGCATTTTTACTTGCCTTGCACATATTTTCTTTTTGCTGTAAGTGCATGTAATTCAACTTATTGTTCAGTCAATGCACAGTCTATTCCCTAAACCCCTTAGGGCCAAATTGAAAGGTTCAAAAAACTCCTACTTAGACTAAACAGCTCCACAGACCTACCCAACTAAACAAACAGGCAAAATGTAAACTCCCAGAGCAAGAGTTTGTAAGTCTGAGGATGCCCTCAGCGGGAGGTGTGTGTCAGCCCCTGAAACCATATAACAAATTGTGTACATGCTTTTATTTATTTACTTATCATTTATTTTTGCAAAGGTTGTCCTCCAAGTTTTCATCAGATTACTGAAGAATTCTAAGAGAAATCCCATAACAAACACCATTAATAAGGATCTCCTTGTGGCTGGTGAATTTTCAAGGGTGCCTGAGAATAGAAATGAAAGACTGCAGATCAAGGCAAAATTAAGGGGGCCTGCATTCTGGTGCTACCCTTGTCACTAAACAATTTTCTTGCCTTAAGCAAACCCCTGAAACGTTCTGTCCCTCAGTTTCTACATCTGTAAAAATCAGGATGTTGGAAGCTGAATGATCACTTACCTCCAAGACCCTTGAAGATACCAGGATGGTGAGGTACAGTGTTAGCAAACACAGAAAAAGGGAAATACCAAAAAGAATTGCACACAATCTTGCCTGTTTCCAGAAAAGCTTTAAATATTCACCCTTGCTTTCCTTGGAGGGGGTCAAAGATAGAAGCCACCTCTCCTTTCCCTCTCTTTCTTCTATTTCAAATAGCTGAATCTAAAGTTTCACAATAATGCCCTTTGTAGGGATGTGAACTATGAAGTTCATGCAAAAGTACAATAATTCTATAAGGATGCATAAGTAGCTGAAAGAACATAAAATACAAAGAATTTCTCTAAAGCGTCACTACAACTCATCTAATTACTGCAATGACTTGTTTTAGCTGGCATTATCCACATGTGTTAAAATATATAACTGATAAAAAATAATTACAGCTATCATAAAAATTGATATTTTAATATAATCCTGAACGTCTGGGTCAAAAAATGACAAAAGAAATTTATTTTCTCTCTATTACAAGAGAAAAGTATTTTCTTTCATTCCTTGCAGCTTTTCTATACCTTTGTAATCAACGTCTAATTTTCACAAAGGCACAGGTGAGACAGAAGTCATTGCTCTTTTAGCACTAAATTCTTTATCGACACATAATATTCTATTTCACCAAAAGCAACCTTTTTTTAGTTGAAACATTTGTATATACTCTATATTTGTATATACTCTAACTTGACCATAATACCATAAATTTTCAATCTAGTCATCAGGCTGCATAAAGTTTGCTCCAAAGGAAACTTACAGGTGATTGCTTGAGGGAGCAAATTAAACTGAAGCTTTTTTTTTCCCATGGACACTTGCTAATAAGCTAGATGGAAACTGATTGTGTTTTTACAAGCTATTACCAAATGAGTGCTTAGAGCACCCCTGAAGCAGTCTGAAACCCACTCTGCAAAACCCAAACTAATGCTCAAGGTGACTAATCAAAAGTCACACCATGAGTCAGTATGAGAAGTCAAACTTACACAGATCACGTCTACAGACCTAACTTCAATATCGCCTCCACCCAAAACGCTAGAGAGACTGGCATATCTTGACTTGAGGAGTTCTGCATCTCACATATCTAAGGCCATCTTCCAGAAAGCATCAATATAAGTAGCACAGTAGTTGCTCTTACGCCAGAGCACGACACACGTTGCTTGCTCTGCTAGCGTATCTCCAAATTTGAGAGTTCTTGCTTCATCTTCATGTGTTCCAAAAAACCAATAATAAATGGCAATAAAGTTTGTAAGCACCATTTCTCAAAGACAAATAATTCTGCTAACCCACTCAGAGGAATGAGTCAAAACTCCAGGTGTACCAGGCGAGTGAATGTAAACCTTTCGCAGCACCATCCCGGGCTACATGCAAGTTTAGGGCTGGAAGGTATGCCAAAGGGGAACATAATGAAAATCCAGAAGTGTCCCTGCTAAAGAGATCCCTGCTTGGGAGAAAGAGCAAACTTGCTTTTCTACGAAATGCCACTTTTCTGATCAGACCCAATCCTGAGGTCCTGACCCCTTGTGGTCTTTAAACATAAACCAAAGTGTGGGTGTCATATTTCTTGGCCCGATCACAAAGAGGTCAAAAATTAGTTAAATTTAGTAAAAATTAAAGTTTTAAAGAAACCAACCCCTCCCTTCATTGCTGATCTCTAGAAAATGCTTCCATTCCACAGAAAACGTAGAAACGTAATATTTATTTTGGGAATAAAAGGGTAAGAAAGATATTATTCACTTGGATTAAGGGTATTTTCCAATATATATAATTCAAATTTCCTAAGCTGAAATCTCAGCTTTAGCCCTTTTAGAAGGATGAAGAACAGAATCCTTCCACAGAATTCTTTGAGACTGCTTTAGAAGACACTGAAAGGTTAGACTTCATCTCGAGTTACTCCACCATAAACCAGACAAAGAAATTCCTGAAAGGCTATAAGCATTTTTTTCTTACAAGCACCCACAGGAATAGGTCAATGTAAATGTCGTATAAACAAAGCAGTTCATTACTAACCATAGTTTAAATGTCTTTTATGAGAAAACTGTAATCCATTGCAACTGCACATTCATACATAACTGCCCCTGGATGAGAGGAAAATATGGATTCATAATTGATCTTAGTCTCCGGCTTTTCTTATGCCTGAAAAGCAAAAGGTATTGGGGGTTGGAAAGCTGAATCTGAGTGCTTGATACTTTCTCCTTCACTCTCTATGATCAAGTCTTGGAGGACTTTAATTTCCCTTCCAATCACTCCTATAGAGGCCCTAGTGTCTGAAAAAATGCACAGACGACAATCAAACCTTTCATTTCAAGGCCAGTTTCCCACCATACCCCTTCCTGTTCCAATCAGGTTTGCGAAACATTTCCCCTATTCTGCATTTCATGAATCAATTGCAAAATCTGCCAACCTCTGCCAGTTCCTCTTGTACTCAGCTGAGAGGTTCCCCTTCCTTCCCTGGGTAGCACAAGGCTGCTCTGGTTTTTAACTGGCGTAACGTGGAAATGCACTGTAGGAACTCACTAACTCTTTCACAGCCAGATGTAAGTGAGAGTCTGGGCGGCAACCCCACCTACTAGGAAACTGGTCCACCAAGCTCAGGATAAAGCAGATTTGTGGAATTTAGCTTTGACTCCAAATCCCGTGTCAGTTACTGTCACGGGGAAGGAAAAAGGAAGAGTGAAAAGGTCTACAAAGTAACCAATTCAGTTACTTAGCAACTGGACAAAACTTGCCTCACTACAGAGGGTAAGGAGGCATCTCACACCCATTCAAAGAGTAACAGTCTACAATTTACATGCAAATAGATAAAGAAAAAAGGGAACGGGAAATCTAAATTAGCAACTGGAGTTTAGACAGTGAGACTGAGGCCCACATTTAAAAAAAAAAAAAAAGTTTATCCTAGGAAAGAGACAGGACATGTACAGAAATGAATGAATTAATAAATGAATGAATGAATGAATGCATGCATGCATGCATGCATGCAAAGCCACAGGCCCAACAAGTTTACAGTCTCCCTTCATAAAAGTCAATGCCACGGGGGAGAGAGGAAAGGGCCACACAAAGTTCGATACAATTTAAACATTTCCACGGCTAACATGAATTACAGGCTTACAGAAAATGTGAAGTTGGGAAAACTCCTGGGAAAGTAGGTACCCCCGCTCATGAGAAAAGCAAACAAAAGCATCACTCTTGGTGGAAGGTCTCTGGACTTTGGGTAGATCACAGCCTCTCCGGGTCTCTAGATACCCTCAGAAACACCCTCCAGTACCCATGCCTGAAATGCAGTTACTAAACTTGGATCTAACCCCGACTCTTAACAGGAGACACGCCGCCCTGCAGGTTTCCTAAGCAAGAGGGAGATACTGTCACCTACTTGGCTCGAGAAGGTGCTCCAGGCTTTTCAGTTTGCCCGAGGAGCTCCAACTCTCTGTCCCCAGCCTCTAGCTGCACACCCGAACCGGATTTGCTCAGTTCCAGGCTCAAAGGGGAAAGAGGACTGAGGGCTCATCCGCCCTCACCCCATCCCCCAACTTCACACCTGGACCAAGGCCGGCAGAGCCCAAGGCTGACTCCCAAAGACACGCCAGCCCAGACACTTACTTCTCATACTCGGTGTTGTCTCTGTCACAGCGAGAATCCTTGTGCTTTTGCCAGTCTTTGCCATGCTTGCAGGTGGTGAGGAGCACAACGTCCTCCCCGTTATGGACGTGATATAAGGCATTCCTGGTGTCTGATCCTATCCCTGTCAGGTACCTCTTCCCCTTGAATACCAGCATGTACTTCCTGAGAGGAGGGATGGTGTTGAACTTCAAAAACCCCCTCTCCCCTCCTGTCCTGGGATGATCCTTAGAAAAGAGGGGAATAGAAACATCAAAGTTGGGTCGGAAGTTTTCAGTACTGATGCTGGCTTTGGCCAGCATCGCCTGGCCGATGTCAAACCCCACGTCCTCGGTGTAGTCAGGCCAAGTGCCGGAATATAAATTAAAAATTAAATGATTCCTACCATTGTTCCACAAGTGGAGACTCTGCACTTTGGATCTCAAATTGTGCACATACTGAGGTGACAACTGGTCTCTGTCTAAAGTATCCAGACTCAGGACAAAGAGGCACGCCTGGCTGGGGTCCGAGGTGTAGAACCTGGAGCCCTCGATGGCCGCTAGAATGTTTTGGTAACTTTCGGCGATTTTCTCCCCTTTTTGCTGTGGGTATACGTAGACTTTGAAGCCGTTTTTCTTGCAAAGGGTGAAATCGAAGCAGGACTCCATGCGGCACTTCTTGCCTTTGTAGATGCTGGAGTTGGCATCTCGCTTCTGCCGGGGGGAAATGTGCACGCTGGAATCCTCGTTTTCCAATTGATCCCAAGGAACGAAGGGGCGCAGAGCGTCCGGGAAGCGGGGCCAGAAATGATCCGGACTGGGGTGGTGCAAGCCATTCCTACCGCTGTGTTCTTCTCTCCGGCTGTGGCTCCTCGATGCCCTAAACTGCAAGCCTCCGAAATAAAACAAAAGGGCGAGACAAGAGCCAGCTGAGAGCAGGATGAAATAGCGTTTTTTGGCCTGCATGTGTCCTGCCTGGGTCAAGAGGATTGTAAATAAACACAAGAATCACCCAAGTTTCCCAATCAACACTTTCAGCTCCAGTCCGCCATCTTCCCGCCTGTAAAGACTTCAAACTCTCCGCTCCCACCTTCTCTGGATGCCTTTCCCCAAGCCGTGGACTGATCCAGCGCATGTGGGCGATTTCTTTAACTTTCTCCCCTTCGGTCTTTCATCTTTGGGTTGCACAATGCACGGGAGAGAGCGGGGCTGAATATCTCGCACCCAGGGCGGGCGAGCAGCGGACTGTAATTTTCTTGCATGCAACAAGACGGAGGAAAAGAAAGAGAGAGGGGAGAAAAAAAAAGCTCCCGATACCCAATCAATGGCAAGACGAAGTGATTGCCTTGCCTCTCGGATTCCTCTCGGCAGCGTGGAAAATGAGCCCCGGGAAGGCAACTTCAACTCATCCACCACTCTCCGTGCAGAGCACTCCGGTTCCAACAAGTCAGCCGATCCCGGGTTCAGCCGGCTAGTGCATCTTGCAGCTGGGGCGCCGTAACCTCACAAATCCCTGCATCTCTCTTTATTCCCTTCTGCAGCGGCTCCAAGACTCCGGCGGTGTTTACTCCTGCGCTCGCGGGGCCGGCCCCCGGGACGCGCGGCGGCCCGGCTGGAGGCGGCGGCGGCGGCGGCGCTGGGTGGCGGCGGCGGCGCGTCCTCCCCGCGGGCAGTGCCGGCCCCGAGCAGCGCTTCGCAGGCCCCCGCGCGAACGCTGCCGACCGCCGCGTTCGGTCGCCGAATGTTACCCGGTTCTGAATGTTACACTTACACATTCCATTCCCGACACGACAGCGCTGACCTCATCCATCCACGCAGCCCGCGCTGCCATTGGCCGAGCGTCACGTCCGGGGGGGGCGGTGCTTCCGCTGCGCCCATTCATAACCCCCGGCCGCGGGCCGAGGCGCCGGCGCGGCGTTGGGGGCGTAGGGGGCGCAGGGAGCCGGGGCTCCCGGGTTGCAAGCTGCCGGCGGGCTGCCGGGCAGGTGGAGCGCGGGACGGCCCGGTGCGAGCCCCGCGGCCCCTCGGCGCGCCCAGGCCCGGATCTCGGCCTGCGCCGTGCCGGGGACCAGAGGCGCCTGCGGAAACGCGGCGGCCGGGGAAGGAGGCACCGGCAGGGGCCCCGTGCCGCGCGGCCCCGGGCGCCCTGGAGAATCTGGCCTCCTGGGCTGCCTGCCGGAACGCCTAGAGAAAGATGCTTTGAAGGAGGGAAGCAGGGAGGAAAGGAAGACTTCATAGAAAGCGACCGCCGATCCGAAAGCTGCCTCTCCCAGCCCTCCTTCCACTCTCCGAGACCCAGTATTTCAATTTTCTGCTAAGCATTAAAACAATCTCCCCTTACTCCTCCTCTACATAGCACATTTTTTTAAACCAAAGAAACACCCCAATGCCCAACAATAAAGAGGAATTATTACAATCAAGAGGAATTGTTGCAATTCTTCATGCCTGCCTCTGTGCTAAGAGTGTAAGACGGCTATCCTAAATCCTCATTATCTACTTAGGCCGCCTTGCCTGAGCCCCCTCTGTCTATTATGAAGAAAGCTTCCAAGAGATCCAATCACAGAGAAAAAATAAATTTTCTAATGGCTGCAGGGAAACCAGTTAATTTAAGCTTGCCCCAGTCCTCAAAGTGATGTTATTCTCTTGGTGGTGGTGGTGGTGGTGGTGGTGTTAAAGATATCTCTTAAGGACATATGACTGGTAGAATTGCCAACTGTCCCAGCTATAGAAGGAACACTTGCATCAGGAAAACTACCTTATGTACAATTAGTGCCAAATAGTTGGTCCTTCCCTCACTGACCTCCCACTCCTTGGCCCAAGCTCCTGCCACTCCCAGTGGAAGAACTTCATTAGATAACTCAGGTAACCGAGGAGCAGTCCCGCTAAAGATCCTCCAGGTCCACAAAGATGTGCTAGGCTCCCAAACAGTATCTCTGGTCAAAGTCAAACTCCCTGGCCTCAGATCCTGAACACTGCTTTACAGAAAACACCTCCCACCCTCTGGCCTAGCTAAAGTCTCAGGGCTCGGGCAAGCTAGACAGTTGCCTAGGGCAGCCGGCTGTTTAGTGATTGTTTATTATGGGAGTGACTGAGAGCTAGGAGCAGACACTTCCCGGCTTCCCTCAGGCTGCAAAAACCCCAGCGGGGTGTGGATGAAGGGCAGGGTTATAACAAGGCAGTATGAAATGATAGAGTGGAAAGTTTCAGACCTCTGTTGTTTCAGATTTGTTTTAATAAAGCAGGGAAGGGGCATGGGTGGGACATTACTATACATTCGTGAAGCCTCTCCCTATTTCTGACCTGCCAAAGATGAGACAGCTTTTCCAGATTTGACTTGAACCCCCTGCACAATGTAGAGAGGCCTGGGACAGGAATAAGGATTCAGTCATCTTCCAAATACAGTGACAATGATGCAGATAAAGGCAGTGATTGAAACCACATGTGACCCAAAGCTCCCCCCAGCCCAAGTTGCTAAGAACAACAGTTCAAGGCAGGAGGCCTTCTCTTCTGATCAGGGTGCAGATTATCTCAGCCCTGTGAAGTGGGGCTGTGGGACTGGAGGTGCTCTCTCTCTCTCTCTCTCTCTCTCTCTCTCTCTCTCTCTCTCTCTCTCTCTATATATATATATATATATATATATATATATATGCTGGAGTGCAGTGGCAGGATCTCGGCTCACTAGAAACTCTGCCTCCCAGATTCAAGTGATTTGCCTCCCTCAGCCTCCGGAGTAGCTGGGATTACAGGTGTGCACCACCAGCCCTGGCTAATTTTTGTTTATTTTTGGTAGAGATGGGGTTTTGCTGTATTGGCAAGGCTGGTCTCGAACTCCTGACCTCAAGTGATCTGCCCACCTTGGCCTCCCAAAGTGCTGGGATTACAGCATGAGCCACCTCGCCTGGCCCCTCTATATCTTGCCAGTTGTTTTGCATGACCTTAGGGGGAGCTAGCTACCCTCCTTGCTCTTTTGTGTTCTGTTTATGTTTTGGCATGTGCTTCCTGCTTTTCTTGCCTAATTATGGCTAATTTCCTTATCCCAGACCCCAGTGTTACCCATCTCTACTTGTACATCCCAAAGTGTTGTGTACTGTCAGAAAAACTTTGGTGCTGACAATTAGAGAAAACTTGAATTCAGACCCCAGATCTGCCATTTACTAGTACCTTGGGCATGTGGCTTAATTTCAGTGGACCTCCAGTTTCTCGTTTGAAAAGTCAGGATAATAATATCTTTCTTGCCAGCAGTTTTTTTTTTCTTTCTTTTCTTTTTAACAGAGTCTTGCTCTATTACCCAGGCTGGAATGTGCAGCAGTGTGGTCTCAGCTTACTACAACCTCCACCTCCCGGGTTCAAGTGATTATCCTGCCTCAGTCTCCCGAATTGCTGGGATTACAGGCAACCGCCACCATACCCGGCTAATTTTTGTATTTTTAGTAGAGATGGGGTTTTGCCATGTTGGCCATGGCTGGTCTCGAACTCCTGACCTCATGTGATCCGTCTGCCTCAGCTTCCCAAAGTGCTAGGATTATAGGCGTGAGCCGCCGTGCCTGGCCTCAATTTGTAAACTGTAAATTGCTCTACATGTGTAACACCATTAGCCTAAGTTCCACTTTTCAAACTCCAACTGTAATCTTAAAAGTAGCCCCTACAATGGTATCATCATTTTGTCTCCTCTGTTTTATTTTTTCCTAACCCTTATTAGCTGAAATCTCCTCTGTTCGTTTGCTTGTTAACTTTTCACAGTAAGGAAGCCCCTGAGAGGAGGAGCACTGTTTGTCCTACTCACTCCTTTATCCCAAATGCCAAGGGCAGTACCTGGCACTTAAGTGAAGCTCAATCACTGATTCAAATGAATGAATGACTTAGTAAAATTCAGCTTCATCACAGCACTTGTACAAACTCGAAAAGAAAGAGCTCATAAGTACAGGCAACAAAAGCAAAAATAAACAAGTGAAATACATCAAACTAACAATCTTCTGCACAGTCAGTAAAGGAAACAATCAACAAATGAAAAGGCAGCCAACAGAAGGAAAGGAAATATTTGCAAACCAAATGCTGATATGGGGTTAATATCCAAAATATACAAAGAACTCACACAACTCAATAGCAAAAAAAAAAAAAAAAAGCAAAGGACCTAAATAAACATTTTTCAAAAAAGACATTCAAATGGCCAATGGGTATATAAAAATGTGTTCAACATCGTTAATTATCAGGGAAATACACATTAAAACCACAGTGAGATACTACCTCATACCTATTAGAATGGCTGTAATCAGAAAGACAAAAGATAACAATGGGGCAACATGAAGAAAACAGAACCCTTGCACACTGTTGGTGGGACTGTAAATTCATATGGCCATTGTAGAAAATGATAGGGAAATTCTCAAAAATTTAAAAGTGTAATTACCATATATCATCTAGCAATCTTACTTCTGGGTATATATCCAAAGGAAATGAAATCAACATGTCAAAAAGATATCTGCATTCCCGTGTTCACTACAGTGTTATTCACGATAACCAATACGTGGCAACAACCCAAATGTCTGTTGATTGATGAATGAATAAAGACAATGTGGTACATATATGCAATGGAATATTATTCAGCCATAAGAAGCAGGAAATCCTACCAGTTGCGACAACAGGGATGAACCTTATGCTCAGTGAAAGAAGCAAGATATAGAAACACAAATACTGCACTTCTGTGTGGATCTGACCCATATGTGGAACCTAAAAAAGTCAAACTCACAGAAGCAGAGAGTATAATGGTGGTTGCCATGGTCTGGGAGTTTGGGGCAATCGGGAGATGTTAGTCAAAGAATATAAACATTCAGTTATAAGACGACTAAGTTCTGGGGATCTAACATACGGCATGGTGACTGTGGTTAATAATGCTGTATTGTATACCTGGAATTTGCTAAGACAGTACATCTTAAGTACTCTCACCACACACACACGTACACATACACACAAAGATAACTATGTGCCATGACAGTTGGGTTAATTGGCTTGATAATAGTAATCATTTCACAATGTATACATACATCAAATCATGTTGAACATCGTCAATGTATATACAGTTTTTATTTGTCAATCATATCCCAATAAATCTGATGAAAAATCTTTCTTAAAGGCCCCTTGGTAGTCCTCAAAGCAAGACTCAGTCTGTGGTTTGAAGTGGAAATATTACTAACCAGGATTATCTTCACAGAGGGCAAGCTGGTCCATTGTAAATCCTTTAACAATGATGTGTTTCAAACCATGTAACTCCTCTGGTCAAAGCCCTCAAGGGATCCCTGTCTCTCTCCACTAAGAGATAAAGCCCTTTCAATTACCTGCAAGGTCCTGCAGGATTTTTCTTAACCGTCCCTCACCTCCCCTCACCGCATCCTCTCACCCCATTTCCTGCCTATATCTCTCTCCCTCCCTCCTGATCTACTCACTGTGCTCCAGCCAGGCTGGTGACCTTGTTATTTGTCATGCATGGGAAACATGTCCCTGCCTCAGGGCCCC
The DNA here is from genome assembly GCF_000001405.40 of Homo sapiens. Lineage (NCBI taxonomy): Eukaryota > Metazoa > Chordata > Mammalia > Primates > Hominidae > Homo > Homo sapiens. The sequence goes on from NC_000008.11 coordinate 118,116,588, forward strand.
TGCACACACTTGTCTCTGCCAGTCTGCACCCCAGTCCACCTAGCGCACTCCCTCACTTCCTTCAAGTCTCTCCTCAGATGCCACCTTACTATTAAGGCCTTCTCTAACCACCCTAAATAAAACAGCAGCACCCCTTCTATTTGCCGATCCCCTCACCCACCTTTACTTTTCTTCTTAGCACTAATCAGTACCTGACATTCTATTTATTATTGATGTGTTGCATAGAGAATGTGAGTTCCATGGGGCAAGGACTTGGTCTTTTGTTCAGTGTTATATCCTCAACAGTTCCAACACTGTCCGTCACTAAATAAACACTTGTGGAACTAATTAATTAATCTGATCTTATTGTCTGTAGGGCAAATAAGAGAATATTTAAGGCTAGAGTTCTATCATCACACACACACACACACACACACACACACACACACACACACGAAGCTAAAGTAGCCCAAGCATTCAAGCCTTGCTTAATTTCCTTTTCCAGAGGTACTTTTTCCCCAGGGCTGTCTAAAAACCTGAAAACAGTGTGGCACAAAAGGACCCAGAAAATGTAACCTTGAACAAGTCATTTCACTTCCCTAAGCTTTGGTTTCTCATTGGTAAAATCAAGAGTAACTGTAATATGGCATGCTTAGCTCACTGAATTACTGTAAGAATCAAATGAGAACAAAATAATAATGTACGAGAAAAATTTTGCAGTCCGCAATGCACACGGCAGGTGCAAGATTTAATCATCACACTCCTGGACAAATGTGGACACAAGTACATGAGATGTGATCATATTTGCAAGTCCACAGTATTAAATACGTGGAATATCGCCCATCAAACACACACTGGTTTCCAGATTCTTTGCAAACTCTGAAATGGTCATTGACTGTTATAAACCAACAGAAAAAGGGAAAAACGGAAAAATAGCCAATGGAAGCAAAGCAAAGGAGACTATTTTTCTTTTTAATGTAGAAAGCACTGCAGAAACATATGTTTATCAATGGTCTACAATTCTATTTGCTATAGAAAAAAATAATTGATTGGCTCTAAAATATGAAAACAAGCTGAAGTATTGGAATTAGTAAATGTTTAAATTCCCTAAAATGTAACCCTAGGTCAACTGGCAAGGCAATCCAATCTTCATAAACGTATACAAAATTTTTATTTGATGTGGGCACATTGTAAGGTTTTGGTGATATCTGATGGAACCTCTAGCAGTAAGCATTTCTAGCTTCTAGAAAGAACAGGAAACTCTGCTAGGTTTATACTGATAGGATATAGAAGGTGGGAAAAGACAATCAGGTCTACAAAAGTTCAGGCATCCTGGAGCAGTAATGATGAATCTAGAGATTCCCAGCCAGAAAACAGAAGCCTAATTTCTAGTTGCCTCTTTGCCAGGAACCTGAGGAAACTTGTAACATTGTTTCTGAATGCTAGGGCTTGAGAGCTTCATCCAGAAAAATGCAGGCTAAGATGTGGTGATATCTTTCCAGCTGAAATAGTCAAGGATGCCCTGTATAGACCAGGTGGGTCCAGGAAGGGAAGAGCTTGGGAAAGAGGAAGATGGAACTCCGCTGAGAAGGAAGCAAACAAGTGGAAGGAAAACAAGTAGAAGTAGGAGGCCCCACCAGGCCTCCCAAGATAGCCAAGCAGGAAGCTAACCAGGAGCAAAACAAGGGAAATTCATGCATGTATGTGTCAAATCCTGCGCCAGGTGCTTTACTGGTGTTATCTCTTTGATCCTTGCAAGGTTCCTAAGACACAGGTATTCTCCTTATCAGTTGTCACAAATGAAGAAACTGAAACTCAATCCTAGGAGGGGGCTCTTGGCAATTCATTCACATAGTCCTTGAACGGATATTCATTGAGCAGATAGCCTGTACCAGGGGGTATCTGCCTAGAGTCTTTTGTCATTTACAAAACACTTTCAGAAGAATTTTTGTTTGAATATCACCGGAACCCCGCGAAGTAGGAAAAGAACATTATCCCTGTTTGACAAAAAATTAAGAATCTGGTCGTGTTTTTGTTTTATTTTTTTCTTCCCGAGATGGAGTCTTGCTCTATCGCCCAGGCTGGAGTGCAGCAGCACGACTACATGTACATGCCACCATGCCTGGTTAATTTTTGTATTTTTAGTAGAGGTGGGATTTCACCATGTTGGCCAGGCTGGTCTCATCCTGACCTAGTTCGTGATCTGCCCACCTGGCCTCCCAAAGTGCTGGAATTACAGGCGTGAGCCTGGTTCAGGCCCGGCCTGGTTCAGGGTTTCTAGCCTGGGCACTGTTGGTATTTTGCTCCACATAACTCTCTGTTGGAAGAGGCCGTCCTGTGCATTGTGGGATCCACATCCGTTGCCTCTACCCACTAGGTGCCCAACAGCACTCCCACCTGCGTCACAAGTTGGGATGCCAAAAATGTCTCCTGGAAGCAAAATAACCTCCAGTTGAGACCCACTAATCTAGTTGAAGAACTTGGTTAAGGTCAGCTAATTTTAATGTGGAGAATTTAGAATTTGACCCTCATTTTCTGGCTTCATGCCAGGGCTCTGCCACAAGACTGCAGCTTCCTTTAGAGAATCTAAATTTATCTCCTTTCTTCAAGGCAAGCTATATCAGAAAAATCTCATAGACATCTATTTAAGGAACTTTTATTGAGAACCTATTATGTGCCCATGTTCTAGGAACTCAGGGTACATAGTATAAAAGACAAACAAGGTGTCTACTCTCATTCTAATAGCTGAGATAGATAATAAAATAATAAGTAGGCCAGGTCGGGTGGCTGACACCTGTAATTCGAGCACTTTGGGAGACTCAGGCAGGCAGATCACTTGAGGTCAGGAGTTTGAGACCAGCCTGGCCAACACAGCGAAACCCCATCTCTACTAAAAATACAAAAATTAACCGGGCGTGGTGGTACCGGGTTGCATTGGAAGCTGTAGTGATTTGAAATCGTGCCACTGTACTCCAGCCTGGGTGACAGAAAAAGAGTCTGTCTCAAAAATAAAATAATAAGTAAATAAATTAGGAAGATCATTTCAGATAGTTCTATGGAGAAATTAAAAGAAGAATGGCATAGATTGGGATGAGGAAGAGTAAGAAGGCTCACTTTAAACAGGATGGTCAATGAAGGTCTCTGTGATAAGCTAACATTTCAGCAGCTGCCATGAGACTGATTTGGAAAGAGCCTTGGGAAGAGTGTACCAGGCCCAGGATCTGGCCAGTGCAAAGATCTTAAGGCAGAAAGGAATTTGAAGAATTAGAACAGTGTTTTTCAAACTTCAGCATGTAACAAATCACTTGATGGTCTGGTTAAAACACAGATCGCCAAATCCCACCCCTAGAATTTCTGATTCAGTAGACCTGGGGTGTGGCCCAAGAATTTGCATTTCTAACAACTTCCCAGGCAAGGCTGATGCTGCAGATCCAGGGACCACTGTTTGATAACCACTGAGTTAAAGCATCAGCAGATAAAGTAATTGTGGCTGGAGTGTAATGAGTGCAGGAACAAGGGGCAAGAGATGAGATCAGAGAAGCTGCAGGAACCTTGGCCTGCCCTGGCACTACAGGCCAGATGATGTGTTGGATTTTATTTTAGGAGTGGGAAGGCCTTGGAGGATTTCAAGTAGGGGAATGATATGATCTGATTTCAATTTTCAACAGCTCACCCCTAGCTGTTGGTAGGGCAGCGAGTCGAGTTTATTTATCTAGTACATATTTTCAAAAGTCTTTATTTCTAATAAATTCCATCTACATTCCTGTATAATATTACAATAAGCACTATTGCAAACCTGGATATCAAGTCAGAAGGAGAAGGGAAACTTCAAATCTTATTTTTATGATACAGGCACTATGACAACCAGAGTCAAGATAATTAGCCCTAGTCACTGGACAATTAGCCAGTGATTGCTCATTAGCAAGATAGCGTGTTTAGTATTTATCAAAACTATGCATTTAAGCTGAGACTTTTGTCTCTGATGTAAATTCTGATGTTTGATATACTGACATGCTAGTCTAATACATATTTGGCTGTGCTTTTCATGTGTGTTTAACAACTTGGAATGAGCTACTTTTTCCAGTGATAGGACAGCCTCTTGTGGGTGTTTTCTGAGGGACAAATGGTGACAAGAAATTGCCCTTCTCTAAGTCAGGATGCCACTGTAGGATTCTCATAAAAGTTTTACTGACCCCTAGTGGAAGATACAGAAGCTCTACCCTGCTTGCTTATCTTGGTATCTTCTGTTTTCTTTAAAGATTTTCCTAAAGAATGTGTGTGCCACATAGAGACTCACACCCTGCCTTCTAGAGACTCACACTCCAGGAGGAGAAACAGACATGGAAAGAAATAATCACCATAAAACCGGCTCCGTGCTGTAATTTACAAGGGAAGGAAGAGGCTACATTTGTGCGGGTCCTTATTAACATTTGTAGATCCATTTATAGATGGAGTCACTGGAAGAAAATGAGAAATGAAAATGTCAACTATTGAAGGTGATGAAATCAGGAAGTCACCCACAATTCATGTACATTTTTCCTGTTGGATTTTAGCACTTTTTATTATGCAATTGTCTGCCAACGATGCCTTGACTTCTTTTTTCTTCTTTTTAAACTTCTGATACCCCACAGAATGAAGCTTCTCTCACCTGATGTCAGCTGAATATTATTTATCATCTGGCACTTCTATGCAACTATGGTACAGTAATTATTGGTGCTCACAATGATAATCATGAGACCCTGGAAGGTCTTAAAGTACCTGCCAACTCACTCAAGTGAGGTTAAATCATGTCCAGTCCTACTTCAGTGAGTTAAGTGCGTTTATGATAGTCTAAATCATTTATAGTTGGTGATCTGTGTATAGTGTATGGGCTAACTTGTTATGAGCACACGAATAAGATGGACCATAGAGCTAGTTATCCAAATGATCCCTGGATGCTCCAAGGTTGTTTCTTTGGTTGAATTTCCTCTATTTCTCTGAATTCTGGTTTCTTGAGATGTTTAGAGCAAGTTTCCAGCTCATTTTCACAATGCTTGTAGCCTTTCCAAATAGGTAAAAGTGTATACATATATCTACAAAAGTCTGCATGGCTGGGAACTCTGGCCTCCGTAAGCCATTATTCTGAAAACTTGCAATCTATACAAACTAAACTATTCCTCCAATTATACACTCTGCATGACATTAGGCCAGCCCCAGAATACCAACCTCCCAGCTATTCTACCTCAACTTCTGTCTCTTCAGACACTTGCTTTCTTCATTTCCCAGCGAGTGATCACATTGTAGAAGTGCAGGCAACTCAGGAACTGTAAAGAAAAAGGTATAAAGAAGACTAAATATATTTTGACATATTTCTATGTAAATTTCAGCAGAGGCCTTCTCTCTTTGAAAATCTGAATATTTAAACCTCACTAAAGCACACTAGAAATATACATTCTGGCTTTAAGTAAGTCCTGAGAAGGGAATTGTCATCAGAAGCATAATTCATCGTTCTCTAATTGTTCTCTCCTACTGAGGATTTTAGCCTATGATAGCCTACCCTGGCTGCTGGCCCAATAATTCCTTATGACACGGGAAAAATGCAGACTTTAGTCCTGTTTAAGACTGGATAAGCCTGGTTCCTTTCTTGTTCATTTTGGCCTGTGGAGACTTGTTGCTAATGGGAACCATCCATCAAAGACTGCTCTTGGCTCAACACAGACAGTCCCCACTGCTTTGTAAAGCTTCCCCTCCCCCTACCCCCTCTCCACCTCTAACCCCCACCAACTTCTCTACCTAAGCTCTGATCTGACCTGTCACTGCCCCTTCCCCCACTTTGACTAGTCTGATCTTGGAATTTGTTGCAACAGGAACTGCCAATTGCTGTAAATTACATGCCACCTTGACAAGGAGAATGCTAATCCTTGAAGGGTTTAGGAAGAGACTACCAAACTTGTTTTGTAGGTGAGAACAAGCTCCCTAGTCAATTGGAGGTGACGTGACTTTCTACTGCACTATGGACTCCCTTTCTTCCAAACAACATGGGACCCCTGGGCAGGGGAAGGGGCCGCAATGAATAAGCTACCACTTGCCTGACCACAGCCCACTTCCTATGTTCATGGATAAGATCTCCTGCCTGCAGCCTTGAAAAACCTTTCAGGTATTTCCCAATCTGGTCTGGTGTTATAGTATCAGATAGTTGTTCGACTGTGTACACTTTAATTTGTGCAGAATATTTACTTAACGAACTGCATTTCTTTGGAGGCAGGAGAGAATAGTGGTTAAACACAACAGTATTGGAGTCTGACTGCCTGCATTCAGTTGTGGCTCTACGCCACACTGGCTCTGACTTCAGGCAAGTTACTTAAGAGCTCTAAGCCTCAGTTTCTTCATTTGCTCCTACCCGAAAAAGAATGATGATGACTACTTCAGATGCATATGAGATAATGCATATAAAACACGTAACACCTTGCCCGCATCCTGGAGGAGGTACTCAGTAAATGTGGGGGTTTTTTTTCAATATTTTTTTTTAGATGGAGTCTCACTTTGTCACCCAGACTGGAGTGCAGTGGCACGATCTCAGTTCACTACAACTTTTGCCTCCTGGGTTCAAGCAATTCTCTTGCCTCAGCCTCCCGAGTAGCTGAAATGACAGGCGCCTGCCACCAAGCCCAGCTAATTTTTGTATTTTTAGTAGAGACAGGGTTTCACCATGTGGCCAGGCTGGTCTCAAACTCCTGACCTCAAGTAATCCACCCGCCTAGGCCTCTCAAAGTGCTGGGATTACAGGAGTGAGCCACCGTGCCTGGCCAGTAAATGTTAATTATTATGATGTCCTCTCACTCTCCCATCCCTCCCCAAATCTCTGGCAGACCCTTAAAGTGACTGGGTTTCACATACTGGTTTTTCAGCAGTTACATCTTCCAGAATTTGAATTAACGTCTGTCATAATTAAGACGGACATTTCAGCAAATCATGCCGAAATGTTGCAGTGGCTGTGAAAGGACATGTTCATTCATCCATTTACCCATTCAGTAACAAATATTTATTGAATACCTACTGTGTCCCCTGGTGTGCATCATGGTGCGTGAAAGACCAAGTCTTAGCCCTTAGAGACCGTGAAGTCTACCCAGGGAGACAATGGTGAACAGAGAAATGAACAAATAAGTAAGTGCTAAATGCTAGTACTACTCAGGAAATGATACGGGCTCTGAAATGGAGATGCTATTTAAACACAGTAAATAGGAAGACTTCTCTGAGGAGGCATTTAGGCAGGGACAGGAAGGAGCCAACATTGAAAGGATTAGGGGGAAGAATCTTTCAGAGAAAGGGAAAAGCAGATGCAAACACCCTAAGTTGAGCTGAGCTGAGCTGAGCTGAGCTGAGCTGACTGGTCTAGAAGCAGAAAACAGAACCAAATGGCTAGAGCCTTGTGACTGAGATACCCAGGCCCTGCATTTGTGCAGCTCCTGTCTGAAGAGGCTGTTCGTGACAGTAGGTTTGTCTGTTGTCCACATGAAAAGGAAGCTCTAGAGATTCAGAAAGACTAAGGTAAGGGGCTTGGGGGATGCAAGCCCAAATCTTCTATTCTTTTCCAACCCCTCACTATCCAATTTACTAAGCTTTGTATTAATGCTTTCATCCAGGATAAAACTGACCTCTTCTGGGCTCCACTTCACTCTGTGGGGAACTCAATTGTAGCATCTTTAAACCATTACTGTGTCTATTCTTTTATATGGCCACCTCCCCTATAGGACAACAGTGCCAGGAGAAGTGGATCATGTCTACTGAATCCTGGTAACTCCAGCATCTAGCACAATGCCTACCCTTAGTTGGGGGCCTTATAAATGTTTGTTGAATGAATGAATCATCACTGAATTTATTGTGCTTGCTGTTGCCAGGCAATAAGCTAAATGCTTTAAATATATTAACCCAATTAATTCTCTTTACAACTCAGAAGGTATGTACTATTATTAGCAACATTTTACAAAAGAAACTAAAGCCCAGAGAGGTATGTAATTCACTTGAGCTCTTACAGCTGAGAAGTACTCGAGCTGGGATTTGAACTTAGGCAGTCTGGCTCAAAAGCCCTTGCTCTTAACTTTGTCACAGCAGTGCTTCTCAAACTACTGTCTATGAGAATCACCTGCAGAACATGTTAAAATACACATTCCAGGGACTCATTTTGCAGAATTTTTTTTTTTTTTTTTTTTGAGATGGAGTTTCGCTCTTGTCACCCAGGCTGGAGTACAATGGCGCGATCTCAGCTCACTGCAACCTCCACCTCCCAAGTTCAAGCGATTCTCCTGCCTCAGCCTCCCGAGTAGCTGGAACTACAGGCATGTGCCACCACACCTGGTTAATTTTTTGTATTTTTAGTAGAGACGGGGTTTCACCATGTTGGCCAGTGTGGTCTCGAACTCCTGACTTCAGGTGCTCTGCCTGCCTCGGCCTCTCAAAGTGCTGGGATTACAGGTGTGAGCCACCATGCCAGGCCACTTTGCAGAATTTCTGATTCAGTAGTTGTATTAGTTACCTAGTTACCATCTCACAGTTTCTGTGGGTCAGGAATCTGGGCACTGCTTAACTGGGCACTGTAGCGCAGAGTCTTTCACAAGGCTCCAGTCTACATGTTAGGGGCTGCAGTCACCTCATGGCTTGACTGGAGGAGGAACCAATTCCAAGCTCATGCCCACGGCTGTTGGTGAACTTCAGGTCCTCACTGGCTGTTGACAGGAGATGTCAGTTCTTTGCCACATGGGCCTCCCCAAAAGGCTGTTCTCAATGTAGCAGATGGCTTCCCTCACAGCAAGTGAGGGAGAGTGTGGCCAAGACTGTAGCCAAATCCTTTTGTAACCTCTTCTCAAAAATGACATCTCGGCCAGGCACAGTGGTTCACACCTGTAATCCCAACATTTTAGTAGGCCTAGCGGGGGGCAGGTCACTTGAGGTCAGCAGTTCGAGACCAGCCTGGCCAATATTGCAAAACTCTTCTCTACTGAAAATACAAAAATTAACTGGGTGTGGTGGCATGTGCCTGTAATCCCAGCTACTTGGGAGACTGAGGCAGGAGAATCGCTTGAACCCTGGAGGTGGAGGTTGCAGTGAGCTGAGATCGCACCACTGCACCCCAGCCTGGGCGACAGAGTGAGACTCTGTCTCAAAAAAAAAAAAAAAAAAAAAAAAAAAAAAAAAAAGACATTTCATCACACTTGCCTAGTCTTAGAGAATTCCCACAACCCTAGATATGGGGTGGACCCAAGAATGTGTATTTTTTAAATTTATTAAATAAATTCAAAAATTTATAAAACTATAGTCCAGGGTGGGGGGCTGGCTTCTCCACATCTGCGGGTTTTATCTGGAGTACTTTATGCAGTGACTAAGAATGTGTATTTCTGACAAGCCCTCAAGTCATGATGATCCTGACAGTGGAGGACTGCTTTGAGCAGCACCAGCATACTATACTGAAGATGTCAGTGAGTGAATGAACAAATGAATCAAGGATCCAACAAACACATATCCTTGGCTGGGCGCAGTGGCTCACACATGCAATCCCAACACTTTGGAAGGCTGAGGCCAGAGGATTGCTTGAGCCCAGGAGTTTGAGACCAGCCTGGGCAACGCAGTGAGACTTTGTCTCTAGAAAATAATTTAAAAATTAGCTGGGTGTGGTGGCACACACCTGTGGTCCCAGCTACTCTGGAGACAGAGGCGAGAGGATCACTTGAGCCCAGAAGGTCCAGGCTGCAGTGAGCTGTGATCTCACCACTGCACTCCAGCCCAGGCAACAGAGGGAGACCTTGTCTCTAAATAAATAAACAAAATAAAAATGAAAACAAAAAGCCTATTCTTGACTGGATCATATATCACATTTTCATAGGGTCTTTCTTCTCCTTGGCTGTTTTCACTGCCACTTGCATTCCCAAAGGCACCTGTCAAGATTTGTCAAGAAGGTGACCATGACCCTAGGAAACCAGGTGTTCACTATGTCATGAAAATGGTGGGCTCACCTGAAATGGATACATCCTATCTTCCACTTCTCAGAAGTCTTACCTCCAGGAGCTATAAAACCTTTCCCTGACAGCCAAAACTTGCCTGGTGAGTTATAGACTCACAGAGCAAGGAAGAATGATTTCAAGAGATTCCCTTTCCTGCTTCCTGCTTTTAAGGAGGTATAATAAGAGAAGCAAATTTTAACTCTACTGGGGTCCTTAAGAGCCTGACCAGAGAGTGGCTTCCAAATTAAAGCAGATTTGTTCTTCCTGCCGAAATCAGACAGGACTCCCCAGTTGGTCTTCCCTTGGAGCAACTTCTCTGACCTTGCTTCCTAAGCACCGGCTGTGTTTGACCCCCTGCTGCCTGGTGAGAAGCGGATGGGCTCTGGAATGCTGGTCCCAGCTCTCACTGAGGACTCAAGAGACAAGCAGCATACACTTCCCCTGCCCTGCCTGAAAGGAAGAGTGTTTGCTGGAGCTGAACAGCTGCCTGGGGTGCAGGGAGGCGAATGTTGCTAAATATATGTTCTTATTGTACATTGGTGTGTCAAGAAAAATTATATCTCCTTGTTCTCCGCTTGGGTATTCTTTAAAAAAATTCTGTACACAAGCACGGGGCACCTCTCAACTCCTGGCCCCTGCATGAAGAATCTGATTGCAGCCTCATTTATTTTTCTCTCCACACCCTTAAAATAAATGCCCTCTTCCTCTTGTCACATTCTGACAGCTTCCGGTGCATTCTACCACTCCCATTACACACAAGGCTTGGGTCTCTGAGTCTCTTTGCCTCCCAGGCTTGCTTTCAACACCAGCCTTTCTTAGGCTGGGACTCAGGGTAGCATGCCTGAGACGGCCAGCGGAGTCTTTTAAATGTGTCCATGAAGCCGGGCACAGTGGCTCATGCCTGTAATCCCAGCACATTGGGAGGCCGAGATGGGCGGATCACCTGAGGTCAGGAGTTCGAGACCAGCCTGGCCAACATGGTGAGATAAACTCTACTAAAATAAATAAATAAATAAAATAAATAAATAAATAAATAAAAATTAGCTGGGCATGGTGGTGTATGCCTGTAATCCCAGCTACTCAGGAGGCAAGGATGATGCAGAATCGCTTAAACCTGGGAGGCAGAAGTTGCAGTGAGCTGAGATTGCGCCATTGCACTCCAGTCTGGGCAATGAGAATGAAACTTCATCTCAATAAAAAAGAAAAAAAAAAAAAGAAAGAAATGTGTGCATGAGTCTCTTTAAAGTGCATGGATAAGGCCAGGCATGGTAGCTCACACCTGTAATCCCAGCACTTTTGGAGGCAGAGGCAGGCAGATCGCTTGAGATTAGGAGTTCCAGACCAGCCTAGCCAACATGGTAAAACCTCATCTCTACCAAAAATACAAAAATTAGCTGGGCATGGTGGCACGTGCCTATAATCCCAGCTACTTAGGAGACTGAGGCATGAGAATTGCTTGAACCCGGGAGGCAGAGGATGCAGTGCGCCAAGATCGTGCCACTGCACTCCAACCTGGGTGACAGAGCAAGACTCTGTCTCAAAAAGAAAAAAAAAGTGCATGGATATGATTATATGTGTATGCATGCAAATGTATGGCCCTAAATCAGATCATTATTATGATATTGATTGGGATGTTTCCATCAGGAACTCAGTTACTAATTTGAATATAGCACTGAGATTCTTCCCTTAATTGAAAAGAAAGTGGCTTGTACCAGTTGGTCTCTTAATCCAAGGTAGAAAATTGATTTTCAGATTTATGAGGACCAGGCTCCTGAGTATTCTCTCAGCCACCAATATGGAATTGACAAGGCTCCACGACAATTACTTTCATTCCCTTCAAGCCCATCCTAGTTTCTTTTTTTTTTTGTTTTTAACTTACATTGGGAACCAGAATTGCCCTACCTACTTGCCACATAATGGTAGGCAATAAAAATGTTTTTTGACTGAACAGCTAAGTGAATAAACCCATATTCTCAAGAAAAGCTAATTAAAATAAAATAGGGTAGATATATTGCCTAAGCCAAGTCCTGCTTTAAGACAAACTGGCCTATTAAAATATGACAAAATGGATCGATTTTGGCAATGGTTATTAATGCTGTAAAGGAATCTGTATTGAATGAAAAGCTTCCTTTCTGTGTGAAGTTCCTTCCTCTCCAGGTGAAGTTGATTATTTTGTCTGGTATGGCTCATCCTGGGACCTTGTTCATCCTCTGTAGTAATGCTGCTCCCATCTGTGCTTCGGTGTGGACACTTATTTATTTACTTATTTTTGAGACAGGGTCTCACTCTGTCCCTCAGGCTTGAGTGCAGTGACACAACTATGGCTCACTGTCGTCTCAACCCTCCAGGCTCAAGCGATCCTCCCACCTCAGCCTCTCAAGTAGCTGGGACTACAGGTGTACCACTCCGCCTGGCTAATTTTTGTGTTTTTTGTAGAGATGGAGTTTTGCCATGTTACCCAGTCTGGCCTTGAACTCCTGGGCTCAAGTGATCCTCCTACCTCAGCCTCCCAGTGTTGAGATTATAGGTGTGAGCCACGTTTTATTCCAATTACTGATTTGCATACTACAAGTTTCTTAAGGAGCATTAACTTTGTGACGACCAGGATGATCTGTTTTTCACCTCAGCTTCCTGGATATTTAGCAAGTGCTCATTAAATGTGTATTGAATGAATGGGTGAAGGACGAGCGAATTCCTCTAGTAATGCAATGTAATATGCTATAATACAATTTAATTTTGGGAGGAAAGTTTGGGAAAGGAGAAGAAAAATTTTAAGTTAAACTAAAGGGTTGAAAACAAATACCACCTAGAAAATTAATCCTTTTGATAAATCATCTTTGAAATATACAGGCCAATAGGAAAATGGAATTTTATTTACAATAGATTTATTTCTGTTCATATTTCAGTGCTGCTTGTAGTCAGGAAAGGGAGGCACACATTTAGAATTACTATATTATTTCTGTAAGCCCATTTGCCTTATTCTCAGTAGGTTCACTACTGGCTGGAACTCATTTTCAAGGCTAAATCCTTCACCCAAGTATTCAATTCATTTGGCTCTTGAGAGAGGTCATTAGCTTTCCCGGGATACATGTCCCTGCAGTAATGAAGTAGCCTCATGGCCAGGAAACCAAAATCTAGTCCTGCATCACAGCCATCTCCCTGGCCCTGTCCTGGCCTCCTGAAGTGGTGGGGCTTGGAGGCAAGCTGCCAAGGCTCAAGGCTGGATGTGTGCACGTGTCTCCTCTGGCTTCATGGCCAATATCATCAATAAAGTGCTTCTCACTTTAAACCTTTTAAAATAGAAGTTTCTCTTGGAGATGAGAAAAGATGAAACTTCCTATAAAACTATATGGTCAAAGAATACCAGCTTTACCCTTCAGAAGCTGGAATGATTTTTTTTGCCTCTTTTAACTCTGAAGTCTATGAGTGACTAAGCAGCATTGCTACCACTCATGGTCAACAGAAAAGATGTCTTCTGCCTCTTCCTCTTCCAAATGCAGGTATGTGTCTAGCCAACCATGATGTGAATAAAACGTCCTTGCTGGAAGGGATCTGCATTTCTTTATATTTCTTGCCCTCCTGCAGGGATGACTTTCAGTGTCCTGCAGGTAAACAGTAAATTATATATTTTCAAAAGTTTCTAATTTAATATCTGAAACGATTATGAACAGCAAACTTTAAAAAACAGATCAAAATAGGATACTAAAGAGAGTTGTAACATTATCTTTCTCCGGCTTTTTTCTGATGCAAGTAACAGCATATCCAAACTAAAAGTGGCTTAAACAAAAGGTCCGATCAGTAGCTTCTCACTTAACAGGTGGTCTAGAGATTGGCATTGGTTGGAGAAGCAGATTGGAAACATCATAAAGAGTCTAGAGTTTTTCAGATTTCCCATTTTGTAACTTTAATGTGTCAGTGATGTCTGCACTAATGCTACCCCATCTCCAAGCATCTTTGTTACCCCAACTAAAAGCAGGAAGAAAGGGAAGTGACAGCAGTTTCTGTTTGTGCTTTCTTACCAAAGATAAAATTGTTCCAGCGTTGTCCAAAAGCAGATCACACACCTAACTACCACCAGCAAAAGAGAATGCAATGACCATGACTTAGACGGTCAATAATCCACCAGAGCAAAGCCTGCTTTCCCCAGCATGTTGCTGCTCAATACCTAAACACAATTAGGATTGTGTTAGCAAGGAAGAAGCATGGGATATCGAATAGGCCACGGATAGTTTCTTCTGTGCAGGTTTGTTACAAAGGTATATTGTGTGGTGCTGAGGTTTGGGGTACAATTGAACCTGGCACCCAGGTACTAAGCATAGTACCCAATAGGTAGTTTTTCAGCCCTTGTCCCGCTCCCTCTCTTCCCTCAAGTAGTCCCTAGTGTCTCCTGTTGCTGTCTTTATGTCCATGTGTACCCAATGCATAGCTCCCAGTTATAAGTGAGAACACGCAGTATTTGGTTTTCTGTTTTTGCATTACTTCACTTAGGATAATGGCCTCCAGCTGCATCCGTGTTGCTGCAAAGAACATGATTTTGTTCTTTTTTATGGCTGTGCAGTATTCTATTGTATGTATGTACCACATTTTCTTTATCCAATGCACTGTTGATGAGCACCTAAATTGATACAATGTCTTTGCTACCAATTCAGCTTTTAAAAATTGGTTAACAAGAAACCAAAACCAAATTTGGATGAGAGTCATACCATTGTCTCTCTAGCATATCATAAAACAGGAGTAGATGGCATTTTGTGGGGAATCTTTTGGGTAGACATGATTATCTTGTAAGATCTATTATTCTGAGGTCTAGTTGCTTTTTAGGTCTACAGGGTGTCTAGTTTTTGAGTATACTGTATTTCATCCCTTTTTGTATATTTAAATTAAAATGAATGTATTTTTTTTGAAAGCCATTTTAGTATTACCCATATAGCTTCCATTCGTCTTCATTTAGGAAAAGCTTTTTTGGCCAAGATAATCCAGACTCAGGAACAGACATGAACTTATACCTGTATCTCTATTGATAGTCATGACATTATCAATACCAGTATGTTTCCCCCCAGCTCATCCTCTTCCTAATTTTATTGCCTGCTTCCAAAATGAAGGCTATAGGTAGAAGTCAGGAAGAGCTGAATTTCCAGATGACTAAGGAGTAGTAGAAAGAACACAAGAAATTCTACAATTAATGTTGATTCATTTGCTTCCTTGGAGTAACACCTCCTCTCATTAAAGAACAACCTTATTATCCCACTGTGAGAAGAAAATGACCTCACAAAGGTGAAATACTATGTGGCATGGTAAGCTTCCGACAAGTTTTATTTATTGCTATCCTGATGATAAGAAAAATAATTCCGGTTCTGAAAATTTATATTTTTACAAGTTACATAGTACTGTAGAAAGTTCAGAAAACATAAATAAGCAAAGAGAAGATACCCATTATCCTATTATAATGGGTATGGTATACCCCAATATCCATTATCAAGTGATAATCAATGTCAGTATTTCCACATATACACTTACAATATTTTTCCATTCATATCTTTGTATTTTTAAATAAAAGTTAAATCATATAAAACAATACTGTTTGCAATTGAAATTCTCTCTCTACAATATATTTCATACATTACCATATGGATATATACAGTTTTACTGAGTGGTTCTGTGTGTTCATAGTTGCTCTACATTTTACTCAAGCAATTCCCCTGTGGATATATACATTATGAAGATATTTCTACATAAAAAGGAACCCTGTGGTTCAGAACTTTGCAACATTCAAAGTTTTTCATTCTCCAGTGAGTACTCCCCATTTACAGCAGTGTCCCCAATTCTGCAATGGGGAATGCACAACCCCAGAGTGTTCTTTCAATTTATTCCAACTCCTTCTTCCTTAGTGTGAGTCTTGGTACTAGTCCCATGCTGAACTGCTTTTATCATCAATTCAAGTTTCCAGAGCATTCCGAGCATTGGAAGACCCACTCCCCACAACTGCTTCATAGTAGCTCAGGCAGAACCTGAAAGAGAATCTGGAAAATGTGACAATATCAGCACTGTTCATAGGAATTTTCTAGAACAAGTGTTTCTGTAAACCTGGATGGAATCCCCTGGGCCCTGAATTATAAACCGCAAATTCAAAGCCACAGCAACACCTGCTGCATCCAACAGCTCTTAGGAGCTACTTCCTGGAGCCACTCTGAATTCTCCAGAGCCTTTCCATCCATCTTCCACCATCCCAAACATTGGAGCTGAGTGCAGTTTTTAATTGCAGGAGCCTTAGTAGATTTACTTACATATGTTTTTATTACCCAAACTATAGTATATGCTTGAATGATTTCAGAATGTGGCCACCTATCAGGGAGACAAATATTTATTGTGGTGAGAGAATATTTATTCTGGTGGTGAGAGATGATTCTTATGGTAGCTAACATATGTGTGTGTGTGTATATATATATATATATATATATATATATATATATATATATATATATATATATATCTTATTACTTAATATGAGTCAAACATTTTATCTGAATAATTTCCACATTGAAAAAATTGGGTTTTATCTGAATGATTTCCATGTTGACAAAATTGGCATTTCACTATTATATTTTCTCTGTTTTATGTTTTTATTTCCTTCTAGAGTTCCTTATGAGTTTTAAAATATGACCATGTAAGTCAAGCACCTAGCTCAGTGCCTCATGTAGAAGGCATTCAATAAATGATATTTCCCCTTTCTCTTCTGCTTTTTTAAGGTGTTATGGCTTATAGGGCATTTTGATGTCCATCATTCATTTGATCTTCTTTTTTTTCCTTCAACTTTTATTTTAAGTTCAGGGATACATGTGCAGGATGTGCAGGTTTGTTACATGGGTAAACATGTGCCATGGTGGTTTGCTGCACAGATCAATTCATCACCCAGGTATTAAGCCCAGCATCTATTAGCTATTCTTCCTGATGCTCTTCCCACATCCCCATTTGATCTTCTTAATCCCGAGATGGAGGCAACACTCTCTTCATATATGTTTTATATATAAGAAAGTATTCAAATTTAGCTGTTGGTACTACTTCCTTTTTTAGATTATGAATTCTTTAAGGACAAATACCTTCCCTGTGTTTCTTTTTACCAAACAGCTCAACATGTCAGGTAGAAGAACTGATACATAGCAACAGCAAGACTTTTTTTTTTTCTATTGAAGTCTACCTTAAAAGTGGGTGGTGGTTGTTTTTTGCTTCCAGAAGTTTTGTTGCTGATAAAATAAGACAAAGTACTCATTCTAATGTGAATTTATGGAATGATTGTCTGCCCATAAAAAATTATTCTCCAGCTTGGAGCAATTAAAGTAGTCCCTCTCCTCTCCAAATTAATGTAATTAATACTATAGTCCTGGTTGTTTATCATGTCTTGATAATATCACAAGGGAATGAAAATATTGGCTCTTTTATCCCCTTAAATAGCGGAGATGAAACTGTTCGAGCTCTAATGTTACAACAGCTGTTTCTCATGTCCCTTGGAATATAATTGGTTGGTACTGAGGTTACTAAATTGTGAGAAATTGGCTTTGGTTTTATGCTTGCCTACTTTTGGTGGAGGGAAAGATGGGAAATGTTAGCTTTCTCTTGTAATGAAAAGGCAAAATCTTCCCCAATGAAATGGCAGCTTCCGGGTCTCATCTGTATAATTTTCTTCAACAACCGACTGTCTCTGGGTTTCTTGGATAACACGCCTGGGAAAGCAAGACCATTCTAGCTTCCCTGCTAATTAGCTCTCAACCCCATGCAGCTGGCTGAAATACATGTGGGCTTTCCCATGAGGGGCTTTTTCTGGAAGTCACTATAAAGTGGTCTGGTCTCCAATGACAAATTCAATAGGGGATTTGAGACCTTAATTATCCCAAATAGTTTATAGGAGCAAGATTCTTTTATCTGAATGTCTTTATTGCTTAGGACAGTTGTTTTCAATGTGTCGTTCCTAGACCAGCACTGTCAGCATCACCTAGCAACTGGTGAAACATGCAGATTTTCAGGCCCACTCTAGACCTACTGAACCAGAAACTCTGGAGCAGGGAGGGTCCAGCAATGGAGTCCAGCAATCTACGGTTTAATGAGCTCTCCAGGTGATTCCGATGCCCAATAAACTTTGAGAACCACTAGCTTCGGGTATAACCAGGTTTTCTTGGTTTGTGGTCAGGCAATACTCATTAGTCTGCTGCTAACTTGTCCGCTGTTTAATCTTCATTAGTCTTCCAAGGAATCGAGTGTGCAGCGAAGTGCATACTCGCCTTCATACCAGCCTCCTCAGAGCAAACTCACTCCCTCACTCATTGTCACTCTCTTGCTCATTATTGTCTGAGGTTGTAGGGCAGTGCCTCTCAGTCTTTACTGTGCTCATGAATCATGTGAAAAACTTGTTAAAAGGCAGATTCTCATTTAGAATGGCCAGAGCAGGGTCTGTGAGTGTGCATTGCTAACAAGCTTCAGGTGCTGCTGCTGGTCCAGAAACCACACAGAAGTGACTGGAGGAGCTCATATATGTGACACCAAGTATATGCTAGAGAAAATGACAACTGTAAAGGACACATACCAGTTAATTGGTACAATATAGGCAATCTAAATAATGATGAATATTATAACAGTTTATCAGGTAGTGTTTCTTTTTTGTTTTTTTTCTGAGACGGAGTCTTGCTCTATCACCCAGGCTAGAGTGCAGTGGCACTATCTCGGCTCACTGAAACCTCCGCCTCCCGGTTTCAAGCATTTCTCCTGCCTCAGCCTCCTGAGTAGCTGGGATTACAGGCATATATCACCATGTCTGGCTAATTTTTGTATTTTTAGTAGAGACGGAGTTTCACCATGTTGGCCAGGTTGGTCTCAAACTCCTGACCTCGTGATCTGCCTGCCTCAGCCTCCCAAAGTGCTGGGATTACAGGCATGAGCCACCATGCCTGGCCTATCAGGTAGATTCTTAAACGACAGACTTGAATGAGGAATTTTTCCATTGGAGAAATTTTCTTCTTCTTTTTTTCTTTTTTGAGACATGTTCTTGCTCTGTCACCCAGGCTGGAGTGCAGTGGTGCGATCATAGCTCACTGCAGCCTCAACCTCCCAGGCTCAGGTAATCCTCTCACCTCAGCCTCCCAAGTAGCTGGGACCATAGGCATGTGCCAGCATGCCCAGCTAATTTTTTAACTTTTTGTAGAGACAGGGTTTTGCCATGTTGCCCAGGCTGGTCTCCAACTCCTGGACTTAAGCAATGGGAGGCCTGCTGCCTTGGCCTTCCAAAGTGCTGAGATTACAGGCGTGAGCCACCATGCCCAGCCCAGAAATATTCTTTAGCTCTGCTTTTCTACTCCTTGGGTTCCTTGTGCTCCCACTCTCCTTTCCACATCTCCTTCCACACAACATCCTCATCCTTCCTTCCTTCCCACTCCCCCGCTTTGTCCCCACTTTGTCTCCTCTCTGGTTCTTTCCATCTGAAACTTTATCTGGCTTCTTTGTTTTTCCTTTTTCTTTTTTTTTAGACAGAGTCTCACTCTTGTCACCCAGGCTGGAGTACAGTGGCACAATCTCAGCTTACTGCAACCTCTGTCCCCTGGGTTCAAGTAATTCTCCTGCCTCAGCCTCCTGAGTAGCTGGGATTACAGGTGTGTGCCACCACACCTGGCTAATTTTTGTATTTTTAGTAGAGATGGGGTTTCACCATGTTGGCCAGGCTGGTCTCGAACTCCTGACCTCAAGTGATCCGCCCGCCTTGGCCTCCCAAAGTGCTGGGATTACAGGCATGAGCCACCATGCCTGGCCTATCTGGCTTCTTTGTTGATACTTACGTCAATTCTCATGAACTGAAAAGCCAAAGCCAACATTTTGGAGGAGATCAAGTGGGAAAGTCATAAGGGAGAACTTAAGAAGGCTTAACTTTACCACCTAAAACAGTTTTTCAAGTTGTAAATCCAGATGCTCACCACTGAATTCTTATTTCCCTGGTGTTCACCATCCAATAGGCTATAGTTTTGTCATCCTTTGGGCTCACCTCCTTAGATGGGAAAGAAATCAAGTATGGGCTGGGTTTTCCCACGAGCTTCCAGACTGGCAAGTTTCCTTTAACCTTTGAAAATTACTTCAAAGTTTCCCTTTGAGGAAAGCTGTTGGTGTACACAGCTGATGTCTTTGCTCCTGGATCTGACTCCCCTGGCTGAGCTGTAGATGTGGAAACCAGGGTAGGGGAGTCACTTTAATGTCTGCTGTAAGAAAATGGCAGAAGGAGACTGTAGAAGATGTGAGGAAATAAAGCAAAAGGGTAATCAATCCGCAAGGAAGAAAACCCAGGGCTTCTGTGTGAGTAGATTCCTAGACAGTTTCTTTCTGCCTCTTCTTCCTCCCCCATTTCTTTGGCAATAGAGATTCCTCTGTTACTGGTAGAGGGTTTGACTGCTAGTTGTCCAGGTTCTCCGTGTTTTGAACAAAGAATTGGACAAAATGTACATCAAAGCAAGGAAGAATGAAGCAACAAAAGCAGAGAGTCATTGAAAATGAAAGCACACTCCACAGAGTGGGAGTGGGCTGAGCAGTGGCTCCAGGGCCCCAGTTACAGAATCTTCTGGGGTCCAAACACCCCCTAGTGGTTTCCCATTGGCCACTTGGTGTTCACTCTATGCAAATGAAGTAGTGGCCGGCAATCAGTCTGATTGATTGTGGAAAGCAACCAATAAGAGGCTGAAGTGAAGTTACAATGGTTATGCTTCTATGCAAAGGAAGACTTAGCCCCCAGTCAGAGGCTGAAGTGAAGTTACAAAGTTACACTCCCATGTAAACGTCTGATTTGTTTCCACAATTTTCCATCTGCCTTCCAGAAAAACTTGGGGGTGGGGGGCTTTGCAAAGGGAGTGGCCTCTGGTTCTTTTGTTACTTAGGCATGGAAAGTTGGGGTTTTCCTTTCATTTTAGTTATACGAAGTCAGCGTGAAATCGGCCTCAGTTTCCCCTCCCTTTGGACCCTATTCTCCTGCCTCACTTCCTCCACCAGGATGTGCATCCCTCAGAAGTTCTTATAACTGTCCTACAGTTCTTGAGTTACATGGCTTGGAGGAGGAGTATCAGCTTAAATTAAAGAGCAGAGGTTTTCCTTCTGTGCTGTGTCTTTATGCTCTTTTGGCATCCCTGGACCACATTGGAAGAAGAATTGTCTTAGGCCACACATAAAATACGCTAACACTAATGACAGCTGATGAGCTGAAAAGAAAAAAAATCATCACAAAAACATCTCATAATTTTTTAAGAAAGTTTACAAATTTTTGTTGGGCCACATTCAAAGCCATCCAGGGCCACATACGGCTGTGGGTTGGACAAGCTTGCCAGCATGGTGCCATCAGACAAATATTAAAAATACACATGAGAAAGCATTTTTTTTTTTTACTTATGAGCTAACTTGTTTTTCCTTAACTTTTTTTTCTTTTCATGGGACTAAAATTAGAGAGGAAAATGAAATATCAATGTTAGGCAGAATGAGCCAATAAGAAGAGGTGTGGGACAGACATGTGCTGGGAATGGAGGAATAAGGCAGAGGGTGAGACTGAAAGTAAAATCTGATTTGGGTCTTAAAGGATAAGGAGGAGGCAGCATGGAACAGTGATAAGAACATGGGTCTTAGAATGTGTATCCTGATTCCAACGCTTACTGAGTGAGTGACTCGAAGCGGGCTGAATATCCCAGTAAGATAATGTATAGAAGCACTGCATAAGTCAGAAAATACCTGCAGGAAATAGAAACCACTCTAGCTATGGTCTGAATGTTTATATGTGCCCCAAATTCATATGTTTAAATCTTTACCCTCAAGGTGACAGAGTTAGTAGGTGAGGCCATTGGGAGGAGATTTGTTCAAGGGGACAGAGCCCTGATATTTGGGATTAGTGCCCTTATAAAGGAGGCTCGGGTGAGACCCCTCACCACTCCCACCATGTGAGGACACTCCTGGGAGGTGCTGCCTATGAACAAGGAAATGGGTCCCCATCAGACACTGAATATGTTGGAGCCTTGCTCTTGGACTTCCCAGCATCCGGATGTATGAGAAATAAATTTCTCTTGTTTGTAAGCCAACTAATCTATGGTATTTTGTATAGAAGCCTGAATGGACTAAGATGGTATTTCAATCAGAATAGGGTTTAAAATAGAAAAATAAGTGGTTACAAAATATAGGCGAGATGGCAGGAACTGAAGACACAGGGCCACTAACAAGCTTCAAGGCTTCTCTTGCAGCTGGCACCCAGTTCAGGAGGCTGCAGGAGACCACATTCACCATCATAGCTGCCCCACAGCCTCAAATCGGTTTTCACACCAGCTTTCTGGTGACTGCACAAGCTCCAATTTGATGAGCATGTGCATCAGCCAATACCGACACTAAGGAGAGTGGCCCTCTTCCCTTCCACTTTCCAATCTCATTAGCGTACAACTCATTGCTGGACTCTAAATTGTATCGAACTTAACAGCCAAGGAGACTGAGAATATAATTTTTGGCTTTCTGGCCCATGTGATACAAGACCAAGTGGAGGCAGAGGTGGTGGAAATGGATATTAACAACATGTGGTATAAGTATTAAGTGCAGAGAATCAAGAAATGCTAGTCTGCATAGGAGGAGCAAGTAATGTTCAGTGAAGTCAGACCAGAGATTGGTGTCAGGGTTTTGGCAGACATTAAAAAAAAAAAAAATAGAAATCTTCCCTTTACACTGGAGAGAAACCCAATGATAAAGGGAAATGGCAAAGAAGGAAACATAACTGGATATATTTCTCATTCACTCAATGAAAATTAACAATAAGTTTCTATTCTTTATTTGTTTAGTTTTAGTTTACTTTCTATAAACAGTCTTACTCTGTCACCCAGCCTAGAGGGCAGTGGCACGATCATAGCTCTCTGCAGACTCAAACTCCTAGCTTGAAGCCCTCTTCCTGCCTCAGCCTCCTGAGAAGCTGGGACTACAGATATGTGCCACAGTGCCTGACTATATCTATATATTTTTAGAGATGGGAGTCTTTCTGTCCTGCCCAGGCTGCTCTTGAACTCCTGGCCTCAAGTGATCTTCCTGACTCAGCCTCCCAAGTAGTTGGGATTACATGTGTGAGCCACTGCGCCAGGATTCCATTCTAGGATTCCATTCTATCTGGCTAAGATTCTATCTGTTTTAGGATTTCATTCTATCTGGCTACAATAATAAAGATAATGTCACAGCTTGCTCACACCCTGTGGCTGGACCCCGTATCTTCTTCCCACCCACCTACCAAAAGACTGAGGCCCATTTTCCGTTGGCTCTCATTCAAACTCTGTCAGTTAGGATCTTCTCCTTCCCACTCAATCCTCTAGGGTGATAAGCACATTTTCCAGCAGCTCTGGAGTCATGGCTGCTTACAAAAACTGTGCCAATCCAAACAAGTCCAGCTGGAAGGCGCTGGACTTCCTTTCCTCTGCCATCTTCCCAGCTGAAATCACAGGGAGTTTTGAACCAGCAGACAGGAGCTGAAGCAAGAGACACAAGTCTCATTTCCCTAGGGTGAAGCACAGAGCTGTTAGAATGGTCCCTCCCTTATTCTTTCAAAAAACTTTGACACCTTCAAAAATGGCACAATTGAAGAAGAAGGATAAACAATAATTGAAATGGAAGGATAAACAGTACATGATATTATGAAACTAAAATGAAGCCAAAATGTTCTCATTCTTTCACCTCAATATAACCTCCAGAAAACCAGGGAATTTGTCTTTTATTTTTTTTTTTGAGACAGTGTCTCACTCTGTTGCCCAGACTGGAGTAGAGTGGCATGATCACAGCTCACTGCAGCCTCCACCTCCTGGGCTCAGGCAATCCTCCCACCTCAGTCTCCTGAGCAACCGGGACTACAGGCATATGCCACCATGCCTAGCTAATTTTTTATTTTTTTGTAGAGATAGGATCTTGCTATGTTGCTCAGGCTGGCCTCAAACTCCTGGACACCAGCAATCCTCCTACCTCAGTCTCCCAAAGTGCTGAGATTATAGGTGTGAGCCACTGCACCTGGCCTTTGTCTGTCTTATGTATTGTTATATTTCCCTGCAATCTGTATTGGGGGTAAGAGACAATGACTCTTATTGAGGTGGAGGGCATCGTGTTTCAGAGAAACTGGCACTCCACAACTATTTCATTTGCTCTTCTACATTTTCTAGCCTCTTTTGCAGTTTGGTTGGGCTGTACAATTAATTCTGGCCAATTAGTGAGTGGAAATGACACTTGTAGGCCATGATAATTAAAAGCCTAGAGCTTTCTCCATCTTTCTTTTCCTTCCCTGAAGCAACTTGGGAAACCATTGCCTTGATTCATAATACAGAAGAACCCTGGCCCTCTGAGTCATTAGGAGCCTACCCCTGTCCCATGGCCTGCATCAGGTTTTACATGAATAAGAGATAAAGTTTTGTTGGGCTGAGTCACTGAGATTTCAGGGTTTATCTGTCATTGCAGCATAGCTTAGACTATCTTAACTAATAAACACTGCATTATTCATATATTAATTCAACTGACATTTATTGAGTACTCCAGAGTGTTAGTCACAAGAGCAAGAATATTTAGGAACTGGCAAAAAGATAAGCAGCTACAGAAGCAAATTCTAAGAGATATGAAATTCAAAGGACATTGTCAACACTTTTCTGGCTCAGCTTTTACGAAAGTCTTCAGAGTTCAGTAGCCCTTTGTTCAATGTAACAGAAGTACTAACTAATTTGAGACTGCCATATGTGTAGAGAAGATGCAAAAAATAAGAATAATTGTTCCTTACATGTTTATGTGCTTCACATTTACAAAGCCTGTTAGAAATGCATGGTCTCATTAGAAGTTTATCAATAAGTTTGTGAGGATGATATGTGAGGTATGATTGCTCTCATTTTACCCTGGTGGAAAATGAAGCTTGGTCAGGGGAGATCCACATTGCTGATAAATAACAGAATCAAATCTGAAGCCAAGGTCTGCTGTCTTGAGCCAATGCCCCATACACCAAGCTTCCTGCTAACAGTCTGATATTTGACTTTCCATGATGAAAACATACCAGTATAGAAATTGAGGTGTAGGTTAAGGAGGGAGAAATGGGGTAGGCCAAATAACTCTGGTGAATAGTTTTGATGTAAAGAGTAAAATTGTTAGTTCTGACTCAGTGAGTAATAGAAGCCACATAGATCTTAAACAGAGCATCTTTCTATTTAATTTACCTTTTGCTGTGCCACCTGACTCCATGGCAATTGCCAGGAAGTAAGCAAAGAAGCAAGACCAGATTTGGACATTTAAATCTTCAGAACCAAATGCAGAGAGAAGAATAACAGAGGGCTAGGAAGGGCTAGGGTCCCACCTTAGTCCTGGCCATCCCCTGTGATAGTTTCTAGAAAATTTTGGAAGATGGCCTCTCCCTGGGACAGTTATCAAAGGCATATGTTCTAGGATTGTAGACCCAGTTCATAGTAACATGAAATGATACCTTCTAGGCTCAGTAGCTAATAACCACGCAAATTTTGTGGCCCCAACTAGAGATTCTCACTACATAGCTGGAGGTTTTAGAGCCACGTAGAGACTTTGGCACCTGATTAGAAAAGTTGTTCCAAGGCCTCAGAGGGAGGCTGTGCATCTCTCCCAGGTCCTTGAACCTCTTGTTTCCAGTGCCAAAATTAACAAATGTTAGAAGCAGACTCTCACTATTCAACAATGTGTAAGCCATAAACCGAAATGACATTAACCTTTTAAGAATCAATCTCAGCATTAATCTAGCACCCACATTCCCCCTTTACCTCTACGAAAAGTCTATTTCTGCAACTTGGCTTATAGCATCTCTAGAAGTTCCCTCTTGCCTTCTATCACCTAATGTCTCTCAATTCTTCAAACCCTAACTCAGGTTTCTCTTCTTCTGGGAACCTTCTCCTGTCCATCCCTACCAAGTTCAGACCAAACATTTAACCATTCAATTCATATCTATCGAATGCTTGCTTTACTGCAGAAACTGTCTTCGGCATTGGGAACACGGTGGTGAACTGGAAACCTCAGATCAACGGGCTAACTTCCAGTCTAGCAGACCAGAGTATTTGCTTCCTGCTATCTGCTTCTATAACAAATTCAAGTACTCCTACATTGGCCCTCACAATATGCTGCTGACATGAATCCTTGGCTATCTTTGCTCAGATAAGTTCTTTGATGTCAAAAGCCATTCATGTGTCACACATTTCTGATCTCTGCAGTGCCAAGCAAAGGAGTGGGCTAATAGATGAATATCTACTAGTTTATATAAGTGACTAATACTATCCTGTGTCATAGAGCTAATGGCGGTGAGGAAGAAGAGTGAGGGAAGGGATGTGTTTAGACTTGGTTTGCCTAGAGCACAGACCCAGAGATGTGTTAGAATAATGAATAATAATAATAGTGAATAAACCACAGGCACCGGCCAGGGCCTGTTTATTACGAAACACATCAAGGAAGTATGATGGTAAACCTCTTCTGGTTGAGTAACTTAGCTTATACTACTTGTTTAAGCTCACCAAGGGAAATTCCATCATAAAACACAACTTTTTTTTTAAAGGGATTCCTAAAGGTTGACTTCTGAGTTGTGATTTCTGGGGACACAGTCAAGACTTTTGATTACCTGTACATCTGATTTATGGAGAATCATTTGTGCAAAACCAAGAGGGGCACAGTATATCTAAGAGTATAGATTCTCCTCCTTTTAGATAATGTGTACTGCAGAATTACTTATAGAATTAGTTATATAGGACCCCAAGTCAATTTACATAAATGTTTTTGCACAAATGTAAAAAAAATTCACTAAGGAATTATGGTTATTTTTGAAGCCAGATAAACCCTAATTTCACATGAAGAAATTGAGGCATAAATACCCTAAGTGACTTGTCAAAGATCATGCACTCAATTAGTGTCAAAAGCTGAACTGAAATGCAGAACTCATGGCATCTACCTGTGTACTTTGCGCCACATCACAGTAAAGTGTAAAAGCATGTTAGGGAGTTGCAAGCATGCCTTTGAAGCCGTTCTCTATCTGTCATTATAAATACCCAGACTGATAGAGCTCAGTGGTGTTCTTCCAAGAATGTGAAGCATAGACTGCAGAGAATCCACAGCAAGAGGGGTTAAAATTAAACCTGTGGGAATTAATCTCCAACTTTCTAGGCACGGGCAAAGTGAGAGTATATCAATCAGAGAAGAAAAAATGTAGAGTCCAGAAAATGAGACAATATCCTAACATGCCATAGAATATGGAAAGCACGAAAACACGGAGAGGACTGAGGTCTACGCACAGTCATTTCCCAGACCCCCAGATCCTTGTTTATTTACTCCCTTGTGTTAGTTTCTTGTGGCTGCTATAACAAATTATCACAAACTTGCTAGCTCAAAACAACAGAAATATATTTTATTGCAGTTCTGAAGACCAGAAATCCAAAGTAAAGGTGTTGGCGGGGCTGTGTTCCCTCCTAAAGTTCTGGGAGAGAATCCTTCCTCCCCTCTTCCAGCTTCTGGTAGCTCCAGGCATTCCTTGGTGTGGCTGCATCTCTCCAGTTTCTGCCTCCGTGGTCATGTTGCCTCCTCCCCTTCCGTGTGTTTTCTCCTCTGTGTGTCTTATAAGGATTCGGGCGAGGATCTCTGGACAGCATTTAGGCCCTGCCCAGATAAGCCACAATTGTCTCTTCATCTCAAGATCTTTAATTACATCTTCGAAGACTTTTCCCAAATAAAATCACATCACAAGCTCCAATGTTTGACATGAATATTCTTTGGGGGCATTATTTTTTAGCCACTCTCCCACTTCTATTATTGCACATATTCATTATTTGGGTAATTATTTTTGACAACCCTCATCCCCACTGAGAGAGTTCATGGGGGCCATAAGCCTTGTCTGTTTCACTCACTGCTGCTCCCAAAGCACCTAGCACAGTGCCTGGGACATAGTAGACATTTAATGATATTTGGTAGGTAAATAAAAATTTATTAATTTCTTATTACATATTAATTTATTGATGAAAATGAGTTTTAATTTTATTGAATTAATAACATTTTTATTAATAAAATTAATTTAAAAATTGGTGCAAGGAAGGGAGGAAAAAGGGGAGGGGAAAGAAAGAGGGAAGAAAGAACAAAAGCAAGGAAGGTGGGAAAAGGGAGAGAGAGAGGGAAAAGAAGATAAGGGAAAAGAAGGGAAGAAAATATCTCTAACTCTCACTAGAAATTCTGAGATTGGGTTAAAGGTGAGAAAAACGAGGATGCGTTTTAGAAAGCTGAAGGCCACAATTAGCAAGTGATAAAGCTTTTATTTCAACTGAGGTACTAAAAATCCATATAGTCTCCAATGCAACACAGCCCTAGTTAGATGCCAGGGTTAGGTTAAAGAGAGAGCAATAAGATTCAGAGAAGTGCATGGTTTGCTTGCCTCAAGGAGTTTGCAATCTAGTGGGGAAGTTAGCTAGCTAGATATTTCACACACACAATAATGTGGCAAGTGCCAAATAAATAGAGTCTAGATTTTGAAAGGCTTTTAATGCTTTTGGATTTTATTCTATAAAACAACATTTAGATGAGATTTCCAGGCATAAGCAGTAATATTTAAAATTTGCTATTTTGATAGTAAATAACAGTTTTATAGCTGCTGTGTAATTTCAAGTACAAATATCTATTATGACTCATGCTAAACTACATTAGCCCATGGGATTATCCTAAGGGGTAAATTATATATTTGGCATAAATCCAACCATTGGAAAATACTCACTTGAAAAATGCTCAATTATGTCATTCTTGAAGTGCATTTTATAAATAAATCTGAGTCTTCAAATCAGAATGTTCTTGAATGTTGACCAGCACCTGTGAATTATATAAGATCAAAACATCATTCAATGTTGAACACTATCTTGAGTGTTCATTCATTCATTCAATCCTTTCATAGGTGTTTATTGAGATCCTACTGTGTGTTGTTCTGGGAGCTGGAGGTAAAATTTGAATAAGAATGTAGTCCCTACTTTTAAAGGGCTCATTGTCTATGTTATCCAGATTCTCCAGAAAGCAGATGTAGGTGACAAAGTAAGGATTTCAGGAGGCTTATTGGAGAGTAAGCCGTGAACGTGAAAGGGTGAGGAAGCGGGATTGGACAAGGGAATCCTTTATGCCAAAAAGCAGATATGACATCTGTCAAAGGAAAGAGGGAGGAGGCAGGATGAGGAAGAGAGAGCCTCAGACTACAATGCAGATCTGATGAAGTCTTAGCTGACCCAAAGATTTCCTGCTAAAGGAGTCCTGAGTTGGCCCTGGTGCCACTGTTATACTCGGTCATTGTCTGGGGCTGCCCAAAAAGATCGTGGCCTCAGCTTGAAAGCTGAGGCAGAGCTTGAAGGCATTAACAGCTGGAGGCTGTCAGCTAACTGCACTCCTTGCAGCTAAATAGCCAGTTCTTTCTTGAAGGGAGATCAAAGCGATGCAACCCCATGGCTGCCACATAGTGTGATCAGGATGAAGGCCAATAAACAGGCAATTTAGGTCCAGTAAGGGTAATGACAAGGTGCCATGGGAGCTTAACCATGGAGCACCAAACTCCGACTTCGGTACAGGAAAACTTCCAGGAAGATGTAGGGTTTAAGAGGATGCCTGGATTATAAGTAGGAGTTAGCCAAATGAAGGAGGCAGGGGTAGGCAGAGAGTGTTCAAGGCAGGAGAACATGATGTACAAAGCATTGTGGGAGAGAAAGCATGGCACATTTGAGAACATAGCAAGACCTGCTGTATGATTTTAGTATCACATTGCAGGGAGGTGATAGCAAGAGACAAAGCTGGAGAAGTACATGGGGGTAAAGAACGGAGGGCCTTGTCCACCCCATTAAGAAATTCAGGCAGCATAACCACATACAATATGGCCTGTAGATTTGAACACACAAATACCAACAATTTTTCCCCATTAGACTTTGTAGAGCATCCTGAAGACCCCATATTCCAATTCTCTGTGTTTAGATACTAGTGATCCATAGGAAAACACAGCTATGTTGCCTATGAGGAAGAATAACATTCATTATCACCCATTGCTCGTTTGTCCACTATTTTTATTCAAGGTTACACAGTCCATCTCCCGGTAGGAGAGAAATCACAAGACTCATAGGTTTGGTTGGAGAGAATGGGAAGCATAGAGCCAAGGAGCTCTCAGAAGCATCAGACCAAGGCAACAGAACAAAAAACTGACGAGCCACACTGGGTTTTGAGTATCACAATAGGGCCTGGAAAAGAGCCAAGAATGTTTTTTGCTACTTCTAACTTAGAGGGAAGGATTTTTAAAATGAGCCCTGGGATTTCACTTATATGTTCCTATTCTGAGAAAATAATCATAAATTTGAAGATTTATAATGATTATTGAGGACAGTAATGATGGCTAAACTCTAATTGGTGATTGCCATTTCCATGCTAAATGGTTCACACTTGATTTTATATAATGCTTAGAACAGCCATGTTGTACCTAAGAGGCAGGAACTTTTTTTTTTTGAGACAGAGTCTCATTCTGTTGCCCAGGCTGGAGTGCAGTGGCATGATCGTGGCTCACTGAAAACTCTGCCTCCTGGGTTCAAGTGATTCTCATGCCTCAGCCTCCTGAGTAGCTGGGATTACAGGCACACACCACCATACCTGGCTAATTTTTGTATTTTTAGCAGAGATGGGGTTTCACCATGTTGGCCAGGCTGGTCTTGAACTCCTGACTTCATGTGATCCACCCAGCTCAGCCTCCCAAAATGTTGATATTACAGACGTGAGCCACCACACCCAGCCAGCAGGAACTATTAATTGTTCTCATTTTTCCTAGGATAATTTTTTTTTTTTTTGAAATGAAGTTTCACTCTTGTTGCCCAGGCTGGAGTGCAATGGCGCAATCTTGGCTCACTGCAACCTGCGCCTCCCCGGTTCAAGTGACTCTCCTGTCTCAGCCTCCCGAGTAGCTGGGATTACAGGTGTGTGCCATCTTGCCCAGCTAATTTTTTGTCTCTTTAGTAGAGATGGGGCTTCACCATGTTGGTCAGGCTGGTCTCAAACTCCTGACTTCATGATCTGCCTGCCTCGGCCTCCCAGTGTGCTGGGATTACAGGCATGAGCCACCGTGCCCGGCCCCTATGAAAAAATTAAAGCTAAAAAAGGTTAAAGAACATGTCTAAGGTCACATAGTTAATATGCAAAGAAAGGTTAAACAAAGCATTGTTTTAATTTCAATTTTATTTTAGAGACAGTGTCTTGCTCTGTTGCCCAGGCTGGAGTGGAGTGGTGCAATAAGCTCACTGTAACCTCAAACTCCTAGACTCAAGAGATCCTTCCGACTTAGCCTCCTAAGTAGCTAGGATTACTCCTTGCTGAATTTTTTTTTTCTGTGTGTGTGTGTGTTGGTAGAGATAGAGCCTTTTTTTTTTTGAGATGGATTCCACCCAAGCTGGAGTGCAGTGGTGTGATTTCGTCTCACTGCAGCCTCTGCCACCCAGGTTCAAGTGATTCTCCTGCCTCAGCCTCCGGAATAGCTGGGATTACAGGCATGCACCACCATGCCCGGCTAATTTTTGTATTTTTTTGGTAGAGACGGGGTGTCACCATGTTGGCCAGGCTAGTCTTGAACTCCTGACCTCAAGTGATCCACTCCCCTAGGCCTGGGATTACAGGCATGAGCCACCTCATGCTGGGATTACAGGCATAAGCCACTGTGCCTGGTTGAGATGGAGTCTTGCTATGCTGCTCAGGCTGGTCTCAAACTCATGGGTTCAAGAGATCCTCCTGCCTCAGCCTCAACATTATTTTTTAAAATTACAAATGATCTAGAGGGAAACTATTAATTTTGGGTATGTATATATTCAGAAATATTAAGTAGTTATTAGAAAAAAATGTTTTCAAGTTGTCATTGACATTAACAAATATATATGTTATGATTTTTAGTGAAAAAAGTGGAAAGTAAAATCGTACAAACATTATGATCTTTTAAAAAAACTGCTTCATTGAGTTATAATATATATACCATAAAATTTACCCAATTGAAGTGTATAATTTAATGATTTTTGGAAAATTTACAGAACACAACCATTACCACAATCCAGTTCTAGAATATTTCCATCATCTTCTCCCCCTTAAAAAATCTTTCATACCTTTGTGCAGTTAATCCTCATTTCTATTTCCAGTCACAGACAATCCTAATATACTTTCTTTCTAACAGATTTGCCTTTCTGGACATTCCATACAGCGCAATCATGTCATATGTGGTTATTTACATCTTTCTTGTTTCACTTAGCATAATGTTTTTGAGCTTTACCCATGTTACAGCATGTTCAATGGTTTGTTATTTTTAACTGCTGAATAGTAGTTCTATTGTACGGTTATACGGCATTTTGCTTATCCATTCACCAGTTGATGGACATTTGGGTTGTTTCTACTTTTTGGTAATTATGAATAAGACTGCTATAAACATTGCATGCAAATCTTTGTGTGGACATACATACAGTTTTATTTTTCTTGAGTATATGCCTAAGTGGATAATTGCTGGGTCATATGGTAAATGTATGCTTAACTTTTTTGTTTTTTTGAGACAAAGTCTTATTCTGTAGCCCAGGCTGAGGGGTGCAGGAACGTGCCACTGCACCATCACAGCTCACTGCAAACTTGAGCTCCCAGGCTCAATCAATCCTCCCACATAAGCCTCCCAAAATGCTGGGATTACAGGCATGAGCCCATTAGCAGTTCATGAGGATTCCAGTTTTTCCACATTCTCACCAACAGTTAAAATTATATATGTTTTTATTTTAGCCATTCTGGTAGATGTGAAGTGATGGCTCATTGTGGTTTTGTGTATTTGCCTAAAGACTGATAATGTTCAACATTTTTAAATAAGCTTATTTTCCATCTGTATATATTCAAATCTTTTGCCCATTTTTATTGGGTTGTTTATTTTCTTACAAATGAATTTTGAGTATTCTTTATGTCTTCTGGGTTCCAGTCCTTTCTCTCAGTTTCTTTCTTTTAACAGAGTCTTTCAAAGAACAGAAATTTTTAATTTTGATGAAAAATATAACTTCTTTCTTCTATGGGTTGTGTTATTTGGTGCATTGTCTAAGACATCTCTGCCTAATCCATGGTTCCAAAAATTTTCTTCTATGTTTTCTTCTAGAGTTTTTATAGTTTTAAGTTCTGCATTTATGCCCATGATCCGTTTTTATTTACTTTACCATAATGTGAGATATGAAGTTTTTATTTTTTTAATTTTTTTGCATGTGGATAGCAAATTTTTCCAGCATTGTTTGTTAAAAAGACCATCATTATCAACTGAATCACCTTTGATCCTTTGTTGAAAATTAATTGACCATATACATACGGGTCTATTTTTGGACTCTATTCTGTAATACTGATCTATTTGTTCATCTTGCAACCAATACCACATTGTCTTGAATTCTTTAATCCCAGTGATTCTCCACTGAAAGTGATTTTGCCCCCCTCCCTTCCCATCACCAGGGGATATTTAATAAAGTCTGAAGACATTTTTTATTGTTATAACAGAAGAGGTGCTACTGCGATATGGTGAGTAGAGGCCAAGGATGCTACTAAACGTCCTTCTGTATACAGGACAGTCCCCACAACAAAGAGTTATCTAGTTCCAAATGTCAATAATGCCTCTATTGAGAAACTCTGCTTTTGAATTTATGATATACATCTTTAACTCATCACATACCTTCAAGTATATTATATTATTTCACCTGTAGTATAAGAATCTTACTTCAGTATACTTATTCTCCCTGCCCTTATACTATTGTTGCAATTTTTCTTCTACATGTTATAAATATTACAGTACATCGTTATTATTGTTTTTTCTCTTTTTTTTAGAGACAGGGTCTTGATTTGTCCCCCAGGCTGGAGTGTAGTGGTACAGTCACATCTCACTGCAGCCTTGAACTCCTGGGCTTAAATGATCCTCTCACCTCGGCCTCCCGAGTAGCTAGAAGGCACCCAGCTATTTTTATTTTTAAATTTTTTGTAGAGATGGGCTCTTGCTATGTTGCCCAGGCTGGTCTCAGACTCCCTGCCTCAAGTGATCCTCCTGCCTTGGCCTCCCAAAGTGCTGAAATTATAGGCATGAATCACCACTCCTGGACATTATTATTGTTGCTTTAAATAATTGATCATCTCTTAAAGAAATTAAACTAGGAAGAAGAGTATTTATATTTACCAATTCCAAGGTTCTTCTTTTCTTTGTGTAGATCCAAATTTCCACATGGTATTGTTTTCCTTGTGTTTTAAGTGAAAGTCTGTTGCTGATGAATTCTTTTAGCTCTATATACATCTGAAAAAATTTTTATTTTGCCTTCATTTTGAAAGGTATTTTTTTGGAGTATTTTTCAAATTCTTGGAAAGCCAGGGATAATGGCACACACCTGTAGTCCTAGCCTCTTGAGAGGAGGTGGGGGGATCACTTGAGCCCAGGAGTCAAGTCCAGCCTGTGCAACATAGTGAGACCCATCTCTAAAAAAATTTTTTTTTTAATTCTAGTTTGACGGATTTTTTCTTACAGTATCTTAAAACGTTTCTCCACTGTTTTCTAGCTCACATTATTTCTAATGAGAAATCTGTTATCACCCTTATCTTTGCTCTTTTGTATGAGTCTTTTTTTTCTCTAGCTGCTTTAAAAATCGTTGTCTTTATTACTAGTTTTAATAACATTGGTTAAAATGTACCATTGGTATTTCTTTTTTATGTTTCTTGTACGTGAGTTTTATTGAGCTTCTTGGGTGTGTAAGTTTATACTTTTTATCAAGTTTGGAAAATATTTAGCCATTACCTTTTCAAATGTTTTTCAGCCCCTTCTGTTTGGGCCTCCAGTTACATTTATATTTAACTTGTGATGTTGTCCCACCTCTCAGTAATGCTCTATTCATTTTTAAATAAGAAGAAATTTTAAAAATAAACAGCAATCATAAAAAACCTGGAGTGATCATAGCAGGAACCAAAGACAGATTAAGATTTTGAAGTACCAGGCCGGGCGTGGTGGCTCACGCCTGTAATCCTAACACTTTGGGAGGCTGAGGCGGGTGGATCACAAGGTCAGGAGATCGAGACCACCCTGACTAACATGGTGAAACCTCATCTCTACTAAAAATACAAAAAAAATTAGCCAGGTGTGGTGACAGGTGCCTGTAGTCCCAGCTACTCAGGAGGCTGAGGCAGGAGAATGGCATGAACCCGGGAAGCAGAGCTTGCAGTGAGCTGAGATCACGCCACTGCACTCTAGCCTGGGTGACAGACAGAGACTCTGTCTCAAAAAAAAAGAAAAAAAAAAAAAGATTTTGAAGTACCAAAAATCAATGCAAAAGATATAACATGGGGAGCTCTGGGGGAGTGCTGGGATATCCAAGTGGAGTGCAGACTCTTTGCAATAATGAAATGGAAGCCACCCCAACCTTAAGGCATCTGACCTACCATCTTCCTAAAGACCCAAGAGTGAAAAGATTAGATTTAGCACCAACTCAGATATAAAGAGCATGTCCAATTTTGGTCTTTACAACTTAGAAGACATATAACAAAGTAGAAAAGGGTTCAGAAAAGAGCAGAAAGATGGC
Source organism: Homo sapiens (assembly GCF_000001405.40). NCBI lineage: Eukaryota > Metazoa > Chordata > Mammalia > Primates > Hominidae > Homo > Homo sapiens. The sequence goes on from NC_000008.11 coordinate 118,152,130, forward strand.
CAAATAATTGGCAAATAGAACCTCTGAAGAAAGGTTAAATGAGTTTGGGTTGTTTACTCAGAGAAAGAAAGGCCAAAGTTCTACTTAATACTTGTCTTCAAGAGTTTAAAGTTGGGATCTGACTAGATTCTACATCCCCAGAACACAGAACTAGCTGCCACCACCCCCACCAAAAAGTAAAACATTTAAGATTTAGGATTGGAATAACAAACTGAGATTCAAAATAGCCAGAATTTTGTTTGGTTTTTCTTTTTCCCTTTCTTTCTTCCTTTCTTTCCTTTCCTTCCTTTCCTTTCCTTTTCCTTCCTTCCTTCCTCCCTCCCTCCCTACCTTCCTTCCTTCCTTCCTTCCTTCCTTCCTTCCTTCCTTCCTTCTTCCTTCCTTCTTTTTTGACAGAGTTGTTCTTGTGCCCAGGTTAGAGTGCAATGGTACAAGATTGGCTCACTGCAACCTTTGTTCACCAGTCTCAAACAATCCTCCTGCCTCAGCCTCCTGAGTAGCTGGGACTACAGGCGTGCACCACCAAACCTGGCTAATTTTTGCATTTTTTGTAGAGACAGGATTTCACCATGTCGCTCAGGCTGGTCTTGAACTCCTGGGCTCAAGCAGTTCACCCCCCTCGGCCTCCCACAGTGCTGGGATTACAAGCGTGAGCCACTGTGCCTGGCCAAGAATTTTTTGATTCAGGAGAAATTAAGGTTTGGAAAAGTGCACCACTGGTAGTGGGATTTGTTCCCAGTGCTTTATGCGACACAAGTACAGCACCATTCATAATCAGAAGTGAATTTTTTAAAATGGTGACTGAAAGTCCATGAAGTGTTACATGATTACTGTGAATAGATCCATTTAATTCATGTACATTTGATAAGCAGTGGGCTATGCCAGACATTCCTAACCCCTTGGCTGGCTAAAGAGAGCTGGCAAGGGAAGCCAGAGAATCACTGCTCATAAGCATATTTTTCACTTGGTGTCTGTGTCAGTTAGTTTTCACTGCATAACAAAACATCCCACAACTCAGTGCCATAAAATAATTATTTATTTTTCCTCATGTAGGGTTGGGTGGCTTGGGTTCAGATGGTAGCTGCTGAATTGGCTCTGCATCTTGAGTGTTTGTTGCAGAACCTGGGGAAAGAGGAAACAGCTATCTCAAGGAAAGTAGTCCTAATAGGGATGAGTGAAGAGCCAAAGGGCAAGCCCCACTGCACAAGCACATTTGAGCCCTTTGCTCATGTCAAACCTACTAGCATCTCATTGGTCAAGCTCAAAGTCAAGGGAAAGGAAAGTACACTCTGTTTTTTGTGAAAGGAACTGCAAAATATACTCAAAGCATGTGGACAGAGAGGGGTAAAAAAAATGGGGCCAAACGTATAATCTATTTCCTTCTGCAAAGAGAGAAAAAGCCAACTTACACAGGTAGCCCAGACTCAAGTGGCTTGGTATTAAGGTGCCAGTTACGAGACTGGTCCATGCTCCAGGCACATTCTTCTTTGCGTTGGCTGTCTTAAGCTTGATTCCCCTCATTGGCCTTAGAACTGAACTTGCCCTTTGATACTGCTTTAGATGGGAGATGACCAGAGGCTACACCATGGGTTGAGGATTACTCTAGGTCAGAGTGATATCTTTACCTTTCCCCTTCCTCCATATCCTTCAAAAGCAAAAACCTATCTACCTTCTTGTTTCTTACAAGAAGTAAGAATCTATCCAGTCATTCTACTTAGAAGCCTGAGCTTCACCCTTAATTCCTCTTTTTCTTCATCCCGTCATCCAATTTGTTTTAGATCTCTTTACTCTACATCTGAAATGAATTTCTCTCCCAGTGTCTCCACTACCTTCCCCATTTAGATCCTCTTTGTCTTTTATTTGGATTGCTGCAGTGACCCTAACTGATCTGCTGTCACTGTCCTTCACCTCCCCAGTCCATCCACTACACTGCAGCCAATTACCTTTGGAAAGAGCAAACTAGATCATGTCAATGCCTGCTTAAGCAAAAGTCAAAGAATACACACACACAAGTGCACACACACACACACACATACACACACATACAATAAAGAATAATGCCAAAATCTTTATCAAGGCACTCAAGGGCCTCCAAAATCTGGCTCCCTTTTCAGCGTCATTTCGTTTCACCCCATCTGTCCTCTCATCACACTGGGCTACCTATTCTTTAAACATGCCACCCACTTCAATAGATTCTTGTATTTGTAGCTGATATTCGCTATGCATGGGATGCCCTTCCAGACAGCCTCTGTCAGACCAAAATTTCTAATCAAACATCACTCTTCTTTCAGAATTAATCATTCTTTCCTTTGTGTTCCCATGACATGCTGTTCATACTGTTATCATAACGCAGATCTCACAAAAATGTGCATGTATCGATTACTCAGAGAAGCCCCAGGAAGAAAGAAGAGCATAAATAACTTTCTGCACAAAGCAGAAAAGTTTTCAGGAAGCACTTAGCCTGGAAGTTGTTCTTTCTCTTCCTGAGGTCCAGGGTGTTCTATAGAGCTCATACCATTAAATTTTAGTATACACCAAGAATCTATATAGCCGTAAGAGGCAGTTCTGCAGAATAGACATTGTGCATCCTATGGCCCAGCACTGCAAACATTTGTGCAATAGAAAATTAGGAATAATAATAGCATGAGTTAAAGTAAAATATCCAATAAACACTTAAAACCTGAACCTTGAGAGCAGTGACAGAAAAAGAAAATGACAATCCTTTGTAACAGTATGCCAGCCTTGGTATAAAAAAGTAAGCAAACAGCCTAGCAAGGGACCAGTTTGGGGCAGCAAATGGATGGAGCAAACAGGCATAAAACCAGGAGATAAACTAGAAGAATTAGATCCCACCATGATGGTGACATTCCCTTGGGTGACACTGTTAGCAAGACTGCTCACACTATAATTAAATTTTAGTTACATCTGCATATTGGTTATGGCTTCATTATTAAACTTTAATTCTGAATATATATATATGTGTGTGTAATGAATATGCATATATGTATTTATTTGTATCTATTTAGTATATTATATCTAATGTATTATAAAGTGTGGGTTCAATCAAGCTGTTTAATCTTTTTTCTTATTTCTATTAAGTCCTGGGTAGGAAATGCTGTTGCATTTTGCCAAAGTTAGAACGGACTCAACCCTAAATTAAAATGACAATCGAATGCTCAGAACACACAGACCAGATACATCATTGAAGAACGTGCTCGATGAACAGTGTTTTTGGGGGGGTGGGCCACATCTAACAATAGTTTATAATACAGTATCTTAAAAGTTCTGTATAGTTTTATTCAGTTATGAGAGGCTCAAGGCAGGAGATCATATTGTATCCAGTGTAAAACTCAGCACTGTCTCTGGCATCCCATCTGGTGCCCAATCAGTGCTCACTGATATAAATTGCATGGGCACCAGAAAGATGCCCACTGATGTAACCTGGACTGTATTGGAAATTGATGTGCTCCAAGGAAGGAGAACGCTAGGGTGCTCCTTGGACAAGAGCCTCAGTGTATTACTGTATTGCTAAATCAAGTGAATGGAATGCGAGGTGAGGAGGGTGCCTATGGCAAAGATTTCATTACTTTTTCACAACACACCTTAGCACATGTCTAGTCTGTCCAGCTTCTAGGAGGATGAATAATTAAAAGGAAATGGTATGTGTCCAAATTAGCAGTATCCATGCACACGGAGTTGAATAAGGTGAAGCAGCCTGGAATTTTTTATTCTGGTTTTATATTTTTTTGCTTTCTCATTCTTTACTTAATCCACCTAGCTCAGTGAAATTAAGTGTCACAGGCATAGAAGTAAATCCAAGCATTTCTATCCAGCATTAAATTCTTTCTGTATCATAAATCATACCTTTTTTCATAATATATAGCATTATTGCATGATTTATTTTCAGTCTTTTGCAATGAATAATCTCAAAGTCACTATCCTGTTTTAGTTGAAGGCAAGGGAAACTATAAAATGGCACCAAACTCACATGGAATTAGCTGGGGAATCTGCTGTATCTATTATTCCAGCTTAAGCAGAGGTGCTCTGTAGCTCAGTAACTGCAAAAAGACCCACTGAGAGCAACCCCTTTCATTTCCATGGCACTTTACATGGCAATGATAATACATGACAACTCAAGCCAACACAGAACAAAGTATCTGTGGTATAAGATAACATCAGATTGTATCAGTGTGAAAATTTGGCCTAATATTGCTTGCTTGGATCCAAATGTCTTGCAGCCAACTTGATTTAAGATGTTAATGCCATTTTCTGTGGGTGGAAGGATGGAGTTGAGATTTTCTTTTGTGTTTCAGTGGAGAAACACTAGATATCAAGGCTCCATGTGGGCCAGATCCTGCATGTTTTGAAAGGGCTCTATGTGTGTACTCATTACTCACCTAACAAAACCTTTGTACTCAGTATGTTTTAACTGGCTGAAATACTAGTATATTTACCAATTCTTATATGTCCCAGGATATCCATTTTTAAGTGCATAATTCAATTTAGTAAGTGTTCAACGGGCATCTATTATATACTGTGCTAGACATTCATGATAATACAAGGGCAAAGTTATCATATAGAAAAGGGAGAAAAAGCATACAAAATGCTATACAATATGGCAAAATGTTGGAGGAATATATACAAAATGCTTTGCTAAAGGGTTCTGAGTAGAGTGACATTCCTAGATAGAAGAAAGGAGCAAAGACTCAAACAGCCATTGGTCAGATGCTCTTTGCAGTTATCAATATTTGACATGAGTAAGTGAATGAATGAATGATGTATTTTGTCAGATAAATTACGCAGGGTCAGTATGATGTTTGCCCTATGGAAATTAGAAGGGTTGGATATTCAAGACAGAGGAAAAACACAGGCAATAATACACAGCCAGTAAATACACAGCAATACTGGGTTTTGTTGGATTTGAAGAGATTTACATAGAGTTGGAGTCACTAAAGTACATTGAAGTCATGCTTTTTTAGAGCTATAAAGTCAAGATGAGAAACTTATATTTAATTCAGGGGTAGCAATCAAAACTTGAAAATGGTATGATTTACATAGGGCTTCAGGAAGACGGATGTAGTCTTGCCATGAAGTACATGGCTTTGGACCAGAGAGACCTAGGCACCAATCTTAGTGCCACCAGTTATAAATTGAATGGCTCTCTGCGGGTAACTTAATCTCTCCAAGCCTCAGACTCTTCATCAGTAAAATGAAGATAATAAACCCACCATGAATATATAAATCCATGGAACACCAATACCAGGATAATGGTTACCTCCAGGGACAGAAGGTCAGGAATGGAATTGGTGAAGTGGGGACAAAGGAGACTTCAGCTATTGCTGAAGCAAAAATGGCAAAAGGTTAGCATTGTCTGTACTCCATGTGAAAAACATTTATATTATTTTAAACTTCTCTAAATGTTTGAAATTTTTCATCAATATATATTTTAAAAAGCCTAACTTGTAGTCATGGTTGCTGGACGTACTCTTTATCAAGTGTGATAAAGCCCTGGCACATGGCAGTATCTCATAAATAGGAGCTATTTCGTTACTGTTTTTACAATGTTGCAATTAGGGCAGTGAAACAGAAAATAAAGGATGAAAGAGAAGTGGTGGAATAAAATTGTAGGGCATGGAGGACTTCCACTTATAGCCAAAATAGAATAACAGAGACTGAGTTTGCCTTCTAACTTAAAATCTCCTAAAACATGGACAAAGTATATGAAACAAAGTTTTTCAGGACTGTGGACATCAGACAATGAAGAGCAGTGTTCCTAGAGAGATAGGAAACAAATTAGGTGAGCCTTATCATTGCTCCAGCTTACTGATTGAAGACAGTTTCCAGGACTTGGAGCAGGAGAGGGAAGTCAGGTGGATCCCAGTGGTCTCTGTAAGTTGAGGAGACAAGGGTGAGAGTCCAGGGAGGCCAAGCTTTCAAGCAGCTATAGTTTGCAGGACAGAATATAAGAGAAGTGGGAGCTGCCCAGACAGAGGACTCTAGGAGACAGAGGACTCTAGGAGATCTGTAGAAGGTACATCTTGCATATTCACCTAAGTAATAATCAGCATATGCACGTAAGGACATTACCTAATGCGAGAAAAACAACCATCCAAAAGGATTAGAGGAAACAGCTCTTAAGATTTCACACAAAGCCATGAAGATTGCCTGCTTACACCAGCAAGAACAGAAAATAGTACTGATGGCAGGAGTGGCCTGTCTGGAGCAGCTGCTGCAAAGACACCAGCTGCAATGGTGGAGGTGCTGCCAGGATGGCAAGTTCCATGGAGCTGGTGGGAGCTGGGGACAGGTGGAAGTCTCCCCTCTTTCTGAGTTGGAGGGGTAGGACCCCTGCTTTTCCAGGCATAGCTGCAGCATGCATTGGCCTGCAGGTGCCCCTTTGCACAAACAGCCTGGGCACCATGAATGGAGGTAGAAAGTGGACAGGCTCCTGGACAGAAAGTGGCAGGTCCCTGGTGAAGCCCACCTTCAAGCCAGGGATAGTCTGAAGCCTGGGGGCTGGGTCTCCAGTTCTGTGGACCAGAGTGAGAACTTATGGTGCATTTTCCAGGCCTGCCCATGGCTGCCCATGGACCAATCAGCATGCACTTCCTCCCCTCCGGAGCCCATAAAACCACCAGACTCAGCCAGACTAGGGCAAATGATGGGATGACTTACCTGTGGAGAGGAGCTACCCAGTGTGGGTCTCCTCCCAGTTGAGAGCTGAACAGACATTGAGACAACCTGCCTGCAGAAAGGAGCTACCCACTTCAGGTCTCCAGAGAGCTGTACTACAGCTCAATAAAGCACCTCTTTGCCTTGCTCACCCTCCAGTTGTCCATATACCTCACTCTTCCTGAATGCGGGACAAGAACTCGGGACCTGCTGAATGGTGGGACTGAAAGAGCTGTAACACAAACAGGTCTGAAACATGCCCTTTTCCCCATCCCCACTCCACTCACCACATTTCAAGCATGAGAAGGACAGAAGAGAGAAGAGAAGAGGGAAGAACTGTGGCCCTTCAGGGAGCCCAGACCTAGAAACTCCCTGAGCCAGGGCTATGACATCATCTTTGGGGCTTTGTGTTTCCTGGTGTCTCCAAGCTCCTGGGTGCCACCACATTCCCCAGTGCGCACAGTGGAAGCTGCTTGTGGTACACCTAGTCCAGTTGCAGCCTTGCAGAGAGCTGGCACCTGTGCCAGTGCCTGGACCTGCCTGCCCCACCACAGCCAGCATGCCTGGCTGTGCACAGTGGCCGGACCCCATGCTCACTCTCTAACACACCTCTCACCACTCTTTGTCTGGTTTGCCCTTGGCAAACATGGGATCAGGGCTGGTAGCATGAGCCAAGTGCAGCCTGCCAGGCTGAGTGAGCAGAATAAGCCCAGTGGGCCCAAGCAAAACTTGGGCAAAGGCGCCAACTGCCACAGAGGTTTCCAGCTGGCAAAGCAACCCTCCAAGGATCCTGTGACAGTCTAATTCATGAAGCATCAATAAAGTACTCAGAAGGGCTTTATTTCACTAGTGGAGAAAAATTAATCCTAGATAAAGTGCTTCTCTGATACTATATAACAAATTTTTTCTTTTTTTTTCTTTTTTTTTTTTTGAGAGGGCGTCTCACTCTTTTCGCCCAGGCTGCAGCGCAATGGTACGATCTCAGCTCACTGCAACCTCCACCTCCCCTCTGGGTTCAAGCGATTCTCCTGCCTCACTCTCCCAAGTAGCTGGGATTACAGGTGCTTGCCACCATGACCAGCTAATTTTTGTATTTTTAGTAGAGACAGGGTTTCACTATGTTGGCCAGGCTGGTCTCGAAATCCTGACTTCAGGTGATCTGCCCGCCTCAGCCTCCCAAAGTGCTGGGATTACAGGCGTGAGCCACTGCGCCCGGCCCATAACAAAACTTTACAACAAGACCCAAAAGAATCAAACTTTTAAATTTCCAAGTAATTTAAATATATTCCAGAACAAATCTCAAAATATTTCTAGGAATGTAAAAATATATAGCATCCAACAAAGTAAAACTCATAATATTTAAAGACTAATTTGACAAAAGATATATAATACCTGTACACTGAAAACTATAAAACATTGCTGAAGTTAATTTAAGCAGACTTGAACAAATGGAGAGATAGATATACTATGTCCATGGATCTGAAGACTAAATATTTTTAATTTTTTCCAAGTTGTTCTATAGATTCAATGCAATCCCAGTGAAAATCCATAAGACTTGTAGGGAAATACAATGGACCTATATTAGCCAAATCAATTTTCAAAACGAAAAACAAAATTTATACTATCTGATTTTAAGACTTATCATGAGGTTATAGTAATCAAGCCAGTGTCATACTTAGGTTAATATAGGGAAATAGATCAATGATACAAAATAGATAATCCAGAAACCAAAGTAGAGAGACCAACACACATATGGTCAACTGATTTTCCACAAAGTGAGGAAAGAGTTTCATTCAAGTTTCCAACAAATGGTGCCAAAAAATTTACAAATACAAATAAGAAGAAATTTTGGTCTACCTTGAGCCATATACAAAAGTTGAGTGAAAATGGATCATAGAGCTAAATGTGAAACATATAAATATGCAACTTATAAAAGAAACATAAGAGAAAAATCTTTATAACCTTGGATTGGGCAAATATTTCTTTTTTTTAATTTTATTATTATTATACTTTAAGTTTTAGGGTACATGTGCACAACGTGCAGGTTTGTTACATATGTATACATGTGCCATGTTGGTGTGCTTCACCCATTAAACTCATCATTTAGCATTAGGTATATCTCCTAATGCTATCCCTGCCCCCGCACCCCACCCCACAACAGTCCCCAGTGTGTGATGTTCCCCTTCCTGTGCCCATGTGTTCTCATTGTTCAATTCCCACCTATGAGTGAGAACATGCGGTGTTTGGTTTTTTGTCCTTGCGATAGTTTGCTGAGAATGATGGTTTCCAGTTTCATCCATGTCCCTGCAAAGGACATGAACTCATCATTTTTTATGGCTGCATAGTATTCCATGGTGTATATGTGCCACATTTTCTTAATCCAGTCTATTGTTGTTGGACATTTAGGTTGGTTCAAATTATTTCTCATTTATGATACCAAAAGCATGATATATAAAAGAAGAAAGCGAACTTTATCAATATTATAAACTCTTCTTCAAAAGACACTGCGTGTTGGCTCATGCCTATAATCCCAGCACTTTGGGAGGCTAAGGTGGGAGGATCGCTTGAACCCAGGACTTTGAGATCAGCCTGGGCAACATGGTGAGACCCTGTCTCTACCAAAAAAAAATTAGCTGGGTGTGGTGGCAAATGCCTGAGGGTGAGGTGGGAGGACTGCTTGAGCCCAGAAGTTCAAGGATGCAGTGAGCCGCTGTGATCATGCGACTGCAGTTCAGCCTTGCTGAAAGAGTAAGACTGTCTAAAAAAAAAAAAAAAAAGACATTGTGAGAAGAAATATAAAGACAAATCTTACACTGGGAGAAAATATTTACAGATCATATATCTGGCAAAGGGCTTGTATCTAGGATACATAAAGAAGCCTCAAAACTCAATATTAATAATAAATTATTTATTATTATTATTATTGTTATCAATATGTTTAACAAATTAAAATTTTAGCAAAATATTTAAACAGACATGTCTCCAAGGGGCAAATGGCATATAAACACAGGAATGGATCAATATCATTCTGAAAAATGCAAAGTAACCTATGGTGATAGAAAAAAAGCAAATAGTGGCCTGGGCATGGTGGCTCACATCTATAATCCCAGCACTTTGGGAGGCCCAGGCGGGTGGATTACCTGAGGTCAGGAGTTCAAGACCAGCCTGGACAACATGGTGAAACCCCATCTCTACTAAAAATACAAAAATGAGCTTGGCATGGTGGCGCATGCCTGTAGTCCCAGCTACTCGGGAGGCTGAGGCAGGGGAATCACTTGTACCTGGAAGGCGGAGGTTTCAGTGAGCCGAGATCACGCCACTGCACTCCAGCCTGGGCAGCAGAGCAAGACTCTGTCTCAAAAAAAAAAAAAGAAGAAGAAGAAAGCAAATAGTTGCTTGGGGATGGGAGGACAAGGGTACATCCTGAGGCAACTTTTAAGGGTTATGGCTATGTTTGCTATCTCGTGTGCCTTATAGATGTATCCATGTCAAAATTTATCAAATTACATACTTTAAGTGCAGTTTATTGTAATGTAAAGTGTACCTCAATAAAGACATTAACATAATTATAGAGAATGTAATCTTATTGGCAGGAAAGAAAGGAAGAAATCAAAGATGACAAGAGACTGTCAAGATTTCAACTTTGAGTGACTGATGAATGTGGTGTTTTTATAAATGAGAAGAGGGAGAAGAAACAGACTGGTAGAGATAATGATGAGTTCATTGGAGACATATTGAATTTGAGATCCTGATGACTTATTCAGGTAGAGATGTCCAACAGACAGATGAAATCTAGGTCTAGATTTCTCAAGAGGCATGGGCTGCAGATTTTAAAAAGGGTGGAGACCACATCACAAAAGTGATTACTGAATTGCTGTAAACAGATGAGCTTGCTAAAGGGAAATCGAACTGTGTGGAACTTTGAGGAATGTCTACAACTGCAGGCATAGAGAATGAGAAAAGAGTGAAAATGGAGACAATGGTTGGTAAATTATGAAATGCAGAATTGAGCATAGCCACAAATTGAAGGCCATGACAGTGTTTCAAAGATTAAACAATCTCTAGTATCAAACACAGCATTAAAGTTGTGGAAAATGAAGACTGGGCAAAAAAGTGGCAGGATATTAGTAATCTGGGTAAAAACAAAAATAAAATAAACAAACAACACAACTTTGGAAGGATATTAGAGACCAAAACCTGATTTTGAGGGGTTAAGTATTGCATGGATTTGAATAAACAGAGGCACATAACCTCCTGCCATTTTTTAAAAGAACACAGATGGAAAGGTAGTTTGTAAAGATTCATGGTCAATAAAAGTAGTTTCTTTTTTTGAGACAGGGACCCACTCTGTTGCCCTGGCAGGAGTGCAGGGACGTCATCACAGCTCACTGTAGCCTTGACCCAAGCAGTTGAGACGACAGGCACACACCACCATACCTGGCTAACTTTTATATGTTTTGTAGAGATGGGGACTCCCTCTGTTGCCCAGTTTGGTCTCAAAATCCTGGGCTCAAGCAATCCTCCTGCTTCAGCCTCCCAAAGTGTTGGGATTACAGGTGTGAGCCTGCAACTGGCCAAAAGTGTCTTCTATTAGAGTTTGGGTAATAGGGATGTGATTTGAGGTAGGGAAGAGAAAAGTAGCAGGAGGGATTGTAGATAAAAGCCACGTTTATTGTACAGTGGTACTCATACTGGTTGTGCATTAGAACCACCTGGGGGAGCGTTAGGACATACCCATGCCTTTGGAGAGTCAAAGCAGAATCTGAGGTTAGAGCAAAACCTGGGGAGCTTCAGCCGGGTGCGGTGGCTCACGCCTGTAATCCCAGCACTTTGGGAGGCCGAGGCGGGCGGATCACGAGGTCAGGAGATCGAGACCATCCTGGCTAACACGGTGAAACCCCGTCTTTACTAAAAATTCAAAAAATTAGCCAGGCGCGGTGGCGGGCGCCTGTAGTCCCAGCTACTCAGGAGGCTGAGGCGGGAGAATGGAGTGAACCCTGGAGGCAGAGCTTGCAGTGAGCCGAGATCGCGCCACTGCCCTCCAGCCTGGGAGACAGAGCGAGACTCCGTCTCAAACAAAACAAAACAAAACAAAACAAAACAAAACAAAACAAAAAAACAAACCTGGGGAGCTTCAATCTTTTCCAAGTAGGGAGGAAGAACATTGCTGGAGCAAGAGTATCGGTAGGAACGAGGTTTCTCCTCCAACTTTACACATGTGCTTTTGGCATAGGAAACAAATGGCTCTTCCTTGTAAGAGGAAGAAGAGGAGGAGGACAACCAGGAGGAGCAGGAGGGAGGAGTAGGAAGAGGAGGGAGAGCAGCAGGAGGAAGGGGAAGCAGAACTCCTTCTTGATGTTTTGTTGTTTGTTGCTGTGAGGAGACACTTTCTATGACTTTTACCCCCTTGGCTTCCACATATAATTATTATTTGGAGTCAAAGTGAGTGAGAGAAATGTGAGCTCTTCAAAGAGAAAATGTAATTTTGAAGCATCTCCTCTTGTCTTCTCTGGATTTTGAAGGTCATACCAGGCAGTTTCTGCTTCAGCTGTAACTGAGTTAGCCACCCACGCCACTGTCAAGGGTCGCCTCAAGCAATAAAATGGTGTCATCCAACACTAGTGCTCTGTCTCCAGCCTGCAGGGGGTCAGGCTATATTGTCTTTTTTAAACGACCTCAGGATGCTGTGCACTTGAGTTCTCTCTGGTTTTAGTTTATTTTCAAGCTCTTCCAACATAAGCTGTTATTATTTTTTTATTTTTATTTTTTGCTATTAGTAGGTGACTAACTCTGTAGCAGAGATGGATAATGATATGGTGGGAAAGACATGGGCTTTGATGGAGACTGACCAGGGCTCATGTCTCTGCTCTGGACTTTACAGCTATAGGCAATTTTTTTTTTTAAACTTCATCAAGCCTGATTTTAGTTTTTTAATCTATAATAGAGAAATAAATAATGTCTGTTTTTTTGTTCATTCATGCATGAATATTAGAACCGTTGTCTCTCTCTGTATATATATATATACACACATATATACATACATATATATATACACACACACACCTATGCATATATGCATTCCACATATGCATATATGGAATGTAGTAGAAAACCACCTGTTTTCTCCTACTCTAAACTCATATTCTCAGTCAATATTTTGCTTCTGACACTAGATGTGTGTGTGTGTGTGTGTGTGTGTGTGTGTGTTTTCCATACATTGATTCTCTGCAGACAGCAAGGGGTATCCTACAGTTTAACTCAATTCTCATGCTATCTGTCTGGAGATAGCATTAGATCCCACAGGTTAAGGGCTCACAACCAAGATTGCCCTCACTTCAGATGTTAACTGCAAGTCTCAGGTTGTGGCTTGTGCTTCTGACTGACAGGCTATAAATTGAAGGTTCTCATGAACCTTTTCTTGGGTATGATGATTTGCTAGAATGTCTCACAGAACTCAGAGAAACACTTTACTTATGTTTGCCCATTTATTATAAAAGAATACAACTCGGGAACAGCCAGACAGAAGAGATGCATTGGGAGAGGTATGGAGACAGGGATGCGGAGCTTGCATGTCCTCTTGGGGCAAGCCACCTTCCACATGTTCAGCAAACTGGGAGCTAATTTTTGTATTTTTAGTAGAGACGGGGTTTCACCATGTTGGCTAGACTGGTCTCAAACTCCTGGCCTCAAGTTATCCACCTGCCTTGGCCTCCTAAAATGCTGGTATTACAGGCATGGGCCACTATGCCCGGCCCTCAAAATATGTATTTCTTATCATAAATCTATATATATACATATATACATATATATATGTATATATATATATATATATATACATATATATATATAAAACATAACAGGTGATTTGAAGCATAGTGGCATAGCAGTGAAAAGTAAATGCTAGCTGTTACTAGTGTCTTTTCTCATGCTTTTAAATTTACTTATTATAATCCTTTAGACCAGTGGTTCACAAAATGTTCTCTTCAGATCTACAATATCTGATCTGACACGTGATAATAAATAACATGGTTGAGTCCAGTTTTTCCCAACTTTTTATCCTCTTCACCTGCCTCCTAAACCATTGGTTTCTATTTGCCTTTGGATTTGTCCTTGAAAAAGGTCCGCTTTTTTGTGGCATCTTGGCTTCTAGGTTGGTACACTGGGTTTCTCGACTTCATCTGATTTCAGTTCCGTGCAATAAATAATAGCCATTTTAGCTAGAGTTCTAGCTATGAATAGCTTCTTTCCTCATAACTTCATCTTATATTTATTGCCTAAAATGATAGATTGAAAGTCATTACCTAGCAACTGGCACATTTTTTTCTTGTGGTCTAGTTACTTGTAATGATTGACTATTGCTGTAGCTTCACTTGCTCGTCCTGGTCAAAAATGGATATAAGGGGTCTATAAATAGAGACCATTTACATACTCTCAAGATTATCAGTGCAACTTACTGAAATGAGTTCATTTGTACAGAATACTTTGTCTATCAATTTATTTCTCACATCTTCAAAAGGAGTAGCTGATTCAAACCTATCTAGGATTTTATACTTACAGTACCTTTATTAGTTCTGTTATCTCAAACCCCAGATCTCCTGTTGGAGACTGGCTTTTTGTGGCTCTGTAAAAAAAGCAACTAAAATCTTAAAGCAAGAAAGAATACAAAAATTTTTATATCGCTTCATGTTCATTTCCCATATATTGCTCTGTCACAAAAAATTAATGCTTTGTACTTTAAAAGAGCCTTTCATCCAAAAACCTCAAAGAACTTTATAAATAAGTAAGCATGGTTATTCACCTTTACAGGTTGGGAATGATGCACAAAGCTGTTAAAAGTGTATTGTGCATTATTGCCAAGCTCAGGAAAAAGTTCATTTTAATTTAATGCATATAAAATTAATTGATTTGGTGTTTAAAAAGTGTGCACACTACGTTTCTCTAGGCCTCAACCGACTACAGATATTAACAAAGGTACAACAATGGTAAACCCAAATTTCCCTGGCTTTTCTCTCCTTGTGCATGACTTAAGACCTCAGCTTCCTGCAAAGCCCCTTATGTATATCTGGGTGTCTCTAGGAGGCATCTCTCCCATGCTCAAGAACTGTCCATCCCTGCTGGGCCTCCTCTGCTTCACTGAGCAGCAGAGTTTCCAATCAGGTGCTGGAATGCAGTTTCCCTCCATTGCACAGCCAGACACTCTCACAAAGTTAATCATGCCCCTTAGGTGCTTACCAACCTGTAGTGATGTGGGAGAGTGGGTACTCTTCCCTGCCTGTAATCTTCTATGATGAGGCAGTCCAAGGTGAAGCATCTTGAACTCCACTTCTTTGCAAGTGGTGTTTCCTCTCAAGGAAAATAGTTCTGTCACTTCTTACTCCCCCCAGCCCCCCGCGCCCCCCACACGGACAGCTGGGCTCAGAGACATGGTCTGATGTTGAACATTATGTCAGACTCAGAGGTTAGTGGCTTTTGCATGCTTGACACCATGGCCTGCTCCACCACATGCTCCCTGGTGTGCACTCCAGGAGGCTGACTTGTAAGCAAGAGGAATGCAGCCCGTATGCTCCTGGGCCTGGCGTGTTACAATCAGGAGGTTCTCCTGATGAACATGGAACCTTCACAGAACTTCAGTGTCAGAAAAGACTGCTCTGTGATCAGAATAGATCAAGAAAACAATACCCCTCTGTATCATATTGGAACACAGACAAAAACATGAATGTTTTCCAAGCCACAAAAATGGACAATCACTTAGTTAGAAGAGGAAAATGCTATCAGGAAGTGGGGGAAATTCTATACTCAGATATCTTAGTAAACCTTATCTAGAATGAGGGAGCAATACAATGAGATTAAAGAAGCTGTTTTTGCCTCCCTTTGCTGACAGCAGCCAATCCAAGATGAAGCCTCTTCCTTCCTTCAGCCTTTCCCCTGATTACCCACCACCATCCCAATTTAAGATATGCTAAGTCCTAACATCTCCTCACAGAGACTCCCCACAGTTCTCTATGGTGAGCATTCTGGCCCACTATAATGAGCAACAAACCCAACATGTTCAACTACAGGTGTGTTCTTGGGGGTTGTTGGCTGGGGAGCATTGACATCCAACTGAACATAACAATGTGACATGATTTGGCTGTGCCACACCCAAATCTCAACTTGAATTGTATCTCCCAGAATTCCCACATGTTTTGGGAAGTACCCAGTGGGAGGTAATTGAATCACAGAGGCTGGTCTTTCCCATGCTATTCTCGTGATAGTGAATACGTCTCATGAAATCTGATGAATTTATCAGGGGTTTCTGCTTTTGCTTCCTCCTCATTTTCTCTTGCTGCTGCCATGTGGAACTGTAAGTCAAATTAAACTTCTTTTTCTTCCCAGTCTCAGATATGTCTTTATCAGCAGCATGAAAATAGACTAATACACAATGGCTCTTTTACCCTCTGATGTTTGTTGGGTTTGGCCAAAGGAGGGACCATTGGAGTGTAAGAGGAGAATGGGGTCAGGGTACTTATTCCCCCATCTCCCTCCCTCCTGCAACCTGTGTCCTCTCTTTCCACATTCCAGTGACCACATAGGCCCCACCGTGTCATTAGCCCTGAGACACTTCATCAGCTCTTGTTGGTTTCCCTACATTCTGACCACGTGTGTAGCATCTGTTTATTAAAAGTTTAGTGAACCAATATGAGAGTGCTGACAATTTATAGCAACAACCAAAGCTTCCTTATTAGATTCTCCTCATTACATTCTGACCCTTTTCTCTTAGGTTGTCTTCTTCCCGGAATATTTTTCAGTCCTCATGCAAACAGGCCTCTGGCTTGTCTGCCTCACTGGTTTGCCAGGCACACCCCAGATAGGGTGGAATTATGCTTGGACAAGTTATCCTTTTTTGCTGCCCTAACCTAAGTAATAAGCTTAGGAAAAAAAACTTCAAAAATCATTAAATTTCAAGATCAACTGACCGGTAGGATTTTCTTTCTGACTGTAATGTCAGAAAACTGCAATTGCATACGAGTTGTGGAAATCATGTCCCAGAGGAAAAAAATTAGGGGTATGAAGATGTATATATCCAAGAATAAACCCATTTTCACTATAAAGAAAGAAAAAGAATATTAATCAAACACATCAATGACCCTAACAATGAATTACCTAAGAGATCACCCTTAACACATTCAAAGATGTTTAGCATTTTAATACTTATTTTTTTCTTTTAAAACCAACCACTCAACAATAGGAAATGGGGAATAATATAGTGGGGAGGGAAAGAAAGGGGAAAGGGTTGAAAAATCTACCTAGTGGGTATGATGCTCACTACCTGGGTGACAGGCTCAATTATACCTCAAACCACAGCATCATGCAATATACTCATGTAACCAACCTGTACATGTACCCCCTGAATCTAAAATAAAAGTTGAAATTATAAAAATTAAAATAAAACAAAACTAACCACAGACAGATTAAAGTCCAAGAAACACAGTAGACAAATTTCCTTTCATGGAAGCTACTCTGCAAGGAAATGCCGATCCTAGCATCATGTTTTAAGTTTTAGCACACTATTTGTTCTCCTCCTGGCTTAGTTTGGTTCTATTATTGTTTTACCAAGAATGATACACTTTCTTTTTAAATATGTGATTTTGAAAAGCTTTCCCTACAGATGCAATTGTTTCAAAATTGCATGTTGGGGCTACATTTCTTTGTTCCTGTGGGAATACATCTTTACTTATATAATGTAAGTCAGTATGAAAATAAGATTTGCTTGAAGAAAATTGTTTTCCAGCCATGGTTCAGGACCACTTGTAGTCTATCAGGCAGCTGCACCAATGTTATGTGCAGAAATCCACTGACCCCAATGTTTCTTTCAGGGAGACCTATGGATAGTTCTAGAGATGTTTACAAGAGGCAATGTGTACAGTTTCTAAAACATTTTAACGTAATTGAAAAATAAAAAAGATGAAGGACAACAAAGGAATCTCCTGCTTCTAAAGTGCTACCTCCAGGAGTCAGCAAAGCTGTCTAGAGGCTCTTCTTTGGAGGTAATTTTTCTCAAAGACTGAGGAAAGCTGTTTTTTACCCCACTTGTGGTTAAGTGTGTTCATATGAACTCTTATTTTATATAAACACACATTATGGAGATGGAAAATTTTGCATGAATTTAAAGATTAAACATGGTACATTCAAGGAAATTTCATGTTTGTGGTGGGCTGCATTGAGCCATGGCCTCAGACCCTATGGGAACACTAAGACTTTTACATTTGTTATTAGGCAATATCTATAAATTATATGCATCATACATAGGGTGATCAGTTTATTATAGACTTGGAAATGCACAAGTGACTACTAGCTGTGTGAGGCAAGTTACTTAATCTCTCTAAGCCTCAGTTTCTCATTTGGGGAAACGATTGTACACTAAACTCAGAGTGCTCGTGAAGATTAAATGCCATCCATACTTAGTTTGGCAAAGTTCCAGGCCCAATATGTATTAGTTATTATTATTACCGTAGATATATTAGTTTAATATTTTGACTTGAAAACTGATATATCTTATAAAATGTGGAGGGGGCTTAAAGTGATCTTTAAGAGGTCATACTCTATACTATATGCATACTTTACAAATTATCTTCTTTGCAAATTTCTGGGAACACATAATTCTCAACCAATAACAGATCAATTTTATTTATTGTAACTTTTGAGAAGTATGTAAGGCATGCTACTGTAAAAATAAACCCAACTCCTGCATCTATGATTAATTGATTTTGACGAGGATGCCAAGACAATTTAATGGGGAAAAGGAGTCTTTTCAACAAATGGTGCTGGAATAGTTAAACATCTATTTGCAAAACAATAACATGGGACTCTTGGCTTAAATCATACACAAAAATTAACACAGAATGGATTAAAGATGTAGATGTAGAAGATAAAATGGTAAAAGTCTTAGAAGATAAAATAAGAGTAAACCTTTGTGACCTTGGCTAGGCAATGGTTTGTTGAATAGAACAATGTAAGTACAAGTGATAAAAGAAAAAAAATAGATTGGACTACACTAAAATTAAGAATTTTACACTGCAAATGATAACGTCAAAAAATGAAAGGACAGAAGATGGAATGAGAGAAAATATCTGCAAATCTTATATCTGATAAGGGACTTGTATTCAAAATACATAAAGAATTCTGACTACTCAATAAAAAGACAAATAACCAAATTTAAAATTGGTCAAAAGATATGAATAGACATTTCTCCAAGGAAAATATACAAATGATCAATAAGTACATATAAAAATGCTCAGCATTGTTAGTCATTCTGCAAATGTAAACTAAAATCACGTTGAGATACCATCTCATAAACACTGGGATGGCTATCGTGAAAAGGTTGCAAAATGACAAATGTTGGTGAGGATGTGGAGAAATTGCAACTTTCACACATTGCTGGTGGGAATGTAAAATGGTTCAGCCACTTTGGAAAACACTCTGAGAGGTCCTTAAAATGATTAGCATATAGTTATCATGTGACCCAGTGATTATACTCCTTAGTACACTCCTTAGTATATATCCAAGAGAAATAAAAACATTTGCACACATAAAAATGTGTAGATGAGTATTTATAGCAGTGTTACCTATAACATAGAAGTAGAAACAACCCAAAAGTCCATCAACTGATGAATGACTAAACAAAATGCAGTATATCCATACAGTGAAGTATTACTTGACAATCAAAAGAAATGAAGTACTGATACATGATACATCATGAATGAACCCTGAAAAACATGCTAGGTGAAATAAGTTGGTAGCAAGAGACCATATATTGTGTGATTGCATTCATATGAAATGTCTGGGATAGACAGATCTACAAAGACAGAAAGCAGGTCAGTGGTTGCCAGGGACTGGGAGGAGAGGAGGCTTGGAGAGAATGGGGAGTGGCTGCTAATGGGTACAGGATTTTTTTTTTTTTTTTTTTTGGGTCAGGTCATGAAATTGTTCTAAAATTAGACTGATGATTGCTTGGCCCCTTGAATATATTTTAAACATTGAATTGTGCATTTAAAATGGGTAAATTGCAATAGCAAAGACTTGGAACCAACCCAAATGCCCACCAATGATAGACTGGATTAAGAAAATGTGGCACATATACGCCATAAAAAAGGATGAGTTCATGTCTTTTGTAGGGTCATGGATAAAGCTGGAAACCATCACTCTGAGCAAACTATCGCAAGGACAGAAAACCAAACACTGCATGTTCTCACTCATAGGTGGGAAATGAACAATGAGAATACTTGGACACAGGGTGGGGAACATCACACACCGGGGCCTGTCGTGGGGTAGGGGGAGTGGGGAGGGATAGCATTAGGAGATATACCTAATGTAAATGACGAGTTAATGGGTGAAGCACACCAACATGGCACATGTATACATATGTAACAAACCTGCACATTGTGCACATGTACCCTAGAACTTAAAGTAAAATTAAAAATAAAATAAACTAAAATGAGGGAATTGTATGTATTGTTTAATTTCAATATGGTTGTTTTTTAAAAAAGAAAGAAAAAGAAACCTGAAACAGGTCTTGAATGTTAGACTTTATAGTCAGTTTCCTCAGTAAAGGTTTTTAACATATAGAATATATATTTGATCATTGCTTTGGTCCTGCTTAACACTATATTTTACAGCAGTCAAAGTCTGCATGCCTGTTTGAGCAAATTGGAGACCATTGGAAATTTGGATGGGAATGTAATTAGCTGAGTTGAACCTTGGCCAAAAGGCATTGTTTTCTAACTGGAAGGTACTATTGGGTTTTTAAAACAGTTTTATTGAGGTGTAATTGATATATATAAAAATCTGCACATATTTAATGTATACAACTTGATGAGCTTGAACATGCACATATATCCATGAAACCGTTACCACAGAGTAATAAATATATCCATCACCTCCAAAAGTTTGCTTCTGCCTCTCTTTCCTTTTTTTTGTGATAAGAGCACCTGAGAGCTCCTTTTTGACAATTTTTCTGTATACAATATAGTTTTGTTAACTATAGGCACTGCTGTACAACAGACCTCTCTTATTCATCTTGCAGAATTGAAACTTTATACCATTTGAACAACAACTCCCCATTTATCCCTCCTTCCAGCCCCTGGTAACCAGAATTCTACTCTCTGCTTCTAGGAATTTGATGGTATTTGTCCTCGTGCTGGTGGAATCATGCGATATTTGTCCTTTGATGACTGGCTTATTTCACTTACCATAATGTGCCAGTTCCTAGGAATAGGGTTTTCTGTCCCTTGCATAAGATAGGAATCATACTTTTCAACAAGCTCCCCTTTCCTGTTGGACAAGTGGTACAGTATTGACACATGGTTTAGAATGCAACCTCCTGAGTGAACAACACTATTCCTTGCCATGCCTGAAATTTCTTTTTATTTCTTTGCCTTCCATCCAAGTATTGATCGAGGCAGGGTTCTGTGTAGCTTACAACGTGTTAGGTGTTGTCAGACTATCATGTTAGGCCTGCCGCTGTAATGGGCTGACTGTCTTTATGGAGGTGGAGAGCAGAAGGGCAAGCTGGTGGATTAAGGAACAGAGGCACTTGCCTTAAGGGACCCAGAGGCTTAGCTTAAAATTGGTGCCCCTGGAACCTCCATCTTATTGACAAAGCAAGTAGCTGTCATTGTACATTACAAGGCCCTGTCTTTTAGACAAGCAGCCTCTGTTTTCTTTTATGCGATGGGCTATTTTTGGATGTGTTCTTGACCATTATCTAATATTTATATATATATATAATCTATATATTTAACTATAGATTATATATTTATATTTATTATATTAAATTATATACATATCCATAACTTTTTTTTTTTTTTGAGATGGAGTCTTGCTCTGTTGCTCAGGCTGGAATACAGTGGTACAATCTCAGCTCACTGCCACCTCTGCCTCCTGGGTTCAAGTGATTCTCATGCCTCAGCTTCCCGCATAGCTGGGACTATAGGCACGTGCCACCACACCTGGCTAATTTTTGTATTTTTAGTAGAGACGGGGTTTCACCATGTTGGCCAGGCTAGTCTTGAACTCCTGACCTCGGGTGATCTGCCTGCCTTGGCCTCCCAAAGTGCTGGGATTGCAGGCATGAGCCAACACATCCAGCCTATATATATATATATTCATAACTTATCTGGCAATTAAAAATACTGCCTGTTAGTAATTTTAAATAATATTTTAGATGGACTGATGTGTAGTAAAAAGAAAAAATTGTTCTGAGTCAGTACAGTTCAAATCTTGGTCCTGCCAGTTAAAAGTACTGGACCTTGGGGAAATCATGCAAGCTGCTTCTGGGTTTTGGCCCCCTCCTCTGTTAATAGGCTAATAATTTTACCTATCCTGTGGGATTGATCTGAGGATTCAATGGGGCAATGTTTGCCAAAGTGCTTTTGTAAAGTTAAAAGGGCTGTCATAGTCATTTGTTGCATGTGGACCTGTTTAATGTCCCCAGTGAGACTGAAGGCTCCCTGTTTTTGCAGATCCTCAGGATGTGTGAGGACACTCAGTTCAGATTTGTTGATTTTTGGGGTTGTTTTGAGGGCCTTTTGGTTGTTGGGAGACAAGAGGTGTTCAAGGCACCTTTTTCTGACTCACTTCTAAGGAGACTGGGACATGGCATGGGTCAAGTGTATCTGCGTGGGCCATTCATTCATTCACCTATTTAATAACTATTAACTGAGTGTTGTTTGGGTCTAGGTGCTTGGGAAAAAGTGGTTCATTTTACTATACTGGCAAATGCTCCACTTCCAGGAGCTGACATTCCAGTGGAGGAAGACGATCCAAATAATCAATGAAATAAAGAAATACAAAATTTCAGAGAATTTTAGTTCCACTGCACAAAATAAAGCAAGATAAAAAGGTAAAAAGTGGGGGTGAAGAAATTATTTTTTCCCCATTTTATATGGATAAATTTCAAATCTACAGAAAAAAATAATATGCAATGAATATGCATTTTCTCATCACCCAAATCCATCAGTATTAACATAATGCCACACTTGCTTTCTTTTTCCCCTCTATGTGTGCATGTCTTTATGTACTTCTTTGTGTACATGTGTGGGTTTTTGTTGTTGTACCATTTAGAATAAGTTATAAATATCATGGAATTTTATCTCTAAATAGTTCAGCAAATATTTCCAAAGAACAGGATCTTTACCTGTGTAACCACAATGCCATATGACTTTCAAAAAATTTAGCAGTAAAGCAAAAAAAAACAAAAAAAAAAAAACAAAAAAAACAAACAAAAACCGGGAGGCATCATATTACCTGACTTCAAACTATACTACAAGGCTAACCAGCTGGGTGCTGGTACAAAAACAGACACATAGACCCATGGAACAGATTAGAGAACTCAGAAATAAAGCTGCACACCTACAACCATCTGATCTTCAACAAAGCCAACAATAACAAGCAATAGGGAAAGGACTCCCTATTTAATAAATGGTGCTGGCATAAGTATAACTGGATAGCCATATGCAGAAGATTGACACTGGACCCCTAGTTTTACCATATATGAAAATCAACTCAAGATGGATTAAAGAATTAAATGTAAAACCTAAAACTATAAATCCTAGGAGAAAACCTAGGAAATACCATTCTGGACATTGCCCTGGGCAAAGACTTCATGACAAAGACTCCAAAAGCGATTGCAACAAAAATAAAATTTGACAAGTGGGAGCTTATTAAACTAAAGAGCTCTTGCACAGCAAAAGGAACCATCTGCACAGTAAACAGAGAACTTACGGAATGGGAGAAAATATTTACAAACTATGCATCCAGCAAAGATCTAATATCCAGAATCTATAAGGGACCTAAACAAATCAACAAGCAAAAAATAACCCCACTAAAAATGGGCAAAGGACATGAAAAGACACTTCTCAAAAGAAGACACACATATAGCCAACAAACATGAAAAAATGCTCAATATCACTAATCATTAGGGAAATGCAAATCAAAACCACAATGATATATCATATCACACTGGTCAGAATGGCTATTATTAAAAAGTCAAGAAGTAACAGACGCTGGCAAGATTGTGGAGAAAAGGGAACTTGTATACACTGTTGATGGGAATGTAAATTAGTTCAGCCACTGTGGAAAGGAAAGCAGTTCAGAGATTTTTTCAAAGAACTTAATAGAATTACCATTTGACCCAGCAATCCCATCACTTGATATATACCCAACAGAATAGAAATTTTTTGGCCAGGCGTGGTGGCTCACGCCTGCAATCCCAGCGCTTTGGGAGGCCAAAGCGGGTGGATCACAAGGTCAGGAGATCGAGACCATCCTGGCTAACACGGTGAAACCCCATCTCTACTAAATATACAAAATATCAGCTGGGCATGGTGGCATGCGCCTGTAGTCCCAGCTACTCAGAAGACTGAGGCAGGAGAATTGCTTGAACCCGGGAGGCGGAGGTTGCAGTGAGCCGAGATCGTGCCACTGCATTCCAGCCTGGGAGACACAGCAAAACTCTGTCTAAAAAAAGAAAAAAAGAATATGAAAAAGAATATAAATTGTTCTATCATAAAGACACATGCATGTGTATGTTCATCACAGCACTATTCACTATGGCAAAGATATAGAATCAATCTAGATGCTCATCAATGGTGGACTGAATAAAGAAAATGTGGTACATATATACCATAGACTACTACATAGCCATAAAAAAGAATGATATCATGGCCTTTGCAGCAACATGCATGGAGCTGGAGGCCATTATCCTAAGTGAATTAATGCAAGAACACAAAACCAAATACTGTATGTTCTCACTTATAAGTGAGAGCTAAACAACGAGGACACATGGACACAAAGAAAGGAACATGAAGTCTATTTGAGGATGGGAGGAGGGTGAGAATTGAAAAACTACCCATCCTATTGGGTATTATCCTGATTATCTGGGTGACAAAATTACTGGTACACCAAACCCCTGTGACACACAATTTACACATGTAACAAATTGCACATGTACCCCTTGAACCTAAAATTAAAAAAAAACCACTATTGTAGTATATAACAATAGTATTTAACATGGAATGAAATTCCAATTTTCCTCAGTTTTCCCGTAAATGTCCTTCATAGCTGTTTTTGTTACTGTCTGTTTGTGTGGGAAAGTGGTCATTTGGGTGATGAAAAAGTTTCTCTACAGATGTGGCATTTGAGAAAAGACCAGAGTGTTGAGAAAGAAACAGTTACGTGGTGATGCAGTGCATAAGCCTAGGCATGGAGAATAGTAAGGTCCCAAGATGGGAATGAGTGGATGCGTTTCGGGTATCACAAAATTGGGCATGAACAAAAGGGAGAGTGTTGGCCAGAGGAGAAGTTGGAGAGGCAGTTGGTAGCAGATGATGCAGAGCTTATGGAGCTGCTCATGAGTTGAGTTGAATTTTGTATTAAGTCTAAAGGGGAAGCCACAGAGAATTTTTTTTTTTTTTTTTTTGAGACAAGATCTCATTCTGTCACCCAGGCTAAAGTGCAGTGGTACAATCATAGCTCACTGCAGCCTCTACCTCCTGGGCTCAAGCCATCATCCTGTTTCAGCCTTCTGAGTAGCTGGGACTATGGGCATGCACCATGTCCAGCTAACTTTTTTTTTTTAATCTTTTGTAGAGACAGGGTCTCACTGTGTTGCTCAAGCTGGTCTCAAACTCCTGGGCTCAAGCAATTCTTGTGCCTCAGCCTCCCAAAGTGCTGAGATTATAGGCGTGAGCCCCTGTGCCCAGCCACCAGTGAGGATTAACGCCTGGGAAGGAAGCTAGGCACGGTGGCTCATAGATGGGTGTAATCCCAGCATTTTGGGAGGCCGAGGCAGGAGGATTGCTCAATCCCAGGAGCTTGAAGCTGCAGTAAGGTATGATCACACCACTGCACTTCAGCCTGGCTGACAGAGTGAGATCCTGTTTTTAAAAACATAAAATAAAAAAACAACATAAAGGAGATGCCATTAGAAATTAAAAACTGAGAAGCAATGTGGTCTGATTGATGTTTTGAATAGATCATTCTCTGTGCCATGTGGAGAACAAACTGAGTTGGGCAAGTGTGTGGTAGGAAGAGGCCCTTTCAGAATCCCAGGTGGCTGACACACATGCAGGTTTATCTGCTCCCATCTGGTCTAACCACACTGCCATACACTTCTCTTGAAACCTCGCAACCACTGTTCCTATGCTGAATTGAAACGTCCATAAATCTGAAAACCTGAAGCCATCATACGGTGGCCCAACCTGTCAAACAGCAGTTTAGTTTTGGCTATCCAGGTATATTTGGGTAATTCCATGAGTACAGTATTTTCTTATGTTTTTCTTATTATTTTATAAGAACAAATGGAAAATAAAACACTAAATGTTTGAGACTAGAGTTAACAAGCGTAAGCCCCATACATTTAGTGTAGTTAAAACCTAAATTGAGGTTATTAATCAGTTGAAAGTGGTAAATCTTATTTTAAGCCAAGCAACGTTTTGTTCAATTGCAAAGGAAAAGAAGCTTAAAGACCATAGACACACTTATGGAAATGCATGCAAGAAACATCTGAAAAAAGTGAGGGACACTTAGGAATTATATACTAAGTTTTGGCTCTTTTGGACAAAGTACTTCCTGCAAAGCATAAAAACCCATTGTATGATTTTTCAAACACTAGGTTTTTTTTAAATTAAAAAAAATTGTTTTTTTTAGACAGTCTCCCTCTTGTCACCCAGGATGGAGTGCAGTGCCATAATCTTGGCTCACTGCAACCTCCACCCCCTGGGTTCAAGTGATTCTCCTGCCTCAGCCTCCCGAGTAGCTGGGATTACAGGCAAGCACCACCATTCCCAGCTAAATTTTGTATTTGTAGTAGAGATGGGATTTCACCATGTTGGCCAGGCTGGTCTTGAACTCTTGACCTCAGGTGATCCACCTGCCTCAGCCTCCCAAAGTGCTGGTTTTACAGGCATGAGCCACCGCCCCCGGCCACACATTTCTTATATTGAATTGGTCAGAATAATTAATGCTAACTGCCACAGCAGACAAATCCTGAAATCTCGACAGATTACACACACAAAAAGCTGTTTCTTGCTCATGTAAAGTCTAATGTACGTGGGGCACCTCTTTCTTTGTAGCCTCACCATCTGGCAAGTGTGGCTCTGAAAGTAGCCTTGGATGCTCAGAAGAGAAGCACAGAATGAGGCTGTCTGCCTGTTCATGCTTCTGCCCAGGGGGTTGGGTGGGCATCATCACTTCTGTTTATAGTCCACAGGACTCCCTCCTCCCATGGCTGGCAATGGATGCAAGCATTTGGAATTCTTGGGGAGTGTCAATAATTTCTCTACAATTATCGGACGTGAAAGTAAAGAATTCTAAATAAGGGGCCGGATGCGGTGGCTCATGTCTCTAATCCCAGTAGGGAGGCTGAGGCAGGCGGATCACCTGAGGTCGGGAGTTTGAGACTAGCCTGACCAACATGGAGAAATCCCATCTCTACTAAAAATACAAAATTAGCCGGGCGTGGTGGCGCATGCCTGTAATCCCAGCTACTCAGGAGTCTGTGGCAAGAGAATCGCTTGAACCTGGGAGGCAGAGGTTGCGGTGAGCCGAAATCACAGCATTGCACTCCAGCCTGGGCAACAAGAGTGAAACTCCGTCTCCGAAAAAAAAAAAAAAAAAAGAATTCTAAACAAGGAAGTCTTCAGGGATGCTTAATGTGGTTGGCCAGGTACGAGGGGTAGTATTTGGAATAGGAGATGCAGAGGAGTTAAGAAATTAAGAGCACTATCTTCTTTTAGAGCTCTCTTTTGGAAAACTTCCTTTTCTCTTTCCTCCTGGCCTCAGGTTTTCTCCCTTACCTTTTAAAGGTGAAGTCATTACTAGAGTCAGGCCCAGGTGAAAGAGGCCTAATGCCAACCAAGCACTTAGGTCATATTCTGATTTAGGCCAGAAGAGGCAAAAGGGAGTGTTTGCGGTTTACTATCTGACTTATGCACATACGGGACTAGGCAGGATTTTTGGATCAAAACTGTGGGTACTTATAAAGCCTAGATTAATCTGGATTACCCTTCATACCATCAGATATTTGCAACAGCAAAAGGCCACGAGGCAGCATTCAGAGTCCAGACCAGCATCTACTATCACAGCTTAGCGTGGCCACTGAAGATGACAATTTAAATCGTGTGAAGGACTAAATTCAGAAACAACACTCAGCATCAAAGTACATTTGTTTTGGAGGTTTAGCCCAGTTGCCGGCAGCCTAAAGCTGGTGCTCCCTCGGCCGGACTCAGTGCCCAGTAGACGGGGCTGAACTGTGGCTCCTGAGAGGAGGTCAGGGGGCTGAAATGACACCTGCACAGGGCTAGCCAGCTTTGTAAGCCTGCTGTGTTCTGAATCCTTTATCTTTTCTCCTAGGATCAGCTGGAGAACTAGAATATCTATCCGTGTCTCATTCACTGTGGCCAGGCGAGATGAGAGGCTGACCAGAAACTGTGATTACTCACATTTGCTTCTGTGGCACTTAAGGAATATGGGTTTGACAAACGATAGATGAGAGCCAAAGGTTTGGGATTATAGAAATTTATGTGCCAAAAATATGTAATACAAATATCCATGTACACACCACGACCCTTCCCTTCTATCTCATTCCTGCCCCCAACCCGCTGACCCTGGGTCATTTCCTAACTATCTTGCAGTTAGGCAGAGAAATGTGGCTCATTCTGTCTAGTGGGCTATGGCTGTGAGTGTTTCATGCCTTTCTCTTTCTCTCTCCCTCTCTCTCTCTCTCGCTCTTTATTTATTTATTTATTTGCTGAGACAGGGTCTCACTCTGTTGACCAGGTTGGAGTGCAGTGGTGTGATGCTGGCTCACTGCAACCTCCGCCTCCCAGGCTCAAGCAATCCTCCCAGCTCCGCCTCCCGAGTAGCTGGGATTACTGGCACATGTCACCACACCCAGCTATTTGGTAGAGATAGAGTTTCGTCAAGTTGCCCAGACTTGCTCAAAATCCTGGGCTCAAGGAATCCTCCTGCTTTGACCTCCCAAGGTACTGGGATTATAGGCACGAGCCACTGCACCCAACATCATGCCCTTCTCTTCCTTTGCTTATGGGCCTGGAATCCAGGTTTTCCAGATTCTAGAGCCTCCGCTGTCAGCCTGAGTACTGTGGGGGAACAGAGTCCCCTACAACCTTACCTGAGTCAGGCATGTAAGATAAGCCAGAATTAATGGTTCAGTGTGCTAAGCTATTAAAACATTTTAAATTTTGTATTAAATTTTTTTTTTTGTTTTAGAGATGGGGGTCTTGCTATGTTGCCCAGGCTGGACTTGAACAACCTTGATCAAGAAATTCTCCTGCTTCAGCCTCTGGAGTAGCTGGGACTACAGGTGCATACCACCACGTTCAGTTAAACTATTGAAATTTTAAGTTTTATTTCTGGTTACCATAGCACAATCTAACCTCTTATGACTAATGTTGGATTCACAATAACATCTTGGCTCTGCCACTTGCTATTTTGGGCCTCTATTTTCTCATCTATAAAGTGGAGGTCACAATACTCACTGTAAGGACTGTCAAATTTTTGTCTGCCTTGCATCCATTCCTTCTGAACGCTGCTGCCACCTCAAAATTCCATGAGATCCTTTTGCCGTCAATCTGGGGATCCACTTTCCCCACAACAGGGCAGCCAATTAGAGAGCCACATCTTCTTGGACACACTGATTGGGCCAAGGTGTAGCATGTGACCCCAAAATGGGCAATCAGGGTCCATTTTCAGGACAGGTGGATGTCATGAGAGAGGGTCTCTTTCTGCATAAGGCTGGGACTGTGAGATGTCATCTTTGCTATTCATGGAAGAAAGCACCACTTGTGGATACTAAGAGACTGAGCTAAACAGCCCATCCAGCCCTGGTTTTTCTCTATTACATCATCCAATAAATCTTTCTCTTTCTGTCTCTCTGCTTAAGGTAGTTTGAGTTGGGCTTTAGTCACTAGCAGCCGAAAGAGTCCTGACCAATGCCCCTGCCTGGGAGTTATTAGAAGGATTAAATAAAACAGTGCATTAAAGTACCTGCCAAATTGCAAATGCTCTAAACGTAATTGCTATTCTAGCTGAGGTTGGTTGCTAGAGGGCTTTAGTCATGAGCACAGTATTTTGCTTATTCCTTATTCTCAGTCCTTTAGGTAACCTTAAGATTTGATGAGCTCATAAACTGAGACCACATTATTTTGGACCCCACAGAATTTTTTTTTCCACTTGGCCGCAGTAGTCTCTGTCATTTGCTGCCTCGGAGGGGCATCATAAGAAACAGATATTTGAAAACCTTTATTGCATATGCTGCAGGGAAAGTGTCTACTGCTTCACTTGGGGTTCCACCTATAAAGAGACATTAAGAAATTTTTCTCAGACTTACATGGAAAGGAAAACTTGACATCTCCTAAGGTGATACATCTACAACTTTTTCACCCCCATCATCAGAGAAGACTGAGCTTATATTCTTAGGTATTGAAGGCATAGCCCTCAGCACAGTTCTTAAACATTCACATGATTTTTGCATTATTCTCCATTATACATTCATGTTTATTTTTATGGATGTTGTAAATCCTGTATCAAATCACTATGATGGCCTGTAAGGTTGGCATGAAATTTATGGCTTCTTTTTTAATAAAGATGACCAAAGTGTATAGGCTATGCCTACATCCTTGTCTTGATCTTCTAATGGTGCTACATTTTCTCTGGTCCTGAATTTTGCTTATTTATAGCTTTATATTTTATAGTATATTTTCTTATGAATTGCCACGACTACTTCGTGGAAATAAATGAGTTATGAATAAATAAAAGCTCTTGAATAAACATAAAAAAAACTTGACGAGCCTGAAATTATACCATGTGAGGGCACTGGGTATTTACTTGGTTTCCTACTAAAGCCATCTCACCCCAGTATAAGTCAAATTGAGTAACACATTGAACAAAAAAGGGTGTTTAAAATTTTGAGAGCGACAGCACAAAAAGACATATCATACATTAATACCAATTTTGGAAGACAGATGTTGGAACGGTGTTTGAAAGAACAGGTGTATTTGCTTCCTTTTCACCAAAGGGAATAGGGAAAATATTTTTGTTAACAGAAATGTTCATTATATCTTCAACTTCACACATGGGGACAGAAATTATGCAATAGCAATATCTTTACTATAAACACCCAATATCGAATTAGCTAGTTTTTCGGATACTCTTAGAAGCATCAAAGAATACAAAAATGCAGAATGAGGACTCCAAATCAAATGCCTGCTCACTTACCTACATCCTTTCCTGGGCAGTATTCTCCATGAAGACTGGACTTTGTACAATCTCCTGTTGTATTCCCAGGGCCTCACAAGGGAGGCACCCAATAAGTACTTGTAGAATAAATCATGACCACCTCCCCTTTTCCTGTGGGAGGAACTTTGCTGCAACTTGAAGGCCAAGTCATTGCTGGCTACATTTCTTCTTCTATCATATCTTCTTCACCAACTGAATTCTGTGCAATTCTTTAAAGTAGGAGTTCTTAAGATGAGATGGGTTCAGAAATTTCTTGAATCCACTGAAAAGGTATGCCAAGGTTTGTGCATTGGGTACATTTTTTGAAAAGAGCATGCATAGCTTTCATCAGTGTTTTCAAAGTACCTGTGATCCTGAAGAGTTTAAGGACCAGTTAGGCAAGGGATTCATTGTCTAGCATAGTGCTTTGTGTATAGTGGGTGCTCAATACATGGATATACAGTTTAATGGTTGAGATTTTTATGTTTCCCAGTCAGAAATAACTGGGTTAGCTCTGTGATATGGCCTAATAATTGAATCCCTTTAAGCCTTAATTTCTTTATGTGTGAAATGGGAACTATAATATCTTACTATTATTATTATTTTTAATTTTAGTAGCTTTAGGGGTACAAGTGGTTTTTGGCTACCTGGATAAATTGTATTGTGGGGAAGTCTGGAATTTTAGTGTACTCATCACCCAAGTAGTGTACATTGTACCCAGTAGGGAGTTTTTCATCCCTCACCCCTCTCCCACCCTCCCGCCTTCTGAATCTCAAGTGTCCATTATACCACTCTGTATGCCTTTGCATACCCATAGCTTAGCTCTCACTTGTGAAAACATGCGATATTTGGTTTTCAACTTCTGAATTACTTCACTTAGAATAATGGCCTCCAGGGAAATGATAATATCCAACAGAATATTGTTAGAATTAAATGAGGTGATGTAAAGAATATTTGACCCATAGTAAGCACTCAATTAATGGAGCTACTGTCTTTGTTAGAGGAAATTAAATCATATTTCAGAGACCAATATCACATACTCACCAGGACTGATTCTCATTATAGCAACCTTTGTTTTTCAAAATGAAATAAAAAAAAATATATAAAACCGTTAAAAAAGGATTTTATTTTCACAGAGCAGCATCATTTAATGATTTGGCAATGTAATAGAAATGAATACAAGAGGAAAACAAAGGCAGGGATGTATCTGTCATGTCCAGGGTCAGAGATGAAGTAAACCTGACCAAACGGGAATTAGGTCTTTGAAACTCTCCCAGTCTCTTCCCTCTTCCTTCCTGCCTCCACCTCCATCACTGTGTGTATGTACCACATGTGCACACAAACACAAAAACACACTCCCAGAAATGTCATTATTTAAGAGTTAGGCAGAAGATCTTTCTGAATAATTTCTTTCTTTCTTTCTTTCTTTTTTTTCTGAGACAGAGTCTCACTCTATCACCCAGGCTGGAGTGCAGTGGCGTGATCTCTGCTCACTGCAACCTCCGGCTCCCCAGTTCGAGCAATTCTTGTGCCTCAGCCTCTGGAGTAGCTGGGATTATAGGTACCTGCCACCATGCCTGGCTAATATTTTGTAGTTTTAGTAGAGATAGGGTTTCACCATCTTGCCCAGGCTCATCTTGAACTCCTGACCTCAGGTGATCCACCTGCCTCAGGCTCCCAAAGTGCTGGGATTACAGGCATGAGCCTGCTAAGCCTGGCTCCCTCTTTAAAATATAGTTCTGAATTCACCCTCTCTCTAATTCCCCTAATTTAATTTTTGAATAGAGTGTCATCAAAGGGAGTGTCAAGTTTGATACCATTTGTTCTTTTTTTTTTTTTTGAAATCTTTGAAAGACTTCTTTTTTCCTGATTCCATTGTATCCAAGAATAATCTTTAAAGATTTTTGGCTTAACCAATAAAAAAATCAATACCTGTTTGCGTTGATGAAGTTACCAACTGTGGACCTATGTGCTTGTATCATTGCTCTAATTGTGGTCCGAATTTTTGTTTTCTTTGAAAAACTGCTTCTATAACACCTGGGAGACAAAAATATTTGTAAAATGAAAACATACCCTTTAGAATTAAGAAGGAAAGTGAACTATGGTGTATTAGAAGCTTCTAGATTTTCTAATTATGCACTTATTTTATTTTAAATAAATTTAATTTTTTATTTCAAAAGATTTTGGGGTTCAGGTGGTTTTCGATTACATGAATAAGTTATTTAGTGGTGATTTCTTGGATTCTTGTGCACCCATCAACTGAGCAGTGTAAACTGTACCCAATATGTAGTCTTTTATCCTTCACCCCCTTCTCCCTTCCCACTGAGAGTCCCCAAAGTCCATTATATATTCTTATGGCTTTGCATCCTCATAGCTTAGCTCCCACTTATAAGTGAGAACATATGATATTTGGTTTTCCATTCCTGAGTTACTTCACTCAGAATAATGGCCTCCAGCTCCATCCAAGTTGCTGCAAAATAATTATGTGCTTACTTTAAAAGCAAAGCTGAGGATAAGTTTGTACAAAATTAGAACTGAACTGAAGTAGTGTGCTACAAAGGGATTACAGGAGTCCATCTATTCCAAACCCCTAATATTCCAGAAGAGAATGTTAAAATATAGAGAGATATGAGCCTTGTCCAAGGTTATGCAACTGTTCCCCCTTCTCCATCCATGGCTGGTGAAAAGGCTGGGATGTGATAGGCTAACGGGGTTGAACATGTAGTAGCTGTTTTGTAATTATTTTCATTAATAGAAAGTGGCAGGTTTGTTTTTAGCCCACTTTTTATACCCCAGGTTTCCATCTCCCTCTCAGGGGGTCCATCTGTGGCACCACTTCTTTCCTGAGGGTCTGCACACTTGCCTGCTTGAAAGAACATTGCCATGAAGCACTGGTTGGTCTAGAACAGTATTTCCAAAAGTGTTTGTTCTATGGGCTGTAAATTGGTATTCTCTGGGGGAAAACAGTTGATGCTTGAATGAATTTTGAAAGTGCTACATTGAACAAATGTGTATGATTATTTCTTGCAAGACTTCTCAGAGCCTTTAATGTGCTAATAGGCATCCCAAGTCTCTAGGACAAGGGTAAAGTACATATATCATATTTTCAGAGCTGACTTGATTATGGAATATTCTTGCATCTCTCCCCAACCCCAACATCTGGGAATAAATGGGTATTAAGTTATCCTTCCAGAGATATTTTCATTTTAATATAGGCTACTTAAGAAGAAGTTATTAGTTGAGCTGCTTATTTCTCTTAGTGTGTAAGGTCTCTAAAGTCAGGAAAAATATCATTCATTTCTGAATCAACAATACTTAGACCAGTAAGGTGAACAGTTCTTGGCACACAGGACAAATGGCACAAGATCCACCTATGTTTGTTAAAACATGAAAAGATTTCAAGCCCCACAAGGCTTACTTACTGGAACTAGAATTTAAACCATCAATGGCAATCAAATTAACCTTCTGTTACCCTCCATTTTTTTTTTTTTTGAGTCATCAATTTCACAGCCCTGGGGCAAGAATTACTAAGAAAAATTGATAAAGAAAATCATTAAGAAAAATATAGTATTATCATATCCCTTTTTCTTCTTTTCTCACTAAAGAAAAATTCAATGTTTACTAGTTTTGTTTTAATGATTTTGAAAGGGAGAATCATGACAAGGATAGAAAAGCTGAGCTGGAGAGGCAGAAGTGGGAAAGTTATATGGAAAAGGGTTGAGATTTAGAAGGTTCTTCCTGAGAGAGAGAGAAGAGTTAAAACGGAAGGAAGCAGCTGCCTTTGGGTGGAGGATAATGAGGGTAGCATAGATGGGAAGTAGGATTTTAAGATATTTTCTGTGTAACTCATACCCACATCTCCACCCACACACTCGGTTTTGGAAGTATCATGAAGGACAAAGTAAAATCTTGCAATGCTTTCGTATGCATTCTTATTCCCCTCTTGAACTTTCCTGCAGACACTGGGCCATGGGAACCTAATAATATTTGGGTTACACTACTAAAAGGAGAGATATATGATGGAAAAATAGAACCCTGTCAACTTTTCAACTTCTCGTGAGAAAGGGAACATCATCAACTTGTGAAACAACTATATACAATTCTCATGATCTAGTCCCACTTTGTATTTCCCCAGTGCTACACAAAAATGTGATTGCAGTTGTCTTTCTTAAAGCTTGTTTTTAGTTAATTTTTCAATATTTGCACAATGTCTGTGAAAAATAAGGGAAAGCTATTTTACAGTGTACATACATCTATATGCCTTATAAATAGAAACTGGAGAAAGTATTAACAATTCTAATGATTTCATCATTAACAGAAAAAAATCTCCTCAACCAGCGCCAGCTCTTGGCAAAAAAGATCAATAGGAAACTAAAATGCATTTAAGGATTTCTCTAGCACAAGATAACCAGCACTGCACTTCACGTTTGCTAGGTCTCACAAAAGAGATTTTATAAGATTCTGAATAATCTTAGGTTGAAAAATTATTTTGGTGGTCTCAACTGAACTTCTCACAGACATCACTGTCTTTGATCAAAATATAGCTACAATGTTTACCCCAGGCATCATGAGTTACCCAAATGCTGAGATGACAGGAAGGCTTTTCTTTGTATTGGCAAAGTGATATATAGGAGAATCTGCCTACTCCTTGTTTGGGGAGAACATGTTAACTAAAGCTTTCACGTACCTCAGAAAACACATCTGGTGTAGTCTTTATTACTATGAGTTGATTTGTTTAATGAAGTGTTTGCAGAGGTTGCTAGGCTCAGTAGGCAGAAGGAATATAAGCCAGAAAAAACATGGCACCAAGTTTAATTCAGTTCACCTAACATTTGTTGAGCAACTATGATGTTGAGCAACTATGATGTTGAGCAATTATAATGTGCCAAGAGATGGGGATACAAAGACAGATAACTGCTCTACCCTAAAAAGAAGGAAGGAGAAGGGTAAATGGGTTGGAAGAGAGAGAGAGAGAGAGAGAGGAAGAGAGAGAAAGAGAGAGATGGGAGAGAAAAAGGGAGGGCAAAGGAGATGAGATAGAGGAAGAGAAAGGCACGTGCAGAAAGGTTTTAAGACAAGCCTACAAAAGAGAGAGGTAAGTTAAAGGCAGAGGACTAACAAAGGAAGAAAATCATAAGAGAAAGAGACAGGAAGAGAAGAAATAGTTAGAAATGATCCCAAAAGGTTAAGACAAAGAGAATATTTTGTTTGGGGGCTCTGGCTTTACCATCTTCTAAAAATGTTAACTGACAAAAAGGTGGCTCCATTTTCCAAGTTCAAAATCTTTTAAGTAGAGGAAGTAGGAGAAAATTGTGCTTTTAGGGTTGCAAGGTATATCAAAAGATTTGGAAGATTTATACGTGGAGTCAGTAAGCTAACCTAAAAGGTTATCACAGGTTTTACTTTTGGAAACCTTTCTCAGAAAACCAAACAAACACTAGATTTACAGTAAGCATGTAATAAAAAAGGCAATGGGTGTCTCCTTTCTTTTTTATGCAGTTTATAAGTGCTTTTTCCTTTCTGGGAAAGAAGTGTTTCTCCTGTACTGGTTGAGGCAATTCATCATATTCAGTAGAGTCAGAGTGTCTATAAGTACTCATTATGATGTCTCCTTGACAAAAGGAAAGGTGAAAATGGTAGTTTAGAGCAGGAAAATGGTCAATTTTTTATATTTGGTGTATCATATTATTCAGGGGATTTTTTTTTTAAGTTTGAGAAAAATGGCCCTTTAACAATACATGGAGGTGTGTGGAGGGTATTGCGGATGTTTGCCGCACTAGAGGCTGGCTATGCCAAATCTGTCTGGAAGCACTGGTTTCTAATCCGAGTCTCTTGGGCAGATGTTATTTGAAGGTCAGCCTTTCTATTGATAAAATACAGATAGCTTACATTTGGCCACCATCTTAGAGAGATGGAGCAGGAGGTGCTGGGAAATACCATCAATCATACTATTATTAGCACATAAGACTCTCTGGGGTGAGAGGAAATCGGTGGGCCAAGATCTGTTGTCCCATCTCTTCCTAGTGTGTTTACCATGTCTGAGGGGTGAAGAGAATTGCATCTATCGTCCAGCTGTGCTCGACACTAAAGAGTTCACCAGTCATTGCAATTATGCTGGTGGGATTTGGTGCTGGGGGAATTCTGTGTGCTGGGAGCCATAGGGAGGCCATCAATTCATTTCACATATATTATTTCTCTAAGAAACACAGCATAATTGAGGACAATTTTCCACCATGAATTGCATCATTAGCTAACACAGGGAAAGTGAAATGCTGTTAACTTTTCTTTTTCTTCTGCAAGCTGATGAGCTGAAGAAAATAGAAAAGTTTAATGTAATTTTTTTCAAGGATATATGTTGAAAATCAGAATCAAAACGCTTTTACACGGTAATAGAAATCCCACATTTTAATACATTGCCATGCACATAAGGAGTCAAGTAATGCTGAATACAAAATAGTCAAATATACAAAATGATAAAGCAGATTTTCCAGCCTGATAGAGATCATGCTCACAGATACAAGGGAGGCAAACATCTGTACAGTTTCATTTTTATCCATTTTATAAGAGTCATGCCCCCCTCAACTCTTTTTGAGGACAACTGGAAACAGAAGGAAACATAAGAATATACAAAGGAGACCCAAAGGGAATTGGCAAGTTGATAGCTGCTGAAGATATGGAAATCGGTGGTTCAAAATTGTGGTACACAATAATTCTTATGTTTAGAGAAAAAAAGTTTCTAAACATCTTATGCCCTGGAAGCCAGGAAACTAAAGTGGATATCCAACAGAAAAGGCACTCTTGTTTTACCACATAACTTGATTGCCTCCTCCTAAGTCTAGTCCTGGGAGTTTTTCTAGGATGCACAGAGGAAAAAAAAAAAAAAAAAAAAAAAGAAAGAAAAACCCAACAGTTGTGGGAAATGAATACAGGTAATACTTATGTAATTAAACACTCTTGGAAGACCAACAGAATTAAGACTGCTGGTTTAACTACTCACTTAAGGAAGTTATAAAAATGTCAACCATCTACCTAGGCTTCTGTGTTCTGACATGTGCTTTTTAGCCATGTTTGTTAGTGTCTGTGAAGGAATGAATCATTTTTTTAATCAGATTCTCCCCCATCCTCCCTTCTCATACTCTGTAAAGAGCACTGCTCTTATGTTCAATTCACATTGTGTAATTTTTCTTCCTCTTTCTTTCCTAGAACAAACACCAATTTGCAGTAGTTCATCAAAAAAGTTTGATGTGGCTGTCTGCTTCCTGTGCCTCTCAGTTTGGCACCTCCACACTCTGACGGGTCTTCTCCAACCTGGGATTGGCAGTCTTCACCTTGGTAGATCATGGAGCTCTAAATCTTTGGGAGGTGAAGAAGTGGAAATAAATGGACACCTGGGCTGTGGACTCTGCAGACTAGCCTCATATATTAGAAAAAGTGTGTGTGTGTGTGTGTGTGTGCGTGTGTGTAAAATGCTGATTGTTACTTCTTCATCATTCTGTTTCCTTTGTAAATCCCAGAATGGAGGCTCAGAAATAACAGCTCTACAGAGAAAGCCTCAAGTAAGGGAAAGGAATCATTGAATAAAGCCTGCAGCCCAGATCGGCACTCTAATTACACATAAGGGATATTGGAGGCACAGTATAGCTTCTTCCCTTAGCTCATTTTAGCCTCCAAACAACCCCATCTGCTAAGGAGGGACAGAGAGCACCCCATACTGAAGAGCAGTGGCCCAGAGAGACTGGGCTATTTCTATTAGTCTAGCATTCTTGAATTCAAAACATTTTCTTCCTTTTTATCAGAGCAGTGTCAATCTCCACAAAGTTCTAAGAATAACTCAAGTATATAAACCACAACAGATCGATATTTTCTTTTCTCAGGTGCTTTTTACTGTTAATATTAAATTTTGTTACAAGATTGATCTTTTCTAAAATTTTGTGCAAAGCTATTTAATTTAGTGCCTGATATTAAATAATTACATTAACTGAAACTACAATAGTATGATTTAATGATACAAGAGTTTCAGTGGAATTAGTTTCCAAATATTTGTGCTGGCTTGACTTTTCAGCAGACTGGTTCCTTCTGTCCCAATCATGACTGTGACACACAGTACAAAGTCAAGAGCCTGGTATTATTCAGCTCTCTGCAATGTGAGCTTCTTTTACTAGTTAAACCATGGTCTTCTCAGACATGGCCTTGTAAGGACAACATCTTTCTATTGGTGGAAGAAAGGTGGTGGTGGAGAAACCATTCAGAGCCCCAGAGAGCCCTAAAATTGCCTACGAGCATGAGTTTAAGCAAATAGAACCCCTTTTACCCCCAGTGAGGGCCAACACCCACCAAAGAGGCCTCCCTTTCTGGTGATCTGAGGTGGGAATTGAATAAAACTAAAAAAGACAAGGGTTTCAGCATTCAAACATGAATTTCCTACCCCACTCTACATTCATCTTTAAGGTTTCCATCTGCAACCGAAGGCCTTTTTGATGTGAAAAAGAACTGGGTCAGGCACTTCGAAACCTCTGCAGCAGCTGGTATGTGGGAAAACATAACCTTGGTCCTCTCTCAAATGCACTGTATGGTATCTGGACATAAGCATTGTCAAAAGTAGACATAGAGCCAGCAGGCAGTTCCCAACATTAACACGCTAAATGCACTAAATTGTGGTTGAAAAAAAATACTGGAGATTATATATATATATATATATATATATATATATATATATATATATATATATATATATAGAGAGAGAGAGAGAGAGAGAGAGAGAGAGAGAGAGAGAGTGAGAAAAGTAGAACTGATTTAGGGATCATAGAATCAAGGACCACAGGCATGCTCAAACTCAAATCATATTTTTGGAATTATACTTGGATAAGAAGTCTCTATAGAGGTTAGAAAGATAATTTCATGGCATTTTTGCTATTTTAGAGGCAAGGCTAACTCCTCTGAGAAGATGGGAGAAGACCATGATCAGTTTGTGGAATAGGACAGGACCAACCCTGAGGTGCCTGGGGCATTTCAGCCAGCAAATTTTTCTATGAAGTTATCTTCAAGATCAGTTATCCTACCCTAAGTGAAAGCATGATCTAGTAAGAGTCTCCTGTTTTGCATTTTTTTTAGCATTACATATTTGAATATATTTTTACAGAATTTGGGCGGTGGCGGTGATTAAATGCAATCATATTACAGATCTGTTTGCTCTCATGCATCCACTCAGTCTGGACTTCTACATTTGGTAGATGTGTCTGTGCTAATGTGGCAAAAGCCATATGAAACCAACCATTTATTTCTCTTGATCCAAATGACTGAATTTAAAAAGGTTATAAACAATGTGGAAGGCAACCAGCAGAGTCTTCAGTGTTTTAATTGTTTGAGGTATTAGTATCTCCAGTGATGGATTAATTTAATAGCCTCCTTCCTTGAGGTTCACATCAGTAGGGCTGTTATTAATACTCTGCACATGAGGCAAAAAGGCCTGGGCTTAAGAGCCTTTCTAAGGCTTCTCAAAATATCTGAGGTTTGGAAAACAACAACGCAACAAATAACCAACCAACCAAACAAACAAACAAACAAAAAACCTCCCAAACCATTGGCTCCAATTTATGAAAATTGAAAAGAATTTATGAAAATTGAAAAGAATATGAAATTATGAAAATAATTTTGTATGATCAGAAATAATGTCTAAATATCTATGACACTTATTATGTCAACCAGCCAATGGTAATTCAACACAAGTCATATGTTTACTTTTACATTACATTAAGTATATGCTGTTGGTGCCTTCTTGTGCTTGATATAATTGTAGGAGGAAAGCTCTGAAGGAAGAATGCTTGGAGTGCATCAGGGTTTTTAAATAGCCTTACGTGGCAAATTGAACTTCAGTTTTATGATATCTTTGGCATCCATTTTCTGCTGTTCCATGGAAGTCATGTCTCAGTCATTTTGCCGTTAGGCAGGAAGTATAAAACTAGCCCTATGCCTGATGGCAGTTCCCTTTTACATTTGTTGCTGGTAAATTTCACCTGAAAAAATTTAGATTTTAGAAACAGTGCTTGCTCTCACCCAGAATTTTCCCTGTGGAGCTAAGGTGATGGACAGAAGGCCATCAGTACTGTTACTGTCCTTTTAGCTACTTTCCCCAAATGAGAAGCATCTATTTTGTTCTTTATATTAAGGTGTGGTAGAACTTTCCTGTGTACTTGGCCAACTTTTCCTTAAGTTTCCCGCTTTCAAAAGAATGCTCTCTGTCTTCCCAAAAGCCACCATAGCAAAATAATGGAAACAAGGCTCTCTTTTACCTTGAAGCTATGCAATGGTGCCAGGAATCATGTGCGTTGATAAACCAGAATTCATAGGATAATTTTCTGGATTCAGGATTAGATTCAGATCTAAAAAGACTAAGGAGCAGGATCTGCCTTTGAAATAGAGTCCTTAGTGGTGCCTGGAGTAGAAACATCTCCTGGCCTGTCCTCCTTCCTGATCTCAGGGCTGCACTGGGATTAATTAATCTTCCAGATGACTGGTCAGCGTTATTAATCCCTACCTCACTGCTTTTTGGGCAACAAATTTTCACCAAGATCAAGCTTAAGAAGAAATATTAGGACTGGGGAAAAAGGTAACAAATACACTTTTTGTTGAGTTCTTTATAGAATTCTTGAAAACTACCCACAGCATCATGTTAAAAGAAGAGAGATGAAAGAAAAAAATCCCCGCAAAAAACAAAAAAGTGCAGTGGAGGGGGCTGTGGGAGGGGTGAATGAAAACAGCCTTAAAGCAATAAAGGAATTTGTGTCATTTTCAAAGATTAGATTTTTCAAAAGAGTCTAAGACGATTGACAAGTCTAGTTGTCAAGTAACAAAATTATTCTAAAGAATGTAGAGGAAAACATCACAAAGAACAAAACTGCTCATGTACTAGAAAGAGGAGGTTTTGGTGAAAGTAAAGTGCTAAGGGGGGTATTAAAAACTTCAATTCCTTGAGACTTTTGTTGTTCCTATGCAAAATCAATTATGTGACATTTGCAGACAAAGAAAGCATTTGCAAGTAACAAGGGGGATCCATTAGAGGTTTTTATCCTTAGTTGATATTCTCACGTACAGCTGATACGCCTTTTCTCCTTGAATGTTAAAAATGGCAGAATTTCCTCAGGACTAAGGACCGTTAGCCTCTTTCTGAGCAACTGCGAAGTGACTCTGGAGAGATTCCTGGCTTGTTTGCCAGGATTCCGGAGGTAGAAGTGAAATCTGCGGGTGCACACCTCACAGAGCCTGAGCAAGGATTTGAAGGTACGCCACTACCCGCAAAGAAAGTTGATAGGATCTCTCTTCCCCTAGGTACGTCTCAAACTATTGAAGTAATTTGCTTTTCACACTAGCAGGACTGGCAATGCTCTGCATATTCAGTTCTGGAGTGGAAATAAGCGAATCCCCTTGGCACCATGGAAAGTCTCATAATTATTCATTTCTGTTCATTCCCAAGAGTGCCTTTCCTGCACAAGTCTGGGTGTCAGCCTTTTAATAAAGGTGTAGCACAGGTGTAGGTAAAAGGAAAAGTCAAGCATCAACAGTTTACAGTCCTTAGACATAAAAATATGTATCCTTTACTTCCCCACCTCTTGCTTCCTATCAAACAAAACTCACCACAACTATTTCTGGATTTCTAGGAGGTAACATTCCGTACATGCATCTTGGGAAGAAAGTACAGCACAGTTGAAGTTAACCATGGGAGATCACAGAGGACCACCACATAATAAAGAAGCCAAAGCCTGTGAATGAAGTCATTCCTCTTTTTTGCTGGTTTAGCTCTTGACTGCTTGGATTTTATGCCACCATATTTCCAAACTATCCCCCACAATGATTTCAAACAGAAGTTGACAGTTTGGAAAAGAATAGTAGTTCATATGCAAATATGGAATATGTGCCAGGCATTAAGGCATTTTTAGAGATACAGTCTTCAATGGGGCTCTTTAATGGTCTTCATTTTGCCTTCTCCTAGGTCCCTCTTCACCCATCATCTTTCAATAATTTCACAGCGTTCCTTTGACTTAAAAAAACAAACAAACTAGGAAACTCTACTTATTGAATTGTTCAGAATATTTTGCAAAGGCCAAAGTAAGTAACAATGAACCACCATCATTTAGTGAACATTTGCACTACAAAGCATGTCCAGTTTTCCAAGAGAGTCAGCAGTAGTCTCACAATGTCCTTGGCTAAATCTTAATTCCCAGTTACAATATCTCAGCACCTGGCAGTTCTTAGGCTTCATCAGACTCAACTGTGTGTCCCCTGGATGAGTTATAGAATTGGAGTGTTAGATAATCCAGCGTAGTGGTGAATGGTTGTGCCTATATAAAGAAAGGGAATATAGGTAGCCAGGGTGGATATCAAGGAAAAGCAACTGAATGCTGCTTTGGGGAGCTCCAACCAGCTCAGTCTAGGCCCTGGAAGAGTTGGCTGTATCTGAAAGGTGCAAATATGTGGCCTGATGCAGTTTACCATCTGTCACTCTGCTGCCTCCTCCCTGAGGATCCGTCTGCTGCCATGTTCTTCTTCCTAGGTTACTCTGGCAGAATGGAGAATGCTGTCTGAATTCAGTTTTCATTGTGGAAATGGTGGGGTGGTGATAATGTTGGGGAGGAGGAGATACAGTTTCATAAGGGCAGGTGGGGAGTCTGCTTTGTGGACTGTTGTTGCCCAAGCACAATGCTTGGCACATAGTAGATGCTCAACAAATGCTTGCTGAATAAAGGAAGGAATGAAAGGAAGAAGAAGACCTGCTATTAGAACTGAACCACATGAGATGGGCAGTGGAGACTGGAATATTGTGTCCAAGGGTGTTGGCAGCTGGAGTTTGGCCTCCTAATTATAGATGTGAAGAGAATTACGGTCTGCAGAGGGCCTGGCAGTCCTGGTGCTGACCTGCCGAAGGGCCAGATCTTGGTGGTGACTGCAACTTCTCTGAGTTCCTTGTTGGAAGCCCCCTTCTCTGGCTCTGCAGCCTGCCAGGCTTGTGGTGAGTCATCCTGCTGCTGACTCATTTGGACCTTCCTCCCTTTCCGTCAGGTTTCCAAATCTCAGGCGTGGGTGGTTTCCAATGGGCTGTGTATTTCCTGAGACCCTGAGCGGAGGCAGACAATGCTTATGTATCTGGAGACACCCTAAAACACCAAGCTTGCTTGCGTTGGAAGTCTTCCAGAACTGGTTACCCATATTTTAAAGCAAAGCCTCTGATGCCCGTCAGTCCCAGGCTGGGACAGTGGGCACACAGAACATACTTTGCTGAGCTTTCCATTCAACCAACTTGATATTTTCAGGAAAAAACATGCTACAGTGTTATGTAGCAAGTCAATATGAACATGTCTCTAATGCTCAAAGACAAGCAATAATTAAGTTGACTGGTTTCCCAGGACTGTGCTTTGTCGTAAGACATAGTTAAAAAAAAAAAAATTAGTCACAGGTATAATCCCAGAAAGGATTAACAAGGGACTAGTAGGTTCTACCCTAAGTAAGGAACCTAGTATAGGACTTGACCCTTTTCCTTCTCTAGGCACATAGTGGGGTCACTTGATGTTTCTCTCTTGATGTTTCTCTCTTGAGAGAATGGCGATTTCAACTTGACTTAGAATTTTTTCCGAAGTGTTAACGTCAGACCACACAAA
Organism: Homo sapiens; assembly: GCF_000001405.40. Taxonomy (NCBI): domain Eukaryota; kingdom Metazoa; phylum Chordata; class Mammalia; order Primates; family Hominidae; genus Homo; species Homo sapiens. The sequence goes on from NC_000008.11 coordinate 118,196,727, forward strand.
AGAATTGCATTCTGTTGCCCTTACCATCCATCCACCATGGTCTTTGATTAAAAGAATACCATCCCCTTTTTTCCCTTGGAGGAACTCCTCCCTTGGAGGAGCCAAATAGAAGCCTCCTGTATTTGAGTACCTGTATGTTCATGTGGTCAATAGTGCCTGTGAACAAAGAAGCAAGCTAAGATATCACCATCACTGGACCCCCTTCTTCTTCCCTTTGGTGCTAGAAGTAAACCAGTTGTTCAATAAAGTATCTGGAGGTGAAGTCTAACAGTATTGTGGCCATATTTACATCAACCTACCACAAACAACTGGGGATATGCGAGTAGTGGAGTTTGTCTTGGACAGTCTGAGCCGGAAAAAAAAAAACCACTAAGATTTATAAAAATAAAAAGAAAATACTTGATTTCTCACATGTGCTGAATGTGCTGATTCATCTTGGTGTAGTGTTCTCATATAAAGTGCTTAAGAGTTGGACAGTATACCTTTAGACATCATAACTAACATAATCGAGACGTGTTTACATTCCTACCAGGGCATAATATTGTGAACACTTCCACTGAGATTGCAGAATTGCTGTAATTTTTTTTTTCTAAAACATCATGCCATCTGCACACATAATAAAATAATCCAGTAGTTGCCATGCTAAAACAGGACTTCTAGTGAAGGGCACAGACAGCTCCCCAAAGGGAACTTGAGTTATGCACAGTGATGAAAACTGGAAGCAATTTTCCAGCTAATGGTCTGCCAATGACCACTTGGAATGAGTTGGCATTATATTATGCACCTCATTTTAAATCCACAGCAAAGCAAGATTTTTCCAAAACCCATAATATTGACTGAATGGGTGCTTTTTTCAGTTAATCCAGTTAATCTGTCCACGATCCAAGGATATCTTCTGGCAGTGCCATGGGTTAGTCTTTCTGTGAGGAACAGGCCATGTTCATATCAACTGGCAGGACAGCAGCTTGGAAGGCTAACCGTGTTTATGGAGAACCCTCAGATGATGCTGCAAGAAGAAAAAGGGGGAAATATGGTAAGTTCTTTCCTTTATGTTTCCAGGCACTGATATGTAGCAATTATCTTATTCAAACAAACCCTAACACCCTTAGGCCAAAGAGAAAGCTCTAGTCAGAATAATGGTTACTCAATGCCAGGATGGATTTACAGTGGCTTATATTCATGAAATTTTTTTTTCTACCATTTGGCAAGGCATGGAAGACACCCAACTGAGAAATAGGTGAAGCTGCCTGGAAGGGAGGGCAAAACCAGATCTCTGGAATTGGCATCCAGCCCTATGGCGGGGCTGCAGTTTGGGAAACCATTTCATGTATTATGAAGGTTCATGCATTTGCTTGGTCTGGTGCAAGGTAAGATTGGGGATGGTGTGAAGCATTTTATTGTGGGAGAGAGATGGGGGTTTCATTTATCAGAAAGATTTCTTGGGATGCAATCTAGAAAAAAAATATTGGAAGCGGAATGGCTGGAGCTCTTGAGTTTGCTAGTTGCGAAGTCAGATTAGCTGGGAAGGTTAGAGACTAGATAGAGAAAGTCATTAAAATCGGACCAGAGATTAAACTAATTGAATTGCAACCCTGCTTTTGGGCTTGGGAGTGCTAGTATAAAAATATTAATGTATTTTCCTGAGTGTTCTAATTTAAATTGTCTAAAGTTCCCGTTATTTTATTTGGGTACTCCCTACAGTTCCTTATACATGGGTCTTCAAGAATTATTATATGAGTACAATGGAATGTTTTGCTCAGAAAAATATCAGTATTAGTTTCTAATACACAAAACTATCAGACAATGGGAGAGAAGCACAGCAGGTATTCTTGATGCAAAAGAAAAAAAAATCTACCTCAGTTTTCAAACCTGGCTCTCAAATCTAACTAACTGGCTTTTCAAAACATGACAGAACGCACTATTTGTAAGCAAGTGTTTGATTAACATTTGCTATTTTTGAGAAAATGAAAAAATAAAAGGTACTATGTAAGTGTATTAAATATCAAATAATAATACTTCTGATAGGTTGTATTGAAAGCAGAATACTATTATTGTTGATGGCATTGTCAACTGGAAAAATAATGTCAATTTATTCAAAAATTATTGAAAATGCATATGCCTAAATGTAGTAATTCCATTCCTAGGAGTATATCCTAAGGAAATAATCTAAAAAAAAGAAAGAAGCTATATGCACAAATAGGTAAACTAGAGGTTATTTATCATAGAGGAAAAATTGGAAGCAACCACTCTCTTATTGTTGAAGATTTAGGTTAAGTAAATTATGGTACATTAACAAGATGGATAATTACATGGCCATTAAAATAATACTAATTATGATGATTATGATTATGTAGCAACATGGAAACAGTTATGATATACTACAATATAAAGCTTATATATATGCATAGAAAAGAACTGTATGTGAAAATGAAGGCCCTAGAATTTTTATTACTGTCATCATAGTATTTTGCAAAACAACAACAAAAATTAGGCTCACAGGGTTGCAGGATTGCCCCATGACTAACTAAAGCATCATGATTGTTTTCACTCACTAATACTACCTTGAAAATAAATACTTTGTAATTTCATTAAGAGAAACACTTCAGTATTTTGAAAGGGGTATAAACACCAATGTGCGTAAGATCCTATCCAGGTTGACCTGCTAGGAGGGCAGTACAGCCTGAAAGAACAACATTGATTTCTAGGAACTTGACACAGTGTACCATCCTTGAGACCTGGCTAAAATCAGATCCAGAAAATGTGTGACCTTGGAAAATAATGAATAACCTATAAAATACAATTTTAAAAAAGAATAATGATAATAAAGAGTAAGCCCTAATTAATTATTATACTTTGGAACCTGAGTCATGAGTTGATAACTAGGTTTATCATAGTTACTGCTTCTTTAAATAACCATGTTTCCTACAATGGTCTCTAGTAGCTGAGAGAAAGCAGATATGTCTAATCTTAGGATATTAAAAAAGCACTTATAACCATGGATGTAAGTGGAGTGCAGTATACTTTAGAGCACTTTCCCTTATCATTGCCCAATCCTCTTCTCAGGACATGTAGAATTATTCCCATTTTATAGATTAGGAAATTGAAGCCCAGAAGTATTATTAACCCAAGATCACACAGCTAGTAAGGATCAAAGCTATATCCAAATGATATGGTTTGGCTGTGTCCCCACCCAAATCTTATCTTGAACTGCAGCTCCCATAATTCCCACGCATTGTGGGGAGAACCCGGTGGGAGATAATTGAACCATGGGGGCAGTTTCCCCCATATTGTTCTCGTAGTAATGAATAAGTCTCATGAGATCTGATGGTTTTATAACAAGTTTCCCCTTTTCCTTGGCTCCCATTCTCTCTTGCCTGCTCCCATGTAAGATGTGACTTTCACCTTCTGCTATGATTGTGAGGCCTCCCCAGCCACGTGGAACTGTGAGTCAATTAAACCTCTTTTCCTTTATAATTTACCCAGTCTGGTATGTCTTTAACAGCAGAACGACAACAAACAAATACACCAGACTTAGGTGTGTCCCCCTCTAGTGACATACAGGAGTGATAGGGAGGAACATAGAAATATTCTGAGCCTTTCCCATCCCATCTTCTGAGTAGGCTTCCGTGTTTATCCACAAGCCCAATCAGCACGATGAAGGGCCCTATTAGAGTACCAAAAAAAAAAAAAAAAAAAATCAGAGGCTAAAATGAATTTATATTAGAGCAACAAGATACTCCTGCAAGACATGAATATAAATAGAACTAGAAGCCACAGAGAGACAAGTTGAAGGTTTAGAGGGTGACATAGGAGGTTTGGGACAGTGGTGGCCATAATGAGTGGGGCATTGGGAAAAGTGATGGCCAAAGAAAAGAGTGTGCTATGGCAGAGGAGTGTCATCTTTGAAATCTTTCCATGGTAGTCAGTGATGCTTCACTGCTCTTTGCTGTTTTTGCAGTTAGTATTGTGTTCCTTTTGAATGGGTCACCATGCTGAGATGGGCTTTATGGGAGGACAAGAGGTCCCCATTTACTCAGGCTGTATGTGTAAGACACGTGGTGAAAGTAGGCCTTGAACCTTAGTCTTTCTTCTTCCTATTATTATTTTTTGGAGACAGGGTCTAGCTCTCATCGATCAGGCTGGGGTGCAGTGGCACCATCACGGCTCATTGTAGCCTCGACCTCCCAGGCTCAAGTGATCCCCTCACTTCTCAGCCTTGCTGGGACCACAGGCGTGGCGTGCACCACTACACCCAGCTACACACACCTGGACCCTTGAACCTTAATCTTTCTATCAATCACATCTGTATAGTGATGGGTTCTGCCATCATCACTTTGCTAGAGACTTATCTGCAACAGGAATCATGTCTTCGGGTATATAAATCTACATGAGGTCAAAATGCAAAATGGCAGTTTGCATTAGACAGCCCTGGCTCTGAAAAGGGGGAAATATGTGGTCTTTGATATACAACGCTCTTTGGGCTCCATCCCCTGTGCTTCAGCCATCCCAGCCTCCTTCTGGCTCTGCATATGTGTGGGGTTGTTCCAGGTCTTGCTGATCCTTTCTTTTTCCCAGGGTGTCTTCTTTATATACCCTCTAGCATTAGTGAACACCAACCCCGCCCTCTTTCACAACCACCTAGAGCGTCACTTCCTTTATGAAGTATTCTTTCCTTCTAGACACAGCTAACAACTCTCTCCTGTGTGCGAGTGTGGCATCTCAAATTTTTACCAAAAAACCCACAATGAACACTTCAATTTAATGTATCCATCGTTCCTCCTAATTTTTTTGTGGGTGATGCCATGTCTTATTGTTGTGTATTCTCCTAATGCAATGTGCAGTGTCAGGTATACAGAAAGTGCTTATTAAATAGTTGTAAAGTTAATAAAGAAAGGAATGATGTTGGAGGAGAATCTTTGTTTCTCTGTTTAATTCAGTAACTAATGTTGCATGAGATTCAATCCTGGTCTGCATGTGGAGAGTGGGATTGCTCTGGTTTCTTTCTCTGCTTTATCAACTACTTACTCAAGGAAGATGTACATCCTGGGGGCTGTCCATGTATGGATTTTGCAGCTAACAAATAGTAAAAGGCTCTTTTTCAAACCTCTGTTTGATGGGCCATCATTACTATTAATAGTTTAGACATTCTTGGAATTATTGGAATCAAGAATTCTTGGAATCAATCATCATATTTAGCCCTATGGCTTCAGAGTCTGGGATGAGGAGGGAAGCACTGGAGTCTAGTGGTCAGGAGCATGGGCTCTGGCAGATATGGGTTCACATCCTAGGCTCACTACTTCCTAGCTATGTGATGTTGAACACATGAATTTTTCCCAAGCTCATTTTCTTCACCTTTAAAATAGCAGTCATAATTCCTGCCTCACCAGGCTGCTGTGTTGTTAAAAAGGACTCATAGGAAAAGCATTTTGCGTGGTGTTTAGTAAATAACTAAGTGATAGCTACTATTGTTTTATTATTATTATCATGAATTCCTAAAATTCCTTGGAGAAATCAAAGTCAAAGCTCTAACGCTAAGTATCAGTGTTTTAATGCTAAATGTCAATGTTCTAATGCTATAGCTGGGGGCCAGGAAAAGAAACAAAATACCCAGAGGTCAAGCCTTTGCAACTCCCAGGAGGCAGATAACTGTCTTCCTGCTTGCCAAGGCCACTTTGGGCACACTCTGGCTCCTGCTCTCTCCCAGATTAGCGCAGCCCTTAACAGACAGTTCCATGAGAAAGGGAGTCTGAAACACTTCAAAGGCAGGAAGTGACTGGCCCAGGAGGCAGTGGCCAGCTTGGCAAAAGGTTCAATAACAGATCTGGGATGGATTATGTCCCGCCCCACCTTTCCTAACTCCAGCACACAGGGCTGAAGGATTGTTGTGTGTGGAGAAGAAGAAAAGATATTATATCCAGGCAGCCCCACGTCTCATGGGCTCAAGGGGGAAATAAGACTTCATCCTTTAAAAGGGCTGTTCAGTGTCTTCCCTTCAGAAAGAAGGGTCCATATCTTCTACCTGAAAGTGTCTTTCGTGTAATGAGTTCAAGGCCTTTGGGGGTGTATCTGAACTGCAACTTCAATGTGGGACAATTTATATCTGGTGTGAAATGCACATTCCAAAAAAGTGAGATCCATGGTTGCCCCAGCAGAATAGCCAATAAGCAGAGCTCACATTTATGGAACGATTACAATATGCCTACAAAGGTTTTATAGGCAGTTACTCATTGAATCTGTACTGCCATTTTTGAGGTTTGGATTCATTATTCCTGTAATTCACACAGAGAAAATGACAGCAGGGTCGTTAGCTGGCACAGCCACAGTGCTAGAATGCATAGAGCTGGGACTAGAACCCAGATCTGTTCTCACCACGGTGCTTTCCTGACTCAATAAGAAACATTTGTTGGGAAAAGAAATTCTCCAACAAGAATGGAGGAGAGAAATCAAGTAACTGTGTTTGCATAAAAGAATTCTCATCAAACATGAATCCTATACATGGAGTGCCATAAATAAGAGGTTTGACCTAGAGAAAGGCAGCACATTTTTATTTTAACAGTCTAAGATCTTTCCTATGTTTAGAGCACTGGTTCTCAACTGGATATAATTTTGCCCCCTACAGCACAAATGGCAATGTCTGGAGACACTGGTGGTAACAACTTGTGTGTGTGTGTGTGTGTGTGTCGAGGGAGAGGCAGGTACTACTGGCATCTAATGGGTAGAAACCCATTAAACTGCTGAACATTTTAGAATGTATAGGACAGCCCTCACAACAGAAAATTATCTGGCTCAAAATGTCAGTGGTACTGAGGTTGGTTTGGAAGATACAGGTCCTTGTTTCTATTTTCTTTTCTTTTTTTAATTCTATTTTTTTATTATTATTATACTTTAAGTTCTAGGGTACATGTGCAGGCTTGTTACATATGTATACATGTGATATGTTGGTGTGCTGCACCTATTAACTCTTCATTTACATTAGGTATATCTCCTAATGCTATCCCTCTCCCCTCCCCCCACCCCACGACAGGCCCCGGTGTGTGATGTTCCCCTTCCTGTGTCCAAGTGTTCTCATTGTTCAATTCCCACCTATGAGTGAGAACATGCGGTGTTTGGTTTTTTGTCCTTGCGATAGTTTGCTGAGAATAATAGTTTCCAGCTTCATCCATGTCCCTTCAAAGGACATGAACTCATCCTTTTTTTTTTGTTTGTTTCTATTTTCTACTCCTGGTTGTGAGCCAAATATATCACTCCCAAAATAGGCCAAGATAAAAACCAACATAAGTGTGCCTCGTGTATGTACAGGAAATAAGGCTAATTTCAAACCTCACTCCCCTCTTCTTCTCATCATTTGCTCATTTTATGTGATTTTATATTCAATGCAATCAAAACCTCTAATATTAAATCATTTCTAACTTTTAGAACCCTCACAGGCATTACCATTATAAGAATCAAGATTGGATGATTTAGAGAGGTATGCTTAATTAATTAATTAATTAATATGTATGGGAGAGGTAAAAGATAAAAGAAGGACAAAGGATTTATGTGGCCATAAAGCTAAACTTTGCTTCTAGTCTATGATGGGAGAAATCATATGTATTCTCAGCAGCGCTGGTCCCATGTCTGCCACTCTCTGCCCCACAAGAATTTGACGAAGAGAAGCGGGATCGGGAGGGGGAGTTGCCCACTGAGAGTATGATTAAGGAATCAACCCTCTGACCGCATGAAGATGAAGGTCAGAATCTCCAAAGAGGCCGGACATGGTGGCTCATGCCTGTAATCCCAGCACTTTGGGAGGCCGAGCCGGGCAGATCACGAGGTCAGAAGATCGACACCATCCTGGCTAACATGGTGAAACCCCATCTCCACTAAAAATACAAAAAATTAGCCAGGCGTGGCGGCCGGCACCTGTGGTCCCAGCTATGCAGGAGGCTGAGGCAGAAGAATGGTGTGAACCTGGGAGGCGGGGCTTGCAATGAGCCGAGATTGCGTCACTGCACTCCAGCCTAGGCGACAGAGCGAGACTCTGTCTCAAAAAAAGAAAAAAAGAAAAAAATATAATAAAAGAATCTCCAACGAGATTGGTATCAGGATGACAGAGAACTTGGGTTAAGTGTAATAAAACAGAGATGCATACATACTAACTGGTAACTTCCCATTATCGTTAGTAAACTGGAAAGCACAATAAGTCTGTGATGGTTAATTTTATGTGTGAACTTGATTGGGCCACTGGGTGTCCAGATATTTGGTTAAACATTATTCTGGGTTTGTCTATAAAGGTATTTGTAGATAAGATGAACAACTGAATTGGTAGACTTTGTAAAGCAGATAGCCCTCCCTAATACAAGTGGACCCCATTCAATCCATCGAAGGCCTAAAGAGAATAGGCTGGGTAAGGGATAATTCACTCTTTCTGCCTGACTGCCATCTCCTGCCTTTGGACTCAAATTCAGACTGGAACCATACCGTTGGCTCTCCTGGATCTCCAGTTTGCAAATCTTGGGACTTCTCTACCTTCACAATTGAATAAGCCAATTCCTTATAATACATCTCTCTATACATATTTATGCATCTTATTAGTTCTGTTTTTATGAAGAACCTTGAGGAGCAGAGTCTACAGATAACACAATGACCATAAGAGTTAGCACTATCATTCACCAAGTACTTCCTAGGTGCTTAGCATCAGGCTAAGAACCTGTGTTCACTTTGCAGCAACCAAAGTAGGTAGGTACCATGACCTTTACTCCACAAATGCAGAAAGCCAGACTTGGAGGGGTGAGTGATGGAAGACAGGCTGTGGCCTTTAGGCTAGGCTATGATCTTTGATCTGACTATGAAATATCAGGGGCCTGTTAATTCCAGAAATGTTAAGCGAGAAATACAAGGTCTCAAGGCCCCATGGCAACATTTTTAGACGAATACCTAGATGGGATAGGAAGGCCTTGGCCTCCACCCCCACCCTCTCACCCCTTGGTGTTATTGTTTCTATTAAAATGTAACTGGCTCCTGATACTGTCAGAGGAGTAGTTCTGCTGCCTGGCTTTGCAGTCCTCGTTGCTTGGATGGTCACCTTTCTCTGGGGAGTTTTGAAGGGTTCTCGTGACAAGTGAAGGTCCCAACCAACACACACATTGAGAACGTGAGAGAAAAAGAATGCCCTTGTGTGCAAACTGTCTCTCTCCTTTTCCTCAGCCCTTGGGGAAAAAAAAGGACATTGTATTTGCTCACTTACTGTTCTAAAAGTAAGGCCACTAGTCTACTACACTGTGAGCCTGAAAAACCTCTCAGAAACTGACTCTGATTCCTGGAGGTTAAATTGAATCTCTAGATTCCGAGGTTTAAGAACCCTGACATTTTGATGAGAGATTCTCAAACTTGACTGCCTCAAACTCATCTGAGGGAGCTTCTTAACATTTTTCTTTTGTCCAGCTTGTCTCCATTTCCAATGATTCAGAATGTCCAGGGGAGGACTAGAAAACTCTGTTTAATCATAGCCTTGAGAATTCACACAAAAGCAGCTTGGCAAAATCCATGAACACACCTACATCTTTCCCCCAGTACTTAAATAGTAGTTATTTGTCCTTCAGACAGAGAAAAGTGGTATATACGGCAGGAAAATTTGCTTTATAGCCTTGTTCTTTTCACATAATAAAATGCCACAAATCCTGGATATAATACAGTGCAGTGATCCAAATATTTAGAGTGAGGCAGACAGGAGAAGCTATTCAACCCAGTCAAAGTCCTGGGAATACAGGCATGGTCCATCATTCCAGGATTGTTTACAGGTTTCTCATACATCAATCAAACAACATGTATTGTATTAAACACTAAAGTATCCTGCATTGCCTTGGGGGCTTCAGGGGTTGAAGAGTCTCCAATCTGTATAATTACACATATTGTTACATAGAATCTGTATCACAATCTATTAGAATCACTGATGCGCTGTCTCTAGATGAGTGTTTCTCAAACTTTACTCTGCTTAGAAATGCCCCAGAGAGCTTGGTAAAATGCTGTTTTCTGGGCACCAAATGGAAATAATCTGATTCAGTAGATCTGGGATAGCCCTGTGACTTTGAATTCATAATAATGTTGCAGGGACACTGATATTGCTAGTCTGAGGACCTCTCTGTAAGCACTACTGCTGTGAACCTTAAGTTCCTTCAGGCAAGAAGTATGTCTCATTCTTCTCTTTCTGTTGTGTGTGGTAGAATGTCGGGACTATCAAAGGTGCTCCTGAAATGTTTGTCAAATGAGTGAGTGAATCAATGAATGTATGTATGAAGAAAGCCACATGAATGAAATCAGCAGTTTTCAAGTATGGGCAGAATTTCCTGGGAGGCCAGGATATTGTTCTCTAATGAGAATTGGTTTAGAAATTTCAGTATATGCAAGTATCTGAAACTCTATATATTCTGTGTGATCATTTAGGATATCTATTAACTCCAGTCTCTGGGGAATGTTTCCCTAGAAAGATGGCAAAGCCTCACCCAGCTTTACAGCTCTCTTGAGCTAGAAGCCTGGTGACAACAGTGGACTATCATCTTGTACCACATGAATACAGGATGATGCATTTCTGGGAGAAGCATCATCAGGCCAGATGCTCTCAGCAGGGATGCATTTGTACAGCCAATTAGTCACTGGTAACCTCAGTGATTCCATTTTTTTTTTGCACTGGACAGAGGCAAGTATCTCAAGCCATTACATTCTGACAGCCAGCTAAAAGCCCATTGAACCTTCCAGAGGACAACTCTGTCCACTGGCACAAAACAGCATAAAAATGTACCTTGAAGTATAATCTAAGATACCATTGAAATTTCCCTCCGTCTCCACAATGTTAGACTGGGTGGCAGATTATACTCCGAGGGACTGTTTTCTAATTTCTCTCATTGCTTCTACACCCCATCTCTCTTAGTCACAGAGCACAGAGCCTTGTGTGTTTGTCAACTGTATGAATAAGTGAAGTTCCTTTCTTCTTCTTCTTCTTTTTTTAAATTATCTTTTCTCCTCTTTGCCTTTTGCTTTAAACTTATTTTAATTTCAAGGGCTTCTCTGTTGACTGATCCAACAGATTCTGCATTGGAACAATGTTCTCTAAGATTCACTACTTTAGATAAAATATTTTTAAAAATCTCCAGATCCTGCAGCTTTTCCAAGAGAAAAAGAAAAGCACACTTTTAAAGGAGAATACAAGGTCTACGTAAATACTCCTTTTTTTTTTTGTCACCTCTCAAGGAGATAGAAATATCTCTTTTGGAAACAAAGCTATGCAAGATAAAAATGTATTAATGACACTTCGGGAGGCTGAGGCGGGTGGATCACCTGAGGTCGGGAGTTCGAGACCAGTCTGATCAACATGGAGAAACCCCGTCTCTACTAAAAACACAAAATTAGCTGGGTGTGGTAGTGCATGCCTGTAATCCCAGCTACTCGGGAGGCTGAGGCAGGAGACTCACTTGAACTCAGGAGGCAGAGGTTGTGGTGAGCCGAGATTGTGCCATTGCACTCCAGCCTGGGCAACAAGAGCGAAACTCTGTCTCAAAAATAAAATAAAATAAAATAAAAATAAAAAAGTATTAATGAATAATCCTTACAACAGTGATGACATTTTGTCATACGGAATCTTAGAGTAGAAGGTATCTTTAAACAGTGCTTCTCAAATTTTAAGATGTGTGTATGCATCACCTGGGTATCTTGTTAAAATGCAGATCACATAGTTCTACAAGTTGTCAGGTGATACCAGTGCTGCTGGTGTGTGGACCATACTTTGAGTAGGAAGGAGGAGGAGTAAGTGCTACTGGCACTGGCTACTCCTGAAAGAAGGCCTCACATATTCTCTCAAAGCCTATGTGAACTGAACTATGTGCAATGATGGAAATGTTCTAGATCTGGTCTAACATGGCAGCCATTAGCCACATGTGGCTACTGAGCACTTGAAATGTAGCTGGTGCATGGAGGAAATTACTTTTAAATTTTATTTAATTCCAATTCATTTATCTTTATATGGTTATGTATGCCTGGTGGCTACCATATTTGACAGCGCCACTCTGTAGTGGAGAAAAGAGAGACAGCAATTTAATAAAAAAATAAAGTTTAGAGAGAAGAAACCTAAACAGCAAGGTGAAGCTTCAAATCCTTTCACCCATATTGTAAGTGTACTCTTGTTCTCACTCTCCTTCCTGCTGTATGTAGGGAGGGCTCAAGGCTTCTCCTCTGTTCTCCATCATGTTCCCAGAATCACTCTATATACAAAATAGTAATTAGAAAAGGCTTCATAAACATTCTGAAGTGCGGATGATTATCTTGTTTACATAAACCTCTTTGAATTGGCAAAATCAAGCAAGAAATCTTATGAGAAATAGTTCCTTTGTTATGAGCTCTTTCCCCTTGGGTCATACCAGGGCAGGATTCTGAAGACAGTCTCCAAGGTTATTATATTGTGGGTTCTTGCCCTTTGGTCTGGAACACAGAGGGAAATGCAAACATTTCTGGAATGTCCAGACATTCCAGAAAAGTTTAAAAGAAAAAAGAGCTCAAGTCGAGTTCCCCAAAATGAGAAACTGCTGAGGGTGGTGAAAGGGTAGGGCTTGGTTTTGTCTGAACTACAGCCTTCAGCTCTCAGCAGGTTACAATCTATATTGCAGTTAACGAGGTTTGGAGATCTTCCCTGGGCTGGTGGGTACTAATTTCCATTGAGGAAAGAGTTATGAGATGTCTTAATGATAACAGATAATTTCTCTGTGTGGGCAGAGCCTCAAAGCACGTTGCTATAAAACTGTGTGGACTGGGCTATTTCTTTTGTGTACGCACTTTCCCCTTAAAGAATCCACTTGGCATGAGTCTCAAACCTGCTTGGGGACCCTTGTGATTAATTGCTTGAACTGGCTGGTGGCCATCAGCAGGATCTTGCAATTTACCAGGTTCTACACAGAATTATGAAGCTGAAGGTTTAATGAGATTTTAGGTAATAGAGCCCAGATGTCCAAGACTACGATGTTTGAAATTACACTGCTTGCAAAGCTGTGGGGCTTAAACCTTATTTATTTCTTGCTTAGTTGATTTCCTTATTCCCATCTTTATGTAATCTTGGACCAGTCAAATAAGGCCTTTACCTTGACATACTGTATCTAGAGAAGCTATTCACAAACACACACCTGTGGCCAATACCCTGGAGAGCCCAGAGAGCCAAGACCCCCCTACCTTTCAGCCCAACCTCCTGGGATCACCTCTCAGCCAAGGATATGGTAATTACCAAACCTCTTAGCCAAGGATATGGTAATTAACAGTCCTACCACCACCTTGCTGCTATGCAGCACTTAACTTCCAGATTGCTTTCACACATTTAATTGCATTTTATTCTGTCAGGGTCCAGGAGAAATGGGCTGGGATGGTATTATCTCTATTTGGATGAGGAAACCAAGGTACACAGAAGACAAGGGATAATAATAGCTAACATTTGTGAAACCCTCATGTGCCAAGAAGTACTGTTCCCTGGGGTTTACGTGCATTATTACTTTTAAGCCTCGTAACAGCTTTGAAGTTGATATGATTATCAGTTCCGCTTTGAAATGGGAGAACTAGAGCACAAAGAGGTTGGGTCACACCACTAAGAACTGATGAAGCCAGGATGAAACCTGCTCTGGCTCTTAGTTATATGCACTTCCACCTCCCTAAGGAAGTGTAGTCTGCATCACAGCCAAGACCTGGAATCTGTTATTGTTAAAGCAGTATTCTTTGTACATCATTTGCGAGGAGGAAGACAAATCCCAGATACATTTACTAATGAGAAGCTACCTATACCATTTTTCCCTGCTGTCCTCCAGAGCAGTGCAGCTTGGAGAGGGATTCTATTTATTGTTGTCTCATTTGAAAAGAAAAAAACAAGAAAACAACTTGACCTAATATTCCAGGCCATTCATGATGGCAACCTCAACTTCTCCTTCCATCCTTATCCACAATGCATTCCAGACACAGAAATGGATTAAATTTGTCTTACACGGCCCTACCCTTGTTTACATGGTCTCTACTTCTTTCTTCATCCTTCTGCCCAAATTCTACCCTTTCTGTAAGAGCAAGTGCTACTGGCACTGGCTACTTCTGAAAGAAGGCCTCACATATTCTCTCAAAGCCTATCTCTCCCTGCTCTGAACCTCCACATGATTTTGTTGAATGAATGGATGAACAAATGGAATAACCATCATCTCTTGATTGCTGTCCTAGGCACTGTGCTAAACATCAGGGATATAAAAATGAACAACAAATAACCCCTGCCCTTGCCTTCAGAAAGCTCCCAGTCTAATGAGAGATTCGCACACAGAAAAACCACTACTGCACGATGTCCTGCATGCTATTATAGAAGGGCAAGATTCCAGGGGAGCAGAAGGGAGGGGGAGGAGCTCTCCTTGCTGTTTACAGATATGGCTGGGAATTCTGCCCAAGCCTTATCCCCCCATCTAGTTACGGAAACTTCACGTGGGAAGGGATTGTGTTTAAGCATCTTTGCACAACTCCCAAATCATCAGCATAGTCTCCTAAACTAAACAAACGTAAGATAAATAATGAAGGACTGTATTAGAAGCGATGGAGTCTCACTCATTATGGTAGGGGCAGTCTACAAGCCTCTCCTCTCCTCTTTGCAGTGGAAATAAAGAAGAGGAAAGCAGGCCCTTGCTGCTGTCCACAGTGGCCCTCCAATGGAGCTGGCCCAGACAGAGAGAGAGGGAGGAAGCTCCTGGCATTTCCTTAGGGTGAGTGAGTAGCAATGACCTAAACGACAGCTTTCTTTTGCAAGGGCCAAGGAATGTTTAATGTCCTGCTTTAAAATAACAGTTTGGGCAAGTCTTCCTTAAACCTACTTCTGTTCTGAAGAGTTGGAAAATATTTCTTATTTTAAATTATTCCCATTTCAGAGAAGTAATTCTGAATCTATAAAATTATGAGGCCCTTATAAAACTCTACAAGTAAGCTTTTTTTTTTCTTAATTTTCTATTCTTCTGAACAGGATTGCGAGGGAGTCCTGGGCAGTGGCCCAGCCCCATGAAAAGCTTTCCCTCCAGACGGTTAGTGTTTGGTTTCGGGGGACTACAACAGCACTTCATTCATATTTTTGAAGTTTGCTGGAGACAGGAGGTGGAATGGCTGTCACTACACAATATTCATATCTTTCCAGAACCACCAACCTGTGTTGCCCTACCATTTTAAGGAACCAGTGTGGGATAAGGAAGATAACAAATTCTTCCATTTGGCAGCTTTGAGACTGGTCAAGTTGTTTAAGTTCTATGAGCCATCTGAACCACAGCTTCCTCATGTGTAAAAGGAGAAGATTTGTGTGTGTGTTGCAGATTTTGTGTGTGTGTGTGTGTGTGTTTGTGTGAACTACTATATTTCATTAAATCCAAGATACATTTTTTTCAAAAAGCTTTAGAGATGGGGGTCTCACTATGTGGCCCAGAATGGAGTGTAGTGGCCCTTTGTAGGCAAGATCATAGTGCACTGTAGTCCCAAACTCCTGGGCTCAAGTGATCTTCCTGCCTCAGCCTCCCAAGTGGCTGGGACTACAGGTGTGTGCCACCATGTCTGACCCAAAGTACATTTAAAAAAAATGTACCACTGAGAAAGAAAAAAAAGATGCTGATTAAACTATGATATAATGCTTTTTATAGTCCCGCATCAGGCATAATTATTAGCCTTTTGTGGCTTAAAGATTTCTTTAATCTGCTCTAAAGAACTTGACAATTTCTATGCCTTCTGGTATAAACTTCATGTGTGATAAGTAAACATTTTGGATGTATCTCCATAATAAAACGAAACACACCTTCATCTACTTGTAATAACTTTCTATTTGAGGTAGTGCAAAGCTCAGTTTGCTGCTTTGCAAAAATATATGAAGTTGTAATTATACCTCCAATGTCAAACATTTGCCTCACTAATGGCACTGTTTCTTTGACTTTTGGCATACAAGACACATTTTTCCTTCAATGCCAAATTATAGTATAATATTTCTGAAGATGTTTTTCAACAGTGATTAAACTCAACAGGTGAATTTGAGTGAAGTAATGAAGATATGCACAATCACAGGCCACTTCAGACGTGCATCACTGCCATGTGACCTACAGTGATTACAAGACTTCCTAGATTGTAAAAGGTACAATTCAGAAATGTTAAAATATGAGACAAGTTGGATCTCAGATGCAATGAAATACGGTAAATGAAAGAGCATATATCATGGATCTTGTATCCTGTAGATACCTAACAAACCTCAAATCCCTGCCTTTTTAATAAAGAATGAGAATACGATGAAGCATAAAAGGGTGGAGGGAGGCTGGACCTCATCTTTTGGCAAAGAGATAAAATACTGAATTTAAATCTGAATCTTGTAGGGTAAAATTTATATTACAGGAAATAAAAACCATGAATGATCTCCATATCCTATGTCAGATGGCTGCAAATATTTTGTCATAGCCTTTCTCCCTACCTCTCATTGAGAGATGGGGTCTTTTTTCTCCCTCCTGCTTCCTTGAATCTGGGACAGGCCTGAGACTTCTTGGACCAACAGCATATGACAGAAATTTCTTTGTGTCTGTTCTGGGCTTAATCTTTAGGAGGACTGGAAACTTCTGTTTCTTCCTCCTTTGAACCTAGTCGCCATGCTGTGAATAAGCCATGACGCAACATGGACAGGCCCACATGGAGGGCAACTGAGGTTATTCCAAATATCAGCAGCCACCGCAGCTGAACAAGCAGCCAACTGCCTGTGCTAACATGCTAGCCATTTCAGTGAAACATCTTGGATGTGGATCCTCAGTCCCCAATGATAGTATGTATGGAAAAAATAAGAGGTCCCTGCTAAGCCTTGCCCAAATTGCAAAATCATGAGCAAATAATAATTGTTGTTTTGAGCCTCTCCAGTATGGGGTGGCTTGCCATGCAGCAGATCATCAAAATTCACTACCCTGTTAATTTTCACAGATGCTCTGAGCAAGACTTGTTCTAGAATCCCAAAGAGCAGAACCTGGAAGACAGCCTAGATCTGCTGACTCCTGAACTGAAACTCTTGCATGATTATTCTACACACTGAAGTTATTAAGGGCTAAGCAAGGCTTATGGAGCTCCTAAAGTCTTATTCCTTAGCCCTCATAGGACTATATCATGAGATGAAGTCTAGGTCAATTCTGGTCGGTTCAGGAAAGCTACAGAATTAAAAAAACATTCAAGAGAAAAAAAGTTTCAGCACAGCACACCCACCTATTGACCACACCCCAACTTCCCATAAACACACAAGGTCTTGTACCCTACTTGGAAATTGAGAGTAGAGTTCATGAGTTTGATGCAAATATACTTGTGATACTGTCAAGCTTTTTTAGATTATCTGTTGGTGGTCCCAAGAAATAATATCATAGTGGAAACAAGCATGAATCACTGTGGATTGATTGATCTCAGTCATAGGTTATTCAGAATGGCATCCGAAGAAGAAACAGAATATCGTGTCGATAGAATAAAATACAG